>NC_000008.11:114464222-115714222 GCF_000001405.40 Homo sapiens | reverse complement strand
GCTCACTTTGAGCATGTTGCTGTTGAGGTGCCTGTTAGACACTCAATTGTTGATGACAAGTAAGCATTTGAAAACATGGTCTGGTACTCAGAAAAGGGTCTGAGCTGGAGATATAAATTTCAGATTTGCTTTTATGGATAGTAATTGAAGCCATGTGAATGTTGGAGATTGTCTAAGGAGAATGTGTGTAGAGTGTGCAGGAGAGAAGCCACAGGACAGAGCTCTGAGAAACTCCAGGGTCTGAGGTCAGACAGAAGAGGAGCTGCAAGAAAAAACAGACAGAAAAAGTGATCTGAGCCACAGAAGAAAACCAGCAAAGGAACCCATAGAAAAGAGATTTTGGAGGAGAAAATTAATTAGAAGTGCTGGATTTGGCTAAGAGGTCAATTCAGTTCTGTGCTTTACAGAAGAAATGGCACTGAGTACTCTGAAGACTACCTTAGCCTCAAAGAGCTAACCAGTGGGAGAAATGGGCATGTCGTGAACTTCCAAACAGAGTAGAATGCATAAGTGCTTGTTAGTTTAGATGTAGGTGTTCAGAGAGTAAGCAGAGAAATGATGCTCCTGTCCAAATGATTTTGTAAAACTAGTTTTAAGAATTTTAGACAAACTTCGTGTTTCAGTGAATTTTCAAGGTGCTCAGTTTAACAATGATATTAAGAAAAATCTATTTTCCTTCATATGTGTGTTGTTTGGCTAGTACAGAGCAACTATGTATGACAAAGAAGAAAGGAATAATTTCCTGTTCAGGAATCTGAGAGTTTTTGACCCTGGCCCAACAACTTAGCTACACACTAGTATATTCAGGGAAGAATTTCAGGATCTGTTTCTTCTACAGTTGGCTTTTCCCCATCCCGGCCACTTCATAGAAATCCAGGAATTTGGCCTTAAAGAAAATTGGACCTTAAGGCAAAGGAAGATATTGTTCTTTCCTCTTCAGGGTGACAAAATGGCCCATCTGTTAAAACGCTTGGCAATAGCTGGGACAAATGTCATAGCCACTTAGTAATTCAAAATTGGAGATAATTTAGACACATCATAATTCAGTTATTACTCAAATTATAATTTATTATTTAAATATTGTTCCCAATTTTTATACATTCTATATGTATATTTCTTACTTCAATAAAATATCACAGTTCATAATTTAAACTTTAAAAAGAAATGAATGAAAAAGCTCTTTTGGTGTTGTATTGCCAATTTTCTCCAAGTAATTATCTGTCTGATGAATTTGGCATTTGTTTTCTATTCCTGATAGTAAGCATGTTTCGTGTGTTTGTTTGTTTTTGTTATTTTAGGAATACCTTTGCTGGGAGAATGCTGGGAGTATTTTTGCAATTTTTTATTCATACTTTTTAATATCTTATACTAAAAAATGTCTCATGCTTAACAGCAATGATAGTATTTCTTTAAAACTATTTAATTTAGACTATTCACTAACTAGGATGTTCCCTTGTTCTTATGACAAATTGAGGAAGCCTTACTGACTATGATTAAAATTCCCAAAGTAATTTAAATACCTTGAAAGACTTCCCTTGAATATACTTTGCTTGCATCTTACTATATAAAGTAGTAGGCAAAAGGCCTTTTGATAAACCTGCTGGTATCAAAATGCTTTCCCAGTCCGTACTCTGCTTCTTAGATTTCTTAAGCATGACACTAAAAAACTATTGTTATAATCTAAAGTTTATAACATTGAAAGTTTTTTAACATTAACATTTTAGCAATTTTATAATTTTAACAATTTATAACATTTAAAGTTTTGAAAGAAACATTTAAGAAAAGACTAGTTTTCTTGGGCATAGATAGTCGATTACTTCATATAAATGGTCCAAATTTCTTTTTCTTTTTTTTTTGAGACGGAATCTCTCTCTTTCACCCAGGCTGGAGTGCAGTGATGCAATCTCGGCTCACTGCAAGCCCCGCCTCCCGGGTTCACGCCATTGTCCTGCCTCAACCTCCCGAGTAGCTGGGACTACAGGCGCCCACCACCACGCCCGGCTAATTTTTTGTATTTTTAGTAGAGACGGGGTTTCACCATGTTAGCCAGGATGGTCTCGATCTGCTGACCTTGTGATCCACCTGCCTCGGCCTCCCAAAGTGCTGGGATTACAGGCGTGAGCCACCGTGCCCGGCCAAATGGTCCAAATTTCAAGCAAATTAGACAAGCTTTTGTATTTATAGATACATACATTGTACCAGAAGCTGTAGATCTGTAAATTTTGATGAGAGTCCACGTTAGGTGGCACTCCAGGGTCTTTCGACATGAACAAACCAGGAATTAAAATTTATTTTCTTCCTAATATTCTGGCAATATCCTTTCTGTTTCTCTGAGAAATGTTTTATTGCCATTTCAGAGTATCTGTCATGAGAGTTTATATTTATCAGCTTGCTTGGTGCTTTTAAATTTAATCCCCATCAATTTTCTCACCAGAAAAAAATAGCCATATTCGTAACATCCCACTCTGAGTTTGACTCACATGTCAGGGATTCAACACATGTGGTTTTCTCTAGGCTTCACTGTTTTTGACTCAATATATAAAGAGCTGAAGGAATGCAGGTGCCAGGCGTTAAGCTTTACTCAGGAGAGGATGCTAAGAGGCAGTCTGGAAGGGGGAAGCAGCACAGAACAGCCTGCATGAGATGATCCAATTTTTGTTTTAAGGGAAAAAAAGCAAGGAATATTTCTATGTGTTTAAACCTTCATGTGACTAAGGTAACGAAGTTGGAGGTGATAGTCGTCAACCTTCCCTATATTTTCTACAGTGCTCAAATAGATTTTATAAAAACATTATCACTAAAAACTCTTATTTTCATTTTTGAGAAAATTATGTACTCAGCTTTTTTTTTGGAAAAATGTTTCGTTCTATACTAAGCTTGAAGATTGAATTATAAGATAATTTTGAGCAAGAAGCAAGGTCTACTATTTTCTTCCTGTGGTTTTAACGTTTTTAAATGGCTGATATAAACCTGAGTTGATGTGTGAGTTTTACAATAACAGATAGCCAAGTCGATCCTGCATATTGATTTTACAGATTTTAGTTTTCAGTCAGATTTGAGAACACATACCTTCCCTACAAATTTCAATGAAATTTCTGCAACATTAATTCATGTGTGCAGAATACAGTCTCTTAAACTAAAATTTCCCTCCAACATACAGACAACTTAGAATATTCCGAAATTAACATAATTAATTCCCATCACTCTTGTAATATTTCTCCTGTCTTTCTTCCCATTTCTTTTTATCTTTCTCTTCTTCTCACTGTTGCTGCTGAGTATTCCTAAGGAAACACTTGGATAGAATGGAAAGAAATTCAGGTTAGACAACTTCGACTTGAGTCATATCTCTGCCACTTACCAACTGAGTGACCTTGAATATCAATTAACCTCTCATGTAATTGTCTTAGCTTCCTCATTTGCAAAACAGGGAAAATAGCACCTGCCTTCAATGCCTCATTGTGTGGTTGTGAGGATCAAATTACAGGATATATGTACACTATAAAGTAGCATGGAAAGGAAATGTATTCCTATGATTATTAATATTATTTTTAGTCAGTTCAGAAAGGCTGAGATCATGTATCATCACTTTAATGCCTTTATCTCAGGCCATAGAAAATAAATCAATGAGAATTTTCGAAACTAGGGTTTTAGGAGCATAGGTAGATGGTCACAAGTGTCTGAATAATAAAATAACAGGAAGTTGGAGAGAAATATGAAATATGTGAATAAAAATGCATAACTGCAGACACAAGTTGTTTTTAGTTTAGCTCAAAAAATTTCATGTTATGTAATTGATTTCTTTCTCAGTGTATTAATTTATAAAATGGAGTTAATATCTAACTAAAGAAATTGTTACACGTGTACATGTGAAAAGACCACCAAACAGGCTTTTTGTGAGCAATAAAGCTTTTTAATCACCTGGGTGCAGGTAGACTGAGTCTGAAAAAGGAGTCAGCAAAGGGAGATGGGGTGGGGCAGTTTTATACGATTTGGGTAGGTAGTGGAAAATTACAGTTAAAGGGGGTTTTCTCTTGCGGGCAGGGGCAGGGGTCACAAGTTGCTCGGTGGGGAGCTCCTGAGATTCGTTGTCCAGAAGGAATGTCACAAGGTCAATTGATCAGTTAGGGTGGGGCAGGAAAAAATCACTATGGTGGAATGTCATCAGTTAAGGCAGGAACTGGCTACTTTCACTTCTTTTGTGGTTCTTCAGTTGCTTCAGGCCATCTGGATGAATACGTGCAGGTCACAGGGGATATGATGGCTTAGCTTGGGCTCAGAGGCCTGACAGAAATCATGAGTGTACTGCCCATAGTATTAAATAACTTAGTCTTACCATCATTTCAACAGATTAAACCCAAGAAATATCAATTGATTAGTGAATATACAAAAGATATTGCACTTGGCAGATACAGAAACCACTCAGATAAATGAGACGTAATGGCTGGACAAATCATGCATTCTGAACGGCCGATGATACAAGGACACAAATAAATATGATGCAAGATGAAAAAGACAAATATATGTAAGAGGGTTCACAAATAAAATGCCATGGGATTCAAAGAAGGGAGGAATCAAAATCAAATTTGATTGTGTCAAAGTTCAAAAGCTTTGTAGAGTGTGAGATATTGATTTGAGTAGTTTGGTTTAGGTGCAGTGAGAGTTATTATTGTGGCATTGGACGTGGGACTCAAAGGATTTTTATGAAGAGAAATAAGAGGAGAAAGTACTCATTTGAAATCTATTGTGAATATATTGTTGGCCATGCATCATGCAAGAAGTTGGGACTATAAAGATGAACAAATCACACATGAGCTCTCTTTAGGGAGGAAGACCAGAGGGAAGTGAGCATGAGCATCATGCTCAGTTTGGTGGGAGACAGAGGGGAGAGGATAAGTTCAAGTGTCCTAGAGATCCTGATGGATATGAGGACATGTTGAAAAGGTCACAGAATGAACAGTCGAAGATTAAAAGACATTTTTGGATATAGGTATGAAATATCTAGAAATAATTGTTGAAAGCTTAATGCGACAGCAGAGTTCAGGATGAAATGAGAGTGTTTTAAAAACGCAAGGATATGGTGAGGACTTTATATAAATGTAAAATACTTTATATTTGTGCTTTCCTTTAATCCTTACAATAGCACTTAAAGGTAGGTACTACAACTCTGACTTTACAGGTGAGGAAGCTGAGGCTTTGAAAAGTAAAATGACTTATTCAAAAGCTATTACATTCAATAACTGGCAGGGCTGGGATTTTAATCCTGGTGTTGACTCCAAAGTCTGTAAAATTGACCTCTGCCTTACATTGAATCCCATGGAGAATGGAAGAGAAGCAAGCAGAGAGAATCGAATCTCAAATCTTTGACTCTCAGCACTGACCATGTAGCGTTCACTCATTTTCACTACCTGGATTTGGTAAGAAACTATGCAATTCATTTATTTGTTATTCTTTGGCTTATTCCTGCAACAGATTTTTATTATGCTGTGCAATATGCGAGGTAGTTAGATATGAGATCAATAAGGCAGAATATTTGTCTTCAAATAGCTTAAAATTTAGAGGAAGAGACAGACAGGTAAGTAGGCTGGTTCAAGGCACCCAGCTAAATGCTACAGTAGGAGCGAAAAAGAGAATCTATGAAGCCAAAAAATGAGAGTCCCTGATTCAGTCTCGGAGAGGATCAGGGACAGCATGCTAGAGGACCAAATGTAATGAAAAAGATGAGGAGGTGCTAGCCCAGGGGAAAGTAGTGGAGGCAAAGGTGACAGACATGGAGGCTGAGAATATGTCGGGTATTGGCAGGCCTTTAAGTAGTTTGGTACAGCTGCTGGAAGCTGGTAGAGGTATCCTTTGTTGGCTGCTGGTGGGGAAAGAGATGGATTCTAGAGGGATAACCAATAACTGGATCATAAAGAATTGCTCAGTCTTCTGGAAAAAAAAATCTACACATTACCGATAGAAGTGTAAATTTGGCCAGGTCTTCAATATGTTGCAAATGTTTAAAAAGTTTTATACCCTTTGATTCAGATATGACACTGCTAGAAAATTCCATTAAAGAAAATAATTTGAAATGTGGACATAGAATCATATACAAAGTTATCCGTTGAGGCCTTATTTATAATACCAAATGATATAAACCTAAATGTTCAACAATAGATGTGCAGTTGAGCCAATTATGGTGCTTTAATATGGCTGTTGCTATTATTATAACTTTTAATACACTATATATATTAATTACATAGGTATTTGCTATAATAGAGAGTTGATCCTCGTTATTCATGGATTCTCTATTTGTAAATTGATTTACTTACTAAAATTTATTTGTAACCTCCAATCAATTCTCCTGGCACTTTCATAGACATTTGAAGACGTGTGTGGAGCAGCCAAAAAATTGAGTCACCTGATGCACCCATTACAGCTGAGGTCAAACAAGGGGACAATACGCCTTCTTGTTTCAGCTCTCATGAAGTAGAGAAGTGTCATTTACATGCTATACTTAGTGCCACATTTTTCACATTTTTGTGCTTTTTCTTGGTGATTTCACTGTTTAGAATGTTCCCCAAGGGAAGGGCTGAAGCACTAAGTGCAAGTAGGCTGTGATGTGCTTTATGGAGAAAATACGTATGTTGGGTAAGATTAGTTCATGAATGAGGTACAATTCTGTTTGCCATGAGTTCAATGTTAATAACTCAAGAACACATATTAAATAAGTTATCTTTGAACAGAAACACACATGAGCGGAAATAAACAATACATAAGATTATATATTGACCAGTTGATAAAAATATGGCTGGTGGATGCAGGAACTTGACTCTATATAGTGCTTCAGAGTTTGCTAATCCAGTGTTCATAGCAACTTTATAGAACATAATTGTGATATTGTGATATAATAAGAAACATATATTTGGTCTTTGACCCTGGGTCCTGGCATAAACCCTTGAAATATTCTGAATAATATGGACTAAAGGAGCTTCTTTTGCTATTCGTAATAAACCCCTTTCATCCATACCTGAGTTTATGCTAATCCGATGACTCTTGGTGGACCCCCAGATATCTTCAGAATGGGGGCAGTTGCCAGAGGAAGCAACCATGTGATTAGAGGGTTGGAACTTTCAGCCCTACCTCTAGACCTGTAAAGAGGAGAGAAAGACTGAAGATTGAATCAATCACCAATGGCCAATGGTTTAATCAATCACGCCTACAATTGGAACCTTCATAAAAACCATAAAAGATCAGGCTCAGAGAGCATATCCAAATACCTGGAGAGTGGCGCATCCCATCTCCAAGAGGACTAAAACTCTTATGTTCAGGACTCTTCCAGACATCACACTATACATACCTATACACTATACATACCTACACATCACCCTATACACCCTATATATACCTATACATCACCCTATACACCCTATGTACTCTTCGTCTGCCTGTTCATTTGTATGATTCCTAATATCCTTCGTAGTAAGCTGGAAATTGTGAGTAAAGTGCTTGCCTGAGTTCTGTGAGCTGTTCCAGCAAATTACGAAACCTGAAGAGAGGATCATGGGAACCTCCAGTTTATTGCTGGTCGTTAAGAAGTTCAGATGGCCTGGACATGTGATTGGTGTCAAGCTGATGCAGTCTTGTGGGACTGAACCCTTAACCTGTGGGGTCTGGTGTTAACTCTGGGTAGTCTTTGAAGAAGGAAATTGTTGGACACCCAGGTGGTGTCCAGAGAGTTGGAGAATGAGTTGTTGGTGTGAGGAAAAAACACATATTTGGTGTTAGAATATGGATTGAAATTAGAAACAGATCTTAGTAGCAATAACTAGCACAAATAACAACTGTATACAGACACATATGACCCAAATATTAATTAATTTTGTATTTTTGCATTATAGAATAGTAATTTTTTAATCATCTTTGGTAATATTGTATATGTCCTATATTCCCAATTCAGAACAAAACAAAATGGAAACATTTAAATAAGCCATCTGTTTTGCTTTAAAGACATATTAATCTCAATATGAATGAATAACACAACTAAATTACATTTAATTTATATTTTAACCCTGCTGACGATGAGCAGGGGGATATAGCTAGAAAGCTCTTGTTTGATATTCTATCTAGGGGAAGGTGGGACAGGATTCAAGAGTCTCTTAACCTTCTTTCTGTGAAGAAAGCTGAGTTACAGGGTCACCACATAAGATCATTTGCCTGTATCCTCACACTCCTCTATAAATTATCTCAGCCATTGCTGATGTCATGAAACTTAGTTGATGACTATCTACAAACTTGTTTGTATCTCTTGGGCAAAGTCCATGCAGGAAGGGTGATTTGCTGAAGAGATAATTTGAAATATTTTAAAGATAATTCAGAGAAAAATCATTTTTGCCTTGATTAATGCAAATTTGTGAGATAGGCTGGAAAATAAAATCAACTGACTGGAATAAACTAGAGAAAACATACACATATACAAGTTACAATGGCTGTGCTTAAAATCCAAGCCATATCCCCCAGCAGTGGGATTAATCAGAGGGTTCCTTCAAGGTCCTACCACATGGACACAAGCAGTAGATGCAGATTCAGTGAGTTCTTCTAACCATCTACGGATGACTCTTTATCCTTGTTCATCTAAGCAGCAAACGTCAGGATGTCGGTTGTACAGCTAGGATCAGAATGGCCTGGTTTGGATTAGCAATACAGAATCCTGACAATGAAACCACAAGGTTCTGGAGGGGCCTGCAGTGGGTCTATGCACAAAACATAGCTCATAGGAATAAAATAAACTGACATCCTTTTTTTGTTTTTTGGGTTTTTTTTTGTTTTTACCCCTTTTGCAGGAGTGCACCAGTTTGGAGGCTGCATTGGAGGAAGCCTGCTACTGGGCCAAATATTGAAAGGGGGATTCCCTCTGTCATTTCTATTGAAACTATAAGCATAATTCCTCAAGCACAGACTGTCTAAGATACCTTGAGTTATTTATTAATATTTAAAGAGGTTATTTGGCATGAAGCATGGGTTGTAATTTTTAAAGGAGCTGACAACAGAATACATTTGTTAACTAGAAAGACATGTCTAAACTTTGCCAAAAGAAATACTGTGTGCAACAAGCACATTTGGTGAGGAGGGTGTGTGTTTTTTCTCCGGGTGCATGTGTGTATATGTGTGTGTGTGTATGTGTATGTGACTTTTTGTGAGTCTCCTCAATTTCCACCAACACATTCCACCCCCAAGTCTTGGACCCATTTTTGAATGAAATCCTAATGATAAAAGAAGGAAAGACTTTCAATGACCATGAAGACTTATCCCCTACCTGCTCCTGGGGCAATCTCTTCTAGTTTAGAATTAATAGAAGACCACCCCTAGTGTTCTCCCATCTACCTTGTTTATATTTTGTTCATTTTCTTCAATTTAATGAGGTGATGAATAAATGTGATTTTACAAGGTAAAAGGGACTGTCAGGGCTAGAGACTGGAGTTCTCTGTTCATTCATATACCAGGTAAGGTACAAACAGGCAAAATGCAAATCTGTCTGTGAGTAATCAAAAATTTAGCCTGGGGGTAGAATCTAGTTAAAAGAAGGTAGTTAATTTTTCCTCCCTGCTGCTTTATTCCCCAGCCTCTTCAGAAGGGGAGTTAGAGTGCTAGTTACTGATTTGTTTCTTCTTCCAGACCACTGTCCAACACACTTTAACTTATTTCTCTTGCAAGCTTCTTAATATCAAGGTTTTCAGCATGCACTACCAATCTTGAAGTTTTGTCAATAGCAAGTAAATACAAATCAATATTCTATATACTTGTTTTGTTGAAAATGCTCGGGAAACAGAGGTATCATAATTAAATATAGTTTAAAGTATCACGTCTAGGGATTCATGCATGCATGACAAAAACAGAAAAATAAAGGCAAGGAAATGATTAAAGTAAAAGTCAGGAGCGCGGTTACATTTGAAGAAAGCAAGTGTCTGTGATTAGGATGGAGCACAACGAGTTTTTAAGTGGCTGATAAAGTTCGATTTCTTGACCTGGGTTGTCGGTGTAAAGTGGGTGTTCACTTTATAATTATTCACTAAGCTCTTTAAAAACATTAAGTAAAAGTCAGGATAGTTGTTGCCGTTGGTTGGGAGGGGGGACCGGAAAGGAGACTGATGGGTACCTCTCAGATGCTGGCATTGTTCTGTTTCTTGTCTAGCGTAGTGGATATATGAGAGTGCTCAGTTTGTGAAAATTCTCCAGCTGACTACTTAGGTGCACTGGTCTACGTGTAAATTATTTCAGTCAAAGTGCAAAATCAAAACTAGACTTATCAAAGACTTTAAACGATTGTTAAAGTTTTGCGCCAACTATGTTTCTGCCTCCTGTAAATATCTTGGTGACTAAAACTAAAAATTTCACTCCATTTTCCTGAACTTTTCAGTGGAAAAGTCTAACCAACTATCAATAATACAAACTTTCCTGACGTTGGGGGATAGGGGTGGAGAGAGGAATTTAGAAGGTGAACTCAGAGCAAAACAGTTTATCTAGCAAATGCCATAAAGACTTCCCAAGGCTATGACTTTCCATAAATAGAAAACAACATCGAAAAACTCGAGGCAGTAGGTCAAAATAAATATATAGTAGCTTCTCAATCTTTGACCTTATATGTGTTAGGATAACCAAACAGCACTCAATGAAAGTGTTTGGATTTGTTTTTCAGTTTGCTGATAGAATTTTTCTTTCTACAAGTCTGTAAGCTCCTGTTAGGACTGAAGCCAACAGAGATATTTTAGTAGCAGAACGAATATATGTATATTTTATCCATTGAGGATGCTCCACACTGAAAGTCAGAGACCACTTAGGATGTAATCTAATCTTTTTAATAGCTGATAAACGGAACTGAATAGCTTCTTGGATGCAACATAGGTGGAGCAGGTTTGAACAGCTGGCACTCTCCTTTTTGTACATGTCCATACAAAGATGAACATATCTTCTAAAATATGGTATTGCCACAGAATCAAGCACACAGATTAGAAGAAGCCATGTTCTGATTTTTTTCCCAGCATTTTGCATGATGTGTATTGAAAACGGGGTTTGTCAAAAGCATAGGAACAGCTGTGAAAGACTTACTTGAAAAAAGTGAAAGAAAAAGAGAGAGAGAATTAGAATGAATTAGAATTAGGTAAAGTGAGTAGCTGCAAAGACTATCGGAATGATAACAATAAAAGATGTGGGAAGACGTTCTCCGGCGTCATGAAAATTAACGTGGGAAGATTGCCTTTAATCATCACCTAAACTAACAAAAAGAAAGGGCAACGATTTCTGAGTGACAAGAAGAAGGTGCTCTTTCTCTGAACCAAGATTACCATGTAGTTCCTCAAGAAAAGCCTGGGTGAAGGTAAAGGAAATACAGTTTAGTGTAACGTCCCTTAATTATTTACAGATGTTTATGAAACTCCTAGTTGTCTCATCTGTTCAGCAGGGGGAAAAACATAAACGGAAAAGCAGAGATTGTGTCCCTCTGTCTGCTATCAATTAAATCATCAAAACAAAATTATCATTCAAGTTACAATGTATCATTTCACTTTTAGAATGTTTGGGGGGGAACCGTCTATGAAACAGAAATCTGTAAACCATCAAAGCAACAAAGCAACTTTAAAGTTCAATAAGCAGTTTGTTCATGCATGTTTTAATCTAGTTAAAAAATGGAAACCATGTTCACGTGGTCAAAATAACACTTGCGTCAAAGGAGTCTTTGAGGTTCAATCCACTGAGACAGGCAAACGATTTTTGTGAAACCCCAAAATATTTTCAAGAGGGGAAAGGGCTCCCTAGAGATTGGAATACGGTGGCATTGGTGGAATTTTAATGTGGGAAAGTATCTAGCAATAAGGCAAGCTTGTTAGAGGGAGAAAATATCAAATGTTCAACTTCCAAATGTGTTCTCTTCAATTATTATGTAATTGAGAACTGTTTTTTATTTTCTATTAATATTTGGATTGTATTGTTTTCTATCATGCATATGCTAAGCTTACTTTGTATTAAGTTCTATGTTATTGTGTCTTGCCATGTTAAAGTAATTATCTGTCTCTACAAAAGAGATTTATTACCTTCATGAATCTGACCATACACACATCTTAAATAAATTAATGAACTGACAAACAAAGAGTGTCCCATCATTCTAAGTAGCTGACAACATTTAAAAAGCAGTCACATCGCAGTAACAAACATTTTAAAGCAATGGGCACTTTTGGAAGAGCAAAGGGAAATATTTTATAAATACTTATTTCGGCAAGCATCCTAACTGGATCTAAAAGTTAATCAAAGATCCATGCTACTACTATATTTTTCTAGAATACTGTTGTGTTACTGTGCTTTCAGTTGCTTTCTACCAAAAGACCATGTCACCCTGCTGTTTCTCAAGAAGCAGATCTCTGGATTGGCTTAGTAACTTTATCCAAAACATACTGAGCAGTTTGATTTAGTAATTTGAGACCAGGTATGTGGATTTTATTAGAGACGAAAAAAGAGTATTTGTTTATGGAAATGTGTAAAGTATTGGCAAAGAAAACAAACACTAGATAACCTTTAAGCAAAAAGGTTTATTCTGATACAATCTTTTTAAAAGACTGTATTTCTTTTTTCAAATAGTCTTTTGTCATATTTGAAATTTAAATGTTAACTAATACTTAGGACTGCCAAATTGCCTCCCAGTCCCCTATAGAATGGAATAGGATTAATTCTCTTTGTTTATCCATATTGTTCGTTTGAAGTTTTAAAAATAATTGCTAGAGAAAAACAAAACTGAACATTTATGATGAAAAATTATTTTGACCTGATAAAAATTTTATCATAATTGAAATATAGGTAGATAACAGAATTCTCTATGAGCCAGATTACTGTTATGGTATGTTTCCCTCACAGAGTTAGCAAAGTGCATTATTTTCTTATTAAATTTTAGATCAGTAATATGGATACATAAAACATTTAGCAGATTACAGGATCACAATGTCTCATTTTAGCATTTCAAAATCATCCTAGGAAGCAGGAATAGCGTTCATTTCTGGGCTTCACATATCACAAGGTTTTTAAAAAAATATTGAGACAAGTGTGCTTGGCTAAGTTTTACATCTGAGCAATTCCCAAACAATCATTTCTGAAGTTTGGCAATTATTATTATTATTATTTTCACTCTTAGGAAACAAGAACAAAACAAGGTTCTTAGGAAAGATTTTGAAACCCCATTCAAAGAGGACTTCTAAAGAAAATGTCACTACAAAGAGTAATTTCTCTAGCACAGAAATATCTTCAACGTTTTGTGATTTCCTGACGATGGTAAGAGTGTTTGTTAAGTTGCTGGGTTATTTCTGAGTGTTTTAAAATATATTTCGTACAACTATTTAATATGTCAGACACACATGTCACAGACTGACTACCTAAACAAAACACTGACATCCTCCTAGTGAAGTATACATAATACTTTTCCCTAAGCCACTTTACACAATTTTAAAGTTTTGCCTTCAATGGATTGCCAAGGCGTTTCTGATTTATGAGGACTATTGGATTCAAGCCGTACACTGAGTTTCTTTCTAAAAGGCAAAGCTAAATACTCACCATTGTACTTGAAAAAAAAAAACCCACAAATGTTTGTATATTTAATTTTAAAATAGCATAATTTACCTAACAATATTAATAATATTCATTGCTAGTATGTATCTGTTATATCTTTTCATGTGCTCATGAGAGGAGATCTTGAAATGTAAGTTTTTGATATTTTCTGCACCTTAATATATAAGTAAATATTGCTTGCAATTAGATACACTATAGTAATTACGACCTGTACCATGTATATTTGTATTTTATCATTATCATTATTCATTACCACCACCATCAACATCATAACAAAATGTTCCAAGTCTTTGCTGTGTGCAGTGCCCTGTGCTAAGTGCTTTGTCTGCATCATTTCATTTCTTTATTTGGCTCTATCTTTCAAGAAAATGTCATAAGATCCGCACCTGATCTGCAATATCTTAATGTGAAGTTGACTTTTGGTGGGGGAATTTCACCTGACAACGTTGATCAACATATTTATTGTTGCTATTTGAACCAATGGAGAAAATACCGTAATAGTTTTATTTTCTTGTTCTTTCCAATACCTAATAGAAAAAGAAATACTGGTGGGAGGAGGGAGTTGCAGGGAGGTCCAATGAAGACGATTGCATTTGGAGAAGGTGGAAGAGTGCTATCTATTGGAATGGAGAAAATAGGATTTTTAAAAATATTATATTTATTCTCATTACTACTTTCTTCTTATATGTAGAAGAATGCAAATTATTGTGAATGTTATTCTGAATGAATATTCAACAATTGTATTACTCGCAGTAACTCAAACATCCACAAACTGGGTATTTTGAGGCCTGTTTTAAAATTGCCATACATTTTCCTTCCCAGTAAAAGCTAGTTCTTTAAAAAGAAAATAATCCAATGTCAGCATATTTTCTTTAAACTGTGGGCATTTCTATTTTGATTGTTGTGTAATTTTAAAAGAAAGACAGTGCCTAAAACATACAACTGTCAGTTTATCTTTCATGTCATTTGATACTCCTCTTTAGTTTTATGAATTCATTTTTCTTGTATTCCTCCACAGATGAAAAAAATTTAAGTTGAGTTTAGGCTTAATTTTAATCTTTGTGCAAAAAATAGAACCTTTTAAGGCTCCCAGCCCAACTTTTTAAAAATGTTGATTTAATATTTTTAAGGTAATTTAAAAGCAGCTACTTATGAAAAAATTTTATTACCGAGGATAGTTTTTCTGTTACTAAAATTTCCTGATGTAAATCTCAGTACAAATAACTTTCTAAGAACCCTGTTTTTCCTTCTTCCCTGCTGCATTTTTATCGACCATTTTGTGTCATAATGATACTTCATAAATATTCTTGGATAAAAGGTGTCAGGTAGATGCGAATATGCTTTAAATTCTTCTTCCCCGAAGCGAGTTAAGCTAACATTACTAGGTTTACAAGTCACCGAAGAGGGTCATTTCTAGAATTAAGTTGTTTGTGGTACGAGTGGGTGCAGATACTCTGACCTCTCCCATGCATTTACCATTTCAACACTCCACCAAGAATTCTTTCCAATAAGTCCAGCTTTGCCAATGGCTCTTCAATAGGTAATTTTATATTAATGTGTTTCGAATAGAGTGCAGCCTTGTCTTCAACTTTCAAAGGGCCCAGAGTAAACATAAATACTCTACTAAGTAGCCTTCAAGAATATTATAATCCTGTCATGTATCAGAATGCAAACTCCACCTGAACAACCAATTTTAAAGAGACTGTCATTAGGAAATTGTTTTCCTTACAAAAATTTAAAGTGGGTCAATCATGCTTATTTGAATTCTACGAAGTAGTAAGAATGGTTCAAAGAAAACATGATATCTACAGAAGACAAGGAAAAGGAAAATGAAGCTGTTTCTTTAAGATAGCGATGCTCTTTGGGGGCAGTCCTCACCCATTTGGAAGAATGTAATGTGTAGACAATTAAAGACTGTTTCACCTGTAAAATTAGAGGAATTCAATCCTTAAATTGTAAGAGCAAATTATATAACACATTTTTTTCCATTGCAAAAAAAAAAAAAGGCAGTGCAAGTCTGAAAGTTATATAAACGATCATTTCATAGAAACTGGTTTGGTTCATATTTGTGACACATGTCATAATTGTGCTAAGAGTATCAATTGTTTCTTAAAAGAATTTTCAAAACCCCATAACTGCACTATCTTAAAGGGAAAACTTGATATCTCAGTTATGTAATAAGGGTCATTTGTCCGTAAACCTAGTTTATCTTTACATTTTTACCTGGGGAAAAAAGACATTAAAACCAACTGAATTTGCCTACGTGCAAACAGCTTCGAGAATAAAATAGTTACTTTTGAAAAAAGGAAATTCAGTCTGCCTGTAGAGAAGCAAGTGTAGCATATTTTTTTCCTTCTTCTAATCTTTCCACAGGTCATCAATCACAAATTTTCCCCGGTATGTTGCCGAAGCAGGGAGCAAAATGTGCAGCCGCCGATCTACCAATAGGGCCATTTCCGTACCTGCACATTTTAATAAGTCATCCAACACAGTCAGAAGGAAGCCCAAACTTTGTTTTTTACCTCATCTGTGATTGTAGCTGACATCAGCATGTTTTAGCTGAATGTATTACGCATTTCAAATAAGACGTCTGCATATTCAAAATGAAATAACATAGTTTAACATTAATACCACTTTTGCAGGAAGAGATGTTATGATATATTCTGGAGATTGCAATAAGCTGCATTTTTTATATATTTTTTTCCCACAACTCATTACTATTGAATTAACTTTGCGGCTTTAACTAGCGTACCTTCCATGTGTCTTTATGTCTTCTCTTTTCATAACATTTGGCATTTATAATTATAAATTTGTTCGTCAACATGGCATTACTTCCAGGTAATATGATATATTTTTTTCTATATTTTCAGATAATAAAAATAGGATATTTCTTTAAAGTCCATGAGCAAAATGTGCTATAAAGAAATAAAATTTCTAATTAATTTATTGAATCATTCTCTGCCACTGTTTCTGAAAGTGGTCCAACGCTCCAAGCTTATTCTGTAATTTTCCACTAAAATATGATGGCATATTTATATTTTGCCTGAAAAGGCTGATGTACTTTTGAAAGTAGAATGTAAAAAAATTTAATATGTTCAGTTTAACTCAGCAAACGAGTACTGAACATGAAGTGTATAGAAGCACTATCCTAGGCACAATGTATCACGAAGGTGATCAAGAACTTGTTCTTCATTTTAAAAAGCTTACGCTGCAGAAACAGGAAATAAGCACATAGACAGAAATTTCTAGGGACATGTGGGGAATAAAGAGTGAAGATGCTGCATATCCAAGAAGGCTTTCTGGAGGAAGAGGCACCTAAGATGAATCTTATAGTATAAGTGCATTAAAATCTGTGAGATGTTGCAGGATGTCTGGACCTAGGAAGCCAAGATTTTGATTGAGAATGCTTGAGAAAGATTTTAAGCAGAAGATATGGCCAATTTTCCAGTTCATTCTAGAATGAGTGTAAGGAGAGACTGCCAAAAGAAAGCAAATTGGAGGCAACAAGATGAGTAAAGAGATAATACCAAAGTGAGGTCTGCAGACAGCAGCATGGGCATAACCCAGGAGCAAAATCTGAGGCTCCCGCTCCAACCCTACAGAATCAGAATCTGTTGTATCAAGATCCTCTGGTTATTTGCATGCCCGTTGAAATTCAAGGAACACTTATCTAGACTGAGTGGGGCTAAGTGATGGTTTGATTTTAGGAATTATTGAGAAGAGTGAATCTAGGCCTGGAAGGGTGAAAGTGGTGTAGGTATTCCATTAGAGGCTAACACACTAAAAAACAATAGAGATAAATGTAAATGACCTAGTTTGTATTCAAAGACTTCACAAAGGAAATGTGGAGTAAGAAACAGATGAGAAGAAATAAGGTAGGGGAGATGATAATTTTAATTTTTGGATGGGAAAAATAGGAGATCAGCAATGGGAAATTCATCAGGTGTTTGGGCTTACACAACTGTAGATCCCAGAAAAGGTCTGGATAGAGATGAAGATAGGAGAGCCATGCATCTGTTTTTTGGTTGCTAAGATCAGGGGAGAGGACATGATCATATGGGGAGAATATGTTGACTTAGAAGAGCAGTGAGATGCAGAGTTCCTGAGAACAACAGGGACTGAGAGAAGAAATAAAGGGCAGTCAAAGATACCGGAGGACATCCAGGACATGTGGAGCTGAGGGAAGAGACTGTTTCAGGAGAGTGTGTTCAACAAATTCCAATGCAGCAGGGTTCCAAGAAGATTTATGTCCACTGGATTTGGCACGCGTTTTAGTTTGAAAGCAGGAATATTAATTTCTTAAGGTGACTCAAATTCATACATAGTCTTCTGCTAGATAGCTCATATTACTTTTATAAGTGAAATAGAAATCATAGCTGAGTCGGAGTCAAAAAATGCACTCTATATTGGTGGTTTTACTCAACATTGAATTTTCTCTCTGGCATTGAAAATTGCATTAAGTTTCAGTGGAATTCCCTAAGATGAGCACCTGATGAATCCAGGTGCAATGTAGCATGGTAGCCTGAAGATCCCTTGGAGAGTAAGTCACACTGTAAAGGTTAATTTCCTGGCAGATTAGCTTGCAGTGCAGGATTAGTTGTAGGAAGTGTGATCATGAGTGCAGGCTTTGAATTCAGACAGCTCTGAGGTCAAAATCCGTTTATGTCAATAACTAGATATGCTTATTTTTTCTCAATCTTATTTTGAGCATCTGTAAGATAGGATGAATAATGCTTGTGGAGTTATTGAATTGAGAATAAACACATATTTTTTATGCATACATATATGCATGTACGTATGTAATTGAATTGAGATCACGTGTATACACACATACACACGCACGCATGCACGAAATTGCATTTAAACTATACATAGAGAGAAGTCCTGCCATATAGCAGATTGAATAACCCATCCCTTCCCACTCCTGTGAATACACACTTATTTTGTAACTATTACAGAAAGTTAAGTATAATTTAAAAATTACTATCCCATCTCAAACTTACTTTAAAAATTGCAGTTTGGGTAATTATCAAAGAGGCAACAAAATGCTTCAGAAAAATTACAAATATTAGGAGTTCAGAGACCAGGATGAAAATTTCGCCTTCATAATTAATAGGTTGAGCAATAGTTATTTATCTAGCATACATGAATAAATTTGAATCATGCCCTGCATAATGACATTCTGGTCAACCATGGACCACAAATACTATGGTGGTTTTATAAGATTATAATGGAGTAGAAAATTTCCTGTCACGTAGTGATGATCCTGACTCTGTGTGTGCCCAGGCTAATGTGTGTATTTGTGTTTTAGTTTTTAACAAAAAAATTTAAAAAGTTAAAATAATATTAAATTTTAAAAATAGAAAACAAAGCTTATAAAATAAGAATATGAATAAAGAAAATGTTTTTGAACAGCTGTACAATGCATTTGTGTTTTAAGCTAGGTGTTATTGCATAAAAAGAGTCAAAAGTTTAAAAATTTAAGACTTTGTTAAGGAAAGAAGTTACAGTAAGGTAAGATTAAGTTAGTGTTGAAGAAAGAAAAATGTTTTTATAAATTGAGTGTAGTCCAAGTGTACAGTGTTTAAAAAGTCTACAGTAGTGTAGAATAATGTCTTATGCCTTCACATTCACTCACCACTCACTGACTCACCCAGAGGAACCTCCAGTCCTGCAAACTCCATTCATGTTAAGTGACTTATACAGAGGTACCATGTTTTCATCTTTTATACCATACTTTTACTGTACCTTTTTTATGTGTAAACACACAAATACTTACCATTGTGTTACCACTGCTAACAGTATTCAATACAATAATATGTTGCACAGGTTCATAGCTTAGGAGCAATAGGCTATACCATCTACCCAAAGTGTATACAATCTAGGTTTGTATAAGCATACTCTAGGAAGTCCACACAAGGACTAAATCACCTAATGATGCATTTCTCAGTATATATCCCTATCATTAAAGCATGCATGACTATATATATGGCACACCTATTATAGATCAAGTTCTTTGGTAGGAAAGGCAGAATGTAAATTCTATGATGAAAGGAATGTTTTCAGTTTAATTTATTGCTATAGCTTAGCATACAGTAATGACGCTCAAAATTTATATTTACTGGGTCTTTAAGAGTATTAAATTCTAGTTGTAGATTTGAATTATTGTAGACCTCAATTTTCTCATCTATAAAATGGCATCTAGAGTCCTTTTCAATTTCATAGCCCTGACTTTTTTTTTTTTACAGTAATGGACAGAACAAAAGAGATAGAAAACTGGATATATATGTCATAACAGAAACAATTAAATTGTCCATACAGTTAATATAATTTTTATTAGGTTGATGGAACAGGAACACCATGAATAGTCTATGTAATAATTAGATTTTTAGTGACCCACTGACTTGCTAAACAGTCAGTATGTATTTTGTGCATCTGTGATGTGCTAAGCACTGACGAGGACATAGTGGTAAAGAAGGAGATGCAGGCTTTACAATCACAGGCATACAGTTAATCTCTTCTATTTTCCTTGTGCCCAGTGGCATTAGATGTGAGATGGCCTGCAGTCAGTTTGTAATCATAGTACAGAATGAATCCAACTAATCTACCCTAGGGTTAGTCCCATTTCCCTGATTTCTTACGAAAATACAGCAGTTTGCAAAAGTTGAATTAATACTAGAATTATGTATTACTGACAACTATAATGGTCAGAGATAAACAAAATAGATTAAAATCTATTATTGTAGCATCAGCAACCTGACCAAGTAGGGGAAAATATGCAGGCAAGCAGAGAATTAAAAAGAAAAGTAAATAAAACTGCATAGAGGTAGATTCACAAGGGTGGGGAAAGAGCAAGGATGACATAAGTCATGTTGACAGCCTACTTGGACTGAGCCTGATCCAGAAGAATGTCTTTGCAAGCAACGGGTTTAAATCCCATGGGCTGTTGGTGAATGTTTTGTTGTATTTCCTGGTGTCTGGTGATAACCCCTTACGTACATCCCAGGAAGATATTCATCATTGTGTGCATAAATAAGCCTTTCTATAACTTAACAGCCATCTCCCTTTCTTTTGTAGAAGATATTTTATTATATGTTTAGAAATATTATAACTATTCCTACTGGTTGTGCTACTATTTGTTTAACTTTGCCCCACTATGACAATTTTTAAAGTGTTCTTTCAAACTTTTGTCTATTTTTGAAATATGAAGCAATATTTCTGTATATTTCCATTTTTAGAGTAATCATTATCAAGTTTGTTTAATTTATATAGATTTTCCCTTAAAAAATGTTAACAGAAATTCTTTAACATGAGAAACCAATATTAATATTACCTTTGTTTTTGGTATAATAAGGTCTTGTGTGCATTATTAATTTATCTTTAAGAAGTTTAAGTTTTGCAACTATTTTATCTGAAAATACACTGTTTTGGCAGATGTTTATATGTAAAAATAAAGTCATATTTCTCTGAAACATTAGCACTTTTAAAGCACAACTCAAAATGTTTTTATATGTATGGTTAAAAAAGTGATGTAGTGAAAGTGTCTATTTGTATGCATAGCTGCTAATTAATGTTTGCTTTAGACGGAGAGTCATATATAAATGTGTACATATTGACATGTATTTAGTATAGGCAAACCTGTGTAAATAAATCTATTTAACCATATGTTAAGCAATCAATGCATATTATCTCCTAAATACTAAAAAGAAAACCCAAAATGTCCTATAACCAGTTTACAAAGTATTTTAAGGACCTCAAAACCCTGCTTTTTAGTTTACTCCAGGATCGCTAAACCTGAGGAACAAATCTATCTTTTACAGGGTCGCATATCCATATTGCCTTCATAGAACTTCCATTAATCCATTATAAAATCTGCAAAAGGTTTACGAGTACACTCTTTACTATCTTGCAGAATATTCTTGAAAAGGAGGCTTTTCAACATTCAAAGTTTAAATCACAAAAAATGAGCATATTTGCTAATAAATCTCAAAGACTTGATTCTGAATCAAGTTTTATTCTTCAATTTGAAAACAAACCTGTCTCCTGATTTTACAGCAACTTACCAACTTTAGAAGTAAAGTAAAAGAAAATAATTTTTAGAGATCCTCATTTCTCTTAGATGGAATAATACGAAATGTAGGTTTCATCATGGATTTGTCTATATGCTAACTCTTTCAGTGATTTCCACTTTAGAGAGTCCACAGTGACCACAGTATAAGAATACCTAATTCATACCCTAATTTTAACTATTAAGACTTTTCATTATTAATAATCAAAATGGTAAAAAGAAAAATAGGCTTTTGTTGTTCTTGTTAATATTGCTATTTTGTTTTAGAACATGAGCAAGGAAGGGTTATATTCACTGCTAAGAAAAGAAGTAATGTTAAGAAACAATAAAAATTAAGCATCAGTATTCAACATTTTTTCCAGCTTTTCTATCAAGAAGCATGATCTTCAAACTGGTGAGGTTAGAACAAACATCATTATGAGGGAATGGAATTCCAGAATAGATGAGGAGATAATGGAAAGTAGCTAGCACTTCAAATGAGTTCAGGTCTCC
This sequence comes from Homo sapiens, assembly GCF_000001405.40. Taxonomy (NCBI): domain Eukaryota; kingdom Metazoa; phylum Chordata; class Mammalia; order Primates; family Hominidae; genus Homo; species Homo sapiens. The sequence goes on along the minus strand of NC_000008.11, from coordinate 115,692,081 downwards.
TTATGAATAACATCCGGTAGTACTGAAAGAACTTGCAGAAGAGATGATGAAACCACTGTTGGTAATCTTTAAGAAATCATTGACAACAGGAGAGGTGCCAAAAGACTAAGATATGAACATGTCCCAATTCTCTAAAAGGAGAAAAAGCACATTACATCAACTACATGCTAGCAAACTTGTCAACCCCCAGTCAAATTCAAGATTATATTATCAAAAAGATGATGTATAAGTAAATGGGAAAAATGCAGTCATTGCTAGAAATTTTCATGGGAAGCCTAAGGATGAATATTGCCAAACTACCTCACCTTTGATTATCATTACAAATCACAACACGAACACAAAGCAATATGATATTTTTAGATGATAAAGTGATTGCTAGTTCCGGATGAGTGAAAATGTATACATCAAAAGCCATGGGAAAAGGTCTTGAGGTTTTTAATTGTCAAGATGACCAATATTAGCCAATTGAGTGACAAGTATTACAAAATGGGCCTATCACTTTCAGATGAAGGAAAGCAATATTACTATTGCACCTACAACTGATCAGAGCTCATCTGGACACTTACTTGCAATTTTTGTGGCACTAACATCTGGAGAATATTGTCAAACTGGAGCCTGTCCGGAGATGACCCAGGCTGATGAAGGATGCTTCAATCACAGTTGCAAACCACTGAGGGATTTAGAACAAAGAGATTGAAAGAATTATCTTTAGTGATGTAAAGGAGAAGTACATAGCAGAGAACAGATTGTTTTGAGCAGGTCCAGAATCCGCAGCCAGGAACAATTGGTGGATGTTGCAGGAAACCAGGGAAGGGGTTTCTTTCAATTAGAAATACCAAAAAAATGGATCCGCCTGTCTTATGAAGCAATCATTTTCCTGTCACTGGGAGTGTGCAGGCAGAGACTGAACAGAACAAAGGGATTTCTACATTGCTTGGGCAATTGGTCATGTTTTTAAGCTCCTTTGAATTCTATGATTATTTGATTCTAAGCATTTCTAACAGCTGCGTATTATACATGGGAAAAGAAAGAAAGAAGGAAGGAAGGAAGGAAGGAAAGAAAGAAAGAAAGAAAGAAAGAAAGAAAGAAAGAAAGAAAGAAAGAAAGAAAGAAAGAAAGAAAAAAAGAGAAAGAAAGAAAGAGAAAGAAAGAAAAAGAAAGAAAGAGAAAGAAAACAAAATATGTTGAACAGTCACTAAATATTACTAAAGGTTTATTGAATATAGTAGTTTTCATTGCCACAGAGAACTACATTCAGATGTCATCATACAATATATCCCTAAAAAAAGCCTTATTTAAGTTTCTTTTTGGCATAGGCCCAACATTTATGTCAGCTTAATGGACGGACCCTATATATATATAGAGGTGGTATTTTTATCTGATTTGTTGTTATAAAAGAAACATGCTTAAATTGTATACTTACACAAGCTCGGCATCACTTTCCCTTTACTGGCTTAGTTAAATAGAGATTGCTAGATTCAGAAATGAGCACTGGGTTGAGGATTCTCAGAACCTTTTCTGCTAAAAATTTATTACCAAGAAAGCTGACTCCCAATTAAAGAAAGTAGACTCCTATGTCCATGGTTCCTGACTATATTCATGGCTTATGATGATATAAAAATATAACCATGTTTACTCTCAGGTTCTATAAGCTATTCAAATTCAGCCTATATAGTAAAATATGGCTTGAGAAGTTGTATAGCTATAAAATTTTTGGACTCCAAATTCAGGAAATTTATGTCAGTTGAAGATGAAACTTTTGAAATGTATATTCAAATCAATATACTATGGGCAAAAAAGAAAAAGAGTCTAAAATAGAGCACCTCCTTTAAAATGCTAGTACTTCAGTGCATATTTTATAGGGAATGGTGAGTTTTAAGCTTTGGGGGAAAGTTAATTTACTGGTTTGAAAGATGTGAAGGTTTTCCTTTAAAATTAAAAAGAAAACAGTTCTATTGTGTATTACAAATCTTGCTCACTACACCATAAGCATTTAATAAACTTGACTATGGACTGATAACATCAAGGAATATTTTGAACATATGCAAAATATAAGAGACTTAGCTAACATGATTTTACATGTTCATTATATAAGATTCAATATTTGCTGAAGTTAGGGAGAGGTAATTTAATCATGATAGTGGAGTGCTCATAGGAGGATTATATTATAGGCAAAAGGTACTATATGTAGTTGGATAGAAAAAAATAATATACTGCAGCAAACCTCACGTATAATACATTTCATTACAACAAGAATTCAGACCTGTCAAAGGGTAAATCATGGCCCACCCACCTATTCCAGCTTTAAGACCTTCAAACTATATAAAGAAGAAAGAAAAGTTTTGCTGTACTCCTTTGCTGTTTATTTTAGGTATTACTTTCAAATCCTATATCCAACACAATAACAAATTTCATTATTGTTCAAAAATAGGAAGGGTTACTATAGATATAACTCTGTAACTAAACTAATCAAACTATAAATAGAAAAAATAATCCTAAGATGTAAAGACTTAAAAAATGGCATAATAACATAAGAGCAAATTAGTTCAAAGAAAAACAGCATTGTGCAAAAGAATTCCAAATGAAATAAAACATAAGGTAATACATTCATATTTCAGTAAAACATTAATTTTTCTTCCCAAATAACACTTGTTGAATTAGTTATCCAGCAAGAAAAATTACATGGGAGAGAGGCCAAAATACAAAGAAGAAGCTAAGTGGCAGCCTATTTTGTTACATAAAGGTATTTAAAGAAGATTACAAGTACATTTTCCTTTCTCTTCTTAAAGATGGGAGAAAGTCATCTATATTAATGCAGTTTAGATGCATGCCAACAGTTTATTAAATTGTCAACACTAAGAAGCATTTTAAAATGTGAATATGCCTGAAGACTGGAAATGGTTACCAAAATAACGAGATAAATTGAACAAGTATGAAGCAAGATATCTGTGGAAGTAAATGAAAATACACTATTTCGTTGTGAACTTGAAAATTACTTAAGAATTGTCATAGATCACTGGCTCCCTTCCTTGGGTCATGACCCAAATTAAGGATGCAGAGGGTCTACAGAAGGGTCAGGAAGAATCCTCAGGGAAAATGTGTTCCCAACCTCCTGGATCAAAACAGAATGGTGAAGGGGAAGGAGGTATGTTTTCATTCCTCACCCCCGCCCACCAGTAAAAAGAAAATAGGAGGAAAATCAGGTTGCTTAGGAGTCTTTTTCTGGGTCACAGCAGCAGGGCTGAAGAACAGGATTTACAAATCAACATGGCATAAATATCTTTCACTGTAGAGCTGGCTTGCATCTGCACTCCTCACTGCCTACCTGGATTGGGGGAGTCAGTGGCCTATGAAATAGTTTATTGCAATAATTCTTGTTATATATTAATTTCAATAAAGCAAATAGGTGTAACTTTTTAAAAAACTCCTTTAGCCTGATCAGTAAAGACAATAATAACCAGTTTATACCTTCCTTGAGAGAAAATAGAGAAGCAGGGAAGTAGATGACAGAAAATGATGGTCAGCAGTCAGTTTACAAAGAACCATATGGAAGTCCAAAAATGAAACAGAAGTGCGCTCTCTCTCTCTTTCTCTCTCTCTCTCTCTCCAAGATCCAGCTAAGGAAATTTGGGACAATTTTGATTTTTCAAAATGAGAGCCAAAAACAACTAAAATAATGAAGCTCCAAGAATACATTAGACAAAAAAAAAAAGTGTCATTTAAGCTACAGCAAGTGGAGCCTGCAGACAGATTAATGTGCAGCGGAGTCAGGTGATTGGTAAGAATAACAGTGTAACTACAATTTTAAATGTAGCTTGAATATATAGAACTATTTCCAAAAGATGATCATGTAAGAGTGCATACAGGTTTTGTAAATGAGCAGCAAAACATTCATTTGTTTAAAAGACGTTTAATGAGATACTTAGCTTAGACGGTGACTTAGTACTACGCTTTCAGAAAATAATCACATTACCAGTTGGTACTTCTTCAACAGCTAAGATTTTTATTCTATTTACACTAAAGGGAGAGGTAATTTCAACCTGATAATTTTCAGCTCTGAAGTTTTATTTTGCATGCACACTGCCAACTTGCAGACCCTCTCAGGGGTTTGCACACTATAATCAGGGTTGCAGCATTCAACACCCTTTTCCTATAACAATAAAAAACTCTCCATACCTTTTCAACTTGTCACGTTTGCAGTGCATTATAGAATTTAAACAAGCTTTGAAGATGAAAAAGACTGTACACAATGCTTAAGTGTTACTATTATTATGATTATGATGATATGGTCCACAAGATGTACAAGGGCATTTTGGGATGAATGTATTATGAGTCACAAAGTTGCAACTGAAGACAGCTGTTTGATTGCTACTTGAGAGAGTAGAGTTGAACAAGCCTGAATATGGATGATCTCATTTGGTTTTATAAAACTAAACAGAGCACAGGCAGTTAGTTGGATAATATATCTCCAAGGGAAAGAGGAGTTAGGGTAATTCATCTCTCTGTTGTAGTACATATCATGTTCTTCCTTATAAACTCCAGATATGATTTCTGTTTCCCAAGGACAGATTATCTTTGGCATGGCAACCTCACTTTTTGGTCACAACATGTAAGTTTTCATTATTGTTATATTTAAAAACTCTAATTATATTAATCATTTTCTTGTTTCCTTGTATATCCCACTACTATACTATCGTCTTACATTATTGGTATTTGCCTTTACCATTTACCACTCCCATGGGAATAAACAAAAGTTACTTAGAACATTGACTTGTATTCATGAGCTCCCATGCTACTGTAAAGTATGGAGAAAATATATTAGCTAGAAACTTACAACCCATTTAATGATTCAAGACACAAGGAAATGAAAAGTTAAATAATGATATAAGATTAAGTAGCAAGAAATGTCAAGGGTATCATGGTTAATTATCAAATATGTCTCATAGAGAACTGTAGATTTAGGCATGGAGTCTATTACAGTATGTTGGCCTGGACTATAAAGGTTATAACAAATAAATGGAACTTTTCCAAAGTCATATTGATTGAAAGGAGAAGGGTACAGCATTTTAGACTGGAGGAATGCTGTAAGAAGTCACAGGGCTGAAAAGGAAAAGGCATTTTTGTGGACTGGTGTGGTCGGAATAAAGTGCTCATGAGGAGTTTCTGGGAAAAGAGTTTGAAAGTTTGCTGAGAAAAGATGTGGGCAAATGTTGAGTCTGGGTCAATAAGATGAAACTTCATTCTGAGAGCCTAAGAAAGCAAATATCACGTGTCACATCTAATTTACTGTTTGATCAACAGATAGATTGATTTATAGTGGATGTCCTGAAATTTGTGTTAACAAAGATTATGATTGACTCTGGATAGGATTTTCAAGGCAGAGCTGGAAAAAGTATTATGAATATGGTGGCCACGTGTGTGTAGAATTCATGCTGGCTATTCACCATCTTTGAGTTAAGTATTGTGGAGTAACTGAAGATTGTGATACAGAGGAAAAACTGGAGTACAAAATTTTAAATGTACAAAATTTAAAATGTACAAAATTGTAAAATGTACACTTTCATTGAATAGTCTTGTCAGCCTTGCAGAATCTGGATGTGTGGAAGCTGGGTCAGTGAGCCAAATAGATCGTCCATCTGGGTGAATAATACAGCAAAATGGAATGGGAGGGAGTTTGATAAAGATTTGGCTGGCAGACTTGAAGAAAAGAAAATATAGTGTTAAATTATTCCTTGTAATTATGATAGTATTTGACTAGTAATATTTTTAAAAGCAGATACAAATTTTAAATGACTTTGCCTAAGTAAAGAGTGAATGTGTTACACATTCTTGCCCAAAATGTATTACAAAGGGTTGAGGAGGTAAATCCCTAAAAGACAGCAACCACTATGCTTTTGACAGCAAGCAGTATAGTAGTGGAAGCTCTGTGAATATTTCTAAATGAAGGTTTCTACCAGAAAGGAAAGTATTCATTTGATTTTTGTCCAGAAGTGATCTAACATACTATGTGAAATGAAGTCTTTCATTATCAGAGCACATAGCTCTTTAAAATGTAGCCTTTCAAGTCTGTAAGGGTTTTTACTAGGGTGTGACACTTTGGATGGCACTTAAGCTAAGTTAGGCACCAAAATATGTCATTGGGGAAGACTGTATCAATGAGGAATTGGTCAAAAAAAAATCCACCAAGCAGAACAGTGACACGAATCCTCCTTCCTCAGAATTAATCATTGAGTGTGCCCTACATTCAGTATTTGTCTCAAGTAAGAACCTCCAGAGTACAAATGGCCAAATTTACCCATCATATAATGTTATTTTGTCTAGAAATAGTTATCAAAAGCTTAGTCACATGTTTCCATGATATGTTTAAATTTATTTCATTTGTAAGAATTTCTTTTAGGGGGAATTTTCAAGAATGCTACTTGTGTTAATTTATATTCTAGTTTTAATTTGCCAACCATTTAAAGATAATTGTCAAATGTTGGGGGAAGAGGTATGCTACATGATATATGACTTAAAAATCAAATCCTGAAAGAGATAACTTACTTCTCGAAATGCCTAACATATCTAAGAATCGCTTGAATTGATATGACATAATCTAACATAGAAATGGATGAGAAAAATAGTATAGGAGCTATAACTTGGTTTTATTACTATTTTTTTTCACCAACTAGTTTTGTGCCCTTGATAAAGTTACTAAATATCTCTGGATTTCCATTTTCCTAGCTGTGAAATGAAGAGATTAGACTCGATGCTCTTTCACATAACTAAATTTTATGAGACTTTGTCACATGGAATATATGTAGATGACCAAGTAGACTCAAGAGAAACTCTGGAACTTTGGTTTAGAACCCCAGAAACACAAGGAAGTCTAGAGCTACTGGTTGACTGCTTTCCCTGCACTGCTGCATTACCCCACTGACTGTGGCACATAGAGAGGAATAGTAAATGTCAACTTGATTATAGATCCCTAGCAACCCTGGAAGATCTAGGGTAGCTTCCGCAGATGGTAGGAAATGATACAGCCCTGCCCATTGCCTCCAAGTCTCTTCAAAGTTGTCTAGTTCCCATGGGCACTTTCGTGCCATGCTGGTAAAGAGATAATGAGTACTTTTGTTCTGGAGATGATTTTGGCAATAGTTATCAGAATGGAAAATGTGTATACTCTGTATCCCCGTAATCCCCCTTCTCAGAATTTGCCCTAAGAAGATGATACCTAAGTTGCGAAAAGCTCTGCATTCAAGAATATTCATGATACTGTGGTTTACAGTGGAGAAAAATGGAGAGTGATCTAAAATGTAAGGGGTGGATACTCTAAGCAGCCATTAAAAATAATGGTGTAAATGGAATGAAAAGATGCCCACAACATCTTATTAATTATTAAAAGGAAATTAGAGGCTAGATGCCTAATAAGTCATTTATGTAAAATTGTATACATATATCTCAATGGTTATAAATGCATTGGTATGATTCAAGGTGGTTTTTACATTATTTTGGGGAAACTTCTCTATAGGGTTGAAATTTTCAAAATTAATAGGCTTTATTGTTTTAAAAACAATAAAACGAATAAAGAATATTGTGGCTTTTGGTGAGCTAAAAGTGAACGGAGAACACCTGGTCAATAGCTGTGGCAGTTGTGAGCATTCTTTTTGTATCATCTTTAAAATTTGGAATGACTTTTTAAAATAGAAATATCTTTTTAATAGAAATATATATTAAATTAAATATCTATTTTTAAAATAGAAATGTCTTCAGTGTCCAAAATTACAATGTCTGCAAATGTGAGTAAATACTCATTGTCACATTCTTACAACTGGTTCCTGAAGCTAGATAACTATCATGTCTTATATCAATGTTATTAGGATAACATTGCTCTAGTTCTTTAAAAAAATTGTTATTAATATTTTTTAAGGTAGTACATTTTGTCCTTCCTGGAAGTTCATTGTAGTATACATTTTTTTTTTCTCACCTGATGAACATTTAATCCCAATTTTCACTTTCTGGTTTTTTTTTTTTTTTTTTTTGAGACAGAGTCTCACTTTGTCACCTAGGCTGGAGTACAGTGGCATGATCTCGACTAACCGTAACCTCCCCTCCCAGGGTTCTAGTGCTTCTCCTACCTCAGCCTCCCGAGTAGTTGGGATTACAGGTGCCTGCCATCATGCCTGGCTAATTTTTTTGTATTTGTAGTAGAGACAGGGTTTTGCCATGTTGACTAGGCTGGTCTCGAACTCCAGACCTCATGTGATCCACCTGCCTTGGCCTCCCAAAGTGCTAGGATTACAGGCATGAGCCACCACACCTGGCCCACTTTATGAATCTTTATAGAGAATAAAGAAAAAAAATTTCCTTTTATAGAAGCTAATCATGTGAGATATTTACTCTTCCAGCATTCCTTGGGGTAAATATAGCCTCCACCATCAGATATTCCAGCACCAGACCTTAATAAGGAGTTATTACTACAAGAGAGAAGTGAAGAAGAACATTCTTTCTTTCTTGATGGCAGCAACAGTGGTGGCAGCTGCATGGCCAAGTTTCTGGAGGTAAAAGTGTACAAACGTCACATCTTGAGTTCAGTGGTAGCAATGGTGGTTTCTTTATCAGTCTAAGTCTGAAGATAGTTTGGGGTATTGTTTCTGGAAGGTAAGCTTTGTGTTGGTTCCCACTGATTGTTTCAGCTGCAGGGTATACTTGTAATAAATTTATTTTCTTCTTAATCATCTAGTCTGCTTGCAGCCAAGGACTTTGCCTGATACACTCAAGCTCCTCTGCTTCCCACCCCACCAAATGGACATTCAGACATTCATACTCTCATCTTTACCTTCTCTCTGACATCGTGGAGGAAATGAACCCTTCTCTATCCAAGGAGGATGTACCATCTGTCACCTACTTAAGGACTTGGCGTCTCACATTATGCTGTTTCTCCAGTGTTTCATCAGCCTCTCTTTTCCCACAGGCTCTTTCCCCTCTGTAGACAGGCTTACGCATCTGTCATCTATAAAAAAATGTCATGTCTTCACCCACACTTGCAAGGAACTCTAAGCCTCTGACTTCTGAATTGCCAAACATCCTACTATCTATGCATATTGCCTCCACTTTCTCATCTCTGATTCATTCCCCAACTCTCTTCATTATAATGTCTGCCCTCATCATTCCACTGGAACATATTGTAACCCTCTGACAACCTAATGCAATGTAACCTAACTCATGTAACTCAACCACTTAGCTTTCTCTTTATCTCAAAATACTTTTCTTTCTTTGGATTATTTGACTACATCCTTTTCTGTGTTTCTTTCTTTAACACTGGTTGATTCTTCTCAATCTCCTGTGCTAGTTGAGAAGAAATCTTTGTCTGTATGTGACCTCTGAAGTCTCAACCCCAGGTGCTCATCTTTCCTATAACTGTGAAGTAATTGATGTAATATATTTCCATGGCTTGAAATGCCATTTGTATGCTGATGACGTGTGTGTGTGTGTATCTTTCCTTCCCAGATCTGAATTCAAGACTTGGATTTGTGACACAGCATCTTTTCTTGAATGTCACATTTGTCTGACTAAAACCTGTTTCTTTCCTCATCTTTTTCATTCCACTAAATGGTATCACCATTGTTTCTCTGTTTCCTCAAATTGGTATACTGGAAGGCACCTTGAGTCCCCATTTTCTCTTATCTCTTACATCCAGTCGTTCACAAATGTCTACCAATTCTGCAAGCAAAGTATCTCTCAAGTCTTCTCACTTTTCTCTACCTCGTCGGGCATCACCATAATCTCAACCTAAGTACAATACTGTAACAACCCTATACCTACTCATGCTTCAATTCTTGGTTCCAATCTTTCCCTGGAAGATTTTAAACTGTATGAGAGAAAAATTCCTGTTGGTCCTGAATTTCTTGCTGTTATCCTATGCCTTATACATTGTAGATGTTCAATAAATTTTGTTGAATGAAAAACTCAGCAAATCAGTCAATATATTAGATTCAACTGGCAACAAGATGATCACAAACTTGTTCTGGAAAGCTGAAGAAAATCCAGTGGATAGTGAAATAAATTGGATTCAGATGCTTTATAAATAGAATTCCTAGTATCACAGCTGCCAAGAAAATACTTAAGTGCTAAACTCAAATATTCAAAGTGGTGGACTGAAAGGTACATTCATGTTAATGACATTGTAATTGATCTCATTTGCAATGTAAATCCCTCTTGCTTAAAATAATTCAATACCAGGAACTACAATTAATTAACTGATTAATTAGCAAATATGTATTGAGCACCTATTATATGCCAGGTACTATTATGAATGCAGAGAATATAGCAGCAAACCAAATAGACAAAAACCCTGTACTTATGAATCTTATAATTTAGTTAGAGAGACAGACAAATCAGATAAATACATAAAACTCAGAATATATCATAGAGTGATATGCACCAAGGAGAAGGAACAAGGCAGGGAAGGATATAAAGTGCAGCATTTTCAGTTGAGTAGCCAGGGCAGCCGTGATGAAGTTGACTTTTAAGTACATACGTGAAGTGAAGGAGAGAGCCATGGGGATACTCATGGGAAGGGCATTCCAAGCAGAGGGAACAGCAGGTGCAAAGGCCGAAAGGAGAAAATACGTTTCCATATTTAAAGAATATTGAGGAGACCAGTGGCTGGAGTGCAGTGAAAAAAGAATAGGGTAATGAGAAATTCGTTTAGAGGCAAAGTGGAGTTGGGAGTGGGATTTTTTCTGAGTTACAGTGAAGGATTTGGATTTTATGGAGAATGATGTGAAAGGCAATTGAAGGGCTTTGAGTAGAGGTGTTTGACATGATGTGGCTCAAGTTTTAAGAGGATCACAAAATGTATTTCACAGTTATTAGCCCATAAGATCTTTTGAGGGATGCCAAAATAAACCAGGTGCAAAAATATAGAACTGGTACAAATATGCATTACAGCCATGTGCTTTGGAGCGTGTTAGTTACATGACTTCTGGTAGTTTGGTCAAATTATAAAAATTAAGGAAAATTGATCAAAGATAATGAAATAATGAAATAATGCTCAAGAGTACTTGCAATAATTGTATATCTTTATTTTAGAAAAATTTATTCTAGGCCAGGCACAGTGGCTCACGCCTGTAATCCCAACACTTTGGGAGGCCGAGGTGGGTGGATCACAAGGTCAGGAGATCGAGACCATCCTGGCTAACATGGTGAAACCCTGTCTCTACTAAAAATAAAAAAAATTAGCTGGGCATGGTGGCGGGGCTCCTGTAGTCCCAGCTACTTGGGAGGCTGAGGCAGGAGAATGGCGTGAACCTGGGAGGTGGAGCTTGCAGTGAGCCGAGATCGCGCCTCTGCACTCCAGAGCCTGGGGGACAGAGCCAGACTCCGTCTCCAAAAAAAAAGAAAAATTTATTCTAAAGATTAAAAAAACACTTGATATAAACACTGTATATAGTTGGCTAATTTTTAGTCATTGAAAATATTATTTTTAACTTAGTGATATACTTTACTATATCATTAGCACATTACTATCACTAATGTACATTAGTAATATACATTACTATCACTAAATATAAAAATAATATAAAATATCTTATATTTTCTTAGGGAAACTCTGGGGCTATACTGCTTGAATTTAAATCCTAGTCCTGCCACTCACCAGTCATGTAATCTTATGTAAGTAACTTATCTCTCTGTGACTCAATTTCCTCACCTCAAAATGGGAATAATAATAGTAGCTCTCTCAAATAGTTGTTCTGAGAATAAAGGAGCCAATAAGCATAAAGCATTAGCACAGTGCTTGACACAGGGTCAATATCCTGTCATCAGAATTACTTTTGCTACTGTTATTTCAGTTGCTGATTTTTAAGTTGTTGCATTTAAGAGTGGACAGTTCTATGAAAAAATATTTAAGGAACATTTCATCGCTAACATTCTATGATTTTATTTTATTTTATTGATTTATTTTTTCGAGAAAGAGTCTCGCTTTTGTCGCCCAGGCTGGAGTGCAATGACGCAATCTCTGCTCACTGCAACCTCTGTCTCCCGGGCTCAGGCAATTCTCCTGCCTCAGCCTCCTGAATAGCTGGGATTGTAGGCGACCACCATCATGCCCGCCTAATTTTTTTGTATTTTTAGGAGAGACGAGTTTTCAGGTTTTCATCATGTTGGCCAGGTTGGTCTCACACTCCTGACCTCAGCGGATCTGCCCGCCTCAGCCTCCCAAAGTGCTGGGATTACAGGTGTGAGCCATGGCGCCCAGCCACATCTGTGATTTTATTTGGACTACAGTAAGCTAATGTTCCTTTTTGCCTCTCCACACAGTTTTATTTGTATAAGCAAAATTCCATACATAAATTGGAAATTACATATTAGAAAGTGAAAATAATGCAAATATCTTACTAGTTTAACTGAATTTATAAATTTGGCATCACATACAGGGTCTAGATACCCTTTGTTTTAGTGTCTCATTCATTGTTACACAATAACCTTGTTTTAATATGTGCTGTGTTTTTAGGTAAACATAAAATAGACACCACCAGAGCCACATTGCAGAGAGTGTAGTGAGTCATAATGAAGTATGTTGTAGGTCGGTATTTAATCACTGTTAAAACTGATAACAGAAACATCAGAAACATCGCTTGAGATTATGTCTGCTTGGGCTTTCTCAGGTCAATAATCCTTTAGACTTCAAAACTCACAACATGTATGATGTGTGTAATCATCATTTGCCTACTTAGGCTAACACAAAATGTCTAAACTTTTGATGGAACAGGTTTTAATCTGTGCTTCGTCATTTAATGAACACTAATCACTTCCTATGAAATCTTCATTTCTACATAGATCTGAATTCCTTGATCGTCTTCATATGGAGCCTTTCAAATACCAAGGATTTATCGATACATTGTGATAAATGTTTTGACCCGTTAGCCTATTATTTTTTTCAGTTCATTTTAAAGGGTATTTACAAAACACCAGCCGTTTATTAATATGATAATAATAATCTGTGAAGTCAAGGACATATGCAATTTAAGATTATTAAATAAAACTGCTGTTTAAAACAAACACATTTCCTAGAGCTTGAGAGAATACCAAAGATGCTGCTATTGTTCACAGCAGTTATTGAAATTTGTCTTTTGGGTATGTTCACTGTATTTCAAAATAATTTCTAATATCTTCATGTCTTTGCCATTTGAGGGTAAGTTTGATGCTGAATTATTGTCAAAAATTACCAGAGCCAAGTCTGGCAAGTAAGATTGGTCATCAATCTGTACAATGTCATTTTGGGTAAAAAGTATAAAAATCTATTGTTTTGAATATTATTGAAAAGCATTTATACATTTTTAAAAGTTTCATAATATTATAGTTCTGCATATCAGTATATATCTAATAATACTAAATTAAAGTCTGATATATTCATCCGAATTCTCTTTGATACCAATTCACAAAGGCATAAGCCACAAAAAAAGAGCATAACTGGAGAACTCTGGGGGTTATGGCTGACTTGAGGTGTGGCATTATTAAGGGGTCCAAAACATGCTGCAGAACCCAGAATCTGTTTCTCAATGTGTACGCTCTGCTTTCTCTGAATTAGCTCAAATTTTCTGCACCAAGACAAACCAAAGAGCTCCAGCTTTACATCTTGTCAGTCCAAGTGCAATGCAATAAAAAATCCAGACTTTCTCTCCAGTTGTCCTCCAAATCTTCCTTGCCTCCAACTGTGTAAAGATCCTCAGTGTCATTCTCTGATAAACTTCCAGAGGAAACCAGTGTGCTATTGCCAAGGAAGAGAGAATGAAAGAATGAATGTTGGTGGCTAAAAAGTAGAAAGTATTCACACACACACACACACACACACTCATAATTGCATGATTAAGTGTTAAGCCAAAAACCATTGGTTCAAGTCCCAATTCTCCCACCATAATGAAAGTACAGTTGGGCTTGGACCGTTGACCCAACTAGTTCTACACCTGACTGGTAGCCCTTGGCTATGTTATTGCTTATGACTCAGTGTCCTTATCTGTAAAATGAGGATAGTAGTGATATCTCATAGAGTGTTTATTAAGATTGACTAAATTAATATATGTGAAAAATTTGGAACCTGGCATATTGTAAGCACCACATAAGTGTAAACCATTATTATTACTTAGGAGTGTTCTTGATCATTCCAGTCATTTACTGTCGAAGACTCAGTTCCTTTATTTGTAAAATCACTGTAACATTGTAAAGTCAACGTTCCACAATTCTATGCTTTCACAGACATTTGGATGATTCTTATCCTCTAGAATCATCTTTCATACAGAGACTTTGAAGAAGGAGTCCTGAAGCCCAGCATGAAAAAGCTAAATTTCAACATGACCTCAGTAGAAATTACATAACTTTTCTTTTATGGTATTCTGAATGAGAAAAGAAAACCACTGCCAAAAATGTGGTTAAGAAATAGGTACCTTGTTAGAGTAGCTTATAGTTGAGTTATTAAAAAATCTTAATAAAGCAGAATGATCCTCAGCTAAACTGTATCAATAGAGTATTATACTGGATATGTGATGAACCACTGAGCAACATTTTAAGTTTTGTCTAATGACATTATAAAGAAGCAGCGCATACTACATAGTATGCAGCATGGGAAGACCACAAGGTTCTTACCTGTAGCCAATCTGTTCCACCATCTTTACAATACATTCCATATGCAATCTATACAAATTGTTCAGATGCATTCTACAGAATGGATTGTGTCTAGATGGCTACTTCATATTCATTTGTGACTCTTGTGGTCAAAAGATAAAATTACCTTTAATCACTTAATATAACATCAAGATATGAAATGCCACTGTCTTTTTAAATAAAATAAAATAAGATTTGGTTTGAAGTACCTTAAATTTGTGCTGGGACCCTGTTAGATTCTAATGCAGAGCAATTGGAAACTCACGACATTATTGAAGCAGTAGTTGCAGTCTTCATGTGTCCTCGTGATGGGGAGAGATAATAGGAGATACGTTTCAATTATGTTTCCTTGTTTAAAGGGGCTCAATATACATGTAAATATTTTTATGAATATGTATGTATAGTGTCATGTTATACTGCTGGACTAGTTAAGTAATTGGAATATGAGTAATTCAAGGATCTTGCTCAGGACTGCTTTCAATAAAAGAGTTCAAGAATATTGAGAACAAATTAAATAGTATTATTTAAAAACTAAGTATATGATTGTGAATAATTTTTAAAAGTAATAAATATTCCCATTTAATGAAAAGGTATTTAAATGATCATGTAGTGACCATCTGGCATGCCATTGGCATGCCCCTTATCAGAAAAGCTCAGGTGTCTTTGGGAGGGGTGAAAAATATAGTTAGAAGTCTCAGATATTACCAGTGTTCTCAATCTCTAATTTGTGAATTTTTTGAGGCTCAAGAAATTCCCCTTATTCCCAGGACTCTTACCTTGTTTATCTTGCTAACTTAATTAGCTTCGGACTATGAGTGTCCGTGCTTCTCTTTCCAGACAGAGCTGTCTCCAGAGTCTAGACTACAGCAAATTGGAACAATTGCCCAGGGCTCTGCTCTGCTGGGGAAACCCAGCAGCTGGGACTGCTACAGTAGATTTGTGAATACTTGCTACAGAGGACAGAGCAGGGATATGGGTGAGTACAATGGAGCCCAATTATTAAAAACAATTAGCGAAGTATGTAGAGCATCCACTACCCTCAACTTTTGCCCACCCCCTGAAAAGGCAGTGCCCTACGCATTGTAATCCACTATTAATGAACTCACCCTCCATACCTCAACCACCCTCTTCTCAACATTAATTCATGCCTTCATATGTTAATTCAACTAACATTTATTAAGTCCTTACTTTGTATCTTCATATTTGTAACGGATTATTCAATACTTATCATAGTCAAAAATCACTCTCTCTCTCATACGTTAAAAAGTACAATAATCACATGGTCTGCTTATTAAAATTGAATTCTCTGGTCAAAGCTCTAAGGATGCACATTCAGTAGGTGAGGCCTATCCATTGTATTTTTAAATACCCAAGATTCTTTATGAAACTCTTAATTAGATCGTAACATCCACAACGTAGGAGCCATGTCAGCTCATTTACCACTGGGGTACCCAATATCTAACAGTGTCTGGCACACAGGAATTACTCAACATATAATTGTTTGTCTTTACTGAATTAAATTATAAAAATGATGCTAGACTGTAGGGTGCAAAAGTGATTTTATCACAAGTCCTCTATGTCAATAAGAGTCCAAGCAGATAATACAAGGCACACTCAAAGGAGTAATTAAAGAGAATTTAATGAAGGGTCATTTACAGAAAGGTATGAGTAGGATTAAGGAAGCCAAAAAGAGATGGTGAAACACCCAGGGCCTAGTAACAGCCAGAAGTAGCTTCAACCCTCAGGACTAAAACCATAAGGGGAGGGACTTATTACTAGAACCCTATGAGTATAGCCATGGAAGAAGGGCTGCCCAATATGAAAGAAAGGAGACAGGGGGATAAGTACACTGATTATCTCTCTTCCTGTTCTCTGATCTAATGGTGCTCTTGGCCAAAACCCCCTGGAACCTAGATGGCAAGGGAGATCAGGCGATAAAGTGCTCCTTCTCTCATGGCACAGAGCAGAGTGAGAATGTGGAAAGTGCCTTCCTTCCAGAAACTGACAGTTTACTGTCTTCTAATTAATGTAGAGTTACTGATGAATGAAGTTTAGAGTGAAAATAATAACTAATACTTATCATGTGATCATTTAGCAATGCCTATGTGGCTCTTGATGGAGCAGTCAATTCAACTTGTCTGGATGTACTGAGGGTAAGTTAACTGTGTGACCACCAAGATGGAATGCCAGCAAAACAGGGGTTTTCATTTGCCAGATGCTCATGCAGTCCCAGACACATGCCCATGTATACACACACAAACATGTGCTCACACACACATACTTCCGTTAGATTCATAGAACATTATAATGGAATCTCTGCTGGAACCTGGACATTTGGGTGTATAAAATTAATTAAATGTCACATAAGCTTTTGAGAGTTTAACATCTGCAAAACTTGAACAGATGGAATTATGCTAAGACGATTCAATATTTTAATGGTAAACAAGAGAGAGAGAAAAAAATACTGTTAATGTCTAAAGAGTTTGCTTATTCCTACCTCACTGTTATAACTTTCTTAATTCATACTCCTGGCTTCTAAAACTACAAATAATCCCTTCCCATCTAAAATTTATCTGCTTTCAGCCTCATTTTCAATACTCCTATATTTTAATGCCTTGGATTTAAGGATCTTTTAAGTCACTATTTTTAGAGCAACATGGAATTATAAACCAAAACTTAATGATAATGAGGACAATATTTCAGAAGAGGACAAATGTCTCCTCTGATACATTGCCAAAAATATGTAGCTGAGATGAAGGCCACCCAGAAGTTTCAATTAGTACATGATGCATCAGCCCATGTGTATGAAAGAAAGAAAGAGGGAGAAGGAGGGAGAGGAAGGGAGGGACAGAGAGAAGAGAGAGAGAGACACACACACAAAGAGAGACAGAGAGAGAAAAGAAGAAAGAGAAAGAAAAAGAAAGAGAAAGGAAGGAAGGAAGGAAAGAAGGAAGGGAGGGAGGGAGGAAGGAAGGAAGGAAGGAAGAAAGAAAGGGAAGGGAAGGAAATGAAAGGATGAGTGAGCCACATAGAACATTTGAAACCTGGCCTCAAAGGTTTGTTTCTAGGTAGAATTTAAAGAGGTTGATCCAATCTCCAAAATCAATTCAACAGATGTTATTGAGTAACTATGATTTCATGATTTTCTGCCCTCAGGAATCTTTCAGTTTAGCAGGGGAGGGAGATAATTCAAGGAACAATATCATAGAAGTCACTGTGATGAACTGCTACTTAGAAATGGAAGCAAATTCTATAGAATCTTAGTTCTTGCACTGCTGATTATGATTTGGAATTTGATGAAGGTTATGAAAAAGGCAGAATCTCAGTTTGACCTTAGAAGAAGAGAGGATATGCACATGGAGATTTAGCATAAAAGTCTCTTTAAAGCCTTCGAAGTGAGGTGGCTCTGTAAGCATAAGCCAAGACGTTCTGAAATGTTAGCTGTATCTGGGGAATGGGGAGTCAATCAATGATTGAGAATGGTCTGTGTGGAAGAGTTGAGTGAAGAATGAGGCCAGAAAGCCATTTTGGACTAGGTTATGAAAGAACTTGAAGCTTTTGGGGGTTATTCTTCTGGCAGTTGAGAGTTATAGGATTTTTGTCATAAGGTCATGAGGGGTTAGAGTAGGGATGACACATTCAACTGGATGTCTTGAGAAAGATTTTAACTTTTGGGTTTGAGAAGGATCCATGTGGATGAAAAGAAAGGTGGTAACAGGTACAAACACCTTTTAAAAAGAAGCAATAGAGGACTAGTAAATGATTGGATGTGGGGCTTATGGGAGAAGGTATTGCCAAAATCCTGAGGTTTCTGGTCTGGATGACTCAGGCCTTGAACAGAGATAAGGTTTGTCTATTTCCTTCCTCCTTCCATGTTGTCTGTCTTTATAGTCTCCTCTTTCTTAATGATGATATTGGTCATATTAAATTTGAGTTTCTAGTGGATTATTTTAGTCTGAAATTTAGGCAAAATCAGATGTTGAGTTTGGTTATGTACAACTGAGAGTTTATTGCGTAAGTATGGAGTAGTGGGTGGGATAAGAGTGCAAAGCAGCAGAGGATAACGGAGCAGGGGGTAGAAATAGGAAGAAAATTGGAAAACACCTACTCTTCAATGTCAGATGGAGAAGAGTTGAATCTGGGTTAATTCAGATGTAAATGTTCTCTCTTACTTGAAAGAAAGGAAATGAGTTCAGCTATTTCCCATAGAGATTTGGTCTGAGTATACAGCACTGAATGATCTCATTTAGTTCTTTCAATCCAGTGGATAGTATATGGTTGGACATTCATAAAACCTAATGAGAAAGCAAGAATCAATATTTTTATTCTGGGATTGACCCCGGTCAGAGATTGTGTGTGTATGTCTCTCTGTGTGTGTGTCTACACCTCAGAAATTTGTTTCCCTTTTTAATTAAATAAAGCCCATGTTTGCTGGCTTTTAGGGTGGGCTGCAAGGCCCATCTGTTTAACTAGGCAATTGCCTGATATTGCAGGGGGAAGATTGGCAAGTGTAAGTGTGAGTTTGAATACCAGATACAGGCTATTTAAAGCTGAATTTTTCTTTAATAAATTCACCCAGAGGTGTTCAGCAATAGGTAGTTTGGAAAACTACCATAATTTGTGTGGAAGAGTATGTTTTTAAACGTTGATTGCCGAGTGATTGTGGGAAGAAATAAACTTAAGGTAGTTCATCTCTGATAATGCCTCTGTTCCTTCAGGTCTTACCGTGAAGGAAGGCAGAGTATTTCAATAATTGCTTTTGATATGCTGGAAGGTAAAGGGTCTTCCATTTCACATGGGGTAGGACTAACTTGAAAGCAAATAATACATAAATGTTTTCTTGATAGTATGTGTTAAAGCAGTCGGCATTTAGGACCAAGGGTTGTCAATCTTTGAGGTTTCTAAAAGGAATTGCAATTTATGACGTGTTAGGGTAAACAGTTGGATTACATTTCTGAAATACGTGTTCCATCAGGTAAAATCATTGTGATTACAGGCACTGGAACTGTAAGTAAGTAGTGTGCTAAAAGGTTGAAAATGTAAAACAAGTATGCTTGTGCTTAACTACTAATCCCTCTTTGTATCTCTGCTGAATAAACTACAAGAAAAGGGGGGAAAAGAATGTTTAAATAATAAAACAGAAAAAGTATATTATAGTATGTCATTTTGATAAATAATATGCATTAATAATACAGCTTGAGGAACTGTTTCATCAGTGCTAAAGCCACAAGAGAAGATTCCATAATTCAAAGAATTATGAAAGATTATAAAGAAATTATTTTAATTAAAATGTGCTTCTTTTGTTTGCTTTTTTCTTTCTCTTAATATCTTCTTTATTTTCTGGTGTGTCCTATAAAAGCACAGGTTGTCTTTTTAATATCCAGTCTCCATTGTTCAGAAATGCGTTGCAAATAAGGGAATGGTTTTAAGAGTTTTGCATATGTTTGACAGCAGAAGGTATTAAATGTAAATAAATCTTTAATATTTCCCTTAATTCAGTTTGTGCCATGCAAATGTCAGGACTAGAAAAACAAATCAACAAACATTTCAAGGAAAACAATATACGTAACTTATTTTATACATTAAAAACAACTGTCAAACAATTATGACCTCATGTATTAGTTGGTTGTTTTGAAATATTCCTACTAGAATTAAAAAATGCTATGAGGGCCTTTGAGCTTAAACATATTGTGTCAATCAAGAGCACATGTAATGTATCTAAAGCATGAGGTAAAAATTTTCTTCATAAATTATTTCATAAATAAATAAGTAATTTGCTTGCAAAAGTTTACAAAAATATTTGAGCTTTTATTAAGTTCTCTACAGATCCTTTGTGGTTAATGTAAATGAATTGATACAGACAGCAGTTTGATCTGCTCTACTCTAACTTGAAATACAAAAAGTAACATGAAGAGATTCTTCATTTCTCAGGCAAACTTCAGCAAGATTGAGTCCGTGAAACTTCATTCATTAAATTTTTAAGTGACCATGAATTTGTTGGCTTCAGTACCTGAAGTGTAACTTTATCCTTTCAATTAAAAGACATAATTCACCCTCAGACCTTTGGCTTTAACTTTTCATATAATATGTAATTTTGGGTACACTTAATAGTCAAATTTTGTATTATTACAGGTGGAAAAACACCAGCCATCTCAAGGGCTTTGTGCTTGCAAAAGCATGTAATTTCATTTTTTTTTTGAACCAATTTAATCAATGATTGTTTCATGTGAATAAATTTACAGTCTTGATGATTGCCTTAGATTTGTGGGTGATGGAGAGGAAGATCACTTCCCCTTTTAAAATGTCATCTAAATCTTGGGGAGCAGAAGGAGATTAGGGGCCTAATCCTTGTGATAAATTGTACTATTTAACTTTGCTAAGATGCTATAGCCTCAGATTTTATCAGTTAGATACCAGCTTCAGCAGTTTTAGGTGATATTAACCCTTTCAATACAAAACAGTCTTACTGTTCGAATACATATTTCAAAATTGATTTAATATTTTTAGTTAGTCATGGCTCAAGAATGTTTCACTCAGATCCTTATTTTTTTCCTTTAATAAAAATGCTTCTCACTGTGCCGTGCATATTTCCATAAAAGTCAGCAAGTTAATTTATGGCTTAAAAAAAGAAAATAAAAGGTCTATATTTAATATGTGAATACATTTTACAGTGGAAATTGGTGGTGGACAGTATTAAATGACTCCAGTGTGGAAATATGCAGGTGGTCATTAGTAGCTGACTATGAGATTTACTGAAGATTTTGATATTAATTTTCCCGGCATGCAGTACTATATATAAATCTAACTCTGTTCTCAAATTAATTTAAATGGATGATAACATATGAATAACTCCAGGCATATGAGGCTCATTGTCTTCTCTCTCCTTTAGGAAATATATTGTTTGCCTCATTGTGAAACTGTATTTTGACTACTTTTTCACCTGACTAGTTTCTCTATTGCAAAAGAATTATTGGTTTTCTACTCATAAAGAGTGTATGGGAAACGGTACCAAAATACTTCTGGAATAAATGTGCTACAAAAAAAAAATCACATATCTGCTTGACTAGGTATATTAAATAAAGACCATAGAGAAAAAGGAATAAGGTTCTAAAAGCACCTACTTCAGTTTTAATTTTTTAAAATGATTGGCTTTTTCACTTCTGATAATAGTATGTTTGGAAAATATACCCATCTTTTCTCTAAAAAGATGCAAGAATCATTTAGTGAAAAATATTTTGGAGGAAATTACTTCATCTTCGGCTCTCAGATTCATGATTGTACCTAAGATTCTAATTTTAATCATTTTGTAGTTTGGAAAAGGAAAGATGCTTCTCCTTTTAGCACAAAATTACTTTAAACTGACTTTCACCAGAGGAAAAACATGCCACTTAAAGTCACCCAACTGAAGAAAATGAAGTCCAAACGCCCAAGAAATGTTTACTTTGTTTTTAACACCTACTATACTTTGAATCCTGTCATGGTAATGTTTTATGCATTGTTGATCTTTAGAAGTCAAAAAAAAAAAAAAAAGCTCAATCCAGTGAACTTTATGTTGAGGCAATTTCTCTTAATAATGAGAGTATATGGAGATGTAAAGTAGGTAAAAAAGAATGTCACGCTTAATTCAGAGTTCCTTATCTGCTACTAAAACCCAAACTGCATGTATTAATCTTGCAGCATTTGAATAATGTTCCCATTTTGTCTGTTTTGTGGTACCCCCTTAAAGCACCCATTGAGTTTCTGGCTTCTCTTTAGCTCAGAAAACCATAGCAACCTCAGTCCGCACTTCTCCAACTCAGGATAGAGTTCAAGTTGTTCTCCTCAAGCCTTCTTGCCGTGAAAATCGTGGGGAATCCTGATCACCAACTAGGTGTCCTAAGACTTCTTGCCACAGATAAAGGGCGGGGGAGGGGGCGCACACGCACACACACATCCTGCGTCGTTTAATTGGGAGAGAGAAGGGAAAGTAACAACAGAAAAGGTAAAAGGACTTTGAGAGTTCTTTAAATTGTTTCTGTTAGCATCTCTGAGTGTCTGGGGAACGTCGGTTTGGCGGCCACGCACTGCCCCCCACCTGCCCCCCACTACCCCAAGGTAAGTCCTCGTCTTTATCACATTATTCCTAACGCGTTCGGATTTTTCCTCCTTTTCCAGCCCGCACGTTCACAGACGGGAGGTGGGGGAGGGAGGAGGGGGGAGAGGCGGGGCGGGAAGGTAGCCGGGTCCCTGCACCGCGCCGCTCTCATTTGCGGCGCTCCGACTCGGGCGAAGTTCTCGCGCAGCCGGCTCGCCGCGGCCGGGGCCGGTCCCGGCGGGCGGCGGCGGCGGGTGCTCGGAGCCGGGCGGGGCGGCGGCGGCGGCGCGGGGACGCGCGCTGTCTCTTTAAGGGAGCTCGGTCTGGGGTGGCGCTTTCCTCCGCGAAGGCTCCTTTGATATTAATAGTGTTGGTGTCTTGAAACTGACGTAATGCGCGGAGACTGAGGTCCTGACAAGCGATAACATTTCTGATAAAGACCCGATCTTACTGCAATCTCTAGCGTCCTCTTTTTTGGTGCTGCTGGTTTCTCCAGACCTCGCGTCCTCTCGATTGCTCTCTCGCCTTCCTATTTCTTTTTTTTTTTTTTAAACAAAAAACAACACCCCCTCCCCTCTCCCACCCGGCACCGGGCACATCCTTGCTCTATTTCCTTTCTCTTTCTCTCTCTCTCTCTCTCTCTCTCTTTTTTAATAAGGGTGGGGGAGGGAAAGGGGGGGGAGGCAGGAAAGACCTTTTTCTCTCCCCCCCGCAATAATCCAAGATCAACTCTGCAAACAACAGAAGACGGTTCATGGCTTTGGCCGCCGCGCCACCATCTTTCGGGCTGCCGAGGGTGTTCTTGACGATTAATCAACAGGTAAGGAGGGGAGGCCCGAGCGGGCCGCGGGGCCGGGGGCTGCGGGGGGCGCGGGGGGCGCGGGCGCCCCTCGGCCGGGCCCGGGGCGCCGCGACGCGAGTGCAGCGCCCGCTCGTGTGCGCGCAAAATGTGGGCGATCGCGAGCGGGGAGCCCTGGGAATTAAAAGTGACTTTCTTTGAAAAAAAAAAAAAAAAAAAAAAAAGCAGAGGGAGAGTGTGCAGAAAGCCAAGCGCAGGCTTCTCGGGTTTCACATGCATTTTCTTTCTTCCTTTTTGAGCGTGTGATTTCTTTCTTTCTTTCTTCTCTTCTGCTCCCTTTTTCCCCCTTCCTCTCCTCCTTTTGGTGGGTCTGAGGCATCTGAGCTTTGGAAACCAGCGACTTCAAACTGCAGTAGCCCCTGGAGTCAGCAGGGTCAAGTTCAGCCGCCGGGGAGGAGGAAAAACAAATCCCCATTTGCCAAAAAAAGAAGTTTCAGGCCGGTGCCCCCTCCCCCTCGCAGCCCCACTCCCCCTCGCTGTCTCTTTCTGGCTGATTTTAATTCTCTCCTACCGGGCGCAGCGGAGGAGCTGGAGGTGGTTGGACCCGAGGGGCCGCCGCCGCCGCCGCCACTGCAAGTTTTCTGGGGGCTCGTGACAAGCGGGGCGCAGACTAGGCACCAGCATGCAGAGTAGTAAGTTGGGCGAACTCGGGAGGGTCGGGAGGGTCTCAGAGACGGGCCTCCGTATGGTCTCCAAAGTGGGAAAACAGCACAGGACTGCCTTTGGCTTTGAAGAGTTTGCAAATGCAGGCTTCAAACTTTTTTCCCTTAAAGGCCCAGCTGGGCTCTGGAGAAGGCGGGTGTCGCATCCCTTGGTGCACCCGCCTCAGAGCGGCTCAGGACAGCTTGGCCGAGCGGTCTGTGCCCTGTCCGTACCATGTGGCAGGGCCTTGCAGCCCGGGCGCTTCCGTAGGGGCTGAGGAAGGGGCAGACTTCCTCTGCGATGCGGTTGATGCGCCATGTGTCGCGCGGGTCAGGGGACACTGGCCGGTGATTAAATGCCTGACAGCGGTGGGACATCCAAGCGGACAGACGCTTTGCCTTCTGTCTGGTTCCTGTTTGGGATCTAGAGAAACGCATCTTTGAAAGGCCAAGGCAAACATCGCTGTCCCTCCAAATAACTCCAGGATTATAGGACCCCAGGAATAATTTGAGGGTGAGGCGGCGGTGGGAGCTGTTTGAAGTGTAAAGCTGTTTTTGTGGCTGGGAAAGCTTTTTCGTTAGTACCTGTCTGAGATGGTGGTGTTTCCCCCTTTCCCCAGGGAAGTCAGCAACTGTTTTATGGCCCCAGGACTCTAAAGCAATTTAAGTTAGAGGGTGAGAAGGACTGGTGGGTTTCAGAGGGAATCTTGGACTTATTAAATTTTAGGACCGGCTTTACTTCCCTCTATCTTTTTAGGCCTCATATTTGATGCTTTGAAAGTTTTTTGAGTAAGCCATTGATCTTAATGATGAATCTAAATTATGATAGAATATTCATTCTTATGCCATTTTGGAAAATCACGGCTAGAGTTTAAGCGAGGTAAGTGAAGTGAGAAGCTCAGCGGAGGAGTTAAATCTGAGACAAGTTAGGCCTATTCATTGAACTTTTGTAGATTCATTGAACTTTTGTAAACACACCAGGTGAACAGGAAAGGAAAGGGTCTGGGAGAGATAATAAGTACAAAAGAAAAATACAGATAGGGCCTGAGACAAAATTACAAAGAAATGATAACTCTGGGCCTGGTTGTTGGCTAAAACTTGATTGTTCAAAGCAAAAATAAAATAGGAACCTTCCAACAATTCTTCAAAGTCCTCCAGCTCTGAAGCTAAAACCTATGGATCTTGCTGGCATCATGTTACTTTCCTGCTGGTTTTAGAAAAAGTTGATCATTTAGAAAAGGCTGCCAGAGTTAAAAATGCAAGGGACAGCAGAGGAAAGTCATGCGGGCAGCCAGTTCTTGACGTGGACAAAATGAGAATGAAAGTTTCTGAACTCACTGTTGTGAAGTTTTACATGCCGCTCATTTGCTTAGAAGGCTCTCTCAGATATTCCACCAGTTAACGTATAAAAGCAAACAGGATCTAAAATCGTGTGGGCTTTTTTTTTTTTCTTTCCCCAAGTATGCCAGGGTTGTGAATAAATACAGGGTTTGTATGGGAAGATGAAGCGTTTCCTGTAAGTTCTGATGCTGACAGGACAGTCTGGAAATGATACCAACATTTTGAGGATTTTTTTTTTTTACCTTTAAGTGAAAGTTTATTAATGATATGCTTAATCTTAACAAGTCAAACATATTCTTAGAGTTTCTCTCTCCTTGGATTTCATAACTTCCTTTTAAAGCTACACCTTTGGATAAAAACATCTCTAGATTCAGTTCAATATACAGGGCTAGTAACATGCTAAAGTTTGACGATTATTTCTGGATGTTAATAATGTGAAAATAAAACTCCTGAGGGGCAAATAGAGCCTTAATACCAACATTATAACTTGATTTCTCTGAATGTGAGGCCTTCTGAAGCTTCATTAGTACTCTGTTGGCGAAGTATTATTTACCACTGGCGAGCTGATGTTTATGGCTTCCTGATATGTATGTTATATGTTAGGATATATATGTGTAGACTGCTTTTCCATACATAATACCTAAGTCTAACACTTTTCAAATAAGTGGTGGAAAGTAGCAAGTTACTAACACAAAGTTTGTCACTCCTTTGAATTCTAGATGCTGTAAGGGTCTGTGCTACTATTTAGGTTTTGTCCTTTGTCTCTTAAAGGTAACGTTAAAGGTAAGGAGAAAAATGTCATAATAGCTGTGAAGTCTGAGCTGAATTTAGAACTTAGCATTTCGATGACTAATATTTTAAATGATTTTATAAAATTTTCTGCATACGTGTTTGAAAACCAGTTTAGGATCGGAATCAGTGTGCTAATCCGAAATAAGTTACACATACTACTACCATATTTTCAGTATTATTTAAGTCACCTACCACTCCTGAGTTTATTCTGATTTACATCATATAGATCTCTTCCTATAAGGAAATATTCATTCATAAGGAAGACCTTTAAAACAGGGAAATGCATGCATCTGTAGAAAAGCAGCTTTTACGATTCTAGTATTTCAGTGACGGTTCTATTATCACTACTATTATTAGATGTATATGTGTATGTGTGTACAGACATACAACCCACAATATGTGATTAATGATGTGTACATTTTTATTAAGAAAGCAACCAAAGACTGTAGATTTTTATAAACGCTTGTCTTACCTTCTTTGTTGTAAATAAACATTACTGAAAGTTTCCAGAGGACTTGCAGCAAATTGTTTTTGAACTAGAACTTTATTCCAAATTTGAAATTGGAATAAATGCTGATAACTGACCTTTAAACATTTTTCATAACATGAATATTTTAGAATAATTATATTTTAACTTCAGTTCTTCTTTTGATAGCAACAATAATGTAACAACACTATGCTATTACGTGTACAACAACACAGACTTTAAGAAAGTTATGGGCAGGTGTCTATAATTGATTTAAAGGAAAGATTATTTTTGTAATAAGTGATGAACTTAAAATGACTGGCTTACATTAAAACATATTCTTATTAAGATTTCTCTGGTGTGTAAAATGAAGCCATTCATTCAACAGGCTGACAACTTTCCACTTGGTATTTGCCTTTCCTTAATTTAGTTTCCGCAGGACAGCTAGTGTGGTAGTCTGCATCTGTTTTTAGCAGGCATAGAAAACTATAAACTCAGACAGTTCTGTCCCAAATATTGCAGCTCACAAGTTACAATCAATTTGATAAAAACCCGCAAGTTTTATGGGCTCGTATTTTGTTGTTCATCCTTGCTAGGTCAAGCTTTCAGGTAATAGGTTTCTTTTTCTCCCTCTTTTGCTGATGATAACTGCTAATACCATTGATAACTAATTCTGAGTCTTGTTTACTCATTTATCATCCTTATTTACCATTTGTTGAAGTTTTGGGAAATTAATGACAGCATACGTAGACTTGCGTTTACTTTGATGGCTTATCTGTGAAAATGACATTTATCTTTTGTTATTATACAGAAATAAGTAAATTCTTTGTTACCATAATAGTTATGATTTATGGAATTTTTGAGTCCCCCTTAGATATAGCATAAAGATGGTCTTCTAGCCTTTGCCAAGTAGACATTTAATCTAATTGTTTAAGAGTGCTTGTCATGTATAGAAAAGACTAACATACTTTGCAATTATTTACATTAAAAATTATGTAGAGGTTTGTTTTAGTGTAATTTTAAAAATAATTTGTCTCCCAAAAGCTGTAACCAGTGGATTAAAGTAAATAAGCTAAAATACCAAATCTTGTTTTATACCATTGTTCTATAGCAAACAGTGCTGCAGAGGATGTAACTACTTTTTAAAATTTATCCTCCGATGTAAGTAGGGCCAAAGTCATTTGTTTGTATAAAATATTCTATTAATTATATATGACCTTTATAAATAATATCTTCGATTTTATTATTATGATCACTTTTTGAGCTATCACAGTGCTCAGTTGTTCTCCTATTCCTGAGAACTGAATTTGGCCTTTAGTTTGGTTTTCTGATGGACACAATAATGTAGAACTTGACTTTGGTTAGAAAGAGATCTTTGAGCTTCAGGAATCTCTGAAGGTGCAGTAGGATCTACAGGTGAAAACCATTTGAATTGTTAAGCATTAGTTAGGTGAAGAAACTCTACTGGTCCCTGCAGCATATAGCAGCTATTATCGTAGCGGTCTACTTTTTGCTATCCCAGTTTTTTTTTTTTTTTTTTTTTTCCTTTTCCAAGAGCACAAATCCAAATAGCAAAAATGAAGGTGAAATTATCTATGTACTTCAAATTTGGAGCATCATTTGAAATCATTTTCTGATTCTAAGCTATAACTGAAATACAAATATAACATTAAGACACCCCAAAGAAGACATTAAGGATACACTTGTCGTTCTTAAGTGTGTTTCACTAAAAATAATAACAAAAAACTTTTAATTTTTAAAATGTTTCTAGCTTTTAAAAACCTGCAGTAAATACTTTACAAGTGGCTAGACACCTTCCCTGGTGGTTTAGTTTATACAAGCAGGAAACTTTCTCTCCTACTCTTTCTCTCTCTCTTTCTTGTTTTCTTTAAACCAACTGACGTAATGCCAAACTTTGCTTTAAAAGAACAGACAGAAGTAATTGGTAGCTTTTAACTTTTAATAATGTTCTGGATTGGTTTTAGTGGCCAAAATGCCATTTAAAAAAAAAAAAAAGTTCAAGTAAGAACGGGCTTGTGGCCTGAGGAAGAAAGGCTCTGTTGATGCAGTTATTTTTATTCTTGTTTTTCAATCTGTTATTAAAAATCTTTCCTGCTGAGCACTGCTGGATTTCTCCAATTGCTCTTTGTGATGGCTGGTGCATTTCAGGTTACCGTAACTTAAACAGTTTTTGGGTTTTGGGGAAAGTGGGTATTTGCGTTGCATTATTTCTTTCTTATTTGGAAAAAAAATCCATTTGTTTTTGTTTCAATGGAGATTAATTAATTAAGGTTATCAATGGCCACAGGTCAAAGAATATGTTTATATAACGAATGCGACACCTGTTAGCAAGAGCCTAAAATGTGGAAGTTTAAATGTGACATTAATCATTTTTATGTGCAGAGGAAGGAAAATAGATGAAACTTTACGAAAATGCATTTTTAGATTGAAAACATTAATTTTAAGGGTCAGTGCGTTTCTACAGGCAGCTCTTTTTTTCTTACAATTTTAGATGATAATTTTTTAACCCTATTTATCAAACAGTATTTATAGTTTCCTTTTTTTTTTTTTTTTATAAATAGTCATTTCTTTCTCTCTGACTTTGCACAGGCAAACAGAACTTTCTCCAGTTAAGAGACATCTTGGTGATGTTGATTGACATCAGGGCAACTTCAGAAGCTGGCAAGTAGGAAAATCTTTTTAGGGGGCAAAAAGATTTGTGCTAGTGTTCTCTTCCTTGGGAAAAGACACTCCACCCAGAAATTATTGGGTTTAGTGGAAGGCCCTCCGCCCCATTCGGTGGCTCAGAACTAAGTACTGTTTCGACTTTTCTTTTGTGAATTGTTCCTGAGGTTTAAATCTTACGGTTACTTGTCGTGGACTTTGCTTTTAACCCAAATTCTTCCTGATAGATTTTTTTTTTCCTTCTTTACCTAGAGCACATTTAAGGAATAATATATATAGTGAAAATTAAGTGTCACACAAGGAAGAGTACAGTCTTTAAGGCATTTATGACTATAAAAAGCATTCCGCAAATTTGGGGCATTGAAGTGTTCTCTGCTTATAAATTTGACAGTTTTGATTTACTTGATATGTTTCTCAGTTTTTCTTGCGAGAGTTACAGACTCTAGTTCAAATCGTAGGCATTCCTTTTTTGCTTATGGCTTCTTTAGTTAAAGATTTGTTTGGAAAAACTTTAGGAACTTAATGTATATGTTGTTCACATCAGCATAGTGCAAGTTTCTTGGAGTAAGTCTAGATTCATTTTATTTATTACAAAGTTTTCAAACATACATTTCATGTTATGGCTGCATCTGTTAATAAATTTTTATTTAATGAATTTTGTTTGTTGCTTCAAAAATGAGGAAAAGCAATAAAGTTTAGCAAGAAGGAAATAAGGCAAAGGGAGGTGTTTAGAGTTGCAGTCCCTTAATATCGCAGATTGTTTACTGGTAAGTGGTGGGGAGGGGTTGGTGGGAGGTTTTGTGGAAGATGATACCAAAAAAAAAAAAAAAAATCCATCAATTGCGCATATGCTCCCCTCCCCTTAAGGTTTACTTAAACAATATGTTTCGATTTTGCCGCAAACCATTCTGCACTACTTCTGCTCCAAGAATCCACCACTATCTTGGTTCCTGAGAGATTAAGGATGATGTTTTCTGTTGTATAATGAACAGCAGTATTATTTGAACAAAGGTAACACTTTTTGATTTGTGTAATTTTTTAGTAGCTTGTCATAGGATACCTATAATATGAGAGGAGTTCTAGCAATGTAATTGCCTGCAAATGTTTGAAGTACTCACGATAGCTTTGCTATGTTTGAATTATTGCCAATATATGTGCATGCTATTATAGGTGTGTTTTATATGTGGAATGTATGTAGACCGATAATACTTAGACACATCTTGATGGTGGAATTTAGAATGCTAACTATTAACTCTGTGCTTGAAATGTGAATCTTTTAAGGAGTTAACATGACCTACATTATGAAGTCTAAAAGTTTGAAATGAGTATGGAGTTTAAACATAATGAATCAATTGTTATCATAATACTTATATCTGCTCTGAATTTACTAAGGAATTTTTTTAAATGAAAAAAATTATAAATCAAAATGCCACCTTTCAGTGTATTGTAAGAAATGCTTCTGAGATCATTTTTTAAGTCTCATTTCTGTTAAGAGGAGCAGTTAAGGGACAGGACTGTTTGTGAGTATATCACTTTATGGGCTACCACTTTATAGTTTACAATTCTATCATCTCAAAACGTTATGTAGAAATAATATGGAACATGTAAAGACTCTGTACTATGACCCAATGCATTTTTCCCTAGGGTGATGGATTCTGTGCGTCACCCAAATGTGATGCTATTTGCCAGGCTTGTAATACTGGTTTTGAGGGTTGATCTATGTCCTATTTCATCAAGCAACACAATACAACAACTTTGGTATCTAGGGTAATTGACACAGTCAAAATAGTCTCTGGAAAACATTCCATATACTTTTAAGTTAAGTCAGAAGTTAATGTACATATTAAATTTATTTAACATGAATAAACAAATGATTTATTGTTAGCTATTTGTCTAATATACTAGATAGTGTTAGAAGGAAATATACAAGTATTTACAGTTTATGTTCCATTTCTTTTTTTCTTTTTTGAGGGGAGCATGGTTCTCTTGTTTGCGTTCATAATAGCTTTATCTGTTAATTACTTTGTATTCATGATAGTGAGTAGTATAGTATCATAAATCATAGTAAACATGTTTATATTATCTGCTATATATGTCCCAAGCTTGGAAAAAGCATTAATATTACTAGTTGTTAAATTGAGTATTATAGTAACCAGGAATGAATCCAGTACCGTATAAGACAATAGATAAGACATCAACTGCTATTTAAACACTAAAAATACCTTAGCTGTAGAAAAAGAAAGATCAAAAGGATTTCAGAGCTGTTTTTACTTGTAGAATTTGGACAGAATGTATAAAGCTTACAAATCAATAAACATTAATAATATAACATGTGCTTCCTGATTAGATTCTACAATACAATGTGAATTGCTATTTCAATTTCTCTACATATCATATGGAAGATCAGATATGTTTATAAATAGTGTAAAAATATATGGCAGAAATTAGTTTGTGGAATCTAATTTCTCTATTACATGATACACTTCATGTACAAAGGGATCAAGCATTACTAATCTAGTGTTAGCTTTTGCTCTCTGAGCTATGCAGAAGTGGAATATATGAATTTGTGGCTTCATATTAAATAAGTGCGTACATGTACATGCAGGATAGCTATAGTCTCACTTGCTTAGAATGTTTTTACATTACAGGCACTACATGGAATTTTAGCATATTGCATATTTTTTGAAATGACTTTAGTCTTTGTAATGCCCATTTTAATTACTTAATGCATCCCAACACCTATTTGAGGGTTAATTTAATTGTAATTTTGGTTCTGAAATGAGAGCATGATAGACAAAACAAATTAAAAACCAAATTCTACTTGTGCCTACTTTGTGATGTCATTATCTGCACATCATCTTTAGCTTTGCAAGATGTGGAAATAAAATACATCAGCCCATTTTCTCTCAATACTCTTAAGTAGCTCTGAACATATAAAAGTTCCTAAAAGAAAGTTTTGTATTTGTTTTTGCTTTGCTTTTTGATGCCAAGTTAAGACAGGTCATATATATATTAATTTTAATCAAGGCCCATATTACTAAATTTTTCAATACATATTCATCTCTTTGTTGTATGATTCATAATTCTTTATCGATTATTTTTTGATATACCTTTGAGATCTTTTAAAATGATATGTTTTACCTGTGTTTGGCTGCTGAATTTTTATATTAGTAATTATATTTAAATTATAAATTAAAAAATACGGAATATGTTAAGCTGTCTTTAAATTAATATTGGAAGTATACCTTTTTAGAAGATTATTGCAAAATTTGCTCCTCAGTTCTGCAAACTTAGGGAAGTTTTAGAAAATAATTTACAAGTAGTCAGTAAGTAGTTACACATTCAAGGATTGAAAAATATGAAATACTATTTTCTGTAGCTTATAAACCAACACTAAGAGATGTTTCTCCTTTGTATTTATAATGCATTTGAATTACATTCTTTGGATGTATGATGTGGTAAATTACTGTAAGAAACTCACTGTCATCTAAACCTCAATTATAATAAACTATTTTACTCTATCCCATCACTGTTTATTCTATTTTTAAAGTCCCGTTTTTAAGAAAACTTGTGCTTTTGAAGGAATGCCCTCATTATTTATAACATATTTTGCTTTTTCTTTTTACTTTGATAAGCTTTAAGAAAGCTGCCAGTAAGATGATTTTAGGTCATTGGTAAAAATAATAATGTACACATTTTATGTGTAAATATGTGTACACAATCTTGCACCTTCACTGTGTCTAACATTCAGCTTTTTAGTGTTATACATATTTTTATTCAACATTACACATATTTGTGTACATTTAGTGTTACACATATTTGTATTTAGTGTTACATGTATTTGTGTACATTTATGTACATCATGTACTTTTTACTCCCAGAATAATTCAGTATATCACTGTTAGCACATAATTATGGACATACATATTCTTCTCACTTCCTGAACGATTCAGTGTGTCCTTGGCAATACTAACACTTTAAAAATGAGAGTAATAATGATTAGAGCTGGAGAACTGGGGGTAGATAGTAGTATTAGCAGGTTTCCCTCCTTTTAATTTTTCCCATTTTCAGTTCCTTCTTTAAAAGAGAGATGTATATATATCTGAACAGAAGGGGGACTAGGATACTGTATAATCCATGATAACATAAGGAACGGTTGCTGCATATGGCTTTATTTATATATCTCTGACATAGAAAACTTTGACCCCTTTGCCTGTTGTACTTGGGAATTTTAGATAAACCCCACTGGGGTCACACTCATCAGTTCCGGCTTTGCGTGACTCAAGGCATTCTCTAGCTTCTGGTGCGCTACTGTGCTGTTTTCCTTCAGGAGTGGAAGGTCCTGTAAGTTCATTTGGCATTTGGAAGCACAACTAGATTTCTTCCTTTTTGAAAATCCTCTGACTGGGTTACAGAAGAGTAAGCAGAGATCATGGGCAGCATGATGTCGTTGATTTTAGGATGCTAAAGAAAATTATGCTGAGACCAAGCATGCTTCCTCTGGCTTATTCTGCCCTGCTTTATCATCATTTTTTTCTTTTTTTCAACTTCCTACCCCTCTTCCCCCTACACTGTTTGGGGTCTAATATTTTAGTTTCTGGAGGAGTAAGGATTTGCCTTCTCAGTGGAAAAATGTGTAAGCTGCAGGATTTTTACCTACCTTTCTTTATAACTTTTCCATTCTGGGGACAGTGTCTAAGAAGAGGAAAAAGCTTACATACTTTATTTTATTTTATTTTATTGTTTGCTATTGAGTAGGAGTTTGCTATTCCATTTCTATGTGGAAATGCGTTGCATGGAATTAAATAAAGTTGTATAATTTTGAAACAATTATAAGCACCAACTGTGACATAGTTCTGGCTTTTAAAAAAAGTCAATTTTAGTTATGCAGTACTTCCACCAAACTCTCTATTCCAAGTTTATAAATGTGAATTTGACCATTCGACCATGGATGATGCTTGAAAGTCATGTTTTCTGGATTTAGGGCAGAAGAATACTTGAAAGATTCTCACCATCAGTATGTTTTAGATTCCCAAGAGGTACAATGCCAAGTGTCATGTTATCAACTCTTTGAGGTCTACAGTAAGGAGTTTACTTGTTTCTGGTAGCTTATAAATTCAATAACATCAGTCACAGGCTTCTTAACGTATTTATGAGTTGAGCTAGTGTAGTTCAATAAATGATTGTACTTCCATCAAGTCGAGGGAGTAACGCAAACTAGAATAGTAGCCATCTATTAAGGATAGTTCTGAGGTTTGGAATTTGTAACTGATTTTTAGGAGCTACGACATGAATATCATATCAGGTAGAAATACTCAGAGTGATCACCTTTTATGAAAGTTAGTTCTATCTTTCATGTCTAGGAAAATATAACAGTGAATGTTTGCTTTTTGTATGTTTTGTCTCCAAGCAGAGGAAACTGACAGTTTTATGTTTTAAGTGCCGAAAGTTGTTTTTGGCTAGGCAGTTCCAGAGTTAATCACTGGGATGTTAACTTGAATTTTTGTCTTTAAAATGTTTTAGATTTTTAAAACGAAATATGCTTCCATTATTTCCAAACTGACACCTTGTGTTCTGGATTAGTTTTTAGAGAAATGTTTTCCAAATTCTCTTGGATTACTTGAAGTCCATTGATTTTGAAATATTTAGTTTAGTTTTTTTCTTTTAAAGCTTATCAGAAAGTAGAGGAAGTACTTTATCTTTTCGGGGTTTTCTTATTCCAGAAACCTTGTTATTGCCTGTAAAATGCAAATGAATTTTGCACTTATTTTGTTTTATTTTCTCTTGTGTTTTCAGAAATGTTTTGATGCATCAGAAATTGAGAGATCAGTGATTTCAGTTCTCCTGTCACACCTTTTTATGATAAAATATTTTGGTCATTTCTAAGGAGTAGTTAGAGGGAAATCCTTTCATAAATCATTTTCACTTCAAAAAAACAGTGATGTTGGAAAATCATATAGTATTCTTTGTGATTAGTTGAAAATTATGAATGGTGTAAAATAATATGACATTTAATTGTTTCTCATTTAGACATGATGCATTTTATATCTCAAAATTTGATGGGAGGAAAAAGAAAAAAAAGAACTCACAACTTTTACCAGGTTTGAAACTAGCTTAAGATAGTTCTGTGGAATTCTCCAAAAGTGATAAGAAAATTTAAAATACTGCCCAGACACAGGGTTAAAAATTAAATCTGTATGTAGAGTGGAGACTTTAATCTGACATATTTTAATGTAAAGACATTTTAGAATAAAGAAAGCTTTCTCTGGTTTTGTCGGCTGTTTTTGTTTTTCGACTGCTTTGCATGAGACGATCGGCATTCTTAAATTATAATTATGTGTAAAAACAAATAAGCTGCTACTGTAAAAAGTAACAGCTCTGCACATATATCTTGAATACTACTAGAAAACATTTTCATTAGAGGAATAAATGCATTAGGCCCTAAATAAATTTAAGATACCAAATTGCAAACTTAGTATCTCTAATACATTACCCATGCTAGTCCCTGCAAAGTGGAATTGATTCTGAGAGAGCTCATTATTTCCGTTGCTAGTAGAGTGTATTTAACAATATTTTGGTGTCTCCACCGGTAGAAATGTGGACATTTCAACCAGCTATCCCCTTGTTTGGTTCCTGTGATGTCAGGCAAACATTTTGCCAAAATGTTTGGTCCGATGTAATCACATCGGTGTTGTGTAATTAAGATAATGTGCTGATTTTGAATCTTGTTAACGTGTTATTTTGAAAGTGTAATTTTAAAAATTTGCCCATTTGGAATACAATAGAAGAGGCAGGATGATGTTTTTAGATTTAATTCAAAGCCTCTATGTACAGATAAATTATGAAAAGTTCAGTAGCTCTTTTCATCTTTTCCTAATATGGGAGAAGGTGGGGGTTTATTTTCATAAACACCATTGTAAAAATAATTGATGAAATGTTTTTTGACAAAAGATCATGTACATATATATTAACTTTCTGAGCTAACAGAATGTACATTTTATTTCATTAGGTTACATTAATAAAACCATGTACAAAAACATACAAATGGAAGAATAGATGAAATCACCTCCCTGGAATCAGATGTAGGGTAAATGGTGTAGTCTCTGAGATGACTCTCTTAGTTCTGTGATTTCACCATAAGAGCTGGCCCCCATCTATTCTGCTTTGGACACATTGTGCCAAAGTGTACAATGTTCAGCTTCCCACAAAAGGAGAAAATACGGGTTTAGGCTTAAGATTCTTCTAACATTCTGTTATGGAGAAATAGACCTTGGCCAAGGAAACACTTCTTTTCTCAATGATGGAACTTTCTTCAGCTGGTCAGTCTAAAATCTGCCATTCAAGTTTGGTTTTACTTCTTTGTTTTTCTTTACTTCAGGTATATCAAAGTGAACATTGGGTCATGTTTTATTCTGAGTGACAGAACGGACTTGAGCTACTATCCATTCTAGCATGATCTTATTTTACAAACAAGAAAACTGAAGATAAAAGTGACTTCCCCCTACTTGGTTAAAGGACTGAACTAGAACTTGGGTCCGTTCACCATCCTCATTCATATGTGAAACACTAGGTGATTTTGATGTTTGCTGAGGAAATCTGCCCACTGTTTAAGATTCATTAGTCTTTATTTTTCCTTTTGCACATGGATATGAGAATAGAATTAAAATGTCATTTATTAGGATGCAGTGAGAAATTGATGATCATAATGAATCAGTTGATATATTCACATTATTTCTTTATCAGTACTTTAGATATGGGCATCAAATGTTTAGAAGCTATCACAGAAAGTTAAAGAATTACTGTGAAAAATCTAGGCTTAATGCTTTTTTCAGACACCTTAGCAATAGTAATGTTGGATTCATTTAGATAAAATCTAATTGGTACTGAAAAACTGCTTATGAAAATGGTCACTAATAAGAAGCTAGTTTGTATTACTTTTCCCTTTAGCTTAAAGCAGCTTTAACATTTATCTATATAGAGAGTAGTATTTTTAAAAATAGTCCATTTGAATTAAGGATATTTTTATCTTCCATGAAATGGATGTTTCTTTATTCATAACAGTCATAGTTCCCTTGGCAGGTTGAAAAACTGTAGATGGCATCTGTGAGATTAGGCTTGAAATGTGCAATTAGTTATTAAAATCTGGCTGGAAAAACCATAAGTGGTGTTTTACATAAACTCCTCAGCATTTATAAAAAACTAATGAAAGAAAAATAAAAGAACCTCATTTATTTTAAATACTTTCCTTATGAATCCTGTCTTTTGAATGATAAATTTCAACTTCAAATGTAGTGAAAATAATTTAAAATATACATTTAATGCCTCTATTTTTCTTTTAAATTTCTCAACTTTCCATTTCTAGCCATGACTTCACAGTACAATATGGATGCCATTTATGTTTATTGATTATAGTTAAGCTAATTTTAATCATACTTTGTTGGAGTGGAAATACAGGAATATTTCTCTGTCTTCTTAGACTTCTGAGGTATTTTACTTAAATCCCTTGTTTCTTATCTTTCAAACCTAATAGTTATATTGTATAGTCCAAAGGGTGAATGCCCACATAAGTGAAATTCACACATTACAACCCCAATGCTATTGTCATTTTCACCTCTGGATTTTAAAGAATTGTGGTAAATACCATGCAGAAAGATGTTGAACCTAAGACAGCCCCCAAGCTCTTTCAGAGCATAGCTCCAGAAGTGTCTTTGAAATGCTGGAGGAGGTGGAGGAGGAGGTGTGTCAGGCCCTGGAAACCGCTGGGCTGGTCCAGGGTCTGTATTTGAACCCCGTTCAGTTCATCTTGAGTCGCAGGGTGAAGAAGACATTGTACTTCCATTTGCATGGATTTTCCGCTCTGTCTTTTAGCCAGAAGGCAGCCTTGTCTTTTTTGTTTTGTTTTGTTTTCTTTTTTGGTTGTTTTGTTTCTTTAATGTTTCTTTCAGGTGAAAAGCCTTTTATAAATATCTTGTAAATAGTTATTCCTTTAAATGAAACAGTTTGCTGGTGGAAAATAATCTTACTCATTCCGTCAGATATAATCAATTAAATCAGAAAACTATAGAATGATCTTTGACATTAAAAAGCAATTTTAAGATGGGTTAAGGAACTATTTTGACTAGTATGCTGATCATCCCACGTAAAATCTCTTTCTTGGTGTGGTGAGCATACTATATGAAGAAAGGCTGAAAACTTCCATTATTATTACATAATCATCTGTTTTTTTCCTCCTTGTCCTGTGGCTACTATCTCTATATAGCAAAATTTATTTTTCACCCAGACTGTGAATTATAACTTACCATTCATTGTATACCTTATAGAACCATAGGAAACCCTATCAGTGCTTATGAGCCTTAGTTTTTCTTAATGATTTTGTTAATGTTATTTATTTTTTACATAATTCTCCCCCTGTATGTAAAATATCTCGTTTTCTTCTTTGACTTTGAGAGATTGGAACCTTTCCATGTACTCTTGGCATTGCAGATCAAAATAAGGCAAAATAGCTCTTATTCTGGGCTTTGTTTATCAGAAAACACCGTTTTTTGTTGGTTTTTATAACAGGTGATATCCAGATAAGGTTTAAATAAGATGAGTTGCTGTATTTTAATGTTTATTTCCACCTCTTAAGGGATTTGCCCTCCTGATAAATCAGTATACACTTAACTGTATTTTAATTCCCCTGAATCACAACTATGCTAATGTAGTCACCTATTTTGGAAAACTCCTTTTCAGACATTCTTTAAACTATTTTATACTTGACCTCATGAGGCATATTTGTGAACACAGACTATCGTGGATATTTTATAGAAGCTAATTAAATAGCATTATCTTCTGGCTATTTGGATTATAATCCAGTTGTAGATTGATTACGGACCATTCTTGGAATCTAGGAAAAGTCCAAATGCAATTCTGTAGCTTATACATGGCTAATGAAGCTGAGAGATAGATTAGGTTTTAAGCAAGGGATGGATTTTAGGTAACAACAAATATTGAATATGGCTCCTTTGAAAGTTTAGAACAAGACAAGGTAAAACAAAACAAATGGCTACTTTTTATTTATTTCCAGATGGATTTCAACTTGCAGGTGACATGGCATAAAGTCAAAACGTTGCTTGTTGAGATTTATTAATTAGAATGTTTTTAAGTCAGATACGGAGTTTGTTCTGTTTCAGATAAAAGAGAAACCTACTCAGACATAAAAATAACCTCAGAGTGGAGAAAATATTGAATCCCCAAATCTGGGTTTCATTTCATGTGAATCTCCATTTCTCAACTAAGCGATATCTGCCAAGGCGCCTCTGTTTGTTGACATTGCTGTATTGAAGTCGCCAGTAGCCTCATGGAAGCCAAGCCCCAGTGGTCTTTCCATCTGACTGCATCTCTCACGTGAATTGGATGCTGTCAGCCATTCTCTTGGGTATCTCTTCTGGCTTGGCTTCTAGGCACTGCATCTCTGCCACACTTGTTCTAGTCTATCATTGAATGTTCTCTTAATCTATGCACTTTTCTTGGAGGGTTTTATGCTTTTAGGTTTTTATCCAAATGAAATAACTTCTGAGCCTTCACCTCTAGACCTAACTTGGTTCTGAGTTCCCATATCAGTGGCCTTCAGCCTCCGTAAGTACTTGCTTTTAAACTTGTTTATCATCCTTAATTTGGCATTCAGGACCCTTCAGTTTGCCCCCAATTTACCAGTTCCAAATGTACTACATCATGTGTCTATCCTTACTATAGTGCTTTCTAGTCCTAGAACATTCTCACACCGACTTTTGTTCATATTCTTCCCTCCTTATGAAATGCCTTCTACGCAACCTTAACTACAGGGATTCTATCTGTTCCTCGGCATGTTCACTTCTGTATTCTTCTTCCTGAAACGCTCTACCTCCGCTCATTTAGGTTAAAACATCCCCGCCTTGTGCTCCTGTTTATGTGTGGCTTTAGCATAGCTCATACCAGAAGCTACCGGGCATCATGAACCTGAGGAGAGTGAGAGCATACGTAATTCATTTTTGTTCCCTTTACAAATGACTTGGATGCAGTAGTTCTCAAAAGTGTTGCATTAAATAGGAACATAGGGGAAGAACACTTTGGCTGGCAACATAGACTTTCAGGTACTGAGAAAATTGTGAAATTGGTTTGTCAGGTTTCAGAGGAAAATAAAGATTATCTGGTATTGCATAAGTTCTAGATGTTTCTTGATGTTTGCCCTAATATATCGTTCCTAAGGTAGGATACCACTGGTTGCAACGGAGTATGTTGTATTTTGCAGTGTGCTTGCAAATCCTGCCTTTTATCGATTAATGTCATTTAGCGAAGTGGGACAGTGTCAGTGAAACTAAGGCAAAGGGGAAGCCTGAATTCATTTGAAAAGTATAAAAAAAGGAGAACACAGGCAGCCTTGTACTTTACTGATATTATATGTGAGACACTATGAACTAATCAGAGATGCAAGATGATACATGGTGTGTCCTTAATTGAGGATAACAGTGTTAGGCTCTAAGGTCATGAGTCAGAAATGTGCCTTTTTAACGTCCATGTTTTGAATGTTCTCAGGCCCAAAGGTTGTGTTGTGATGTTTGAGGACAATGGCTTATGTCTTGGCTTCAGGATGAAAGTTACTTGTAAGTGGGCCCAATGCTTGCATGCTGAGGGGGCAAGGGTGATTTAGAGTCAGGAGATCTAACATGAATATTGATGAGTAGGGTTAGGAGCTGAGCACAACCATAGGTAATGTTGCTTTGAGATGCCCAGGTTTATGGCAGCAAGAGGATATTGGATTCCTCTTTGCTCAAATATTTTTAATATTCACGTTTCCCTCAGTGATAGCCAATCAAGTGATAACTGAATAATAGCTGCTGAGACGTTTTTCATGTTGGAACAACAATGCCTCTGAGATTTCTTTGAATGTTTGATTTTTACTAATCACTTTTAATTTCATCTTAAAAGCCTGGGAACAATTTTGAAGTTTAAGAACTTTTTTTTTTAACTTAAAAGAATTATTTTATCTGACAATTGGGAAGTCCCTTTGATTTAACATTTAACTCTGTTAAGCACCTAAATATTACTTTAAACAGCTCTGGAAAATTAAGCCCTGCTATTATTGTACATTCCCAATCTCTATGGACATGGGACCATGAAGGAGAAATCAAGGAGATCTATTTAATGAATTTCTTTGCTTCTAGGACAGTTCATTACTTGTAGGACTTGCACTTATCTATGCCTTCTTTAAAAACAAAACATTCCAAAGCTTCCTAGAAACCTTAGCTAATTGCATTATACCAACATGCTTTTCTGATGTCACCTTATGTCTGTAAGCAACTTTACAAATCCTTTGAAAGAGATAGTTGGATTTTTAAAAGTAATATCTGCTTGGATTTTGCAAATTAAGCCACAGTAGAAACAGTTTCACTGTAGAGTACATGCTAGTTAATAAGTAGGGGTTTTTAAAATCCTCTGTACTTTTCCACAACTGAAAGGGTGCATACTTTTGGTTGAAAGTGAGTAGGCGAAATTTAGACCTGCTGTTCTGGTAGCCCTAGTGGCCATTTCATAATCCCTGATATGATTGTCCAGCTCTCCTGTTTGCTAAATGCAGAAATAGAGGAAGGAAATGGATGTTTTGGCTCCATTAAAATGTTCCTTATCAGACTGTATGTAGGAGTGGATGCTGTTGAAGATGCCTCTATTGCCAGCTGTACAGCATGTGTGCTGGGCTAGTTTCCTGGCTGCTAAAGCTGCGTGGTGCCCTTTAATGATGGGAAGGAGGACATTAAATGTGTTGGGCTTAGTGTTTTCACTTGTGAACATCAGGGAGCAGAGGGCATGCAAACTTTGCCCAAAGGCTGGACACGGTTTGCATAGAAATGAGCTGCGTGTAGTAATAACTGACTTGGTAGATGCGCAGCTAAGCACTGATTACTAAGTAAAAGTGAGTGCAACCTCAGGCCATAGGTGAGCTAGGTTGACCAGGGAAAGGCTGCGTTCCAAGAGGTTCGTCTTCCATTGGGGCCGCCTTAAAATGCTGATCCTGATTCACACTGGTTGAGCAGTGTGCTGTATGTTGTCTTCACTTGAGATAGAAACTGCTGTCATCTTTATTTTATAGAATGGAGAGAACTGGGTCTCAGGAAAGTATAATAAATTGCCTAGGCTACAACAGGTAGCAAGTAGCAGAGTCAGGATTTCAGTCCAGGCAGCCTGGCCCTAAGAGCTGAGGCTCCCTCTACTTTGTTTCTTATCTGGTGGGTGAACAAGATTTGAGTTGCTGTATCTTCCAAGGTAGTATTATAATGGTATTTCAAAGACTAGCTGACTTTTTAATGTTAACAGTGTTCCAATTTGCTTTCTCCTTAGGCCCTAATTCATTGTCAGAGATAAGGCCATCACCTTTATATATGAGACATTTAAACAAATGTTTTTAGTAATAATTCAGGAAACATACAACCGGTATTCTTTCTGTAGCGATATCTGCAGTCTCTTGTTATAAAAAGAACTCTATTAGTTTAAGTAACTGTCTCTTCTTGGCCCCATTACAGTAAAAAGTCTGTGATCAGCACCCTCTTGGAAGGGGAAGTTGTTGAATGACAGGGATGTGGTACTGTCCTGATAATCCTATGGCTTTGTATTTCTTAGTTTATTTATACTCCTGGGTAACTACCCCTGCTCCACATGGAGTATTGACAGCTTTGAATCTGAGGTAGCTTATGTGTGCTACAAAGACAAAAAAGAAAAAAAAAAAGAAAGCGTGGTTTGGGTTAGACTTAAAAAAGTACTTTCATCAGTTATTATCCAGCGTGTCTGTTAGATTTTTAAGTAATTTATATTTTATGAAAGAGCTTTAAAGACGCAGTGTGCTTTAGTGGATAGTGTAGCGAGAGAAATAAAATAATAATAATAAGGGACATTTTCTTTAAAAAAATTTTTCCTTTTGTTTTTAAGAAGAAAAAAGAATCAGAACTGCAGATCAGGAACAGAAATAGCATTCCATTTTCTTTTCACGGATTCTGGAGCAGCTACGGTGAGAGTGAGTTGGCTCAGTCTGGGAAGGAGGCTGCTGTCTGCGGCCCTGCCTAGGCGGCAGCGGCGACACAACAGGAGCTGCGTGTGTGTCGCTGGCGTTCGCTCTCGCAGGAGCCCCGGGCCTGCGGCCGCCACCACGCGTGCTCGGCGCCCGGGCTGTGGGCGTGTTATCGCAGGAAGTCCTGCGGAAGCAGTTGTG
Source organism: Homo sapiens (assembly GCF_000001405.40). Classification (NCBI taxonomy): domain Eukaryota; kingdom Metazoa; phylum Chordata; class Mammalia; order Primates; family Hominidae; genus Homo; species Homo sapiens. The sequence continues at coordinate 115,648,362 of NC_000008.11, read as the reverse complement.
TGCGCCCGTTCCCTCCGGTTACCTCTCTCATCCTCGGCTGCTGCGCGGTGCCTGCAGCCTCCCTCTCCTCCTCCCTCTCCAGCGCTGCCTGCCCTGCCAGCTGCGTGGAGGCCGCCTCCTGCCCGCTTCTTCCCACTCCCTCTGCCCTGTCGCGTCGCATCCCCTGGCCAGCCTGCCCTTCTCCCCACTTCCCAACTTGGCTTCCTCTCTCCATAAACTCTCTTTCCTCTTGTCTTCTCTTTTGCTTCCTCTTTGCTGCCACCCCTCCTTGATTTGACGCTCTGATTTCCTCTTGCCAGATCCCAAATTGGGTTCATCAGCAGCTACTCATCCTTAAATCTTATTCACCTGTGATCATTGGGCAAACTGTAAGAGGCATGAGATTAATGCAAAAAAGGGAGTTCCTTACTATGGGAGGAAATCTCTGGCTATCAAAAAGTCATGCTTTTTTTTTTGTCACATATTAAAATTAAGCACTAATGTAAATACAAAAAAATTTAAAATGATGGCATAGGTTATTAATGAGTCCAGGAATAAGGCAAAGAAGGACAATCTGAAAAAATAATCTCAAATGAATATAACAAAATTGCCCATTTTTTATGGAGATAACTAAAATTGTGATAAAGTACTAGATTTTATTAATGAAAATATTATTAGTCTTTAAGTTAGTCATGTACTTTGTCATATAGCGTTTTCAAGGAGCTGCTTAAAGTGTTTCTGATATTTTGAAGTATATTTACTTACACAAACATTCTTGAGTAGATGGAAGTGTGTGTCTCATGCATTCTCAATCAGAAACTATAAATAAAGTCACTTAATCAAAATTTACCTTATGTAATAGTTTCAAAAGCACATGAAGCCTTTTGGAGTGACTAAGGCTATATATGTATATAAGGCTACTGTATTTTTAGCATTCTGGGAACTGAGGCCTTTATGTTTTTCTTAAATTATGAACTTTAAGACAGTAGCTATACGTGGATCCCTATCAAGTTTTTGCCTTCTTTACATCATCAAGCTTATTTTTAAATTAATTCTTGTTACGGACATGCTTTTTATACCCTCTGTATTAATTTCCTTTTCTAGAAGTCCATATTAGTAAGGCCATATCATGAAAATTAGTATTTTTAGTAGGGCTGTTCTGAAATTTTTCCACAAGAGATATTTTGCAATGACTGAGCTATATTGATTCATATAATTTGTATCCAACTGCTTCATTTTGCCTTGAGATTTCCAGTGTACCTAATATTAGGTAAAGAAAATAGTTGATATATGACTGGATGTGAGGTGGCCATTTTAACTTGTAGGTGACAGGATTTATCTCTTGATTTCTTCGTTAATTTTAAAATAAATAAACAAAAAACAACATAAGGAAGTTTAGATCCTTCTTTTTAATTTGTAACACTTCAACTTCTAGTATTGCTTTCTGTAGGGGAGAATTTTTCAGTTGATAACATGAGTTGATTTCATAAGTTATAGTATTTAAAACTAGAGATGTTTTGTCACAAAAAAGTTGTCCCTTTAATATATGATTTAGCACGGCAACTCTTTTTAAAGTAATATGTTTAAGAGAAAACCATGACCTTATGATAAAAATAATACTAAACCAATTATTAATAACTACAGTTTGCCGTCAAACGTCTTAGCTAAATAATTACCTTATTAGAACAAAGGTATTGAAAGCACAGCACCAGAAACACTGGCTTTAATATTCAAGTAATAAAGACTTTAGGTCCACCATATATTTTTCTCATGGCTGGAGGAGCAAGTCCTAGAGTATGGGGGGCATACTTATTACTTCAGTTGTCATAAATGTGGATCACAGTATTTTCTAAACTTTTTGTTTTATTTTGCATTTTTCTATAATTTGAGCACTTTGACCTCTTTTCAAGTTTATTTGTTCTCCAGATATGTACAATACAAGTTAAAAGAAAGTTCAGTCATCACAGTGCCTTTTGGGACATGTGATTGTCTGGAATAGACTTCTGTCCAGCTATGGTTAGAAGTCCCATAGGTTGTAGCTATGTTTTCCTTTTTGTGAAGTGGCTCTGTTGGAATAAAACCAGTCTTAAAGTAATTCTATAATTTCTCTAGAATGCAGTCTTCTCACCCATAGGCTGTGAGTAGTAGTACCTGGGCACAGGTTTTGGGGGGAAGAATCAGTTTAGATAAAACATGTAAAACAGGTTTGGTGAATGTCAAACGATTGAATATTTATTTCTATAAATAATGATAATGATTGTTCTGTTTCTAATCTTTGTAATTTCTGTGTGTCATTAACTATGGGAGTGCTTAGACTATTCAAAATAGTATTTCTAAGGCCTTATTTTATTTTTAATTTTAACAATTATATTTAGGATATTTACGGACAGGAACAAACTGAGCATTCTAGCCGTCAGCTATTGTAGAAAGAGTGGCATTATATTATCCCAAAAGGCTAGCTCAGTGTCATCCTTTGGTAGAATACATGCCTTAAATTCAAAAGCTCTGTTATGTTTGAATTTCAGTTCTATAAGCTTTGGTATTCAATAGTGCCGAGTTCAAGGTCTAAATTGGAAAAACTTGCAAGAAGTATTTTTGCATTGTTTTTTCACATTGTACATCTTTGCCTTGTTCTTTGGGCCTTTAATGACATGTGCCATCATTTTTTAAAAATATTTGTATTAGTACCTAATTTTAATACATGATTTAAAAAATATGACTTTTTGATACCCAGGGATTTCCTCTTGTAGTAACTTTTTTGCATTAATTTCATGAAATTTTTTCCTCTTCCTCAAAATGAGCACACAATTCCTCTTCAAAGTTAATGACTGTCTTATTTTTCAGTAGGTTGTTTTAATTTTGAATACCTCAGAACCTTTCTTGAGGGGTAGTATTTTAGAGATAATGTTTTGTGGTTCTCACTGGATATTTTAGAAGTTTTATTTTGATTATGTGGAATATATCCTACATGATCATAAGCACTTCGTTAATAAAAATGGTTTGTTATTACTGAGATCACCCAGTTTTTCGGCAGGAGAATAATAAATAGAAGTTGTGTGATTCCATAGCCACTGTAGGGTGTACTCTAGAGCAGAGTGATTCTGGGTTATAACCACATATCCTAAATTTCAAGCTAATAGTGTGTATGTGTGTGCGTGTGTATATATATGTAATTACCTCGTTTTATTGCACTTTCCATTTATTACACTCCACAGATGTTACCTTTTTTATAAATAAAGATTTGTGGCAACCCTGTGTCAAGCAAATCTATCAGCACCATTTTTTTCAAAAATATGTGTTTACCTTATGTCTCTTTGTCACATTTGGAAAATTCCTGCTATATTTCAGACCTTTTCATTGTTATTATATTATATCTGAGTTGGTGGTCTGTGATCTTTGATGTCACTATTGTTATTGTTTTGGGGAGCCATGAATGGTACCCACGTAAGATGGCAAACTTAATTGATAAATGTGTTTGTTTTGAGTGCTCCACTGTCTGGCTGTTCCCTTGTCTCTCTGGTGCTCGTTGGTCCTCCCTATTCCCTGAGACATAATGATTTTGAAATTCAACCTATTAATAACCCTACAATGACCTCTAAGTGTTAAAGTGAAAAGAAGGGTTTCATGTCTCTCACTTTAAATTGAAAGCTAGAAATGATTATGCTTAGTGAGGAAGGCATGCTGAAAAAGAGAGAAGCCAAAAACTAGGCCTCTTGTGCCACATGGCCAGGTTGTGAATGCAAAGGAAAAGTGCTTGAAGGAAATTAAAAGTGCCACTCTGTTGAACACACACATGATAAGAAAGCAAAAACAGCCTTATTGCTGATATGGAGAAAGTTTTAGTGGTTGGGTAGAAGATCAAGCCAGCCACGACATTCCCTCAGGGCACAGCCTAATCCAGAGCAAGGCCCTCTGTTTGATTCGGTGAAAGCTGAGAGAGAGATAAAGAAGTTGCAGAAGAAACGTTTGAAGCTAGCAGAGGTTGGTTCATGGGTTTTAAAGAGATATGTCACATCCATAACATAAAAGTACAAGGTGAAGCAGCAAGTGATGATGAAGAAGCTGCAGCACATTATCCAGAAGATCTAGTTAAGATCAGTGATGAAAGTGGCTACACTAAACAACAGATTTTCAGTGGAGACAAAGGAGCACATTCAAAGGACAGGCTGACTAGTTAGGGGCTAATGCAGCTGGTGACTTGAAGTAGAATCCATTGCTCATTTAGCATTCCAAAGATTCTGGGACCCTTAATAATTATGCTAAATCTACTCTGTGGAGCTGTGCTCTATAAAAGGAACAGCAAAGCCTGAAGGATAGCACATTTGTTTACAGTATGGTTTACTGAATAGTTGAAGTGCACTGTTGAGACCTACTACTTGGAAAAAGATTCCTTTAAAAGTATTACTGCTCACTGACAATGCACGCAGTCACCCCAGAAGCTCTGATGGAGATGTACAAAGAGATGAATGTTATGTTCATGCCTGCTAACACAACATCCTTTCAGCAGTCCTTGGATCAAGGAGAAATTTCAAAATTCAAGTCATTATTTAAGACATACATTTCATAAAGCTATACCTGCCATAGTGATTCCTCTGGTGGATCTGGACAAAGTGAGTTGAAAACCTTCTGGAAAGGATACATCATTTGAGATACCATTAAGAACATTCATGATTCATGGGAGGATGTCAAAACATCAACATTAGCAGAAGTTTGGAAGAAGTTGATTCCAGCTCTCATGGATGACTTGGAAGGCTTCAAGACTTTAGTGGAGGAAGTAAGTGCAGATGTGGTAGAAATAGCAAGAGAACTAGAATTAGAAGTGGAGCCTGAAGATATGACTGAATTGCTGCAATCTCCTGATAAAACTGGAATGGATGAGGTGTTGCTTTTTCTTAAAGATAAGCAAAGAAAGTGGTTTCTTGAGATGGAAGCTATTCCTGGTGGAAATGCTGTGAACATTGTCAAAATGACAAAAGATTTAGAATATTCCATCAACTTAGTTGATAAAGCAGCATTAAAGTTGGAGATGATTGACTCCAATTTTGAAAGAAGTTCTAGCGTGGGTAAAATGCTATCAAGTGGCATTGCATGCTACAAACAAATCATTCATGAAAGAAGAGTCAGTTGATGTGGGAAGCTTCATTGTTGCCTTATTTTAAGAAATTGCCATAGACACCCCCAGCTTCAGCAAAGACCTCCACTGAGCAGCTATCAACAATGAGGCAAGACCAGCAAAAAGATTACCAATTGCTCAAGACTCAGGTGACTGTTAGTATTTTTTAGTAATAAAGAATGTTTTTAACTAAGTGTATTTTTTAAACATAATACTATTGCCCACTTAATAGACCATTGTGTAATGTAAATGTAGCTTTTATATGCACTGGGAAACCAAAATATTCTTGTGACTTGCTTTATTGCAATATTCACTTTATTTTAGTAGTCTCAAACTGAATCTGTAGTATCTCCGAGGTGTAGTATCTCCGAGGTGTTATATATATATAACGTTAAATATATATATTTATATATATATATATTTTTTTTCACGAAGTAAGCATGCTTTTATTATCAGATAAAAACATTAACCAAATATGTCTTTTTGGGGAATAATAAAAATGATTAAACTTACTAATGTTTTTGCTGGGGTTAGATTATCAAAGCATTTTTTTAAACACTGACACAGTCATTCATATTTTCTAGGAGAAATTACCATGCACCTTTGGAGTCATTTTTTGATAGAAAAGGTGTCCCTAATTGAGAGTACCAATTTTAAATTTTTGTTGGCAGGTGCTGCTATTGAATTGTATTTGGATTATAAAATTCACAAGTTTCATAATTGGAGGCTTATGGAGTGTATTGATGAGATGATTAGAATTACTCTTTTGGTTATGTAAGTTTTTAAATAATGGAAGAAGTTCTAGAAATCATACAAAAATTTCCAAAATAAGACTTTCAGAGGCTGTGAATGATACTGATTTTCTGTCATCTTTGTCATTTAAACACAGTTCTGTATTATTTTTTTGCTCAGCAATAAAGGAGTCAGTAGGTCCATCTGTGTGTTTCTGTTGGATTCATATCGGATATATGACTATTATGTATGTAGTGTCTTGAATGTGTATGTGTGTATATATATATATACACACAGGTTTCTTTTCTTTTTTTTTTCTTTTTTTGAGATAGGGTCTTGCTGTGTTGCCCAGGCTGGTGTCCTGTGGTGCGATCATAGCTCTCTGTAGCCTTGAACTCTTGGGCGCAAGGGCTCTTCCAGCCTCAGCCTCCTAAATAGCTGGGACTACAGGCACAAGCCATCATGCCTTTGCTAATTTTCTAATTTTTTGTAAAGACGGAGTCTTGCTGTATTTTCCAGGCTGGTCCTGAACTCCTGGCCTCAAGGAATTCTTCCCATCTCAGTCTCCCAAAGTGCTGGGATTACACATATATTTTAGACTTTGGAAATTAGGAAAACTGAAAATGGAGTTTTGTTTTGTTTTGTTTTGTTTTGTTTTCGAGACGGAGACTCATTCTGTCACTCAGGCTGGAGTGCAATGGTGCAATCTTGGCTCATTGCAACCTCCGCCTCCCAGGTTCAAGTGATTCTCCTGCCTTAGCCTCCCGAGTAGCTGAGACTACAGGCATGCGCCACCATGCTCAGCTAATTTTTTGTACTTTAGTAGAGATGGGGTTTCACCATGTTGGCCAGGGTGATCTCGAACTCCTGACCTCAGGTGATCCACCTGCCCTGGCCTCCCAAATGAAAATGGAGTTTTCATTTCCATATATCACAGTTGTTTTTCAATATAGGTCTTCAGTGACTGGAAGCCATTGCTATAGGCTGGTAATTTGATAACCCATTTTTGAAATGTATTTATTGAGCTCATTGTAATTCAGTATGCCTCTGGTGAAAGGCGTGGGATGGTATAGGTTGAAAGAATAATCTGTGGTTGTTCCCTACAGAGACGCTGCTGCCCCTTTTTGGGCAGTCATCTTTAACCTGGCACCCACTAGTGTATTTGCTAAAATGGAATATTCCAAAATTTAAATGATGTCACATTTGAAAGCAATGCCAAGAAACAATGCGGCAGTTTCTAAATTTTGTGAAGCTAAAATCCCTGGTTACAAGAAAGAGTACATGTCACAGATGAGTAGTTAGTAATGACTTCAGTTTAGCAGGAAAAGAGCAATTCCCATATGCTGATTCTAGTCTCATAACAAAGAATGTTATAGAAAGATTGCACAGTATTTAACAAGCTGTGAGTTAATGTGACAGTGTCGGTGTATCTAGTTCCAGAAGGATAATCACTTTACCATATTTCTTCAAAAATATTTTAAGTTATATTCCAAAACAGAAAACCAGATACATATGAATCCAGACTGTTCCCTGCAACACCTCCCCACCCCCAAGTTAGGTAGTAAAATCAGGTTTAAGCAATTGAATTGCTTCCGACCTGCTGGCTGCCAAATACCTGAATAAATGTAGAAGTTCCATTGTCAGACTCTGAACCTCAGAGGCTTACCTGTTATATAAGGGAGAGTGGGTATAAATGAGAGTGTTACATCTTGAACTGTAATTATCCAAAACTTAGTTTTCAGCGCTTCAGTTTACCTCTAACCAAGAGCCTCTCCTAATTTGAACATAGACTACGCCCTTCAACACTTACGGATACGTTAGGAGTTGAGAAAATTAGGTAAAGTTGTATTGCTTTCAGTCCTTTGGAACACATACTGGATACAGGCATTGGTACTGTAGGTGTGTTAGTTACCAGCAATTCATTTCCAGGGTTTTTCCCAAAGACCTGCTGTTTTATGCGTGTTCATATTAGTACTATGATTTGCTTATTCCTGTGAACACGAACAACACTGACAGATAACAGTTTTGAACAGTAGACCTGTGTCTTTTAAAAGCTTAAAACTCCATGCACATCATTTTGTCGTTGCAAAGACTTCTAAAGGCAGGCATGGGGAGGCATTGTGGAGTAGGGAGAGGATATTATGTCCTTCAGTGATTTAAGGAAATGCATGTTTTCCATCATGAAAGAAAAGATAATCATTATCAAATTCAGAGGAGATTGTTTTATCATTCCCATAATGAACCTGTGTCTCTTTTACCAATTAACATATAGATGGATATTAGGAGAAACCAGGTTCAGGTAGAAAGAGGTACATAAAATTAATAATCCATCACGAGGAATTTCTGCAAAGTGCCTTTTATAGAGAATTTTTTTTCTTGGAAATTTTTGAAATTATCAAGTATAAAGTTGATGCTTAAATTATGTTTTAATCTTTCTTAAGACTTTCTCTGGATGCAGATTATGGAATTAAGGTGTTTTGATACTGTGAAAGTATGTGTTGCTAATACTGTAACATACTGTACATTTACTATACTGTCAATAATATATGTAACTACTACTGAGTATTGACTACTTTAAGAAGTTAAGGTCTCTCAGTTTGTCACAAGAGACATTAGTCTTATATCAAGGGTTTACCTCATGAAGTGACATAGGCAGGCGACTGACATTCCACTACCAGTATTAGACTTTTTATTTATTTATTTAATTTTTGAGATAGGGTCTCACTCTGTTCCCCAAGCTGGAGTGCAGTGGCACGATCTCAGCTCACTGCGACCTCTGCCTCCCAAGCTCAAGCAATCCTCCTGCCTCAGCCTCTGGAGTACCTGGAACTACAGGCATGTGCCACCACGCCTGGTTAATTTTTTTTTTTTTTGTAGAGATTGGGTTTCACCATGTCACCCAGGCTGGTTTCCAACTCCTGGACTCAAGTGGTCCACCGACTTGGCCTTCCAAAGTGCTGGGATTACAGGCGTGAACCACCACGCCTGGCCATTATTTGATTTATACTGTATTTTTAGTGTACAAGCTGTTTAAGAGAAACATTGATCTTAAAGCATAAGAGTCAATGATTTTGAAAAATGAAAACAAGGGAAATCTGGTCAAATTTGCTTTTATCCTTCCACCCAAAATTGTTTGGCTGCCTGCATTTTGTAATCATATAGTGATTGACTGTTGGACATCGTGGCTCACACCTGTAATCCCAGCACTCTGGAAGGCCAAGGTGGCAGGATGGCTTGAGCCTTGGAGTTCGAGACCAGCCTGTGCAACACAGGGAGACCTCATCTCTACAAAAATATATAAAATTCAATTAACCCAGAATGGTAGTACATGCCTGTTGTCCCAGATACTTGGGAGGCTGAAGCAGGAGAATTGCTTGAGTCTGGAAGGTCAAGGCTGCAATGAGCCATGATCATGCCACTGCACTCTAGCTGGGACAACAGAGCAAGACCCTGTTTCAGAAATAAATAAATAAATAAAATCATATAGTGATTGAATTGATCTGTGCAGAAAGTACCTCTTTCTCCCAATGGATGCTGGCATCTTCATTCAGTATATATAGAGTGGCCACTTTGTGTGCTACCTGTTAGCAGTTTATAGTCTAATGGGGGAAGGATAGGAGGAATATAAGAAATTATAGCACATTGCATTTACAATCTATTTCAGTATACATTATCTTATTCATTTAATTTGTACTCTCTTTTCTGTTTATTCCCTTTAAAAAAAACTTTGTAAAATAGGCCAATTATACATATTACTGTGGGAATTAAGAAAGTAAAGATGTGAGTAAGCTCAAAAAAAAGGGTAAAAACCCCGCCAAAACCACTGTTGGTTTTGGTTAATGTGCTTGCATAATCCTTTGAATCTGTGTCTTTCCTGAGTGTATGTGTAAAACTCTGTGTGTAAGTGTGTATATTTCTGTCTGTATCCTGTCCAACTTTGGCAAAGGGGTAGTTTTGCCCAGATTTGCTTTTGGAGCTAAAAGGAGATCTCTGCCCACACCTTTTCTGTGAGGTCTGTTACCTCACACTTGAGAACAATGTCAATTTTTGGGGCCTTAAAGGCAGTGTTGGCTTCTGCCCAAAGGTACCTTCATGACCTTAACACAAATTCACAAATCAACCTATTTTATTCATTGCACTCATGTCTTCGGGCTCTCCACTGCAGAGTCTTAAAGGAATTGTTTTGGAATGGACACAAAGATTACTAACCTCTGTGGAAAAGTACCCTGACTTTACAGCGTTCCTACTTCAAAAACAAACTCTGTCTGGATGGCAAGTCATTGGGAGACTTGAGTGATTACCGGGGAGTTTTGGTGTAAAATGGAATTTTAGATTAACCTTTAGCACCTAAATCTGAGGTCTGTCAAGTCTCCGTTTTTATAGATCTGACTTGAATTAAAGAGGTGTGTTGTGTTGAAGCCTTCCTGGCCCTTATTTTAACTACTGATTTACATGGGGTGTATAGTGGGGATCATCACTGAGTTTTGACCAAGTTCTGGGAAAGCTCCCTGTGGGACTGGGAAAATCTGGCTCATTTTGGAAAACCTAAATTTATGTTTTTAAATAATTTGGAAAACCTGGTAAAATGCTACAGGTATAAGAACTTAAGAATTATAATGGATCAGGATAAACGGGGCTAGAATAAAACACTAAGTACAGTCAGGCAGTCAATGGAAACAAACAGATGGGTGTCAAGAGCTAAGTTAGTGAGTTGATCAGCTCTATTTTTGTCTTTTCAATAAGTTTCATGAAGCTTGTTCAGCAAACATGAGTAACTTCAATAAGTTCATGCAGCAAATATTTATTAAGCAGCACCTACTCATTTATGGGATACTGTACTAAGGTGTGATAATATCAATATGAATGACAACAAAAGAACACTGTCCAGGCAAGAATACAAATAATGTAACAGATAAATAAAATATTGATAGTCATAACTCCAATATAGCTATATAAAGATGATCATAGCACATAAATTCTGGAAAAATCCAGTATCATTAATGTCTCCATTAATGTATACCAGTCACCCCATCTTTTTATCTGAACCTGTGCGATATTTCTGGGGTTTTAAAAATTCCACTTCCTTTTACGATCAGAGTTGAAGATTTGTTTTGAAACCCATCACTTTTCTTCATTTTCTACCTTTCCCTTCTTCCGTCTACATGTCACACCACATCTAGTTTAGTTTTCCTAATCTCTTCTTTTTAGAAACTTCAAGTGGCTTCCTGCTTTCTCCAAGTGGTCCAGCCTCATCAACTGGGATTCAAGATTCTGTCTTATTAACCTTGGCAACCACGTCTTCCATGTGAGCCATTTGGTTTAAACCTAGCTTCTTCTCTGTTTCTTGACATATGTTAATATTGTTAGCAACCGTTTGTTTCTCTTACTCCTGTTTGCTGGAATCCCCTTTTCTGTCCCCTGTAGCTGTGCAATTCTTACTTCTCTCTCAGGATAATCTTCACTCTCATCTCTGTTAACTGTTTCCTCTGCCATTGACCACGTTGGTTATTTTATTATGAACGAAAGAAATAATAGAAATATTAATAAAAGATAGCAAACATTTAGTACTTACTGATTACTTTTTTGTGTGTGTTTTTTTTTTGCTTTTTTTGTTTTGTTTTGTTTTTTAGATAGAGTCTCACTCTGTTGCCCAGGCTGGAGTGTGGTGGTGCTGTCTCGGCTCACTGTAACCCCCACCTCCCAGGTTCAAGCGATTCTCCTGCCTCAGGCTCCCAAGTAGCTGAGATTACAGGCACCCGCCACCACACCCAGCTAATTTTTGTATTTTTGGTAGAGAGGGTTTCACCATGTTGGCCAGGCTGGTCTTGAACTCCTGGCCTCAGGCTATCCTCCTGCCTCAGGCTCCCAAAGTGTTGGGGTTAAAGGCGTGAGCCACCACGCCCAGCCAAGTACTTAACTGATTACTTTCAAGGGAATTTACTGTTTACACTGCTCATTTTGGTGCTAAATCATGTCTCCTCCTGTATTATTACTGAAATGTTTAATGTGAGCCTTGTTTCTTTAACAAAGGTAGATTATTGCTTCTTAGAGAGCAATAATTTTCTCTTCGAATTTAAATATATGCCCAATAAATACATAATATATGAATAAATTAATTGATTGGATATTTTAGAAGTCTGAAATGCCCTTGCCCATAAGAAGAATGTATGTATGACATTTGGGGTTGCATTGGTACTTTATTTTCCAGCCTGATGGACAAGAGTGATTTTAAAACCATCAATGCCTCTGCATCTGTGGCGCAGTAAACAGGAACCCTATTGGAAATTAAATGTGTCATCTTGTGCTTCATAGCCAGACTATTAAGCTTTTAGGAAGAGATCAATTTAAAATAAATTATATGTATGTACATATACATTAATATGTAATATATAGAATATAATGATTATATTTACAGGGTTATATTTAATTCCTGATGATAAAAAAAGGACGATTGGCATTATCTTATCAGAAAATGAAAAAATGCATCAAAATCAGACAATATTTTAAAGAAAAAATTTATGTCATTTCAGTAATGCTTTTTTACTTGACATAATTATGTAGGAAAACTATCCATAATCCAGTAGTAAACATTATGTATGAAAACTTGATGTGAACTTTTGTCAATACATATGATACATTATTATCTAATGTTTTCAGGAAAACAAATTTTCTACAACATTTATGTGTTAATCTTTTATTTCCTGGAATTGAAAAATTTAACCAAACACCACAGAAATTGCTAATACCACTGAACTTGTCTCAGTTCCCTTAAGAAGCCACATTCTCTCTTCATCTGGGCCTTTCCCAGGTCTCCTGCCATTTCTTCTGTTGGAATCACTCAATCCTCTCTTTTCACCTGGCCAGTTTTTGCTATCCTTGTTTGTGTTCTTCCTTTTTACCCCCAGAACCCCTTGTTGTTATACCAAACTGGGATTAGTCACTGCTCTTCCTTGTTTATTTATTTCTTTTCTCTAGGTAGACTATAAGCTCACTCAGGGTAAGTTTCTTCTCTGCCTTGTTCACAGTTGTATCCTCAGCACCTTACTCAACACTTTACTCAATGCCTGACACATAGTTGGCCCTCAGAAACTATGTTGAATGAATAAATGTTACGTGAGTTTTGACTTAGGAGCATCAGTTATCATATCACTTGGTCAGTTTGCAATATTTGCCCAAAAATAGGATTTAGTGCAAAATGAGTGCTGATGCCAGCAGATATCTTTGACCTTGGTTTCTGGGGAAAAAAAAATTCTCATATCAGCTTGTTTGGATAATTGCTTGCAGAGTTTCCATGAAAGGGAAGTGGTAGATGCACAAATGGATAAAGTGTAGGACTTTTTGACAGGACTAACTGCATTCTAACTTATTGCATCAAAGACTATAGCAGTCATCTCTCAAGCAGTATTCTGGTCATCAGAAAATATTCTTGAACAGTGCTATCTTTTAACTGGTTAGCACTCTCCAAAGTATTTCATGTGGTTTTTTCACTGTTCATACCCTGGACTACATGGATTACCTGCCAGGGTTCATCTATTATTTTAGCTTACCTGGACTACATTGGTGAGACTTCATGAAGGAGAATTCCACTTTTATTTCAGTAAACCAGGGCAGGATATTTTGGGACCTACAACAACCTGTCTTTTCTTTCTTCTTTTTATCTTTTTTTTTTTTTTAACCTAAGAAGATGGTAAACACTTAGTAGGCTGCAATTTTCTTTCTTAATGACTGTCATAATGTCTCACATTTAATATAACTTGTTCTATTTTGATGTTAAAACAGGGCATTCTTAATGTTACAACAGGATTAAAAGTACTGTTTGGTACTCTCATGATATGTTAACTCTTTTACGAAGTCATTTAAATAACAGTATTGTATTTTCTGAATAGCACCCTGGTTTGCAGGCTCAATAAACAAGTTATCTTTAGCAGGTATGAAGATGGTGATAATACCACCAGATACCAGTACTGTTTAGGTGAAATCTGTAGTAATTTGCTTTTGAAATAATCAGGTAAAACTGTTACTATGAAATGCTGTTTTGCAAAAAGTTCAAAAGACTAATGGATGTGATTAACTTTAAGTTATCCTATAGAGTGCTACTTTTTCTTGGGTATTATGTTGCTTCTTTAACAAACATCCTTTTCTTTCCATGTGTAGGCTTATTTCCTGTAGAGAGCAGTAAAACATGTAAAGCATTATTCATGCTTTGACTTCTAGAACATGTAAAGCATTCATAGATTGGGGATCAGTCAACTAATTCTTACTTTGCTTAAACCCAAAGTTCTCAAGCTTGTTTAGGTGACTGTAGTCTTGGACTTTGTGATTCTGTCTGAGAAACTCCGTGGAATAGTGTTAAATTATCATATCATACAAAGATGGGGCAAATTATGTGCAATAAAATGTGATTGTATCATATCTGTGTGTACCTACAAAACAAAGACTAAATGCCACATGAAATAGTTTTAAGGAATAAGATTTTCAAGTTTTCTTAGCACATTTGTGGGCTGCCTTTTTTTTTGTTGTTGTTGTTTGTTTTGGTTAGTTGCTAGTACACATTAGAAGCCATTTGATACTAGAAGCCAAAGTCTTAAGAAAATATTAACCAGGCATAAAGTTGAAAACTGATGGCATTGTACCTATTAACTTATGTTTTTTATGCAAAATAAGAAACCACTCATCATTATTCTGTTTGTGAGATGGGATACCTCGGTCTACTGATATTACATAGATTTACAGCAACCACCTTAGATGAAGGTAGAATCTAGCACACACTTCATGTAAACACAGCATTTATTCAGCCTTATAAAAATATTCAGAATTTTAGATACATGAATCCTCTGAAAAAACCACAGTATTGTTTTATTTGCTCATCTGTTCCCTCCGGTCTTCTTGGGTAAGCAGGTTACCTTAACCCCCTTTCAGTTCCAGTTTCCTCATTTGTGAAATAGGACTACTAAATAACTATCAGGCTTTTGGTGAAAACCAACTGGGGAAATTACGTGAGCCAGTAAGCAAATGGCTGGTCATAATAAGTACTCAAGAAATATTAGTTCTCTTCCACCTTTATGTAGCTTGTCTTTGTCATATAATCAAGGTAGTGCATCCTCATGGAACATTTAATATCTACAGATGTGTGTCTGTGCTTGTCCTTCCACCACCACCACCACCAGCAGAATCACATACAGAGTTCTTATCCTCTCTTCTGTTTGCCTGTCTCTGATTATCTTCACCCCTGTTAGGGTGTCTGTTGCTTTCTTCTCTTGTTTTTGCCCTTCATCTCTCTTTTCAAACCCCTCACCCTTTGAAATCCCTTTTGTTCAGAACGCTTTCTTTTCAATTTCTCTTCTCTTCCTTCTTTTACCACCTGTTTGCCTGCTGGGGCACATCCTGGCCCTTTCTCCCGTACAATTCAGCCTGAGGCGTCAATGACCCATTCCACTCCATTGGATTGCTTGATTTGCTCATCAAAATATCGCAGCTCAAAGGTTTCTCTTCATTATATTACTCCATGCTCTCTGCAGAGCAACTGCTGTTTCACTGAAAAATCGCACACACACTCTTAAACTTTAGCTGAAAAGTGCACAGATCTTAAGTCTGTAGCTCAATGAATTATTACAAAACAAATACACCTGTGTAACTATCACTCATGTCAGGAAATACAATATTGCCAGTACTCTAGAAGCCCTTTGTGCTCCTCCTGGTCTCTTTCTTCGTCCTCCAGGAATCAGTCACTCTCCTGACTGCTAAACACTTTAGATAGTTCTACTTGTTTTTGAACTTTACACGTGTCCATATACATTGAAAGCATGCATTCGTTTGTGTCTGCCATGACACACTCAGCATCATGTTTGTAAAATTCATTCATGTTGTATGTAGTTTGTTCATTTGTATTGTACCATAGTATTCTGTTGTATGAACAGGTATTGTATTTTATAATCATATGCCACAACTTTAAAAAATCTATTCTACTGCTGATACAGATTTAGCTTGTTTCCAGTTTGAGAAATTCAGGAAGTAATACTGTGAGAATTGGTGTGTGTGTGTGTGCACGTGTGTTTGTGTGTGTACGCGCATTTTAAAATTAAACTTCTGGTTTTGTGTCCTTCTGAATGTTTTAAGTTTCTTGGCGTCTAATCCAGATGTTTGAGGCTTTTCTGTATTCTTTTTATGTTCCAGGCTATTCTCTTAAAAGATAAACTATTTATTTTTTATGTATTATGCTACTTGTATAGTATATTTTGAGTTTTGGAATGTTGGAGAATACAGAATGAAAAATTTGTAAATAAAACATATGTATATATAAGTGCATATATTTATGGTAAACATTATATATTTAATAAACCTATTACATACCATATGATGTTCATGTATAAAACATACATAATCATCCAAATATACAAACATGCAAATTCATTTTACTGATTATGGTACTCTTATTATAGAATTATCACTATATAGAGAATGTGCCACTTTTTAATGAACTTTCCTCTGTGTAATCAGTCTACAGATATTTTTGATGTGTAAAGTTACACAGACATTTATGGAATCTAAATCAAACCAACATGGCTGTGATTTACCATTTTAAAAAATAAATTCAGTAGTTCTTATGTCTCACGACTTGTACATTTCTTGATCTGTGCCCATGGACCTAGAGCTATGATATCTGATTCTTTTTTCAGCCGAAATAAGGAGAAAATTAATGCCTTGATTCCTTGGATGTCGTGATTTGGTTTGTTATTATGTTGTTGAGACAACTTTAGCATTTTTCTAGCTGTTAGTTTCCTGAGCCTATTTAATATCAAGAGATTCAGACTTTCCTTGAAGACAAAAGCAATATATAGAAATTTCTAAGTGTGTCAACATCCATCCATCCATCCATCCATCCATCCATCCATCCATCCATCCATGCATCTAATAAGAACGAGTGCCTTCTGTGTCATAGGCCTGTCACTGTGAGGAAGGGCATGTTAGTATCACTTGGCTTTTTAAAAACTTGCATGTCCCTTGTGCCAATATGCTATTATACTTTATTCCTCTGCAATAGTCACCATCATAGTCTGCTAGTGCTGATGATGGAAATGAGCCTCAGATGTGTTGCACCTGGAAAAAACTTGAGATCACTGATGAGATGTAGCTATTTATATATATTGAATTATTTTATATCAATATTTTGATTAGTATCACATATATGAATGGATAGCTGTTAATATTTTGAATTAACAACAATGATAATATAAATCATAATATATTTTCTGGTTTGAAGAGTTTCACAGTCTAGAGGGGTAGCCTAAAACATAAACACATAATTCTGTGTGAAGTGGCAGGTACCTTGAGAGAAGATATGCACAAGGTGCCACATGACAGTGGAGAAGACTAAGTTTTGCTTGTGAAAATTGTAGAGGGCTTTGTAGAAGTGAATCCATTTTAGAGGCATGTAGTTTGGTAATGTTGGTGATGTGTTAGGCATTATGAGGCAGATTCGAAAGTTAGGATAATCTGGTACTCTGTGAGAATATTGGGAAGATTGTATATTCATTCACTTGACGTAACTATAGAGGCAGACAAATATGTTTGATAGCAGCCTTTGTAACATGGCGTCTTGTAGATTGTGTTCTCTTGTAAGTTTCTTAAAATGTTATCACTTTTTGCATTGGTTAACTGTTGTTAAAGTGATTATGAGAAATGCATTGGGAAACCAAGTGGTCTTTAGATTCCTTCAGACCCAACTTGTTCATGTGCTAGGTCTGCACCTAGACAAGCGATTTAACTTCTCCATGTCTTAGCTGCATTATCTGTAAAGTGTGAATGATAATAGTACTTAAAGGATTGTTCATCCAAATTAAAATCAAATGAGATAATGCACTCTTGGCACAGTTCCTGGCTCATATAATAAGAACATGAAATATTTTTTATTAGCTAGAAATTCAGGTTAGAATATGTATCAACACTGAAGATCATAGGCCTTAAAAAAACCTACCTCTGACTTTTGGTTTCTTTCAACATTCAATTAAATTCTGAAAGAACTATTTGTAAAACACCTGAACCTGGAATTATATATGTGTATTTCCCTTACTCTGTTATGATAGGGGTCCACAACAAGATTGATGGAGAAACTAATAATTGGGGTGCAGATGGTGAAAATCTTTTCTAAAGGTGTGTGTGTGTGTATGGCTCTGTGTATGTTTAGATAGATTCTTAAGTTTATACTGAATTTGAAAGTGAAGATTGACGAGATTGCCTATACAAAATACTTAACAAGTGAGCTAATTTCTGCCCGAATTCTGTAGTCTTACTCCTGTATGTCACATCACTATTCTTCCTCTCATATGTGAATGTGTAAAATAGAGGCTGTGTGGGATGGGTCCAGAAGGAACTTGTGGTCATCCTCTCAGGCTTGAATCTCACCACTCTATCTGGCTTTGTGTTTACAATTAATTTAAGTTTAATTACCTGTTTCAGTTTTACTTTGACATCTACCTAACCTATTTTTTGCTTTATTTCTTTCTTTCTGATCTTTTGTTTTAATCTTTGGGGGTAAAATAATGCAATAATGATAAAACAAAATTCAAAAGCCTGTAAAGCTATGGGATCTGCTTGGGATTTTCAAGGGTGAGATAGGGTCTATAATAGACATGTGTTTACTGATTGTGACCCCAGGCATTGGTTTTCTGTCCTTCATTGTTAGGATAGGTGGATCTGGGGACACAGACTGAGTGGAGTGGAGAAGAAAGGATTTATTAATAATCAGGGAGGAGCATGTGGGATAGATCTGAGGTATCTGCAAGCATTTGAGAACTACTGATTGTAACTATATGAACTGAAGATGGCTCAGTGCAATCCTGGGTCTTTCCACATTCCATATTTAATTAAAGGCCTTTGCCATATCTTGGTTCCTGGCTCAATTTTAGTCAGATAAAATTTAAGTTATTATAAAATAATAACAAATTTGGCATATAAGGTTTTAAACTGATCACGGTAGCTGGACAGCATTAGCAACAATAGTTGAAAAAATAGAGCTTCTTTATGCAGTGATATCTGTATAATCTATTTAGCTCAAAGATAACATTGAGTTTATATCCACGTATGTTTATGAATGTGTAATTTGGACACCTGGGATTTTATTGTATGTAGATGTTTTATCCGTTCCCTTTTTAAAATCCAATGTTCTATCTGTAATGCTCTGCCACTACACATTCTTTCAAAAAAATTCTGATTCTAAATCTTTAATGATGATATGCCTCAATCTTCTTTTAACATAGATAGCTCTTCTGGAAAAAAAACAAAAAAACAAAAACAAATCCTTCAAAACAGCCCTCTTCATAACAAAACATCTTAGTCTTTTTGCCAAGTTAGTGAAGGAATACTGGTTTTTTTTGTTTTTTGTTTTTTGTTTTTTTCCTTAACTACGCGTGCTTTAAAATCTCAGTTAAATTTCTTCCTTGAGCATTACTTTCTTAGAGTGGCCTTTCCCACTGTGTTCATCAGAACATTAGTTTTGTTGGCTAAATGGCACTATGTGACATAAAGCCAAATGAGATTGGGAAATTTCAGTCTAGATTGGACACACGTCACCCTCTCCAATCCCTAGGACTTCTTAGAGCTGTAAACGCTAATGTACATTGTGGATCTCTGGGAGGGATATGTATTATACAGTTTCCATTAAACTTAATCTGACCAAGGAATCTCCTTTCATTTTCTTTTTTTGAAGCTAATATTATGGGAAGAGTCTAGAGACAAGTCTTGGGTTTCTTGTCATCTATGCTTAAACAGTTACCGTATTAAAATCCCAGGCAGAGCTTAGCTAAACTTGCAGTGAGCATGGCAGAATGTTCTGAAATACCATAATATTTTTTCAGAAAAGGTTCTTATAGTTGAAGCTTTCTAAGCCTGTTACTTATCCAACTCCAAATTATGAACGGATTATATGTTTACTTTTTTTGCCCATATATAAAGCTTTTCATATCCTAGAAGTCAGGAAAAAGTTATTTAATTTTATTATGAGAAGTTGCTTTCAAGTATATATATATTTTAAGATCAGTTTTCTTTGGAACATTTCTCCATACTTAACAAAAGAGAGAAAATGACTCCTGTGTGTGTGTGTGTGTAATTTGTTTTTGTCAGAGGGAAAAATGATGCTAATTAGGTTAAAATAAGGAGTTGGCACTAAATAGGGTGGTAGCTAAACCAAATTTTGTATTTTGTACCAAATTTCTAAATCCCTTTTGTTGCGTGAATGGATTAGCTGGTTCATTGTAATGTTTGTGTTATCTGTTGGATATGTCTATGGTTGTCCTTAGTCCATTGGTTCTCAGATGGGTGCAGGCCATTTAAACTGCTCCCTGTGGTAGAGTAGGAGTGAGCCTAGTGCTTTGTGAGTTGTTTCCTAGTTTCATGAGGAAGAACTATTGCATATGAAGGCACAAAGTTACTTCCCTTCATTTTTAGAGATACACACACATGCACATGCACACATACAGAGTATATTACAGGTATAAGTTCTCAGTATGTCTTCATAACATCTGGTTTTAATCTTATATTAAATTTGGCACTTTTAATACTACTAATAGTAATAAAACTTACTGAATATACTTGGCTTACTGGTGCTGTGAAGACAGCGAGCATTCTAATTGCACTATGTTATCTTTATGGTAAGCATCTATTAGATTCACTATACTGTATATGTGTGTCAGTTTACCAAATGGATTTGCAGTGATTGACACAGATTTATTAAGGGAGAACAAAGAAAGCTGTTAGTTATATTGGTGGATTGAGTTAATAATTGAGATTTTCTTTTCTATTGATTAACAGGTAGGAAAACAGAAAAAAGCAACATTAGTACATAAAAATATTAAACTACCTTTACTATTCAATGATAGTTTTCACCAAATGCTGGCAACATAGTCAAAGACATTCCTACAAAGCACAGCACTCGTTATTTTTGTTATGAGTGAAAATCTAATTTACATATAATAAAATGTCAATTCACATCATAACCATCAAGATAAATAGAAACATTTATACTCTTCGATGAGCTACTCTTTTTGAATTTAAGTGCTGTGCTTGGCTCTTTGCCCAGAGACCAGTTGAAATAGCCTAAGTTTAACAGAGAAGTAGGGATGAAGTTGAAACTGACTTGTGTGCAAATGTAAAGTCAGATTGGCCTATGTGAATCAACAGTTGTCATTGCAGATATTTTAATTGTGTGTGTGTGTGTTTTGAGAGGAAAACAAAAGGAAAAACTACTTTTCTGCAGGGAAACAAATGGTAACATTTCTCAATTTGCACAGTGAAATTATGATCTTATTCCAATCAGGGATTTTAATACATTTGCCTCTCACTGGTTATGAAAGGAAAAATAATCAATTCCCCTTGCCTTTTGAGGCTCCATGAGGTATTCTTGCTCTATTTTAGTTTCCCTAGTTAGTGAAATAGGTGCATTCTTTTTATATATATACATGTGTCCTACAGTGTCATTGTGACTATAGCCTAAAGTCTTTGAAAAAAGAAAGTTTTGTAATTTTCTTATAAAAGTACAGTGGTTAATGCATTTTTTCTTTAACATGTATTTGGATATATGAAGATTCATTTAGGCAAATAGGACATTTATTACTTACTTACCACACTATCTCCTTTTACCTAGACAAGTGCATTTGAAATGAGATATTTAAAATCTAGAGAACATAGCAAGATGAAATAAAAGCCTAATAAAATGTGTTTGGGCTAGCATCAAAACCTTTGAAATAGGATATCTAAATAATGTGCATTTTATCTCAGAGGGCTTTTGGTTAGTTCTAGTGTCCAGATGACTATTAATGGGCTTTTGTGCTCTGAAGCATATGTTAATAGAAATGATCATTTTGGATTAGTTTGATGTGAATTAATAAGAGATTTATTTGGTGGAAGTTGTTTGAAGGTGTTGACATTTAAAACTCAACAAGATTTAAGATGTTCAAAAATAGCTTTAAAAATTTGGGAACAGTCAATTCAGAGAGAGCAAATTAAATAGAAATGGATAGGAAAGAACAGGATCTGACATTGAGTTTACGAAGTTTGAAGCAGTTTATAAAAAAAGCGATCTACCATTGAAGTATTGCCTTGGAATCTGAAGAAATAGAAAACATCTAAACTCCTTCAGTGATTCTTGAGTTTGTGAATTGGATAAACAATGTTCTCTTGCATTTTATAGTTCACTTAAGCAATCTGATTTTGATCTGTATATATGGAGTAGACAGGATTCAAGTGTTTTTTTTTTTTCCCTAAACCAATGAGCAAACACATATGTTCTTTCAAAACTGAACTGTATACATTGTTCATATGGAAGCTATCTAGTTTGCTCTAGGCCCAAGATTTGACCTTCCTTTTATTTTGCTATCACTTGCTTAATTCTTTAAATTCTTTGTGGGGACTTTTGATCAAAAGAAACATTTTTTCTTTCTTTTAAAAGTTTTTTTAAAAATAAAAGCTACATGAAATGTGTAATTAATAACTCAGTACTCTTATGCTGATGTGTATACAAGCAAGCATGGAAGAAAACATACTTTTTAAGGCGAAGACCATCGATGACTTTTCTTTTTGTGTTAAGCTTTGATTTCAAACAGTTGAAAAGTTTTATAAGCTGGAAAAACAAAAAGAAAATGTCATCTGGCATTACATATTATGAAAATAAGAACTGTTACTTATAATTAAAAATTATGCGCAACAAGATTTGAAACTGAGGTCCAATTACAGGATCTTGCCCTCCTGATTTTTTAGAGTCTTGTTCAGAATGTGATGTGTGTGTGTCTGTACATATATATGCACACACATATTTGTTTATGAAATTATATTTAGAAAGATACTCAGAAGTGTCAGTTTTCCTTGAGGAGTTCCTTATAGTCATTTTCTTTGCTTTTTAAGCATATCTTTCTTTCTTAAATTAATGACAAATAATAAAATTAAAGTCATCTTGCTTAGTGTGTTTGGCACATAACTGAGGTTGGATATATTTACTGAATGAATGAATATTGGGGGAAGTGAGAAATTGAGGCAAAGATAGGCTTCGGTGGTATTTAAACCACCCTTGGCGCCGGTGGTTTGCTGTTCTATAGTCTTTCAGTGCAATTGGGCAAACTTTTTAAAGGTAAAATTGAAGTGCTATTAACCGGAACTATTGTAGAGTCACAGAGGTGGGGGAATTTTAGAAATAATTTATTCAAATTCCCTTATTGTACAGGTAAAGATGGAGGCTCAGAGAAGCAAAAGGACTTGCCCTTGATCACACGAGCAGGTGATTTAAATCAGGTGTAGAAACTGGATATGCAATTTCCATACGATTTTTACTCATGTTTTGATTCTTTACTTTGCTTAGGGTCAAGATACTACAAAGAATATAGAATTTATAGAATTTACACCTCTTACCTTCAAAGAGTTTCTCATCTAATGGAAATAAATTTTAGTTCACCTGTGTTGAGCTGATGCGTGATCTAAGCTCTGTTTTTAAATTACTGTGATAGTTGATTTATTTAGTTGAATAATTTATTTGATTATCTATTGCAAGGTTAGTTGGAGTAAATATGTCATTAAATGTATGCATGTATATATTTATATATAATATATGAAATATAACTAAAACACTAGTGGTTAATTTACAGTATCTAGATAATGATAGAAAACTCAAATCCCTTTTGCTGTGAAGGTGCCCTCTTGAGAACATCAGTCAGTCTTTTACAGGAGAAGATTTTTTTTTCTTATGTATTTAAGCACTTTAAATAGTGAGATAAAATAGTTAGAATTATTTTTAAGCTCTAATGCTGATTATTTCTACTGCATAAATCTGTCTAAATTATACGGTAACAGAAATAGTGCACTCCTATTTTTATAAAAGTAAACACATTTTCTAAGAAAGCAAAGCATTTAGATTTGTTTTATTTAGAAGGAAATACGGTTAATTAAGAGTAGAAATTTATGATTTTTACAGATGGAATGTCTTATATCTCAGCAATGAAAATTAATACAAATAGAATATTTTGGGAAAGCTACATATATTTTTAACCTGCCTAAATATCTTGGCGTATAATATGCATTCTCATTATATGGGCTGTTCAGGTGGAGAATAATGTAATGTAGGCCTGCTCACTATTACATAGCCCCAGAGGTCAATTTTTAATCTCACAATTAAATAGAGGACTTAAAATAGCAATTTTGAGCTTTGCTGTTCTCCTTTAAATTCTTTACCTCCTCTTTCTCAACTTCACTTTTAGCCCATCATCTAAAATGGCAATTCATAGTAGACTTACTCTAACGGGCATTTTGAACTTTTCCAGGGGTAAGGTAGACTGCATGAAGGATATTGCTATGTAGTAGGATGATAAAGTTTAAAATAGAGTTGCCAAAACTAATGACTGTGTTCATTGTTGTGATTACGTATTTTAATTGCTTTAAGATTTTCCCTATAAAAGCATTTGCTGGTGTTTACAAATTAAGATCTTTTATCCCCACCCCAATGTAGTTAAGTATTATGGTCATTAGGGTTGAAGGGGTTTTAGAGGTTAAATAATTTCACCAACATCACAGTCTGTTATGAAAATGACTTATGTCCTGTAACCTTTTATATCATGTTCCTCCTTCTCTTGTTGCTTTATTAAAACCCTGGGGAGGGAGAGGATCTTGCTCCAGATTTGCTCATGCTTTTATATCTTTCAGGCAGCCTATGATGCCAGCATATTAATATATTTTAGGTGTGATACATGAAAATATGTTTACATCATTTAGGAAGGAAAATTTTTCTTTTGCTTTGTTTTGCAGATGTACAGATCAGCTCTCAAAATGTCTTCTGTGTCTTCTGAGCGTCTTCTAAGACAATTGCATTAGCCTCCTGCTAGTTGACTAATAGAATTAATAATTGTAAAAAGCACTCTAAAGCCACATGCCTTATGAAGTCAATGCTGGGTATGATTTTACAAGTATGTGATCTATTTTTTCAAGTGAAAATGTTAACTGGAAAAGTTCTTGGCACACAGTAAAACATCGTGCAATCTGTTATTTGTCTTAGAGATAATAACTTGAGGGTGGCTATAGTCTTATGGTATCTAACTTACGACTCGCTAGGGGAGTTTCTTCCACTTAGAAGTATGACAAATGTGCTTATATTTACATAATCTGTCACTCTGAAAAATTACGATGATATAATTCCAGTAAAATTATTTCTTCTATAGCTACTTCAAAGTATAGTCAACTAAATTAAGCACATTTTTTTAAAAAACAGCAACTAAAGAACATGCCCCCGCCCCCACAACACAAAATAAAACCCAAATGACCTTTCAGAGATTTCTTTGAAGTTTTAGCAGTTTAACAGTCTTTGCAATGTATATTATTAAGGGCTCTATTCAGCATAAGGAGTCATGAGTCATAAGTGTTCTAAGTATCTGTTCTTGGGTAGAAGAAGGAACTGAAATTTTAGAAAGATGATAATTTAATTAAGTCATATTTTCTCCCAGCCACTAAAGATGCTGGTTGAGTAGTCTTTAAACTATGACCCATTATATCTCTTCAATGTAACAATAAATCAACTAGAGCTAAAGCTTCTTTTTGTTTTGAAAAATAAGTTAATTTTTAAAATACTAATGTATTTAGATCTATTCACTTTTAAGTATTTTATCTTGGTTCCCTTGCTATTTAAAATGTTGCCATTTTCCTAATCGCTCACCCTGGCGTTAACATATGGGCATAAACCATTTTCTCATCATTTTGATGGAAGGCTAACCTTAATGAATTAGATTATTTCTTCCTCATTTCTTTGTGAGTCCTGTCTTTTGATATAGGATTTTTATCTTTTTTGTGTGTGTAACCTTATTCATTTCATTTAGGTGATTCAGTGTTAAGTTCTAGTCATCTTAAGAAGAAACTGTTAAAATAGAAATGATATAGTTATTCAGTAAGGGAAGATTATATTGTAATAGTTAGTGAAGACATTATGTGTAATGGAAAAAATTAACAATCAGGAAATTCTGGAGGGAAAGGTAAGAGAAGTTGTATCAAACCTTCACAATTTTATGTGTAGGAATGTTTGATTACAACCTAAAATATCCTTTTCTGTAGACCAAGTTAAAACCATGCATATTTTGCTCAACCTTATATTTTAAATGATAACTAATTTTTTCAGTTTGCTCATTTAGTCTTTCTTTCCCTGTTTTCCCTTTATTGACTACTAGTAAAATTGCCCTTCGGTTTTCTGCATATTTTCACACATTCCCAGGGCTTCTTTAGTCACTTCTGACAAAAGAATACAGGACTCCTAAAAGGTTGACATAACACATAAGACATTGAAATGCAAACATTAAAAAAAAATAGTTTACCAGTGTTTCCTTTTTTAACAGTGGTTATCAAGTTTTGTTAATTTTAGGGCCTAATAGAATGACACCAAGATGGGAAGCTCATATTCCCCTTCTTTCCTCCAGAAGTCAGTCAGGTTTACATTGCCTCAACGCCAACACTTTCACTTGAAACTTCACTCTTCCATCCTATATATGTAATTTTGTTCCAAGAGGGAGCTTTTATAGGTATTTGGCGAATAACATTATTGATGTGTAAGAAGAACAGTGTACTTTCTTTCTTTTTGTTTTTGTTTTTGCTTTTGTTTTTTTTTTTGAGATGGAGTTTCACTCTTGTCGCCCAGGCTGGAGTGCAATGGCATGATCTTGGCTCACTGCAACCTCCGCTTCCTGGGTTCAAGCAGTTCTCCTGCCTCAGCCTCCCTAGTAGCTGGGATTACAGGCATGCACCACCACACCCAGCTAATTTTTGTATTTTTTTTGTAGAGATGGAATTTCGCCATGTTGGTCAGCTGGTCTTGAACTCCTGACCTCAGGTGATCCACCCGCCGTGGCCTCCCAAAGTGCTGGGATTACAGGCGTGAGCCCCTGTGCTTGGCCCAGTGTACTTTCTTAAGTACCATTATGCTATTTTTCACATTATTCACTGTGGCACATTTTTACTTTATAAATGATTCCTTATACTCTAGTGCACTATCCTTGTTCAGTGATTCATATAAAAATTTTGCATGACCAGCTTTTCAGAAGCAAAGGTACACTTGTCTATCCAAAGCCAGTGTGGTACTTCAGTACTTGTGAGAAATTATAGATGAAAATGACTAAACCTCATGTTATTAATTTAGATTTTCTCAGCATGTTTTGGATAATTGCGGTATAACTAACTGTTAGTCCTTATGGCGAAGTCAACTAACAAAGAAGTCTTGTTTAATCAGAATGTCACAGGTGGAATTTTCCAAGAGACATTTGGGGTGATGACTTACACAGCACTCGACAGCTTTTTAAGCTGAGTGATTAAGAAACAGCAGCCACGGAACCCAGTCCTCGACCAGCCTTTGTTAATGCATTCTTTAATTGACACTACACAAATTGTTTCTTAGTTTATTTTATATTCTTAAAGTTCTGACTCATTCTACTCCAGCAGAAGAATTTGTTCCAGTATTCTTCTTTTGACCCCAGTCACTGATGTCACTAACTTAACTTGAGAGACATGGTTGAGCTAATGTGTAAAGGTGAACCATAGCAAACTGCTAATATTTTGCTGTTTTGAACTACACAAGGACAATGTCATATGGTTCAGCTTAATCTTCTTTCTTAGTCAGTTTCCAGTGTGCTCCCAGTGGTGGAACAGGTACTGTTTTCACCAGGCTGCATATGGACACCCAGAGCTTATTAGGTTCCCCAGCATGCTGGACAGAGTCCTAGGAAAACCTGATCTGACCACTGTGATGCATAGCAGGTCTTTCTTCTGACTTTCAGGCAAGCCCCAAATGTGGCTCAAAGAAATTTGTTGGTAGGTCAGAGCTGGAACGTTTGTCATCCTCCGCTTCCTGAAAGTGATGAGGCAGTTTTCACTCTGTTTATAACATAGCTGTTTCTGTCTTTTTGACTATGAAGATATTTTGTTTGAAACTATATTTACATCCCGGTTACATAGGGTAACAATATCGAATTCCAATTTATGTTATTTATGTATACATATATGTACCATATAAATAAATGTGATGTATTCTATAACCATAAACACATATATGTATTTTATAAACATAACATGTGTACATGTTATATATAATATAGACCATATATAAATATATAAGCATGCATATATATTGTTAGCTACAATCAAAGGAAGAAATTGGGCAAAAATATATTTTCAGGAAAGAATAAGTAATAGGGAGGGTAAACCTAGTAATAAAAATAAATCCTTCATTATTCCTAAAACCACCTTAAAATAATAAATGAGCCAGTCTTGGTTACAAAAGTAATTCTAAATGTAAATTGTTTGTTTTAGTCTCAACTTTTTGCTGTTTTTAGAATGGGTTTTTTTTTTTTTCCTAGAGGAAGCATTTGATTATGCACCTTAAAAAACTCACATAAGTAAAATATTCCAGATTCAACTGTATCTCTGTAACTTTCAGATAACACTGTATCTGCCTTTTCCCTTTATCTTTGCAGATATGGTCCGGAAAAAGAACCCCCCTCTGAGAAACGTTGCAAGTGAAGGCGAGGGCCAGATCCTGGAGCCTATAGGTACAGAAAGCAAGGTATCTGGAAAGAACAAAGAATTTTCTGCAGATCAGATGTCAGAAAATACGGATCAGAGTGATGCTGCAGAACTAAATCATAAGGAGGAACATAGCTTGCATGTTCAAGATCCATCTTCTAGCAGTAAGAAGGACTTGAAAAGCGCAGTTCTGAGTGAGAAGGCTGGCTTCAATTATGAAAGCCCCAGTAAGGGAGGAAACTTTCCCTCCTTTCCGCATGATGAGGTGACAGACAGAAATATGTTGGCTTTCTCATCTCCAGCTGCTGGGGGAGTCTGTGAGCCCTTGAAGTCTCCGCAAAGAGCAGAGGCAGATGACCCTCAAGATATGGCCTGCACCCCCTCAGGGGACTCACTGGAGACAAAGGAAGATCAGAAGATGTCACCAAAGGCTACAGAGGAAACAGGGCAAGCACAGAGTGGTCAAGCCAATTGTCAAGGTTTGAGCCCAGTTTCAGTGGCCTCAAAAAACCCACAAGTGCCTTCAGATGGGGGTGTAAGACTGAATAAATCCAAAACTGACTTACTGGTGAATGACAACCCAGACCCGGCACCTCTGTCTCCAGAGCTTCAGGACTTTAAATGCAATATCTGTGGATATGGTTACTACGGCAACGACCCCACAGATCTGATTAAGCACTTCCGAAAGTATCACTTAGGACTGCATAACCGCACCAGGCAAGATGCTGAGCTGGACAGCAAAATCTTGGCCCTTCATAACATGGTGCAGTTCAGCCATTCCAAAGACTTCCAGAAGGTCAACCGTTCTGTGTTTTCTGGTGTGCTGCAGGACATCAATTCTTCAAGGCCTGTTTTACTAAATGGGACCTATGATGTGCAGGTTTGTACTTTGTATTGTCTCTTTGTACAGAAAAAGTTATTAGAAATGAAATGTGAATTCTTATATTCATGTTAAAACCAAGGTCCCAGTACCAGACAGGTAGCCTGCTAGATCTAGCAGAAGAGATGGACACACTCCATAGCTACTTCATACAAGTATATTCAGAGTTGTCTAAAGACAACTTTTAGCCTCTTATTGTGGAAAACAATCCTAGCATTTTTTTAAATTTGGGAAAGTCTTTTCATGGAATTAGCTAAGCTTCACAATTCTGGGCATATGTCATGGTAATTTGATGTTTTCACAGTCTTCCAAAAATGTTACTAATCTTTATGGTTGCACATGATAATAATTCATGCCTTGTTCCAGTTTTAGATTATAAGGCTTTTGCTATAATCTTTCTTTCAGTGAGGATATTTCCTGTATCTTGGATTAGGATTTGATTTTATATTCATCCTGACGGTTCATATTGATGGTTGCAGAGATAGTCCTGAAAAGGCAAAATAATTGCAAATGAAAACTGGGATATAACATTTTATGTTGATTAGAAAGAAGTAAATGTTATTTTAAGTATTAGGGACAGCAGAATGACCTTGGTAGGGGCCAATAAAGCATTCCTTTCTGCATTTAAGGAAAATGGCAATAATTTATGAAAGCATTTAGTAATAATTTAGATTTTTACTTTTATTAAAAACAGCCTACCTTTTTGTTCTATCTTTCTGTCTTTAGTTTATGGCATATGTGAAATGGAAAAAAGAAACTGTTACCATTTTGAATAGAACGAAACATGGAACTGAGTCTAAATAAATGTATACATTTAATTTTAGTAATTTTAGCATAGTCAAAATTCATGGTCAGCTTGAGAAAGTGTATTAGTTTTTGTTACAGTTTGTAGATTTTTATTGTATTATAAGGCCAGGGGGATTTCAAAACATATTAGCTTTACTAGTAACTTTTTTTAGGAATGATTAGAAGTACCCAGAGAACTAATGAAATAAATCCCTTAAAATATCAGTCATTTTTATCCACTTGATAGCTACAGCTCATTTGTCTCAGACCTCTCTATTGACCTAATACCAATTAAGAAAAGCAGGCAAAGAGGTTGTAAATAACAGGTAGTGAACATATTTTGCAATACTTGTAAGAAGAATCAGAAGAGAAATTTCCTGGTCCTTTAAATGTCAGAATGGCAATCTTATCACTTTAAGGGAGATATAAAGAACTCTTAAAACACCAGTTTCATCTTGGTAAAGTTCTCTAAAAATTCCATCTTAGTTTGTGATTTTCCACAGATAGAATTATTTCTGTGGAGCAGCAAATTAACCCAACATAGTTATTATGCATGAAAGCTACATGCTTTGAACTGCTGTCTATTAAAGATCATTTCACTGTCTTATGTCAGATACACTCTGCTGTCAAACTATGATTGGGAAGCAAATACTTGTTTTAGATAAAAGGGTTGGAAGTGAATAATGTCAGTATGTGAAACAGTGTTTTATAATTAGCAAGTAATATGAAGTTAATACCTGGATTTCCGGCAGGCGTTTCAGTCTGTTCACTCTAGGGACAACTTCTGAGGGAAGCTGATCTAGGCTGTCAGGGAAAACTCTAAAAACGAAAATTACTAAGGCCTATAGTTTGGAAGAATTCAGATTTTTAAACACACTTCCATTTCCCCCAAACAGTTATTTGTTAGGTTCTTAGTTATTTATAGTAAAGTTTATGTTTGGGTAGAAGGAGCTGGACACTTTTCCTGGGCAGTGATTTTAGAAGTAAAACAGATGTGTGAGCTATCTGAGTTTGAACTAATAGAACTAGAAATAAAACAGCTGATCCTAGACTATGCTGTCTGCTAAATCCTTGCAGCACACACCGAGGAAGACAAAAAGTGGTAGGAAAGAGCATGCAGGAACATAATCTTGTTAAGATAATTTTTTTCCAAGATAAATAATACTGTTAAAAATAGAAAAAAGTAATCTGTGGCAACAGCGCGTGATTATTTCAAACAAACAATTGGATTTTGAAACGCATCTAAAGGGTTAACTTCAATTTGTGAGGATAACACTGAATATACTTGTAGATCGAATGCTAATCTTGAATGCTTTGCACATATGCCAGATACTGCTGCAGAAAAATGTCTGAAGATAAGTAACTTATTAGTATCTTCATGCTGAAATAAATATTGAACAGTTTTTCTATATGCATAAAATGAATAAAAACGCATCTGAAATTTCCTTTTATACCAACAAGTTTATGTTACTGAAATGCTATTTGAGAGATTCTTTCCTTGGTGGTTAAACTTCGTGGAGGCTAAAAGCTGTGGGAGATAAAATGCTGACTATAGAATTTCTTTAATGTAGTTTTGTCAGAAATATATAGTAAGTTAATGGCCTGTGTGTATTCTGATAAAAAGATGTTGGTAAATATGAGTATTACAGACAATCGTTCAATTTTAGGAATTATATATAAGTCCATAATTTAAGCTAATTGAAGTAATAGATGAAGAATTCATTAATCCTTTTCAATTAAACTTGCTTTTTAAAAAACATTCAGAACAGTTGGTGGTTAATGATAGATTTATGACATTTTAGGCCAAAAAAAAAAAAAAAGTAACAGAAGCCAAAAGCAAAACACTGAAAGAACTCTATGGCTTTGATCTATATTTTGGTTTGACATGGATGGTTTTAAATAATTTGAATGGACTTGAGAGCAAATATGAGATATACAGTTGGGAAAAGAAGTACATAATTTAAACAAATTCGAAGATTTCCCGGTTTAAGTGCAAGTTATTTCAAATATACTTGGAGGAATAATTGAAATTTAGACATGCTTGTGCTGATAATATCCACTTTTGTATAAATTAGATCACAAATGACTAAGTCAAAGAATTACAACTTTGTAAAAATACTGCCAAATAACAATGTTTCTTTGTGCTGCATAGAAGATAGAGCCCCAGCCGGATAATGGAGGTCACTGTAAATAGCCATCAGAAAGCCAAGACTGTCCTTTCTGAGTGTGGCATTTATCAGATTCTCCCCCCAACACCTTGAGGTAGCATGCCCAGTCCTAAAAGCAGAAGACATGTAAATTCTTTACCAAGAAAACAAGAGAAGCTATAATGGCTAGCTTAGAGCTAATTGATTTGACCAGGATGTTAGTTTTCCAATTTTTCATTTATCCAGCATGTTCTATCAGTTGTCATGCTTAAATTTGTAAAAATCATAGATGCAGCATGATTGGTTAGCTTTTCATGTAATATTTACTATCTGTATTCGGCCATAGAGGCTCACATGGAGACCAATAATACAAGAGATCGAGTTCTTAAAAAAGTAATTACAGCTTCTTTCTTTTTATTTTTTTCTTTTTCTTTTTGGAGATGGAGATCTCACTCTGTCACCCAGGCTGGAGTGCAGTGGCATGGTCTCAGCTCACTGCAACCTCCGCCTCCCAGGTTCAAGTTATTCTCCTGCCTCAGCCTCCCGAGTAGCTGAGATAACAGGTGTGCACCACCACGCCCAGCTAATTTTTTTGTATTTTTAGTAGAGACGGGGTTTCACCATATTGGCCAGGCTGGTCTCGAACTCCTGACCACCCGCCTCGGCCTCCCAAAGTGCTGGGATTACAGGCGTGAGCCACCGCGCCCTGCTAGCTTCTTTCTTTTTAATCTGCTTTATTATGCTTATATTTAAACCATTACTGAATGGAGGCCTGCATTAACAACGCGGCCTTTGCTGTTTCATTAGGGTGTAATGCGCTGTGCATTGGGTGTTTGCATCATCTTTATTGGGGAGCTTTTAGCCCTCAGATCAGGTTATAAAAGTAGGAGTCTTGTCAAGTTGTGCTTCCCACGGGAAAGTGTTTATGCTATCCCAAGTTCAGATGCTTATGATATATATGTTGCCTTTTCATATTAGTGAATTCTTTTTATTACTGCATTATTCAGGACTTTAAGAAGGTAGCTACTGGTTTCCAGCTATTAAATTTATTTTGGCCCTTAATGAAATTCTAAGGCTAATAGAAGAATCACATGATTAACTTACCAAGTACTGTCTTATGTTTGAGCTAGGAGTGTTACATTTCTGTGTTGTAAATATTTTTATCAGAGTTGCACAATATGTCATGTTAGAAGCAGGAAGAACAGATTTTAGAGAGAGGAAGTCATCCTTTGGATTTGTATTTTCAACAGATTTAATTGTATGAGTTTATAGATCTTTAACATGTATCAGTACAATCGTTTGAGCAGGGGATTACAGTTTGGTTTGAAAAAAAAATCAGAGACCATTAATCTTACTGTGGTTTATTTTGACTTGTCTTGAATTTTACTTCTAAACATTTATTTTTTGCCTTGGCATTTTCTTTGATCTGGAGTAGGAGGGAAGTTGTAGATCTTAGCAGGTTCTGTTTCTTTGTTTTTCTGAGTTGAGGACAATTGCAGTTTAGAAAAACTGGTGAATGAGACTTTTATCAATTCAGACTGTCTATAGAATACAGAATGTTTGGCATATGAACCCACACTTCTTTTTCAGGACTGTGTCTCCTTAACAAGTAATAAAGTGTGCAAAATAAGACATATGCTCAC
The DNA here is from genome assembly GCF_000001405.40 of Homo sapiens. Lineage (NCBI taxonomy): Eukaryota > Metazoa > Chordata > Mammalia > Primates > Hominidae > Homo > Homo sapiens. The sequence continues at coordinate 115,614,555 of NC_000008.11, read as the reverse complement.
CTCAAGGCCATAAAGCAAGGCAAAGTTCTGGTATTTACCAGGTTATTTTCATCAGTGGAGATGGCAGAGCTAAATAATGTAGCCACCCTAGTAGAATAGTTCAACTATCATTACTAATCCCTTTACCTGCATGACAGTTAAATCTTTTTTGGCCTTGTTCATGACAGTTGGTATCATCTTTGATTTTTGGTTTATTTGTTATCATTTAAAGGAACATGTATAATTTTGTTGAATATCAGTATTTTTCTCTATGCAGAATGTTTAGGAGAATAAATTGTGGTTATCAGTGGATTCAATCAAATTTAGCATTATTCAACTCCTAAGAAAATCTTTTACCTCTCCTATGGCCTGCTCTGCTAACCATCTCAAGTCAGGAGGTTACTCAGTGTTTTTTTATTTCTTGGATCATTGTAATTACAGCATACGTGCAGCTGTTAGAAACACAGATATACAAGTAGTGTGCCAATACGGGGAAAGTTTGGAGAGAGAAAGTTGTTCTGTTTCATTTTCTGATTTCCTTTGTAGAGTCTGATTCTGACAGTCATTAGACCATAGATGTCTTGAATTCTTCATCAGGCGATCCACATTTGAGGCAAATGTTATACGTTTTCAGAATATCATACAAACCCTTGTTTAATTTTAATTGAAAGTCAAATGTAAAATTTATTTTTCTGTCTTACATTTAAGTTGATTCATACTTCTTTCATCTTTTAGTTTACATAATCAAAATTTGTACAGATCCCTTATTTTTTTCCAATTTTGGATTCACATCTAATAATAGCTAAAATTTACTAAGGGTTCTTATGTGTGTATGTGGAGCTCAGTTTTTTACATGTATTAATGAACTCATCTTCATAATAGCCCTAGAAGTAAACACTAACCTTATGTCCATTTAAAAAAATAAGGAAACAGCATATATTAAAGTATCCTGCCCAAGATCACAGAGTTGCATAAGTAGAGAGAATGGGATGTAAACCATGATAGACAGGCCACGGAAGCCTGTCTTCACAACCACACTGATATATGGCCTGGCCAAACATGAGTCTGAGTTTACTGCCAATAGCAAAGCAATAGAGGGTAGGCCAATTGCATGTAAGGGAGGAGATAGAAGACATAAATCAGAGCTCTTTGATGCAGTCTCTCTGAATGAGGTTGATTTTGGGGACTTGGGTGATTTCTTTGAGATTATCTGCTATCTGCTCCGTGTAGTGTAATGCTACCTTATTTGAACTTACTAAGCTTCTATTCGAAATCAGTAAAAAGAAAATTAAATTTGCTGACTCATCTTTTTAAAATTACAGTGATTCCTTTTCCCTGGTACTTTTGCTGCAGGAATTAGTTCTGGTAGAGCGAATAAGGTGCAAATTTTGATGTAATCAATTAAGGATGTAATGTTTGATCCCCAAATTAAGGGACATTTCATCCAGGTGTTTGACTTTTTTTGTACTCCCCTCATTTAGAGGACTTTGTTTTAGGAATTTATTATTTAAATGATGGTCTGAAAGTTGTCTTATGCTCTTCTAGTTACCAGGCACAATTTAGGTTGTTTTTTTTCCATGCAGATTACATGTTAAGGAGATACACTCCATTCCCATTTATGTCCTCCAAGGCTGTGTAATTAAGGTTTTATCCTCCGCCTACATTCAGTGCAGGAATGGGTGTGGAAGCAGAGAACAAATCAGAATGCCTTTAGAGTGTCCAATTTGAGTGTGCTGGATTCTCCAGCTGTGCTTGGAGCTGTGTGATTTCATTGAATTCAGAAAGCAATAGACGGGTGGGACATAGTGAGGAGTTTGGGAATTCACAGAGTCTCCTGGCCTAGCATTTCTCCTTTCATGTTTAGTTGAACTGTTGATATAAGATTAAAGAATGCCTGCATCCTTTCATGTGTCCAGGAACATATCTGGGAATCTTATAATAAATGATGGTTTGTTCCAAGACCTGTTTTTCCAGCTGATGGGAAGCTCCACCTTGGAATTCATTGGCACTTCAAAGTCAACATATGTAAAAGTGAAGTTCCCCACAACAACTTTCTTTTTGCCTCCTTTCTTCTTTACTCCTGTTTTCAGCTAAGTCAGGCTGGAAATCTTGGAGTTACCTTGGATTTCTGTTTGATATCACGCCCCAAACACTTGAGCAGTGTGTCCCATTGTTCCCTTCTTTATTCTTTTACTGTCACTTCTTTCAAGTAAATCCTTATTGATTTCTTTTCTGTTGTTCTAGCTTTATCTTCCCTTCTTGTCTCTTCCTTTCCCTTCTCTTCTCACCTCCTATTCTTTCCTCCTCCTCCTCATCTTCCTCTCCTTTCCTTTGATTTCTTTTTTGTGCTCTTTCTTGTCTTCTTCTGTTTTTATTTCCTTCCTCATTCCTTCTTCTTCCTCCTCTCTTTGGCCTCTTTTTCTGTTCTTTTCTTCTGTCCTCCTTCTTTTATCTTCCTTTCTCCTTCTCTTTTTTTCATCCTCCTTCCTTTCTCTTTTTTTCTCCCACCCTCTCACCTTCCTTTCTTTCTTCTTTCCTTTAATTTTTAAAAATTCTGTTTATTGATCAGTTGTCCTACATTTTATAGCAAGTATGGGACTACTTCTGTTGAAAAGCATATCATCTAATTATACTTGCTTATGTAAATATCAGCTCTCCAATAAGACATTAACTTTCCAGATTAAATCTCACTATTCTTCCAGAAAGGATAATAGTAAGAACAAGGCTAGCACATTTATATTACTTATTACATTTATATTACTTATTACATAGCAAGCACCGTTATGTACCATATTCCATTTAACGATTTGATAATGCCTCGGCCCTCCTCAGTATTTCCTGAGAGCAGCTTGCATTGTCTTACTCTCGCTGTTGATTTTACTGGTTTTGTTTCCTTCACCTGAAATGCCCTTTCATGATCACTGCCTTTGAGGCTAACCTTCACATATCAGCTCATCTGTCCACAGCTCAGTTGTTACTTCTGGGAGCCTTTGCTGACTCCTCAGTCTGGGTTAGGGGCTCTTCCTCTGTGTTGTCATGGAACCTGTTACATGTCTCAGCAGAAGCATGTTTTCCATTGTTGTTGTCTTTTTAGTTGTGAGCTTTTTGTGCTAAACCATAGACATGTTACGATTTTTGACTATGTCATTCTTTTTGTATTTCCAGTGCTTGGCACATAGTAGATGTGTTAAAACAGCAACCTTCCCTGGAGGAAGGATGTTCTATATTTTCGGAGATTAGATTTTCTCTTTTCCCATTAAGATGCTCTTTAGAATACATGTGCAATTCTGACATATCTCCATTATGAACCAGCAGCACCTGCAGGTTGGATGCTGTAGAGGAGTGCTATGGGGAATTCACTTAGCTTTGTAACCCACTTGAACTGCATTTTGTCTTGTTTATTTTTCCTATAAAATATTGTCTTCCAATTTATTAAGATGGACTTTTTTTTTTTTTTTTTGATATGGAGTCTTGCTCTGTTGCCCAGGCTGGAGTGCAGTGGCATGGTCTCGGCTCACTGCAACCTCCGCCCCCCAGGCTCAAGCGATTCTCCCACCTCAGCCTCCCGAGTAGCTGGGATTACAGGCACCTGCCACCACATCTGGCTAATTTTTGTATTTTTATTAGACACAGGGTTTCACCATGTTGGCCAGGCTGGTCTCGAACTCCTGATCTCAGGTGATCCGCCCGCCTTGGCCTCCCAAAGTGCTGGGATTACAGGTGTGAGCCACTGTCCCCGGCCTATTAAGATGGACTTTAAGATTTATTGGTACTCTGTCATCTGAAATACCAGATAATATAGAAAAATTAATTCAGAATTATACTGAGTAAAATGAGAAAACCAGTTTAGGGTAAACTGTTTATTGCTATTATGCAAAAAGCCAATAATAAAAATCTGCATAATGAGGAATATGCAGTATTTTCTTCTTCAATGTGCCCAGTGTAGGAGTTTGAGTTTTGGTTTCCCCTGTACCCTCCCCTGCCGTTGGTTGGCTCTTGTATTATAAATCCAAATAAGGGAGTTGTTACAGTGTCACTGATAGGAATAAACCTCAGAAATAAGCTATGGATGGCATGAGAGTCAGATGATGCCATATAATTTGAGTTGTTATTGAGATTCTGAAACATTTATTCTCCATCAAAAGTATATCACTGAAGCACACTCTATATTCTAGAATGTTTTTTTGAAGCACTATACATGCAGAAAAATTCCCGATGTATATAAGCAGATTAATTCTGGCTGTAGTTATTTTCCGCTAAGATCGGCCCTTACAGACTTTTTTCAAGTTATTCGAAATATCAGTATTTGAACAGTGATTTTTTTTTAACAACTTAGCTTTTTATTTTTAAGCTTTTACCTCTTTGACTATCAGCCCATAACCTCAAGTTCTCTTAAATTAGTACCCTTATAATTGTCTCTGTTGCTATCAATTATAGTACTTGAAAATGAACCACAACTGAGAAGAGGTTTGTGTTTAGTTCAAACAACTCTTTCTTTGCTGCGTTGAAAATAAGTACATGTGTTGAAGTGTCATTTTAAGAGCTCTGAGGCTTTAAGAAATATTTTCCTTTGACATATTATTTTAGATATTATTCTTGTTAGCTTTTGCTCCATATTATTGGGAGGAAAGAAAGAAACTGAGATTAATGACCTTGAAAGAAACCAACCCTTTTATATTCTTCACTTCTACGGTAAAACATTTTTGTGTGTGTGTAAAAAGACATATGTAAATAAATTATAAATGAAAGCCATGGAAAACACTTCATGGAAGGAATAGTTTTTAAAACTAGGGCTAAAATCAAGTATAAAAAGCCATGCTAGTCCTTAGTCAGTGAAAAAGACTTTAAAATACTCTTTTTTGTGCCTTAATTGTTTTAGGTGTTTTTATATAACTTTAATTCACAATCAAAGGACTCCATAGTCAGTCATTTGCTTGTGGACAAAAGATGCATTTTGTAGTTTCTTGAAGAAGGCCATGTATGCCAGGTCAAGTCAGTGGTGAGGGTGCCATGAAGTACTGTGGCCAGCGAATCTCAGGTAACTCAGGGGCCTTGGTGAGACATTTTCATCTGCTTACATCTCCCTTCGTTCATTCATTCAGTCAAAATGCATTGAACTCCTGCTTTCTTCTAGATGTGAATAAGACTATTCTTGTAGCTCAAGAAGGAATATAAACAGAAGTATTATCTTAGTAACAGCAGATTGAACCTTTGCATTTACAGCTAAGAATATTGATAGTGACAAGTGTGTGAGTTTGTCACTGAATGAATTTACCACTTCCCTTCTATGTAATCTCTTTATCCCATTTGCAGGAAAAATTTACTTGAATGATTCATTTTATTAAATAATAATCCTACCTATGCACATGTTACTGTTGAGTGTGCTATCTAATATGGTATTCCCTAACAAAATGTGGCTATTTAAATTTTAGGCTGGGCATGGTGGTGCATGCCGTAATCCCAGCATTTTGTGAGGCCAAGGCAAGTGGCTAGCTTGAGCCCAGGAGTTCAAGACCAGTCTGGGCAACATGGCAAAACCCTGTTTCCACAAAAAATACAAAAATTAGCTGGGTGTGGTGGCATGTGTCTGTTGTCTCAGCTACTCTGGAGGCTAAGGTGGGAAGATTCACTTGAGCCCAGGAGGCAGAGGTGACAGTGAGCGGAGATCGTGACATTGCACTCCAGCCTGGGTGACAGACTGAGACCCTGCCTCTAAAAAAGAAATTTTTAAAATAAATACATTTCAGTTAATTACAAATAAATTAGTGAAATGCTGAGAAAAATATATGAAAGTAAATTTAAAAAACAGTTCTTCATTTTTACTAAGCCTACTTGTGGCTAGTGGCTACCATATTGGCCAAGGAAGGCTATGGAACATTTTTATCATCTCAGGAAGTACTATTGGACAGCACAAATCCATAGTTCTCACTTGATCCTCACGATAATCCTATAAAATGACAAGTTGTACAGTATTGTATCCATAGAGGCCAGGAGACTAAGGTTCCAAGAGGTTAAATAATGTATCTTTTCATAGAACTTGAGCTAGAGAACTTCCTCTAGAAGCAAATAAATACAGGCAGATGTAAATACAAATAAATAAAGGGTTTTATCTACAATTTTTAAATCTTACAATGTAAGTATCTTGAAGGCAGAGATGTTGTCTACCTCTTCAATATTATATGCCTAATATCTATTGCAGAGTCTGACACAAGCCGAACACTTAGTTACTACTAATTAGAGGGATAAATACGTGTAGTTTTTGGCCCAAACAGAAATTACAGTTTAATATAATTGTAAAAATTTGGATGTCTTTACCAAAGGAACTGCTGGGTTTAAAGGGTTATAATTAAAGTTCTGGTTAGTAAAAGAAGGAAGTTTGAAAGCTCTGCTCTCTATTCTGCTTGCACTCTCTTTTTAGTATAGTCACAGCTAAGAAGCAGTAAATTTTCCTACTCCGTGATGGATTCAGCCATTTGAAAAGTTTGCAATATTCTATGAACGTGTAGGCACTGTTTCCAGACAATAAGTTTCAATAAACCATTGCTGAAAACACTTATTTTGCATAATTGTTCTCACTGTGTATTTGTTTTTACCCTAGAAAAGAATAGATTTAAAATAGCATAAATGGGGCATGCAAATAAAATGAGTATGGTCAATAGACACCAGTAGTGTCTCCTAAAATAATAAATTATGTTTTATTGTAGAATGGCATTTAAATGTTGTATGTCATCTATATTTCGCTATGACTTGAGTGTACATCTACCAGTATAGAAAGTATAAAAATTGCCACAAATAGAGCTTTTAGGTGTTCTTTTTGAAATAAAAAAGGAATAGAACACTGTCATTATGTTTTCCAAAACTGCGTTTTAAAATATGTGATTCTAATATTATATTAGCTTTTAATAATATATAATACTAATATTATTTACCGATATTAACCAAAAACGCAAATATGTGACCTATAGAAGTGTCATTATTGTTCTTGCCATTAAATGAGATCCGTGAGTTTTCATTTTTTAGCTTGGCTTTTGAAAGAGCAGTCAATAGTATGAAGGTATTCATTCTTCAGCATAATTAAAATATATAGCCCTTAAAAGCTTCTTAAATAATGAAGTTGGCACATTTTCCCTGGGTTTAACAAAAAAAAAAAAACACATCTAGACACGTACACCAACTTCAAAGACCTAACTCGTTTTTTATAGCTTAGTTAATCCTAAACCAAAATGCTTTACTGATAATTTTTCACAAAGTTGCCTTCTTTCGTAGTCCCTTCTCCTGATAGTATTGATTCGTAGCCTGGGTTTTCTGACTTCTTAGGTTGTTTTTAAATAACAACAACCTTTTTAGTATGTTGGGATGCTTAGTAATAATTTAAATCCACTTCAGAATCATATGTTTAGGGATTTCTTAAGTATATGTATGCTCTTTGTTCAACCCTTTCAGTGTGGTCATGGCACATGAGGCTTAAAGATTGCAAAATCAAAGAAATAGTGATGATGCCTGGTGGTTTCTTGGGAATCTTGGGTCAACAAGCAGAAGTTCAAAGCATTTTATAATAGGGAAGCTTGGCAAGGCAGATGCAATGTGAAAGCTTAAACAAGAAAATTTTTATCTCTAGATTTTGCATACTTTCTTTCTTTGCCTGTGTTAAAGAAGGGGATACATCTGAATTTATCCCTTTTGAATCAAGTTTAAGTTCCGGAACAAAGAACCTGATTGATGGCTATCCATTTAAATATATATATGTATTTTTTTTTTTTTTTTTTTTTGGCAAATGAACCTTCTCTTTACCTCCAGTGAATTGGGAAATATATGTAGAGATTTTTACAATATTATGAATTATATTTCAGTATTATGAATTATATTTCAGTGCAAGTTTTAGTTGCTTTAGTCACTTAAATGCTAGATTAGAGTGTTCTGTGCTGTATCCTTGAGTGTATGGCTTTGAAACCTCTCACACCATTGAATGATTGTCAGGTTGCTGCCTGGAAGGGTGCCCCATTCTTAGCTTTCTGGCTGGTTGATGCTCTGTCATTGACAGACTGAAATCTATGTGATTGGGGTTCTGGTTATAGACATTGCCTAATGTGAAATATTACATCCTTTGATTAAAGGCTGTGGAAAACTTCTGTAAGATCCTATCTTAATGTACAGTAAATGTTGAGTTGTTTATATATTAATGCACATTTCTTAGAACTATAATACTGGACATAAATTTGGAGGTTGCCCCAGTTGAAGAAGCTATTGGCCAGAGAGATTAAGTAATTTGATCAAGGTCACATCTCTTTTTAATAGCAAAAAGAATACTTCAATCTTAGTCCTGTACAATAGAGGTACAAACATATCTCTCAGTGTACTACAGCAATATTATTTGCATTTCAAATAGAGCCTTTACGTGATTTTGAGATGCCTGAGACTTTTCTCATGCAGTGATTTGGATATGAACAGCGATCACACGTGTCATTTTTGAACAGCTGTTGAAGAAGGCAGAAGATGATTATGCCACTTGCTTAATATATTACATCTGGTTGCTGGGAAAATTTAAAAATTCCCTGGTGGTTGGAAGAGAAATTGTTTTCCCTTTTTGGAGTATTTCATTCAAAAAACTCTATTTTAACTCTGAATTTTGGCTGCTCAGTGGTGGCTTAATTGTACTGCCTATTGAGGTGCACACTGAGAATGGAGGAAGGATTTTATGCAAAGTGCCCTTTGAAGGCTTTCATAGTCCTGATTCCATGTAATTTCATAATTTGGGAAAGAAAGCAGAGTTGTAGTGATTTTTTATGGTGGAATTATTTTATTTTACCATTCAGACATCATGACCTACTCATGTGAGAAGTTGGGAGCCCTTTGCAATGAAACAGAACCTTAATCAAATAAGGCATGGAAGATTTTTCTTTTTTTTTGTTTGTTCTAGATGGGGAAACATTCAAAATTCTTTATTTACACGGTTCTTCTTTGCTAGTATTTCCTGCATACTCAATTCATCTTTTTGTTTGTTTCACTGTGCTTTAATTATAAGCCATTTTGGGTGGTCATTGGAGCACCTTTATTTTACCTAAAACAGAGACCTCATCTTTGCCTGCAGCCTCATTGCTGTAGGAACTGAACAGAATATTTCCTTGGAGAACATCTGCATTGAGTAATTTTTGAGCAAGTGCCTCTAGTTTTGACAGTAACGCTTCACCTTTTGAAAAGAAATCCCATGTGATTTGGATGCTTCTGTAGGAATGTGATTTGAAGGAGGCAATAGTAAAATGTACTGTGTTGAAAATTGTTTTCTTAGTTTAAAAAATGTATTATTAAGTCTTTCAAATTATAGTGCATTTATTACTTACCTTCACCTGTTACTTTGGCCTACAGTGTATAACATAATGAGCCTCTCAAAGAGTAGCTGTTGAGAAATGAAGAGTGAATTTATTTGGCTCTGATTATTCAAGTGATTTCATAATAAGCAGGAGTACTATTGTATTTTTTGATGTGGAATACTTGGCAGTACCCTCCCCCTCCCCTGCAGAGGGCCCATTGAATTAATGACACCTTGGAAGTAAAGTCCATTTCTTCTGTTCTCCAGGTGACTTCAGGTGGAACATTCATTGGCATTGGACGGAAAACACCAGATTGCCAAGGGAACACCAAGTATTTCCGCTGTAAATTCTGCAATTTCACTTATATGGGCAACTCATCCACCGAATTAGAACAACATTTTCTTCAGACTCACCCAAACAAAATAAAAGCTTCTCTCCCCTCCTCTGAGGTTGCAAAACCTTCAGAGAAAAACTCTAACAAGTCCATCCCTGCACTTCAATCCAGTGATTCTGGAGACTTGGGAAAATGGCAGGACAAGATAACAGTCAAAGCAGGAGATGACACTCCTGTTGGGTACTCAGTGCCCATAAAGCCCCTCGATTCCTCTAGACAAAATGGTACAGAGGCCACCAGTTACTACTGGTGTAAATTTTGTAGTTTCAGCTGTGAGTCATCTAGCTCACTTAAACTGCTAGAACATTATGGCAAGCAGCACGGAGCAGTGCAGTCAGGCGGCCTTAATCCAGAGTTAAATGATAAGCTTTCCAGGGGCTCTGTCATTAATCAGAATGATCTAGCCAAAAGTTCAGAAGGAGAGACAATGACCAAGACAGACAAGAGCTCGAGTGGGGCTAAAAAGAAGGACTTCTCCAGCAAGGGAGCCGAGGATAATATGGTAACGAGCTATAATTGTCAGTTCTGTGACTTCCGATATTCCAAAAGCCATGGCCCTGATGTAATTGTAGTGGGGCCACTTCTCCGTCATTATCAACAGCTCCATAACATTCACAAGTGTACCATTAAACACTGTCCATTCTGTCCCAGAGGACTTTGCAGCCCAGAAAAGCACCTTGGAGAAATTACTTATCCGTTTGCTTGTAGAAAAAGTAATTGTTCCCACTGTGCACTCTTGCTTCTGCACTTGTCTCCTGGGGCGGCTGGAAGCTCGCGAGTCAAACATCAGTGCCATCAGTGTTCATTCACCACCCCTGACGTAGATGTACTCCTCTTTCACTATGAAAGTGTGCATGAGTCCCAAGCATCGGATGTCAAACAAGAAGCAAATCACCTGCAAGGATCGGATGGGCAGCAGTCTGTCAAGGAAAGCAAAGAACACTCATGTACCAAATGTGATTTTATTACCCAAGTGGAAGAAGAGATTTCCCGACACTACAGGTGAGGCATGGGGGGTGGGGTCGGGAGGAATATACAAATAAAATAATAGAAAAAATCCATAGAAAGAGGGCTGAACCGGGAATTGTTGAGAGTGATTCCAATGACTTGGGGAAGTTATAGGAGAAGACCACATAAAAGTTCATCACAGATTTGCAGGTGATATAGTTACAGCTGTGATCACTGTAGATTTTAATTTGGTTCCTTCTTTTGGACTGTATGCTCATGTTTCATACTTGTGTTATACCATTTACTGATTGTCTTTTTAAATTCACAGTGATTCTAATAATGCTGATGAGTTTACTAATTTACCGTAGTCCATTTATTTATCCTTACTAAATATGACTCCACATCCTATATTTTTTTGACAGAGCTAAATGAAAGATGCTATTGTAAATATATCCTATTCTCTATTCTGCAAAAAAATTTTGAGAACCTGTTGCTCATTTTTATTTTAAAATGAGATTATATATTCTTCTGGCTTTGAACAATTCTGCAACATCCTTGTTTAGCATACAAACAGTAATCTAAAGGTGAGAATTTTTGTACTATGTGTGATTTTGGATGTAGACTTGCTCCTCCAAGCAGGTAAAACTGCTTGAGTTATTCCAGATTCTTAAATGGATGTGGGAAGTTTGTGTTTTCCTTCTGCTTTCACTCTATTCTCTTTATAAACATTAACTTTCCCAGTTAATCTTTTATAATATCTAGAGATAAGCATAGGATATGTATCTTTATTTCATGTATGCATTCATTCTTTAATTAATTGATTTCAAAAATCCTATTGTACCAGGCATTGAATATACAAGAGAAGACATAGTCAGTGCCCTCATGGAACTTACAGTTTAGTAGGGAAGATGAGACACTTAGATGATTACAAGAGTAATAAGTGTCATAAAAGATGAAGTACAAGGCAGTGTGTTTGAATATAATGATAACATAACCTAATATGGTAGATTAGGAAATTACTTCCTCGGGAAGGAGCATTTAAACTGAGACTTGGTTATAAATAGGAATTAGTTCAGCAAAGCATTGGTGGTACCCTGCGTTTAGGTATTATTTAGTGCTCATTGGGTACTTTCTCATTATTATGCCTTTCAGCATCAAAGTAGAAAGCTTTACTTACTATACCAATATGCTAGTCTAAAAATCTATTCAATTTCTACATCCCATGATATTAAACAGTTTCTTCCACTCCTTTTAAAAGTTTTGTGTTAGTGCAAGTGTGTGTATGTTTTTTCAGTCACCAGTAATGAAGCAGTTCATGTCCAACAATAGGCTCATAATGTTAGATGTTAATTTGAAGGGCATCCCAATGTTCACAGTGAATCAAAATGTTCAGAAAACACTTACTTGAGATTTACACTGTTTAATTTATAAGGTCAGCCCTGGGAAAGACACAGTCCTGCATCAAATATGTGTTCACACTTGCAATGAGTGTTTCTGGCTCCTCTGATGTTAGCTGCATGTTAATTTATTTCTGAGGCTCGCAGACATCAGCTGCTTTCTGAGCTTTACTAGCGTGGATATGTGTGTATGTGCACATTGTGCATGTACATGTGTTGAGTGATGTAAAAATCAGATAGTCCATTCTTTTTTTGAAAAGGACAAGGACAACTTTTTTTTTGAGAAATCTTCATGATTTTCTTTAATCATGAGGAAACCAGCCAGAACACACACACATCTTGGACCTGCACACCCACGTATGTGCGCACACACACACACACGCACACGCACTCATTCTGATACATCTAGATACCAGCTCAGTTGGACAAGTGGTTTTTCTATTGATGCAGCTGAGGCATTGCTTGAGAATGTCTGGGAAAACAGGGTTTTCACATGCTTTAGGTAAACAAAATAATCCCCCAAGAAATAAAATATGAATAAAACTATTACTGAATAATGTCAGAATTTAGTTAATATTCAGTGATGAAAGTAAGCTCTAGAGAAAAGAGAACTATTCTTTTCTTGTTCACCACTGTATCTGCACGATTTAACACAGTGGCAGGATGCCTAATGGGAGTTCAATGAGTATCTTTATGTAAATGAGATCCCTGTGAGTTTTTGACTTCACAGTAGTTATGAATAAGCTGAGATTTCCAGGTGAGTTACATTTTAATGCTTCACTATTATATGGTCTTGGAACCCTTCTGAGGACCTAGGCTTCCATGCCAAATGACAGTTGTCTGTTCATTTTGACCTTAAGTCAACTTCTCAGCATTTTATTAGCTAAAAATTGAAATAGCACTTGTCCATAGGGCATTAAAATATTCTTGCACTTATGTTTAAATCCTGATATAGTTTGGCTGACCAGGGATCCTTTAAGGTGCTGAGTAGTTATCTCTAATCTGTTTCTGAGTTCTTATAGAGATATTTGAAATTTGGAGCCTTACAATTTCAGAAGTCACAGCTTAGTAGAAAAGATAAAGAAACTCGACTGAAAGCTGAACAGTAATAGTGGCCCCAGAGATGTGAAAGAACATAGTCACGTGGATGTTTAGAACTTGATCTGCTATCAAAGCATTTTCTAAAAATGCTCCCCTTTTAAGATAAAATAAGAGGACAAGTTTACCTTATCACGTAGTATCTTTATAATTTAATTTGTTTACTCAGATTATTCATGTTGGGAAACTTCTGCCATAATTCTGTGTTATTTCTGTGAAATATTCTAGGCTTTTGAGTGCTTTATATAGAAGACTTAATGGTGTAGTAAAAATTAGCATAAGCCATGAACTGTATAATATGTGAAATCATTTAGCTATAAAATGACTATAGCTGAGAAGCAGAAGAGTTTATCTAGAGCTCTGAGTGAAAAACCTCAGTGTCGATTCTGTTGCATGGGTGCTTTCTTTAAGAGCTAAGTTAAACTTGGTGGAACTGCAAACATGATCTAGTCAGCAACAGGGACTTAGTACATTCACTTAATGTTTAGTATTTACCTATAATACCCCTAACTCAGACTATAACTGGGTTATTATATTCCACCCATGAATGGTTTTCTCACTGCATTTCTTTTATTATTTATCATTTAATTCAACTGTGTACCTGCTCTCTATTAACTGCTACTTTTCTTATCAAAATTTTCAGTGTTATAACTTAGGTTTTTGGCACGAGTAGGAGGATTACTTCCCTACAAAACAACTATACTAGATAAAACATATTTTGTAATGCATTGCCAGACTTCTACAAAGTAAGAAAAATTTTTGGAGCCTTTGTTCTCCCTTTCATCAAGAGTGCACTAAACACAGAGTAGGGAGAAGTGAAGGGTAAGCTTGGAATGTGAGGTTACACTGAGGGCAAATGCCAATGTCGATGTTGCATTTGATCTGAAGACTAAGCCTGGAGTTACTCATAGAGAGAAGGGGACGAATCTGAGTTTTGCTTTAAGCTTAGATCTTAAAGGTGGCTAGGATTTTTACATTAGTTCTTCCTCTGACTTCTGGCATAATTAAACACAAATTTGTCTGTAGAAAAGTACTCCAAATTTTACCTCCAAGATATTGATAGATGCAGATAAATCTTACATGAGCTCACTATTACGAAAATTCACCATATGGACAGGAAAATAAGCCATCATGTGTGAAATCAGTAGAAAACACAAATAATAGATGTATATACCCAGTCACTTCAGATACAGGAGTTTTCAATTATAAAATACTAATAAGCATTCAAAGATATGAATGTTACAATTAAAAAATCATCAAGCAACATGAGACTATATGAACAGGCACTTCGCAAAAGAAGATATTTATGCGGCCAATAAACATATGAGAAAAGCTCATCACCACTGATCATTAGAGAAATGCAAGTCAAAAACACAATGAGATACCATCTCATGCCAGTTAGAATGGAGATTATTAAAAAGTCAGGAAACAGATGCTGGTGAGGATGTGGAGAAATAGGAACACTTTTACACTGTTGGTGGGAGTGTAAATTAGTTCAACCATTGTGGAAGACTATGTGATGATTCCTCAAGGATCTAGAACCAGAAATACCATTTGACCCAGCAATCCCATTACTGGGTATATACGCAAAGGATTATAAATCATTCTACTATAAAGACACATGCACATGTATGTTTATTGTACCATTGTTCACAATAGCAAAGACTTGGAACCAACCCAAATGTCCACCAATGATAGATTGGATAAAGAAAATGTGGCACATATACACCACGGAATACTATGCAGCCATAAAAAAACGAGTTGGTGTCCTTTGCAGGGACATGGATGGAGCCGGAAACCATCATTCTCAGCAAACTAACACAGGAACAGAAAACCAAACACCGCATGTTCTCACTTATAAGTGGGAGTTGAACAATGAGAACATATGGACACGGTGTGGAGGGGGACATCACACACTGGGCTTGTTGGAGAGTCGGGGGCAAGGGGAGGGAGAGCATTAGGACAAATACCTAATGCATGTGGGGCTTAAAACCTAGATGACAGGTTGATAGGTGCAGCAAACCACCATGGCACATGTATACCTGTGTAACAAACCTGCACGGTCTGCACATGTACCCCAAAACTTAAAGTAAAATTAAAAAAAAATCAAGATCACCAAAAAATTAACAAATAACATTGTTTTAATTGAGAAATATAACTCTCGAAACTTAAAACATATGGATTGATTAAACTACATATTAGACAAAGAGAGCAAATGAATTAATCAAAATGAGGCATTAGACAGAATATTTAAGAGAGAGCAAGGAGGGGCAAAATATCAAAGACATTTAGTAAGATATGGAATATAATGAGCTATTGTAACATACATCTAATCAGAGTCCCAGAAGAAAGAAAATGTACAGAATAGAGAGTAGGTAATCAGTATTTGAGGAGAAAATGGAAAAAGATTTTCTAGAACCAATGAAAGACATAAATACTCAGATACAAAGAAGCGTAGCATACACTAAGCAGGATGATGTATAGGAATAAATTCAGTTACACACACATTGTAGCAAAAATGAGAATGCCAAGGCAGAGACATCCTTAAAAACAGCTGTAGACTAACAAGAAATCGACTACTCAGAAAAGACATTTAGGTTGGCAGACTTTTTATTAGCAACAATGGAAACTGGAGGAAGGAGGAATATTATTCAGAGTTTGGAAAAAACATCAAATAGTCAACCTTGTATTTTCTGCCCATCAAAGCTATCTCCTAAGAATAAGAGCAAAGCAAAGACATTTTCTGATAAGTGAAGACCAGGGAAACATCTGAGCAAATCCAAACAAACATTGCCTGTCTTGTTTATGTAGTTCAAAAAGGAACAGACTAGGCAGGGCACAGTGGCTCACACCTGAAATCCCAGCATGTGGGAGGCCAAGGCTTGAACCCAGAAGTTTGAGATCAGCCTGGGCAGCATACCAAGATCTCGTCTCTAAAAAAAACAAAAAATAAAAACATGATCTGAGTATAGTGGTGATTACCTGTGGTCCCAGGTACTCAGGCGCTGAGATGGGAGGATCACTTAAGCCCAGGAGGTCGAGGCTGCAGTAAGCCATGATCATGCCACTGGCCTGGGCGACAAAGACTAAGGTATTGCTTAGTGCTACTATGTAAGTTTGAAGGGAAAATGACTAGAATTAAGGTATTCTAAGACACCTGAATTGTTGGGAGTTAGCGAGCTAGGACTTTGTTATACATACTTGGAAAAATTTAAGGATAACTAATGAAAGAATAGGAAATGAATGCATAACTTCCAAAACTATAGAGGAGAAAAAATGGAATGATGAAATAAAGAACACCCATAAAATTCAATCAACTTTTTAAAAAATGGTGAGAAAATATGTGGGAAGTGTTAGACATGTAGACATTTTAAAGTAAAATCTATAAAAATTGTAGATATCAAAAGTCTTAACCTGTGTCTGTTAAACTTTTCCACTGAAAAGATATCAGATGATGTAACTGTATCCTGCATACTGTATATACACCTGAAACATAAGTCTCTGGATGTTCAAAAGAAAAGAATAGACTTAGTTATACCAGCAAATATAAACTAAAGGAAAATTGAGGTATCTTTATTAATCTCATACAATTTTAAGAATTTATTACAAATAGCCTATGGAGGAAAGAAGGGATCATTGCATAATAAGAGGTTTAACTTCTTCAGAAAGTACAATGGTTCTAAATACATAACACATAAATACAAATAAGTAAAGCAAAAAGTGATAGAGGAACTACAGGGAAAACATGACACACCACACTCACAATGATAAAGTTTTAGGAAAATTCCTTATTAAAAGTTAAGCACAAAAAATTTTTCAAAATTGAAAAGATTTGAGCAACAAATTATCACACCTGATTTGATAAAAATATACAAATTCTGTACCAAACAATTAGAGAATGTACATGCTTTTGAAGCACATATAGAGCAGTTCTAAAAATTGAGACATATTAAGCCAAAAAGAAATTAAATGTCAAAAAAACAGTATCTCATAGAACATCTCCTTTGACTCAGTGCAATGAAATGAGACCTCAATGACAAAAAGCTAAGGATTGATAAAGTTATACAGGGCCAATCATAACCAAACAAAAAGAAAGAGATCCCTTTATATCCCTTTATTAATCTCAGAAAACATAGATTTTACGATAAAACACCTTATGAGGGATAGAAATGGTCGGAACATACTACTTTGGAAGGCAAATTTGGCAAAATTTGGCAATATCAGATGTTCATATTCCCAGTGACTACATAATTTTACTTTTCAGAAGAAAACCTTTTCATAGGTTTGCTAGGAAACGTGCAAAAATGTTCATAATTGCATTTTTTAGAAAGAACAAAACAACCAAAACAAAGTCAGTCCAAAATAAAAACAGGAAAAAACTCTGATTGTCTTTCCAAAAAAGATTAATTTATTTGTAGAATTTTCAAGCAGTGGAATGTTTTACAGTAGTGAATTTAATAAATGACAAGTGACTACAACATAAATGAATCTTATAAGAATAATTTTGACGGAATAAAAACAGATGATAAAGACAAGTCACAGTGGGATAGTGTTTTATATAAATTCAAAAGATAAAACTATACAAATTTTCATGTTATATGTTTATGATATACATATGAATATCATATGCATGCATACATATACATACATATGTGTACATGCATGGATAAATACATCTGAAATATACACATACATAGATGTATGTATACATACATATGATATATGCACATAGATATATGTATATATGTATGCATACATATAAGTATATATGTATATGATACTCATGTATATCATATACATATACTCTACTGTACCATAAATAGTACTTTCTTTATCATATGTAATCATATCTATATCTATCCATATAGAATCTCTTCCTCTCTACACACGCATAGATCTCGATTCAGTTATGTAAAATCACATTCTATGATTCTGTAATCGCTTCAGTTTTTAATTTGTTTGCGAACTTAGATGTAAATGAATATGTGTGTGTTTATTTATTTGTATGTCACTAACATACAGTGTACAGCTTTAAAATTAAAAAATGCATCAATTCTCATCATTGCCCATGTCAAGTAAATATATGAATGAATGATCAATCTCACTATTAAATAACTTACTGTGAAAGAACTACTACAAACTCAGTAATATAATTATGGTCTAGTACAAATATTAAAATGTTCATTGTTGGCTAAAATGTGGAAAACTACACACATATTTTGGTAGTGTATGCGATGACAAGACTGTGTATTAGGAGATTTACGAATGCATTTTAAAATTTTTAAACAGTGCTTGCAACTTCCAGACGTAAAATGGGTAAAATCAGACTGAAAGAGTTGACATTGGTTGCAGTAGGTAGTCAAATTAATTTAGCTCCTGCTCAATCTCTATCTTACATTTAAATTTGTGTATGTTATGTGTCATATTTTTAAAAATAATACCTAATAAATCAGTTGCTTATAATACCTTGAAATAAACATGATAGTTCAATTAGAAAATACCCACTATGAGACAAAAAGTTACCCAGGATGTTATAGTTCACCAAACAAACAAACAAACAAACAAATAAAACCTCACAAAGCAATATTACCTTTATTTGTATACATGATTTATTAGAAATTTCGGAACTAATGCTTCTGAATACTATGCAAGAACAGTTATCAAGTCTTGGAATAAGATACATTTTAGCCACAGTTTCAATTCCATTGACATTTGTATAAATAATTTCCTATTCCTTATTTACTTTCTATTTTATTGAAAGACTTTCTACATGAACATTTTGTAGGGAATGTTTACCTTTTGAAAGGGGATTCTAAGTTTGATTTTTAAGATATGGTGTTAGTAGTGTTTTTTCTACCACTTGAAGATGTGAGCACCTCATCCCATGTCCCCAAAAGCCAGTTACTATTACTGAGCAAATCCTAATCAGATTATTTCAACTTAAAAATGCAAGATGAGTAAACAACATAATTATTTTCATCCAG
Source organism: Homo sapiens (assembly GCF_000001405.40). NCBI lineage: Eukaryota > Metazoa > Chordata > Mammalia > Primates > Hominidae > Homo > Homo sapiens. Next base: position 115,595,447 of record NC_000008.11, on the reverse strand, counting down.
AATTTCAATTTTTCTTGGATTATGTTCTGTAGACTATTTCTCCTCTTTTAACTAGTTTACAGTTCTCAAGGACTGACCTAATAATCCATCTGTAATTCTGTTTTTGTCTTTGTTCCTGCTACTCTCTTCTCGTTTTTCATTTTATCATTTTACAGTGGCAGTAATGCCACATGCCACTCATTGTAGACATTTATAGCAACAATGCATATATTACAAAAATGACTAACTTTATTAGATTTCAGACCTACTTGAACTACATTTAAATTTAAGTATTTGAATCACCTCCCTTTTCCCCACTTCTGTGATAATTTATCTGTAGTTGTTTGATTCTGTAATAACCAAAAAAAACCTCTGAAAGTCTAATCAATTAGTATTTATGATTTATTCATTTACTTTGATGCTTCATTTAGTCATTGAAGAATAAAAACTGTGGTTAAAATTATTCATTGATTGTCTTTAAGATTTAAAAAAATTACTGAAAGTAACATGCTATTATCTAGTAAAAAAGAGCTCTTCAAGTGATGACATAAATCTCAAGTTAACATTTAAAAGAAAAAAAACAAGGCATCCCTCAGCTGCAGGGTTGGTTTATTATAAAAATAAAAATATTATCAGAGCATAGTAAAGGAGTAGCATCTTTTAGCTGATTTTTTTCTAGAAGCATTCCTCAATGCTTTATGAATTATGAAAATAATTCATAATATTCTCTACTAATGAATGAAATACTACTATTGTGAATAAAGACTATTGTGCATTGAAACATGGAAGGATCAAAAAACAAATGCTTTTTTATGGCACATGAAAATTCTATAAAGTAGATAAGAATAACATTTTTCACAGAGGTTCTAAGTCACTTGAATTAAATACAAATTTGATCTTTTTAGGCAATTTGATGTCGTTTGCCTAGAGAGAAAGCATGATTTAGTTTTTTAATCAAAATTTCTTTGACTTGCCTCCACATTGTCGAATATTGTATGGGACACAGTGAGATTTTATAAAAGTATGTCCCAAATATTTTATGCAGCATTCACTAAAATATTCATTTATTATCTGAAATTTAAATTTAACTGAGCATTCTGTGTTTTATGTGATGACCTTGTGCTTATGCTAATGAGATCTATAAAATGACATCTTTTTTTCTCAGATAATATGAAGACAGTGTTTGCTGTCAGTGTGGCAGGAGGATATAGCATTTAGATTAATACAAAGCATATATTTGTAAAAAATTTGAAATTAGTTTGGCTTAATGTACCCAGAGGTTTTAGGAGTTTTTAACTAATGAAGGGTTTATTCATAGGATCACTCAAAATATGCCATCTGCAAAATATCTGTGTACATCTTAATATTTCTCTGCTGCTTTGTGACCCTACATATTAAATCCAGCATCCTGAACATCCAGAGCTGTGACTGTCCATTTCTTTGTTATTAAGCAGATACTTACTGTCAATCTGGATGTTTTGTGATGAGGGGAATCAATAGATGTGTGAGCTTTGGTCTCGACCTTAGGGTAATTACATATACTTGTAAAGTGAGGCATATGTGATTTTAATCACATACCATCTGTGATTAAAAAAATTGAAGAGGAATACAAGGATTTAGAATAACGAAGAAGACACTAGATTTATTCTTGGATTGAATCATTTGGGAAGTCTTTATGGATGCGGGGGTGGTTAAGTTGGGTCTTGAGAAATAGAGGAAAAATTTCCTGAATGTCTTTGAAGTTTTCATGTTAATGCTGATGAAAAGAAAGTGCATTTAGTAGGTTGGAGGAGAGTCCAAATTAATGTACTTTCACAATGACTAAACTTTTATTCTTGAGAAAAGTTTTCTTTTACTGGGGTTTATTATAATCTAGTCTTATTATTTGGAAGTGTGACATTACATTGAAGATCTTGTCAGTTATTATTGAGAGACTGATACATGTCAGAAAATATGCTCAAATCTTTTAGGTACTAATTCCTGAACAACCATTGCTTTAACTATCAAATAACGTACGTGAAACAGTAACCATAGACAAGAGCAAAAGTATTCTATTTTGCCTTCAATATTTTTATGTTAATTAACTCTTCTGTGCTTCCACTTCTTTATCTGCAAAATGGGGTGGAAATATATACTTTGTGTTATTGCTGCGGGCAATATATGTAAATGACCTGGCACTAAAGAATATTTAAAGACAATCTCCAAACAATGATAAAGAAAAAATGAATTGGGATTATTCCTGACAATTTTGTGCTTGTAGTTTATTTTATAAAGCTGTGAATGTTGACTCAGAAGGTGTATGTGACTTAAAAACTATAACAATGTTGCCATTCATAAAAAATTCATCTTGGACCTGAGTATGGTGGTGCATGCCTCTAATCCCAGCTACTCAGGAGGCTGACGTGGGAGGATCCCTTGAGCCCAGGAGTTCAAGGCCAGCCTGGGCGACATAGTGAGACCTCGTTTCTTAAAAAAAAAAAAATTTATTTGGGAATGTTCTAAAAGTGCTGAATATATACAGGTATATTAAGAGTACACTCCAAGCCAACACACTTGTCATGAGCTATTTATGACCATAGCTGCATGATTCTTGCTACTCAAGGTGTGGTCTGGGGACCTTGTAAGAAATACAAAGTATTATCAGGATCTGGGAAAATTTGAAATAAAAGAAGAAACACAGAATATTAGATTCTACCCTATTCTTCCAGCATCAGAATATGAATTTGAATGAAATCCCCAGGTGATTTTTACACATTAGTTTGAGAAGCCTGGTCTAAATTTTAGTATAGGTTATTGAAAAGTTCATATTGCTCCAGGCTTTTGACAGTAATGTTGTCTTTTTAATATGTTTTCTGTCCTTCAGTTAGAACTGATAATATAAGGAGAAAGGAGTTGTTCAAGTCTCAAGAGCACTTTATAGCAAATTGCCTTTTCTGCTTCACCTAGTGGTGTTCAATAGCCTGAAAGATTGAGCAGTTTAACAGTTTACTGCTTAAATGTCAAGCTTTACTCTTTTTTCATTAATAGTAGTAAGACCCAGAGTCTTAAGATTCTGAATAACAATAATAGTAAGATCATTACCTGTATTTTATTAAAGCCTTGGGAGTTAGGAGATGTCTTGTGAGTTTATTCATTAAGTTGCTTAGAGCCATGATGTAGCTAGTAATACAGTTTATGGGTACTGGTCCCTGCGTTGGTGTCATTTGAGGACTTTGTTAAAGTTAAACATTTAGATTCTCAGATTATGCCCAGGATATTCTGGTTCAGTGGGATAAGAAAGACTTGGAATCTCTATCGCTGAGAAAGAAACTCTTTGGGTTGCAATGCTGCCCAGCCTGTTTTGCAAACCATTGCTGTAGTCAGTTTCTTTTTTCTCTGTTAGAAGACCTTTTCCATCCCCTGTGTTTTCATTTGGCATATCGTCAGTAGTTAACATTTATATAAAATTAGAAAGGTAGGAAGTGGAAAGTAGAAAAATATAACATTGTTCTGGGAGTTTGAAGCCCTGTGTTCTTGACTTGATATAGATAAAATGGGCAAGGCACTCTTTCTCCATTTTACTATCTGTGAAATGGGCCGTATACTTCAGTGGAACATGAGAACCTGTAGACATGAGTGCTTTGAACTTTCAAAAGAAGTGTGAATTGAGCTTGTTTTTACAACCTTGTTGTAATATCCTTCCGTTAAAATGTGTTTTCCTTTTCGACATAAAACCTGGGTCTCACGGAAAACTTACCCCTGCACTTTCTGTTTCCTTTGTACTTTATTCCTATCCCCACTCTTCTCTGTGTTCCTACAGCTCTCCAGCACCTGTACCATGGGCGGTTTTGCCTAGGTCGGTTGGTTCACGAGGTCCTCTCCAGGATGATGACAGCAGCTCCTGCTGAGACATGCCAGGAGTCAGGGAGTTTTCCTTTGGGACAGGAACTTCAAACTAGAAAACCTAGAAGACTCAGACACCTTGTCTCAGGGTGTCATACCCTGTGATGAACTCATGTTTTGGGCAGGGACCTAGGACCTTGTATATTTAGGAAGAAGTACTAGTTAAATAATAGGTGAAGATTATGTAACTTCAATATCTACTGATTCTGCAATCTAGAAATATTCTTAAGCGACCCCTATTCCTTCATCTTTATTCAGAATCAGTAGACATTGAAGTAACATAATCTTAATTACTTAGCTATATTCCTAGATATGCCATGTTCTAAACAACTTTAATGAATACATTCATAAAACATCCTTACCTCCCAAGGTTTTAATAAAACACAGGTAATGCCCTTACTGTCTTTGTTATTTAGAATTTGAAGATACTGGCTCTGACTGCTATTAATGAAAAAAGAGTAAAGCTTGACAATTAAGCAGTAAAAGGCTAAACTGCTCATTCTTTCATGTCATTAAACGCCGCTAGATGAAGCAGAAAAGCATAGAATATATTCTACTGGGCCATGTCCTAAAGCAAAGGATCTTCTAGGACATAAGCTTGGTTTTAAAAATGTTTTTTTTTTTTGGTCATGGTTAAGGTACATGGGGGAATGGCAATGAATGATACCAAAACACCAGTTTGTAAGTTTAAACTCTTGCAGAAACAGTACGGAATGTGGATTCACAGAGAACAGAGGGGCTTTATTTAATTTTAGGATTTATACTGATTAACTCTCATTTATTTACTTATTATGCACAAGAACCATATCAAGAGACAACTTTATTTTCATTTTGCAGATGAGGAAACTGAGACAGGTTCAGTAAATTATTCGAAGTTACTTACATTGTAGAATACAGAGCCAAAGTTTGAAGCTTAAGCATTCTCCTTAAGAGTCTACACGCTTACATGTGGTTGGTCATTTCACCAGTAAGAACTGAGAGTCTACCGTTTGAAAATAATTTTGCTTTGTGGTCCACAAGAATTTTGTATTTCTTTTCATATATGTTGATCCCTTCTCCTTCTTGTCACCCTGGTATTTACAGTCTTGATATCTTGAAACAGAATCACTATGATTCTTTGGCATTTTATCACTGGAGCTACCAGTTTTGGTAGAAGTGTCAGTGGTAATTTGTAGTTTTAATTTATAGGCATGGATTTCTTTAGAGAATTCAAGCAGAGATCTCACCATGTCAAGGAACCACAAATATGCTAAAGTGGACAGTGAGTCCATTATAACCATCTTGGGGTGAAAATCAATCATGGTTTGTTAAGTGCTTTCAGAAGTTGTTGTTGCTGTTTTAATTTCCATGACTCAATATATTGTGTAGAATATATTCAGTAGGGTAATTTTGGATTTATGTGTTTATCTCCCGTTAGATTAAACTAGAATGTGTGTGGGTTTTTTTTGTTGTTGTTGTTTTGTTTTGTTTGAGATGGCGTCTCGCTCTGTCGCCCAGGTTGGAGCACAGTGTCGTGATCTCGGCTCACTGCAACCTCCGCCTCCCAGGTTCAAGTAATTCTCCTGCCTCAGCCTCCCGAGTAACTGGGATTACAGGCTCCCGCCACCACACCCAGCTAATTTTTGTATTTTTATTAGAGATGGGGTTTCACCATGTTGGTCAGGCTGGTCTCGAACTTCTGACCTCAGGTGATCTGCCCGCCTCTGCTTCCCAAAGTGCTGAGATTACAGGCGTGAGCCACCAGGCCCTGCCTAGAATGTGTTTTTGATAAGAAGCTTTTGTAGATGAGCTCCACAGAGGTTCTAGGTCCTAGATTTTAGGTATTGTCTATTGTCTTTTGTATTCTTAGTCCTGTTTTTGAATTTTCTGGCCTTGACATTGGTGGCAAGATTATTCCTCTTGTTGATAATCGTCTTCACGTTAAAGGTTAGGCTGTTTCCACTTGAGGGAATTAATTTTACTATTGTGCTTTTATGGTCAATTCATCCTCCCATTATTTGTCATTTGTTGTATATTTCTTTACTACTTAAACAATGAAAAAAATAGGGAAAAGATTGGAAACAATCTTCTGTAAAAAGTAAATATGGATATTTACTCAACAAAATGTAAGCTCTTGTATGCTACATTAAGCACTCTCAACAAATACTTGAGATTTTGTTTCATGTTTTATACCTTTGAATTTTCCTTCCATAAAATAGGAACATTCTTTTGGAATTTCAGCCATCAGACATGTCTTATAAAGGAATGAAGTTATTGATAAACATTACAGCCCCAGAGTAATTAAAACATGCATTTGAGCACCTACTCCCCAGCTGATTGCCTTCCTTTACCTTTGACGAGATCCCCTGTCCCTACCATGACCTACAAAGCTCTAGATAACCCTTCAAGCTTGTCAGTTGACATTCTTCCTCACACTTATTCCTCTAAAACCACAATGTCCTCTTTTCAGTGTCTCAGACTAGCTAGAATGTGGCTTCCTTTCCCCTTCCTCATCCTCCAAGGATAGCTTCTTTTCACCCTTTGATTTCATATATCTCCCTCAGAAAGTCCTTCCTGATTACCTACGCAGCCCTTTATACCAATTACTATCCATTTCATTCTTAGCACCTGTCACTCTTTGTACTTAATAGACTTATAGTCATGTGAAACTTCCTGTCTAGTCATTCCTGACGAGACTCTAAGCAGCAGGTGGGCAAAGACTATATATCTTTTATTCACCAATGTGTACCCAGTGCCTGGCAAGGAAATATTTTGATGATTATCTAAAATTACATGTATGAGTACATAACTTACAGTATCTTACAGCTTTAAGTAATAGCTCACAAAATTTATTTTGTTACTTTAATTTGGTAATTCATAGCAAGTTATATCAGGGAAGTAGAAAGTGTTTCCCTGATATTTATTTAGACAGCCATACACAGTTTTTATAGTTAAACAAAATATGACTTTTTCCACATCACTTGTGTATCTTTCGGGTATGCTTTTTACAGTGCAATACTTCTGTTCTTCTTTTTTAATCAAATATTTGCCCTAATGTAGCAGTCACTGTTCTCTCTTTAACAGCAGAAGATGGTAGGGAATTTGATAATAAAATTGTCTTGTTTTATGCCATTTAAAAAGAAAACACACACACACCCTTTTAATGAATATATTTGTAAAGCCTCTATTATGGTGTTTGACACTCAACAGACACTCAATTTCTTGAATGTGTTTACGTTCTCATAGATGGATAGAATTTGTTTAGAGAAAAATCATGGGTTATAAATACATCTTATTTTCTAGACTTTACAGATCAGTGAGCAATATTTAATTCACTAAATGGATTTAAATTTGATGATAGAAAAGAACACTTTATTTCTTTTTTAAAATCATTTAATAATTTGATAATGATTTATTATTTTATATTTAAATTTAGTTCCTTTTAATATATGGAAAAGCTGTACAAAGCATTTCAGCATTAGAAATTGAAGTGTATCTACAGGGGGAAAAATCCTCAATTTAGTTTAAATAACAGAAAGTGAAAAGGGCATTTTAAATCAGGTGTGAAAACTTAAGAATAGTGACTTAAATGATATAATTCATGATTATCCATCAGGGTAAACTGCATCTATCAAGGCAAAATGAACAGAGTGGGGCATTTAACAGTAATTCAAACTAACCAGTTTTAATGCTAATCACCTGGAATGTATGCGCACAAGCACGAGCAGCGTGCGTGCGTGCGTGCACGATGCGTGTGTGTGTGTGTGTGTGTGTCTGTGTTATACCTATTACTGCTAATATAACAAGGGCACTTTGAACTCTTTATATAGAACTGAAAATGCCTGTTAATTACATTCCAGTTTTGGGGTGTTAAGAATATTGCATTTCTTTCTACCTACTATATTGCATGAGTAGGTAGAAAATTCAGGTGCTTAAAGGCTATTAAAAATAAAACAACCCTTCAGAACGCTGTCTTTGCAGTAACTGTTTTCTTCTTCTCCAGGAGAGCACACAGCTGCTACAAATGCCGTCAGTGCAGTTTTACAGCTGCCGATACTCAGTCACTACTGGAGCACTTCAACACTGTTCACTGCCAGGAACAGGACATCACTACAGCCAACGGCGAAGAGGACGGTCATGCCATATCCACCATCAAAGAGGAGCCCAAAATTGACTTCAGGGTCTACAATCTGCTAACTCCAGACTCTAAAATGGGAGAGCCAGTTTCTGAGAGTGTGGTGAAGAGAGAGAAGCTGGAAGAGAAGGACGGGCTCAAAGAGAAAGTTTGGACCGAGAGTTCCAGTGATGACCTTCGCAATGTGACTTGGAGAGGGGCAGACATCCTGCGGGGGAGTCCGTCATACACCCAAGCAAGCCTGGGGCTGCTGACGCCTGTGTCTGGCACCCAAGAGCAGACAAAGACTCTAAGGGATAGTCCCAATGTGGAGGCCGCCCATCTGGCGCGACCTATTTATGGCTTGGCTGTGGAAACCAAGGGATTCCTGCAGGGGGCGCCAGCTGGCGGAGAGAAGTCTGGGGCCCTCCCCCAGCAGTATCCTGCATCGGGAGAAAACAAGTCCAAGGATGAATCCCAGTCCCTGTTACGGGTAGGATGGTTTCATTTTTAAATAATTCATTTGTTTTGAAGGGCAAAAGGAGGAACACACATTCTTTCTCTACAGGATTGTGTTGTGTGTGAAGTGAAACTTAATGATCTGTCTCAATCTGGGGATTTATACTCCTAAGGCCAAAGTGGCAGCAAGTAACTCATGTGTGTTTGTGTGTGCTGTGCACTTACTTGATACAGTGTTAGGCAGTCACTTGTTTGTCTTTGCTCTTAGCTCAGATTGAATGTTGGTTAATCATTCCTGGTGACTATACAAAACAACAAGGCCATATTTGGAGAAGGGAGGTTTAGAATCCCAGAAGGATGTACATCTGCTACACTGAAATAACTAAATGACTTTTAAATTTTAGGCTGCTATGACAATATATGGTTAATAAGGAAGTCAGAAGAGATTTAAATCACTAAGAATGTAATGTCCTTGATGAGATGTTCATACCAAAATACGGAGTTTTTTAAAACCCACGATATAATTATGTATAAATGACAATGCTTGTTGTTGTCGAGTTGCCAACAAGAGGGGGAAAAATGAGAAAAGGCTAAGTGTGAATAGTGTGAAAAGCGGCCAAAGAAGAGTGCCATGCATTTGATATGAACAGGATCTTTTAGGGGGAAAGACCTAGTTCCATGTGGAAAAAGAAAACAAAACCTCTGAGTAAGGTAAGATCCTCGATTGCTCTCTTCATACTATGTAGACTCAGCATTGTTAAAAAGTATTTTAGATTTTGAAAATTCATGAGCTCCCAATAAGTGATAGTTGCTCGATGCCTAAGACACCACCTCTTGGACATTTTACCTTAAGTCTGTGAAAGTTTTGAGCTTCTCTGGATGATTTTGAAGCTTTGTTTGTGCATAGAAGGTAGGATCAGAAACCAGCTAACCTTTACAAAAGATCCAGTTGGGAAATAGAGTTCCATTAGCCAGGTGCTTTGACCTGCGGGTCATAGACCAGTGAGTTCTCTCTGGATGTATTCTGGGGAGAAAAATTGCTCTTCCCAATGTCTGCTTGGCTGCTCTGCTCTCATTTCCTGCAGATTCTCTGAAGCCTATCTGTGCTTCTCAGTATTCTCTAGCGGAGTTGAAAAACGCCCCTTAGAGGTGCACAGTTAATTATAGAAGCTGTTAGCTTTCCCATCTGTAGTCATGCCCTGGAGCTAAGAGAAGGACTTGAATACAGAAGAGGAGATGCCCCCTGTACAGAGAGAAACAAAGAATCCTTCCTGCAGGGAAGAAGCAAGTTTATTAGGAGTAACTTCGGGAAAAAAAGAGAAACAGTTTCTGTGCCCTTCAAGAGGGGGTTCAATTTAGGGAACTCCCCTCCAGTGAATATACATGGAGCTGCATTTTTATCATTGTCAATATTTGTTGTTTTCTCAGCATGTCATTACTCTTCTGGCCTCAAGTGACTCATGGCTTCTGGTTATAAGGCGGGAATGAAATGTCCTATGTTTTATTAAATTCATACTGCATTTTGAGAGTATGGTATATTTGGGGGCCTTATATCTATATCACCGGAACCCCTTTCCTTCCTTTTTCTACTTAAAATTGGTTTCATCCATGACATCTTCATTTGACACCATATTGTTTGACTGTTTCTGGAATATTACCTTTTCTGCCATTGTTTATATACTCTAAGACTTTGAAATGACAATTTATTAAGCAATGGTATAAAAAACCTGAGCGTAGTGGTTGCATTTTTTGAGCAAGATGGAGATGTTAATACTTTTCTAAAAAGTTGTTTTTCTCAATTCCTCCACTTCCTTAAATCCCTGATTTCAAGTTTCTATTGCATCATTTTAACAGCCTTTTCAGTTCCTCCACATTAGCTGCTGAAGTAGGAAACCTTAAACAAGAGATTCCTTAGCTGTGTTCTACAATAATAGCCAAATTCCAACCCTATGATTTATTATCTTCAAAGGCTGTAATCTACTAAATTTCAGAGATCTGATAAAATTACATTAATATATACAAATACATGCATATGCATATATAAAAGGAAGAATATTGAATCATTCTGTGGTTGCAATAAAATTTAAATCTTTTAAGATTCACATTTTATATTTGAATAGTGCTTTTGGAAATCACCAATTTTACTGGATATTTGGAATAGGAAGGGTAGCCAATTTAATTTATTGGGCAACATTTAGGTTATTAGCTGTATATGAAATTTTCAATGTGTACATATCTTAGATGATGAGCTTTTTAAGACACCTAACAGAATTAAGAAACAGCCCATTCTCATTGTGAATTTGACACCAATTCTACTTTGGTGGTATTAGTTGGTATTCTGAAATTATCATACCGAATTACCTACCTCTAATTCATTACCCTACCAGTGGTAGAAAAAAAAAAAAAAGCAGAATTTTGAGGTCATGTTTACTAAAGGCCAAAAAAAAAGTACTATAAGTTTATAGTTTCAGAGGCATAGTTATTAGTGAAGATGTCCTGTAATAATTTAAAATACACCATAGAAATATACAGATATAATTTACATGTTTTGAACCCAAATTACAGTAGTGTATAAATATATGCCTACAGAATGCATGTTTATATTTGAAACAATAAAATAGAACTTGAAAGTAACTACAATTATTCAGAAATTGTAAGCAATTTAAGAAATGTAAACTATCAGATTTTAAAAGTACCTTTTTAATTAAATAGTTTTTTCAATATAGCATTAATAGAGCAAGTATATTAATACATTTATATATACAGTTTCTAATACTAAAGTAAAACTTAATCATTTAAAAATACTATACAGAGTGATATCAAGAATTAAGTATGGAAAACTTGCCCAACAGAAAATGTTGATTTAATATAGTTCAATACTATGCTGGTAAATAATGGAAACATTTTGAAATAAAAGGCTGAATGTAGTTAGGATTGTGTTACAAAGCACATAATTAAAATGTTGCTTTCAGCATATTAGTCTTTCTGATAACTTTTTTTTTTAAACTGGTTTTAGCAATGAAAGTTTGCTGTACTTCTCAAAGTGAGGAAGGAAATATAAGAATCACAAGAAGAGCTAAAATTTCGAAATGTTCTCTTCATTAACATTAGTGGTTTTCTCCTTTTTTTGGCTTATGTCAGGGTCAGTGTTTGGCTTTTAGTTTTGTGTTCAATATGATATCATTTATGTATATTTTTATTTAGTAAATGTCTATATTTTTCCCTTGTTATTAGTATGGAATTGATCTTGATATAAAAATTTTCAGTTGCATATGCCTCTGTGTTGACTTCTGTGCTTTGAGTATGACAAAAGCCACATTGCCATAAACTTGATCTTATAAATTGCTCTAGGAAAACTAGGCTTTTTTTTGCATATTAATCACACAATATTTCTACAAAATTTTTGAGTATTTTCTTGTGTTAGTAGGAAGAAGTATTAAGGGCTTTAGAATCTTTGCTAGAAATAGTCTAAGCTTATATGACAACTTTATTATCTTAACATTTCTAGAATAGATCTTATAGAACATGAATCACCTCCTGAAAATGGTTACCAACATTTACTAATAATATTTTGAAAACCCAGTGTTTTTATTTAAAGTTTAGGTCTGTGAAGAGGTTAACATGTTTAAAATTACCTGTACCAACAGTATAAGTAAATTATTTTATATATTCCAATAGATGTTTCTTAATCATTTTAAACTAAGTAGTATAGTATAGTCAGCATTCATGTAAAGTTGTATACTTTTCTGACAAGTTTTTTTTTTATGATGTACATCTACACAAAGGTATTTATTTTTTAGATAAATTTATGCAGATGCAACTGTATTAATTTTATTGTTTCCTGAATAAGAAATTCTGGATTTTATTTTTGTAATGGAATTTTTAGATTGGATATTCCATTGCAGAAAACTTGGCTTTTTATCTGATAACTACATGAATAAGGATCCAAAAATCGATCATTAAATTTCACAAAAAAATTAACCAACATTGTGTAGTTTTTCATTTGTTAATAAAATACGGAAGTACAGTTAAGCTTATTGGGTGAGTCTTTAGGGGGAGCTCATGGAAAATCAACATTCAGGTAAACTCCTCCATGTTATTTGTCAAAACGGAATGTTATAGATAACTTGTAGCTCAGGTTCTTCCATAGGTTCAAATGCTGTAGTTATTAGAGCACTTTTTTCTTGCAGCTAGAGGAAAGATAAATCTCCTTGAGATTGATCTTGGTTTCCAGTTTAAATTTCTTTAGAAAAGTCTGTCAGTTGTAACATCTACATTTTGTGCTACTTGGCTTCAGCGGAGATGCTCAACCATGGGCCTGGGGAGTTGAGTTCCAAGTTCTGGAAGTTGAGTTCCAAGTTGAGCCACTGACTTTCAAAGGAAGGGCCTCCCAGGATCTCCGTTCATCTGTCGCTTGGAGAGGATCATGCTGCCTGCCACCCTCACAGGAGTGTTGTGCAGCTTAGTTAATTAACGTTTGTCAGGCCATTTGAGATCCTCAGATGCAGAGTGCTAGATAAGTGGAAATAGTCTGATTATTTGTTCATTTTGTAAGTGTGATACCAGGACAGTACAATGAGAATGTTATTTCCCCTTTTCTTCAGCAGCGTTAAATTTATAGTTTAAAGATTGTTGATACCGGACAGACTATTGAGATGCAAAAATGTTCTTTTGGGGACAGTCCATTGGCAGCCAAACAGACGTTTAAACAAGTGACAATGTTGAATGCCTTTACAACCACTGACAGAAGACTGCAGGAGCTTTTTTTTAACTAAAGATGGTCTGAAGTGAAAAGTGATATTCATTGTTTTGCTTCATATTTAATTAAAATGAAAGCAAAATTCCAGTTATCAAAGAGGTAGCACTGACTTAATGTTTATGTACATAACTGTTTTCTCACCCGATTTGGACTTTTTACATGTGCATAAGTAAAATACCAAAGAGATCAGACTATATCAGGAAAAATGGGAAGTATATACCTCTCTAAACACTGGTTATGAAGCCATGACTTTAGGCCCTGTTGGTAGTTTCTCTTTAGGTAGCAGTTGATATTTTCTTTGCCTGAGAGTAAAATAAATGATTAAAAACTATTGACTATATGCAGAGATGAAAAATCCTTGTACATGTCTCTGCTTCTGTGCCATATAGATGTATTTCTGTTGACATCTATTTGAAAAATATATGATTTAAACTCAAATATGTTTTAGTTTAGATTTTAAAAATACAATCCATGTATCAAATTCATTATGTGTAATAGTGAACATGACAGTTCTGTTTTACCGTGTAAAAGTGAAGTAGCTTTTTCTTATTTATTGATTATTCATCTTTTACATTTATATACCATTTTTGACAGTAGAAAGTTGTCAAATTCGTTCCATATTCCATAGGTATAGAAGTTTGGTTTTATTAGTTTGATTAATGAGATTTTTAAGCAATCTAATTTCTTTTCTATAAGTCTGCTTCATTAACCCACACATTTTTTAAAGCACTTTTTTTTTAATGCACACACAATAATTGTACATATTGTGGGGAACATAGTGCTGTTGTGATACATATAATGTGTGGTGGAAGGATTAGGGTAATTTGTATATCCATCACCTCAACATTTGTAATTTCTTTGTATTAGGGACATTCACTATTCCAGCTATTTGAAACTACATACTACTGTTAAGTACAGGCGTCCTACAGTGCTACAGAACACTGAAACTTACTCCTCCCGTCTAGCTATAACTTCATATCCTTCAACAAATCTCTGCCTATTCTCCCTTTCCCCCTACCCTTCCTATCCTCTAATATCTTCTCTTCCGTTTTTGGTTTCTACAAGATAAATTTTTTTTTTTTTTAGCTTCCACATATAAGTGAGAACATGCAGTGTTTAACTTTCTATTCCAGGCTTATTTCACTTAAAATAACGTTCGCCTGTTCTATTCACGTTGCTGCAAGTGACAGAATTTTATTCTTTTTTTATGACTGAATATATTCCATTGTGTGTATTTACCTCATTTTGTTTATTCATTTATCTGTCGTTGGACACCTAGGCTGATTCCGTATCTTGATTATTGTCAATAGTGCTGCAGTGAACATGGGGGTACAGGTGTCTCTTTAATATACTAATTTCCTTTCCTTTGGAAAAATACTCAGGAGAGGGATTGCTAGATCATGTATGTAGCTCTGTTTGCGGTTTTTTTGAGGAGCCTCCATACTGTTCTCCATAGTGGCTGCCCTAGTTTACACTCCCACCCACATTAATAGCACTTGAAAAACGACAACAACAATGTTTTTGTAACCTAGGCTGTTTGTGAGGTCTGGCATAGTTCTGCTGGCCCAGGTTTCTAAAGCAGGTGAAGCAGATGTATCTTAGTGAATTGGACTGTAGGTTTGCAGCTACTGTGAAATGTTATCCTTTAGTGCAGTATCTGTTCATTATTTCCTATATAACTATCTTTTGCTTGGCTTCTCTTTTCCATGGACTGCATGAGTCAGGACATAACAGGGCCCCCAAAAGAACCCATTGTTGAGCATTCTTAGATGTTGGAAGTGAAGAGTATACAGAAGGTGGCCCAAGTTTCAGGAGCACAGGGCCAGAATGATTCAAAAATGAGGTATGTAGTGTTGATGTGAATCTGGTAATTTTCCGGCAGAGCCCAGTCTGATGGGTCCATTTTACAGGCACATTAATACCTAAAATGCCACAACGAGGTTTTATTTTGGATTTTTGGGGATTTTGTTATTTTCACCAAAAAGGTAAATATTATCTCCATTGTCTCTCATATATATATATATATATATTTTTTTTTTTTCTTCTCTCCCTTCCATTAGATACTGTTCAAAACTTTCCTTAAGTGTTTGTAAGCAAAGGCATTGATTAGTAGACTGCTCTGCTTGTTAACTCAAGGAAGCTTGGCAAGCTAGGTACTGCTGTATCTAGTTGTGTTATCAGTTTAAGGAAAGGCAAATTGTTTCATTGATGTTTGAAGACCCTTTTTCCTTTTGGAGAAGCAATACTACTTATAGACTTTTATTATGAACTATAATTTACAAATACAAGGAAGTCTGGAACACAGCTTTATATCAGTGGTTAGGAGTGAAGCAAAGGAATCTTAGTTTTGTTTTTTTCTGATGACAGCACACTTGTGATAAATTGAGCGTTTGGCATCATTGTTCATCTCAGAATGATTAAATGCCTCCCTCTCACTTGTAATTTTATATGTTAACTTGCCTCTTTTAAACAAGGCAGTTTCTTAATTTTGAAGAATTACTTTGGACATATTAATTAGGAAAAGGATAAACCATTTTCTACCATGGAAATTTATATATGTGTAACATCATGAATAACCAGAAAATGCTAAGTATATACACTATAGATATCTATTTTTAAAGGCAAAATACACTTTATAATTTTTGCTACCATTAAAAAAGGTACTGATTATGAATCAAACTTTTATGAGAATTTAGGTACAAAATGGAAAAGATTTTTAAAATAGATTTCTGGTTAAAATGATATTTTGTGTGAAGGAAGTGATAAGATCCCTGACAACATGATTTATTGAATTGCATTTGCCTGTAGTGTTACATTTAGTTTAAATTTTTATACAAGACTGATGCTTGATCATAAAAAAAGTCTTGGTAGACAAAGCACATAGAATCTCAGGGAATTAACTTTCTGATTGTAGCTATATACATTGGGTAACACAAGAATACCTGTTTGTAGGTGTTAAATTTGAATTCTTAATGAAGAAAAGAAAATCTGGTGAAACTACTTTAAAACAATTGTATAGGAAAGCATTACAAAAAATATTTGGTTAAAATAGACGGATATTTATAACTGGTTGTCAATTTAGCATTCAGTTTCTAGGATTAAGCTTACTACCTTTCCATTAATTTATTACTGGATGGATTCCTTTCATCCTCACCAGAACTCTTTGAGGTTGAAACTATTATTATCCCCATCATTTAAATGAGTAAACTGAGGCTTGGATATTAAGTATTTTGCCTAGATCACACTGCTTATAATGGCAGACATTAAATTCTAGCTCTGGCAATTCTAGAGTCCCTGCTCATAACCATTGCATAGCCTCTTTTGGTTCAATATGGTTTGCTAATAAATACTTGGGTGACTTTCTACAGTTTCAGAATTAATTTGTTTCATCTAAGCATACACGTTTTTATGTGTGTATGTACAAAACAAAATACCTTTTTGAAATTACATAAGTGATACATGCTTATTGCGAAAGAGTTGGATAATACAATATACTGTAAAGAAGATGAAAACCACTCATAAATTCCAACCTGTAAATACTTTCGTGTTCATATTTTGGCATCTAATGTATCCTTTATGTATATTTAAATATATATTTTATTCAAGTATAGGATCATGTACCTCCCTGTTTTATAATTTTCTTTTTTAATTTTTCAGTGTATTGTGGACATCTTTTCTCATCAACAAATACATCCCACAATGTTCATTTTTGTGCCTCATTATACCATGGAATAGTGACATCCTAGTATGTTTAAGACATTCCTTATTAATGAACAATTAGGCTACTTCCAATTTTTAATTATAAAGGACATTTTGAAGGACTTCCTTGTACATATTATTCTATTGCTTTATCATCTTTTTGGGATAATTTCATGTAGTATATTTCCAGTTATTTAAATGAGAAAGTACATGGTTTATAACAAATGGTATTTAACGTCCAAGTCACTGCTATCTAAAGGGGTAATTTTTAAGGTATAAAATAATTTGGCTTATAAAAAATGCGTGGGAAAAATATCCTAGAAATATTTAAGGATTAACTTCTAAATTGTAAATTGACATATTTAATGATAGATTCAAAAAATTAGGAGAAAAGCAAGTGGCAATTTTATCACATATATGGAATACAGTACATGTCCGATACAAGGTAAATAGTATAATAAGCTTACTTTATATTGCATATGCAGTATAGTTTATTCTTTAGAGAAATTGATTTGTAAGAAGAACTCATTTTCTTAAGCAGAGTTGAGTCAAGGGTTTTAATTAAAAGCAGTCTACTCAGGCTTTGCCTTTCTCGGGCGAATAATTTCTCTCTTTTCTCTGCTTTTGCTTTGCCTCCATGGATGATGCTCCTGCTACCCTTCACGCTTTGTCAAACCAGTTTTGAAGTTTTCGCCTTCCCCCGATGTATGTCGCATGTGTGGGTAATGGCATGGGCTTTGAGGGAGTACAAGAGAAAAGAATTGATTTCTCTTTTCTTTAAAAGATGGCATTTAATTATCTTTGTTTTTATTTTTTTGCTGAAATATATTAAATGCACATTGATTCCGTTAAGTATTTTTCTTTGATAAAGTTGTCAGAATGTCAGAATATGCTTTTTTTCTGTTATTGATGCATAATATTTCATACATTGGTGAGGTATACGTGGGAATTTTCTGCAAACATAGAATAAATAATGGTCAAGTCAGGGTTTTTGGGGTATCCATTACCTTGAGTATTTATCAGAATTTCAATGTGCTGGTAACATTTTAAGTCCTCTGTTCTAGCCATTTTGAAATATGCAATATATTATTGCTAACTATAGAATATTTTTATTATTTTTTATGAAAATTTGAAGAAGCAGGGGCAAGAATACTTTCTGAATTAACATTGCATTTGTGCTACCTATATGCTAAAAATACAGATTCTCAGGCCACTCTTAACCATACATTTATAAAAAGATGTATGATGTTATTTATGAATGTTTAAGACAAACAAGTTAAGCCACTCTTCTATATGGAATCTAAAAATGTACAAACACTGCATTTGAAAGAGACATTCACTTTACTTAAAAATAATTATTTGCTATTTTTTTAAAAAAAGACTCAGAGTGGGACTTTTGAGACATCCTCTTTTGTACATTGAACAGTGGAAAAAAACTTTACTTGTTAACATTTTAGAAGTATATTTGTTTGCAAAATCATGGTATAATTGAAGGCAATACTGGCTATATTTTAGGAGATGCACATATTTGGCTTATCTAAATCTTAGTGTCAGAAATTGCCTACCTGAAAGTTCCCTGGTAATATAGAAAAATCTGTCCTCTTTGCCTGACTTACAAACTAATTCTAAGAAGGTTGGATGTTTTTAAAGTGTAAATTGTCTGGATGGACAGTTTGTGGTCTACAAATTTATTATCCAGCTAATACTGTCATAACTTTATGCTGTGTGACTACTGAGTGTTTTTGAGTTTTTAAAATCAGAGCTTTCCTCAAATTCACATGTGATTAAAATATTTTTGAAGAGTCTAAAATATATACTAACCTTTGAGGTTCCAGCTGGGTTTGGAGGTAGGTATGCTCCACATTTAACTCTGGCTGTGGTTCAGGCCTGCCTGTATTTTATTTTCTGGTAAAATTAGATGTTATTTTTTCTTTTTGCTCTTCCCTTGTGATGTAGTGGAAAGTGCTCTGGATTGGAGGAAAGGAGACTTTGTGTTCTAGATTCACTTTGTGACTAACTAGCCGTGTGACCCTGGGTGAGTCACTCAAGCCTCATATACTGTTTCCTGCTTTGGAAGATTATAGTTTGAAGTATGCAGTTTCTCAAATCTCTTTACAATTGCAGAGTCAAGCAAATCTAGAGTCAAGTAAATTTCCTTTAAAACCTTAAACATTCAGATCTATGAATTGATACCCGAGGCAACTTTAAGACAAAATCTTATATTTTGGACGTAATGATGCTGATGTCCAAAGATCTAGATCTATATCTATATCTATATCTATATCTATATATATATATGAACTACAAATTCTTAAATATGATTTCCAACCAGTGGCTGAGAATCCATAAGTTATAAGCAACTGTCACACATACAGTCTGAAAGCTTCAAAAATTGTATTATTTGAACTTATCTTGTACAAGAAAGCCCATTCTTTGGAAACAACTTTGCTGCAAAAGAATCATGTCAAGGGGCTGCTGATGAATGAAGTTAAAGGAAAGTAAGCACAATGAGAAAATAATTCTATGAGAAAGTGACATGCTTAAAGTCTCCTTCCTCAGTTTCTTGGCATTGAGCGATGATGCCTGTTTTGTTCACAGTCAGATGTTCAAATCAGAATTTTGGATGCAGAAACTAATTTTAGTAGGTGGGGTGCAAATTTCTTATGAGTCCATGAATAGACTCTAATCCCAGCTGTTTCATTACAATTATAAAAATAAAATTGGCTGTGAATCATTCAAACTCTGTTTAATGGATGTGAATAATTCAGTTTCATCCCACTGAAATCTTAAAACTATAAACCTATCTTTGTTCTTTATGTTCCTTCAGAGATCATATGTCATTACTCATATATGAATTATTTGAAGTATGGGTGATCATGATGAAAGTGACCAAATTTCTACTTAGCTCCTGTGGGTTTCAGGAGAGGAGGTGGCCTCTAGGGTGAGGCTAGGGATTAAGTGGAGAAACAAATTGGGAAAAGTCCAGGAAAAGAGAAAAGGGTGTTAAATTAGGATTTCTTGGCATTATCTTTCCTATCAAGATATATGTTCATTATAGACATTTTAGAAAATATAAACAAGCAAAAAGAAGAAAATAAGTTTTCAACGTTTTTAATGTATTTACTTCTGGACACAGACACACAGGCACATGCACACTCAGACATGCTCACTCACACACATAGACATGCACCTGCAAACATAGATTTGTATGTTTATTATTAAATAACTTTTAATTTCACTTTCTAATAAATTACACGCTGTTTTATAGCAGCGTATATTCTGCTACATCATATTTATTGACTTCATAGTATTTCACTATATGTTGTACTAGTTGTCCTAGAAAAACTGTCTATCGATTTCTTATTGTTGGACATTTATTTCTATTTTTTGCTATTATCAATAGTGCCACTTTTAGTATGTTTATAGCTGAATAATTGCAACTTGCTTGCGATTTTAAATTTTGAGAATTGGCGTCCCAACAGTCAGGCTCCTCTATGGGACCACACAGTAGTAGAGTTTATTGGCAAGCATAGGTCACTTTACCAGATCATGTATATAGACTCCTGAGAAACAGGAAAACAGTATTATTTCTTGGCTTCCATTATTTTGAATTGCCTTGCAGTGATAGCTAAGAAATAGAAACCCTGAAGTTTTTTAAACATTATTATAGTGGAAAAAGTGAATATGATTATTTGAATAAGGTGCATTTCTTGAGCAGCAGCAAAGAATCAGCCAGGTATTGATTTTACTTTCATAATTGAAAGATTTCTCAGTCACTTGGACATTCAGAGAATATTTCATAGGACAATGCACTTATAAAGTTATATATATATATGGGATTTAACTGCCTTCAAAACATTTCTTAATATGTCAAATTTCTTAATGTGTTTTGGTGAGCACATGAAGTTGATGCCAGTAACTACTCAGTGAAGTGTTTGGTGCACAAACTGAATTTTGAAATATTTAAATTTTCTTTCATTTGC
Source organism: Homo sapiens (assembly GCF_000001405.40). Taxonomy (NCBI): domain Eukaryota; kingdom Metazoa; phylum Chordata; class Mammalia; order Primates; family Hominidae; genus Homo; species Homo sapiens. Next base: position 115,574,593 of record NC_000008.11, on the reverse strand, counting down.
TTACAGCTATTTGTACAGTTTATTGTAAGATAAGAATGAAAATCAGGTGTTAAAGCAAAGAGTACAAAACTATTCTATGTCCTGTCTCTTTTCAGTTGCTTCTCCAAGCATTAGACTTCTCTAGGCAAAGTCCTTTCATAACACTAGAGATTCATTATATTTGGTAGTTCATGAAATTTTAACAAGACACACTTCTGTTTGTGGGATTGGAATGCGTGTTGGTGAGTGTCCGAATTTAAATATATTGGTATTCATATGGATTCAGGATTTATTTTCAAAGAACAGATATTCACTAGACCAAACTAACCTGTACTCAAACTTGAAAGAAATAGAAATAGAAAAAGCAGAGGATAACTTTGTGGAGTTAATTCCTGATATACTGGTCTCTAAAGTTTCTTGTTGTCCGATAAATATTAATTTAGCACCTGCTGGGTTTCAGGCAGGAACTGTGGAAGAACTTATAAAGGGTATGAAAATGAGTATATCAAGATTTCTGTACTCAAGTTATATACAGTTAGCTGTAGGTGATAAGACAGGTATGGTGACAGCTAAAATACAATCAGACTTCCATAAAAGAGGTGAAGGGAGACGAGAATGATTATGATTGTTTAAAGAGGAACAGATCACATTGTGTTGAGAAAACCGACTTAGTTGTCCCAAAAGGTTTTCTGAGCTTGTTTCGGAAAGGAAGACTGGACTTTTAGCAGGTGAATATGACAGCATGAAGGGTAAGCCAATATAGAAGAAACAATGTAAGATTACAAGGGGCATTTTCAGGATATAGGAAAGAGAAAAGCTTGATGAAAAGTTAGGTATAGTATAGTATGGGGAGCTAAGACTTGACATAAAGGTTAGGATAATTTTCTAAAATGTTTATTTGAAAAACTTTATCTCAGAAGGAAATAGGGAACCATTCCAGGATTTGGGCAAAGGATAATTTGATGAAACCTTTAATAGGGTTAATATGACCATCTTACATAGGTTGACATGGAAAGGAGGTGGACGGGGTTGAGGTGACGAAGACTCATTAGTAGGCTGATCTCTTACTCTATGAGTAATAACAGGGAGCCTACACTAGGATAATGATGTTGGGAAGTGATTTCTGTAGCTATGCTGAGCAGACAGTCTTCAAGAGTTAGCAAAGTTTATATGTGCGGGTGACAAAAAAGAGGCTTTGAGTTTTGATGACTGAAAGGAGACAAATAATAGCTAATCTTTGATAAAGACTAACTATGGGCAAGGCTTTACTCTTTGTTTGTAGTAACTTACTTAATCCTCATTATAACCCCTTTATATAGATGCTGTATTTTCTCCATTTTACAGAGAGGAAGTAGAGCCTCAGAGATGTTATGTCACTTGTCAAAAGTCACCCAGCTAGTGAATGGCTGGATCAAACTGGATCATGTCCAAGTAGCCTGGCTTCAAAGTTCACACGCTTTACTATATTTATTCTTTTTTTTTTTTCTTTTGAGATGGAGTTTCGCTCTTGTTGCCCAGGCTGGAGCACAATGGCATGATCTCAGCTTACCACAACCTCCACCTCCTGGGTTCAAGCGACTCTCCTGCCTCAGCCTCCCGAGTAGCTGGGATGCGCCACCACGCCTGGCTAATTTTGTATTTTTAGTAGAGACGGGGTTTCTCCATTGTTGGTTAGGCTGGTCTCGAACTCCTGACCTCAGGTGATCCACCCACCTCGGCCTCCCAAAGTGCTGGGATTACAGGCGTGAGCCACGGAGTCTGGCGTATATTTATTTTCAGTGTATCATTAGCAGAATTCTAGAGTCAGCTGTTCTGTGAGGGTAAAATAATGAAGCTGGTTTTGTACTTACCAAGTTTGTAAGGCATTCAGATGAAAATATCTAATGGATAGCTGGAAACGTAGGCTGTCATAGGGAATAGAGGAGTTGGAATGACTTCCAAATTAACTAACATTCATTTAATAATTGAATATAAACTGAAAGCCTAGTTTGTTCAGAATATTATAGGAGCAGCATTACCATGACTAAGCTATAGACACTGATTCTTTAAGACTTTTGCAAACCAGTAGCAAAAATAATGTTCAATAAACCGATTACAGCACAAGAAAAAAAGAGTGTCAGGTACCACAGAGTGAGAAAAAACAACAACAATAACAAAAAAAAAATAGCAAAATGTTGTAGAAATTTAAAAAAGGAAATGACCCCTTCTCAATTAATCTATCAAGACAGTGTTCCAGAAGAGGTTGCTTATCAGTTGGTTCTTGAAAAGTGGTATTTGGAAAGCTTAAGAAACATAGTACACTAGCCTACAGAGAATCTAAGCAGAAGTTGAACTTTTCACTCCAACTAAAAATCTATGTTAAAAAAAATGAGTGAGGCCCCCTCTGCAGTGAAAGTTACTATTTTGACATTTGTGAGATCAAATTTTAAGATCCTCTGGGTATGTCAAAGTCTTTTCGTAATTGATAGGATTCAGAAACACCACAAAGACATGCATGCTTTAAGTATCTTATTGTAACCAGCTAAACTAAAAGAAGAGTACGTTTTAGAACAGAAGGTGGGTATTTAAATCAAAGTCTAAAATAAAAATTTAATTGTTTAATTATGTAAATAACTTCAAAACGTTTATCTTCTTTTAAATATATAAATATATATGTAGGGTGTGTATATATGTAAATAGCGTTTATTCAGATATAAATAAAAAATAGCCCTACTACTTAGGGTCGTATATACATATTATCAAAGAAAAAAATATACATGAAAAGATTCTTGAATACCCATTTAAAAATGAATGCCGTATTTACTATGCCTGTTGGATAGATTCATTATATATAAGAACTATCAAATTTTAGTTTTATGTATTGGTGTTCTGATTTATTCGCTAATCATTTCTCTTAGATTTAACCCAGTGGCTTATTTTCAAGTCTTGTTTAATGTCTTATTTTATAATTGAGGAAAAAAGAGAAATGCTTGCCTGTGATATATCACCTGTTGTTTAATCGCTAACACTGTTACATATCTTAATACTGTATCACATTAAGTCATTTTAAAAGCATTCTGCTTTCCCTTTTGTTTAAAATTCCTACGATCCCTGGGATATTGGTAGGGGGTTAATGGAAGTCTTGATTAAAATCTTCCAAGCTTTAAGGCTTTCAGTTCTTGTAAACAATTTGGATCTGAGAGATAGGCCTATTTATGACTTTTTACTAGCCTATTTACCCATTTAATGTTAAGAAAAAAATATGCTTATTAAAAGTTTTGTTATAATAAGTACAAATTAAAATGTCTTTTAAAAAATCAGCCACACTTCGTTGTGTGATGATCACAGAATTTATGGTAGTTCTTTTGAAAATTGTCTGAAGATGTATTATAATCATTTTAAAAGTAAAGGAACTACCCTGAGTATACCAATTTTCCATTATTTTAAACAAACCTTTTAAGTTTTATATCTAGATTGCTTTTAAGTAGTTATTTCCAAACTTGAAGGACTATGAACTCTAATCATAATCAATCTGCACTTGTGTCATAATAGCTAACCTAACTATATAGTGGGTGAAAGTCTTGGAAATAGGTAACAATACAGTTGGAGTTTACACTTGGGCTTACAGGCCCAGTCCAGACGATTGATCCAGTGGACCAGCCCAAGCTAGTCTGACCTTTCTTATGGCTGGCAACACTGACTGCACAGTATTCTGGTTCGGTCAGAAGTCTTGGTTATTCTATTTTTAATGAACAGACATGCTGAGTTTCAAACATGGTGGTTTTGGTTTACATGGGATTGAGTTGGCATGCATGTAGTTTCCAGTTCTTATGATTTTAAGGTATCAATTTCATGGCAATGTTGGGGTTTCTGTGATACTCCCTGGGCTTGAAATTGAAGTTCATTGAAGTGTGAGTGTGTGTGTGTGTGTGTGTGTGTGTGTGTGAGTGTGTGTGTGTTTTTTTTGAGGTTTTTCCACTAAAAGCAAGGAGCTTTTAGACAAGTATGGGACACAGTAGAACAAAGATATGAGAGATACTGCAAATACTAGTTCTTTTAATTTATCCATTTGCAAATTTTCCTCCTTTAGCAGACTGAGAGCTCCTGAGGGCTGTGCATTTTTATATTTTTGTTTCTTGTTGGCCCTGTTATACTGCTAATCTTTTAGGAGGTCTAAAATCAATATATCTTTAATGGAATAGAATTATATGAGGAAATATGCATTTTTTAAAATTTGGAAAACCATATTTTATTTGCTGTATGAGACTGCCGTACCGCCTGTGTAAATTTTCTACCATTAAGATTATAATTATAAATTGATTATTATTTGTATACTCTTTTAGGACTGATGAATTAGTAAATTATTACTTTGTGCATTATTTCCAATAACCTTTAGGGTATAAGATTATCTAGTGAGTTACTTACTCTGGAAAAAATCAATTACAGCAATTTAGGGTTCGTATAACAATAAAAAGGATTTGAGCTTTAATGGAACATTTTAACACTTGGCATGTATCTATATCTACATATATATCTATATATATCCCTTTTTTCTGAGTTATCTGGTGAAACAGAGATTTCTTTATAGAATTTTGTGACACAGGAATCTAGAGACACAATCTGCCAGTGCATTTCTAGGTTTTAAAAGTTTCAGTTCAAACCTAAAAAGTCTATTTGTTAAATCATGACTCCAAAATTTATTTTTTATATACCTTCTTTTTTTAATAAAATTGACTCTAGGTTCAATTTTGGTTGAACTTAATCAGTCTTCTTTCTACACAGCTATATTATTAGTTTATATAGAACACAGTGCTGGCAAGTGTTGAAACAAAAATGTGAAGAATGATTTACCATACCAATATACTGCTTCCTTCTAAAGAAGGGAGATATTTTAGAATATTAGATACTGGGCTCAAGATAACCAGAAATGTGTAATGGGACCATTTATCTATATCATTTTATGGCCAAGTCAGAGAAGCAAAGGCATATAGCCCAGAAAGTGTGATAAGAAGAAGAGAAAGATACTAGTAGATTATTATTCCTTAAGTCTGCAGCATGACTTAACTAGAGACAAACCTGGATACGAGAACTTGAAAGCTTTTGTGAACTCAGGAATGCATATGATGTTTGTACTACAAACTCAACCTCATCATCTTAATCTCTTTGCCTAGAAGAGATGAATAAAAGTACAGGTTATATTTATGAAACTGAAATCTATAAAGGCATGGAGCTCTTTTCCTCAAGTGGGAATTCTTGTGTGTTTATTTGACCCTTTAGCAAATTAGTGGAAGTAAAGGAGGGAGAGAGGGTATAGCTGTATGGAAATAAAGCTGGTGAAGTATTCTGCTCTTCTGTTCTTCTTAGTCTTGATGGTGAACCATGCCTACACTATACTATCACTCTGGTACCAGATTTATTGCCTGCCAGGATTGGAATTCATGCAGAGAGGAAGGATTCATGAAAAAAATAATCAAAGTCAGGAAAGTCTTTTTCTGTAATCTTGTCTCATACAGTGAGTTATTTTTGTCTGGGTAGTTTACGGGGATGTAACTCCTTCAGTCATCTAACCGTGATGTAGTAAAAGTCATTTGCAGGAAATGAAACTCCACTTTGTTACTTTTTTCACTTAAAGGCTAATCTGATTAGCTTTAAAACATTTGTTCATCTTTTAATTCAGTATTTGTATGATGCCTATGGAAGACATATGGATTTAAATAGAACTTGGCTAACCATCTGCCAATAAGAGAAAGTGAGATGCTAAATCAGAGAGGCAGGAAAGTCTATTTCAGTAAAAGCTATTTTGATCTGAAATACTGTAGGCAGTCTTACAGAGTATTTTAATTGGGAGGATATTGATGCATGCTAGTAAAAGAAGTGTATTTGCTGATATGGTTGAAGTTATGTAATCATTAAATTTCTATATAAGTTTAGAGATGTGGAACTATGTGAAATTTTGATCCTGTTAATTATAATTTTTTTTCCTAAAAAAGCCATTTGTGGAAAAAAATTTTCTGATATATTTTTTAGAGCAGTGGCACGTTTTATATCTCATGCCAGAAACTAGAGCATAAAATATCAACTTTTCAAATAAATTAACTAGAAATAAAGAACAATTTATTCAGTGCTAATTTGTTGATAATTTTTTATAGTAAACTATGTTTTAAAAATTTAACTTTGGGGAAATTAGAAAGAAGAAAAAGAATATCTTTTCTCATGATGGTAAAATGCTGATGTATAAAGCTGAAAAATTTACAATTATGTCATATTTATGTTTTAATTTAAAATTGTGAGAGTTTAGAGTCATGTAAGCATTAAGAAAGATAAAATATCTGAATTATATATATTTGCATATATGTGCATGTATATACTATTCAACTTAACCTTTATAAATAAGCCTTATTTTTATTATTCAGATTAATTGTTCATTCTTATATAAAATGTGTCTGGCATTTGGTTTTTGCTGGGGGAGTACAATAATACATGGTATCTGCCTTCTGGGAAGAAGTACAGTAATGGGTCAGGAATTAGGACAGTCACTGTCAGTCACAGTCATCATCTCAGTTAATCCTCCAAATAACATTATGATGCTGGGCATTGTCAACTCAATTTTATTGATGGCACTAAGGTATAGAAAAGTTAAGTAAGTTGCCCCAAAATAACACAACTGGTTTAAAACTCTCAGTATGAGAGGTGTTGAAACCATAGCCTCTTACAACTAGAAGATCACTGTATTCAATACTCTAATCCCTGATATATCATGAATGCTGAAAGAGGATTTAGACTCTACTACACAGACGCCCTGAAAGAGCTGCAGGAGGCACAGGGAATTATATTAACATAGTGGATTGCACGTTAGGGACAGAAATGGACCAAGGAGCACATGAGAAGTCCACATTGATAGAGGTGCCTGGCATGGGCTCCCCTTCTCTGCCCAGATGGTGTTGGTGTGACCTGATGGGTGGCACCTTCTTGACAAGGATCCTTGCTTTAGATATTTGGAATATTTTATGTTATCAAGCTATTTAGAAATTTTAAGTCACTGCAAAAGTGCTCATTCCAAATTCTGTTTCTTGCCTTTGTCTTGAATCCATATCTGAATATTTAGGAAGATTTGGTATTGGTATAGAGAGGTATCAATTTGGCAAAGATCCTTCTTTGCCAAATTCCTGGAAGTGGAATTGCTGTGTCAAGGACAGTGCACCTGAAAATGTGGACAGGTAATGCCAGATTTCCCCACCCCCCTTTCTAATAACAGTGAATGACCTGAGAAGTAATTGTGTCCATTTAGAATTTCATTAGATTACGATGGAAATGAAGGTAGAAATGAAGAATCAACATGTGGAAAAAATATGTCTGTAACTAGGAATTGATGTACTGAGTTTTTCTGTCCATGTTGATTTATTATTCCCTTGATGGCATTTTTGAGACCAATTATTTCAACATGTGGTGAATCTTTTTATTCATCTGTCTCTCTGTATCTGGAACAAGTATATCTTGGATATACCTGAGGCCTAAAACTTGGTGTTAACCAGACTTTCCTCTCTATGGTGTAAACTGCCATAGTTGGCAAGAAATATTCCAGGGAAAGCAATGTAAATTTTCTCAAATGAGAAAGATGCGTGGGTTTATTTAGGATAAAAAGCAGAGACATAAATGCTACAAACATATATGGTATTAGAATGATTATTACATTTATCCTATCAGGTTTTGAAGCAGTATTATTGCCTTAGTTTCTTGCATCAATTTTTCTCTTCATTTTTCCATCTTATCTCTTTCCTTTCACAGAATGGTTTGATGAAATTATAGGCACTAAACCATTTTTAATTACAGATCTCTTGAAAACATATCATCTCACTAAACTTCGAGGCAAAATGAAAATGTGTGATTATCCCAATTTATTAGAACTTTTGTAGCTGTCTTAAATTTTTACAGATAGAGGTTGAAGTTGCCATTACTTAGTGAAGAGTCATTGTCCGTGGTTTGAAGAATGAGTGACAAAATTAATCAAATTCTGTTTTTTTTTCTGTTTTCTGATTTCTGGAATATTGCCATTTTCCATATGTTTTTCTGACCTTAGGAATACCAGCTGGCTACAAAAAAAAAGAAGAAAGAAAAAAATGCAAAAACAACAGCAAAACTCAGAAATCATTGCTTCCCTAAGCCATGCCATTGGCACTGCCCCTCCCTTAGTGCCACATAACCTGGAGCTCACTAGCAAGGTTCTAGATCTGCATCACTTCCATTTTCTATTTTGCCAACTGGCCTTGAGCAACAGGTGTGTATTCTTCTTGTTGCTGCAGGCTTGAAGGAACTGTAGGGTAGCTTCTGTCCACAATTCTGACCACTTGCCTTTTGGCAATCTGTTTAGTGACTTTAGGCTCTTCTATCAAGGCCATCTTGTAGACTGGGGGGTTGTCCAGAATTTTATGATACATGCAACATTCTGACCACCTGCTAAGACTTAAATGAACAGACTACATGTAGATATTCTTTCTTTCTCTCATACTTAACTTTTGCCCATGCACATTAGTATCAAAGATGTTATGGTAATTCAATATGTACAGTTTTCTTTAAAATAGGATATGGCCACGAATTTGCTAAAATCTATGCCATGGTATGAGGATAACTTACATGAAAATATGGTACAAGATTAGGTAAACAGTGTTGTTCATATGAGAACTTAAAAATTCCCTTACCTTGAAGTTTCAAGTAAATGTCTTTCGTCCTTTTAATTTGGTGTGATAAGAAATATTGCCTTTGGTGTAATCAGAATTATGTAGCATGATGCTTCTTCTTGGTGCTGTTATTTTTACTGCAGTAAATATTTATTTTAGTTGGCATTGTTGAGTTACCTCATTTGTGAGCACAGCTAGTAAAGCTATGGTTAAATTTTATTGCTTTTACTCTTAGAATCACTTTCTCAGCTAGTTTACCTTGGAGAGACAACTTTACGTTTTCCACCAAATTAAAGAAGCTGAGAAAATTGGGTGGAATTTTTTTCTTTTTTTTTCTGTTTAAAATGTGGTTACTTTGTAGTACTTTGGCGAACTCACTAATGTATGTATGAAAGCACACGCTTATCAAATGGAAAATAAAATCAAAACAATGAACTCCAGTATGTTTAGTAATAAAGAAAACAAAAAAAAAAACCTGTCATTTTTTCCAATGCAATTAAATACAAAGAGACCACTAATATTACATTTATCTAATTCATGTCTTCTCGGCAATATGAACCATTCAGATGTTCCTCCACCTCTTTTGAGAGGGATGTATGCTGTCAGACTTTACCAATGGGATACACAGTTGGGGTTTTGGAAATAATTTTGAATCTCCTTGCAGGGTAGCCTGCTAAAAGACAGGGTTGTAGAACCACTTCCGAGGGCCTTCTAAACTTAAAAAAGAAAAACACCTGTAGCTGTCAGCACTACTTTCAGCAAACAGTCCACATCGTTATGTGTCATTTAACTGCTTTCTGCTTGTCAGCAGGAGTCTTTGTTTCACACCTAAGAGTTGTCACATCAGAAATCAGAATAAAGGCCTAAGGTCTCTATTCCCACGGGGCAGTAACATGTTATGTATTATTTTCCTCTAAGTATTCTCCATCTACTCAACTCTCTCCTGGAAACCTACATGTTTATTCGAAGCCCCTATATATATAGTGTAGGGTATGAAGAAAAACGTGTTTGGCTTTTTAATGACAGTCTTTTCAAGTGTATGTACCATTATTTATAAACCTATGAATGTAACATTCAGTGGAGTTAATGTGTTCACAAGTATACCATGAGTGTGGATGGTGGCCAGAAAAGTATTATTCCTGAAAAGAACACAACTATGTAAGCAACTCCTGTATTTTGACTACTTGCTGTAGATAAACATGCTCCCCTCATCCAAGTCTGCTACAGGAGTGGACAGAAATCTTGGGGTACCAATATTGTGAGGGGGTTGGTTGAATTCAGCATTTTGGCAACAGAAACTGGAAAGAAATAATTGGCGGCCCATACGGTATGTGTAATGGGCACTATGAGCTGTTTAAACGTACACCAATTATTTTGAAGCTTTCCAAACCCATCTGTCACCATATTGTCTAGTCACATGACATAGAATTGTCATTTCTCCCTGCATAAACTGATACAGTTACAATTGATTTTTGCTTCAATCGTTTGTATAAATAGACCTGTGTCATCAGGATCTATTGTTTTTGTTTTGTTTTGCTTTTGCTTTTGTTTCCCCTACCAGTGATCTATGGTACAATTTACTTGAAAAACAAAAACAGGTATAGCTAGAGGGCCACAGCATAAAAAATAAAATTAAGTATTAAAGGCACTTAATATAGGGTTAAAAAATACCCTGTGAAAGCTACGGCACATCTTTTCCAATGTGTACAATTGAGTCAAGAAAGCATAGTTGTATCTTTATTGCAAATCTAATAATGTACCCCATAGTATTGTATTTAATCGCTGCTATTTTTCTCTCCTATTCATCATTGTGTAACGTGTAATTTGACATAAATTCCTGGCCACTGACTCTTTCTGCGGTGTTGGCAGGCTCAGTTCATAACTGGAGGTAATTGGAGTGAGATTTGAGCACTGTTCACTGCAAGAACTGAACAATGTTTAGGATACCTCTGATTCTCGTGAGAATTCTGTGGGGCATAAAGGGGAACATGAAAGAATAGGAAAGTGCACTTTTCTTTTTTTCCAACGGTGGCAGAATCAGGAGATTTCTTGGTAACTGATTCACTGGTTCCTGAGTCTGTTTTACCTCTGGCAATGTTAAATAAACCCAAGACTGCATTGATTTCCCTTAGAAGGTGTATACTCTAGCAGTACCCATTATCATTGCATGAGTTATCATAACACCTAATACCTCAGCTGGAGTTTAAGCATTATGACAGCTTGGGAACTTAAAGTGAGTACAGTAAAGACTTTAGGAGGGCCTGTGAATACAAGTTAAAGATCACGTGGTTGGCTCCCATGGAAGATTTACATTGTTAAAGTAAACTTGTGTGGTCACTTTGAAGTCATAGATTTTCCATATAAATTAATGAAGAAAAATAAATTTCTCTAAGATAGTGTTTCTCTTTTTACATTTGCATGAGAGGAAATGAAACAGTATAAAGTTTTAATTTCCCCACCTTCTGGCTAACCATCGGTTTAGTGATTAGCAGAGGAGACTTTTATATTAGGTTTGGAGCTCAGTTTCCTGGCTGCAATTCATTGAACCTTGACGTAAATCTGAAATAAGTATTTTGTAAGGGGTTAGCCTTTTGTGCAGGGTGTGTGAGAAATCCTGCTGGACCAGGTTGGTTACAGAAACTAGTGTCAAGTTGCCTGTGCCCTAAGTGGTGAATAAGAAAATGCAGACAACAGAAAAGTAGAAGAAAAAAATCTTCCTAAGAACACCCTCACCCGCCACTTCCGAAAGCCTTACTGTCTACCTTAAAAGGACTTGCAGTTCTTTTTAGTGATGCATGTTTGTTGGGTGGGACGTTTTTTCTTTTTTAGAAATTATACAGTCATTGCTAGTGGGTAGAGTGTGTCAGTACAGAAGACAAGTGTTTCATTCACATAATCCACATGTTGTGTGGTGCTTGTTGAGGCTGGTTGCTTTGCATTTAATCTACTCGATCATGCTATTTGCCTTAGGTGATCAGCAACCTTTAATGTAAATCCTAGCCAATCTAATAAACTAATGGAGAGAGAGGAACACCACACACACACACACACACACACACACACACACACACACACACACACACAGACACTGTGGGTAGGGGGAGTAGGCATGCGTTCTTTCATGGTTTATATCCACATTATCTTAGAAGGTAGAAAAGTTATGTGCCATCTCTCCTTTGATCTCTCCTTTGATATATATGCTCCTTTTTTTCTCCTTTTGTTTAAGTAAGTACACTATATTGTTTGGTAATAGAAAAAGAACATCTTATCAGCGCAGTGTCTTGAACTTGGAAACTTGAAAAAAAATTCAAAATTTTGTTCAGCCTGACTAGTCTATATTCAGTTAGTCTTAAAATTGTTTTAAAACAAATCATGTTACTAAAATTCAACAACATTTTTTCCCCTTATATAAACTGCAGTTCAGTATTGTTTAAGCTTTTTTTTTTTTTTTCCTGGCAATCACACTGACCAACTGTTTTGAGTTTTGGATTATTTTGGAAAAGAGAAGAGGGAACAATTCTTGATAATTCCAATTACAGATTTGAATTAAGTACTAAAACTTAAAAATGTGGTTTTTTTAAATAAACAACTTCTTTAAAATATTGAAAAAAGTTAGGAAAATTGATGAAAGTGAATAACCATTTTCTTTATCCATTGGAACAATCAGAGTAAAGAGACTATTGAAAGCTTCAAAATAAAGGGAATGGTCTTCCTCTTTGATATAAGTACGTTTAAATGGCTCTACAGAATTAGGATTTTTATTTTTAATATCATTGGTCTATTTTTTAAAATTACAATGTTTGTTAAGAGGGTGAAATTATACTTGCCTACAAAAATTTACCTTCTCATACCTCCTTTCATGGAGCTTTTTATTGTTATATTTGTTTTGTTCTTACTGCTATCGTCTTGATGTATTATAACTGCTTATTACTCAAGGGGCATTTATACACGTACTGGGAAAACGTAATTCTTCGTTCATCATTAAGTTTTGAAAAATATTTTTGGATTTGTCGATCATGATCTGCACATGATTAAGGTGCTTGGCTTCCCTTCCCTCTGCAAGCTCAGTTCATATTGGTAATTCCTAGGTTTTTGTTTTTACTAGCAATTGTGTTCTTTTTTTTTTAGATGGGGTTGTAAGTTTTTGGAGTATTCCAGTACATGCTTGATGGTAGTATTAATGGTGGTCAGAACAGGTTGGGTACTTTTTCTTGCATTTTTCTTGCATGCATTCGTAGCTGTGCATGACTGGAGCCAGTAGCTTGACGATGCACACTGAGTATAGATGGATCTTTAGACTTTACTCAGGTTATCGTTCCTCCTGTAGCAGGTTTCGTTCAATTTATCCTACTGTAAAGGTTACCGAGGGTAAAATTCTATTTCCATTACTTAATAGTGTTAGGTATTGTGTTGTTGTTGTTTCTACATGCCCCCAAATTGCACCCCTTGTTGCTACTGGAGTTCCAAACTAATTAAGAGAAAAAAAAAAACACAAGATTAAGGAAGTTGAGAGAACAAAATATCACCTTTCATCTGATTCAGCTAGTGTTGAAGAATGTGGCTTGTCCTGTGTTCAGATCAGCTTCCTAAAATTGAATTTCACAGCCTTGTAGAAGTAGCTCATGGCTGCCTTGTGTGTGCCAGAGACCCCAGACTGCACATACAAATGCCAAGATGCACGCCTTGCCTTCACGGTGTTTTCAGCCTGTCAGGGAAGATAAGCCATGCACACAGATGCCCAGAATATAGGTGAAGATTTGTAAATGTCAAATGCAAGGAATAAGCATTTCAAAAATTGGTGTAATATTCACACTTCTCTTACTTTGTACCACAGAGGTTTTGTTTATAAAATATTTTGAAACATTCACATAGAAAGCGTTCTGTTAGGACAAAGTAATCGTTGCACCAGTCCATGATTAATGTTAATGTTCCTTTTGTCTTTATAAAAATAAAGCTGTGGTTTTCGTACTTTGAGTTCCAGTAAATGTGTTAGAGGTAATGAGGTAGGAGAATGTTAACGTTAAAATCATAATAAGCAGAGTTAGACTTTTATTGTTTACCTCCTAAAACAAGCTTTCTGCCTTTAAGCTGAAGTTTTACTTGGTGTTACCAACTCAGTAGGGATTTTTATGCTAAACTGATGGTGTTTAATACTTCAGCAGTCGAAAGAGGAGTGAAAAATCGTTACTTGTTTTCCTACCATGGTGTCTGCCAGGTAGCATTGTAAAAATCTAAATGTGCCTTGGGTATCACTCCAGGCCATTCATCCAGTCCAGTTTCTGAAAGGACCCTGCATTTTACCCAGAGTTGATAAAAGTAAACTTTGTAAGTTCAGGAGCAGGGGCAGTTTACACCAATGTACAAATTTTACTCACAATTTCTTAAGTTAAAAGTTTCTTTTAACTTTTCTCACAGTGTGGCTAATTTTGCATTTGGGACTCCCTAAAATGGATTCAGCAGCATTTCCCTGGAATGTTCAAAATAGTTCAAGGCACAAAGTAACCTAGATATTTAAATGGCCCCTTTACACCTTAGCAACGTGGTTGTTATGATTTTATGAAAACAGTCTTTGTTTCTTTTCTCTGCTAACTTCTGGCTTTAGTCAGCAAAGATTTCTCTGCCTCATTAATGTTGTAAGGACTCTAAATAAAATTTTTCTTCGTGGATTCCTTTTTGGGCAGGCCTGATATTGATCACTGATTTAATGCTTCTAGTTTCCTGACCTGTTTTATAAATTGTGGGAATAGCCTTTTTAGATTTTGAATGCCCACAGTAGTCCTCTTTCTAGCTTTGGGAAATGATTTGAGAAATGAAGGAATGTTGATTTTATTTTTACTCTACTTTGAAAACAAACAAACAAACAGATTAATCAGATTAATAAACAGCAACATGAAGGTGGATGGAGCTGAGAAGAGAGTCATCTTTAAATTCTCTTAAAGTATAAGCAACTCATTCTTGTGCTTTGGGAACCTAGTGCCTCCCAAGAAAGTCAAGATGAAGATTTGAAATGTATACATTTATGACTCAGTATTTCTATAAGTATATAATGTTAGTAAAGGAATTGTATAAAAAGACTTAAAAGGCCAGTTCATCCATCCATTGTCTGTTATTGAAGTCAACAACTTGATGATTTGGTTTCATATAAAAGATGTACACCTGGGGGAAAGTGCATTTCAAGGGCACTTTCAAGGGTAAGATTTTACAGGAATTTGACATTTTTTAAAAAATAAAATCTTTGGAAATTTGATTCCAAATTTTAATTCATTTATAAACTCTGTATTGCCCTAAAATGATTTTCTCATATGGCATCGAATGTGATGAAGCTAGATTCATTCACACATTCAATAAACATATATCAGTGTCTGCTGAGAGCAGGGCTTTATGCTGGGTACTGGGTATTCAGTAGTGAACCATACAGAAATATCTCTCATGGCAGTTACTTCTTCTGTGTATATCTGAACATTCAAGGGTAATAAACATAAACCATTTGTGGTGCGTGAGACCTAGGAATAAATCAGAATGAGCTCACACCTACTTACTTCTTATTATAACCCTAAGATTGACACTTTATGAATTTAGTGTTATCCAAATAATGATGCAGTATCAAAGATGAATACCTAGATTTAAAATGCTAAAAGCTTGTTTTAGAAAGCCAGTGAATAATGTACTCTCACTTTTGTATCAATATTTCAAGTGCTGCTGGGTAACATATTGAAATGCTCACACCAGCCATGGATGATAATAAATATGGCATTTTTATTAATGTTAATAAACTGGGTAGCATAAATGGAGAAGACATCTTCATAGGATTTCATAATGTATTTTGTTATTCAGAAATATTAATGTACTTTGTAATGCTGATGCAGTAACATTAAAGAATAAAAGACAGAGGTTTTATCTTGAAATTGTATGGTGTTTAGTAGATTTTGAAATGTGGATACATTTAAAATAAAGTTCAAGAGCCCCTAAGGCAGCTGATAACCACGGGTATTCTGATAGCAATGTTACCCCTTAACATATGAATTTTTTTAGGTATAGCATCTTTGTAAAAGTGGTTTTAAATTTCATCTCCTTATCCTTTAAAAAAATACCACATTAGCATTCCAAAGATTCTTTATCATTTCTAGTTATAGCAGTTGTTTTATCATTAACACGGTGCTTTCTTATATCTAGCAGGTTTGATTCTAGATAATTTGATAACTCCAAAAGCGTATGCAATTTGTCATAAAACTATGTTACAGAAATATAATTGTAATTATGGATTTGAAAAATCTTAATTGTACAGAACCCCACTGAGTAGATGATGAAAAAAAGCAGTGATTAAGTACAGGCCAATAATGGGAAGATATAAATCCACAAAGTGAATTTTATGCTTCCAGGAGTAAGTGTTTTTCATACTTAATTGCTAAAATGCTTTGCAGCACTGAGAAGAAATATTGAGAAGCAAGATTAGTTGTGCCAAACTATAACCTTGAATTCTATGGAAAACCAGTGCCTGGATGCCTTAGTGGCTCAGCCTCTTTATCTAGGGGAGGTAGAACAGCTAGGCTTAAGCCTCGACTGGCCATTCCTTCCCCACTGGCTTGTTTTCTGATTTTCATTTATAATCATCTGGAAATTGAAGAGCTTTGATTGAACGCCAGTGGGAGATTTTAGCTTTATTTCATCAACCTTTCCCAATATTAACAGTAAATTACAACTATCTTTATTACTGCTAGATTAAGTTAAATTATAGTAAGATGGTTTATCATCATGTGTCCTTTATCCCTGGTCTTAGACTAGAGTTTACAGAATATCTCACAAATTTGAAGAATAATATACAATGTTTTATCTGTGTTAGCAAGAAATGCAAAGCCTTTTTTTTTTTTTTCCTGTCTGTTTTGTGAATTGAGCTTAGAACTGTCCTCGTAATTAGAAATCTGGTTACTTGGATTCTAAGCTTAGAGTTTCTTAGTTTTAAGAACACATCACCTCATAATTGTACCATAATTATGAACGTTACAAGTAGTAGTGTTTTTGTGTCTCTTACTGTCAGTGACAAGCAAAAAATTCGCTAGAATATATTACTCTTCCCTAACTCTGAGATGGAAGACAGATAATAGCCATGGTGCTTGAAACATGTGGTGCTATTGGGATGGGAAATTGTAACAGCATTTGACATGCAAGGGTCATGTTTGCACCTCTTCTTGGATCCAGTGAAAATGTATTAGTTCATTCTCACTTTGCAATGAAGAAATATCCAAGACTGGGTAATTTGCAAAGGAAAGAGGTGTCATTGACTCACAGTTCTTTATGGCTGGGAAGGCCTTAGGCAACTTATAATCATGGCGGAAAGGGAAGCAGACATGTCCTTCACAAGGCAGCAGGAGAGAGAAGAATGAAAGCTGAATGAAGGGGGAAGCCCCTTATAAAACCATCAGCTCTCTCAAGAACTCAGTCACTATCACAAGGACAACAAGGGGTAACTGCTCCCATGATTCAATTACTTCCCACTGGGTCACTTCCATGACATGTGGGGATTATGGGACCTGCAATTCAAGATGAGATTAGAGTGGGACATAGCCAAACCGTATTAAGAGGCTTTTAGATTTTGGGGGGAAAAGGAGAAAGTTTCATTGTAGTCATGACTTACCATCTTTTGAGTTTGAGACATATGAGGATGAGAAACAGGGTCTTAAATAACCAGTGATATAGTTTGGCTGTGTCCCCACCCAAATCTAGTCTTGAATTCCCATGTATTGTGGGAGGGACCTGGTGGGAGTTAATTGAATCATGGGGGCAGGTCTTTCCCATGGTGTTCTCATGATAGTGAGTAAGTCTCACGAGATCAGGTGGTTTTAAAAAGAGGGGTTTCCCTGCACAAGCTCTCTCTCTTTGCCTAATGCCATCCATGTAAGATGTGACTTGCTTCTCCTTGCCTTCCACCTTGATTGTGAGGCCTCTTCAGCCATGTGGAATTGTAAGTCCATTAAACCTCTTTCTTTTGTAAATTGCTCAGTCTTGGATATGTCTTTATCAGCAGCATGAAAGCATACTAATACAACCAGTAAACTCCAGCACTGAATCTGTTCTTTGCATGGGCTGACGTTTAAATTGCTAGGGCTAAAAATGCTAGGGATGAGGTAATAGGAAGCTTGGAAATGTGGCATACATGCATACTTAGCATCATAAAAAATAGGAAATGCCACTAGACATGATGAATTTCTGGAGATCTTAGACAGAAGTGTTCCCAACTTCATTAAGTTGCCAGATTTGCTGAATAGATATTTGTGTGTAAAGGACTCAAAAATACTAGGAATATATAGCAGTAGGATACACTACTTGGCCTAAGAAACATGCAGTCTGTTTTGTAAAGCAGAACACAGGCACATGAATTGGCACAGGAATGGCATTTGCCATCCTTTTAGACAGATATGGTAGCAGTATACCATATGAATATCAAAAGAGCACAGAATAAATAAAGGACCATGGTTTTGAATAAAAGGACGTTGATTTTCAAGACCTGTACAGTTGACTCCGAGAGATTTAAAGCTAGGGTCAGTCTTTGGATGGAGGATATGCAGGCATTGCAGGTGTGTTAATAGGCAATTTAAATATGCTGCTTATCAGTCAGTAAAAAAAAGTTCAGAATTTAGAATATCACAGTATTTCAAAGCAGCCATTCAGGCATATTATCTTTGCCATCAGTTTCTCTGTTAAAAAAAATAGTTTTGTCATTCTGTAGTTTTTAAAAGACAATTTCAAAACTTTCAGGGGGAAGCAATAATTGCCAACAGGAACCTTGACACCTAGAGGTTGCCAATGTGATCAGCCTTTTGAATGGTAATCTTTTACCATCCCTGTTTGAGATCCACATGTAGAGTAGTTGGGATATATTGAAATCACACTTAGTGTCTTAGTCTTGAAAGTTCTTTTTACTTTATTTTATTTTATTTTTTTTCAGACAAAGTCTCTGTCGTCCAGGCTGGAATACAGTGGTGCAATCATGGTTCACTGCAGCCTCCCTCCTCCCAGGCTCAGGTGATCCTCCCACCTCAGCCTCCTGAGTAGCTGGGACTACATAGCAAGCCACCATGCCTGGCTTTTTTTTTTGTTTGTTTGTTTGTTTGTTTGTATTTTTTGTAGAGACGAGATTTTACCATGTTGCTCAGGCTGGTCTCGAACTCCTAGACTCAAGCAATCTGCCCACTTAGCCCCGAAGAGCTGAGATTACAGGCGTGAGCCACTGTGCCCTGCTAGTCTTTAAAATTCTGCAATAGGTTTAGCAGTGTCTTAGCAGAAAGTGCTATTTGAGTGCTGGCGACTGGCTTGCATAGTGGAAATATACTGGCCTGAGCTCTGCCCACCTGACCACATACTGATGTCATTATCCTCCCTTCATCAACCCCCTCTGCTTCACATAGTCTTGTCTGAAGGGAATGGGTCAGCTGGAAGAAAAAAAAAAAGAAGTACTTGCCAAAGAAATCTGTTTTCTAAAATCCATAGAAAAGGTCATTAATGTTTCATAACATATTGGAAGTGTTCGGAAAAACTGTTAGGTTTTCTTTCTTGTTTTTAATAATTACAAAGGAATTCTTGATGTTGGAAGTGAGAAACAGATGTTGAAATAATCAGTTTCATTTACCTTACATACTCCTACATTTAGGACATGTAATCTTAAGAGTCCGATTGAAATTCTACCTGATATGAAAGAAATTCTACCTGATATCTTACTGAATGTTCTAAGAGCGAAGTTAGCAGTACAGAAAAAAAACCAAGTATATTTTTTAATTGGATTATCATTTAGGAACTATCCATTCAGAAGACTGTGAAAACTGTGATTGTTAAGTGTCTGTTAAACTGTGTTTGCCTTTGACAGTTAGTAGCTTCTAGGGTTTGGGTGTTTGGGGAATGTAGCTCCCACAGATACTTTGGGAAGAGATAGGAAGGTATCAGTAACTAGGAAGTAGAAAGAGAGTCCCTCAGTGTTTGAGGTAGAACCACTTATTTTCGCCCTCTTGCCCTGTTCCATTCATGCTCATTGTCAAACTGGTCTCAGTCACCCTGTTCTTCCCTTTGTCCTTCTCCTCACCTACCCCCGGGCCTCTCATCTCCCTCTTCACACTGGCACGCCTTTCAAAGGGCCTTCTCCTCTGAACCTGTGCCATCTAGAGCAGCTGCCCTTATCTCAGGACTCCATTGACTTGCCCCCTTTTCTAATCTGTTTGGAAGCCTTATCTCTTCGTTTTGGCCTCTACACTGTAATTTATTTCTGCTTCTATTATTACATTGATAAATCTCACATTTAACCAGACTTTGAGGGATATGCTGTTGAACTGATGTAAATCTTGAATCGAAAACTGCGGTGCAATCCTCATTGGTCATAATGTGTGGGCTGTTTTGCGCATAATAACTGATGGAGGCATCTCAGTTTTAAAGTTTGAGAATGAAGCATTGTTCAGTTTTGTCACCCTGAATCAATCATTTTATTTTGTGCATTGTTTTATCGTGATGTTTTTGGAATAAAGATTGGTTCTAGGAAAGGGGTGGGTCATTTCATTTGGTGATAACGGAAATGCCCTTCTACTTTTTAAGTGTCTTTGGTATGAGGTGGGGCCCTAGGTAGGGCCTGGATGTCTGACTGTCCTGTCATTTTGAAAAGCTCCCTTTTAAGACAAGTGGGACTCTACTCTTAGGTTATCTCTGAGGACTTGAAAGAAAGGGAGAAAAAAATCCTCCCCTATTATTCATTAATGACTAGAAATGCTGAGCCAGTTTCACAGATTTTCTTCTCTTGTTTGCTTTTCTATTAATATTAAGAATGCTTTTGAGGAACTAGTTTAGTGAATGGGAAAGCAATAAACACTTTTGTAGAAATGTTTATTAATATTTCATACTTTTAAACATTCCACACTCTTAGTTTCTTTAAAATTAAAAATGTTTTTATAACTTGTAGTATACAAATACATTTTAAGAATTTTTGGAAAAAAGTAAGTGTTTAATAAAGACTATAAATTTGGAATTCAAGTTTAGCAAATACTCAGCTATCAGAGCCTGATAATAAATTCATTGAAGTGTTAATTGTATGAGGAATATCATGAACTCCACATATTCTCTATTTATAATCAGATCACAAATTTAGATGATTTTCCAAATTTTAGCTATCACTTTCTAAAGGATTCAACAGTCTAATATAAATTTATTTACCTCTATGCTACTGTGAAAAAGAAGAAGAGCAATGAAAGTTTCTAATATCTATCATCAGAGTATCTTAGCCTAGAAAACTAAATGTTATTGAAAATTAAGCTGCTTATATATGTTGTGGTGACATTTACATTCTCCTAAATAATTCATTGTCTATTTACTTATGACTACTTACTTATCAAAGCTACCTTCATATCAAAGAGGAAAATAGAATATTGTACAATAACATATATTATCATAAACGATAAGCAGCAATAATGGTTTTTAACTAGCTAGAAAGGTTTTTAACAGCGTGGTCAGCCTAAACTTCATGTTAGTATATTAGTGTGTTAGTTAAGAAACTACTTTTTGAAGGATTTACATATACCTATACATAGAGTGAGTTAAACATTCAGAATGTGGATAATTCATTTGTTGATTCAGTCATTATTTATTTTTACAGACACTCTAAATGATCAAGATTCTGATCTGGGCATTGCAATTACAAAGTTGAAATATGCAAGATTCCTGCCCAAGTAAAGGTTACATCTCAATAATCTTGGTAAAAAGCAACAAAAAATACTACTTACTCAACATAATAAAAAATTTTAATATATTATGATTTATATAATGTTATGTATAAAAATATGTAATTTTGGTACTGTTTAAAAATCAAGGTTTTATGTAAACTTAAAATTGGCCCACTATCATTAGGACACACGCTTTGAGTTTCTTTAGTAGCAGATGTAATACTTTTGTGAATATTCGTCTTATTCTCTTGGACACCTTATCTCCCTATTAGGTAGTGATGCATTTTTACATTTCAGCATTCTAGAAGTGTGTAGTCTGTGACCATTGTACTAGGTCAAATTTAATTAGTTATTTCTTGGATGAACCTTTCACTGTGGATATTGCCAGGATTAAAGTTTGAAGGTAAGAGGGCTTTAGGGGGTGGGGGGAATTGCTGACAAATAAAGTACCTTCAATGAGTTGTATAAATTGGAGATTCAGTTTTTATAAGAGCTAATGGGAACACTTATTATAACAACCAAATGGTTACAAAAATTATAAGAAGAGTGTTATTGATATAGCTCAAATATGGTACAGTTTGCAGTTTGCTGGTTGTGTTTAGTTAAGTTACCAAGGAAGTTACTATGCTACAGTTTTTAATTAAAAATACTAATTTATTTATTTCTGTACTGTAACAAAGGGATATATTGCATAAATGATGGTCATTTGCTGTATAATATATTTCTGTTGAAAAGTTATGCATAAAATTCTTAGTTTAATATGCATTTGATTTTCCACTCATGATTACTAATCTTTGCATTAAAGTAACAGGATTATTGCTTTTTCATGATGTGAAGGGATAAAGTGGTAGGAGTAAACAACAGATCAGAATATCTTTTCATTTTTTTTAAAGAGGTGAAATGACTCCCTTAACAAATTCCAGCATTTTTAGATTGTAAAGTACATTATGTAACTTCATTCATCATGTAGACCTCAGACAGATACTTTAATTTTTTTTTGAAAAGGTCTTGTAGCACACTTAATCTGCAGATCTTTTCTGGCAGGAGGAAAAAAAAGCATATACTGTTAGATTTGGTGACATAAAGGTCAAAAGATAAACTGTAAGTGATACCTATGTTTATTTTTTTGACAGTGTTAAATTAGCAACCCCTCAGACCTCTCTTGGAGCAGTACAACCTGAGTAATTGAACATGTCGCTGGGGAGTATGCTTGGTTAAGCTGATTCCTATTATGTTGACTTGTCAGGGACCAATAATTAAAGCTGAAGAGCGATGCTCATTAGTGTCTGCAAGATGATTCGAAGAATGAGAAGAAGTCCTTGAGGCACACCTGCAAAAGGCAGGCATTGCATGGAGGTGAGAGCAGACGGACTGGCCTGCTTTTCTGCTATGTTAGCAAGCCAGCGATAAAGGGGATACACTAAATTAAGTGTTGCAAATGTATTCTCCCCAATTTAGATTATAAAATGCATTTTACTTCCGCCTTTGAACATAATTTTATTCCAATTTTATTCCATGTAATCATATTTTGCTCAATTATGCTTTTAATGCTATATAAGATGTTTTAGAAACTAGATATAAGTCTATTCAAAAGCACTTTGAAAAACTTTATACTATGAATCATTTCATTCATTTTCCTGGAAGCATCATAATAATCAAAATCTGCTTTGCTTCTTTGAACTCTCAATACTCTGCACGTAAAACATGTGAGTTATCCAGCTTTGATGATAAAGACTTTAGTGGCATACATTTGTCACATTTACTTCACAAAAATGGAATTTTTAAATGTGTATTTAACACGTACTAAACCACATACAGTATACAAGCATTGGCTCCCGAGAAGGCCAGAGGAAAACACTACATCATAAGTATAGAATTTATATTTATCACAACTTGAGCAAAGCTGTTGACTTTTGGAAACAATTCAAACTTTTTAGCACTGGAATGATACAGAAACTCAATCCTAAAGCTCTGAGAAGCATTTTTCTTCTTTTGAAATTTGCCTTAGGTAGGCTCACTTTTTACAAATCTATCATAAAATCATGGGATATACAAATATCCTAATATTTTGGAATATTAAGAAAAATAATTTATTGGATCTTTTTTCTGTAATCTGGTTTTGAAAAAAGTGCTTTATAGTGGTGAAGTGGCCTTTTTACTTCCAGTGTTGTGCCTGTTAAATTTATCCTGTGCACTTTGGCTGGAGGGATGCATGTGCCTTTTATTCAGAGTGAAGGCTGGAGTCTTTACACAGAAGTCCTCCGTGTTTGTATCTTCAGGAGTCACTGTGAGATTATCTCTTTGAAGAGGCCCTTCCTGAAACTAAACTTTGTAGAACTTGTATTACTGATATTCCATGTTAGCATGAAATTGTCCGTGTTTCGGTTTCCTCCAACTGAAGGAAGTCCCTCAATGGAAGGGACTGATTCTCGCTAATGTTTACATGAACAGTGGTTGGAGCTCAATAAAAGTTGGTTAAACTTAACATAGTCAAGGTGCAGAAGAGACTTGCAGGGTAGTTATAGATTTCCAAGAATACCAAGGGCTTTAGAAGTCAAATAGAACAACCTCCAACTCAATGTCAAGAATTTCTTACAGGATGTTCTTTAACAGATAGGTCCTCTCCTGGCTTGGTAGAAGATTTCCAGTACCAGAGAGGTCACTACTTTGCAAAGTAGCTGTTTCTAGATTGATCAACTCCAATTTATAGTAATGACAAATGGTAGTTAAAAGAGTTGTACTTTATATGAATTTGCATTAATTGTCATTTAGTCTTCACAGTATCCTTAAGATTTAGCCACTAAATATGATTATCTTCATTGTACAGATAAGGCTCCTGAACTTCAGAGAGGTTGAGTGACTTACCCAAAGCCCCACAGCTAAGTAGTGGCTGAGCCAGCATGAGAGTCCACCAGTATCTGACTTAAGAGCTGGAATGCTTTGGCATCATAGCCCACAGCTGCCCCTCTTTTGTTATTGTTACAGAACTATTTTTAATTACTTTCCTTTAAAAGCCCCACAAATCATTGGTTGCCATTAGAAATCATTCTTTTTTGAGACAGAGTCTTGCTCAGTTGCCCAGGCTGGAGTACAATAGTGAGATCTTGGCTCACTGCAACCTCCACCCCCGGTTAAGCAATTCTACTGTCGCAGCCTCCCAAGTAGCTGGGATTACAGGTGCCCACCACCACGCCTGGCTAATTTTTTGTATTTTTAGTAGAGATGGGGTTTCGCCATGTTGGTCAGGCTGGTCTCAAACTCCTGACCTCAGGTGATCCACCCACGTGGGTCTCCCAAAGTGCTGGGATTACAGGCATGAGCCACCAGGCCCAGCCTAGAAATCATTTTTGTTTTGTTTGTTTTCTTTAATAGAGCAAGGAGAGACTCTTGCAACATTTGTTACCTATCCAGGGTTACTAGGACAGCATTGCCCATCCTACAATTGCTGCATAGTAGTGGTATGAAAAGCACTCCCCAAAACAAATAGATTCTTGAGTTTATCCAGTAAAACTCTAATTTACTCTAATTTAACACTTCCTGTGTCTTAAATCTTAACTCCAAAGGGCTGTTTTGTTTAGCGTTTTTTTTTTTTTTTTTAATAGAGTATTATAGTAGAGAAGCTACTTGACCAAGGTTCCTAAGTCTGTCTGAGTAGCTGCAAACATTTGGGCGAACTACACAACTCAAGGAATATAGATAGCCTTTTCAGCTGTCAAAAGGGGACAGGGGAATCCCTTTTCTACTAATCGTCCATCTTTGATATTGGAGTACAATGGACTATATATGAGAACATTCTTACCAATTGATGTATTAAAACTTATAACTTTTGCTTAGAAGAATTTATGGTATTGATGTTATCATCTTATACAATATGATGTTTTCCTAGGACCTGTCATATTGGAAACATAATTGATATTGACTCTTGTTACAATTATATAATGCTGAATACATATTCATTTGCATGAAAGAGATTGACAGTGATTGAATTTAGCAGGATCTGTCATAAGCCTTGAGCATTCTTTTCTTAAAGGTTCCTGATAGCAGGGGGTTAGGGAGAGATGTTTAGACATTTCAATTTTTTAATGAATTTATTGATATACAGTAGGAACAGTTCGGCTTTCACATTAATTCATACATTTCAAAGATTTTTCTTTGTGATAGAATGATGTAAAGCTATTATATATTCTGCCCAGAATGTCTCTCATCTGTTTCTTTAAAAAACGTTAAAGCACCATTGAACCAATTTTTACGGTACTATTAATCAGTGTAATCAGTATTAATACACTACTTTACCAGCTCAGTGCCACTTGTCAGTAATATGACAGGGTGAATTTTACATCTTCTTCACAAAGGCTTTCATCTATTAGGGAGAGAAAAAGGAGATCAGGATTTTAATTGTTAGCAATCAGAAGCCTATGTGATTAAGACAGGCATTCTGAATAAGACACAGCACAGATTATACTGAGAATATTTTTCATCCTTTACTAATTCTTTTATGAATTTGAATGTAGTCTTATTTACCTGAAACTTTAATTATAGACTCAAAGGAGAGTAATATGCCTATTAGAAATATAAGAATTTAATGTTAAAGGTTTTAATGTGGTTCTGGCTGGCTTCTTTCTCTCTTTATATCTTGGCTTGCAGTGTTCCCAAATCCTCAGGTTTCCTCCAAATGAATGTTGTTGGCCAGGCACAGTGGCTCATGCCTGTAATTCCAGCACTTTGGGAGGCTGAGGTGGGCAGAATCAGGAGTTCGCGATCAGCAGGGCGTGGTGGCGGGCGGGGCACCTGTAATCCCAGCTACTCAGGAGGCTGAGGCAGGAGAATCGCTTGAACCTGGGAGGCAGAGGTTGCGGTGAGCTGGGATTGCACCACTACACTCCAGCCTGGGCGACAGAGTGAGACTCTGTCTCAAAAACAAACAAACAAAACCCAAAAAACAAAAACAAAAAAATGAATGTTGTTGATTTGGTTTCTAAAATGCCCACAATTAAAACTTGATTTCTTTAGGTTTAGGATTATTTATATATATGTATTTTTTGAATCTTGCTGTGTCACCCAGGCTGGAATACACTGGTGCAATCATGGCTCACTGCAGCCTCAACCTCCTGAGTTTCAGTGATCCTCCTGCCTTAGCCTCCTGAGTAGCTGGGCTTAGAGGCATGCGCCAACCACACCAGACTTATTTTTTTTTTTTTTTATGTAGAGATGGTGTTTCACTACGTTGCTCAGGCTGGTCTTGAACTCCTGACCCCAAGCAGTTCTCCTGCTTCAGCTCTCAAAGTGCTGGGATTACTGATGTGAGCCACTATGCCTGGCCAGGTTTAGGATTATTATGCGTAGAAGTTTTCTCTTAAAATAGAAGTGATCCTTAGAGTAGCCACAAGTTAATTTATTTCTAGTGTTTACAACCCAGCACAGTTTAGTTCTCAGGTAATTAATTCACTGTTCAAAGTAGACAACAGGACACAAAAGGAAAACCGAAATAAGTGCAGCGTAGAAGGAATGGTGGAGAGATGGCTAAGATAAAGGCAGCTACTCTTCGGGAGTGAAAGGAATGAAGCCTTTCCCGGGATGAGGGTAGCTCAAGGGACTAGGGACCGTGGCAAGATGGTGAAGAGTCTCTCTAGAGGGAGGCAGGTTGGGAGAAAACAGAGAAGCCTAAGAAAGAAGTTCTGATTGCCCTGAAGCTAATTACGGTGACTGCCTTCTATTTGAAACACTAACCTGTGTGTGATGCGTTTAATGACCAGAGAATCAAATAACTTGCTTAAAATCCTAGCTCTAGGGGCAGGTATTCACACTCAGGTCACTACCATACAGCCACAAGCTTAAACCCCATGCTTCACTGGCCCAGCTAAAGCTAAAGACTCATCAGATTATTTCAGCTTAGCACAGAGTTAAAAAGACGGAGAGGCAGAGGGAGAGAGGGCTATAGAAGGGAAGAGAGAGAGGGAGAAAGGGAAGGGGAGGGCGAGAGGTAGAGACAGAGAGAGAGAATTGAGTCATTCTTTGTTCCCTTTCCTGATTTAAAAAAGCAAGTGATGCTTAGAAAGTCAGTTTAACAAAGTATGGGTAATAAAAGCATCTTTTAATCATTTGCTATTTGATATGGCATTTTTATGATTTTATCAGGCATGAATTATACCATTTGATATATTTCTTAATATAATTAAAAAGTAAAATTAAGTAAACATCCCGTAATTTGGATGCTAGATTAAAAACTTAATTTCTAGGAAATTACAAAGTCTGTGATGAACTTCAAATGTAGTTGACAACTACACTGGCAGTTTTATTATTTAAACATTTGAACTGGACTTTGTGGGAACAGTTAACGTAGGATTGGGACGTTTTTCTTTGAATTATTTAATAATTGCCTCTTGTCCGTACTTGTGACATCTGTGCTTCTGTTTTACCAACCTGGATCTCGAAGGAACCTCTGCTCTGTGTTAAAAAGTAAGCAAATTTTAACTAAAGTTGCTTATTCAGCTCACAGTAATGAAGAGTTATGTAAACTGTTTTGCCCAAGTTTACAGATGTCTGCTTATATTAGGTACTTATAATAGTAGATATTTTGAAAAGATTTTTAAAAAGTAATTTATGGAAATAATTTATGGAAATGTTACATTAGTTAAACACTAAAACCTCCGTGGCTCTGTGTGTGTGTGTGTGTGTGTGTGTGTGTGTCACATTTTACATGCCAGAGAGTTACATTTATATTTTTTCCTACTTTATCCATTGGATGTATATTATTTCTTGAAACACTAAGGATAAGAACATGCCAAATTCAGAGTTACTTACAAAAGCAAATATTATTATGCTATCACTGTTATATCTTTGAAATTAAAAACAAATAGTATCCCAGGTATCACTTAAGTGTATTAGAATATAGATTTGATTGTTAGAGAAAGTCACCTATTAGTACGATGTTTTTATATTTTTTGTTTATTTAGCATTTTTTAGCTAGCATTGGGAATCTTGTTAAAACTATTGCAAATGCTTTTTAAATATATATGTATATAGTGTATACATATGTGTGTATTTAATTAAATGCAAGAATTTAATTTTTACATATTATATAAATATATATATTCATTTCAATTTGTTGCATGTTATTTATTTTGAAAGTTGCTTGCTGCCCACCATTGACATTTTCTAAATATGTTCTTACATATAAATAATGCTAGCTTAAGTTCACAATGTGGACAATTTGAAAAGATATTCTTTTTCTTTAGGTGAGGGATGATAATAATTAAAGACACTGTAATTCCATTGTTATATACTTTTTTGAGATCATAAACTGTTTTAGGTTATCTGCAAGTTTTATTGTACTCTGTGATATCTTAGATAAAAGAATTAAAATTGGTGAAATAAGTTGCAAAGTGTGCATTTCACTCAGATAACTTTCTATTCCTTTTCACTTCTTTGAATCTGTTCTTGAAATAAAACAATGAAGCCATTTGTCCTAAAAATAATGTTGAAAAATTGATTCATCAAGTATAACTAAAAGATAGTATGAATTTGACTGATGAGATCATTAGTTGTATTGGAATTTTTCATAAATCTGAATTGGATCTTTATCTAAAATATGAATGAAGAAATGGTCTGCCTAATTTTAATATTTTTTTAAAGTAAGTACAGTAAATAGTATAGGTCTATTTATTTGTTTTTAGTTTGGCCTTAATTTCAGATGGTTTCAAGGGTAGAATAATTGACACCATTGAATGCCTTGTGCTATTTTAATGACTTTCTGCTCTTTAAGTTAAGTTGTAGCAACCAATAATGTCCAAGGCTCTTAGGCATAGTGAAGAAGGGATATGAATTATCTAGATAGGAATTAGAGAGAATATTTAAGAAAACACAGAGTTAACTATTAAACTTGACGTCTTCCACCATCCAGTGAAAAATGCTACTGAATAGAGGAAGGAAAAGTATAATTCGTGCAGTTTAATTAGATAGGTTACCACACTGACACCAGTGGAAGAAACTCCAGTGTGAATTCAGACAGCAGCACCTTATGTTTCTTTATTTCAGCATACTCGGTCATCAGTGTATTCTTTCTTCCTGTGCTTGACTGCATTTGATAGTAGTTTCTGAGTGTGAAAGCTTTGTCAAGAAGGATCCTTTCCAACCATAAGCGTGCATCCACTTTGGAAACTACCTAGAAAAGCTGCAAATGATAATTTTGATAAAGAGAATTTTGTTTGGAAGATACTAAAAATACAGTTAACAATGAGCAAATAGCATTCTCTGACTTACTCGAAGGACCAGTTTATATGTAATTTTAGATACCTGCATTTTTAAATGATTGTATTTATTAGTATGAATTTTAGAAAAAATATTAAAAGAGGGGAACCAAAAAAAGTTATATCTTGCTTTTTTTCTTGTCCTTTCCCTCCACCTTCTTCTCCTCCTTCTCCTGTAGTTAAGTTCAATTACTTGTAAAATCTGAGGTTCATCAACTACAGAATTTCACAAAAGCAAAAACTGGGAATTCTACAGAAGTTACACTGGAGAATGATTTAATAAATTAATGAAAGGGTGTTAACGAATGCAAATGTTACAGCATTGGTGGACGTAAGTGCCTCCATATCAGGCAAAAATGGTTGTGTTTGAATCCTTGTTGATAGAAATAACATTAAGTTATTATAAATATTGTACATGAAATGGGTTTTCTTAGGCTGCTGGATGTCTAATAATTTTAGTGAGTGAATCAATAAAATACAGCTTTTTAATTAGTATTTTTAGGTGTAGTTGGAAGAATTGCTTAGCACACTGTGGTGTTAGGTATAGCTCTAGCAACATCCTCAGCAGATGCCAGGGAGGTACAGGACTTAGATTTCAGTGGCTTCCTGGCCCTTCCACCTGCCTCCAATCCAGCATTTTATAGGTCACATTCATGACATTCCTCAGGGTCAGGAAGTAAAATATTTTTATACATTAACTTACTAAATCCTCATAGTAATGCTATGAGATAGATACTATAACTCCCATTTCCCTGATAAGGCAAATGAGGCCTGAAGAAGGCAAGTGGCTGGCTGGGAGTTAAATTAGGCTACTTAGTGATGGGCTGCAATTTGAGATTTCATACTAGATCCTTCCTCTTAGCCGCTTGTTTCTTCTGCTTCCTTTCCATTGTTGTGTTCACAAAAATGCCACTTCACAGGTTTGAAATTATTCTCTTTTTAGCCTGAAATGTTCTTTACATTTCTTGATAGGAGGATTTTATTTTATGTCTAAATACATTTTCTTGTTCACTTTTGTCTTGATGAATTACAAGTAACAGTTTTTAAATTCCATGTCTTAATGTTTAGGATATTTGCATTTTTATGTTTTATTATTAAGGGAACTGTCAATATTATGTTAAACAGACATGAGCATCGAACGTGTTGTAGAGCAAATTTCAGAGAAATCACTTCTTAAATTATTTTTGTCAGGACAAATCAAAGAATTGTATAAGATAGGTAATTGATCTATAAACTGGTGAAGGGGTCATTTTAAAATCCAGGCTAATTTAAGTTAGATTCTTACTTGACTTACAGTATTGTGTTGGCTTTGGTTCATTTTTTTCACCTTCTCCTGGTACATAAAAAGAAGAAAGATTCTTGGCTTAAACAAATCGCTAAAGTTAATCTTGTATGAAGAAGAAAAAATGAGGACATCATTTTTCAATTTGCTAAAGAGTTAGCCTCAATTTTTAAAACTTTTTATCTTGGTATATAGATATATATTTTTTAAATGCTCACTTGCATATCTTAGAACCAAAGGCCTAATAACAAAAAATAAACACTTGGTTCTTTCAGAAGAAAAATCACAGATGGCAAAAAAAATTTAAAAAAAATTATTGGATCTTTTGAAAGCTAATTGGCAATTTTTATGTCATTGCTAATCTTGAAAGAGACAATAGATAAAACTCCATATTAGAGGTGGATGTGTAATACATAACCCAATAGCAATAGCAACAGAGCTGACATAGCCACAATTTAGTTTAATCCTTGTCACCTCTATGTGGTACACTGAGGTCCTGGAAGCTGTGTCTTTTCCATAAGACCATGCCTGCTTCCCTATAACAGTGATAGTGAGGATAACAACAGCGAGCCCACTTACTTATTTTCCCTTTGTGTTTCAAGTGGTGGTGAAAATATTCTCAGTCTTTTTTTTTTACCCGTCTGTCCTTTGGGCCTCCACATCCCTTAGGACACCAACCTGCTTCAAAACTGCCATAATGACTTGCTGAAATCGTTTATGTCAAGGTTAAGGAGAGTATAGATTCTCTGCTTTTTGCAAGTATAAAAGAGAAAATGTGAGTCTTCTCCCTGTATTTGTTCAATAAATTGAAAGGAGAAAGCTTAAGCTTGTGCTTTTCCCTCATGGAACTATGATTATTTCAGAGTAGGTCATATTGTGGGACTTAAAACTGTAATTATAGCATTGGGCAGTTCTCTCATAATAATAATAGTTAGCATTTATATAACCCGTTTCATCTTCAAAGCATTTCACAGGCACTAATTAATCCTCACAACATGTCTGTGAGGTGAGTATCATCATCCCCATTTTACAGATGTGGAAATTGATTCAAGTAAGTTAAGAGTCTTGCCATGGGCCATAGGAGGAAGTCAGAGTCTAAAAGCAGGGTGCAAACTTGGGAGTGGCCGGCGCCTAAATCCTTTTCCACAGCCCTAAATTAGACCTTCTCCCTTTTTCTCCCCATCTCCCCGTCTTTATTTCTTTTTTTTTCTAAGTTCTGGAAAGGACTCTGGCGTTTTTCCTTTCAGTCTTCCTTTTAGAGAGTAGTTTTTTTAACACTGCCCCCAGAAATAAATAAATCATCTTAGTATAATAGCTTTAAAGATCTAATGTGTCTAATCAGGATATAAATATTTCGGAAAGTCAGGAAATGAATTAGGTTTGGGTGCAAGAAAGGATTCCAAATTACATTTTGCCTAATAAATATCGCATCCGTAAACAGTAAAAGTAATGATAGTGATTAGTTAACAGTACCAAATAAAACGTGCATTTAAAATGAACCTGACCGGGCATTTTTGTGTCATGCTGACTGATGTGTACACAGTCCATTCTTTGAAAAATCAAGGCGCTCATTTGAATTGTAAATTGCCAACACTGCAAATAGTAAATTGCAGTAGTCTTATTGTGCTGTGATGTGACAAATTACAAATGGAATATTGGCTAGGCTTCCATATCTTGCATTTCTCTTCCACTTGCTGCTACTATCACCATTAATCTCTTTTGCAGAAGTTCTATGGCAAATTGTTCTGGACATGGAAAGGACATTAAGTTGCATTGTTGACTATTGCAGGGCTCTGTGTGGCTTCTCTGACCTCTGACTTCTCTTATTGGTGTAATCCAGTATAGTGATACTCATTTTGGGTCCTGCTGTGTGTGGATATAAGGGTTCTGGCACAGTTTATGTCTGACATTTCACTTAAATATTGTATTACGGTCAAGAATTTTGGCTGAAATGTGTCAAGTATATCTTAAAGTGGAATGTGGTCCTTTAAAATACATCCATATCAGAAACATAAACTATATTAAGGATGAGTAGCTTCTTAGTTTGGCCTTTCGTTTTACAAATGAGGAACCTGAGATTGAATGCTGTTAATAAAGATTAGTTTTTGGATATAAGGCAGGCTATGTAACTGTCAGAGCTGAAAAACAATTGATTTCAAGTGGAATGCTTGACCTCTGAACCTAATTTTTAATTATTGAGTTTTCATTTTAAAACACAAGTAAATTATGGATATAAGTTTGGAAGTATGTCTACAAAGAGAGGTTACTTTTTAAAGGTGAAAGTGTTCTATTGCCTTGGCATAACCAGTGAAAATTGGTTACACTAGAATAAAGAATAGCTATAGTTTCCTGTTCTTTATCGTTCGTGGTGAAAGCATTAATGTGTATTGAGTGGAGGGTAGAGTTGAAAATTTTGCACTGTGGTGAAAAAGAAAGATGGATATCAAAAAAGTATAGTAAGAAACCCTCCTAAGCCATCCCTATGTAACCAGTTCTCTCTGGACCTTCTTGGTAAAATGCACCATCTGATGTCCACAGCATGCTGAGTGCCTTCAGATAGTAGGCTTTGTTCTCTAATGTAACATACATTCGCTTCTGCTACTATTAGTTGACCTGTACGTTCACCAAGAGTTGTTGGGGATTGTTCCAAACCTGTTATGGTATGTGAACTTATTAATATACTTATGTAAATAAATTAAATATTATATAAGTGTATAAAATCTGAGAATGAAAAGGAAGTTCTTCAGTGACACAAAAATGAATGCTTCAGAAAGAAAGATTTAATAAAAATGTATCACTTGAGGTGTCAGATTAAGTGTGGGTGAGATAATTGTAGCAGATTGGGGAAAAGATCATAAGCATTTGAAAATTTTATTTTCTTTTTAATTTTCATGGGTATATATTAGATATATATTTATGGGGTGCGTAAGTTGTTTTGATACAGGCATGCAATGAAGAAATTTTAGAGGATCTATTATGTGCACAAGTTTATGTAAAAAAGACAACTGGTATGTAATTCAAAGTTTAGCCAAAGTATGTATTTTTTGTGTTTTGACATATAATTCCTGATTAAATAAAATAATTAATTTAAATAATATAATTAGTAATTTAAATGGTGATTACATTTTTTTTTATGATTCCCCACTTTAACTGACTTTTTCAGTTAACTGACTACTACTGATCAGTCAACTGATAAGATGAATTCTGCAGTAATGGAAGATCAAGAAATGCTATTCTCAAGATCTTTTTATTCACCTCTTCAAGAATCCTTTTTATTTTTCTGAGAATGGAAAGTTCTAACTAAATTCTTTGTTGCTGGACTCATTTCGTTTTATTGTGGTTTATTTATAGGAGGCACACAGAACCAACCACCAGTCATCCATCGCTTGTTTTGAGTTTTTCTGTTACAATATTGCTGATCTTTAATATATTCCTTAATATTTACCAATGTCTTACTACATTTTCTTATTAATTATACTTTCCCACTAGCTTTCTGATTTCACTATAACATTTGTGAATTCTCAAATATCGCTGTTAAATGTGTCCATTGTGCTGTTTTTCTATTTTGTACTAAAGCATGTTAAGCTTTCTTCCATGATGGAATTTATAACTCAAGAGAAATAAAATCAGATTATGAATTCTAAATTCTAAGGAATGAGAAAAGAATGTGGGATAGAAGAGACATTGCGGTCAAGAGGTGGTGTGTGAAGTTTGAAAGTTCTGTTGCCAAACATATGCAACTCTCATTCAAGAGAAAAACAATCTGCAAAGACTTTGAAGAATGAGAGAAACATGATTCTTAGGAGCAGGCTTTCAGATTCTCGATGATGGATCATGTAGACGGCAGATATTATCCAGCAAAATCAGGATAATTCCTGAGTCGGAGGCTGCATTCCAGCCTCTATGTCCCAGGCTGGAGCAGTGGCAGGATCTCAGCTCATTGCAACCTCTGCCTCCCGGGCTCAAGCAATCCTACTATCTCGGCCTCCCGAGTAGCTGAGACTACAGGTGTGTGCCACCATGCCTGGCTAATTTTGGGGGATTATTTATTTTTATTTTAATTTTTGTAGAGATGGGATTTTGCCATGTTGTCCAGGCTGGTCTCAAAGCCATGGGCTCAAGCAGTCTTCCCTTCTCAGCCTCCCAGTGTTGGAATTACAGGCATGAGCCACCATGCCTGGCCAAATTTCTTTATCTCAATTGACCCATCTTCAGGTTTGCTGATTCTTGCATCTACCAACTCAAATTCGATTGCTTTACTTTTCAACTACATAATTTTCATTTCGTTCTTTTTGAATAATAAATAATAAAATCAGGAACTGGGTAGAGGATGGGACTAGACATAAAATATTTAGAAATGGTGCAAAAATTAGATAGCTGAAGCTAAATAGATTGAGTTAGAGCCCAGAAATTTTTTAAAATAACATTGGAAATTAAAATGAAATTTATCTGGAACCGCTAACCTTTCTTTGAAACCCTTGTTGCTACCTATACCAGTGAACCTATCATGCTGTGTTACAGTCATGTCTTTACTGATAGGTCTCCTGCACTAGCCTAGGGAAGGGTTCTTTGCTTCTTATTCCTTATATTTCTAGGATCTGAGCCATTATAGGCCCTCAATACATTAGCTGAATGCAGTAACAAATCAGGAAGTAGAGTTGTTTTTACAGCCTTACTGTTAGGTTGACTCAGGTTTAACATGATGTGACATTTTTAAGCATCTTGGACTTACTGCGTGCACATCTGTAGTTTCTTTTCCTTATGGTTTTCTTTGATGTAGATATGCAAGGTAAGAGAATACTTTACTTTTTTGATATTATGTTGGAGAGGTTGTTTTAAAAAGTACGACTTTAGATTTAGAAGAACTGAGTTCAAACTATAGATCTATAACCTCTTACTGGCTCAGTAGTCATTAACAAGTTATTTACATTTTCTGAATCTCAGATTAATTGTCAGTGAAATAGGAGTTGTCTTCTTGTCTCTCAGTATTTTTTAATATTACAATAGAAAATACTAAATTAGAATATTAGAAAACATATGGTATCTAGCACAGAGTATGTTCTCAGTAATTTTTTATTCTAAATATTGGTCACAGAAAAATGAATGCATCTCAGAAGATACATTTGGAAGCTCATTTTTTTTTTTTATTTTCTGAAATTGAGAATTTGACCCTCACTCTCCACTCTCAGAAATTACTCATAGTCATTTGGGTAGTTGGATTGTCTTTCCATTGGCTTTCATATATAAGGCAAAAAATGTCCAAAAATACTGAGAAGCACCAAATGGTGCTAGTAATGCAATTCATGAACATTTTCCAAATTTGCTAGCAAGATAGTCGGTAAAATGTGCCATTTTCACATCTTGTTCATAGAGCAAACAAAATAATACTTAACTATGCAATAATATACAGTATTAAATCCCCCTGGGAAAAGAGTTGGTTTTAAATACTTTGAAAAGAAACTTTCAAGTTAGTGATTTACACAGTTAATTATAAACAACAAGACTTGTAATTAAGTGTTGCCATTTTGGGTTGAATTGGTTTCACCCATCACTAATCCGTCTATCCTTGTCTTTGGCTGTTGAGAGATTACGGGAAAATGCACACGATGAAAAGTTTAACTTGTCAAGTATAAATTTAGATGCAAAGTCCGGAATATCAAACACCACAAGTGATAATTATCAGCACCTGGAAATAATTTGTACCACTAAGTTAAGTAAAGAATTCTCTTTCTGCTGATGGGGAGATTTTAACCTCATGATCACTGAAGCACTCCCTGCAGTTTACAGTGATGTATCTTGTGGTTCATTCCCAGTAGTCAACATAGCACCAAGCAATTAGTAGAACACTGGAGGATAAGTGTTAGCTCTGTACAATGTGACTAAGATTAAACCGGGAGCAAATTAGAGCAAGGATAATTGTCCAGTTTTTAAGTTGCTCGAAGTCCAACTCACTTACGTATTACATTGAGGTTCCTGCAAAGCCTGGATTTTTTGTTTTTGAAAAATAATAAATACAATTTTTAAACCGTTGAATTTCCTGGATTATATTTTAGTATCTTAACATATGTATTTTCTCCTAAGTTAAAAATTTATTTTGGAGTCTCAGGACATGTCTTTTTTTTATAGGAGACTAATTTGGGTCCCCCAAAACATTATCAGAAGACAAGTTATTATAATACGTAAACATGGTATTTAAATAAATTTTGCAGAGGCATCGACTTATGGGTTTTGTGGCAGAAGTTGTCTGGATTCTCTGATGGCTTGTTATATGTGATTTTCTTAGCTTTATTAAGTTTCTGTGGTTGTTAATGAGATTTCTTTATAGTCCTCTGTAGGTAAGGGTTGATTTTGAAATTTTGGCTGCTTGTGTTTAAGATTTGATTCTCATTCTCAAACATTTACATGTATAATTTTGAGAACACATTTTATTTAACACAATATAGTAAACAGAATGAATCATAACTATGAACGTTTTCCAGAAGCATTTCTTAGATAAATTATTTTATAAAAAGAAAAACAACACAACATCTAAGATTTAGAGTGGAAGAATATACTTGTAGTTAACTTCCTTGTTGATTTAAAAAATATATTTGGATTTATTTTGGCAGGGTGGGGGAATCATCTAATAAAAAATTTAAAGCAAACTTCATTTTTTCTAACCAGAGTGAAGAGACAGGGAGAGAATCAAATATGTGTGAGCTCCCTCTGTTGCTCTGTAACAGCATTTTATTCATGATTTGTGATGTGATAAGGAAATTTTTGCTAATGTGTCAAAACAAATTCAATTTTCCTTTAAGGCAATTTATAACTTTATTTAAATGGAATATAAAGGAAGAACCCCCTATATGTAAAATTCTGACCTTCAAATTTATGTTAATATTTTTAAATTATTAAAACATTAAAAATGCATCTATTTCTCACCACTAAGAGGGAAAAAAAAAACAAAAAAAAAACTTCAGCTATATTTAGTAAGTACTCACTGAAGTCCTAAACATTAGGATAAAATGCAGGGCCTAATTGAGTAAAGTATCAACTGGGATGATGATAGTGAACAGGTTGGCAAATTTGCCAACTGGATTTATGGTACCTTTTATATTAATTACATAAGAGTAAAATGTGAACTCACAAAATAGTAATGGCAAAAATGAGGAGTTGTTTTAAAAGTATGTAAATGGCATTTTACAATGCTGTGAAATACATTTTTTTTTTTTTTTTTTTGAGACGGAGTCTCCCTCTGTCGCCCAGGCTGCAGTGCAGTGGCGCAATCTCCGCTCACTGCAAGCTCCGCCTCCCGGGTTCACGCCATTCTCCTGCCTCAGGCTCCTGAGTAGCTGGGACTACAGGCGCCCGCCACCACGCCTGGCTAATTTTTTTTTGTATTTTTAGTAGCGATGGGGTTTCACCATGTTAGCCAGGATGATCTCAATCTCCTGACCTCCTGATCCGCCCGCCTCGGCCTCCCAAAGTGCTGGGATTACAGGGGTGAGCCACCGCACCCAGCCTGTGAAATACTATTTTTATGGTAAGCTAGAATTTTAAAACTATTTCTTGCAAGTTTAGGATTAAATGAATTACATTATGTAAAATTACATCTTTGTCTGTATTACGTATTTGTATACAGTTGAATAGTTTTGGTAACACGTACCTTAGTGCTTTACATTGATTGGCTCATTAATTTTATATTTTGAGTAATAATCATCTAATTTTATTATTGTACAATTCAGTCTTAAATTATGTTATGATGTGAAAATGGTAGCTTTCTTGAGTGTATTTATTTTTGTAGTAGTGGGCAATGTAATTATCACACATAAAATGAACTGTGAGACTTTTGAGCCTGAAATATTATTCATATTATAATGCTCTGCAGTTTTATTAATAACAATGAGAGATGAAGCACTAACTTTAACTGGTATCCAAAGTAGGTGAATCAAAAGGCTTGACTCTCATATATATATATATGACAGTCTCATATATATATACACATATACATGTATATATATATGAAAAAACTTAGCATATATATGTAATTTTTTTTGTATTTTTAGTAGAGATGGGGTTTCACCGTGTTAGCCAGGATGGTCTTGATCTCCTGACCTCGTGATCTGCCCACCTCGGCCTCCCAAAGTGCTGGGATTACAGGGGTGAGCCACCGCACCCAGCCTGTGAAATACTAATTATATATATATATATATGCGCTATATATATGCGCTATATATGCGCTATATATATGCGCTATATATATGCTATATATATGCTATATATGTGTGATATGTATATGCTATATATGCACTATATACGCTATATATATGCACTATATATATGCACTATATATGCTATATATATGCGCTATATATGTGCTATATATATGCTATATATATGTGCTATGTATATGCTATATATATGCGCTATATATGCTCTATATATGCTATATATGCTATATATATGCTATATATATGCTATATATGCTATATATATGCTATATATATGCTATATATGCTATATATGCTATATATATATGCTATATATGCTATACATATGCTATATATATGCTATACATATGCTATATATGCAATACATATGCTATACATATGCTATATATATGCTATATATATGCTATACATATGCGATATATATGCTATACATATGCGATATATATGCTATATATATGCTTATATATATGCTATACATATGCTATATATATGCTATATATATATGCTTATATATATGCTATATATATGCTATATATATTTATATGCCAAGTGTTTTACTTTAGATATCTTTTCAAAAGGACTTTTTCTTCACCTTCTCCAACCTAAAGCATTCATTTTATAGAAGGCAGTAGAGTAAGTTCCTAGTGTATTTCTAACTTTAAAACTAGTATTTATATTTTACCCAAATAATTAGTAAACTGGTAGTTGAAAAGGAAAGGATTAAGTAATGTAGTTTCTTTCTCCACATTCTGCTGCTGCTTGAATCTCATTCCAAAACAGTTTAGCATCATATATTATTACCACTCTCTGAATATCACTGTTGTTGATATGCTTAACATACCTTGATCTTCAAAAAGGAAAAAAAGCGAGAAAGAGAATGAGTTTTGGGGAGTTGTCTCTTTTGTCTTTACATGACACAAAGCATGAAACATGTTTTCTTTTTCAGCAGTCCTTTGCCATGTGTTATGACTGAATGTTGCTCCCCAAATACCATCACACCGGGGGTTAGAGCTTCAACCTCCAGTATGATGGTATTGAGGTTAGAGCTTCAACCTCCAGTGTGATGGTATCGGGGTTAGAGCTTCAATCTCCAGTGTGATGGTACTGCGGTTAGAGCTTCAATCTCCAGTGTGATGGTATCGGGGTTAGAGCTTCAATCTCCAGTGTGATGGTATCGGGGTTAGAGCTTCAATCTCCAGTGTGATGGTACTGCGGTTAGAGCTTCAATCTCCAGTGTGATGGTATCGGGGTTAGAGCTTCAATCTCCAGTGTGATGGTATCGGGGTTAGAGCTTCAATCTCCAGTGTGATGGTACTGCAGTTAGAGCTTCAATCTCCAGTGTGATGGTATTAGGGTTAGATCTTCAATCTCCAGTGTGATGGTATCAGGGTTAGAGCTTCAGCCTCCAGTGTGATGGTATCAGGGTTAGAGCTTCAGCCTCCAGTGTGATGGTATCGGGGTTAGATCTTCAATCCCCAGTGGTGGTGGTTAGAGCTTCAATCTCCAGTGTGATGGTATTGGGGTTAGAGCTTCAATCTCCAGTCTGATGGTGTTTCGGGATGGGGCTTTTAAGATGTAATTAGGGTTTAAGATCATAAGGGACCTGGTCTGATGGGGATTAGTAGGCTTATATGAAGAGACACAAGAGGGCTTGCTCTATCTCTGACTCTCCCACACACAAAGTAGAGGCCATGTTAGCCTATGGAGAGAAGATGGCCATCTGCAAGCCAGGAAGAAAGCCCTCACTAGAAACCAAACCCTGCAAAACCTTAATCCTGGACTCCCAGCCTTCAGAACTGTGAGAAAATTTATTTCTGTTGTTTAAGCCACCCAGTCTATGGTATTTTGTTCTGGCAGCCCAAGCAGACTAAGACACCATGTTCAGACAGAATTTGAAAATTACTTTTAAGTTTGCACCAGAATGTAACTACATTTGATATTTAAGGGGCAAAAGCAGGTGTAGAGTTTGTAGGAAACCTTTATGTTATTTAATCCCTGTAATCATGGTACCCTCTTGAGAGTTTGCATGTTTGAAATATTTAAATTTAACTCACTCATGATTTTTTTCAGGAAAAAAAAAAAAAAAAAAAAAAACAGATTACATGTGGGAAGCGGGCCCCTTAATGTTTGGTCTTGTTCAGAATCAGAAAGTTCATATAGGTACTCCCTGTGTGGCATTGTAGACAGGATTTACCGTAATTGACAACATTAGAAATATTGGAACTAGTTTTCCTACTGACCTTGATTCACCAGAGGGTGGTGGGAGAGTATTTGGGAGGTTTTCTCAAAGAGTGTGGTGAACAACCTAGCGGATAACCTCACAGTTAAGACTGAATCTTCTGTTTTTGAGCCATTAAAAGTTTGCTCAAGCTAGAATTTACTCTCTCATATTCCAGCATTCAGTGTTGCTCCAGTATGAAATTTTAGATCCTATAGAAGTTAAAGTGCAGAACACCTGGGACTCATATCCTGTCAATCACTAATTTATCTTCTGTTTCACTCCTTTGGTTTAGACCGTGTTCTCTTTTCTAAACTCTCACAATAGCTGCTGAACTTCTCTTCTTTCCTGTGGGTTGTTGTCTCTAATCTATCCTCTACTCTGCCAACAGAGTAACCTTTATGAAATCTGATAATGTTCCTCTTTGGCTCTTGAATAAAACCCTTCTCTGCCTTCTTATCATCCTCGTGGCACCCAAAGCCCTTCATTTATTCACTACTCTTCTGATGCAGCCTCATCTCCTGATATTCCTCTCTCATGGTTTGCAGACCAGTCAGATTTATTCACTTACTACTCAGAGATTTTGAGGACTTTTTGTGTCCAGGACTACCAAGATAATTAACGTACAGTGCCTGTCTCAATATAAATATATTGGTCTCAATATAAATTCTATTCATGCTTCAGAACTCAGCTCAACCCTTCAAGTCCAAAGGGAAGTCTTCTCTCATTGGGCCTACTATTAGGGAGTAGCTCTGTCCTGTATATTTTACTGATCTTTCTAAAATGGCACCATATTATAATTAGTTGTTTACAGATTTATTTCTCTTCTAGACACTGAGCTTCCAAGATGGGGACTATGTCCTATCCACATATTCCAGACACCAAGCTTAGTGCCTGATTGAAATAATCCCTCAGCCAGTATTTGTAGATTTTAATTTACTGCAATATGCCTGAAAAGTCTTTGGGTTATAGATTCTTCATCTATTCTCTGACTTACAGTTTTCATCAGTCAAATATTTGCTGTACTATTTACCATGCCATTTACCATGTATGGTAAAAAAAAAAAAATGCGCTCTGATTTCATTCCATTTCTTGCTTAGATTAGGTAGACTTATTTCAGAAGTATTGGACCAATTATAGATATTTTGAAATCCTGGTGCAAATATGTATTTTCCAAGGTCTGATTATCTAATCTGTATATCGTTTTGTATGTTTGGTGACTCTCCCAATATCTCTCTTTATGAATATCTCAACATCGTGAGTGTCAGTAGCCCTTCGACTCCTTTTTCTTCAGATATTCACAAGCATGCAGTCCCTCAGATTTCGTCATTCCTCATGGCAACAGCCCCATACAACCAGCAACTCAGAAACCCCGATCTGTGACCACATCCTCCCATTCTTTCTTGTACCTTCTCCATTTCTTCAGCCTTTATGAAATAAGCACCCGCCTCCATCAGACGTCTTCATGCTCTGGATTCCCTGTTATGCCTCCACTTGTGCTCAGCGATCCTTTTACTGGTCTTTATTTGACTGCCCATGTTATTCCTCCCAAACAAGGCTCTTCACTTTGTTTTTTTTAACCCTTCTCAGCTATGTATTCTAAACTCTTACTCTTTGTAAGTAATATTTTATTTTACCACAAAGGCATCCCCAGCTTCCTCCCATTCCTAACAGGGAAAGGGTACTCCACCTTCTTTCCTAACCTGTCTTCTTTAATCCCTTTCATCCGTCCTTCTGACTTCCACACTAGCCTTTGATTTCAGTCTTCCTTTCTACCAATCTATTTATTTCTGCACAAAAGTATGTTAAATTATCCCCTATTTTCTTTACATTTTCCTCTGAAGCTTTTTCCCTTCCTTCAGCTCATGGCCTAGAGCTGAAAGATTCCTGCCAGGTTAGGGCCGTAGTTAATGGATTCAACAGTAATCAACAAGTATCTTGAATTTGCTAGTCTGTCTAGTGACCCGATTTGCAAACATTTTTGATTACAAGAATACTTTGACTATTTAATTTAATAGAAAGTTCAGAACTAGCCGGTTTAATATTGTCAGGAAGCCTTTCTCTATTACTTCAGTCTGCCTGATGTTTCCTTCTCAAAATTTCTCAGGCACCTATATCATTCGTTTTTGCAGTTATCTTGTTAATTCATAAAATTAACAAATCAAAAGTTCTTTAGAGACCTCTTTGTTCTGACATGAAAATCACTTAACATACTCTTTTTTTAAATTTTATTATTATACTTTAAGTTCTAGGGTACATGTATACAATGTGCAGGTTTGTTACATATGTATACATGTGCCATGTTGGTGTGCTGCACCCATTAACTCGTCATTTACATTAGGTATATCTCCTAATGCTATCCCTCCCCCCTTCCCCCACCCCATGACAGGCCCTGGTGTGTGATGTTCCCCTTCCTGTGTCCAGGTGTTCTCATTGTTCAATTCCTACCTA
Source organism: Homo sapiens (assembly GCF_000001405.40). Taxonomy (NCBI): domain Eukaryota; kingdom Metazoa; phylum Chordata; class Mammalia; order Primates; family Hominidae; genus Homo; species Homo sapiens. Next base: position 115,530,861 of record NC_000008.11, on the reverse strand, counting down.
TGAGTGAGAACATGCAGTGTTTGGTTTTCTGTCCTTGAGATAGTTTGCTGAGAATGATGGTTTCCAGCTTCATCCATGTCCCTACAAAGGACATGAACTCATCATTTTTTATGGCTGCATAATATTCCATGGTGTATATGTGCCACATTTTCTTAATCCAGTCTGTCATTGATGGGCATTTGGGTTGGTTCCAAGTCTTTGCTGTTGTGAATAGTGCCACAATAAACATACGGAAAAATCACTTAACATATTTTTTACTGCAATTGACAACCCTGACAAATGGGTTATGTTTCTCCTGTAATTACTGCATTTACCTTAGTGTTACTCCATGTTTTCACACTGGTTTGCACACGTATCTAAGTTCAATCAGGGTGGATTATTTTTGTCTTGCCTTACCCAGGACTATACACCTAACTTGTTTCCTCATACTGATTAAGTGCTCTTTCTATACCAGATCCCTAGGTTACTGGCCTATTTTCTCCCAAGACGACTTCACATTTTACCATTTCTGGACTTTGTCTTGTCTTTCACCAATACTCTTATTGTCTCTAAATTTCTCAGAACAGTGCTGAATGTGGGGGTCAATATTTACTAATTTATGTCATGATATTTATAGAATATCTGAAAACAGAGTCAGGTAAAATAAAGGTTTGTACATTATGCTGGAATATTATGGAATATTATCATGACATTAAAAGTCAGGCCTTCAAAGAATAATGACACAACACGGTCAGTTTATGAGATTTATTAGAATGCCTACAGTACTAATAACATGAACTTTTTTAAAAAAATTATTAAGTTCTTCAGATTGGGAGGAAAATATAGGAACCCGATATTCAGGCTCAGCTTTTGGTTACCCTGTCTTTACCCCTTTCTTTCTGATGGATTTTCTCATTTAATGCATCTCTGCCATTTTAATTTTGTAAAGATCTCCTATACACAAAGCACCTTTATATTTCCCTGCCAGTTACTGTTAGATATTTTGTGTGATTAGCATCCTCTGAATGTTGAGGAACTATGCTTTCTACATGCTGGTTTACCAGGTGCTGAAAACTAGAGTTATCAAGTAACTACCTGGTGTTGCCCTCTCATTTTCTATAGTTCTGCTCAATATAGTGGGCATTGTTGGCACAAAATAAATAAGTACACTGGACACTTTCTGTAATATAATACAGATTTTATGCTGTGGAAACATGCTGCAGATGACTCCAGTCTCATGCATATGAATGGGGTGCAAAATGGGTGTGGAATTTTCTGTAGGGTAAACCTTTCTCTTCTTCAGGAGAGGTAGTCATAGATGTTTACTGCACTAAGATGTTGAAAGAACCTGTCCAGTGAAGGCACATTTTTTTGTTAATGTAAAATCAATTCTTAAGAGTAATCTTTTTCAGTGATTTCCGGATCATGCCTTTTAATTAGCATAAAAACATGGAAGCAATATTAATAATGAAAATATATATCGTGTAATTTTCAATCTACATCTTACATATACAATTGTTATTTTAAAATTTGACTCAGATCGGCTTCTTCAAAGACACAGCAAAACCTTGCATAAGTTTTTGAAGGTCTACACTTAGATTTTACATATTTGCTCACCTGACCTCCACAGTTCTGCTCACTGGCATGTACACCATTTCTGTACCTCTCCTGCAAAAAAAATCTCCAGCTGTATTTTATTCCTTCTCATTCTTACCTGATAGCCAATCAGCCAAAATGCCAATTTTTTGCCAGTTTTTCATGTACATTTCCTTTTTATATTCCCTGTGTCACTGCCTCAGCTTAGTTTTTAATCGTCTCCTTCCTAGCTCATAGCATTGGTTCCTTAATTGTTTAACTGGATGATGCCAGTGATACTGTTCTTAATTTCATTCTCTTGGTGAGGTTCTTAACGGTAACCATTGTGTACCTTGTTTGTCCTCATAATGTTTAGCTACTCTGATTTGTGATTCTATTCTAGTTGACCTCACATTCTATTTTGAAATAGTTTTTAAAAGAATCATAAAAAATTAGGGAACTTAGTATTTGTCCTTTATAACTGCATGTTATACCATCTCTACAGTTGAATGACTATATATACATATATATATCTTTATATGCCTCTAGATGAGATTTTATACGTCATCTAGAGACTATTTATAATAAAGTGATTAGTAGTTAAAGACTACTGATTAATCTGAACACTGTCTACTGGGTTAGTTTTGAATTTTGTTTTTCAATTATCATTTATTACCCTAGGATTTCTAGTACCATTCTGAGGATAGTAGCTGGATTAATAATGGTCAGTGAAGTTTAAGGTGTCATATGAATGTAACACAAGAAAATTAGAGATCAGGTGTGTTTGAAATCTTTTAAAATCGTATTTAAATAAAAATGTGGCTTCCTTATTGGTGTGGACTCATACTTTATTGGTTGTAATCCTGACCCTCTCATTTTCTGTCTATGCGAGTGCTATTTAACCTCTCTCAGAGTGCTGCTGTGAGGATTAAGAGAGGTAGCGTATAACTCAAATTAATGCCATGCTTTGTGACTCTTAAGTGCTCAGTATATATTAGTTGTTATTATAACTCATTTCCTATGATAAATAGGTACACAATAATCTTATAGTTATGTACAAAGGGGAGTGTAACAACTTTTTTCACGTAAATTGCTCAGCTTGCAAATTATTATAGAGTTTAGTAAATAATCAGCCTTCAGTTTTACTTTCCCAGAAAGGTTGTATCAGTCTTTTATGGTGACTATTTAAGTTACTTACTTTTTTCTGCAGTGATTGCTTCTTAATGCTGAAATCAGAAAGAATGTCAGCAAGAAGGAGAGCAGGCCAATTTATAATTCTCCATTTGGGATATATGAACAAGCAATTGATTATGCTTTGATCTTTCCGGTTTTACCTGTCCATTGAAATCTAAGATGGCTGGAAACAAAATCGTCCTCATTTCCTGGTAATGTGTTAGAAAGGTTCTAATTTGGGGTACCTTACTCAGATTCTGACACTTTGAGAATAGATAACCATGACCGTTCGATTTTTATTTAGAAGGAACAGTTTATCTCAACCCTATTAGCTGAAGTGTAATACCAGAATGGCTTCTTTTTATTAATGCTCAATTATCCTGAGCATTTGGGGAGGTAAATGTCTCTTCATCTATTAACTGTACTTTTTTAAAGTTGACTTTTCTTCTCAGGACCATTTTCAAGTGAGGGTATAATTGGCTAGTGAAAGAGACCTTTACCTCACAGTTTCAGTTTTATTATAAATTGCCCATTAGTGCATTAGAAACAAAGTGAAAAAGTGAGAATTGTAACTATTCTTTTATTCTATTTGTTCTAATCCTGCCACTGAATTTTTTTCAACTTTTTTTTAATATATGAACTCAGTATGAAAGATGTTGGGGAAATTGAATACATTATTGGTTAAGTTGTCAGGAATAGTATGATCTTCAAATATTCATTTTTCTGACTTCAAAACTGAACAAAGCCTCACACGCATTTGGAGTTAAGCTATTTCACCTTGTATATTAAATATAATTTTGCACATCTGAAAAATAGCAGGTAATGTACTCACCTAAACGATATCATTCTTTTGTGAGGCACATATTTTCTTGGGAGATTAGAGCTTAGAGAATAAAGATTAAGTGACTACTAAAAATTAATAAGAAGGCGGAGTCAGAATGAAAAAAAAAGGCTGAGGGCTGAAGTCTTTGTTTATATCAGCTTATATAATCAACACCTTCTCTTTATCAAATTCTTGAAGCCATGAGTAATAACAATTTTATTTTATGAGGAAACGTGATATCCCCTGGAAAACTTGTATATAAATTGCACAGTCTTATGTTCCCAAAGGATGCTGGGCCCTTGAAAGAAACACAGGGTTATACATATATTAGAGGGTAGGTAAGTAGCTGGAAAAATCTATGAAAGGAAGCCTCACATCAGTGTATCTCTCCTAGAAATTAAACCATTTGGATTCTCCTTCCTAAAAATTCCTTGGTAGGAGACCAAGTTTGAGTTATTGTTCAAAATTGGGCTACTGGCAGTGTTTCAAGGGTCAATTCTGTAATTAATCCTTGTGTGACTATCTAATTTATTGCTAGTAGAAACAAATAGTCTGGTTCTTTGACACATAATTTAAGGCAGGACAGTCTGGGGATCCCTTTTCTAATGTACTAGAACTAATGTTTTGTCTTTAGCACATAGCTTATTGCCATTTCTATATAAGGCATGAATTTGTGATTTTTAACTGTGATTTTGTTATTTTAAAATTTACAGTACTTAGGCATTCTCTCTTCTCTCTTGCTTTCAGAATTGAGTCCCTTTCTAACATTTTTGTTTTTGTCCAAATTGTAGATGTATTATATTGTTGGAAAATAGAAGAAAGAAACAACAGATTTAGAATGTTGAAAGATAATAATAATACTGTTTTTTAAAATATATTACCTACTAATTCAAACATCTTCAGGTTTTAGAAAACTAGACCCATGTTGAGTCCATTCTAGTATTACCAGCATTACCAGTTTGAGTAGATGACCCAGAACATTCTTTATCTCCTTTCTTTTTTTTGAGACAGTCTTGCTCTGTCACCCACGCTGGAGTGTAAGTGGCGTGATGTCAGCTCACTGCAACCTCCAGCTCCCGGGTTCAAGAGATTCTCCTGCCTCAGTCTCTCGAGTAGCTGGGATTACAGGCACGCACTACCACACCTGACTAATTTTTGTATTTTTAGTAGAAATGGGGTTTCACCGTGTTGGCCAGGCTGCTCTCGAGACCCAGAACGTTCTTAATCATTTTACATGTTTTCATGTTAGCCTAATTTATCTTGATATTGTGTTCTGCCCTTCTTCCCACAGTGTAAAATCTTTGCAAATAATTTATTGCCCAACAGTATTTTTCAGCATGTACTCTGCCAGTGGTATCACTACCATTTTAGCTGAAAGATTTGCTTAACACACCATCATTGTTGTCTTTTAAATTATTTCCATTGGTTATACCAAACAAGTGAAATCCTGTATAGATTTCCACTACTTTGAACTCCTCCACATTTCAGTGCTCTTAGAAATTTTTGTGATGTTGGAAATTTTCTATAGTATGTGCTGTCCAATATGGTAGCACAATTTATAGAATATGTGCTTTGCATCTGAGTTTTAGAAATAGCTGTGAAGACAATATAAAAAGAATAAGTGTTGCTGTTACATTATCTTTTTGTATTCAGAAGCTTTGTTTCTAACCACTCTCTCACTCTACTAAGATGTTAATGAAAATCAACACTATAGTTTTCAGGAATCTGCTAAATAATCAGATTGAGAATGGTTATTACCATTCTACATATTAACCCATAAAATATTAAATATATTCCTGTTGCTTTTTTCTGCTGCCTGTCCCACCACCACCATTGTTTAGGATGAAATATCTTATACACTGGCATACATGGTACTTATGAACGTTCCACAACACCATGTGGAACGCTGAGTGAGCCTGATAGAGATAGAATACAGCTTCTTCTTTCCTGGCTTCTCTGTACTATAGACAAATTCTTACTTTATCTGAATTTAGAAGTCCTTAAAATTTCATTCAAATTCAATTTGTAGGGCATTGAATTAGTGGCATTTTTCTCTGATAGGTTTTCTGTATCTTATGAGAAATTTTACTATACAATCCTCGTATGTTCATAGGGAGAACTGATCTGCTTTCACTAAATCCAGAGTATGCCAGAAGATCTGACCATAAGATACTTAATTTCTGGTAAAATTGAAAGTTTTTTTTGTTCAAATAAAATGCATCAGGTGCTTTCGGAAGACTTGGTGAAGATAACAATAAATACATTTTTTATCTTTAAAAGATGTACTTCTATGTACTGACAAGAAACAAATCTTTAAAGGACACAGTTGTTTGAACTAATGACTCCTTCATTAGCAGCCATACTAAAATCTTTGTAAAAGTTCAAGAAATTATACATTTTGGAATAACCACTATTATAGTGTTACATATATCTATAAGCAACTTTGATCACTGGTATTGGCTATGTAAAATTATGTTGATCGATACTAAGATGTTTATTGAAGACAGTTAATTTAATTGCATTCATACATCATTAGATTTTTTTTCAAAGAAGCTCCATTTTAATGCCATTTTATATTATTTTAGAACTTTCTATTGTTTGTTTACCACAGATTTATATTTGAGAGTAAGAGTTGATATTAATACAAATGGCATGTGCCTTTTCTGATATTACTCTTAGAAATAAGAAGAAAATGCTGGGTGTGGTGGCTCACACCTGTAATCCCAGCACTTTGGGAGGCTGAGGTGGGCAGATCATGAGGTCAGGAGTTCGAGACCAGCCTGACCAACATGGTGAAACCCTGTCTCTACTAAAAATACAAAAATTAGCTGGGCGTGGTGGCGCATGCCTGTAATCCCAGCTACTCAGGAGGCTGAGGCAAGAGAATTGCTTGAACCTGGGATGTGGAGGTTGCGGTGAGCTGAGATCACACCATTGCACTCCAGCCTGAGCAACAGAGCAAGATGCCAAAAAAAAAAAAAAAAAAAAAAAAGGAAGAAGAAGAAAATGCAAAGAAAACAAAAATCAGAATTGTGAGTGTTTTATGTTATGAAACAATACAGTGGTCTATCAGCACATGCCAATTATTGCTGAAGAGCAGACAATAAAGCGACCAGTTAAAGCCAAATCTGTCCCTTAATGTACATATTTAGCATCTAGATGGGGAAGTAAAACACATTCTCACCCACTTATCTTATTATTTTAATAACACTATCATAGAAATGATTGAATAAATTCAGTTATGGATAATTTTTAAGAAGCTTGACCAAAAAACAATTTTCTGGACTCTGGAGTTTTTGTTTGTAAAATTGTTGTGAAATAGTGTCCTGATAGATTGTATTCTTTTATTTTTCGTGAAGGCTAAACTAGTCTTAAAACTATTTTGGAAAGAGAATGGAAGATTCTTTTCTATATCTTGATTTTGGCAGTAACCTTGTCAGCCTTCCAGTTGGCCAGGAATTTTTTACAATTCACTTCATTTGAGTAACAATCCTGACACTCAATTGATGGGCTGGAAAGAAAGCTTCCTTTTGACAGCCAAGCCTTAGCCGGAGACTCATCCATGTATCAACGGATATTGTTATCATCATGCTCTTTTAGATAGCCTTTTTGTTTTGTTTCAGGTTGGCTTTGCGATATATTAAAGCCTCGGACTACAGAGAAACCTTTAAATATTCAGAATAGAATTTAGGGATTAATCAGCAGTCTTTTAAATGCAAGTTTGCCTAGAGTTTGAGACAGCTTTCCAAATGGTTTATATGGATAGTTATTATTATTTTTGAGACAGAGCCTCGCTCTATTGCCCAGGCTGGAGTGCAGTAGAGTGATCTCGGCTCACTGCAGCTCTTATATAGATAGTTTTAATGGAATTGCTTTCCAGATACTAAACTTTCACATGTACCCACATGTTCATAACCACCTTAGAAAAGAAAAGCATAGCCATTACATACCCCAAGTCTTACCATGGTGCATATTCCTGACGGAAGGGAGATCAAACACTATTTTTTCTGGATCCCTCCTTCTGGTTTATGAAACTACCTGAAACCTTTTAAGCCCTTCTGATTTATCAAAATTACTGAAACCTTTTAAGCCTCTTGCCTTTCCCGGTCCTTTACAATTCTTATATATTTCTGTTAAGGGTAAAACTTGCACTTAACAGTATATTTTGGGATATGTTGGGATTCTCTGAGAACAATTTTTTTTTCTCCCCTAAACTCAGGATCTAATCTTGGAAAAGCAAAATCAAAAGGTTTATCACAGGGGATTTGTGTGATTCAAATAGGATAAAAGTGCCTAGAAACAATAGCTTGGCTAATTGTTAATCAGAAGGACAATGCAAATTTTTAAATCAACATGGAAGTAACATGATTGCTATGAACTGTAGATCTTTCAGAATCAAGAACTTAACAAAGACAACAACAACAACAAAAAACTCAAAGTATAGAAACTTATGGTGGTAAACCACATCCCTGTTATCTGAATTTATTACAGAAGGTAAAAAATAACCTTTTACTAATCTTTGCTGAGAACAGAGTAAATGCTGTAAGACCAATGTATTATTTTAACAGTTATTAAAAATATGTCGAATTTACATTAACATAATATGTAGTGGCAAATAATTTACATGCTTTCTTTTCTTTGATATTATTTTATGAATAAGTCTATCAACTTACCAAAATTTCACACATTTCATTATTTCCTTTCAGGCTCATTATTTTCTGGTGTTATCAAACTGAGTCAGCTCTCACCTCTTACACAACTTGTACTCACTTAAGTTTTGTCTTTCACCATACCTTTTCATATTATAAAGCGACCAGACACTTTACTTTGAAAACTTCTTTTTTAAAAAATTTCCACTTGACAAATGAAGAACATAATCCATAACTTAGTTACACAGTTGAACTTTTCTCCCCCATTGCTTGTATAAAGTGTGGAGCACCCATATGAATTATAACACAGAGAGCTAAGAGGTAGATATTTGAGATATATCTATCATTTATAGTCATTTTCACAGATATGCAAAGCTCATAAATGCCATCACACAATCTCCTACTGTCATACTCATTGATATTACACTTTATTATTGTGGGAAAAAGTACTTACATTATAATTACTCAAAGATATAGCCATGCTATAATTCTAACAGGTTGGTGATTAGTTTGTCAATACCCTATCTTACGTAGAAATTCACCAGTTATCTAAAAACGATCCATTAAATCGACTTAATTATGTTTAACCTGACAAACTACAGCACATACTTATTGTTGACATAAAAAGATTTTGGTTGAATTCATAGTTTTATGTCTTTCTCAGTGCTCGACATTGTTGTTAGCAGTAAACGTTTATAATACGTTTAAGTTTAGATTAATTCGTCTCTTCATGAGGACATTAAACCAAATTTTATTTAAAAAATAATTGTAATCTTGGAATATACTTAATATTGGTAAAATCAGGGAAAGATATATAGTGTTTTCAAACCAAAATTATAAAAAATGTCATAGTAGTTTGAATATTTACCTTAATTGCATAAACTTGGTTTATATCCTTATTCAAGAATGCTCTGAGGTTGTATCTTCTACAAATATTGCTATTTTTTAAATAAAGTATTAGCACATTTAAATTTTTTAAATACAGGTGTTTTTTATTTTTTTGGAATTCTGGGAACGTTAGATGAATGTGATTATTAACTTCTCAAAGCAATCATAACAGAACTCATTATTAGAGATATTATTGTATAATTTATTAACACATCGTGGATATAGGAAAACATCTGAAAGTTATAGTGAGAGATGAAGTCCTTTCTAAATTAAATAAACACAGAAAACACAGAGAGCTTTCAGCTTCCATTCTTCAACCTCAGCCTTGGGTCAAGAGTAAACAAACACAAAAACTCACTGCTTCAAATGTGAAATTTTTCTTCTCTTTTTTTTTCCTGTGTATGAAATATGTTCTTGCACAAACGAATCAATACAAGAAACTACAAAATACAATCTCTGTTGCCTCTCATCCAGTGGATAATAGAGAATCGTAGTTAGAGATTACCAAATGGTCAGCAGTAGGATTCACTATCATTGCCGTCACCAACTAGGAATAACTTATTTGCTGTGTGCACACCAGAAGAAGAACCAAACAAGTAGGCTAGGAACCAGAAAATAGTAACACAAACATAGAGTTGGGATAAGAAAGAGAAATAGAGAACTCTTACAGAAGGTAAAGTTCTAATATTGATAACTTCTATTGTTTGAAATTGACTCCTGGGACCAAAAAAAAGTGTGCCTTTGCTTAAATATTTCTAGTAGGTAAATCACCTCTGGGAGGCATAAGCGTGGAACCTCCAAAACTGTCGAAGAATAGTTATGAAAAGGTTTGAAACATCACACCTGTACAAATATAGAGTAAACATATGTTAAAAATTTAACTCATTAATAAGGAAAATAGTGAGATGGAAAAACTGCTTTAAAGGAAAATCAGAGGAACGTGACCTTCTGAAGCTAATACTGTCCAATAAGGTAATGGCACATTAACCTTTGAGGTTATCATTTCTTTTGGGGAGAAAATTAACATGTACTTCACAGAAGTCTAAGAACTTTAATTAATAGTAAATAGCAAAGTCAAACACAAATACATTCCCTTAGGTAATTAAATAATCCTTTTGTGAGCCTGTCAAACAGTCCCTAGTGTATATTAAAAGAACATGCCACCTACATTTTTATTTTTTGCCTAATTTCCAAGTTTTGCATAATTTTTCATAGCAGTGCTAACAGATAAAAATAATAGATGTCATCTTTAAAATATTCATGTTAAAATTAGTTTTCCAAAGCCTACATAAACAATAAGTTTGACTACTGAGTAGATTATACTTGTCATCTAGTTCATCTCCCAACAGGTTAAATGGCTTTACCAAGAATCTACAGCAAGTTATAGGGAGAAGAGCTGAAAGATAAATGAGGTGAGATGAGCCTGGAAAATACCCAGTTTTATGTTATTTCTTTTTTCTGTACTTTAATTGCTCTTTAGCCTGTTTCTCCTGATCTCCTAGGGCACAAAATGTATGGGTATGTATGCATACAGAGCATTCCTGGAACTTAAACCTAAGGATAACTGTGTTGAAACTGCTGACAGGATAAAAACCTCATGTAATTAAAACTGCCAATCACAATCAGGACATATATTAATGCTGTTTTTTTTAAAGTGGTTCCATGTCATCTGTTGATGAATTTGCAAAACAATTATGATTACATTGACAGTGAAGAGGTATGTATATGAATCAGTGTTTAGAATCTAGATGCTTATTTCCGTCTTTGCTGAATTGAATATTTTAGATGGAATTAAAAGGGAGCTATAAATTTTGCAAAGTTACTGCCAAAATATAGTTACAAATTTTACAAAAAGCATTTCTTGAAAAGCATATTCTAGATTATTTTGTTTAGCAATTTATATTTTAGAGTTTTGGAAAAACATTATATTCAATATAATTAATTCTTCTTTTCTTTTGAACTGTCATAGAACTTCACTCTGTAATCTTATGTTTTTAGTAAATACAGACTTAAGACTTTTTAATTTATTTTTCTTAGTTTTTATTTCTTTCCATATTGTTATTAATGTTGTTTACACAATATGGGACAAAACCTTTTGAATTTAAAGTTATAATACAGAAAATATTTTTATGTATCCTGTATTTTCTGACCAAATAATTTAGTAGTTTTTTTGTTGGCACCACATCTATTGTGTACTAAATACACTGGAAAAAAACAAAATATATATAATTTAAAATTCCGCTCTTAATTTTTTTAATCCAATGATCATCTATCGAAATGGACTTTGAGTCACTAAATAAATTATTTTGAAAGAGAATCTTTTTATGAGATTTTAGTTTATTCCAACCCCTTAACTGGGACATGATTTCTAAAGGAAACATATTTCAAATTTACGTAGTGGATTTCAAAATTAATTAAAAATTTAAGTTTAAAAGATGACTACAATGAGAAGTTATGCTGGTAAATCCTTTCTGATAATATTGTTAAGAAGTTATATTCATCTGAAGGATGTGTTTCTACTTAGTTTTTCACAATGCGTGCCTTTATAACTAAAATGTCATTTTTTTAAATGACATGTTTGCTTTTTTGCTTTTTTTCTTGTCCAATTTACTGTCCACGAAAATACTACTTATAAGTTAATAAGAAAAACGAAAAAGTAGCAGGCAAAAAAAAAGTTCTAAAATATTACCATAAGGATAATACATCAAAGAAATTTTAATGGAATTTTCATCACTTCATGTTGCTGGACATGTGTAACTACTGCACATATATTAAAGTGGTCCCTACCCTTTAGGAAAATGCATAGGAAAGTGTTGCATAGTAGCACATGAGATGGATAACCTTGACAATTGTAAAAGGCAAGTGATGTTCATGACCAACATACTTTACACATGACTGTATATGAGCATTTGATTTGTATCTGTTGATATTGTGTGAGAAGAAGTTTAAATTTCTGATGGTTTAGTTTGACGCTGGCAAAAGGCAATGCAGAGAAAATATCACCTTTACTCTTCTAACCTCTATTTTAAAGTGATCGGAGCTATGCCATACAGAGTTTCTTTAACTTTAATAAGTATATCCACTGTCCCTAATAATTTTCTCCATTTACACTAACATCTACAGGGGTTGATGCAATTTTGTGCAACTGAAAGCTTGTCAAATTTGGAAGCTCCACTTTAGGAAAAATAATTCATAATTTTGGATATACCTTTAGGACAAAAATTAATATTTGTGTAGAATGAGAAAATAAGTCACAGCAAATTACGGAATTTAAATTTTAACAAATAACATAGTTATCATGAAAACCCAGGAAAATAGCATAATATTTGTGTTCATTATCTTTCTGATAATCTCTATAATCTTTTTCTCTCACATTTTTGTATTTTTGCTTTTTGATCACCTAATCATATGATGAGACTTTTCTAATATTTTCTAGAGTGAGAATAGTTTTTGCTTTAGCCTGGAATAATAAAAGTGTATTTTTTATTTTTGATGTTATAGGATAGTTTCCTTTAGCTTTACAACTCATTATTGGTGTGTGATTTAAATTTATAGTATTGTCATTCCATTTGGAAACACTTCCCATCAAATTTCTTACATACATACTGTAAGGTTTGGATTTGTTTTCATTAGCTAACTAATGGCTCTGTGCATTGAGCCTGTTGCTCTTTACTACCAGAATTGTGTAGTGCTGGGCATGTGGAAGTTCTTCTGGGATATGACCTCTGGCCCTTCATTTCCTGTCCTACACTGGTGGATGTTTGGAAGCCTTTCCTACACCAGAGCGGCTTGCTGAACATCTACTGGATCCAGTTTTAGTATGGGTTCTTAAAAGTTTTACTACATAGTTAGGTAATAGTCAAAATTAACACAAATGCAATTATCAAACAAACCCAGTCAACCAGGATTGAAAGTGTCAAACAGTGCAACAATCAAGGCCATTCTTTGTCATGATCAAGAGCACAGAGCCTGGAGTCAGACTGACAAAGGTTTGAGATTGATGAAAGATTGTCAGGTGACTTTTTGGTCTCTCCTACATAGTCTGGAAATCAGAATTTGGAGCTTTAAACTTTAACATGGGTAGGATGCCAACTATGCTTTAAAGTTATTTTCTTTGATGCAGAAAGACATAATTTTTAGTATATCATAACATTAATTCACACCATTAATCTTTTTTTCTCTGCATATTGAATCATAGGACTTCTTTTCACAACAATTTTTGTTGTTATAATGTTATTTTAATGTTACTAATTAGCCCTGCAGAACCCCTATGACATCCTTTGGCATCGTCTCCCATCGTCTCTCTCTCTCTTTCTCTCTCTCTCTCATTTTAATAATAACTGTTGTATAAAAATTGCATGAGGAATAAGTTCCCAACTCCCGTGATCTGCTTATAATAGCTGTACTTTCTTCATATAGTCTTAAGAGGCATGTCTAGTTTAAGTACCTTCCAGAGAAGGTGTGTATTTATGCAAAACTTTTCAGGGGCTTGTTAAAAGTGAAGCTTTTGCATGATTTGTATAAGAAAGTAATTAGGATATCTATCTAAATGATAATAAGAATTCAATGAGTACAGATTGGCAATTCCACTTTGAAGATTATGGAAAGATAGAGATTTTATATTTTAAAACAATTTGTTAGGAATATCAAAGCAGAAAATATTCTAGATTTGGATGAACAACCATATATTTTGTTTAAAAAGCAAGAAATTGCCCCAGATTACTTCTTGCATTAGCAATGTATATATCAAAGACTCCGGAAAAGGAATTTTTTTTTTTTTAACCACTAACCACTCCTTGCAAAAATAAGGAGCATTAGGACTTTCCTCCCTACCCTTTACTTTTTTAATTCTACTAATTGTTCACACAATTATAAAATATGTAGAAGATTGTTTTATTATGTTTTTATCTGTTTGTTCAGTGATAGTGTTATATAGTAAAAGAACACTGGTTTGGGATTAAGCTTAACGGTGTTTTAGTCTGAGCCTCAAGAGACTTTATTCATACTCTTTAACCTCTATAAACCTCTGCTTCCTGCACTCCAAAATGGGACTAACTATACTACCTTGCCTACTTCTAAGTTTGCTGTGAGTATCAAATGACAAAATGTGTATGAAAATGACAAGCCAATGTGTCATCCTTGCAATTACCATAGTTGGTTAGAAAGATATTAAGCAACGGTTAAACTTTTAAATCCTGTTTTACTTGTTTTTATTATGATAGAGTTCTTTCTTCTATTATTTATAGAGTTATATATATGTATCATCCGTATCCAAACTAATATTAATGTTATGGCAACTTGTGCTTTTTGAGTCTTTCCAAAGATTTCAACATGATTTTCATAAAGCATATCAATTTTTTTCACTCACATTGTGTGACATCAGGTTAAAAAGTTACTAACTTAAATTTCTTAGAAATATTGACTAGAAGAATATATAACAATATAAAATGTAGAGACGAGTATGAAATATATTTAAAACTCATTACGATACTTTAGTTCATTTGCTATTTGTACAAAGGAAGCTCAAGTAATTTCAGTACCTATGGCAAGATTTATACATTCTGTAATTAGATATCTTTTAAAACCTACGGTGATAATTTTCTTAAAAATTGGTCTTAAAGTAACATTGTTAACACATTGGTAATAAGAGTATTCATTGCCTTTGTTTTCTTTTCCCCTCATTTTATATACAATTTTGTTAATGACTGTAGATTTAGTGGTATATGTGGTAGCTCATGTAATGCTCTAGTATGCTCAGTTTAATTATAGATTTTTTTAAAAGGATAATTGCCAAGCTTATTTGTCCTGCACAACATCATTGGGAATACTTTAAAAAGTTTTCAGGGAATCAGAGAAAACCAAACTAAAGATAATGGCCTCAGAACCCAAATTATTTTTACTCTGTCATGAATTTTGCTAACAAAATCAAAATAATGAGTACTAACTGACAAGGACCATTTAATAATCTACCCAGCTAAGGTTAGCAGTCAATATTTTACATGATATTTCACTGATAACTTATTTATCATATTTTACATGATAACTTAAGATTCTGTGGGTCTTAAGTTATGCATATTCTCTTTTATTACTTTAATAAATATTAAACCACAACATGATGTAATTTTAGCTTATTACTAAGTATTATAAGAGCACTTAGAATATAACTTTTTACAATTACCAAAAATTTTTTAATGTCTTATCAACATGAAATACTTAGTCATTTATTTAGAAAGTATAAGTTTATTAGTGGATTTACTGTGTCCTGATTTAGGTCAGTTACCTTAAAAATACGTTCATTTGTCTGTTTTTATTAATGCTACATGCCAAACTAATGACATTTAAAATCATAGGAAAAAGAGATTTGGCATTTGATTTATATTTCATGGCAAAATGCACAGGTTTGGGTAATCTCAGGTTCTTAAATTCTTTCCACATTAAATAGTGAGCTAATTCTAACTTTTTTACTGTACTTCTTCGTGTTACTGCATTAGGTTTTTGAATCTGCTTGGATGACTCCCGAAGAGCAGTTTAGTCTTTGAGAAAACCAGATCTCCATTGCTTCCATGAAGATCTTATTAATATTTAGATAATGGAGAGTAACGAAAAGAATTTGGACATTGAATATGTCTTTGTCTTCTAGCTATCATTCTCCCCAACTTAATCTGTGACCCTGAGAAAGTTACTTCATTTCTCTTGAGTCCTCAACAAATTTTTCTTACACAGTATATGCCATCTTAATTATCTTAAGTATGTACTTGATCATCTCTAGAGGTTCCTTTCTAGTCTTAGGTTGTAATAGTCTTTGTCATACTGGAAAAACATTTTTAAAAACCATCAAAATGTATTCTTTTTTTCTACACTGGAATTGACATATGGCACTATAAAGATCTTGTGATGGTAGAAGTCATACATTTGAACATGAGAATATTAATGACAGCTTGTAACCACAGTATTTCTTATCCTATTCTAAGAAATAATTTTAGTTATTAAGCTGGTTTTTTTTGGTATGTCTTGAGTTTATTTGAACGATTGAAGTATTTGGAATTGCGTCATGTAATAGTTCACTGCAAAATTAAAGTAATTTGTATGAATGAGAAATGGAATCAGTATGGTAAACTCATTTCATTGTGCAAAATATCTTTTGCATGGAAGGCTTAGTTCTATTAATAATTCAAGGAAATTTTTAAAATAATTCATTATACATTAAAAAAACTACTAAGTGTGCTAACATCTTGGGATAGACTACGGGGTAAGAAAGAAAAGAGAATATGGACTCTCCATTTAATTATATGTTATTATCTAATAAAACGAATATATGCCTTTATCTAATAAAAGAGGTATAGTGATATTACTCCCATTTTCCAGGTATCAAAATGGAGACATAGAGTGATTATGAAACATTACACAGCTGACGAGTGGCAGAGCCAGGATTCAACTCAGCGTAGCTCCGAAATCCCCTCATTATTGTGTTACACTGACTCCCACCTAAAACTAGATTTGGGGCATAAGCTTATAGGCTGTTAAAAATAGTGAGTTTTTGAACATAGGACCATGTCTTCTTTAATTCTTTCTTTCCAAAGTGAATGTTCTTATAAATCAAACAAGAGAGTATCTTAGAGAAGGGAGTCAATTCTCTCAGTTATTGGGAGAAGAATAGACTCACATATGTCCTGCAATAGGCATTTCTGGATAAAATGTCTCAGGATGTGTATTATATTTAATCTACTATGATGCAATGACATTGTTTAACTTAGATACCATGTGGATACTCCTTATGTTCACTAAGGGTACGTATAGTCTTTTGTTACCTAGGTCATAACAGAGAAGCCTTTGTGTACCATAATCTGACTCTCTAGCTATAATTATGTATCACTTTTATTTCTTTCACACAACTCTTTATATATACAACTTAAACATATATGTCTATCACAGGACACTATTCAACAGAAGACACCTATAATATAGGAGTGTGCTGTTGAGAGGATCAGGAGACTCTGATTTCTGATTTGAAAGAGGAACTATGAGAAAACTAGAAATAGTTTTCTTGCCCAGGGTGTTCACAAACCTTTTTCTATAGTAAATGTTTTAGTCTTTGAGCCACATGGTATCTCTGAACTCAACTGTGACATTGTAGTATGAAAGTAGCCATACACAATAAGTAAATGAATGGGTATTACTGGTTTTCAATAAACCTATACTTATAGCATAGACATTGGCTGTCTATGGAACCATAATTTATTAACCCTTGCTCTGTTAAGTAAAAGCCTTTACAATGGATAGAAATAAGACAGACATAACTCACACAAAAAGGCACTTCTTGTCTACTTCTTTTCTTTACAAGAAGCCTAAGGTATGAGCACCTAATTGCAAACCATACCACGTTCACAAATGAGATCATGATGTAAATAATGGAAGAACCAAATATGGTGCTTAAAATAAAAATGGTACCCAAAAATATAAGTCCTTGGGAATATAGTGCAAGAAGAAACACCAATCATTCTCCCTTCTGCTGCAGTTTGGGATTTTGTTGACATTGGTATTTCATGTTTATTACATGGATTGAAGGCAACTGAATTCATGTTAGTTACATTATATTTACAAAAGTTCAATTTAATTTCTATTCAAATACTTAATATTATGAGTGCCTGACTACATTTCAGATATTTCCAAAAGGATGGAAGTAAGAGAATAGGCAAACTGAAACAATCTTTTTTGAAAATATTTTTGTAACAGGTTTCTATAAGAAGGTGTGGGTACAAGTGTTTACATTTTGTGTGGTTAGATCCACCACAAGATTATGAGTATCTTAAGAACAGGTCCCATGCCTTATTCATTTTTGTGTCATTCCCATTCCCCATAACAATACTTGGGAAAAAGGAGTTAAATGTTTTTGAAGATGAAATAGTAATTAAAGTTCACATGTATATTGATATGTCTTTTCTGCAATAGTAAACTAATCCCATTAAGATATATATTTAAGACAGATTTTTGTAGGCAAGTATGCAGTAGTCTTACATGACCATATATTTATGGAATTCAATATATGCACACACAAACTTTAATGGAGTAAGTTTTGACCAAAATCTAAGAGTATGATAGATAATGCCAAATACAGAAAATATTCATATATATATATAGTAGTTGGTGGTGGAGACAGATAAAATACATAGTATTTTCCGGCCAAAAATATTATGGTGATTCATTGAACTTTTTCACTCATGAGCATGAATTTTTTAGCTCAAAAAAAAACCATGAAGCATAATTTTCTATTTTTCACATTCATTTTAGAGGGAAGAATGATACAGTTATTTCTAGAAATAGTTGTCTAAGAACAATGAATTTCTTCTCTTTATGATAGGGTCCATTTTAAATTATGTTCATTTATGTCCAATTCTTGAAGAAATAAGGCCAAGCTTTGAATTTATAGTCCGCAAATTTTCTTTTTTAAAAACAAACTAGTTCCTAAGGAATGCAGATTTTTTTAAAAGGCAACCAAAACCTAAAAAACTTCTCTCCTTTTTTGTCCTCTTATTGCTTAAAAAAGTACATGAACATACTGTTTTTAAATTTAGGCTTTTAAAAAATTGTCCTCATGCTGAGTTCTTGTTTGCCAAGTTTCAGCTTGGAGAGAATTTTTATAGCTTTTATAAAACCCTGAAAATAGAAAATTTTAAATGGAAATGCTTACACACCCTTAGTGACAGCCACAAATCTTGCCACTTTTTGAGAATGAAGGTAATTTTTTAGTATTTAGGGATGGTAGCAACACGTTGATGCGATAGTTTCTAAAGGACAGAGCTTTTGTTTAGTCGTATGTTAGATATGTTACATTGGTTTATCATATTAAGATTCATATTAAGATTTAGCTGTATGTTCATACATTTCGTATGTGATATAAAAGTTTTAAATTTTAGAGTGCATTTGTCCTCTACCACATATAGTTTATATGTAGAAATATGTCTTATCCATCTTTTTGATATGTCACCTATTATTTAACTTGACTAGCAATTTAACTTGCAAGCGATTCACCCTAGAAGTTAGATTTATTGTAGTTGAATAAACTGTTGTCCTCTCACTTTTATCATATAAACCAAAGGGTCAGTTGCCCTTTGGGGAAACCCAGAATATGTCAGATCTTTGTCAGGTCGCTGTGGGTCTTTGTCAGGTCCCAACTCTGTCACAGGGATTTTAGGCAACTAGAACCACAGGTGTCACTTCCAAAATTGATAGCTTGTTATACTGCAACCAGAGTCAATTTTAGATTGGAGAAGAGAAAGAAAAAGATAGGAAATGATTGAAGCTGTGGGCACCAAGAAAGGGCAGTGCTGGAAAGAGAATGAATGACATAGACACCCAATAACAGGGAGCGTTGGTCATTTTTGCATGGACCAAAACAAAATTGAAGAAGTACTGCTGATCAAAGGCCAATACAATGCACACATATCATTCTGGTTAGGTTGTCTCCTGAGAAAAATATTTCTCAGCAGCAGTATGATTTATTTTGAACAATATCTGATTGAACAGCATTCTAGTAATGTAGAAAATTTATAGACATCTACTAAATTTTATTCTAGCAGATAATCCACATTAAAAGAGACAAAAGTCCATGTTTTACCTAGAACCTCTCTGTGGCTCCTTTTCTCCACCAGAAAGACAATAATTTCATATCTGGCAGAAGTTAATGCTTTTTAAGTTCTTGACGTGTATACTCTGTGGAAGAAGTGACCTAAAAGGAAAACCAAATAGTTTGATAAAGGATAACTGTAAAGAACAAAAAAAGTAAAACAAACTACTATAAGACTAATAGTCCTTGAGACAAGCGCATGAATTAGTGATGAAGTATTGCTTTACTACATCCTGAAAATTCTTTACATTTATTTCTTCAGTTGAATGAAGCTTTCTAATATCTGTGTCTGGAACTAATTCTGATAACCTTGGCATTCAAAATGGAGATAAAGGATAGATAGCCTTCCACAAAACGCTTCAGTATGGCAAGAAGAATCATCTAATATTGACAAATAAAGCAACGTGACATCTGTGTTGAATTCCAAATTGACTTGTTGAGCTGTGCAAAAAAGTAAAAGAAGGTGCTTATTTTCAGGATGTGAAATACATTGGGAAAAGCCAAGGTCAAAGATGAAACATGACTCAATGCCAAAGATTTTCAATCTTAATGAAAATCTCTTTCAATAAGAAATTGACGATTGAGAAACAGTGTCATTGTTAGAAGTTCGATGTTCTTTTGGGGGTCTAACAGACGAAGCCCCAGAGAACTGACTTTTATTAATAGATAGCTTAAGATTTATAGCTTAGGAAGAACAGATTAATAGTTTTTGGAGTAAAGCCTGAATTATAGAAGGATGACCTGAGCCCTGGCATGAGTGATCAATCAGTTCAGTGTCTGCAACTGCACAATTTTAAGAACTCTTAAAAGGCTCTTTGGCCACTGAAAATGCATTATAAAGGATAAGTCCATAACCAGCCAAGTCTGGAATATATGTTTATATGGCTATACAGATCCAGTGTTTCTTTAAAAATAAAGCAAAGGGTATGACACAGGTTGGTTTGCTGTTACTTAGGATATGTACGATTGAATTGAGCCTAAGATAAGTGGGATGTACTGGGTAAAATGTGGATGCTGGAGGAGGATGCACAGAGGCTAATTTGAATCCAGGAGATTTTTCCATTTAGGAAATAGAATTGGAGTCAGGGAAGTAAAAATCTTGAATACAAAGCTAAGAAATTGAATTTTCCTTGTTAATCAGGGTTCAACCATTGATGTTTACAAATGAGAAAAATGTTTCATGCAGGTTAATCCTACTGCAATATTGGCAGGAAAGGTGGAGGTCAGCGGGAAGAGACCTCTGGAAACCTGTTGAAGAATGAGTACTTCCAGGGTAAAGCTACAGCAGGCAGGACAGCAGAGTGGTGGCCTAGGCATTGGAGATAAAGGCAAAGATAAAACACAGATGGAAGGAAAATTCCTAAGGCACCATGAGACACTGGATATTGAGTGAGAGAGAATCCAAAGAACGAAGAATCACTCACGTCGAGCTCAGCCTACTAGGACGTCAATGGGTTCCTTATTTGTTTTCTGTAACTCTCTTCTCAAAATGGATCAACTTCTTTCAAACTTCCCTAGTGCAAATTCTGGTTTGGTTACTTTTCTT
Organism: Homo sapiens; assembly: GCF_000001405.40. Lineage (NCBI taxonomy): Eukaryota > Metazoa > Chordata > Mammalia > Primates > Hominidae > Homo > Homo sapiens. The sequence goes on along the minus strand of NC_000008.11, from coordinate 115,509,604 downwards.
TTCTGTAAAATGATAAGAACATTAATTAGTCTTGAAGGAACCATTTACTGCATTGCAGATGATTAGAAAATTGACAATACCAACAAAAATTGAATTGGATTCTTTAGGTTTAATATTTGGCCTAAACTAACATATTTCACCTGCCATGTGCCACACTCACTGATTATTCCTGAGATATTCACCAAACCCTTCCCCACACTTGGCAGTGAGTTCATTAATGACAGGTATTTATTTTTTATCTGTCTCCATAGCCTCAACACTTAATAACATTCCTAGCACTTAACAGATGTTCCATAAATGATGATTAAATGAATAAATAGAAGCCTAGTGTGATTCCCAGCTTTGCCTGGAATAGGTCCTGCTCCAATAGGAACTCTTATACCTCTTTAAAGAGATAAGGAGTTCGGCTTCAGGGAAAACACCTTGTAGACTCCATTTATCATTACTTTTCTAGGTTGTTGTCATACAGGAAAAAAGAAATGATCTGACACATTTCTTTCCAGCCTTACACACTAATACAGTATAAGGAGCCACAGAGAGGAATTTTAAGATTTTTTTTAAGGGAGAGTATTTGATTGGCCAAGATGTTTGTTTAATTCAAGAGAAGGAAAGCCCCAAATGCTGCCTAAACATAAACTCACAATTCAAAACATTTTAGAAATTATCTGGCAACTTTACATAGAGTCCAAATGTTTCCAGGGTATGCAGAAAGATGCCCCAAAGTCTTAAGTACCCCCAGGGAAAGTAGATCAAAGTTTAGAGACCATTTAGACTCACTTCCAAAAGGATCTGGCCTCAGAGTTTTGCAGTAGTGAGCAAAAATTCTAGAAAGGTCTAGGTTCAGAAACCATAGCAAAGTTACAAGAGAAAGGTTTTCTAGCTTCTGTTTCTTATGCCATTCAACAAGATTTAGAAGGAAATGCAGCCAAATTTAATGGTCGTTACCTGATGAAAAACAGACATCCTTTGGATTATCCTCAAGCAGAACTGAACAGAACTAAATGCAATTAGAAGACTCCACGGAGGCCAAGATGATCAGATGATCGAGGAAAGCAAACTGATATAAAATATAAGCTCACCATGTTAGGTAACTCATGTGTTTCCAACATGGTGCTATTAGAGGAGCATTAGAGAAATTTACTGTATCATGAAGTGCACATTCGTTTCCTCGGCTGAGGACAGTACTACGACAATATTTGACAGGAAATGTAGAGAATTTTTATTTCAGTCAACTCTAAAAAGAATGGCGAAATTCTTGAAGCTGTGTATGATGATTCTCTATTAATATTCTTTGTTCAATCTTTAAAATGGCGTTTATTTCTCAAAGGAAAGTTCGTGCCATCAATATTGATTCCATTATATTTGTGATATACATCAAGTTTTATCTTCAGAGTGAAAAGTTCTTTGTATATCTTTGTAGTAAACACAGATTTTGTTCTCATTTTGAACATGCACTAATTTCTACATGAACTAAATTTCTACATGAACTGGGCACATTGGCTTAATTTAAATAAACATGTTAAGGTGGTCATTACTATTCAAGAGTCACCAATGTTCTGATTTTTTATTTTATGTTCTGCTTTTTTATTTTAGACAGGCAAGTTGTTAGCATTTTTTTCAAGGAACAAAGAACAAAAATTATCTTGATAAGAACTTGTTTCTGAAAAGCTAGATTAGCTCTTCTCTGCACACCAATCATGCAATGACAGTACAATTTAGTGACTTAAGCAGTACATTAGGATTCTCAGCCTAGGCAGAAGCTTCACCCTCGGGCCAGACCTATATAATAGTTGTAAGAAAATGATTTATGTGTTGTAATAAATGTTACTTCTCAATCTGTTTGCTTGTTCAATGGTTGAGGTCCCAAAAGAAAAGGTCTATCTCAAATTAGGACTGGCATGTATTATCTGTCAACTTTATATAGTACTGTAAAAGTCATTCAGCTGACAGTAATATTAGCGGAATGTTTTATAGATTTTTGTACTGTGTGAAGCTTTGTATGGGTGACGAGAGACTTTGGGTCTGTGGTGCTCTGTGGTCCGGGATAAAGTTGCGTGTAGATGAGTCGTTTCTGTGCTTCTCTGTAAATGAACATCTGGCTCACATATTGATTCCATGTGTGAAAATGAGATCAGCCCATATAATGACCAGAATCAATCAGGCTTCAGCCGAGGAGTAACATACACTGGTCTTGATTTGTTAGACAACCAGAATTGGCAGCACCTTGCATAATTTGGCACCAATTGACAAAGATTAGGCTGTTTGGGGACCCTGAATGGTTATTAATTTGAAAACCCCTTATATATTTTGCAGAGTAAAATCAGCTGTAACTTATTTGTTCCAGCCCCCTTCTTCTCGTACGAGCCCTAATTGTTTTAGACAAACGAACGAGCTTGCAGCCTGTTCACTTTACACAGGAAGACATGAATTCTTTGATCCATACAGTATTCTTTAGCTCAACCTTGGAGCTATTTACTGAGGAGATTTATTTGCAGACAGACAGTAGAACAGTTCTTTGTGAATAGAAATGAGTACAGCTTCTATGTGTTTTCAGCTCAAGTTTCTGCTACTTACTGTAAGGGAGATAAAACTAAGCCATCTTTATTTTTAACCCAAATCATTCTTTTTTAAAATATAGTTTTAAAAACTGAAAATGAATTAGACTCTTGACCTTTTTACTTTTTCCTCACAAGTTATATTTACTAGAGCACAGATTGAACTCAGAGAATGACCAAATACCATTTCTTATTTTGTGAATTGTGTTAATCATGAAGAAAAACTTGTGAGATTTTAAAATGGGACAGGCGTTGATTGTGAACATTTTACAAATGTGTCTCACTCCTTAATTCCAGGCACAAATAAAACTACCTGTGTTGTATGAACACTAGTTAGTTCAAGAAAAGCAATAAAAATCTACTTTTAAAAATTATTACTGCCAAGTAGTTTTAAAGATACAGACTCATTTACTTTGAATTTAACTAGTAATATTTAGGTAAGTATCTAAACCAATATTTAATTTTTTCACCAATTAAATGAGAGTTATTGGAACAGTCTCTCTAAATGCTTTATATATATGAGCCAGGCAATGTAATAGTAACAATAACAAGATAGTTTCATAACTAAGCCTTTCTATAATGCCATAAGATATGAACTCCATTAGGACTGTTTGATTTCTACTTGACACAGAAGAGAAAAAAAAATGATGAGTTTGATTAACAAAATCAGTTCTAGAAGTGAATTTCAATTCTCAATTATATTTGACAATAAATTACTCAACCGTAGTCATCTCAGAGCTTAATTTGCTGAGCCTCTTGATAACCAGTATATGAAAAGTCACCCCCATGTTTTTTTTTCCTGCATGTTTTTTTACCCCATTTTTTCCCCTACAAATTTGTAGGTCATTAACATTATTCATGAAATTATTTCCTTTATATTTCTTTTAACTTAATTTTACCAATAACTTTTAGAAACCTGTGAGTAGCGTCATATAAATCTTTGTAGTTCATTAACAAGATAAATAACTTTCACTGCAAATAAATATATTTTGACTCCAAAAGAAATAATGGTAATTAAATGTTTTATTTTCTAATATACATTTTTAAGTCATAGATTAATATTGACAGATTTTCAAAGCCATTATAGTTTTGAAGTTTTCCCCTTCTACCCATATACAACTTTCCAAATTAGGAGATACAACTTTTAGAGGAAAGCATTTCAAACACTTAAACATACACATTTAAAAAAATTTGTAAGCTTTTCAGTGTAAACATGCATTCAATCTATATGTCCTACGTTTTCACAGTCTTTCAAATTGCCTCCAGAAGTCTTAAGACCTGACTTGGTAAACAAAAAGCTCATGAGTTTGTGCCAAATGCTTTACACGATCATTTTGCAAAAATTGTGAGTAGAGTCATTGGAACCAAATGCATTCTTCTAGTGGGTAGATAGGTTATTTGTTATTTGTAAAAATTAAAAGGGTTAGAAGAAAATTTCAGATAAAGAATGCTATATATAAGTAGAAATTGGTAAACCAGAAGGCTTTATAATTTCAGATCATTCAATGACAAAGTCACACGTAACACCTGTTACAGAAGATACACTATCAAGGTGTCATGTGACATCTTAAAAAACTGGTGAAGTGTGTGGTTGTCTCAAACATGAAAAAATTTTAGCGCATAGGTTTTCCCATGTCATTACTAGCCACAGGTAAGAATTCTTGTATATTAAAAATATTACCACTGTGATTTCAAAAGTGAGGCCAAGTACTCTTATTGGAATGTGTGACAATTTACTGTCTTGTCTGCACTGTAGGTAAACTGTGTTAACAGAGACAATACTTAACCATGGATTTTGTTATATTTCAAACATGGTGTAGACAGCTTTATATTTCACAAGCTACTTCTTTGTCTTTTCTGTACATTTGTTTATTTGGTATAATTCTTTCATTGAAATAATAAATCCTAATTGATAATGACAACATTCAGAGAATTCTACAGAATTCTACAGATGTCTTGGAAAGGGCTGTCTTTTATTTATTTCACTCTTATTTATATGAGTGTTTGTTTGATGTGATATATTTTTACCAGGATGACAGATGATGTGGTTCTCTATATGAATATGAAGATATATATGCTGTGCCTTATAAAAATGCCAGCCAAAGCCCTTTCCACAGCTGCTGTGCATTAAAATAAAATGTTATCCTGTGATGGTGTTACAGTCAGATATTTTCTTACACCTAAACAAGAGTTTTCATTTTGTTTTCTTTATGACATAATCTTAATATATTTTAACTAGCTAGTTACAGAATGAATCGTTGTTGTAAAAGGTCATATATTTTCAAAAGCAACAATCTTTTGTGGATTTCAGAATAAATATGCCTAACATTATAATTTCATGGAAAGTGACTCAGTGCTATCAGTATAACTCATAATCATATGGCCTGACTTATGCTAGGAAAACTATTTCCCTTAACAAGACTATTGAACCTGCCTATTCTACCACTTACAAAAAAACAACCAACCAAACACACATACACAACTGTGTTTAAAGGTAGGGCAAGGGCCAATTCTCAGTTGGGTGCATTAGGTTGTGTGCATGAGGGCACTGAATTATATTAATTTAAAAAATAGTTCAAGTTTTAATTGCAGAGGAGTTGTGAATACTCTGAAATAATCTGAACTTTATTTTGTAGGGAGTAAGAATCACAGCTCCTGGTCTTTGTTCCACCCATGTATCATTCTATAATTGATTTGCAAATATAGAATTTGCAACCATTTGTGGACAATGGTTGTTTTTATAGTAGTCCCCCAAACACTCTAGAGTTTCTGGACTCATTGTGCCTAGTTCTCATTCCCCTTGGCCTTGGACATCTACAAGACAGGCTAAAAACACACTAAATATATTTTTAAATAGTCTAAGTAAGATGTAATACATTTCTGAAGTTGGAGTGTTGTAGTGGAATTGAAGCCAAAGCACTTGGTAACCAATTGGATGCCAGTAGGAAATGAGAAGGTTTAGGGAATAAAACAAGAATACAAGGAAGTTAACCTGCCTTCCCAAGACTGTAAGCAAGTTGTATGGGAAGTATGTAGAATTCAGTTGAGCAATCTAATGAAACACACATTTGGGGATTTCACGTGTGCCCTTGGAAAAATATGTAAGTTATTGTCTATAATAATAAGAGTGCATAATTTTCGTTCACAGTCACAATGATACCAAATAAGGGGATAACATGGTTTTCAATGAAGTAACAATTTGATGGTTTGAATTATACCATTACCATATTAAGAAAGGACTGTTCATTCTTTTCTATCAGCTCATAAATAACTCCAGGATCAATCAAGATGATGACAAAATGTGTATTGCATACTGGTTTGCATCTTTGTTAATACATGAATACATGTTGCTGTCTTTCAAAGTTATTTTTAAACTCTTAGTTTTGTAAACATTCATTATAATTTTTCCAAAGTCAAGGGAACTTCATGAAATCTGGCCTAGCCTTCTAATTTTTTAGATAAAACAGAATTTTATTGTATATTCAATTTGGAGATTAGGCTCTAACCTACCCTATATTTGGCTCTGTTTCAGGATATTTAAATTTCTTTCATTGTAATTTTTGTTCCTGTATTTTTAATAATTCTGGTATTTTTCTTAAAATGTAGAAAACAAATCAAGATAGCCTTACCCAATTTATGCCTAGTCTTAAACTTTTTCTTTTTACTATTGGTAAAAAGTGTTTTTGTTTTTATTTTTTGACAGCTAGCCCTGGACAGTGGTTCAATTTTATGGTAATTCGCGTACATTGGTGTGGCATCTTTAAGTAGTATCATTCTTTTTTTTTTTTTTGAGACAGAGTCTTGCTCTGTCTCCCGGGCTGGGGCTGGAATGCAGTGGTGCGATCTCGGCTCACTGCAAGCTCTGCCTCCTGGGTTCATGCCATTCTCCTGCCTCAGCCTCCCAAGTAGCTGGGAATACAAGCGCCCGCCACCACGCCCAGGTAATTTTTTGTAGAAGTGGGGTTTCATCGTGTTAGCCAGGATGGTCTCGATCTCCTGACCTGGAGATTTGCCTGCCTCAGCCTCCCAAAGTGCTGGGATTACAGGCGTGAGCCACCACACGCAGCCTAAGTGTGATTCTTAAAAGTATTTTACCTACAGAGAGAGAAACACCATCAAGTAGGGCTTATCAGTAGGTTGTGTACCAAGAAAGTTTGACTCTTTCTGGGTCTTTGTATTGAAAATTTATTATAAAAATAATTTGTCAAAAAATTCCCACTGTGCCTGGTAATGAATATTCCCTTTATTAAATATTAAATACATGAGATGCCATTTCAAAATAATGTGTATGCATGTATGTGTGTATGTGTATAAATAGTCTAAGCATGATGAATTGGCTGGCTATTTTTAACAGTTTCACCGCCACCACTTCCTGATTGTCCCTAGCTGGCTCTTTGGCACTCACACAATTCACATACTGCTTGTTAAGTACCTACTGTGGGCCAAATACCGTGTATCATTTCTAGATAATCTTATTTCAGCTTTGGATTTTGGTGTTTGCATGGATACTTTGTAAGCTGTCATAGCCGATAGCCTTTAGGTGTTTTGAAACCTACAGTCTTACAAATGTCCACATTTCTGTACTGGTAGCTTCTCTTTTCATAACCCTATGTTTGCCTGGATCCTGCATCAAAGAAATAAGGGGAGGGAATTGATAATTGGAGGTAATAAGCCTTTCAGTATTCTAGTGTTTGAAGTTAAGGCTTATTAGGGCTCAAGTATTCAAGGTTTTCTCATCTGTTTTAAGCAATTGGATTCTATTATTTGTTGGCCTTCTCTATCTTTGATGCCTGTACTTAAGAAAACCAAAACTGTAACTCAGAGAAGAGTGTCATGACTTAATTGATCTTGCCCTGATCTTGTGACTGTATTTTGTTCTGTTAAGAAAAAAAGGCGATTCAAATCTGCAGCATATCAAGGTTGTGCCTGTAATCTTCCTGATGATTCATTTTTAGCTCACTTTTAAACCATATAGGATGATGTGTTTCCCACATATTTAAGTATGTGTTGACTGTATAATGCTAAAAAGGTAGACTTGATAAACTTTGTTGATGGTGAATCATGGAAAATGTCAAGCAGGAGGGCAAGGTCAGATGTGCATTTTAGGAGTTGTATCCTGCTGGCAATGAAGATGGACTGGAATGGGCAGCAACCAGTGTCCAGATATGAGGAGATCAGTTATAAATCAATTGAAGACCTTAATAAAAGCAATAGACTGGATTTAGAGAAGTAGGATAGGGGTGGGTTTCATAGAAATTTAGGAGGTCAAGTTACCCAGAGTTGGTGAAGATAAGATACCAGATGTGACAAACAAAAATGATTTTCTATTTTGGCTCTGGCTGACAGTATGAAAAGCTGTACTATTTACAAAGATAGAGAAATAAGAAGTAACTGGGTTTTTTGTTTGGTTTTGGTTAGAGGACTCTGTATAGTGATAATGATTTTATTTTTCGTGAGCACTTTGAACTTCACATATTTGGGATCCAGGCTTTAATACTGTCAGCTGGTGAAAATATGGGTGTAGAAGATATTTTTGTATGAACATAAAAATTTGGAAATTGAGAGTTTTTAAATATTAGTTGAAAAGTGGACATACTTGAAATTCCTTAGGTTTTAAAGTTAACACTCGTTTGTAGATAACTAGATTGTTGCCATTATACTATACCATCATTTTTACTTGCATGCTTATCTCCCTACTAGCAGGTATACACCTTGAGGACAGAATTGTCTACCTTTTTTTCAGGTTCTCTACCACCTAACATAGTAGCTGGAACATGTTCACTGGGCCTGCTCAGCTAGGTGTTTAGTGAATGAATAAATAAGTGAATACGTAGTAAACCAAACAAGAATGTAGAATGAGAAGGAAGAAATCCTGGGGAAAATATGATTTGAGATTCTAGTATTATTTCTGAAGAGTGGTCAGACAACTTTGATGAGAACCAGAAAAGAGTAGTGGGGACCACTGAAAACAAGGGAGGATAGAGTCGCACAATCAGGAGTTACTGCTCAGTTCATTTAGCTCCCTCCCCCGAAACCAAGATGAATAAATTACCTATAGAAAGATCTACATACACATGGGAAGAATGTCTGGTTCATTTAGGATGAAATTTGAGATTCCTTATCATTGTCAAGAATAGATGCCATCGCTGGACTATATTGTCATTAAAACCAAGTTCAGGTCGGGCGCGGTGGCTCCTGCCTATAATCCTAGCACTTTGGGAGGCCGAGGCGGGCAGATTACAAGGTCAGGAGATCGAGACCATCTGGCTAACACGGTGAAACCCTGTCTCTACTAAAAACACACACAAAAAAATTAGCCAGGCATGGTGGCAGGCGCCTGTAGTCCCAGCTACTCGGGAGGCTGAGGCAAGAGAATGGCGTGAACCCGGGAGGCGGAGCTTGCAGTGAGCTGAGATCACAGCACAGTACTCCAGCCTGGGTGACTGAAAACCTATTCCATGTTCTTCACACATCAAGTGATAAACTGGCAACAATGTTTAAAAATATTGTTTCTATGTCTTTAGAAATTTTCTGAAGGTACAGTTGTTCAGGGTGAAGATTTTTACAGAATTCAGTAAGGATGGATTATAATATGCTGAACATTTGGTTGCTTTTGTAATAATAGAGGTGGACAGCTGAGACAAATCTAGACAAAATCTTACACTGACTGTTTTGTAACGACATACGAATGACCCTGAACTTTTTAAGTAACTTAAGAAATAGGCCGGGCACGGTGCCTCACACCTGTAATCCCAGCACTTTGGGAGGCCAAGGCGGGTAGATCACAAGGTCAGGAGTTCGAGACCAGCCTGGCCAACGTGGTGAAACCCCATCTCTACTAAAATTACAAAAATTGGCCGGGCGTGGTGCTGCGTGCCTATAATCCCAGCTACTTGGGAGGCTGAGGCAGGAGGATTGCTTAAACCTGGGAGGCAAAGGTTCCAGTGAGTTGAGATCATGCCACTGCACAACAGCCTAGGTGATAGAGCGAGATCGCGTCTTGGAAAAAAGGAAAGAAAAGAAAAGTTAGCTGACCACTCTTCAGAAATAATACTAGAAAAGAAAAGAAAAGAAAAGAAAAGAAAAGAAAGAAAGAAAGAAAGAAAGAAAGAAAGAAAGAAAGAAAGAAAGAAATTTAGCACTTTTCCAGATGTCATCATGCCTTAACCTAGTACTACAAATCAATTCACATTGTATCCTAGCTCCCCATATTCCTTTAGTTGTACTGTCTAATTAGATATATTGCTTAGACACAGCAAACAAATCCAGTAATTCCTCTTAATCTCTGTTTATTAATTTTTTAAACCTACAAGAACACTAAAGCAGCATTTCTTCTGCACCAAGGAAATAGAATGGAAACACATTAGACAGACCAATTCCATTACTAGAGACATCTGCGAGTTTCAGGAGTCAATCCCTAGCTTGTGGTTCTGATTAGGGCTCTAATGTTCTTGTTGATTTAAACTGTTTTTCTTGTTGTTTAGAGGTAAAATCTGATCTGTAAAAGATCCCAATTTGAAAATCTTTATTAGCTTTTTAAAAAGAAGATTTTGTCTTCACCAGCTACAGCAAGGGCCCTCTCGATGGTAGGATGTTCATGAGAAAGAGAAAGGAAGGAAAGAGGAGCCCAGTAAAGACACACAAGAAGGATATTGGCCACTGGCAGTATTATTTTTATGTAGCATTATGAAAACAACGAAAAATTGTTTTATTTTCTAAAGAAGCACAATATTTTGATTCATCCATAATGTGCATATATCATTAATGTAACACATTACACTTTCTGGGAATTTTTGCTCAAGAATCATAAAATACTTTATAAGCAGACAAGAATAATTTTAACAAGCAGTTTAGGAAATAACCAAGACGTCTATGCCCTCTGAACCTACATAATCATTGTTGGAAAGTAGCTCTTCATCTGCTCTTTAGTATACTCTTTTAATAAATAAAAATGGAGATAATAGTTATAAGTTCTGCTTGAGACATAAAAATATTGTTAAATGCCAAAAATAGTATCTGATTTCTGAGAAATTTTGTATTTTTTTATTTAAAAGTACTTCATTTTCCAAAAGATTTAATAAGCAGATTAAAAGGATCAATGAACCTTTCCATTTTAGGAAGTCTATTCTGAAGTCTACCATACCTCCCAGGAGGTAGCTGCCCTGTGATAGAAACAGGTTACATTATTACAACTTCAGTTAACAACCCGGATTAACTCACTTCTGTCTGGGGTTATATTTGTTTTCTTTTAATGACAAAAGTGTATTTATAACACATCATGTTTCCATCAACCAGGGCATTTCTTCAAAGAAATATGCAGGATGAAGTTCCTTTAGTGTTTTCAGGCAAAGTTTGTTTTTCTTTACTTTGTGTGACACTAACTTTTTCTTTCAAATACATTAAATTTTGTAGCTACAGGATTCAAATATATATGCATGGCTTCTACTACATTACATCGTTTTTCTGGCTTATTAGTTTCCATATAAGTAAATTTTACAAATTCTGAAGTTACTCTCCAAGATTAAAACTGAAAATGACAACAACAAACTTGTGTGTTTTTGTTGGAAATATTCCTATAGTTGAAGCCACTGAATCAACTATATATATATATATATATATATATATATATATATAGAGAGAGAGAGAGAGAGAGAGAGAGAGAGAGAGAGAGAGAGACGGGCTCTCTCTTTGTTGCCCAGGCTGGAGTGCAGTGGCATGATCTCAGCTCACTGCAGCATAGACTTTAGAGGCTCAGGCGATGCTCCCACCTCAGCCTCCCAGTAGCTGGAACTACAGGTGCACACCACTTTGCCCGGCTAATTTTTTGTGTTTTTTGTAGAGATGGGGGTTTTGTCATGTTTGCCCAGCTGGTCTCAAACTCCTGGGCTCAAGTGATCCACCAGCTTGGCCTCCCAAAGTGCTGGGATGACAGGCGTGAGCCACCACACCCAGCCTATAATTTCTTTTGTAACTTTATTGGTATGGTAAGGCAGTAGTGCCCATTGTTCTGCCTATATTACACCTGTCCATTGTTTTTCGAGTTCTTTTGTTGGCCTCTTACAGTTTTCTAATCTTCCTCGTCATTTGACTAATATTTCTCCATTCCTGATGTTGTTAAATGACCTTACCTACTCCTCTCCTTTTTGGATGCCTCTAATCTGCTGAGGACTTCAAAACCAGAAATTTTAATATCACAAGAATGCACCTGATTGGTATATGCCCACAATCAAAACCCAGGCATATGAACAATGCCCTTTACAAAGGCTTATTGATGTAACATAATTTTAATCTCTGCTATTTTTGTGTCATATATAATGTCAAAAATTGGGCAAGTAGAGGGTCTGCCCTTTGAAACTGAGCAGCATGAATCAGAAAAGCTACTCAGATCACAAGGATGTTCCCTAAACAAAACTGGTAGAATTATCCCTTTCCACTTTCAATCATGTCTCTATTTTTCTTTTGTGTAATTTCCTGTTTTTCAGAAGAATTAGAACTTGAGCACCTGGAGCCCATTTCTGGACTTGATATAAGCCCCAAATATGATAAGGGAGTGGAGGAAATAGATGTTTCCCAAGGCTGGGGTCCCAAACCCCCAAGCCATGGACCCGTACCAGTCTGTGGCCTGTTAGGAACTGGGCCACACAGCAGGTGAGAGGCTGTTGAGGGAGCATGATGGCCCGAGCTCCGCCTCCTATCAGATCAGCAACTGCCTTAGATTCGCATAGGAGAGTAAACCCTATTGTGAACTTCGCATGAAAAGGATCTAGGTTGCACGCTCCTTATTAGAATCTAACTAATGCCTGATGATCTGAGGAGGAACAGTTTCATCCCCAAACCATACCCCTCATCTGTGGAAAAATTGTCTTCCACAAAACCTGTCCCTGGTGCCAAACAGAGTGGGGACCGCTGTCCTAAGGCACATATGAGAACTGTGTAAAGGTACTGTGTTCACTCAGAGGAATAGTCCCATGAGCAAAGTGAACATATTTGATTCCCATATTTTTTAACCTTCATTTTCTGGTATTAGTTTTTCCTCTTACTTTGGACATATGAAAACATTACTTGAAATAAAAGGTACATTTGAGTTTTAAATTTGGTAATTTTTAGCATCATAACTTTAAGCTGCAAAACTTGGGGTAGGATGTGTGTATAAGAGTAAAAATAGTTTTAAATATACACATAAATGTATATTAAAACTTTTTCTAAAATGGAGATACAAATGTAGAAAACTGCTAACTGTTGTAATAAATATTAATCAGGACTTCACGGTATAGACTACTAGTTATTTTGAAAAAGTCAGAATTCAGTGAGTTTTTTGTTGTTGTGGTTGTGAAATTGGCATTATCCTTTCTTCATAACATTTAGAAATTCACACTACCTTACATTTTTCATAAGAATTGAAATAACCAGTAAATTAGTTTAATTTACTAATTTTTTTCTCCCCTGGCACTTTATAATAAATGATAGCCTTTATGTTTCAGAATGAAAAAACAAAGTACTTGCATCTTTTTTAAATAGACAAACTCGTTATAGGATATTCATCACATATGCCTTCTTTCTGCCTAGAATGATTTATTTTTCTGTCTTTTTATATTGATATAGTTAAACAGTTACCTGTTTGCAAAGGAAACCTTATCCAGATGTAGGCTCTTCTTTTCTGTATTTAACAATTGATTGTTACAGTTAAAGAGTACATTGCTTATTTCCATAACACAATGGTCTTTATTTTGAAAGACAACCCATTGGTTGAAAAGAGCTTAGACTTTGGAGACCAAAGAGATGGGTTCAAATTGTGTTTCTGCCAATTAGTACCGGGTTCTATTGATAGTTTCTTAGGCTTTGTAAATTATAATTTTGTTTTCAACCTGGGATAAATAACACCTATTATTGCATAATTATTTTAAGGATTGGATGTAATGGATTTTTAGAAACAGCACAGGATTTGACATGTTGTAGTTAGTTGCTCAACTAAGTGTAGCTACACGTTTATTTTTTGAGCCATGAGAAGCAGAGGGGGAATTGAGGGGGTTCTAGTGGTAGAACGAGGACTCAAATCATTCGCTTTAATATAAAGTGACAATTGGAAATGATCATCCAGGAAGAAGACTAAGGGACTCCAGATACACCCTTTTTGAAGATGTCTAATAATTCAAGCATCACCCTGCTCAATTGAACTAAAAATTTGGATTGTGTAGAATTTCATTTGAACAGTAGAATTTTGTTTGAACAGTATGATAAGCTCATTAAAATCTATCACTTGTGTGTAACCTGATCCTCTGGTTAATTCCATGTGTTTTCCTATGGCCTTTTAGTTCTGCAAAAGACTGGGCTTGTAAAGACTTTGATTTCATTTTTTTTTTTAACAGATGATAGCAAAAGATATTTAGTACCTAGAAAGGTAAACTAATCCTATTTTCATGTGCAGTCACCCTCTAGTGTAAATAAGTAGTTTTCAGTCTTCAAATGGAAAACATTCCAATGTCAAATTCTTTAGGAATAGGAATAGGAAAAAGGATTCTGATGCAGTGAGTGGCTAATTTATATATGATATAAATTTATATATAATTTAAATATATATATATATATTTTTTTCCTCCTTTCTGCCATAATTTGGCTTCTCCTTTTCTGACATAAGATCTATCAGACTATAGTACAGGTTTCAGCACAGAAGTAAATAACAGCATGTTTCCTTGGGAGCAATTGAACAACAGAATGAAACAGTGCTTACTGTTTTTTGAAAGTTGTGTCAGATTGTCATGGTAATACAGAGTTGCATCATGTTGTCATAGTAACCAGAATTATAAAACGAATTTAAAGAGGATGAAGAGATACCTTGTGATTCCTTTAGCTTTAAAGATTTTGTTCTACCGCTACTTCTGTTTATTTTGCTTCCTTTTTGCAAAATGTGTCACACTGCTATTTTTTTAAAAGTAGCCATGGTACATCCTCTGCATGGCTAGAGGGAATGATGGAAATCTTTACTTCTTCCCAAATGAAGAGTTGAAGCATCAAAGTTTAAGTCATCCCATTCTCTTTGAGCCAGGTAAAATTCAGGGTCAGGAGCACATCAGATACACTGCTGTGTCAAAACATGCCAACTCTGAGCAGGGAGGAAGTTCCACTCCGAGTGGGATGAAAAGGTATTTCACCTTTCTTAATGATGATTCATAGCTTTTCTTTCAAGCGAAAAACATCCTAATCTTACTTTGAAGGAAAAGCAGTATTAAGCTTTGGGAGCCGATTCATCGAACTGTATCAGAATTGGGGTAATATTGTTTTTTCTCTTTAATTAGAATGATTTAGGTCATTATAATTCATCAAGAGGTTAAAATGTGACCCTTGAGGTGAAAAACTAATTTCAAGGCTAAACCATTTCTATTATTCCATGAGAGAGAAAGAGAGAAAAAAATAGGCTTACAAGTAAGTTGAGACTTTCGTTGCTGGAGCGCATCCAATAACTAATTCTACAAATAATAATGACTGAAGAAAAATAAATTTGTCAACTTTGAAGTCTTGCTAAAATCAATTGTTTTAAATATTCTTTCTCTTAGCTCCTACCCTCTTGGCGTAAGCAATTTGCTTTCGTTCTTTTTGTTGCTACATTGCCTCCTCTCGACTTGCTTTTTAACAAACGCTTTAAGAGCCATGCAAGTTGCAGCAAGTTTCAGGCATTAATAGTGGCCAGGTAGTATAATACTATTTTTAATGAATGCCTGTTTTCTATTCTTTACTGTGCTTTCTTTGGAAAGAGGCCCACGAAACAAAGTATTAAGAAAACACACCGCTGCCCTGGAATGTGTGTATTAGCTGCAGATTATTTCCTATTAGCAGATTAGCTGCAAGGCTATTGGCTCAGAAAGGTCTTTGAGAGTATTTTGTTTTGTAACTGATTCAAGCCATGGGAGAAAATTGCCACCATGATTGGAAAGAAGAATTAGCTACTGTTGCCATGGACACTGGAGTTCACAGTCCCATTGTTAAATCTAGGGCTTCAGAATGAGATGTCCCAGCAGGAGTTCAAGTTTTGTTAATGAAATGATCGAATATATTTTTTTCAGAGTTGTGACAGAACCTTGTGAAAGATATGTGGAATATATTTTTTATGGAATTTAGAGTTTCCTTTATAAATCAGTGTTTTCTTTCCAGTAAAATAAAATAATTCCATGCTATAGCCCTCTATGAAAACTAATGTACGCATCTATTTAAATATTTAATTACCTCCCTATTACATTTACATTTATAGCATATCTTTTAAAATTATATGTAGATTACATAAAAACTAACATAAAATTGCAAATCTTTAAGTCAAATTATTATAATATCCATGCCAGTATGGTTTCTAACAATATAAATTGATGATAGTAATGCATGTTGGATGTACCTTTTAAAAAATGCTTTATAGGCGGGGCGTGGTGGCTCACGTCTGTAATCCTAGCACTTTGGGAGGCTGAGGCGGGTGGATCACTTGAGGTCAGGAGTTCGGGACCAGCCTGACCAACATGGAGAAACACCATCTCTACTAAAAATACAAAATTAGCTGGGCGTCATGGCGCACATGTGTAATCCTAGCCACTTGGGAGGCTGAGGCAGGAGAAACACTTGAATCCGGGAGGCAGAAGTCGCAGTGAGCCAAGATCATTGCACCTCAGCCTGGGCAACAGGAGCCAAACTGTGTCTCAAATAAATAAATGCTTCATAGAATAGAAACAGGATAGAATAGTATATTAATGCTAGCAATATGTTTTAAAGGCTATATGCCATGTGACATACAGTAGATTCTAGTCTTTAAAACTGGAAATAATTCATGGAAGTTAAAAGCTAGTGGCTTATTATGGTGATAGGCTAAAAACCTGTAAGTTCAAAGATGGATCACAAAATGTTTTCACTAGCAGACTCTTGCTAATAGTCCAGGGGGTGGATATTCAGGTGCAGGCTAGAAGCCAGGCCTAATGCGCTTCAAGAAGAACTTACAGACTTGACCAGTCTTTTAAAAAAGTATCTTACCCCTCCTATTAATCAAAAATCCCTTTGTCTGGGCCAGGCAAGGTGGCTCACACCTGTAATCCCAGCACTTTGGGAGACCAAGGTGAACAGATCACTTGAGGTCAAGTGTTCAAAACCAGCCTGGCCAAGATGGTGAAACCCCATCTCTACAATAAAATACAAAAATTAGCTGGGTGTGGTGGCACACTACTGTAGTCTCAGCTACTCGGGAGGCTGAGGCATGAAAATTGCTTGGACCTGGGAGGTGGTGGTTGCAGTGAGCCGAGATCTTGCCACTGCACTCCAGCCTGGGTGACAGAGTGAGACTCTGTCTCAAACAGAAACAAAAAACACTTTGTCTCATTATCCTACTAACAATACTGTTTTGTTCACTTACTTTTCAGAGAAACGTAGAGTCCATTCATACTTTTGCCACTAACTGATCATGTGACTTTGGGTCATTTAATTATCTGTCCCTCAGTTTCCTCATCTATAAACTAGAATGACAATAGCACCCACCCCATAGAGTTATTTTTGTCGATTGAATTAAACCCATACACACACACACGAACACGCACACGCACGCACACACACACACACACACACACAGTGCTTGGCACCCAATAAATAACAATTGACAATTGTTGTATTCAGTAACTTTTGGTGGCTCCCTATTTCTGACAAAATGTTTAGATATTCTAACACTGGAACCCTGTCTGTTCCTGCAAAATTATCTGCCTCTCTAATTAACTCCTGAAAACATATCTAGTTGTTGCCTGGACACACGCCAAACACATTTCCTGAACATTCTTACCTCTGAGTCCTTGTTTAGCAAAGCTTCCAACCAAGAGCACTGTCACCCCTCTGATTCTGCCTAAGGTCAGTATTTTCTAAGACCCATACTCTTTGAAGTATTTCCTGACTAACCAAACGTCACCCCTCTGGATTTTTTGTTTCTCATCTCAATAGATTTTTTTTCTTTTCAAAATTTTAAACATGTATTAGAAGCCAAGTGAGAGTTAGTTTGAAATTAAAAGACCCTTAACCTTTCATAATCATCAAGTCCTCCTGGGTATATTTCATTTATGAAAATGTTATTACAAAAAGAAAAGCCATATCCCTAGGATATTTGCTTTCCACAAATTTCATTTATCATAAAAATTTATATTAACTCGTTTGTATTTGGATTCATTCAAATACAGATTGAATGAATCTGAACCTGTCATTGGTTTGGTTAACTTATTATCTAGATACTTATCATTGTGTAATGATTCCAGTGGCCTTGTTGCTAACAGGTTCTCAGCAACAGGCGGTTGAGGGTGGGCAGCAGTATCAGGCTTGCTTGCTTGCTTGCTTTCTCTCTCTCTCTTTCTTTCTTTCATTCTTCCTTTCTTTCTTTCTTCTTTCTTTCTTCCTTTCTTTCTTTCCTTTCTTTCCTTTCTTTTCTACCAGGTCTCGCTCATGGCTCACTGCATCCTGGAAATCCTGGGCTTAAGTAATCTCAAACAATCCTCCCTCTTCTCTTCGACCTCCTGAGTAGTGGGGACTACAGGCATACGCCAGCACACTCCACTAAGTTTACCATGATTCCTTCTGGTAGCACTGATGGGAAGACTCTCAGGTTTAAGCCAAAGCTAAAAAGACAAAAAAGCAAGCCAATTACACTTCAGGATGGAATGGGTAATGATCTAATGCGCTAACACCCTGTACATATTGCCACTTCTCTTTCCATTGGAATATCTTGGAATTTAAATCCCATGTAAATAAATGCAAAAACTCCCTTATTTGGAGTTTTATCTGGCAACATCAGCTACCTGTGATATTCTGAAAGAGGAAAAGACAAAGACAAAGGTCTCCTCAAACGTAATAGTGAATAACAAAGCTACAAAAGAGGGAAATTGGAATCGTCTTTAACAAAGTCTAATTATTACAAGGTAAAGGGTTTAGATGTCTCCTTTGTTTGTCTCCCAGTTAGCACCTCAGAAGGGGAGTAGAGAATTGTTACCATAAACTGACATCCTGAGTACAAAATTGAAGAATTTTCTGAAAAATCACAATTCAGAATATATGTCCCTCCCAGTATTTTGTTGTTGATGTTGTTTGGTCCTTCATCCCGTGTGTTTCGATAATTGTAGAAATAGAATATTATAAATGCAGAGAATCTTTTGAGTTGTGTATTCAAAGAGCTGTCATCTCTCCTGGATTTAATCTGAATAAAGGAGTGATCGCTTTCAAATTTATAAAATAATAAACCAGCCTCCAAAATTCTGGGAAAACATTTTTCTAGTCCTTGATATTAACTTAAAGGTAAGATTCTTAAGAAGATAATCACTGTTTCAAATTTCAAGAGATGAATTCTGTGGTCTAAGACAATCGAATTCTTTGGGCTGATACACCTGTGAATGTTAGCAATAACAATAACAGACAAAAGGAATGACAGCAGAAAGGTAGACGATTACTGAGACACAATATAAAAGATCGAAATGTATTGGTTATTGTACTAAGTTTATAGCTGCTTCTAGTGTAATTATGAATTTATAATATAGAATTCCAAATTATTAGAACATTATTCATTAGCCCTATTAAGAAAAAGTTATTTTTGCAAGCATGCAAAATTACATGTATTACATGCATATGTGTGTATATAGTAGATTGTGTATGGATTTTAAGGTGTGGATTATAATTTTCAAAGAACTTTAATACATATAATGGCATAATTAACTATATATCTTTATCCCCTTATAATAAAGGTATTTTAAAATATCCTCACATTAAAGAAAAATTGGAATGCAAAGAGTTATTTCACGGTTTTACTTTCTTGCTTACTACCATTTCTGGATTTTATGAGAATTCAGACATTTAAGAATTCCTTGTAAAACTTGGTCTTGCCCTAGTAAAACTTCCTTGTCTTGGTAAGATAAAAAGTTTGTTTGACAGAACCCTTGTGTGTGCCTTGCACTGATATCTATTATAAAAATACAATTGTAAAACAAAATGGAATAAAATGTAGAGATAACCATCAGCCAGATACCACAAACATTATTTCATTTGTGTTTTCTTCTACTCTTACATTTAGCTAAAAAAGAGACATTGAGGATCAGTAACTTTTAATGGAAACAAACAACACAATACATTTTTATGTATGGCATAAAAATTGGCATGTTAAAAGTATTAAGTTTAAGATGGATTGAGAAACCCATATTTGAATATTGCAATTTTACCGTTTAAAAATGGTAAGATATTATTTACCTGTTCTTTAAATATCTTTATAAAAATGATTTGAATGTCTTTCAGAAAGCCTTAATTTTAAAGGAGCTCTTTTAAAAAGCCAAATTCATGCTAATAGGGACCAATAAAGTATATTTCTAATAATATTTACCATGCTCTACAAAATGTCATGTGTGCATTTTTTTCATCCTGCCAAAAGCCACTCTTTGCTTTGAAATTCAAACATAATGTGGCCTCAGAGCATTATAATTCATGATCTTTTGATACAAATAAATGAAAACAAAATGTACACTCTTTAATTAATGTTTAAAAATCCAACTCTTTATTAGTAAACCAAGAAATATGTGATTGCTGAACCAAATTCTGCCAGACAATGGTATGCTATAAAATTTTTAACTGGGAAAGATTTCATACTGCACGAAAAATTCTGTGGTTTTTTTCTGCAAAGCAGAGTAAAAAAAGAAAACAGTAACAACACTATTTTTCCTTAAAAGCTTGTTGTTTTTTAAGATTGGGATTCAGTCCCAGTCTTTGTTTTGGTTTGGTATAATGGGAGTAACTGGACAATGTGGCTACACAAAAATGAAATAAGACAATATGTTCCCATATGCAGTGATAAAGCAAGCTGACATTTTATTGGTGTCTCATATAGTGTATGTTTCTAAGTGAAAGTGTATATACCATGTAATTCACTTGAGATCAGGTATGTATTCCATTTTGCATAAGAATGGGGGCAGGATGTGGAGGATGAGAAGGCCAAATTAAGTCATATAGATTATTTTTCAGTAGACAAAAAGGTGTTATTATAATGGAGTGGGAGTTTAAAAGTCATAAGAGCTATACTACTTATTAGACAAAATTTTTTTAAAATAGAAGTAACTGCAGCCTGCTAAAATGTTACATACTTTTTATGAGAACGTTTTGAAAGTATTGAACTATATTAATACATAACCTCATTTATAATGTCACTGTTTATATGAGCTGATTATTTTAACTCTAAATTATCCAAGTGTCTATTTTATCCTTATATATCTGTTTTCTGCCTTTTAGTATGAATTCTCCAATATTATCTTGAGTGAGAAGGGAAAATGTGGTCTCTAAAAGATTCTAGAGAAGCTCTTTGAAAAATGTCTGGTTTGTTTTTTTTGTTTTTTGGTTTTTGTTTTTGACGGAATCTCACTCTGTTGCGAGGCTGGAGTGCAGTGGTGCGATCTCAGCTCACTGCAACCTCCACCTCCTGGATTCAAGTAATTCTCCTGCCTCAGCCTTTTGAGTAGCTGGGACTACAGGCGTACATCACCACGCCCAGCTAATTTTTTGGGGGGTTTCACCATGTTGGCCAGGATGGTCTCGATCTCTTGACCTCATGATCCACCCGCTTTGGCCTCCCAAAGGGCTGGGATTACAGGCGTGAGCCACCTCACCTGGCCGGTAGTCTTATTTATATCACACAGGCATACCTTGGAGATAACTGTGGGCTTGGTTCCACACCACTGCAATAAAATGAGTATCAAAAGAAAACAAATCCCATGAATATTTTGGCTTCTCAGTGCATATAAAAGTTATGTTTACATTATACTGTAGTGTACTAAGTATACAATAGCATTATGTCTTAAGAAAGAGTGTGCATATCTTAATTTAAAAATACCTTATTGCTAAAAATGTTTATTGATTATCTAAGCCTCTAAGGAGTCATAGTCATTTGTCTGGTGGAGGATTTTGCCTTGATGTTGATGGCTGCTGACTGATCAGGGTGGTGTCTGCTGAAGGTGAGGGTGGCTGTGGCAGTTTCTTGAAATAAGACAACAGTGAAGTCTGATGCATCAATTGACTCTTCTTTTCGTGAAAGATTTCCTGTAGTATGCAATGCTATTCAATAACATTTTACCCACAGTAGAACTTCATTCAAAATTGGAGTCAACCCTCTCAAACCCTACCTCTTCTTTGTCAACTACGTTGATGTAATATTCTTAATCCTTTGTTCATTTCAACAACATTCACAGCATATTTACTAGGACTAGATTTCTTCTTAGAAACCACTTTTTTTGCTCATCCATAAGAAGCAACTCCTTATTGGTTCAAATGTTATCATGAGATTACAGCAATCAGTTACATCTTCAGGCTCAACTTGTAATTCTAGTTATCTTGCTATTTCCACCAAATCTATAGTTACTTACTCCACGTGAAGTCTTAAAATCCTCAAAGTCATTCTTGAGGATTGGAATCAACTTCTTACAAACTCCTGTTAGTGTTAATATTTTAACCTCCTCCCACGAATTACGAATGTTCTTAATGCCATCTAGAGTGGTGAATCCTTTTTTGAAGGTTTTCAATTGACTTTGCCCAGATCCATCAGAGCAGTCACTATCTATGGCCGCTTCAGCCTTATAAAATGTATTTCTTGAATAATAAGACTTGAAAAGTCCTAATTACTCCTGGGGTCCACAGGCTGCAGGATAAATACTGTCTTTGCAGGAATGAAAAAAAACACTGATCTCTTTGTACATATCCATCAGAGCTCTGGGGTAACCAGGTGCATTGTCAATGAGCAGTGATCTTTTGAAAGGAATCTTTTTTTTTTTCTGAGAAGTAGGTCTCAACAATGGGCTTCAAATATTCAGTAAACCATGCTGTAACAGATGTGCTGTCATCCAGGCTTTGCTGTCCCATTACAGAAAACAGGCAGAGTACATTTAGCATAAATCTTAAGGGCTCCAGGTATTTTAGAATGATAAATGAGCACTGGCTTGAATTTCAAGTCAGCAGCTGTATTAGCCCTTAAAAAGAGACTCAGCCTGTCCTTTGAAGCTTTGAGTCCAGGCATTGAATTTTCTTCTCTAGCTATGATAGCCCTAGATGGCACCTTTTACCAGTAGAAAACTGTCTTATCTCCATTGAAAATCTATTGTTTATTGCAGCTATCTTCATCAATCACCTTTCCTACAGCTTCGGGATAACTTGGAGTTTCTCCTTCAGCACTTGCTTCTTAACCTTATACTTTTATATGGAGATGGCTTCTTTCCTTCAACCTCATGAACCAACCTCTGCTAGATTAAGATTTTTCTTCTGCAGCTTCCTCACCTCTCTCAGACTTCATGGAATTGAAGAGAATTAGGGCCTTGCTTTGGGTTAGACTTTGGCTTAAGGGAATATTGTGGCTGGTTTGAACTTCAATCCCGACCATTAAAACTTTCTTCATATTAGCAATGAGGTAATTTTGCTATTTTATCATTTGTATATTCACGTGACTAGCACTTTTAATTTCTTTCAAGAACTTTGCCTTTGCATTCACAATTCACTGTTGAGCTCAAGAGGCCTAGCTTTCGGCCTGTCTCAGTTTTTGGTGTGCTTTCCTCACTAAGCTTAATCATTTCTGTTTTTTCCTTTAAAGTGAGACAGCTCTTCCTTTCACTTGAACACTTAAAGGCTACTGTAGGGATATTAGTTGGCCTAAGTTCAATATTGTCATATCTCAGGGATTAGGGAGACCCTTGGAGAGGGAGAGAGATGAGGGAATGGCTGGTCAGTGGAGCAGTCAGAACACACGCAGCACTTATTAAGTACGCTACCTTATGAGTGTGGTTCGTAGCACACTGAAACAATTACAATAGTAACATCAAAGATCACAGATCACACATCACCATAAAAGATACTATAGTAATAATGAAAAAGTTCGGAATATTGTGAGAATTACCAAAATGTGACACTGTGACATGAAGTGAGCACGTGCTGTTGGGAAAATGGCTCCTTTAGACTTGCAGGATGCAGGGTTGCCACAAACTGACATTTTGTTAAAAATGCAGTATTTGTGAAGCACAATAAAGCAAAGCCTAATAAGACAAAGTATGCCTGTCACTATGTAATGAAGGAGCATAATTTTATGGAGTTTTCCTTCAAATGTGACATGACTAATTTCTTCTTTTTATTTCCACTGCTCATCAGAAGCCTCTTTTCTTCTCTCCTGATTTATTGCCTACTACCTGGTCTTCCTGTTCTCTGAATTTCCTCTCTCCTGACCATCCTGCAGTTCCTGCTAAGATCAGCTTCCCAAATTATATCATCTCTTTGTTCAAAATCATCTGATGACTCAGATTGTAACTTGGGTTTTCAAAGAACCGTTTCCTATATCTGTGCCTTTTCGCCTCAGCTTCTCAGTAAACTGGCATAGATCGTGGTGAAGTTTTTTTTTTAACATTCCCTCACGGAGTGACTATATATAGTATTGATGATATATATAGGCAACATATATAGTAACTACATTGTTTGGATATGGTATGACTCAGCAAGCATGGGGTACACTGTAAAACTAAAGAGGCGTATGTTCTATTGCTGTGTGTAACAAATTACTACAAATGTAGCAGCTTAAAATACTGCAAATTAATTATCTCACAGTTTTTTGTAGGGCAGGAGACTGGGCACAGCATGACTGGATGTTCTGTTCAGGGTCTCACTACGCTGAAATTGAGATGTCAGCTGGGCCGTGGTTCTCATCTGGGCTCAGAGTACTTTTCCAAGCTCTCTGGTTGTTGGGAGAATTCATTTCCTTGCATCCATAGAACTGAGGTCCCCATTTTCCTTGTAGCTGTTGGCCGGAGACCACTGTCAAGCCCCTATGGGCAGTTCCCATGTGGCCCTCATAGATGTGTGCTTTCTTTCAGGCCAGGTGATGCACGTCTCTCTGACTTCCTCTTCTGAGACCAGCCAAACAAAACTCAGGGCTTGTGTGTGTATATCAAGCCCAATTGGATAACCTCCTGTTGTAAGGTCAACTATTTGGGACCTAAATTTCATCTGTCAAAGCCCTTCAGAACAGGTCCTAGATCAGTGTTATTGAATAACTGAGAGAAAGTGTATGTACAGGAGGACCCAGGAATCTTGGAGGTCATCTTACAGTTCTGCCTACTACAAGGAGCTGCAGTATCCATAACTGCAAAAAGAAATGTAGTTTTAGAGCTAATGCCTCAGGACAACTGATTCTCCAAGACTGGTGGTGGAAGAACATTGTGTTCTTCATTCAAGAACTACTTCTGGAAAATTTCCTGAAGTGCATCAAGCACTATTGTAGCAGTTTTTAAATGTTCAGTCAATGAGATAAAATTGGAAAATTAGTATGGCATCTTACCCCTACTGTCAGATTTTGAAAATAGCATTGTAGGACATCACATTAATTGGTGTGATTTCCAGGAAAAAAGTCATTTTTGAAGCTCTTTTAGATGAAGCTGACCTTCTCAGAAAGAATACTTTTATAATAACATTGCTAAACAGATAACAAACCCTAAATATCAAAGCAAGAAACTAAAGAAGTGAAAGGAAGCAGGACAAAGGACAACTGACTTTGTGTCCTTATTTGCCTCTTGAAGGATGTGTTAGAGAAGTCTTCAGCATCTAAGTACTATAGCTATTACTTCTATCATGGGGACATGATATTTGACTTGCCTCTCTCAGATAAAATTTGGAAATATGAAATATTAAAGATTTAAACTTTTTTGAATCTTTAATATTAGATTCTGAAATTGAATATATATTAGTCATATTATGATATTGTGTTTACCTGTATTTTGTCTAACAGATTTTTTTTTAAGCTTTAGCTAATGAAGACACATGGCATTGTTAACAGTGGTAAAGATGGGAGGAATGTTTAGATTTTCTAGTTTGGATGTAGTATGCCTTGTTTTGAGATACATTGATGTTGGTTTATTTTAATGGCAAAAGTGCTTTCATTATTCTAAACTATTTGATTTATCATGACCTCATCCCATTCTGTAACAAGAAGAAGATTGTTATATTTTTCTCCAGAATTAACATTACAATGATTAATAAGAGAAATCATATATTTTACAAAGCCACTATGAGTCAAATACACATTTTTCTGTGAAAGCATTTTTGGAGCTGGGAAATATCCTCTCCTGTTCTCTGTAGTATCCTGTCTGGAGAAAATCCAGTTTGTATCTTTTATATGCTTTTCAAAAATTACTCATCTTTAGAGGCTACTGGGAGCTGATTGTGGTGTAATTTCTTTGCTGTGTTCAATTCTGCGGATCAAATTTGCAATCTGATATGCATACATACCTCTAGCTGGCTTAGAATAGATGGAGATAGCACCTTTTCATACATGCCTGCAGTGTCAGTGTCTATCCACAAATGTTTGGGAATTAGACCAGAATGTTAATATTGACCTTGCCACTTCCTTGCTGTGAGCTTGGGCAAGTTACTTAACCACTTGGAGCTTAAATCTCATCTGTAAAATGGAGATGATTATTTATCATAGGATGATACTTACAATTAATTTTTTTTTTTTTTTTTTTTGAGACAAGGTCTCACTCTGTCACCCAGGCTGGAGTGCAGTAGCATGATTACAGCTCACTGAAGCCTTGACCTCCAGGCTCAGGTGATCCTCCCACATCAGCCTCCCAAGTTAGCTGAGAACACAGGTGCATGCCACCATGCCTGGTTAATTTTTGTATTTTTTTATAGAGATGGGGTCTCACCATGTTGCCCAGGCCGGTCTTACACTCCTGGACTCAAGCGATCCACCTGCCCAACCTCCCAAAGTGCTGGGATTATAAGCATGAGACACCGTGCTCAGCCTAGAATTAAATTAAAAAGGCATAAGCAAAGAATCTAAGGTGATGCCTAGAACATTCTAATCACCAATAAGTATAGTTTTTTACTTCCTCTCTCACTTTATCCATTCAGCAGAAAGTGACTGAGTGTTTATTCTGTGCTAGTATCTGTTCAGTTAGGTTCTGGAAACATGAGGATAAATAAGGTATGATGTCTGCTCCTCAAAAGGACAAGACCTACTTATATGGAATGACAATGTTTATGCATTTACAGTTCAAGGCAGTTAAATAAAACTCATATGTAAAAGGCAAATTGCTACTGCTTATTACTAAAGATAGTAAGTTATACAACCAGTTATATTGATCACATGGAAATAATTACATTAATTTTCTTTGTGGGTTTTCCCATGGCTTTCTGTGCATTTTGGTTTCAGTTAAGGTGGGGTTCTTTTATCTAAAATGCCCACAGGATATGGATCCTCATTATTGAGGTTGTATTCTTGTTTCTTTTGTTGCTGTAACCATGTTGATGGTCAACTGAAGCTATTTTCATACACTCTCTAGATTTGATCTTTGATGAAAAGAACCAAAAAGAAATCAAAGAGTTACCTTGCCTTAGGGACTTCCTTCTTCTATTAAATTGATGTATCCCAACTTTGTTGGGGTTTAAGGAACACTAAAAGGCCTATGTTTATTCAGTTAAACTTGAAAGTATTGGGACAGAATGTGCTCTCCTAGTATTGTGATGTTTGCCAGAGAAGATGTAGTCATTGTTAATGATTGTAATGAATTGTTTATTTTTTACTTTAAGTATTTTAGATATTCGTAGTAATTGAAATAAGGAAAACTACTTTGTAATGTAAAAAAAAATTAATTTACTTACTTATAACTGTAAGACTTTGTACAGCCAAAATTGACCTATATGTTTAGTTAGGATTCAGTGAAATCCATTTGCATATGTAGGTTAAATTTCACCTTATACATCACCAAACTGCAGCAAGCTAGGACTTTAAACAACTAAACATACACATATTAATTCTTATTTGAAATGATTTGTTTTTGCCCTCATTGAATGAATGGTTAGTTGCTATTAAAAGATATTATTCAAAGAGCAAAGCTAATGACCTGATTTTAAAGAATGGTTCACCAAAATAGATCAACTTGCAGTCCTGACTGAGTCCCCAGTTTATACTCAATCTGGGATCACTTCCCCCAACATCCACGTTATCTCAAGGATTCTTTTCCTCCTCTGTACTTCCTTAGCATTTTGCAAGGGACAGGTGGAAGCCATGTCCTATTCTGCCCTGTATTCTGTTCATTTGTACCATTATACTGTCTTCCTAAACTTACCGAAATTTTCCAAGAACTGTTTTCCTTCACTACATTCTTCACTGTGCCTTTGCATTACCTTATCTCACAGGGTACTCAGTAGAAATCTTCATAATCGAAGGCTGAAGCCAAAAGTTTGGTATTTGAGTTATACCAAGATATTTTAGAAAAACTCAGAGGGGGGAAAAACAGATGACTGTCTCAGCAGATATACTTATCCAGGTTTCCACTGTGTTCCTGAAAGCAGTTCTAAACATAGTCAATCTCTGTTTCTCAAATAGTTATCCTCTTTATTTGAGATGAGCAGACAGGAGCTTCTTCAAACACTGAAAGTAGTTGCTCAGATTTCAGAATGAATAGAATTCTCATAATAGTTTTTATGCCCTAGTTTTTTGATGATCTGGTACAGTTAGATGAGGCTCTCTAGTGTTTGAATCATGAAACAATATCACTTCACTTCCATCATATTCTAAGCCCTTGTGATAGTTAAGGACAAGTAAAAAATATAATTACTCTGTATGGGTTTTGTTGCAGAAGAGTGGGGGGGGGTTGATTTTTATAGTAAAGTGAGGGATCTATAAGCCAAGTTATAACCTCTGTTTGTTAGCACTACAAAAGTTTTGAGACAGTTTGAAATTTAAACTCAATGCATTTGATGAATAGTACTTGGCTAGTTTGCGTTTGCTTCTTAATTTCATTAATTTTTGGTGGCAACCAGCCTTTACAACAGCTATTTATAAACCTGAAATATCTGATCTGTAAACGGGCAAACAAGTCAAATCTGTGTATATCTTATTTGCCAAACCGTTACATTTTTCTGCATATTTCATCACTTTTACTTGAAAATGGGCTTGTAGAAAGATAAACAGCATATTTACAGGAAAGAAAAGGCAAATAACAAATTCTAAAATATAAATGCAACCTAATACTTTCTCTCTATAATGGTAAAAAGAAGGGCATTTAATATTTTCTCCTAAAGTATATTTAAATATTTTCTAGTCAACCTACTTTCTAACCAATGCTAATAATTCTGTCGACTTATTTTAATGGCTGACATGCACGTAAATTTAGTGTTCATATTGAATCAAATCATTAGCATGAAAAATTACACAACAGCAAGTCCTGTTAACTAATTATGCTAGATTGGCACTTCAGAAGAGGTTCATCAATTCAAGTATTATCATTTGTAGAAAGAAACCTTTTAAAAGAAGCTTTCTATTTTAAAACTTGTTAATGAAAGGGCTTAAAAATAGAGATATATGTATGCCGAAAAATGGCCCTGAATATAATATATGCATTCTTTGCATGCATGCATTTTTCGAGAGGTTACACATTAAGAGATTTGATATAGCCTTCCAGATATATTTCTGACCTATGGTAGCTTAAAATGAGGACAATAAAAATCAATCTTTACCCAGATAAAA
The DNA here is from genome assembly GCF_000001405.40 of Homo sapiens. Lineage (NCBI taxonomy): Eukaryota > Metazoa > Chordata > Mammalia > Primates > Hominidae > Homo > Homo sapiens. The sequence goes on along the minus strand of NC_000008.11, from coordinate 115,480,522 downwards.
ATTCCACATACCTAAGAAGGCATCAGGTTTCTCATGCCTTATTAACATTTATTCTTCTGTGCATAAATTAGTCCATTTCATAGCATAAATTACAACTGACATTATCTCCTGTAAACTCTATAATAAAAGAGTACAGAAACTCTGCCAGCCAGCCATTTTAATGTTGATTTCTTTACTTATATTTAAACTTCTAAATAATAATAACTACCATTACTGGGTGCTTCATTTATGTTGGACACTCTGCTAGGTGTTTTGTATGGTATTTCATTTCATCTCCCTGTTGAAAGCTATAGATTAGGCAGAGAAGCTCAGAGAGGTAAAGTGAATTTCTGAGAACACAAACTTCTAAATGGAATTGGGATTTGTGCTTAATTTTAATCTGTCTGACTTTCACAGTCATCTTCAGTATGAACAGAAGAAAATCCCTGAACACCTTTGAAATTTAAAGCAAATTAAAGCAAATACTATGCCATTAGAGTATATACATATGAATATGATTCACTCCCTGTGAACTCTGCTGTATTCTCCCACCTCTAATGTGCCTCGCCTCTGCTTCATTGGGAAGTAAAAAACCATTTTACTACCTGGGAATTGTGAAGCTATCTGGTCCTTTTTAAAAATATAACACTCTTCTGAGGACTTTCTGATGCTGTGATCAAATGATGTGGAGAGAATCTTCTAAGAAATATATTTGAGGTTTACGTCATGTTGTCATTGATCATTCTGGCTTTATTTATTAAAAGCAAAACCTTTTACACATTATTGCTTTCTGTTTAAGAACTTTCCTTTGCTACTTATTTATTCTGTTGATGTATTATTAATGTCCTAGCTGTCTGTTAAATATAGACTGTTATGTTATTAATGCTGTTAAATATAGACATATTCGTATGAAAAGGGGAATATTTAGATACAAAATTTTATAAAATACCCAAATGCCTTAAGAAATTATCAGACAAATCTTTGTTTTGTTTTGTTTTGCTTTGTTTTGTTTGGTGGGTGAGGGACTTGTTTTTTCCCACTGATCAGCCCCATTCTTGGGATTAAGTTATAGGGAAAATAAGTTTTGTTTCATTTTATTTTATTTTTTCACTGTGCAAACCACTATATATTGCTTGTATCTATCAGCTTCTGGTCAGATACATTTTGTCTATGGAAACTTTCCAACTCAAAGTAATCTTTAACTCACTTAATAATTTTTCACTTGAATTGTAGTTAATGTCTTTCCTGTTGTTGCCTCCTGTACCAGACTACAAGTTACGTAAGAGCATGATAAATGTTTAATTCAATCATAGTTTTGACGAAGTGTTCAATTAATATTTGTTTAACTGACAATTGTTATTTTAATAACAAATTTATTGACTGTGTAAAGTGTTGTACTTATTGTTTAATGATTTTTTAAGGTAACTGGAAAACATAAAGGCATGCCAGGAAATTATGCCTGATTTATTATTTTTCCCCCCAAAATACTCGTGGCTTGTGCATAGTATATGTTCAAAACTGTTTATTAAGTTAGCTGAATAATATGTAAATACATATATACATATATATACATATATACACATATATACATGTATACATTTATATACATATATACACATATATACATATATACATTTATATACATATATACACATACATATATACACATCTACACATATATACACATATATACATATATACATTTATATACATATATACATATATATATACTTTTTTTTTTTGAGATCAAGTCTCACTCTCGCCCAAGCTGGAGTGCAGTGGCGTGATCTCGGCTCACTGCAGGCTTCTCCTCCCAGGTTCAAGCAATTCTTCTGCTTCAGCCACCCAAGTAGCTGGGATTACAGGCACCTGCCACCACACCTGGCTAATTTTTGTATTTTTAGGACAGATGGGGTTTCACCATGTTGGCCGGGCTGGTCTCAAACTCCTGACCTCAAGTGATCCACCTGCCTCGACCTCCCAAAGTGCTGGGATTACAGGCATGAGCCACTGTGCCCGGCCTTGAATAATATTTTTAAAGTAGAATTTTCTAACGTATCCTTTGTGCTCATGTTGAAAATTTAACTGCTCCACCCACAAGCAAGCATGGGGAAATCAAACAATGTTAAAAGGCTAGTAATACTTATAGGTTTTATGATTCAATTTACTATGTGTTTAAAATTGTTTTTTGAAAAAATTGAGTTATGTCACTAAAACTGAGTCAATACAGCTCAAAAATGAAGAAATACGTATCTCCGATAAGCATATTATGTGAATTTCAACATCACTATTGAGAAAAGGAATATAAATTTGAATGAAAATGAAACTCTATCTTTCTATATCACATTGCATAGGTGTAGGCTAGTGAGTACTTTGATGTAAATTGCTGTATCTTTTGAGGCATCTATTTGGCAATATAGATCAGAATTTTAAATCAGCATACTTTGTTTGCCAGAAATCTATCAGGACCACTTGTAGTAATTTTGTTAAAAGGAATATCAAACACTTGGATGTTCATCACAGTATTGATTGTATTAGAGGAAGGAAAGGGAGAAAGGGAGGAGAATGGAAGAGAGAAAGGGAGGGAGGAAGATTGGAAGCAATTGAGATATGTGATAGCATGGGATTTGCTGAACACACTATAATATACCATGGCATGGAAAAGCATGCACACTTAAAAAAGGACAATGTGGATGGATCTAGCTATTGACATGAGATGAAATTAAATGAAAAAAAAAAAGAATGTAGATTGAAGAAACAGTCTGTATTTTAAGATCCTGTTGTCTTTTTGAGTGTTTCCTATGTGATGTAGCCAACTAAGGATACAGAGATGAACACAAGAGCCTTTGTACTAATGGAACTTACTACTATGGAGCTGATAGAGGTTATTTTACACCTCAAAGACATGACCTGGTTCTAACATTATGAGTCTAAGCTGGAGAAGGTTTAGTGTATTGACCATACTGAACTGTGTTGGAAATTGGAAATTCACCTCTGTGCTGGAGTTTCCAATTTGCTCTTCTGTTGGAGTTTCTAATCAGCTGTGAAGAAATCATGGGATAATAGTTTAGAAATTCCTACAAGATGCTGTGGTAGAAGGTAAAGATACAGGAGCACTTCTAGACACTTGAGAGCCTCTACCAGTTGTGAAGGAACCCTGCTAGTCCAGAGCTAATGGTGCATGTATCCTTAAATATTACAATAGGACATTGGTACTACTGGCACACCTATAATTGTTTTATGCTGAAAAAATACATTTCTTATGCTCTTGTCACTTTCTGTCTATGACATATTTGTTTATTATAAATGTATTATTCTTCCAAGTGTCATGTTCTCTCATATTATATTACTTTTTTTCTAATTCCATATCTAGAAGTGATAACACACAGGTATTTCTGTGTCACATTTCTCACTTAATTCATTCAAATGTTTCAAATTTTTTTATTCCCACTTTTTTAAATGATAGGATGTGGATGAAGAGGATACTGTGCCAACCAACCTCGTGTTATTAACTGTGTTTCTGTAATGAAGGCTATAAAATTGAAGTGTAATTTATGATATGATTTTTAGATAATGGCTATAATTATTGTTGTTTTTGAGAAATGCAGACATACGAAGGAGATAGAGAATAAGTAATTATATATGAGTGTTAAGTGCATTTTCAGAATTGGAGGGCGATATTCTTTATTCCTTGTTAAGCCTTTGGAAATCAAAAGCATGGTTGTATCAGTTGTGGCTCTGAATATTTTTATGGTTCTGTCTTTTGCTTGATCATGTTGGTCCTTTTGAGATTCAAACATTTATAAAAATTCATAATTTTGTGCAAATATTGAGGACCTAAAATTGCAAAGTCTATATAAACCAAGAGCTGCTTGCTGGTTAGGCAGAAACCAAATTTCCTCCTAGCTCTGCCTTGCATTTTCAATCAGAATTACTTGTTTGTTACAATATGATTTTCTTCAAAAATAGATGCTCTGAGGCAAAAGGCGAGCCACAGGCTATATGTTGAATAGAAGGTTGATTAGTTGGCCGAACTTCAGGAGTGGGAGCCTGAAGCCATGCTTCCTAGGGAAATAACTCCCTCTCTGATAGTTTGTTTTGCTAATTACTAGTCCCAATTTGAGCTCAATATTACCAACAATTGCTTTATAGTTACTTATGAGTCAGGTTCAACATTTTATGCTGATTTTACTTGCACTTAAACAAATAGAAAGTATATTTTCTGGGCCGGGCGCGGTGGCTCACGCCTGTAATCCCAGCACTTTGGGAGGCCGAGGCGGGCGGATCACGAGGTCAGGAGATCGAGACCATCCCGGCTAAAACGGTGAAACCCCGTCTCTACTAAAAATACAAAAAAATTAGCCGGGCGTAGTGGCGGGCGCCTGTAGTCCCAGCTACTTGGGAGGCTGAGGCAGGAGAATGGCGTGAACCCGGGAGGCGGAGCTTGCAGTGAGCCGAGATCCCGCCACTGCACTCCAGCCTGGGCGACAGAGCGAGACTCCGTCTCAAAAAAAAAAAAAAAAAAAAAAAAAAAAAAAGAAAGTATATTTTCTGAACACCTCTTTTTGGTAAAGCATGTTGTATATTTGATAATTTACAATTTAGTTTGCTGTTTTCTTTTGTTCTTTGTTGCTTACTTTCTGTGCTTCAAGTTTATTGAACTTCAAGTTTATTGAGCTAGAACTTATCACAGATGGTAAATGTGGAAAATGTGATGGATGTAGAACTCCTCCCACATAGGAGTGAAATGGGAGACTACTTTTGTTTTGTAATTGATAGTATGAAGCCTTACATGGACTATCTTCAATATGCATTCATTACATGATACATTCCTGGTATTAAATTGTAATCGTCGAGATAGCACTGCTAAACGAGATAGCACTGCTAAAGTTTATGTCTGTGGTTTACTATTTAGTATAATTATTCTTAGCTTAATAAGCTTTCTGTACTATTAAATGAAATAATGGAATCTCAGATTAACATTTCTTTAAAAAAATTGTATTCAGCATATTACCATACATTTACTGAGACTGAACTGCTTTCTTTTCAATTTTCGTGAAACTTAAATGGCTTCCGTTTTTCTGTGCAGTAAATTAAAGGTGCTTACACAGTTATGATAGTTTCCAAGAAGAATTTCAAATTGGCATCAACTAATTGCAGTAGCAAGTGATCCAGGTTTTACAAGGAAGGAAAATGTGAAAGAAGCATGTCTGAGTATAATTTTGTTCCTGATAACAAATATATATATATATATATATATATATATATATATATATAACTGTGATTCAAAAATATATAGTAAAATTACCTTCCATCATCCCTAGAAGTTATTCACCTTCATTATAACTTTATAACCAGTACATAACTAGATGTGTGTTTTATGGCAAGAAAAGTTTATAAAATAATGACTTTTGCTATGGCATTCTTTTAAAATAACACTAATGCATTTTATGAACCTGGTTTTTCACTTAATCCTCTGTTTTATGCACTTAGAGCTTAAAAGTCCTGCAGTAAATATTATCATCCTTAGCTTTCCATATTTTTGTTCAGGAAGAAAGAAAGTTCATTCTACACTTAATTTTAATGTCTTCTTGATTCTGGGAACCCATAATTTTTTTCTCTTTTCTTACTGATGGGAGAAGCCTGCACCATCATGGTTTGCTACTTTTATAACTTGTGAGCAAACAGAATATTTATCTCTAGTCTCTTAAGTAGAGTTTTAAATCCACTTGCACAGCTTTTAAAATATTCCCACCTGCCCTCTCCAATTTGTTTTTACTTCTTTACATTTTGTACATTTGAAACCGAAATTTGCCTTATATTCCATGTGTAAATAACAGAAATAATTTTTTTCTGAATATTTTAATAAGTGTAATTCAATTCTGGTTAGTTTGCAACACCATTGAACATAATATTACTCACTTCTGCCCACTTTTAAATACAGACACTTTCACTACTCTTACAGAACAGTAATCTGTTCTCTCATCTCACTGACAGTGGAACAAGAAAAAAATTTAAGCTACAATATGAGAGAAGTAAAGTGCATAACCCAGTTCTATAATAGTATCATTGCTAGAAAGAGCTTGCAAAGTGCTGTGAATTTTTTTTCTCTAGAAAGTTTTCCATTTACCCTTTTATTTTATCCATCCATCCATCCATCCATCCCAGAGAATTTTCTCATGGTCTCAGTGAATTTTTTTTATAGTCCTAAACAAAGTTAAATAACAAAACTTCTGAGGTTCTAACACTATGATCTTGACAATCCAAGTGAACAATTATCAGTAAATATAACAGAAAACTCTGCCATTTACAGCACTTCACATTATCAGATTATTAAAATGATCTAAAATTATTCATTTAAATGCTAGCAGGGAAATAAATGACTCTAAATTCCCTGCATTACTCACAAATACTACAAAAAGGAATGTTCCCTGGTTTCTGTGGTTAGAAAATGTATAGAGCAGAGTATTTCATCTAAACCTAGAGTCTTCTTTTTTTATTTGGATTTGCCACTTATAACATGAATGATTTTGAAATTCCCATAGCAGAAAGCTTTTCATCATTGTCTCACTAAGAAAGACTTGATTCTAGTGCCGAAAACTGAAGAACTCCTTAGGGCATAAAGTCAGAGAACAGCAGCTTATTCCAGACCACTCCTCTAAATGTTAATGAAACTTACATAAATCATACATAACATATACTATCCCTTTGTGCTGGAAAATGCCATGTTTTTATGGTTGTGGTTGTACAGCTAGGATAATAGGAACCAAAGACATAAAACAGTAATTAATATATTTCAGAAGTGAAGTGTTTTATTGGATAGATGCTAATTAAGACTGATAGATGGCAGTGATTGAAATAAGCATAAGCCATTTGGTCAACACAAGTGAAAGATCAGCTATCATCTTGAATGCTTTAATTAAGGATGCTTTGCTTTTTGTTTCTTCTTCCCTACTCTTCTGAATATATGAAAAAACATGGAGAAAAAATAATAATAACTGCTTTTTGACAGGGAAACTGATGTGTAGTGCATGCCTGATATGGTTTGGCTGTGTCCTCACTCAAATCTCATCTTAAATTGCAGTTCCCATAATCCCCAAGTCTCATGGGAGGGACCTGGTGGGAGGTAATTGAATCATAGGAGTGGTTACCCTCATGCTGCTGTTCTCATGATAGTGAGTGAATTCTCATGAGATCTGATAGTTTTATAAGGGGCATTTCCCTCTTTGCTTGGCACTTCTCCTTCCCGCCATCATGGGAAGAAGAACATGTTTTCTTCCCCTTCCACCAGGATTATAAGTTTCCCAAGGCCTTCCCAGCCATGTGGAACTATGAGTCAATTAATCCCCTTTCCTTTATAAATTGCCCAGTCTTGGGCAGTTCTTTATAACAATATGAGAATGGACTAATACAGTAAATTGGTACCAGTAGAGTGGGGCACTGCTGTAAAGACACTGAAAAATGTGGAAGAAACTTTGGAACTGGGTAACAGGCAGAGGTTGGAACAGTTTGGAAGGCTCAGAAGACAGGAAGATGTGGGAAACTTTGGAACTTCCTAGAGACTTGTTGAATGGCTTTGAGTAACATGCTGATAGTGATATGGACAATGAAGTCCAGGCTTAGCTGATCTCAGATGGAGATGAGGAACTTGTTGGGAATTGGAATAAGGGTGACTCTTGCTGTGTTTTAGCAAAGAGACTGGTGGCATTTGCCCCAGCCCTAGAGATCTGTGGAACTTTGACCTTGAGAGAGATGATTTAGGGTATCTGGTGGAAGAAATTTCTAAGCAGCAAAGCATTCAAGAGGTGACTTGGGTGTTGTTAAAAGCATTCAGTTTTATGTAGTCACAAAGACATGGTTTGGAATTGGCACTTATGTTTAAAAGGGAAGAGAGCATAAAAGTTCAGAAAATTTGCAGCCTGACAATGCAATACAAAAGGAAAACCAATTTTCTGAGGGGAAATTCAAGCCTCCTGCAGAAATTTGCATAAGTAACAAGGAGGCAAATTTTAATTGCTGAGACAATGGGGAAAATGTCTCCAGGGTATGTCAGAGGCCTTCACAGCAGCCCCTCCATCACAGGCCCAGAGGCCTAGGAAGAAAAAATGGTTTCCTGGGCTGGACCCAGGGCCTTGCTGCTTTGTGCAGTCTCAAGACTTGCTGACCTGTGTTTCAGCTGTGGCTTAAAGGGGCCAACTTAGAGCTCAGGCTGTTGCTTCAGAGGGTGCAAGCCCCAAGACTTGGTGGCTTCCACGTGGTGTTGGGCCTGAAGGTTCACAGAAGTCAAGAATTGAGGTTTGGGAACATTGGCCTAGATTACAGAGGATGTGTGGAAATGCATGGATGTTCAGGCACATGTTTTCTGCAGTGGTTGAGCCCTCATTGAGAACCTCTGCTAGGGCAATGCAGAAGGGAAATGTGCGGTAGGAGCCCCCCCACAAAGAGTTCCCCAATGAGGCTGCCTAGTGGAGCTGTGAGAAAAAGGCCATCGTCCTCTAGACCCCAGAATGGTAGATCCACTGACAGCTTGCACCAGTTGCCTAGAAAAACTGCAGACACTCAGTGCCAGACCATGAAGGCAGCTGGGAGCAGAGCTGTACCCTGCAAACCACAGGGGTGGAGCTGCCCAAGGCCATGGGAGCCCACCTCTTGCATCAGCATGACCTACTTGTGACACATGGAGTCAAAAGAGATCATTTCAGAGCATTGATATTTGGCTGCCCTAGTGGATTTCGGACTTGCATGGGGCCTGTAATTTTGTTTTGGCCAATTTCTTCCATTTTGAACACGTGTATATACCCAATGGCTACACCTCCATTGTATCTAGGAAGTAACTAGCTTGCTTTTGATTTTACAGGCTTGTAGGCAGAAGGGACTTGCCTTGTTTCAGATGAGACTTTGGACTTGGACTTTTGGGTTAATGCTGGATAAGACATTGGGGAACTGTTGGGAAGTCATGATTGTGTTTTGAAATGTGAGGGCATGAGATTTGGGAGGGGTCAGGGCAGAATGATATGGTATGGCTATATCCCTGCCCAAATCTCATTTTGAATTATACTTCCCATAATCTTCACATGTCCTGGGAGGGACCCAGTGGGAGGTAATTGAATCATGGGGGCGGTTACCCCAATGCTGCTGTTCTCATGATAGTAAGTGAGTTCTCACAAGATATCTGATGGCTTTATAAGCGGCTTTTCCCTCTTTGCTTGTCACTTCTCCTTCCTGGCATCATGTGAAGAAGGATATGTTCGCTTCCCCTTCTTCCACAATTGTAAGTTTCTTGAGGCCTCCCCAGCCCTGTGAAACTTTGAGTCAATTAAACCTCTGATCTTTATAAATTACCCAATCTCAGGCGCTTCTGTATAGCAGCACAAGAATGGACTAATACAATACCCTACAGCCTGAGGAGGAGGTAGATAGGTGCTGAAAAGTTGGATTGACCTGATTCCCCATGAAATTGCATCACACTCTGCAAACAAATACATTAGTGCCTTTGAGGGCTCTAGACCCTGGCTCACATCAGCTCCATCTTTACGTGATATTTGCGTTAATCACAGAAGCAGAACACTATGTTGTACAGATAAGTGCTACCCACAGTTAAAGACTCTATGCCTAGAAATAAACTCTGAAAAGTTAGAAACTAAATATCAACTCCATCTAAAGAAATGCTTATTGTCTCTAAAATCATCTTAAATGCAATCTTAAAGGAATGTCCCCAGAATACAGAGTAGTAAAAACTAATGTTTTTTTCATGTCTTGTGGCATAGAGAATATGAATCATTGATATGTTAGTTTCTAACTTTAATTTTGCAGCCCCCTTTATCCATTTGGTTACATTTGTTTACCTTTTGTTGTTCTTAAATATTATATACTGCTACAGGTATATTTTATAGAAAGATTCTTCCATTTCTGCGGCTAAGATTAAAATACCTTAAATGATTAGCCTTTAATAAAACTGTATTGACCAGATGAAACAAAAGGACTTATTTTTTAAACCAAACTAATGTCTGATTCTAATGATACACAAGTACTTGTTATTCCTGTTATATACATAACATTCACAAATAAGGCAACAATAAGGTAAGATAGGCAATGATCTTTTATGAAATTATATGCTAATATATATAATTATGTTCTTAATATGTAAAAACATGCACCAAATGTTTTAAATAAATGGAATACAAGGATAAGCAAACAGCATTTCATATTTTCAAATTCTGATAGCTATCAGATCTTGCATAGAATTATTTTGATTGTGCATTGCATTATTTCTTATTTCAATGTCTTAGTCAAAGACTAGAAAGGACATTAAGTATAAAGCAAGTATGATTGAAGTCCTCTGATTCATAGAATGTTCTACCCTGAGAGTAGAAAGGCTAATAATTCTGCTAAAACAATAAAAAAGGCAAATGCATCAAAGAGAAGTGCTTAGGAAGTTCTTGAAGTTAGTATTCCTTGTGGCTAGAGAAGCAAAGAGTAAAAAGACATTGTCCTTTAAAACCCTGTCCTTGTTGCCCAATCATAGAGATAGTCAAGCTGTCAAAGACCAAAGCATATCCAAGGCTGGACATGGAAATATTCATGCTGATTTCAGTAATAGCCTTTTATGAAATTAATTGAGAGATTTACTTTTCCAGACACTTTCAAACAAGCTGGACTGTAGTCAATGGGTAGCATTGATATGGCATAGTGGTTGGTTTTAAAAAAACAAACCAGGCTGGGCACGGTGGCTCACCCTTGTAATCCCAGCACTTTGGGAGGCTAAAGTGGGCAGATCACCTGAGTTCAGGAGTTCAAGACCAGCCTGGCCAACATGGTGAAACCCCGTCTCTACTAAAAATACAAAAATTAGCCAGGTTTGGTGGCGGAAGCCTGATTTAGGGTATCTGGTGGAAGCTACTTGGGAGCTTCCAGCTACTTGGGAGGCTGAGGCAGGAGAATCACTTGAACCCGGGAGGTGGAAGTTGCAGTGAGCTGGGATCACGCCACTGCACTCGAGCCTGGGTGACAGAGCCAGACTCCATCTCAAAAAAAACAAAAACAAAAAAACCTGACTGTAGCCCATTGAATATTCTTTGAGAAGAAGCAATTATATGATTGTGGCTCATTCATTGTGGCATTATGGCAAAGCCATAGCTCAAAAAAAAATTCCTTATTTACCCATTTACTAAAGATAACACCAGGTTCTGTCTTCTTAGCACCAGTTAATGATGTTCTAGTTAATTTGTAACTTGCACAGTATCTGTTCATGCTATTGCTGCCAAACATATTGCAGATCAAGGAGCCTGTTATGCAACTGTGAATAAGAATCTTAGGCCACTTCACACTGTTTCATCTTGTCAATTGGGAGTTTTGTTTGGTTCAGCATGTGTGTGTGTATGTTTTTGTTTTTGTTTTTGTTTTGAGACAGGGTCTTACTCTGTCACCCAGACTGGAATGCAGTGACAAGATAATGGCTTACTGCAGCCTCAACCTCCCAGGCTCAAGCAATCCTCTGGTTGAGCCTACGAAGTAGCTGGTACCACAGGTGTGTACCACCATGCCTGGATATTTTTAAATTAGTTTTGTAGAGACAGGGGTTTATCTATGTTGCCCAGACTGGTCTCAAACTCCTGGCCTCATATGATCTCTTGTCCTCAGTTCCCCAAAGTGTGGGGATTACAGGAGTGAGCCACCATGCCTGGCCTTAAATTCTGATGGCTTTTAGGCAAACAAGTAATGTACTATGTATATCCCTTTTTCAAAATGTATTATGAGTTCTGTAGCTTATAATTGCTTCCTGTGTGCATATATGCTTTGTGGAGGATTGGAGAAAACATCAGTATAACAAGCAGTTCACTTGTTTCTCGAAATGCTGTGCTGGTGAATTAGTCACTCTGTTCTACTCTTCAGGTTTTTTGTGTGTGTGTCTGCCATTGAGGAGTATAAAACTTTTTTCAAAGTCGTTTACATTTGGCTTTGGCAAGGGTTTTAATTGTTCATTGGAGAGTATCTGTAACCTGAAAATTCTTGAGACACGGTAACCACAGAGTTAATATGTGACTCACAAAAGGCTGGAAACTGCCTACTTTTTCCATCCTGTCCCTCTCATCAGTTTTGCTTCCACTTTATTCTGGGAGTTAATTTTTATCAACCTTCACACAGAAGTACTATTTGTTTGTTCATATATGCAAGGGAAATTATTTTTATTCCTAAAGCATTTCTCCCTCTTAAAATCCTGGATTAGATTAAGCAAATATCCCGTTTATGTAAATAAATCATTTAATTAAGCAGAATAGGTAAGGATGTCAGAAATAATAAAACAGATGATTTGTCAGAAATAAACTGTAGGGCATATGATCCTTTGAAGATAATTGAAAATTCACTATTTAAAAATATGAATTAAAAAATATATAGAACTTGATGAGTTACAGTTACATACATTACTATGCTATTCGTATTTCGGAAATTGAAACTCAGAAACAAAAGCAGTGCTCTAGTTTGTCATTCCTTATCAGTGAAGTGTGGAATAGTGGAATCTTCATGGGGAATTTCTGTAGGCACGAAAAATCTAGAAAACAAAGGCTGTGGAGGAGGCTGCCTCAGTCATTCTAATTGATGTCGTACAGCAGGACTACTCTTGGGTAACATCTCTGTTGTGCCCAAGGTTATGGAGATTTTCTTGCAGTCATAGGAAGAAGCTCAGGTTATGATCAACCTGGGGAGAAATGATTATACTCCTTCCTTAGATAGCAGAGAAGTTTGAGGTGTACTAGAAGTGTGGGGTTATTTACACAGTGAGCTAAGAGTAGTGATAAGAAATTTTATGTTCAGGACTGCTTTCTTATCCTATTGAACGTCAGTCTCATCCCCCTTAGTGACTTTATAGCTTGCTAGCTATCACATTCCATGTTATTCCCCTTATGTCTGTTAATGTCATTTCCAGTGCTATCCTTCTAGCCTATCCCTTTTTAAAAAATGTGTCTTATTCTCTGTCCTGGCTCCTGGACACTCATATCGCAATATAGGAAAGCCTAATAGGTAGAAATTCAAATCACAGAAAAGTTCAGAATAAATGAGCTTTATTTGGGTACAAAAGGCAAAATAGAGATACTGACTTTTTTTTTTTTTTTAACAAAAGGTCAAATTGCTTCCTTTAAAGAGCATCCTCCATTCACACCTCAGTACCACTGATTTCTTTCCAACACAGTGTTCCTGGAGCATTTTTAAATCATTGAGTGGGTTTTGCCATAAAGCTTACATTTGCCACTTGCCTTCCACAGGCCAGAGCTGCTTTTTTAAGCAGGAAAGGAAAAGGACACTGCCACTTCATATGACAGAATCAAGTAACTTGTAAATTGGAATGCATTTTTTTTTTGGTTCGCAATTTCCCCAAATTTTAAATAAATCAGTGTGCTCCTTCCCTTTACATAAATGATTTTTGTGAGAAACAAGAAGCTGTTCTAAGAATAACATTCAAAATTTCTTTAAGAAAATTCAAACCTTGCTTCCAAAACAGGCCTATGGTGAGATCGTACCAACCATTACAGGATAAGATTACAAAGAGAAAATTATTTTTATTCCATTCTGAGGGGATGTCTATTAAAGTAGCGCATAATTTCCAGAGCAGTTCTCTTGAGATTAACTTTTTTTTTTTAATGGCAAAATGAAGCAATGTAACATAATGCAAATCACACTACCATTACAAAAAGGAAATTAAAGTTGGGAGAATCTGTCAAAATATTATGAAAGTTGAGGAGTTAAAGTTTATTGCTTTATTTTTAGAATTTGCAAAGGTGTTCCACTGCAGAAATGCCTCTGGGCATTTGTAAAATGGGAGGGACATGAAAAGAGCAGTCCCTACTCAAATGGCTGTGTGTTAATTGAGCTCTTTGCCCCGCCCCCCTTCTCTTTTATCCTGCTCCCTCCTTACCCTGAAATCCCTAGTATTTCTAGATCCACAGCCAGTTTGTGTCTTAATGGGCTTTGTGATTTCAGAAGTTTCCTTCGACATAAGCTCTTCGGCATACTAATTGTTTCTCATGGAGAAACTATACTGTGTTTCATTCCAAGCCCTTCTTCACTTTACTGTAGAGTTTGCATTAAAGTTTCAGAAATACAATCAAGCTCTCTCTACATTTAGGGAAAGGAAATAAAGCACTTGCCTCAATTACATTTGTCAACAATTTCCTTTTCTGAATATGCTATGACAGAGTTTATGATATTATAGAATTATGTTTCCCCTTTAACCTTTCAGTCAAACTGTTGATACCAGTTTCTTTAAAAAATATATAATTAGTGCTATCATCCAGTTTTTTGTTTGCTTCGCCTATGGCATCAGAGAGGAATGAGTTAATCCATTTGAAAAAATTGTTTTAAGTTAAGCTGAAGTTTTTTTAGCCACCACTTTCCTTCTCTCCCATGTTGATTACTGAAGCCGGATTATAATTGATACATTAAATGTAAAATATTGAGGCGATAATATATAGAACGTTTATGGTTTTAGCAGTTGGAGGTTTCTGGATTGAATTTGAATGCACAAGCAGAGTTTGAGCTACCGTGACCTTGTTACTACCTGCATTTGTACAGGAATCCTTCATGATCTAGATTGACAAGCAGTGAATCTCTACTTTCAAGTTCAATAAGCCTCTCTTTTATTGTTTTTTAAAATACATATTTAATTTTAAATTTTCCTATAGATAACAGAGACTCCAATTAATTTTACAAGTTATTGCTGCTTTCTGAGATTATAATAGATGTGAGCTGTTATAAGCTAAAATGAGCCCTCATATTTAAGTGGATTTTGTAAATGAGAGCCCAGCATTTCTGTCATATTCAGTTCTTATGGATAAAATGAAAGATCATACTTTTGCACAGAAATTAGGTCTGCTCTAGGATAATAGTGCAGTGATTCAGTTCCTTCTCAAGTGTTCAGACTTAATAATATTACCTAGGACAGTATATGTATCTTTTCAATGGATAGACCAATGGGTGTATTTAAGAGAATTTTATAGGTCAATGAACGTACATAAGAGAATACAACAGACTTACTTATTTTTTATATAAATTTAAGGCCTGGGAACTTCAAGTACTTAAAATTCAAAGCTCTGTCCCTAGTGTTTTGGAATTTCTCTTTACTACCTAAAATGTTGCCTTTGATGTTTCCTGTTGGCCAAGGCAGAGAGTGAAATGTAATATAAAGCTTTATATGAAAAATTGTAATAATATGTTTAAGGACACATTTTTGATGCTAGAACTATGTGGAATTGATTTCTAAAAGCATTGGGAATTTCTTCCTAAAACTCGGAGTAATGCTTTTTGAAATATTACCCTGATTCACCAACAAAACAGCAATTATAATAGAATACATTGTAAAGATTTTTAATTTTCCGTTTGTGTTCTCGTGTCCTTTGGTGGTTAAGTATTTAAAATCCCAACTCTGAAGTGAAATTGAAATGTTCTTAAGAAATCTGTTGTTACAAAGTCTAGGGTGGGAGAGAATAATTACACATAGCTTTTTGATAAACAATCTAAATTGTGCTTCAAAGGACAGATGTGGCTTTAATAATCTGAAGCATTTGCATTTTCAGATTAAACTTTGCTTGATTGCGTTGTACTTGATATGTATACTTAAATCTATATGTTAAATGTTATACTTTGATATAGCACATCTTGTTTGACTTTGTTCCTATGATCTGACAAGCTTCATTATATAATAACCTAGTTTAAATAAATCTTAAAGACATAAAAGTGTTCCTGACAGTAAGAAAAAATTTAAGGCACACAAATGATGTATCGGTTAGATGTTCCAGAGAGAGTCGAAGTTTTTTCATTCAAATCTTTGAACATGTGTTTTGAATAAAGCTGTAAGGCATTTTCCAGTAACCAGTGTTGTATTACAAAAATGAGTAAAGTAAAACAAAAGGAAAACATGTTTCAACATTTTATTCAGTTTTGTCACATATTGTTGCACATTTCCTACTGGAAGTAAATGTGACATTTGTAATGCTAAGTTTTCAAACCTAACCTTTTCTATGATATAAAAAATGACATAGAATATTGTGCCCTTGTGAGACAAGCACAAATAATGAACTACACTCTCAGACTTCAGACAGTTTCCTAAATAGTTTGAGTGCAATAGTTTGATGTAAGTCCATCATTATAGTTTCTGAATTTTCTCTACTGAATTCTATCCAGGAATAAGCAACGATAAACAGGTCACAGAACACTTGATCCAATGGCCTACCATTGTATAAAATCAAACAGGGAAATAATATCACTCTAGTTATACTGATTGCCAGGGTGGACAAAGCAGTTGGATAAAATAATATTTCAGTGCAATGAAAAGCAAGAAATTTACTTAAAAGTAGGAAAATCTGTGCTCTATTACTAGGCTTTCACTGTTTTATTTATTGGAAATTAATTAGCTGACTTTGAAATGCAAAAAAAAATCAAGACAGCTATTTGGTGATTTTGTTTTTTTATAATAAACAACAGCTAAGTACTAACTACTAAGAGGTAAGAATGTGAAGCACTGAGCATGTGCAAGCAATTTCAATATTTAAAGTGGGAATTGGGGAGAGAGATATTTCACATTAAGCTATAAACTACTTTGTAGGAAGATGGATGTAATTTATTTCAGTGTTATATTAGTTATTTTATATTATATATTTTATTAAAATACTAGCTTTGAAACAAATCTAAAACATGTACTTTATAAGCTGTGGTTAACACTACATTTCTACTAAGGAAAGGTGTGCCCTCTGAAATAAGGAAAACTGAAATTTCATATGCAAGCTGGGAGCATTCTCTTTCAAAATATTAATTTATTAAATTATTTTTAAATTTAAATTTGTTTTAAAATTAAAAATTGTTGAATACTTGAGAGCTGAAATCAATGAAATACTTGAAATAACCTGCTCCTTTAGCAAAGTAGTTATTTCTTCAATGAGGGTTTCCATGTTGACCGGTCATGGATGGATATTTGGTTTCATACACTCACTGAGTGTGGTCAGCAGCTGGGCAGACTCCCATGCACCACTCCATGAGGTCCCCAAATCTGACCTCTCAGGTTAGGTATATTTACATGAATTCTGTCATTGTTGTGTCTAGGAATTTAGACAGACAGAATTTATGAGGAGAGTGGCAAAAGACATTGCATTTTATTTCATTCTTTCTCTGAGGATAAAATAAATATCTCAGAAAAGGGTGAACATTTCTTTTCTTCAGTTTTCAAATTGCTTATACTAAATTTAATTTTTATGTACAGGCTTTGTTTTTAGGAGAGCTTATGTTCAGTACACCTAAGAGGAATCGTAGTCACGGAATAAGTTTCCACCTAAGCTCTGTGACGTGATTCATGATTCATTCCCTACCTTGATAGATTTATGAATACTTCTAAGTGAACCTATCTCAGCAGCCAAATGGAAGTGTTAATATCATGAATGCATTTATTCAAACACTTTTTCAGCTCTCACAAAGTTTTGTTATAAAGACGATTTTATTTCCTCTCACAGCAACATACAGAAGGAGCAGCTGTTATTGCCCTTAGTTTACAGATGAGAAAGTTGAGACTTAAAGCCATTAAGAATTTTGTGGTAGCAAAGAAGGATCCTGTATTTGGTAAATTTGGGTGTAATTATGAGTTTAATGTATGCCTTTTTGGCAGTATCCTTTCTGGCTTCATCATGCTATATCCCCATTGTCCACAACATTGACTGGTGCTTAGTAAGGTGCTCAAGGACGCATCAAATGAATGAACAAAGACTAGAGACAGAGTTGCCTGGCCTTATTCTTTAAATACCCACACTATAGGACTGCAACAAAATACAGAGCCCTAGTGATTAGAAGACTTCAAAAGTGTGTTTTCTTTTTCCAGGTGCATGCCTTTGATTTCTTGAGATGATGAAAAAAAAAAAAAAAAGAGAGAGAGAGAGAGAGAAAAGAAAAACAACAAAAACCTCTTTATTTTGTAAAGTTTTGTTTGTGGACCTAGAATTGAATAAAAGCCAACATTTGTCCTGCACTCATGTGTCGGATGTCCTCTAAGCATCTTACATTCATGAATTTGCTTAATTTGCACCATTCAATGAGGTAGATACCATTGTCATCTCCATTTTATACATTAGAAAGCTAATATATGGGGGAGGTTAACTGGATTGCCCAGGGTCACAAAACAGCAAGAGTGGATCCAAGTAACTACTGCATTAGACTGCCCTTCGCTACACTATAAATTCTCAGTCTGTTGGTTTAAGCTATCGTATGAAGATGACTAGTCACAATGATTTTTCTGCCCCAGTAACTGATAGATTGTCTGCAAAGATCTCTTCACCATCTTTCCTGGGCACTGGAGTTGCTTGGGAGCTATCTTGTTCCTTGAGAGCCAGTTGTTATCACCCAGGGTATTGTTGAGACTTTGAGAGTAAGATCATATTTCCTCAGAATACCTTCATTATGAATTTCATTCATTTCTGGCCATAAGCCTTGCTCTGTTGACACAAGAATGATATACGTTAAATTTTGGTTAGTAGCTACCTGTTGGAAAGTAGAAAGATGAAAGGTGTTGAAGATAGGTAAACAGGAAGCTTCCACTCATTGGTTCTGGGTTTGGTTTGTTTGTACTTGTGTTGTTTGTTCTTTTTTTAAGGTTGGAATTTGTTAGATTTTACTTTCGTTATATTATTTTTATTTGTCTTCAAAATAATTCCCAATTTTAAAAATTTAAGGAAAGTAAAATAGAACTGGATGTATAGGCAATCAAAGACAGCCTTTAATCTTAGCTTGAAACAAAAATAGTCTGATTTTTACTCCTAGATGAGGTTTTTAGAAATTAGTTTCTCAATGTAGAACTCAGAAAGAAAACTTCATAATATGTTTCAACTTAAAAGGCCTTTAGAAACCAACTAAATTGAAGAAATCTGAGGCACAGAAATATTAATTGACTTAAGAGATGCCACAAACATAGTTAGTTCAGGTGTTCATTAGTTCAAGAAACCTTTATGGAATGCCTACCATGGGGAAGGAAATTTAGTTGTTGCTGGGGACACATGGGTGAATAAGACAGTTTCCACAAGGGATTCAGTGTCTTTAGAGGGAAGGCATCTAAGTAAACAGATAATTATAATGCAAACTATTGATTGCTTCAACAAAAGAGGTAATTGATGGTCTATCTATCTATCATTTGTCTATTACCTCTGTCAAATATCTACCTACTTGTGTGGGTATGTATGTATGTATGTATGTATGTATGTATGTATGTATCTGTCTATCTATCTATCTATCTATCTATCTATCTATCTATCTATCTATCTATCCTTGTCTATTTATCTTTCCATCTGTCATCTATCTACCCTTAAAACATACAAAGCAGTTAGCACAGTGCCTGGTACACAGAGAGTTCTTAATAAATAACATTTGTATGATGACTATTATTACCTACAATTCCCAGATTTTTCATTATATTGTATGACATGCAGAGGTGATTCTGCCAGACTACTTGTTAACCTTATCACTGTCATGTTTGTGAGACTGTGAAACCTTGCGTGAAGCTCTCAGGCAAAACTGTTAGTGACTATGCTATTGTGGGGCCTTGTAAATACTTCTGTAGCTATAGTTACTTGGCCATATTTTAATTATTTGTAACATAGTTGAGCTTGAACTGTGAGATAAATTCATTCTAATATGAGGCATTGTTTCTTATTCATGAGTATGCCCAAAGATTAGAATATAGTATGTGATCAATACATGGTTGGCTGTTGCTTGAATGAATGCATGCTACAAAGGTTTTGGCAAGGAGGAAAGTTTGGTTAGTCGTCCAAACTACTTCTTAGACGTTTGATTAAAGAAAAGCAGTTCTGAGTCTTAATTGAATCGCATGGTCTTGGTTATAAGGCTTCACTCTAAGAAAAAAACAGTTAAGTTTCTAGATCATGTCAGTGACTGCTTTTATGATTTCACTTCAGATCTGATGCCACTGTAATCTAGTTGCAAAATTTTGCCCTAAAATTATTTTATTATTTTTGTAAGTATAATTTTCAATACATTTATTATCTGAAAATAAAAATAAAATATTTATCTATTATTCAGGGGTTTTATAAATCCCAAGATTATATAGGAAAAAAACCCTGATTTTTTGTTTTAACTCCAGAGAAACTTGATGTTAGGATTCAAATATCAATCTTAATCTGATATATGGGCTTTTCATTAAACTTTAAATAAGCTATCAGATTTTTAATGTGGGGTGTGTGTGTGTGTGTGACTTGATGTACTGGGTAAACTAAAATACTAACATTTCAGAAAAAGAAAACTTTTTCAGTCTGCAATCTGGGTAATAAATTTTACTGAGCAGGTGATTGTGTTACAGGATGGATTATTTGAAACTCATTTATTAATATACTGAACATTTATTGAACACTATGTGTAAGTCACTATTTTGGCACTTGAGATATATCAGTAACAAAAAAGAGAGAGATTCCTCCCTAAGCAATGTCTTTCTGGTAACTTAATAGTAAGCCTGAAAACAATTAATCTTTAATGAGCAGTTAATATTGTCCTTGACAAGAATTCACTAGTGTGTTATCGAAGTATATTATTATATATGTATTACATACATAATTTCATATTACATATGTATCATTTTAAACAATGTTATTATGTGTTGGGCCAACCTTTTGGACAATTTTCCTTTACTCCACTGGTCTACAAAAAAGACTTAGATATCCATTTGTATAACTCAACATTCTGGCAAAATCCAAGCTTGAGAGACATGTGGATAACTTCAGTGGTCTGAATTTGATTATGTTCTACATATGGGAAACAATCAGAGTAATGTATAGGGATTTCATAGTGTAACTAACTACATTAAAAGAAATGAGAACTCTGCACACCTAAGCACATGTTCACAATTTAAAAATTCAGGCAGGCAGTTCCACTTAAAAGATCACTAAATCAGCAGTCTAATAGTCTTTAGGGATCATCGTTTTATTATCTCACTAACTTTCTCATTTAACTTTGTCATTCTACAAACCTGAAAATTACTCAATTTTCTCAGCCTCATGTGATTCTGGTGATATCCTTCCTGTTTCAAGAGTGGCTCAAAACTTAGGTAAATGAGGAGCTATCTTAGAAATATCAACAATTGGAACTTCAGAAAATGTAAGATAGTGCACTGCAAGCTGTCTTTAAATATGACTTGGTTAAAAAAGAAAAGGTAACATCATTATTATTATTATTATTATTATTTGAGACAGAGTCTTGCTCTGTTGCCTGGGCTGGAGTGCAGTGGCGCGATCTCTGCTCACTGCAAGCTCCGCCTCCCGGGTTCACACCATTCTTCTGTAGCTGGGATTTACAGGCACCTGCCTCCATGCCAAGCTAATTTTTTTGTATTTTTAGTAGAGACGGGGTTTCACCGTGTTAGCCAGGATGGTCTTGATCTCCTGACCTCGTGATCTGCCTGCCTTGGCCTCCCAAAGTGCTGGGATTACAGGCATGAGCCACCACGCCTGGCTAAGAAAAGGTAACTTTTACAACCTCCAAGACGTGAACAAAATTTATTTTTTTTAGTTAAAAGTTATTGTGGATAGTTATTTTGGAAAGACAAAATAGCTATTTAATCATATATGCAATGAGTGATTTTTTGAAGTCTTGATCTTAAGAATTTCAAAATGTACTGCAGAATATTAACTTGGATGCAAATAAATGAAAGCTAATTACAACAAATATTTTCAGTTTTGTTTTCCTATTGAAGCAGAAAGACACAGAAGAACACAATTCTGAGCCTTCTCTATGAACACGGCATGCCCCAGTGGTTTATTCATGGAATACAGTAGCCTGCCATGCTGATTCTGTGTTCTGTGTTAATACATTTCCCTGGTGCTGGACGCCATACTAGCAGGTGCTGCCTACATGTTTGGTAAACAAATCATTACACTTGTTCTCAGTCACATCTGCTTGATTTTCTTAAAAGGGGATTGTTACATTTAAAGTATAGCAAAATTATTCACAGAATCATAGCCCATTGAGACTAAAAGGGCCATCAGTAGGATGCATCCAAACCTGTCTTTTTACAAATGAGACCCACAGAAGTCGCCCTGAATGACACCACAGCTGCTCGCAGGACCTGGACTTTGTCCATTTGATTTAATTGGTCACTTCAAATTGTTATTAATTATATGATTCAGTATGTTTATGTCTATTAAGATGATTAAAAGGATGGCATGTCCTTTAAACTTGACTAAATACTCACTTAAGAGAGATTTAGATTCATATATACCATACCCCATTTACAAAACAGTTTTTCTGAGCAGCTCAATGGTGCCTCTATTTTGGGAACACCATAAACAATCTAAGAACACAACCTCCTGTGAGTCATTCTGTTATCTACCAAATCGTATCCCTCGGGAATCCCATCTTTGACTGCCCGCTTCCATTTCCTCACATGCAGTCATTGGAAGTCAGGATTGAAAAGGAACTTAAAAGTCATATGCAAGTGTCAAAATTTCTCTTGAATTCGACCCCCCTCCCTCATTTTGGCCTTTTCATTGTCCCTGCTTAGTCATCAGAACCTCATAGACTTCTTAAAGGGACTGCAATTTTTACTTCTCCAATTTATATTCCACACTTCCTGCAGATGTCTACACCTAACACACAGACAGAATATCCAACTCAAAACTCATTAATTTCTCTCCTCACTTAAAGCAGTTAATACCAGCTTTCTTGCTGTGCCAGTCAGCACACCTGCCCACCCACCTAGGTGCCCATCTTACTGTTCCTCCAGCTCTGCCAATCACTAAATTCATCTTGTCACCATTTCCACCTTTGTAAATGTTGAATTGGGTCCAGCGTTAGTGGTCGTTTAGGATTTTGTTTTTGTTTTGCTTTTTTAACCTTTAAAGTAAAGCTACCTATATTTTTTAATTTATTATTTTTTATTGTGGTGAAATACACATCACATAAAATGTACCATTTTAATTTTGAAGTGTACAACTCAGTGGTATGAAATACATTCCTAATGTTGTGCAACCATCACCACCATCCATCTCCAGAACTCTGATCTTCTAAAACTGAAACTCTGAACCCATTAAACAATAACTCCCCATTCCCTCCTCCCTTCAGCACCTGAAAACCACCCTTCTTCTCTATCTCTATGATTTTGACTACTCTAACTACCTCATATAAGTGGAATCCTATATACTTGTCTTTCTGTGACTGCCTTATTTCACTTAACATAATGATGTCCTCAAGGTTCATCCATGTTGTAGCGTATGTTGGATATTTTTTCATTTTTAAGGCTGTATAATATTCTATTGTATGTATATACCATATTTTGCTTATTCATCTTTGGACAGACAACGCTTCCTATACTTTTTCTAATCAGTCTAAATTAACCACTTCTTTTTATCAAAACTGTTTTTGGTGCACACCACACTTTCTTTCGTTGTGGCTCTGATAGGATAATTATATTTTATGCATTCTTTTTTCTAAACCACATCATTTGAATGGAGCATTTTGTACCTCACTTGACTATAAACAAAAAATGTTGTCTAATTTGTTCCCTGCCCTGTCCTTAGCTCATAGGCCCTCAGGAAGCAGTTATTAAATGAGCAAATTAGTTTTCTCATTAGTGGAAGCTGGATTGCACAGATTTGAACAACACAATTCTTGAAAATATATATTTCTATATATTTTATAATTAGGATTTTGCTAAGTCATTCTCTTTAGCAAATTTCTTAATAAATTTTGAACCCCAGATGGTCTAAAATGGTGAGGATTTTATCATATCAAAAAAAGAAGAAGCATGCCTATACATGTTCCTTTATGTTTTTGGGGGGGAGTAAAATAGAAAAGCCATATATTTTCTTAGTATTTCTTTATGTATTTCTTTATGGTTTGCTTGTACATAAATATACTGAGAAATAGTCCAGAAATTTTTCCAATGTACAAGTCTTAAGGTGATCTTTGCCAAAGTGAGTAGTTGGTACAAGATGTTAAATTCACTTAATTTCTAAAGTATATTTATTCTGTTACTTAATCCTTGGGTCCTATAATAGTAACATTATATCATGTAAAATCGATATTATATATAGAAGATATATCTTAAAAGTTAGCAATATTTTATATGTTAATTTTTTAGTGTACAATTCAGGTTGCAGGTCAGAGTAAGAATTGAGGAAAAAAAGCAATGTCAAATCTGAATCATCAAGAAAGAAAGGGGCTAAAAATTCCAAAGCAGTAGGGAACACCCAGAGAATTTAAAGCAAATAATTCAGGGTCACGTAACATAGAATAGGATGTATACAGAGGTTCTTGACACGTTGCGTAATTTACCTAATTTTTACTTCTCCACTTTATATTCCACACTTCGTTGCACAGGATACCTAATAGAAAAAAACTGCAATTATTTATAAAAATACTTTATCTATATTTTGTATGTTGTATAAGAAAGTATTTTCTTCTTTTAGAAAGAAGCCATGGCCAGGCACCGTGGCTCACACCTATCACACCTGTAATCCCAGCACTTTGGGAGGCCTAGGCGGGCGGATCATGAGGTCAGGAGATCGAGACCATCCTGGCTAACACGGTGAAACCCTGTCTCTACTAAAAATACAAAAAATTAGCTGGGCATAGTGGCGGGCGCCTGTAGTCCCAGCTACTTGGGAGGCTGAGGCAGGAGAATGGTGTGAACCCAGGAGGTGGAGCTTGCAGTGAGCTGAGATCACACCACTGCACTCCAGCCTGGGCGACAGAGCAAGACTCCACAAGACTCTGTCTCAAAAAAAAAAAAAAAAAGAAAGAAAGAAAGAAAGAAAAAGAAAAAAGCCATATGGCATAGAAAAAAAAAATTCTGTCTTTGGAGGAAAAAGGAAAAAAGTCCCAGGTTTGAAGCCAGTTGTGGCCTCTTACTAGGTATATTATTGAGTCTTTCAGCTCTGTTTCAAAATCTAGAAAATGAGTTCAGTATTACCTGTTTAAATTTGTGAATAACGCATTGATGTACACCCTGGATTCCCTAAAACTGTCTTAACTGCGTGAGTCCAGTGGACTCAGTGCATGAGTCTAAATCCTTAGACTTCTATCAGACCTTCTCCCCTAGCAGTTTCATTTGCTCTTTAAATACAAACATTGGACACTCATGCAGAACCACAGAAATCATGTAGACAAACTAGAAATTATCGTGCACTCACAAATTATAGCTTCCATTATTAGGTAATACATGCTAAACCCTAGCAAACATTAAGTACGTGAACTCCTATTACTAAATAGTAATCACTCAAGTAAACTGGACAAAATGTCTTACGGAGGTACACATCTCATGTGAAATTAAACCATGTTGCAGGCAGTGCTACAACCTGAGATTTTACACAGTTATTTACATTTCTTTTGCCTTTGTGGCAATATGTGCCTGTTAAGATAGGCTATTAGAGAACTGAGCAATGAGAACACTTACACCTTAAAGTACAAGGAAGGTAATGTGACAATATCAGCAGATATTTTGCATTATTTAGTTAGTAATGAATCCTCAAACTCTTTGAAAACACAAAGGAACTTGGGCAGCAAGTGAGGGTGTTTAATTTAATCAGAATATCACAGAAGTTTATAAAAAGAAAAACAAAATCCACATGGTATCTGGAAGCCTAAGGCTTACAGAGACCTCACATATATCTCTGTCAACAATCTAGTAATGAATTACTATGAAAAATTTGAGGAATGGGAATACATTTTAAAAGTTTACAGAGTTTTAAAATGAAACCTTTGTACCATGAAAAATTTACATTTCATGCATTGTAACAATTTTTGGAAAGCAGGATCTTTTAATGTACTTATATTCTGTTATATAGAGCTCTTTGTTGAAAGAGCTCTATATTTCAAAATAATTCTATGAATTTCATGAAAATGACATAATAAAATTTAACTCAGCAGGCTTCCAACCAATAGAGTGTTATAGGATTTACAAATAATTCAATCCATCATATATAGTGATAATAATATCACTGTTGGCTACATCAGATTGAGATTAATCAAGCATCAGTATCTTTGGCTCAGAGGAAAAAAATTAAGTAATAGAGCATTCTATCATTGCAGTAGTGTGAATGCTGATGAAAGAAATAGTGGTTCAAATTCTCTTGTGGAATTAAATATGTCAAAACAACTTATACATAGTGGAGCTTATTTTGCTTAAAAGCCAAAAAACTTGAAAAGCTTTAAAAGACAAACAATCATAGCATGGAAGTACAGTAGTACAAGTAGGATAATTCAAAACATTACCAGAAAACTATTTGAATTTTCTTAGGCTAGCCTATTTGAATGGCTGTATCCAGGGTGATACTCAAAATACGGTATTGAATAGCCAGCATGGAGGACACTGATGGCCCCAACAAGACATACTGTGAGGTATGTCTCAGGCTAGCATAAATGTGCACATACACTGTAAAATTGTGGGGTGTAGGGAGGTTAAAAAGTAGATAAGTAGACCCCACTACCCTATAATTTCCAGGGCACCATCATAGAGTTGCCGACCTGGGGATGAAACTCAGGCATTTATCTACTTTTTGAAAGCAGCCAAGTGGAGACTAATAAATAGGAGTGTGGAGACCACTAGATTAAACAACCTATTTCAGCTTCACTGAAGTTGAATGACCACATGAATACATTTCCTTACAAGTAAAGTTTTCTCTCATCCAAAGGCTTCAAGTGTGTCACCGTGGGCAAGACCAAATGTATACACCACAACAAAATTTTATCTGTGTCAACAGCAATTTGTACATTTTATATACTCTAATTCATCCAAATCAATTGCCTGATTACAGTTTGGGTACTTTAGAAGTGGATAGTCTTATAACTGGTGCTGCAGTAGATGCATGACTCTTTGAAGGTGTTTCGGAAACCATGTTCATTTTCATGAGTTTCTCTAGTAGTTATTGCTGATAGATTTAAGTGGCTTTCCCAGGATGTCAAGACAACAATGTGTTTCACATTTTGAGCTTGTTTTCATCTTTATCTGAGACATGTGATGAACTGTCTGAAGGCAGGTGGAGAACAGGTACACTGAGATATCTACACATACATATGCAAACACACACATACTCACATGTACACACTCGTGCAAATGCATACACTTCTGTTAGCACATTGAGACATGGATTCACTATTGTGGACAGAATTTTGTTTGCATGATTGTGTACATATGTTTGTCAGTAAACGCTCAGCTGACTCTATCCAACTTTAGGTTTAAAAATATTGGAGATGGGCTGGGCGCGGTGGCTCACACCTGTAATCCCAGCACTTTGGGAGGCCGAGGAGGGCAGATCACAAGGTCAGAAGTTCAAGACCAGCCCGGCCAAGATGGTGAAACCCCGTCTCTACTAAAAATACAAAAGGTAGCTGGATGTGGTGGTGGGCATCTGTAATCCCAGCTACTCTGGAGGCTGAGGCAGAGAATTGCTTGAACCCAGGAGGCGGAGGTTGCAGTGAGCCGAGATCGCGCCACTGTACTCCATCCTGGGCAACAGAGTGAGAACCCATCTCAAAAAAAAAAAAATTGAAAGTGGAGGACAAGCAAAATTATTTTATTACTATACTGTTTCACAAATGCTCACTGAGCTTTTTTGATTTTGCTCTGTTTGATATTAGCCTAGGTTAGTTAAAAATCTGTTTCCACATTGATATATCTAGAGCGTTATTAATGGTGATGCGACATTTTATATGTCAGGCTCTTGAAATGATTTAGGTAAAAGAGACATTCGTTTTCTCAGTTTCAACTAAAATGATAAATTCTTATGTTACATCTGTGCTCGAGGAAACACCACTAATGTCATCTCATTTATATAAATACTTGTCAGGTGACTGCCTAATTTTACAGGCATCTGAGTCTTATCCAAGCATCCCAAGGCTGCGGTACTTGGAAGTTCCTTTGTATTTCAGTTAATGGCATCAAACAAGCCTTTGCCCCGCTCTACAACAAAGCAGTTTGAACGTTATCACATCAAAGAGAAAGATGCCATTGTCTGCAAACTGTCTTATATCTGTCAGAATAAATCAATTATGGGACAGAATTAATTTGACATACCATTTCTTTCAAACAAGAGACCCCCCCATTTCCTTCTCAGAAATGTAAATATATAATACATAATATATTTTTTTTTGTTTGGTGAAAAGATACCAGTAAAATGATAACATCTGGCTGTAGCAAAACGCTGCCAGCTAAGGAATGGTTTCCTCTCTGCGGGTCTGACCAGAGTCTGATGTTGTGCAGATGTGCAGCCAGGCTTGACTGTAAAAGTTATAAACATTGTCATAACATTGTTCGACTTCTCTAGTATTTCCTGTCTTCTGCTTAGCACTTTATTACTAAGTCTGGCCAGCCGCCAAGTGAAATGCAGGGAGTTAGGGCCTCTGGCTTGAAATTTAAAACAAGTCCAGAATTCATTGGGTTTAATTTGATATGCGAACTCTGATAACTCACACTTGTTAAAATAAAGCCGCTTACCATTCAAGTTAGATTTACACAGCTTTGAGAGAACATAGGAGAAGAAGGGGAAAACACATTTTTCAAAACTTTAATATTGGCCTTTAGCGCTTAAGTTTTAGAAGTGGGGGTTGGGGAGGGAGTAGGAGTCGGAGTGGGGAACAGCTGATTCAGAAGCTGGACAGCTTACAGCAAACTTGTGTTCATTTCCTGTATTAGATGCAATTCCCTGGGCAGAGAATGGGCCTTTCTTTCAACACTTCTGAGCACGTTCTTTCTCTTGGCTCATTTTCAGATTAGGAAGGCCACATGAGGCTCATTGCCTATACATCATAACAAAATGGTGAGGTGAAAACAAACGAACGATACCCCACCAGGCTGATTTTTCTGCAAAGGGTATCTTGTGCCAGGGTTGAACAGAACGTCATTGAAGCACCAGCATAAAGACATGTTAACCCAATTTTTCCTGTAATGTATACATGATTGATTGGCAATTTTTGGACCACAGGCTGTGGTTAGGATTACATCAATCAGGAAGCAGTAACTCTTGAGGGACTTCCCTTAAATGATCTAGTGTTTATTGGCGAAAGGGGTTGCATTTTTTGCAGTCTGTTTCTTTCATGTGTTCATCAGTTCCATTCCTGTTTGAAATTTGGTATCAGTGCATGAGATAAGTCACTTTTCTTCCTTTTATATCCCCTTCTGTCATTTAAAATGCAAGATGATGAACCTAGCACAATGTCTGGTACGTAGAAAATACTCATTGAAAAAAAAAAGAGAGAATGAATGTTGAATGAATGAGGAATGAGTAGTGAATAAGAATACATTTGTGTGTATATAGCCACATTTGGATTTTCCGATATTCAGAAGTGGTAGGAACACAGCATGCCACACATTTAGCTATAGGGCGCCATTCTTTTAAGTAGAGCACTGCACATCTAATATAGCAATCAACATGAATATACAGGTTTTACCTTCTTTGCATTATTATATTATGTCACGTCATCTTTGTAAATAACATTAAAAGTAAAGATGTGAAGAAGAATAGGCAAGGGGAAGAATTTGCCGAATGCTAGGAGTCCTTGTTCACTCTAACCACCCTTTTGTACACTTTTGGGGTAACAGGAAAAATTTTATCTGTAATATGTGTAATATGTCATCAGAATTCTGATGGCTCTCTTTGTTGTTCTGTGGGTTTTCGTAATGGTCTCAAACATATATAACTTGTTATGTTCCCAAAAGGATGCATTATGGATCTATGAAATTTTTGTAAGGTGTGAACACTAAAACGCTGTCCCAAGGCTCTGCTGTTAATTTGTTTTTATTGAGGAAGAGGCAAGAATGAGGCACATGTGTGTGGAACCACTTTTCACTGCTGGGGTTTTTTTCATGTATATGTGGTGTTCAGGGATGTATGGGTGTCACATGAGTTACAGTTCCTAAATCTGGGGAAGAAAGAAGTTCCTGACGCAGACCTTCCCAGGCCACAAGATTCTAAATTTATAAAAAGGAGAGGTAGAAAAGAAAACCATGTGGACTGTTACTCCCAGTTCAGGGTTAAAAGTTTTTTTTTTTTAAAAAAAGAGTCAGCGCATTAGCTAGTGATTTCGTTTAAGTGGTCCTCACAAAATCATTGGCGCTTTATTGTATTATCTAATTTTTGGAAATGGAATGTAAGGCATTTGAAAGTTAAATAGCGTGAAGAATGAAAAGCATGTTCAAAGCATTTAAGATGGTCGGTGAGGCCTGTGCCATTCAGAGCAGCTCCTGCGGACACAGAAGGACTCTGAGTATGGACTGTCTAATCTCATTGGGTTTGGAATTCACTTTCTGGCTCCATATCACGATCAGAACAGATGTTTCCCAGGCTGCATAGGTGGGTGCAAGAAATAAATTTCAGAAATAACTTACTTAAATTTTTAATCAGGTTTTTGTAAGAAAACTCTGGAATAGTACTTCTCCTAATTCTCCGTTACACACAGCCTCATGGCTCTGCACAGGATGTGACTGTGTGTAGTTGCATCACGTTCCTATATACTCTAATTTGTTTATGCAAGAAATTCCCTCACTTTTTTCCTCTTCCAAGTATTTTCCTCTGTGTGTGTATGTCTGTGTGTGTGTGTGTGTGTGTGTGTGTGTGTGTTAAATCACATATTACTTTGGCATCTCCAAGAGAAGGCAACATGCATTTTAAAGTGTTATGTGTGAAGCTCAAAGTATTTCCTGTTATTTGGGAATGCTTCTGACCATTATTTCTCTTCCAGCAGTCTGATGGGAACCCAGCATTAATTATGTATGCCATTATTGGACTGATCAGGTTAAATAGCTAGTTGGTGTTTACCAATCTCATTTGAATATTAAACAGGCAGATAAGAAAACCTCACCTTAATATTATGCTCTTCATCTCTGTAGATTGTTACAAAAGGAATATGTTGCAGAGAATATGGAGAAGAAATCATGAAATTTTGGTGTGGGGCCAACAGACCTCTAGCTAGCTGCTGGATTAGTAAGAAAGCAGCTTTCTGCTGTCAGAATCAACATTACTCAGACAGTTGCAGAAGCTCTGAAGCCTTTGGATTTGTTTGCAATGAGAGATTTGTTGTGGATTTTTAACAAGGCTCCTGTGTGTGTGCCATGCTTAGTAAATATTGGCCTTCAGGGTATTTTTCAGTCACGCTGAATGGACTGTTAGTTTCCCCAAACTGCAAAGTGCAGAAAATCCATTTCCCTGATTTTGTTGCCATTGAGATTGCATCATAGGTTTTGCACAGCAAAAGCAAAATAAAATCTAGCAAAAATCTTTTTTTTTAGAGAACTGGAAAAGTGATCAGGAAAAAGAAAGATATCTGTGATTGCATATACAAATGGACCTAGAATAGAGAAGTTCTTAATAGTTAAGTTGTAACTTAAAATTATTTCAGCTAAAGTAACTGAAATATTTTCCTTTCTTTATAACAGAGGAAATTAGTCATATTGTAATAATTGTGACTAATATAATCAAATAATGACCTTTTCAAATATTATAATAGGTTAGATCCTTCTTTTAAATCAACAAATATTATTTTTAAAAAGGAAATTCATTAGAAAGTAGAATATATGTGGTTCCAAGTGTTTTTCCTACAGCAAAGGGGTCTGTATTGACAGTTACGTTGAATCAGGATTGCTTGACATTATTAACAATTAATATTTAAAACTCACTTTCAAAAGATGATCGACGAAGTTTTATATTTGGCCTCTAAGAAGGAGTTTCAGGAGACATTATGATTTTGTCAAGGGCAAACTAATAACATCAAATATCCAGGAGTCAGAGTTTTGTTATAGTTGTTTAATGGTGATGGTCCGAAAAATAAAGTTGTCTAGTAGAATTAGTATGCTTATACTTTTTAAGTTATTTTAGAAAATGGTCAGTTCCTATAGAACATACTTGAAATGAGTGACCAGCCTCTCAAAGTTGTGATAAAGTGAGAGATGAATGCATTTCAAGTGCATTGTCTATCTCGGAATTAGAGACACCTATTTGAGGATGGAGTTTGGGAACCCTTCTGTGGCCTGCGTTTTTGACCAAAGGCCTAAAGCATGAAAGAATAGCCGGAAAGAGAGCTCTTTTCCATATGTTGTCCATTTGGCTGTCAGCACTCGTTCTGACAGAAAAGAACAGAGTCTTGAGTGACTGCTAGTCTCTCTTAAAGTATGGTAATGAGGCTAATTAGGAGAGATGAGAGCTGAACTACATTTGTGAAGGCAATTATCCATATAGCTTTTGTGCCATGCTGTATCTTTGTAAGATTCCTCTTCTCGAATTTTGTCATTTCTCAAACATCACAAGAATAATGAAAATGTCTAAAACAATACGAGCAATGTGGTCAGTAGAAAAGAATAAATTACTAATGAAATTCTGTGAACCTGATGTCTGTTTGCAGTCTTCCTGAACAAAGATTTGGAGGATGGCTAAGATAATACTCACAAGTGTTGTTGTTGTTGTTTAGTTTACAAAAATGAAAATTATTTGCACTTTATTATATTGAATCTATATATCTTCTTTGGTATGTGAACAGGATTTTGCATGGTCCTTTTATGTTAGTCATCATGGCAAGTCAGTAATTTAGTATAATTGAAAGGAAAAGACATCAGAGGCTTACTAAGCAAGCATAAAATGTATTCTCTTTTATGTGATTTAGAAAGTTGAGACATTTTCATTTCTATTTTCAAAGGTTTAATGCACTTTAACTTTCACAACAGTTATGAAAGTAAAAGAATGGACCTAGATCTCTGTACAGTGATTTCATAGTAGGTGACACTGAACATAAGTTTTGGGTTTTTTTAAGTATTTAATCACAAAAGTTAACAGTTAAAATACTTGTATTTTTTAATCTGCTGAATTATTTTTGAATGGTATTGCTGACATTTCATATTATATATATATAAAAATATGACATTCTAAAAGCATCAAACTCTTTCTAAAGTGTAACTGAAGTTTTTTCCTCCAAAAAGAAACTAGGCTGATTTAATTCAATAGGAATACCAACTGGATTTGGTTGGTAATTGTTTGTACTCACATTTACATCTGGACATAATGTTTTATTGTTTTTAAGTCTATTATAACTTTTATATCTTATATCTTTTGCTCAAAAGCTCATTAGCCTATAAGCTTCTAAAACACATAAAGGAGATAATTTTTATTTTTGTTTTGTAGGATTAAAGAAAAAATCAAATTAAGTGACACATAGGTGGAAAATCTGTCTGAATTGCTTAACAGTGTTCTTACATATGAAATTTTATTACTTTTAAATACATTCAGTAGCAAATTTGAGCAACTCCGCTTTGTCTCTTGTTTCAATCACATGACTAAGCTCCTTTGGAGCAAGGATAGGGCAAAGGTATAGTCAGTAGCTTTGATAAAGAAGATGTAGCAGAACCCAGAAGGCCATAGTACAGCTGGAGCTAAAAGACTGGAAGTGACTCTCAAACTTGAGCATGTCTGAGACTCACTACAGGAGACCCTGCTAAAAATGGCTAAAAATACAGGTTCCTGGAACTTATAACTATAGTGATTCTGATTCACCGGGTCTTGGAGTAGGGCAAAAGAAACATATTTGTAAACAAGTACTCCTGGGTTATTCTGATGAGGGTGGCATATGGGTCACCCTCACCTTTGAAAAACAGTATTGTAGACCAGGAAATGTGTCATCCCAAATATCATCATATTAGAACAAGGCTAAGCACTGAAAACTGCTAAGGAGACTCAACTAGAAACATAAAAAGACGTCAGAATAGAGCAGAAAGGAAGTCTGAATTGGTGACTCCAATTGAATAATGCCCAATGTATAAGTCAGTCTGTCAGATTTTGTAATCCCCATAACTTTTCTGGGTTCATGATTGTTATCTATAAATTCTTTAGCTCTAACATTCGAGGATTCTAGAATAGCCATGGATAGAGCGAGAATGCATGGTAGACTGTAATCAGGAAGATGTGCCTATCAGGGATGGAAAAATACAAGTGATCAGAAACCAGGCCAAGAGTGGAGAACTAAGAATTTTAGAGGAACAACAAGCAGGAAACTAAATTGATGCAAGATTCTTGCTCCTAACTGAAGCAGCCTTCTGCCTCAGGCCCAGGTCACTTTTGGTGGTTGTTTTGAAACAGGAACCAATCTCAATACTAGACAAGGTCCTGCAGGTGGAAGCAGGTAATTGGAAGCAGCTGGTGCAGGTGAAAAGTGTGAGATCAGGGGAAGAAACAGTTTTTGGGTTGGTTTTTTTTTTTTTGTCTGACAGGAAAAAAAAATATTTTTTTGATGGTGGAAGCGAAGAGTAATAAATAGAAGTAATACATACACAGCACATTCCTTTTTATGTAGATGATGTTTCAAAAAGCTTGAAAACACTTATCTGAGTGTTTTAAATGTTTCTGCTGGAAACATCCTTACATTTTGAATGAACTCTACAAAGAAACACTTTGCAAAGTCAAAACAAACAGCAGTCCATATAGCCGTACCTGCCTTATCATGAAATCTAAATGTGTGCAAGCCAAAATGGTGCATTTCACAGTCCTTTTATCCAAACTCAGACTTAAAAAGTGATCAGTGTTCGAAAGGGGGAAAAAAGAGTTATACAGGAAAGAATTGAATTTACTGGGAAAAAAACTTCATAATAAATATATTCATCATATATTTAAGTATACTTCTATAAATGTGTCCTGCAGAAATTTTGACGGGCGTGTTACATTTTATGTTAAAACCCTTATGCATTGATATTTATAGGTAAGTTTTTTTACATTGCTGTGACAGTACAACAATAAGGTATTACCTTAGTAATTTTTCGTTGCCTACTCTATCTCACCTTCTGCGATTTTAGCCTTTTATTAAAGCCATGTCTTGAAAGAAAATGAAAGAAAATTGTCTTCAAGTTAGTGTGCCTGTTTTTCTTAAATTTATATATTGAGTCATTTAATTCTTCTCATTTTGTTAGTGAACAAAGTTTTTTTAGGCAATTAAGAGTCATAGTTTCCTGCCTCTCCGAATTTGCGATCTCATACAGTAACAAACACTTGTTTTACCTCATTGACTCTTTTGTTTCCTCAAGTGAAAGAGGAATTGGGGTATAATTTAGTTTTAACATCTCTGGACCAACTTAAAAAGGAATGTAACTCAAGATGTATGGTAAGAATAGTGAAATTCTTCAACAGAACTCACTAAAGAAAGGTTTTGGGGATGTTGCAGAAAATGATAAGTAGGAAGACAGCATAAAAGGTTTAGCTGACGAGGTAGGCTTGGAAAGCATAGTAGACATAAAGCAAGTTGCCTGAAGCTTCTTAAGAAGAAGCCCTGGAAACAAAATTGTAGCATATAAAGTTTCATGGAACGTGGAGTCTTGAGCTGAGCTGTGAAGTTTACACAGGTTTCTGACAGTTGAGAGGAGGGGAGAGAAGAATGTATGAAGTGCACTGAGCTGGGAGTGTATGAGGTCTGTTTGAGGGAACTTAGAATAAACTAGTTTGACTGGGAGGGTTCAGAGAAGGGTGATGGGTAATTGAGGAATCTAGGTTATGAAGAGCCTTATGAATGTGGCACAAAGGATTTTGGAATTTATCCACTGAGTTGTGAAAAGATGAAAGTTATAAACGAAGACATGATATAATTAGGTTGTCTTCAGAAATTTAACCTAGAAATGATATCATTGGTGGATTGGAAAACAAAGACACAAGTGCAAGGAGCTATCCCCTCATAGAAGGAAAACCTCAATACTAGAAACAATCTACAGGACTTGGTGACTAATTGGATATGGTGGAGGAAGTTGGTGCCAATTTCAGGATGGTGGAGTCACACTGAATGATGAAAAGGGGAAGAAAATCATCTTTGTTGGAAAATACCATTTAAAAAAATTGTTGAGTTTTGAGATGATGAGACACAATTCATTTTATTAATTGAGGACTGATGATTTGAAAGACATACTGGGGAGACTCCCCCAAAAAAGGGTGCTCTTTGCCCTCTAGAAGCTCATAGGTTAGTGGGAGATATAGTCAAGTTTATAAACATTGTAGAAAAAGGTATACTTTGAAAATGTTAGAACTACCAATAAAATGAAATGAACAGATTGAAGACAGACAGAGATATCTTGAGGAGCTAAAAGAAGTACTTTGACCTGGACCTAAAAAGATGGATAGGAAGAACGTACATCAGTTGGATTCACTCTTCATTTATTTATTTAACGAAAATGTATTGAGCACCTGTTCTATTGTATGTACCATGTTGGACACCAGACATGATGGTAAGAAATCACATTCCTTATCAGAGCACCTGTTCTATTGTATGTACCATGTTGGACACCAGACATGATGGTAAGAAATCACATTCCTTATCAGAGCACCTGTTCTATTGTATGTACCATGTTGGACACCAGACATGATGGTAAGAAATCACATTCCTTATAAAAACTGGCAAGTACACAGTCTTTGTAGCTGGCATGTGATCCCATGTAGAGGGATCAAAGGGGTAAGGATGGGGGACCTTAGTGGAAGATAAGATGCTAATGATAAACTACATGGCGAAGGAGTGAGAGCCCTAGGTTGCTTTTCTCTAAATAATGGGGATCTTTAAATGTTTGGGGAGAGGTGAGATCTTCATTTTAGATCTATATTGAATACATTGTAAATCTATGTTTTTAGAAAGGTGACAAAATACTCAAGTTGAAGTATTTGTTTATAGATATATTAGACACTGAGATACATTTTATATGCTCATCCAAATGTTGGTGTCAGCCAGTCACAGGAGGTGTGGGATTGCTGAGTTTGAGTTTGAGGAAAGGATGGATTTCTGAAATGGAACGATCATAACCAATATTTATTGAGTACTTAATGTTATCCAATCACTGAATTAATTCCTTTAGTCCTCACCCCAGCCTGCTAGGTGGATGTCATTATTATATGCTTATACAGATGAAGACATTGCATTGAGGAGAGTCTAATCAACCTGCCCAAGGTCACATGGCTAGTTAGTGTCATAGGCAGGATTTGAACCCAGACCAGCAGGCTCCACTACCTCCAGACTACCAAGGCAGTAAAGACAGAAAGGCTTAGGATAATTAATATCAAAGGACTTGAAGGTTATTTTAGCAAAATTAATGCTGATGAGAACCGAGCAGATTGTGCAAATGTCAAGGCCAAGAGGTTTGTGGAGTGAGGAATACACCTTCTAAAGGAGGCAGTCACAGGCACCTCAGCTATGTCTTGCCATGTGAGAAAATGAACCTAGTAATATGAGACATTATAACTGTCAACAAAACCTAGAAAGTATAGATTTTTATGTCAAATCACCCACTTCTTTTCTTTTCAAGGAGACAGTCTCACTCTGTCACCCAGGCTGGAGTGCAGTGGCATGATGTCAGCTCACTGCAGCCTTTGCCTTCTGGGTTCAAGCGATTGTCCTGCCTCAGCCTCCCAAGTAGCTGGGACTACAGGAATATGCCACCACGTCCAGCTATTTTTTTTTCCTTTTTCTTTTTTTTTGAGATGGAGTCTCGCTCTGTCACACAGGCTGGAGTGCAGTGGCAAGATCTCGGCTCGCTGCAAGCTCCGCCTCCCAAGTTCACGCCATTCTCCTGCCTCAGCCTCTCTGGCAGCTGGGACTACAGGCGCCCGCCACCACGTCCGGCTAATTTTTTTTGTATTTTTTTTAGTAGAGATGGGTTTTCACCGTGTTAGCCAGGATGATCTCGATCTCCTGACGTCGTGATCCACCCGCCCCAGTCTCCCAAAGTGCTGGGATTACCGGCGTGAGCCACCGCGCCTGGCCTTTTTTTTTTAGTAGAGACAGGGTTTCACCATGTTGGTCAGGCTGGTCTCAAACTCCTGACTTCAAATGATCCGCCCGCCTCAGCATCCCAAAGTGCTGGAATTACAGGCGTGAGCCCCTGCGCCCAGTCAAATCACCCAATTTTTAAATGTTGATAACTTAAATTCTCATTTTGCACTATGCTGTGTAACCCCTTCCTTCCCCCAAACACACACATGCACACACACATACACACACACACACACACACACACACACACGCACCATACTTGGATGCTTGCTACCCAGATATGGACCTCTGTTCGCCAGCAAGAAGAAAGTATGTATGTACATTATATATGTATTAGTGCAGCCCCCTATTTATTGCCATAGACAGAATTAGAGAATTTTCCAAAGTAGTATCAACCTCACTGCAGTTTCCAATTTTAGGTGACAATTCATGCTTACCTTTCTTCCATATTCCTGCAAGCAAAAATAGAAAATTAAATGTATTTTTTCCTTCAGAAAATCAGTGGGTAAAAGTGTTTGTTGTGGCCCACACTGTGTCATGTACTTAGAGAAGTTGGCTGTTTCTATAATACCAGCGAATCTATATATGACATTCAAAGTCCATTCTCCAAGGACTCCTAAATATCTACATGCACTACATCATGTAGACTAAATAATGAACTTTACAACAATAATTTTTACTCAGTTTTACCCAGAAAAGCTAAAGTATCAGGGATCCAACATTCTTAAGCTTTGTGAACCATGGTGAGAAACCCCTGTATTTGTGAAGAAGTTTTGTAATAATAAAAAACTATAAAGTTATGCTGGTGCTTCAAAGGGAATAACATCAAAAACTTGTGGAGAAAAGCCAGAGGCTACCATCCCACCTCCAACCTGCACACACACACACACACACACACACACTCTCTCTCTCTCTCTCTCTCTCTCTCTCTCTCACTCTCAATTGGGAGACCTATCATGGTAGAATAAAGTCTGGTTCACCAAAAAAGAGGGATAATGAGGCCATTTTTCATTATTTTCCCAGTGGATTCTAAAATAGTTACCTCATAAAATAAATAGTTTAAGTTTCCACATTACTTTTTGCCTTTAATCTGTGCCTGCGATGCAAATAAATGAGTGGAGATTTTTATACTCCCAAAGGTTTATGTAGAGGCAAATATATTACAAAATGAACACCTAAACTAAGCATGATTTCTTACTAAAACAGCATCTTACAGAATGCTGTGGTTGACGGAAGGGAGACACTTTAGGAAAAGGAATCTACAAAAAGATTTAATTTTATACTCATTGTTCAAGTATATGCTACTCTTCCCGATCTTGTCTTCTCTAGATTAAATTTAAATGGAAAACTTTCAGAACTGAACTGAGCCTAGCCAAGTACAGAAATATGTATTTCGTATGTGAGCTCCTATGGAAAGGATGCACCAAAACTGTTTTTGATGTGAGTAGAGTAAGGTGTTAAGAGCGCCGTAAGTTTTATAAAATTAAAAACCCATGTGCTAAAACTAGAAATAGTTTATTGTCCTTGTTTAAGAGGCAACTGAATTAACCTAGTTATCTGGCTAATAAACATAAATAGTCCACCTTAGTGAAGCTCTAATTACAGCCTCTGAACCTTTCGGTGTATTTACAACTTAAAACATCTGAGTGATTCTGCCTTTTGAAAGCTATGTGAAGTTAGAAAGGCGGCCTAATTAAAACAAATCTTGAATAAACCACTTCATGGAGATAGAAGTTTGATGGTTGGATATATCAAAAATTGTTACCAGATGTTGTTCAGAGGCCTTAACAGTTTAAAGATCATGAGGTTTTTTTTTAGCAAAGCAAAAATATTCTAATTGAAGTTGTCAGCAGGAGTGAGACTAATATGCCTGTATTTGATTAAATAATAGTTTATTTAACATTCAGTGTGGCCCAAAATTGGCCAAAAGTCGGAAAACATTTTAGCCAGCAGACTTCAAAAGAAAAACGCAACAAAATGACAGTACTATCTAGGTAACTTTCAGGCATTGTGGTTTGATAATGTCAGTTTTCATCCTGCTTCCCATTCTTCATGTCTTACTGTATATACTCTGCAAATGCCTTTGAATCTTTATTCTGTAATGTATTTTGTATTTTATAAAAAGAAAGGAGAGCAACACAAACTTATTATAAGACTTATTGCTGAAACCTTGGCAAGGAAACACCAGGACATTTTCCATTATAGAAATGTAAACATCTATATTTTTAGGAGTTAGATATTTTACAGAGGCTGCTGTCCTTTCACTGGGACATGAGGATATTAGCTGTATCAAAAAGAAGAATGTAAGACCCACATGGTCCTGTTACAACTTACAGGCACCTTTTCCTGATGACATGAGAGGAGCACATAACTACTTCCTTCCCATTCAGTGTACAGCTGTGTGCTGCTCTCAGATGAAATGCAAGAATTCCCTTTGAAGAACAGGGAGGCTTGTCTCAGCCAGTCGGTCTTCCTATTGGCGTGAGCCTCTCTCTCCTTACATTTTCTACTTCTCAGGCATGCACCTAGCCATTAACTCCCGAATGATGTGGCAATACCTTGGTTCTTCCAGAATAAGTTTTTCAGACTTTTCTTGGACTTGGTGTACGTAAAAATTTAAGAAATCGCCCACATAGATGACTAGGAAATAAATGCATTTTAAAAAATGAATTTTCATCATTGTGACCAATTCCCAAGCTAGCGTTTGCTTTCCGTAGTACACAGAGGTCTGGATTTTTAAACTAAATTGCAGCAAACTCTGTGGCAATTATGAGAGGACAACTGCACTAGAGGGCCATTAATCATTTAAACATTCAAATAAAACTCAATGTTTCTTTTTAGATCTAAAGTGCAGCCCATAACACAATTGAAATAACATTAATAGAAGAAGGGAATGAAAAGACAGAAAACAGCTGTTGCTGTCTCTGCAATGTGCCATGGGCTCTAATCAGAGAGTGAGACACTGTATACAGTAAAGGAGAGGATTCTTGTTGATTCAATTCATTTTCTACCATCCTGAGCTTTCTCGGTTTAAAGGAAGTTAGGGTGATGTTCTTGCATGTCATAACACTGCATTTCTGGATATTCAGCAGAAGGGACAAACGGCTGGAAGGTTTAGTTTTACAGCTGTTCCAGAACAGTATTTAAAAGTTGCTTGTTAGCTGCAAAGTGCTAATAATAATGTAAACAGGGTACAAAATGTCCCCTGTGGCTAATGAGGAAAAACTGTGCTCTTTAAATGTAACTTTTTCACTATTAAAATAAATTTTAGTTTTACCAGTGATTTACTTTAAAAATAAACTTTGTAAAAACCTGAAGAACATTACATAGTTAACCACATTTGTCCTAGAGGATAGTATGGAAAATAACTTACAGCCTGGTTGAAAAACTAATGACTTCATAATGACTTTGCTTTATTTGTCTCTGCCATGTCCACTAGCTCAATGTCTGTCCATGTAATCCTCTTTTAAATCCCTTGACTTTGTAACATGATTTTTACTTCCATGTCAGTTTCACAAGCTCTAACTGTTATCCTTTTAGCATCACTGTAAACGACAGTGCAGAGATCATACCGCCCCTTTTCTAAAGCAGGTGTAAATAAATGAAAGAAAGAATCAATTAGCTTGTTCTAGTCAAAAAATAGTCCCAGGTAGGACCACACTAGAGTGTAGGTCTCTAAACTCCCAGCCCCACTGCACTTCTCACTGTGCTATGCCAGGAAGTGAAAATCACAGCAAATCACTATCTTGTAAGAATTACCGCCACTACCCCATGTCCCAGGGATAGAACAGGTGAGTAGACTCCACACTGGTTTATAGAAAAATGCATGACTGAAGCCAGCAAGGTCCTCGTCATCTATGATCCTCAGGTGCTTTATTTTCGCAGCCTAGCAAAAGGAATAAATCTAATGCTTGCTTTACTGTGAATTTACAATTTTCCTTAGAATTTCAGTGTATAGTGACTGGAACTTAGGCAGTCTGTAAATGATAAATGGAAAAAGAATGAAACAAAGCAGAAAAGGGGAATGGAACAAGGGAGGGAGAGGGAGAAGGAAGGCAGGAGGGGCAGGGAGAGGGAGGGAGGCAGAAAATGTAAATCTCAAAGCCGATGAGGTTACTATAGACCATCTGGAGAAAGATGAATTATTCTTTAAATCCTAGATCTAGAAGAGATATTAGAGATCATTTGTTGTTTATGCTCTCTGATTTCCCCCTCCCTGTATCTAAATATATAAAGAAAGAAGGAGGAAACTAGGTTACTGAACACCAACCATGTGACTGGCAGAGGTAGAGGCATTCTATGTGCTTCATATTCATGACCCTTCATCATGATTGACCAGTTGCTCTTCTTTTATTTTCCTCTGAAGCAGAACCTAGAAAATGACTTTATTAGAGCACCTATCAGGTCTTTGCTTATGTGGCTTCCCTGATAATTGCTGAGCAACTTGAGACCTTGGGTCATGTCTTTTACCATTGTGTGCCTAGTTATGCCTTTTACAGGTAGAGCATCCAACATGGTGCTGGGCCCAGGGCAGATACTCAATGAATGGCATTTAAAATGAATGAAAGAATACATGAATTACAGGTAAATATCACAGGGTTGTCTCATTTAGTGTGCCAT
Organism: Homo sapiens; assembly: GCF_000001405.40. Lineage (NCBI taxonomy): Eukaryota > Metazoa > Chordata > Mammalia > Primates > Hominidae > Homo > Homo sapiens. The sequence continues at coordinate 115,438,180 of NC_000008.11, read as the reverse complement.
GGCCTTGATGCTTATGCAGTCCTGTGCCTATAAAACTATATGGTACTAGGTTTACATGCTTTAGGGAGTAAGTGAACCTTGCAGTTTCCTATTTTTTTAAATTTGACTCTTGTGTATGTGTTGATGGTATTGACTTGCTTTCATTTAAATGTAGAAAAAAAATGCCATGTTTTGGTATTTTAGCCTTAATAACCTCATAAAACACATATGAGATTCGCTTGCTAGATTATAAGATGCCTTTGGTTTATAGAGGAAAATAAAACTCCTGGCTTTTCTTTTCTGGAGAAAGAATATAGAAAGTAGTCTCACGATCTCTATGACTCCGACCTGTATCCCAGACAAACCAAAACAGGAGTACACCAACTCCTTAAGGATGTGAAGACAGCAAGAGTTGACATTAATAGTAAATTTAATATTTACAATAAATATGAGATAGGGCTAGACATAGTACTGGAAATGGTACCTTTCCCCTGCCCCCCCAATCCTATTTAGCTACTTCATATAAAAGATGGCAAAAACTTCCTTCTTGTTCGTGTAGACATTCAGCCTTTCTAGAAGACAAGGATGACACTTTTGTCAATTATTTATTTTTTGACGTATGTGCCAATGGGAACAATTATTAGCCTATTAAATACTTTTTGATATTTGACCCAGGATAGTAAATACATGCATTCAGAAAAGAATCCAATGCTACCTTTGTCATCATTGTGACAACTGAAGAGCTCTAGTGGCCTTTCAAGTACAGATAAACTTTCAGGAGGATTCTCCTATGAGCTGGCCACAAGGGCTTTTATTGTGAACCTTCCAGCATATCCTGTATGCTCATTGTGAACTAAGGAAATGGCAGTGATGGCATCTCAAATAGTGGACCATGGCACCCGTCATGGGGGTATCCCTGCTTTTTGTGCCCATTAAAGGTTTGCCAAGTTCTTCTAAACAGACTCTTCAGCAGTATAGTGACCATTATACTACTTCCTCATAGTGTGGCTTTTGTAAAAAACTAAAAGAAAATGTCCTGGATTGATTTTGTCAAAACAGTTACATGAGAAGTGTAGATAATGATGGACTCTTTCAAGGATTATTCAAACCAAAGTAAATACTAGATGGCACGGATGGACTACTCAAATGTGGTCAGCAGTACTATCCAATGCTCTACTTATAAAAGACTCCTCTTTTGGACAGATAACTTGTAGAAGACTGAAAAGAAATATGTATACGTCTGTATCTATGAAATGTATTGACTTTTTTTTTATTTTTTACTGCTTTACTTCTGGTACCATTCCTTTATTTTGTCTTAAGAATCTACACTCCTTCATTTTTAGTTCATCTAGTTCAGGTGAAGCTGATTTTGCCCTAGATTCAAAGCCAAATTGTGTGCCTTACATTCTTGTTACTCAAACTGGGAGCTTACTAGACATGCCAGATCTGAGATCCTATCCCAGATCAATAAATAAAAATCTGCATTTTGACAAGATCCCAGGGTAATTTGTAACACAGATGAGAGTTTGAGAAACTTAGCCAAGTGCAGTGGTACACGCCCATAGTCCAGCTACTCAGGAAGCTGAGGCAGGAGGATCTCTTGAGACCAGGAGTTCAAGGCTAGCCTGGGCAGCACAGAAGACTCCTGTCTCTAAAACAATAATAATAAGTTTTAGAAACTGCTGTACACCAGAGCCAGTGTGGGAATTCTATTCACCTGGCCATGGTGGGGCAGGGACATGACCCAAGTTTGCCCAACAAGACCCTATTTGAGGACATTGGTTTGACCTCTCAAGAAAGTGCACTTAGTATTTTCCACGTGACTTGTTTAAAAGAGCATAAAATACTAGATATGTGGCCATTTTACCATCCGGGCCTGTCTGACTGAGACTGGGGTCTGTGTAGAGGAAGCATACTCCAGAGGAAGAAAAATGGTGCTCTCAGGGTATCACTTGAATCCCGGCCAAAATATGCCTAAAGTCAGAGTTTTTCCCAGATTTTCAGTTGCATGAGTCAGAAGATTTCCTTCATAGTCATACAATGTGAGTTGTATTTTCTGCCACACACAACTGAAGAAAAATAAAAGATAGAGTTATGAGTAATGATTAAAGGCTTATTTGAGTCTCACCACCTATTTGCATGGGCTCCTTAGCTGAATGTGTGTGTGTGTGTGTGTGTGTGTGTGTGTGTGTGTGTGTGTGTGATTTCTCATTTGTTGTAGCATTTAGAAGTATAAGAATCAAAAAAAATCCTAGTATCGAGACATGTCTGCTTTCTTGCATCGTTCTCTTAATTGCTTCATGTATATTTACCTTACTTCCCCTCAAAATTATAAACACTTCAAAGGCACTGGACTTTTCTTCCATGAGGCGATAATTTAAAGTAATAAGACGTTTATAAATAAACATACCAGAACTTATATCAAGTGAGTGTAGATTTTCAAAACCACCACCTGAGGAAGCTGCTAATTTATTCTGGTTTTGCTGACTTTGGAAAGAACATTGTAGTAACTCTCTAGAATAATGATCAGCACTAGTTTCTAAGCCCTGAGATCACACCAGTGCTTTGTTAGTTACATCTGATTTTTACTTAAAGTGACACTACAGGGAATCAATTGAACCCAGTCAGATCACTTCAATTCCCATGAACCAGCCCACCGTGAGTCCCCTATGGATCCTGCCAGCCCCGAGTACCCCACCTCTTCCCTGAGGACCTCGTGGGAACTGCTGCCATCCAGCAGTAAAGGGATAGCATGTGCCTCATGGGGAGTCTTTAGAATCCTCTTCCTTCACTGCAGCCAGCACTGGTTCTGATTTCGATCAGTCACTCATGCCATATTAATGGTTATGTATTTCATTATCACCCTTGGGTGCTACCAAGGTTGTTCTGCCACCTTATTCATCAACATTACTCTGATTAAGTTTGCCTCTTTCCAGAAATGCGATTGACATCCAGGAAAGTAGATCTTCTATTACTGTGAGAACTTCAGTAGCTAGCTAGATAGATAGGTCAATAAATTGATTGATGGAGAATATAATAACTATTTTGAATATAAACCACTGAGAAGCTTTAGAAGTAGAAACATAAGTATAAACTCGGAGGCCTTGTCATCTTTGTTTAATAGAAACTGATTAGCACTTGTATTAAATGCTGTTAATAGATCAATAATTTATAATAAATAAGTAAATAAGAGCACATTTCTTATGTTCTTCGATGTGTTATAGTGATGAAAGGTTTTGGATTTTGTGGGAAGCAGACTCTTTTCCTAAGAGAGAAGAGGAGGCAGAGTTTATAAGTAAGGTAGTAAATCCCTAAAGGATAAAACTCTTCCTTATTGATTAAATATCAGGCATTTGGGTTATAAGTTTATTCCTTTCCTGTCTGCTACCTTTAAAAGCCAAGAACATTTCGACAGGTTATAAGCATTCAAAGAAATAGAGGGGCAGAGAATGCTATGCATTTGTTGCTACGGAAAATCTAAATCAACTTAGAAGGCAGCTAAAAGAAACCAATGTTTATGGCTAGGACCAAAATGCATTTTAACTGTAATTCCAAGGGCGAATCACACCAATATTGCCAAGTTAAAAATGACTATTTCTCTAATAAAAGGAATTCCAATCATTTAAACCATGAACTCAATTATATTTTCTGAATATTGATTTTAATCAATTTTATGAACCTTAAGTGATAAAGGTAACTTTTTATAAAATGTAAGGATATTGCTGTTGTTACAGTAATTTGGTATGAATGATGCTGTTAGACTATTAAAGTAAAACCTCTTTGCTAATATTCAGGGATTATGTTACAATAACATATTGCATAGCACAATAAAGTTAATAGCATGGATCAACTTCCAGAAGTCTCTCTGTTTTAAATGAATATTGTTTTCAGAATGTATTTGTTTTGAAATATGAATTTCAGATCTATAAATATAAGGCCAAGTATTTTAATAATTGTTATTATATCTCAGACTACCAATAGATGTTACATTCTACGTAAAATATTTGTCTAACTTTTGTATTAAGTCAAACCATTTGTAATCACCTATGTAAAATACATGTTTATGTATATACATACACACCAAGGTAGTCTGAATGGATATCCTGGGCTAATTATCATGCAGCGTATGGCCTTTTGCATATTCACTTATTAACAGCAGTAGAAAGCTTAGTGTGATACAATAATCATTTTTAAATAATCCTAAATCTACTCAGGTGAAAAGATTCTGACAGCAGGCGCTTTAAACAGCTGCCCTGAGCAAAATAGACACTGCTTTCTTTTAAAGTTGAAAAGGAGAAAGGTAACAATTATCCCAGAGACACTGGAAACAAAGTTGTCTGATTTTTCCCCGGCAAATGCCTCCACCTCTTGTAAAAAGAACAGTGTATTTGAGATGTTGGAAAATGGTGGACCCATCAGAAGCAGTCATCAGATAAACAGATAATTAATGTATTAAGAGTGTAATTGAAATTAACAATGGCTTTCATATGTACGTTTAGTACTGTGCTACAATTTATTACTTGTCTGAAGTACTTTCTTGCATTATAAGTCAAGAAGCCTTGTGGAGCCAAAGTAGGATAATAACAATTAAACATAACTACCTCTACAAGATTAAACTTGATACTGAATTGAGTAGCGGTAGAAATCATGACTTAAACATTTGTTTTCTCCCTTTGTACTTCATTTATAAATTCAGTACTGCTTTTACCATTAAGAGAGAATTCTGAATAAAACCATAATTCAGATTAAATCAAACTAAATATTATTTAGTTGCAATACTAAATATTATCTATTTATCTAAAGATATTTTTAGGATATATTAAAATTCCCAATATGCCTGCAAGTTTTTGTGTTCTGTAAGAAACTTAGAGAATTTTTCCCTTGAAATTGACTATCTTAATCCTGATTTATGTTTTTTTTCAAAAGTAAAAACCTGGAAAGGGCCTTACTAACAGGCCGAACATTTTGCAGTTTCCAATGGGTATATAATGGCATCCACTCTGTGATTGGGAGTTTAAAAATCAGAACATTCAAATATTCTGATCCCGATTGCTTTCCCATTTGAATAATCGTACCTCTTTATATTAACAAACTTTATGGTGATATTTTCAAATTCTTTCTATATCACTTCTTAACTGGCCACAAATGTTTGTAATACTTGAGTGTCTTCTCTGAGTTTCAAAATGACTTGCTCAGATAGGAACTCACATTATTTTTCCATTTCTGATTCCTCCCTTCCCCCACTTTTACCAAAGAATACACATGCGTTAGTAAATTCAGCCTATTTTCATCATTAAGAAAAAAAAAAAGTCAAGTTCAAGAAAGAATAGCACAGCTGTTCACAATGTCATATCTTATAAAACAAATCTATTAGGAAGGTCAAATCCTGAAAGAGGTCAAGTTAATGAGATAAGTGGAGTAATTTGGTCATTTTCTGAAATTTGTAAACTTACACAAATCTATTTTTTTATCCTGCACTACATTTTTATCCTGCACTAGATTGACTAACTAAACCTCTGCTAATGGTGATTTTCTACTTCTTTAAAAGTTATTACTTTTATATAGCAGGCACACTTTTCTGTACCTAAATGTTTTTAATGTGAATTGAGTTCAATGTTAGTTTGATACTAATCAGTCCATTCTGTTTATTTTTGAATTACTGCTTTCATTTGGAATGCATTTAAAAAATAAATTTAAAAAAATACAAATATGAATAAAAATTATATGTCTGTATTCACACACACATTTGGTGTATGTGTGTATATCTACACAAGTTAATTAAATAAAATTGTGGACTTTTAAATAAAATTATAGATAAAATAAATTGTAAACAATTGGTGGAAAGAGGATGGCCTATGTAAAATCTAGCCACCTTACATTTCTTTCAAAGAGTACAAACATTTTGAAGCACGTAGTAACTGCACGTGTTTTAAAATTATGCATAAATAAATTCTTCGTTTAATCCTACTGCTGGGTCCTTGAAGTGTCATTGATTTACTGATTCTGCCATTATATTTTTATATTTATTTTATTTACAGAAAAAATTATCTAAGTCAGATATAACTCCTTATCTTGGGAGAGAAGTATGACTTCCATTTTTTTCAAGTTGACATTTTAAAAGATAAGAGCATTAGCCTCTGAATTTTTTAAATATATTAAACTAGAGGACCTTGAAGCTACTTTTTTTGAAAAGCTAAGGAATATATGTGTATATGCCTATACATATTATAAATGTATGTTTGTGTGTGTATTAACTATAAATGCATGCATATATATTTATAAAGTAGCCAATGTTAGTCAAATTCCAAATGGAATAAAATTTATGGATATAAATGTGCAGCTACCACCCAAAATTTGCTCAAAATTAGCAAAGTTTCTATGTCTGGGTCTGTATAAACCCAAGTGAGTCAACTTTATTTATAATCTAGGAATCAAATATCTATTTTTATATTTTGTGCGTGTAATCTATGTGGCTACACTATATGAAAGAAGAAAGCTACCTGCAGCTAGAAATAAGTAATAAAACATGCATGAGGGAATGTGATCTACAATGTGTTCCTTTATGTTCTAGAAAGGACCCTGATTTCCTTCCTCAAATTTCAACTTAGTTTGTGTGTGAGAAATATGTATCTTTAAAATGGAGGAAGTCACCACCAGAGTTATGTAATGTAATCCTTAAAGATCTTTTAGAATGCAGTCAAAAGGAGAGAATAGGAAAGAAAGAGAGGAGAGATGTATTCATATATTTTTAAATGTGTCATTGATGTAATAAACTCTTTAAAAGACAGTTTCTTATATAAGGGAGTTTTAGGGTCACCATTAATACATTTTCTCATGTTGTAAAAATAAATATGAGGCGCTTTGTATAAGTTTTGTGCATATGCACATTAACATAGATATTGAGTTATACACTTGTATATAAGTGCCAAAAGTGTATTCAGTTTTCAATATCTTTAAAATCTAATGTCTATTGAATTATTCAATCTCTTCTGAAATTAAGAGAGAAAGAAAAAATTTAATGATCTCTGAATGCCTCATATATGTCAAACATGACATTCCATAGTCTCACATACATCATTATGTTTATGTTAACTGAGTATGTATGTGAATTGAGAGAACTCCAACATAGTAATAAAAATAAGTTGGCAATAAAAATTAATCATAAGTTATCAGTGTCTTATTTTCCTCCTACTAAAGTAAATAATTATAAGGCTGACATTTACAGCATTCTCCTAGGTACTCTATTGCTTCATTTTTTTTTCAGTTTTTTAATATAAAATTAACATATAACCAATTATATTTATTCTCCACTATGTAAGAAACTCATGGAATTTCTTGACAACATTGTTGGTGTTTTAATCCCACTTATAAAATATGATATTGCTTTAATGAAAATAAAGACAACTAGTGATGTCTCACTACATGGTAGTGCTGAAAATGATTCCATTCATTTACGTGAGTGTATGTATGTATATATGTTTGTATGTACATGTATATACATAACCAACGTATGCCATTTCTACACATTTTGCAAATTGCTCATTAGCTCAGACAAGCAGGGACTGTTCCTTTCCTCTCCTCTCCTGGGCCTAAACATGGCCCAGAATTTATTAATTTTCTTTTGCATTTCACAAAAGTGAAACTGTTTTCAATCTAAGTTCTAGTTTCTGTAACAATGGCTGTCCTTCATATTTCATGAATAAAGGTATGCTTAAAGCATAATGCTTGTATGTGTACACACACACACACACACACACTCCAAAGTGGCAGTAGCATCTCTTCTGCTAGAGGTCAATTCAATTAAGCTATCACTAATTAAATGCCCACTATATGCAAAGCACTGATAATATAAAGATTAAAGGAAAAAGTAGGTCCTTCTTCAAGAGCCTCCTTTCCCCTGTGTGACTTGCACATGAAAATAATTGGAATCCAGCAGTCTGTCTCCTATACCTATACAGAGAAAGTAGGACTATTTTGTGATTTAAGACAATTCAAGATATGAAAAGCCGAGGCAAAACTAACATTCGAATGCTCCAACAGTTAAGTTTGTACCTTGTCACAAAGTTCCTCTTATGATGAAGAGTAGTTTTGATACATTTGGGGTAAATTTGTAAATGTGAAATAGCAAAGGGTAAGTCACAACTAAGCATTTTTGTTTGCTTTTCATTTTTTGTATGTGTTTTAAATTTCAGCTACACTATGAATCCTTTTTCAAAATATCTTTAAGAGCTTGGTAATTTTTTTCTTTTCCTTTAAAAAATCTATATTACTTCACAATAGGGAGAAATGACATTTCTTTAACACAGATCACTTTAAAAAATAATTGTGGGTAATTTCTTGCTATAATTTATTTACGTCTTTTGCCGAGATTGTGTGACCAATTCAGTGTGTTCATCTAGAGGAAAAATAATGCCAACAGAAAAAGAATATAAACATAAGGCAGGGGAAAATAAAGTTGTTGAAAAGTTAGTGTTATATTTTCAGAGCCCTTCTCATGAAATAAAATCTCACTCACCAGGAGTTTTGTGTCTCAAGTTGGGCTGCCAGGTCTCGGTTTTGGTTTCCTGATATTCTGCTCGATGTACAAAATGTCAAAGTGAGAAACAGCTTTAACTGTTCCTTTTGGTACGGATGACTGAGGGGCACTCTCCAGAATGCTTGATGCGATGAGGTAGTTCTTACTTTGGTATGCGATATAGTGTGATTAATAAACTCCAGATCACAGAGAGAGCCGGGTGCGAGTAAGGCTCGTATGAGTGCAGTTTCCTACCCAAGACAATGTATTACCTTGAGCTAATCTGGTGGTACTGAAGAGAGAATTTTTACGTATGTATACATAACAAAGACAATCACTGCTTTCTTCTTGAGCAGCTGCAGCCAGTCCCACTAATGGACGTGCAAAAGCAAAAACTGGCAGCATAAGGTATGTGTTCGTTTTTACAGATGGTACTGCAGACAAGTTGGTAATTGAAAAGGAAGTCGTGTACGTGAGCTATTTGACGGGGCAGGGAGTAGGGACAGCCTATTATAGGACTTTCCTGTGTAATTGACTGGGTGAGTTATTGAAGAGGTAGTTTTCCCGTGAAAGATTTCAGTTATTACAAAATTACATCATTATTGTTAAGGAAATTCATAATTCCACTTCGTCTTTTAAAAATCATGTTATTAAAACTTTAGAAATCAGCTCAGTTTCCCTGCCTGCACAGTACCTCTATCATGAAATTATCTGCTCATGGTCGGTTTCACCAATAGTGGTCACAGAGCTCTTATTTAAAGACAAATCTTTCATTTGAATAATGACATAACATTAAGTGCTTGTTTTAATCATTGGAAAGGTGTCCGTAAATACCTATGATTTTACCCGTCCTGAGGACATACAAAATTGAATTAAATGAGAGAGAATATTTTTAATGATTTATAGTGTCAAAAATAAATGAAATTCAGGTTCATTTTTTTTTAGTCTCCCACTGCCCCATTCCCCGTGTTTCTAAAAGTCAGACAGAATTGCGTGGTCCCAGAGGTATTCCCGAGATAGTCTGTGAAGTATTTAATCCAAATTGCATATTTGGTGTCAGGCTCTTTTTGTGGACACATTCATAGTTTGTCATTAACTCTTTTAACTGTTTTGAACCTCTGTATATTTAACTCATGTATTCCCGTATGTTTTTGTTGTTTACATTAAAATAAGCAGTGGTTGCCATCTTTCTGCTGAGCAGACTCAAGGCTGCGTTTTAACATCTGACTTGTACTGAATACTCTCAATTGGATAGCCTATAAAAAATGTTTAGAGTTAGGAGTATTTTTGTCATTACTCTTCTGTGATGAAATGCAAAAGTATATCACATATGAGAAGTATAATAGTAAGCTTCATAGATAGATGAAGAACATGAAGTTTTATATATAATAGTGGGGGAGTTTTTAAGCAGACATTATTTAAAATATTTTTATATTATCTGATTCTTGAGGAATTTGGTAAAATAACCTCACCTTTCAGAACTGCCAGTAATTTATCTTGAATAAAAATGATACCAAATATCACAAAAGGTCTCTGCCTTGGAACATACACATATATAAAAGAAATCTAGTAAATTGTTACCTGAACATGTGTGTTTACAGAGCATGTCAAAACCCCAGCACCATTTTTCTTGCCCCAACTCTAGCCAAGTCTTCTGCAAAAGCAAAGAGAGACTTTCATTCACAGCTAACCTCCCATGTAGCAGGCGCTATGAGAGGCTAAGTCAGTGGTGTCACCAACTTCTGCTTTTAAGCAGCGGCCTGTTTCACATACTTTTTTTATTTTTTTTGACACAGCAGGATCAAAACACATGTACTGCACCCCTCCCCCCTCCCCAGCACTGCCCCCTCCATCAGCCAAGTGCTCTGTTCCTCTGGCTATGACTGTGTCTGTCGACCTCAAAACAGCTCGTTGCCATATCTGATGAAGGATGACTCATTTCTTTCTGGTACCTCAAAACTTGCATAATTTCAATCAGCTGTTATTGGGTGGTTTGAAGAGATAAGCGTTCTTTAAGGCCAGGATATGGTGTAATATTTTTGGTAAAAATTCCCCAATCTCCTCTTTAGTAATAAGGCCTGAAACATGGTTCACTGTGGCTTTGAAGTGAGGGCAACCTGGGTTTATATCTTAGCCCTACTATTCAGCAGTTGCAAATTGCTTCTAAGCCTCAGTTTTCTCATCTATAAAGTGGAGGGAATAATAATAATAATGATAATAATACTTGCCTCTTAGGATCATTCTGAGGATATCAGATAATGAGACTAGGCCTATCATATGTTATCCTGCAAACATATGTGCAATGATGATTATTTAAAAAGGGACAAAGATAGTCAAACAAGAGTATTCTATTAAATAGTTGATTCAAAAATTCTTTTTTATTTAATTAATTTTCTATTTATCTATTTTAGAGACAGTGTCTCGCTCTGTTGCCCAGGCTGGAGTACAGTGACATGATTATAGCTCACTACAGTCTAGAACCCCTGGGCTCAAACCATCCTCTCTCCTCAGCCTCCAGAGTAGCTCAGATTATAGATGCATACCACCACACCCAACTAATTTTTTTTTTAACTTTTTGTAGAGACACGTTCTTGCTGTGTTTGCCTTGGTTGATCTCAAGCTCCTAGCCTCAAGCAATCCTCCCACCTTGACCTCCCAAAGCACTGGGATTACAGGCATGAGCTACCACGCCTGGCCAAAAATGCTTTTTAGAATATGATCCTGTCATATTGCCTAGACTTAGAGACCAGAATGTGTTCTTTGATGCTAGATAAGTCAAAGAACTATTGTCAGTTTTGTACTTCATCAATAAAAGGAGAGTAATAGTAATTAGTAATTCACCGTAAATCTGAACTGGGATAATATGTGTTAGGAGTTCTTAACCTTGGGATCTGGATCAGTCGGCACTCAAATCCACAGGAAATCTTTGGATACATTTTGTGAGGGACATGCTTTTGACCATGTTAAAGTTATTTGTAAATATTTTACACTTTATTTTTTTCTGGAGAGTGTCATACATTTCACCAAAAGATTGTATGATCCCCAAGAGTGTGAGAAACCATCGAGGAACCACTGAATTGTATATAGCTGCCTCGAGGGTGGCAACACTTCATAAACCAGTTATTATGTTAGATACTATGAAAAGAATTATTGATTTTTTTTCTGTTTTTTCCCAAAATAACCATTATATATTATAAAGGCAGCCCTAAAAAGGTGTAATACATGAAATATTAATAACTGTATCTGACTCTCTAATTAAATGCCTAGAAGCTGAGACTTTTGGCTTTTAGGACTTTTCTAGAAAGGTCTTCATCGCTGATATTTTTATTTTTAGAATATGAACCTATCCCAGAATAAATCTGCTTATTAAATATATTATATAAATAAAATATGCAACAAATTTATTAGAAGAATCAACTCTTGTGCTGTCACACTGAAGTTTAAGAGGTGCTAAAATTGTTTAACTGTGCCTCCAAAAGGCCTTTTAGTATTTTTTTCCTTCCAGTGTCAGATTTTGGCACTGGCATAGAAGAAAGTCCCCATAGAGCTACTTTCCAGCCATTGTTGTAGCTGAAGGAAGGGTGAAAACACATACAGGATGGCAAAAATAGAAGCTCTGAGAGACTTGAGTAGTTCTTTTAACAATAATGACTTTCACGTGGAATGAAAAAAAAGACAGTGCAGACATAAATTTTCAACCATATTTTTAGCTGTCCAAATGCATATTTGCTGTAAAGGCAGAACATTATTACAGAAACAGCGTGGTTAGAACTCCAGAAATCTGGGTTTTTCCAATTCTGATTCTATTATGTAATTTCATTATGACACAGGGTGTTTGGTTTGCTCCTTTACCAAATACAGGGTTAGCTACCAAATATGGGGTTAGTTAAAGAAGGGAGATGGGGTCCTCAGATCTGTGTAATAGGTTTTATATCTGTGTGATAAATTTCTAAAACCTTGAGATGTAAAGAATCTGTATGAATAAAGAGTGGGATATACATGGGGAAATAGTGATTTTCTGCTCTTTCACTCTGAGAATCACCAGTTACATCTCAGAAGAGATGGAGCTAATGTGTTTAGCACAGCAGCATTACCTGATATATCGGGTAGCTCCCTATGTGGCGACATTGTCAGTGGGATAAGTCTTAGGTGCATTCATATCTCAGTGCAAGGTATGATTACTGGAGTATGTATTGCCTCATGTCCTGGAACAAAAACTGTTCTATTGCTCTTAGCCAGAGATGCCAGTTTAGTTTACACTGGTCTCCATTATCATTGCTGATGTGTTGAGGAAGTGAATTTAATAAGCAGGGTAAACAGGTTTTGTTTCCAAGCTCTATGGTGATTATAAGATGGGTGCTTGGCTGAACCTGATAGAGTCCCTTCAGTTTTTTGGCAAGAAATCTGAGGGCAAAGAGGACTGTTTTAAAGCAGGCAAAGACATGCAGTACAGCCCATTTCAACGGATTCTTCACAATTTTATTTGAAACAAAAGTTGGCCAGGATATTGGTAAACTATTGCTTTCTGTTGGCAGAGTGCTTTCCCTGGTCTTGTTCAATTGTTGGCCAGCCTGTGCTCCTGGTAAGAGTCTGGCTATTAATCTAAAGGTGTTTATTGCAAACCACCATCTATTTTTAAGTTGTTTTAGCTCCTGAATTCAGTATATTCCATAGGGTCTACTGGTGTGTAGTCAACAGCTGGTTAATTCTATTTTGGAGGGGAAGAGGGGAGGGACATGGCCTTCGATGTCTCCTAGTGGCGCATGATAGAGATAAGAATAAAATAATATTCAACACTTATTGAATTATGGAATATCAACAATTATTGAATATCAACTACATATCTGACAGTCATGAACACATTAAGTCATGTCAACTCTATTGGTAATTAATAGAACAATGTGATTGATAGGACATTATTACTAATGTGAAAATAAGCAAGTATTAATTTGTTTCTGAAGTGACTTAAACTGTTACACGTTTTTACAAAGGAGCACAGGAAGTAACCCCTCTGATTATTAGGTAACTTTTAGCCTCTAAATGAGATTTATGAATGGGCAATACTTTGGTATCTTCAGGAAAGTTTCCACGTAATTCACATGATTTCAGCTGTCAATGTTCATGAACAATTTCTGTTTGTGTTGCTTTAGCTCCATAATTAGTATGTTTTTAGAAGATTCCACTGGAAAATCTGCAAGATTACAGACCATGTTTGTCTCACGCTGTGACCCTGGCTTGTAGCACAGTGCCAGGCACATGGTGGACACGCAATAATTACTCCCAGAACTTAATTGACTTAATTTACCACTGAAATTGTATTACTGTGAAATCGTACCAGAAGCTTTGCTCATAACCATCTATGCATTTCGCTAACATGAATGTTGCAAAGACTTTTTGATATAATCAGATAAACACAGAAAATATTTAAAGAGTTAAAAATATTTGAGGTATATTCATACTAACATTATATAAATCAGATTTCAGATTGATTCGATTTAAAATGGCTAAGATATAAAACCATAAAAAATGTGAGTAAATATTCTGCCTATCAGGGCTTGTTATGTAATTACATGGTTTCAGTATGGTTCTTATTCATAGAAAATTATTGTAAAAGATCATTTCTTCACAAATTCCTTCACCAATGGAAACCTTTAATATCTTGAAGATGAATATCCATGTCTGTAAATGTTAAGCCACTTTAATAAATCATTCAATCAAATTTACTTCATATTAATCAGATGAAATCAGTTCCTTTTCAAAATTTGGAGATTTGGAAACCTTAAAATTTTTATATTTGGCTGGTCTTCAAATAATAAAATAAAATAAGGAATAAAAACAGCCGACCCAATTTAAAATTTAAAAAAAAATGTCTTAAGTCATATCTGGGTTTCCTAACATGTATGCCAAGGCTCAGCTATTTATCAATGTTATATAGCTGACTGAAGATTTAAGTCTCCCAAAAGCAAAACTTAAATTGGAAACTTAGAGAAAATTTCAACTATTGTTACCCGCATGTTGGTGTTAGCCGTGAACCTAAAGACAAAAGGTGTTGTGTTTTGTTTGTTTGTTTGTTTGTTTTAAATACTTAGTCATTATACTTATTGGTTTACTCTAAAGGGGAGGAAAAAATTACACTGGATTTAAAGGGTATTCATATTAAAAGTTAGGTATGTCATTTTCTATATCTATTTGGATGATTGTTCAGATCCATCACCTACATTGCTGCTGTGAAAATCAGTATTGTGGCTATAATATTTGAAATACCGAAAGGGATCAAGTGCTCAAAAGACAGGCCAGTTATCACTGAAAAGCATTTGCCAGGCAATCACTGGCTTCGAAACTCCTTGCAGTTAACTGTTTGTACCATTATTCATCCTTTTTCACATAGGAAATTACCAGCCAACGGAAATGGCCTGGAGACAACACAAATGCAACCTAAATTGTACTGCTCAAAGCATTAAAAGAAAAGCAAACAATCATTTTCTCGAATTGTTGATTCCAGAATTTTTTCTGTAGCAATTTTTAGTTGAGCTGCCTCATGTAGCTTTGGGTTTTCAGCCAATCCTCCTTCACTCTTGCCCTCTGTTCAAACCACGTAGATGTGGAAGGTGAACTTAGAGAAGTTCAGGGGCAGAGATTGCAGCTACTCTTTGCGGCTTTACATGTGTGAGTGAGCAGTCTTCCCTCAGTCTGAGAGGAGAGAAAGTTTTGTGCTATATATGCCCCTCAGGAATGCCAATTGGTGTTATCGGCTAGCTACTTATTCCTATCCTTTTTCCCTCCCAGCACTGATCTTATCCATATGACCCATAATTCTTCCCTCTCAGGCACGAGGTGATGGAGGTACAAATTATTGTCTCTTAAGACAGCTTGTGGGAAAAGGAGAAATTTATTATTTAAACATAAACAGACACAGATAGAACCATCAGCAATTTGTGACTGTAATGTTAAAGATAAAAGAGAGCTGCCCCCAGCACTTAGCAAGTACCTGGCATCAGCTCCTTCTCAAAAATACATGTGGGGCTGGGTGCGGTGGCTCACACCTGTAATCCCAGCACTTTGGGAGGCAGAGGCCGGTGGATCACCTGAGGTCAGGAGTTGGAGACCAGGCTGGTCAACGTGGTGAAACCCGACCCCACTAAAAATACAAGAATTAGCCAGGCATGGTGGCGGGCGTCTGTAATCCCAGCTACTCTGGAAGCTGAGACAAGAGAATCACTTGAACCCGGGAGGCGGAGGTGGCAGTGGGCCGAGATCGCGCCACTGCCCTCCAGCCTGGGCAACAGAGCAACGCTCCATCTCAAAAAAAAAAAAAAAGTGTGGAAAGTAGGAGTGGACAATGAATTTTCTTGAATGTGTCTTCTATATCATCAACCATCTCTGCCCAACTCCAGATTAATTTGTCAGCCTGAATGGACGACATTTAAAAGGGATTTTAAGAAAACAAACACTACTTTTTTTCCTAAAATATTTTTTTTTTCTAAAAATAACGATAGAAATAGCAGGCAGGATTATTTTCAACTTTCTTAATGTTTAGCCTAACAGAGCACTGTCCTAGGTGCTTATTCCTTAGAATGTTCAGTGACGATTAGGAAACAGGATTTCTGTCCTTAATAGGCTTACTGCAAAGGAGAGTGACAAAGTATTTTAAAACTGCCATGCAGGATAAAGTATGAATGAAATAAGATCGTTAGTGCTTTTCTTTTTCTTTAAGTTAAAGCCAAGCTTTGTTTTTGAAAATAGGGCACAGGAGGCTTCTACTCTGCGTTCCTTTGGTAACAGGCTGCTTCCCTGTCCTTGATTGGGCTAAGGATGTTGATAACTTCAAAGGAAATCCCTTACTGTGTCCTGCCAGGTTACATTGTACACAGTGTGACCAGGTCAGGGCTCGCATCTGTATGGTGTTTTAGAAAGATGTGGTTCTGTAGTGACACAGCTCAGGACACTACCCACTTCTCCCACCTTCTCTGCTACTTCCAGAAATTTTAATTGCACCAAAAATAAGGTTCGACTAGGCTTACCAAAGTACTAAATTTGTTTAGATGGGAGGTAACTTCATGTGTGAAAGAATTTCTCACCTACCTCCCACTCTCCACCCCCATGCAAGCTTGCTCCTATTGAATTCTAGGTGCGAACACCTAGATATTTCACTCTGACTCAACTTTCCATTCTCATATTTGATAAGATTGGTATGAAAGAAACACATTGAACAATATCCAACCATATGCTTTAAGCATCTCTCAAATATTCAATAACAAGATTCAAGGGCTGAAAACTAACAAAATATTTTTCTCATACAAAAGAAATCACAGTTGAATCCTCTTGGCAAATAGGATTTGAGCACTTACTACATCCCTGGCACCGTTTTAATTGCATCTATTAATCTACATAAGAATCACAGTAGCGGGGCATGGTGGCTTATGCCTGTAATCCCAGCACTTTGGGAGGCCGAGGCGGGCAGATCACTTGAGATTGGGAGTTTGAGACCAGCCTGACCAACACAGAGAAACCCCATCTCTACTAAAAAATAGAAAATTAGCCGGTCATGGTGGCGCATGCCTGTAATCCCAGCTACTCGGGAGGCTGAGGCAGGAGAATTGCTTGAACCCGGGAGGTGGAGGTTGCAGTGAGCCAAGATCGTGTGCCATTGCACTCCAGCCTGGGTGAGTGAGACTCTGTCTCAAAAAAAAAAAAAAAAGAATCACAGTAGCTCACACTGTAAAGATCAGAGAACTTTAAGCATTGAAAGATTAAGTGACTTGCCCAGTGTTGTACCTGGCAAATGACAGAGACAGGTTTTGAATATCAGTGTTCTGGCACCTAAATCTGATTATTAACCTCCAAGCTCTACTGACTCTGAATAAGTGTATTCAAAGTACTCCTGATATATTTAAAATGTGATATGGTTTACCTAAAATATAGCAAACTATATTGGAGTCTAAGTGCTCCTTTTAAAGCAAGCTATGCTTTTGGAAACTAGTGCTGTAATTTCAGGATTTTCCCTCTAACTAATGAAAGGCATTTTCTTTGCAAGAGAATTAAGCACCAAATTGTGCAAGGGTTGAAACACTCACTGAAATCAGGATTACACCCACTTTGGCATGGTGTGTCAAGCACCCAGGGCATAAGGAAAGAACAGCAGGCTGGAGTGAATGGTTACACATTCACATTTGAGCCTCAGCCATATATGTGGGTTAATTTCCAAATGGACATTTACATTGCCCTTGTGTGGACCAAGTTGGTGTTTATTTGCAAACATGTTATTTAGATCTAGGAAAATGACAGGATAGCCCCAGGAAAGTTTCACAATTATAACTTAACTAGGCTCCCAGCTTACTTTGCACAAAGGGAGTCCCCAAAATGTTTGATAAACACAACTTCTAATAGTTCATTGATTTTGGGGGAAGCAGCAGTCCACTTTTGCAGTAGGCCTTCACTGGGACTTGCAGACTGACACCCAACATTTGCTATTGCAATGTTATTGAGACTTAGAAACTCATGATACATTCCTGGTCCAGAGTCGGGTGGGGGGAAGTAGAAAAAGGGGAGCCAGAGATTATCTTTGGAAATCTAGTTTTTATTACATCACCTAAAGTAGCACAACCTGCTACACTAATGAAATCGTGTTCTTGGTTTAAAAGGGCAATTGTTAGCCTGACTTTGTGCTCACTAAAAACATTCCCCCAATCTTGTTAAGTTATTGCTCTCATTTCAGATTTTTATGGCTGTGCAGCTTACCAGCCCTCATTTCTTTACGTTTCATTCATTTTCCTTGTATTGATGATTAATGGAGGATGTCGAATGTTAGAGTGAGCAGGCATCAGCAATTGCAAGATCATAATTAGTTTAGCTGACGAGAGCCTCTGATAGCACTTGCATCTGGATGGAAAAATTACCCTATAGGGAACTGGCTGCTCACCAGGTCTTTTTAGTGATACATTGTGAAACACCCGATGAATCAAATGCCCTTTCAATGCCAAGAAAGTGTTCCAGTCTTGAAGCCAAAATTATGTCTGCAGAAAGCTTTCCATTTGAAATGTATCAGAGTACAATTATAACCATTGTATTTTCTTGGCAGGGATACCACTCTTCTACAGTATGGACTTGAGTTAAATAAATTGCCTAAATTTTATGAATCCCTGAAATTTTGACTTATGGCACATGTAATATTTAATTTATAATAAAATTAGGTTCCAGCAAGACTTTTTCCACTCCTTATCTAACACGCATATTTTATCATTAAAGGCTTTGCTTCCTAGAGAAAGGAGAGCTGAACTGCAATTCAGGCTGTCTTTTTTTTTCTTTTTTTTTTTCAGCAAGAGAATTCCATTTCCTGCCTGTTAGTATTTGTGCCTACAAACACAGCCTGACTTTTGTTTAAGTGAGAAGTTTAATGGAATCATTACTTGATAGCAAGAATGGAACAAGCAATACTAATTATCTAGTTTTAAATATTCTTAGGTTATTTTTAACCTGTTGATTACAAAACTCAGGCCACTAGAATCAATTTGTATTTGGAAACCCTTGTGATTTCCAAGTCTAAGTCAAATAAAATAAATAAATAGCCATTGAAGGGTCTATGTTGCCTAACTTAAGTGGGCACCTCATAAGGGTTCTCATTAGTAATACTGTACTTTTAATTGGCTGAAGTTTCTACAAACCCTCTCACGTTTGAGGAATAGAGGAATCTTTCAGATTTTACAATTGCAAACGAAAGACCAGAATTGAGTGTCTTATATTCTCGTAATACTTACGTTACATGAATGACATACAAAAACACACAAATCAAGTTTAATTTTAAATGATTTACATTTATTCCAAACTTGACTATATTTTAAAGCTCAGGTAGCATGTGCTCCTCCTTTCCAAAGTGTATTAAACATATTGCCATGTTCTGTCTTTTTGACGTATGTTTTGACACTTTTAAAAGGTATATTTTAGGGTTCAGCATTTAGGAGCCATCATTAAAGCCATAAAACCCAAAGTTCAAAAAGTTAAAGCTGTTTCTGTGAAAAGCCTTTGGTGTTCCACACACCTCATCCATCACTGTAGGGTTAATTATAATGAAAATCAGTGGTGCCTATTAAACACAATTGAACCTGACCTCATTATGGGCAGTGTGGTTTTATACTGTCATTGTTGCTAGTTTAAAGACAAAACTCCTGGGTTGATTTGGTCTAACTCCACTGATCATGTGACTCACCTCTGACCTTGGTTTTTTTCCCCTGTTTCAGAGGCGTAGAGGCTCCGGTGTTTTTTGTGCCAATTGCCTGACCACAAAGACCTCTCTCTGGCGAAAGAATGCAAATGGCGGATATGTATGCAACGCGTGTGGCCTCTACCAGAAGCTTCACTCGGTAAGAACTTGTTCCACTCTTTCAGGAAAAGCTTTATAAAGCAGTGTTGGCCTGGTCTGTGGTGTGATAAGTCCCATTCCCTGGCTTGCAGTGCCTGCCCCCGCAGGGTTGTTTTAATACAGTCACTTTGAGTGCACATGTGATTTATGGTGAAGGGGGCTTAGATGTGATGGGGAGATAGGTTTGAGGTCATTAGTAATGCATTATGCTTCTTTTGATATAAAAGAGGAAAATGATTGATTTCTGGGAACTTCACAGCAGATAGTTGAACTAATGGTTATCAGAATTCAATGAAATTATTTTAGGTAAAAAGGAGAAAATTTTTAGAAGTTTCAGAAATATGCAAAACGTTTTAAAAAATGAAAAAGGACTCGGTCATGTTCAGTATAAAATATAAGTCAGGGAAAGAATTCGTGTTTTCTAGTTTACCTTCGGAATTCACAAGTGTTATCTTGACCGCTTTAGGGGCTGGAGGGGCACATTCGGAAGGACAGTTCTGAACTGAATTAGGATCAGAGAATATCACATGAATCTCCCCAGGGCCTTCAGTGGGTATTTCAATGAGGTATCTGAAGTTCTGAATAGCACACACACCAGGGTAGAGTAAGGTGCAAAGATACTTTGTCTTTTAAGATCTCCAGCTGGCTTTGGCTCACGGAGGTTCTTTGAATTACTTTTCCTCAAATTTTAGTTAGAATTCTGTAATAAAATTAAAACTCACAAATCCTCCATCTGAATATGGATTTGACTTACTGAAGGATTTTTTTTTTTAGTTTAGCAAGTTCATCTGCTGACAAGAGCTGACTTTAAAATAGGCATCCCCCATTTAGTAAACAAAAATTTATTTCCCTGTGCCTTTTTCATTTCGTTTGGCGTTTTACCATAGCTCTTAGCACAAGCCAGTGAATACATTATGGCTACAGGGAATACACTTTTAGACAAAATGTTCTCATATATGGACCATTAGAAGCACTCTTTAAAAAATGCATGCTGCTAACACTACTAATTGGCAGTAAACTGTAAAAACCTTAGTTATTAGCATGTAGCAAGTAGAAAGATTCCACCCCCCACCACATACCAACTTATTTTTTTTAACCTTCACCATTTAAGCATAGCAATAAGTTTCTATTTAATGGGAACTGACATTAATGATTTTAATTGAAGTCTGGCCAATCATAGGGCAAAAATTAATTAAAATACTGCTCTGCCAGATTATGGGAACTTAACCACTGAGATATAAACTAAACTATTTTCTAAAAATTATTTTAATATTCATCTCTCCAGAGGTAAGATGTTTTCAGTTTTCAGGTTTTTTAAAAAACCATACATTGAAATACATAAAGGTTATGTTCACATTTTGTGTCAAAAACTGACACAAAAGTTATGACAGTTTAAAAAAGGAATTTATGCAAATTTCAGGTTCTTTACAGTGTATAGATTAAATAATGCATATGTTTATAATGCTAATATGAACTCTTTGTAAACCTGGATATTCTGAGCAAAAGAAATGCACATGGCATAACTAAGCTATGTTGCATTTTCTTTCTTAAACTAACAATGAATTGTCAATAACAACTGTGTTATCTTTCTTCACTTGGAAGTATGTTTGTAACAACAGAAATGTTCCAAAAAGGATTTATAGTTGTACTTATTTAAGATACAAGAGGTACTCCCTTTCATTCAAGTGTATCACTTCTAGGAATAATTTACAAATTACACTTATATTTATGTTTTTTTAAATTTATATTATATTTATATTATTATAACATGTTTATGAATATTTATGTTTATATTTAAAATTTTATAATTTATAAAATTATACATTATATACACATAATGTATAATTTATAAAGTTAAATTTATAAATTATATTTATAGTCATGTTTTATGTGGAAATTATTTTCTGATTTCAGTAATCTTTTAGAAAAATCAGACTTTAGCCCATTTAAAGATTACCCTAAATTTTTAACCTATAAATACGCATTAATTTATCAAACTGATTCCTTTGATTTTATACATCAAAGAGCTCCAACTGCAAGTAAAGTTTTTATTATAGTCTTATCCATGGATTTAAGTCATATTATATAAATACCTGTTGAACATGTCCATAAATACCAATCATGTAACGTTTAAGCTAAACAAAATACTTAAGCTGAATGAAAGTTAGCACTTACTTTAAGTAAAGAGTAGAATGACAGATCAGATATTTAAACCAAAGCTACACATGAATTTAGATTTTCAACACAAAACTAATGCTTCACTATTAACAAGTAAAATCTTAGATCACAAATATAAAATATTATTAATGAGAGAGAAGTAGAAATGAGAAGAAAAAAAAAATCCCTCTCTATTGCTTTGATGACCTGATATCTTTCCTCACAATTCTGTCAGTTTATCTTTGATTATTTATGCTCTGATATTAATATTTTATATCCACATTTGCAATTATTTAGAAGCACGCATGTATTTGTTGCTTAGGTTTCCATAACAAAATACCATAAACTGAGCAGCTTTAAACAGCCGACATTTATGTTTTCACATTCTGAAGGCTAGAAATCTGAGATCAGGTTCCAGCATAGTTGGATTCTGAGGAGGGCTGTCTTCCTTACTAAGCCACCTTCTATCTGTGCCCTCACATAGTGGAGAGAGATCTCTTTCTCTTCCTCTTCTCATAAGGCCACAGCCCCATTGGATTAGGGCCCCACCCTTAACAACCTCATTTAACTTTAATTTCCTACTAAGGACCCTGTCTCCAGACACAGTCACACTGTGGTTTAGGGCTTCAACATATAAACTTATTCTGTCTGTAGCAATGTGTAATTTTTCCACTGTTAACAATATGTATCTCCTGTGTTACTCTTATATGCTGGCATTTTAGTGCACAACTCAAAAATTGAAAAAAAATTTCAGAAAAATCACATCTCTTCAAGTGACTTTCTACACCGTTTCATCACTAAATGATGCAATCTCAAAATCTGTTGCATCTGGAAAGGTTATTTTCAAGTAGATTAAAGTTTTCAGTCCCCCCTGCAAAGATGGACATGATTTAATTAGGCTAAAATAGTGCACTTTGGTTACTTCCTCTGATCCTGCTTAGGGCAAAAGGAGGAGATTTAGTAAATCTACAGCAGAAAGCCTATCCCTGCTTTGAACTTAAGCATGGTTTATATTTGTGAGGAATTTTTAATGCATTTTAATGTATTTTTTAATGTTTTCCTTTTATGTATTGTATGTGTTCTCTGCAGACTCCCAGGCCTTTAAACATCATTAAACAAAACAACGGTGAGCAGATTATTAGGAGGAGAACAAGAAAGCGCCTTAACCCAGAGGCACTTCAGGCTGAGCAGCTCAACAAACAGCAGAGGGGCAGCAATGAGGAGCAAGTCAATGGAAGCCCGTTAGAGAGGAGGTCAGAAGATCATCTAACTGAAAGTCACCAGAGAGAAATTCCACTCCCCAGCCTAAGTAAATACGAAGCCCAGGGTTCATTGACTAAAAGCCATTCTGCTCAGCAGCCAGTCCTGGTCAGCCAAACTCTGGATATTCACAAAAGGATGCAACCTTTGCACATTCAGATAAAAAGTCCTCAGGAAAGTACTGGAGATCCAGGAAATAGTTCATCCGTATCTGAAGGGAAAGGAAGTTCTGAGAGAGGCAGTCCTATAGAAAAGTACATGAGACCTGCGAAACACCCAAATTATTCACCACCAGGCAGCCCTATTGAAAAGTACCAGTACCCACTTTTTGGACTTCCCTTTGTACATAATGACTTCCAGAGTGAAGCTGATTGGCTGCGGTTCTGGAGTAAATATAAGCTCTCCGTTCCTGGGAATCCGCACTACTTGAGTCACGTGCCTGGCCTACCAAATCCTTGCCAAAACTATGTGCCTTATCCCACCTTCAATCTGCCTCCTCATTTTTCAGCTGTTGGATCAGACAATGACATTCCTCTAGATTTGGCGATCAAGCATTCCAGACCTGGGCCAACTGCAAACGGTGCCTCCAAGGAGAAAACGAAGGCACCACCAAATGTAAAAAATGAAGGTCCCTTGAATGTAGTAAAAACAGAGAAAGTTGATAGAAGTACTCAAGATGAACTTTCAACAAAATGTGTGCACTGTGGCATTGTCTTTCTGGATGAAGTGATGTATGCTTTGCATATGAGTTGCCATGGTGACAGTGGACCTTTCCAGTGCAGCATATGCCAGCATCTTTGCACGGACAAATATGACTTCACAACACATATCCAGAGGGGCCTGCATAGGAACAATGCACAAGTGGAAAAAAATGGAAAACCTAAAGAGTAAAACCTTAGCACTTAGCACAATTAAATAGAAATAGGTTTTCTTGATGGGAATTCAATAGCTTGTAATGTCTTATGAAGACCTATTAAAAAAATACTTCATAGAGCCTGCCTTATCCAACATGAAATTCCCTTCTTTTGTTATTCTTTCTTTTGATGAGTAGGTTACCAAGATTAAAAAGTGAGATAAATGGTCAATGAGAAAGAATGGAAGATGGTAAACAATCACTTTTTAAAACCTGTTAAGTCAAAACCATCTTGGCTAATATGTACTGGGGAAATAATCCATAAGAGATATCACCAGACTAGAATTAATATATTTATAAAGAAAGAGACCAAAACTGTCTAGAATTTGAAAGGGTTTACATATTATTATACTAAAGCAGTACTGGACTGGCCATTGGACCATTTGTTCCAAAACCCATAAATTGTTGCCTAAATTTATAATGATCATGAAACCCTAGGCAGAGGAGGAGAAATTGAAGGTCCAGGGCAATGAAAGAAAAATGGCGCCCTCTCAATTTAGTCTTCTCTCATTGGCCATGTTTCAGATTTTGACCTAGAAATGCGAGCTGTGGTTAGGCTTGGTTAGAGTGCAGCAAGCAACATGACAGATGGTGGCACGCTGTTTTTACCCAGCCCTGCCTGTACATACACATGCACACCCTCTCTGATATTTTTGTCCTTTAGATGTTCAAATACTCAGTAGTCCTTTTGTTTGCGGTTTAGATTCATTTTGTCCACACATGTACCCATTTTAAAAAACAATGTCCTCGATGCTTCTGTAGTGATTTCATTTTAGCCAGGTATTTCTTTCTTGTGTGTGATGAACCAGTATGGATTTGCTTTTCTAAGCCTCCTGTTGGTTACTAATCTCACTTGGCACATTATAACTAAAGGAATCCCCTCAATTCAAAAGCATAGATGGATACAAATGTCAGACCGTGGGTTTAATTTGTTTAGAACACATGGCATTTCTTCACAAGGTAACCTGCTGTATTTATTTATTTTCTTTTGGTTAAATATAATTTCCAAACTTTGTGGTCAGGCAGCGTCTAAGGTTACGTTACCACAGACTGACAGTTGGTATATGTACCAGCCAATCCCTTCATTAAATGTATACAGATTTAGTTAAGTAGCATTAAATAGGATTCTTAGAAGTATGTCCTCATAGAACTTTTAATACTTAAGGCTTTGTAAAAACTATCCATGAAGGGAAAGCTCCTCAGCATAACTGCTCAGGGAAATAGGGCTAAATAACTGAACATTAAATAATTGGTTAAAGGTGCTGTTAGTCGAGCCTCAATGCTTGCTACAAGGATGTATGTACAAGGACTGACTTTAATAATTTGCATTATATTGTCCCAACCAGTAGTTTATTTTTTGCCACGGAGATGTAGAAGATATTACAAGCTACTGGATGCACTGTCAGATTAACTTATTTCATTAAAGAAGTTGGGAGAACAAATAGGAAAAAAAAAACTTATTTTTCTAGTAAATATTAATGTATTACATTTCAAATAATGGTGCCTGACATATTGAATAATTATTTTCTACAGTGTACGTATGCAACAAAGATATTCCATCATGCATTAGAGTCAGTTCTGGCTCTGCCTAGCTGTTTACATTTGCAAATGTAGCAAACAAGGTAATGAAGCAACTATTTCTATTGCAGTAGATATCCTTTTGTGTGTGTGTGTGTGCATTAAAGTTGTAAACGGTAACATGAAACAAATGAAAGTTCTTGCTATAATGGTATGGAAAACAAGAAGGAAATGAAAATATTTTTATGCCTACTTAGGAAAAAAAGGGTAGCACTTATTCATTCCAAGTACTTTTTTTTTTTTAATTTTTAAGCTCTTAACTCACATTGTTATGCTTAAGATGATAAACATATATCCTCTTTTTATTGCTTTGTCTATGTTTCATATGAAACATTTCAGAAATTATTTTGATAAGTGTTGCTGGAATCTGCAACGCTGATTTTTTTTTGCATTCTGTAGTCGCATTTGCACTCCATTTTTACATTAATTCGCAGTTGCTTTGTATCATTGTTTTGTTTGGGTTTTGTTTCTTTTTCACAGTGCCGGGTCTTCGTTTCTTAAAGTTGGATGGCAGGTAGAGTTCAACCAGTTCGTGACTGTTGTAGCGAATGAAGTTAAAAAAATGTCTTTCTGATGTTGTGTTGTCATTTTCATTTTTGCATTTTTTTGTTTGCATATTAAAAAAAGAGAAAAGAGAAAGCAAGAGACAGAAATCAGGACTAAGTCCTCTGCTTCAGTTTCATTGTTAACGGGCCTTATTCTGATCTCACCTGTCGCGTAGCTCTAATATTCACATAAACTGAAATAAAGAAGTGGAATGAGGAGCTTTGACATTCAAATTATGTGATGTAATTTATCTTCCTTAGGAATTTTGATGGATGCATCTCAAAATGTATAGCCAGACTTGAGAGGTGACAATTAAAGATCTAAAAAAGAGAGGAGATTCCCCCAAACAACAATATTTAATTTTCTTAGTAAAAAGAATAACAGAATGCATCGTGGCAATCCTTAAGCAACATTATCTATGTGGACTGCTTAAATCAGCAAAACACCAGAAGTTTGGTTAACTTGGGCAATATGACAAGTATTACTTTTTGGGCAAAACTACTCATTAAGCAATTTCTCTAGTGTGTCGGACACAAATAGGTTCTTTATTTTTGGCATGTATGCCTTTTTATTTTCATTCAATTTTTTTTTTTTCTCAGACAGACATAGTAGTAACGACTAGCATTGGAAAATACATATCACTATTCTTGGAATATTTATGGTCAGTCTACTTTTTAGTAGAATATTTTTGGATAGCGTTGACACGATAGATCTTATTCCATACTTCTTTATTATTGATAATTTTATTTTCATTTTTTGCTTTCATTATTATACATATTTTGGTGGAGAAGAGGTTGGGCTTTTTTGAAAGAGACAAAAATTTATTATAACACTAAACACTCCTTTTTTGACATATTAAAGCCTTTATTCCATCTCTCAAGATATATTATAAAATTTATTTTTTTAATTTAAGATTTCTGAATTATTTTATCTTAAATTGTGATTTTAAACGAGCTATTATGGTACGGAACTTTTTTTAATGAGGAATTTCATGATGATTTAGGAATTTTCTCTCTTGGAAAAGGCTTCCCCTGTGATGAAAATGATGTGCCAGCTAAAATTGTGTGCCATTTAAAAACTGAAAATATTTTAAAATTATTTGTCTATATTCTAAATTGAGCTTTGGATCAAACTTTAGGCCAGGACCAGCTCATGCGTTCTCATTCTTCCTTTTCTCACTCTTTCTCTCATCACTCACCTCTGTATTCATTCTGTTGTTTGGGATAGAAAAATCATAAAGAGCCAACCCATCTCAGAACGTTGTGGATTGAGAGAGACACTACATGACTCCAAGTATATGAGAAAAGGACAGAGCTCTAATTGATAACTCTGTAGTTCAAAAGGAAAAGAGTATGCCCAATTCTCTCTACATGACATATTGAGATTTTTTTTAATCAACTTTTAAGATAGTGATGTTCTGTTCTAAACTGTTCTGTTTTAGTGAAGGTAGATTTTTATAAAACAAGCATGGGGATTCTTTTCTAAGGTAATATTAATGAGAAGGGAAAAAAGTATCTTTAACAGCTCTTTGTTGAAGCCTGTGGTAGCACATTATGTTTATAATTGCACATGTGCACATAATCTATTATGATCCAATGCAAATACAGCTCCAAAAATATTAAATGTATATATATTTTAAAATGCCTGAGGAAATACATTTTTCTTAATAAACTGAAGAGTCTCAGTATGGCTATTAAAATAATTATTAGCCTCCTGTTGTGTGGCTGCAAAACATCACAAAGTGACCGGTCTTGAGACCTGTGAACTGCTGCCCTGTTTAGTAAATAAAATTAATGCATTTCTAGAGGGGGAATATCTGCCATCCAGTGGTGGAAATGTGGAGTAAAGAAGCTGGTGGTCTGCTTCTGTGCTGTATGCCAGCCTTTTGCCTTAAGTTGAGAGGAGGTCAACTTTAGCTACTGTCTTTGGTTTGAGAGCCATGGCAAAAAAAAAAAAAGAAAAAAAGATCAAGTCGTCTTTGGTGAGCCAGTAAGGTGAAAGCTTGCTGACTGTCCAAGGCACAAGAGAAAATTGAGGAATTGAAATGCAACCTGAGTATCAAACTAAATATTCTAATCAAAGGTAGGTACTGTTAGGTGGAATTCTATCAGCAGGCAACTGCAAATGAGAAGAAGATAGAAGGACGCCCGTCGGGACTTTGGAGGGCATTGTTATTTTCCCAAAGAAAGACGGCCAAGGGCAGAGGCATGGATTCTTTGCAGAGCACTTCCTTTTGGTTTTTCAGTACTGTTTCATAGACAGTGGGCTCACATGTTCCTGATAGTGCTGCAGTTGCTTAGAAAGCATCCCAGTTAATTGCAGTAATTAGAACTTCTGGAATATGCTAGGGCAGAAGTATGTCAAGTATGTCACATGAAGAAAATGTGAAATTCAAGAGTAATCCACACGTGAGAAACTAGACAATGTACATTCATGTGTTCTCTTGAAAGGAAAGGGAGAGCTGTAAGCTTCACTCTGTCCTACACCGGAGAAAAGCAGGAATAACTTTACCGTGGAAATAATGTTTAGCTTTTATCAGAGAAAATTGTCCTTCTAGAGCATAGAGTCCCAAAACTCAATTCTGGTTTTCCCCTGTTTTTTTTTTTTTTTTTTTTCCCAACATATAAACTGCAGCATATCACTTTTTCTTTTTGTGCCTCAGGTTCCTCAGCTGTAAAATTGAAAAATATATGTATTAATAATATTATTAATAATAATAATGGTAATGTAGTACTTGTTTGTAAAGCACTTTGAGATCCTTGGTTGAAAGGCACCATAGGAGTGCCAAGTATTATTATGTGGCCAAGGGGGTTATTTAAACTGTCAGTTCCCAAAGGCCAGGAAAGGTTGGGGTCATTTTTCTTAAAGACGAGCTGTAAATATCAACTAGGCAGCCAATAGTGTTGACTATGAAGATGCAAAACTATTACTAGGCTGATAAAATCATAGTTTCTTAATGGCTACCAATAAGGCAAATATCACAATAATAAACGCCAAATTCCTTAGGGCGGACTATTTGACAACCACATGGAAAACTTTGGGGGAGGCATGAGGGGGGAACATCTCAAAATGCCAATGTAAAATTTAACTTACAGCAATATTCACCAGCAGAAAATGTCTTTCATATGGAATGATTTCATGTTGCTAAGAAAAAGAATTCAATTTGTAGTCCTGATTTGAATACTAGAATGTTGGCTATAATAGTTCTGTTCTTACAACACATGAAATTTTTTCGTTTTATTTTATTTTGTTTTCATAGTGCATGTTCATTTCTACTCACAAACATGTTCTTGGTGTATTTCTTATGCAAACAATCTTCAGGCAGCAAAGATGTCTGTTACATCTAAACTTGAATAATAAAGTTTTACCACCAGTTACACATAACGGCGTTGGTATGGTTTATATGGATTCACTTTCATCCTTCTAGCAATAGGAAATACAGATCATTGTAATATATATATATATATATATATATATATATATATATATATATATATATATATATACAGGCTCTGCTGAATTGAAATGGTGAAATCAAATCACCATTCTAAAAAATTATTACTTATATTGATAAAGCCTGGACTCTCTCAACTTGTTGTGCTTTGATTTTTTTTCTTAAACAAACACTCTCTCACTGATATATTTTGTGTAAAAAGATATATACTACTTTCTCCAGAGAGATAACATAAAAATGTGTTTATTTCAAAAACATTCAGTTGAGTATCAAATATTGAGTGTCGAGTATTGGGTAATGATTATGTTACGATGTGTAAAAACTCCTGCTTATGAAGTTTAACTTTGAATTCGGTATACTCATGTGAACATGATGCAATTCCTAATCAATCATCTCAAAAAGTTTAAATTAATATATCAAATATCTTATTTGTTTGGTTAAAATCAAATTAATCAGGGCAAGTTCCCTGAAAGATGACTTTGAAAGAGAAATGAGGCAGAACAGATCCAGATAGGAAAGGACGTTGGCAAGACTCACCTGCATGTTTTTAACCAGAAGGAAAAATACAAAAAGACAGAACATAAAGTATATAAATAATTGATTGCTTCAGAAGATTTGCTTGGAGAGTTTAAAATAATTAGTATCTCCCCTCATTATACAATCTTCATTTCTCATTTTTGGGAGCCCAAATTAAGGAACAAATCCTTCTAATTATTATTTTTTTTTCTTTTTTCCCTTTTTCTTTCCATGTTTTGAAAATAGCAGAGAGTCTTTGAGGGGCTTTCATAATGGCAATGCCCTTGCTTTGCAGCTGGAGGCAATGTTCTCTAGATAAGAGTGTAATAATAACATTTAATGTGATATACTTCCTTAAGTAGAACTTGATTCTTGTGTCAAGGACCACCCTTCAGATAAAGAATACACATGATCTCACCCAGGACTGTCAGAACCCCATTAGAGGAGGAATATGTAGCCATCAGCTATTTACCCTTGTTTGCGGGGAGAGAAGTGAGTGAGTCATCATTGTCACTCTGCTCTCACCTCTGGGTCTTCCATCTCTGTGTGGACGGAGCAGGGGTCCAGAAAAGGAACATACAAGGACACAAAGGAATAGGCAAGTAGCCTCCATGGATACAGCCAGCTGGGTAGAGACTTTGGGAACTGGAGAGCTCATTCCACACGTATAAAGGTAGTCTTTCTTCAGCCCTAAGCATTTGTGAAGGGAGAATGCTTAACTTCCGTTTGCCAGATTTTCAGTTTTTAATAAAAACTGGACAAAGGGAATTTTATTGTATGAAATCTCCCTAAGTTTTAAATGTTAGTTACTTACTTTTTTGTTTTAATACTGCAAGCTGAACAAAACACTTGCTCAGAATAAATTCCACCAGTAGATTGCCATAGTATGACCCCTGGAGCTTAAACAATAGTGAACTCTGATAACTAGCAAGGTGGAAATTGGGCAAATGGCTGAGGTTAGTTGTTTTTCCTCTGGGTTTTGTCTTGGGTTGCAGTCTGTCTCCAGCTCTACCAGGAAGCCCAACAGAATCACGGTTGTAGCAGCTGTCTGATTCCTTCAGAGCCAAATTTGCTCAAGACTAAGAACATTGGCACAGAAGAGAAATAAATCCTATTTTTTCAGCATACCGCAAATTACTTTGTACTTCTGTTCTTCATCTTTGTAACCTCAAGTACAGTTGTGTTGTTTTTAAAACATACTGATATGAACAAATTTGCCCTTTCATGAACAAAGAAATGTCAAAAACTATCAAAAGTAGCTGGAATTAATATTTGCCAATGCCCAAGATGCCCTTATAGTCAGTCCTCTCCAAGTCATATTTTAGAGTGACAATGCCAGGGATAGAAAACTAAATAGAACAATAGATAGAAGGAAGGAGTTTTTCATGTCAGAGTTGATCATATTAATGAATTAAAAAACAATTTGTATACAAAATAAGAAATTTTATAATGAAATCTTATTTCTAGTTTTATAATACTGTTATCTAATGTATTCAGGATGTCAGTAGTCCTAAGACCATCTTTCATAAATGTAGTATTTATATAAAATACTTACATGAAGCAACAGCTGGTTCTTCTCTCAACTTACGGCTTAATAATAACAAGCAGAAAACATTAACAAATATAATAGAAATTACTTAAGTTATTTCCATAAATAGAAAGTTAATTTCCAAGTTAAAACTACACAAGCACTAAACTGTAAGCAGTTTCCCAGGGATATTTATGAACCCAAACCCATGAATACATCACAGACTTTCTCAGAACATGTACCACCTCTGATGTGAAAGCAAAGCCTGCCATCACCATGATTACACACTAGTTTTTAAAGTTAATATAACATAGAACTGACAGTATTTTCTTCAGAGCTTAAATTTCCTTAGATATTTTCTTTCTACATAGTAGGTACTACTCAATGTAATTGATGTATCTTTAAAAGAATACATATATAGCGGTGATTTTGCAAAGCATGAATTGTTATCATCATGATGGTATATTTTCTATAATTATGTTTTTTACAATTACCTTGATGATTTTTTCCCTCTAGTGAAATCAGCATTGCCGTTATTTTGTTATTCATTGGTCATACTATATAGTACAAACCCAGGCTTCATTAAACAATGTCCATTTGGTCAACAGATTTTAACTGAGTATTTACTATGTGCTGGGCTCTAGTCCAGACATTTGGGATAGATCAATGAAAGAAAACAGACCCAAACCCCTGGCTATATGGAAGAAAGTCAGACAATAAACATATGTACAAAATAAGCAAATATATTAATAACATTACATGTTAGAGAGTGATAAATGTTCTGGAGAAAAAATAAAGTAGCATTAAGGCAAGGTGGGGTGAATGGAACCATATTCAATAGGCTAAACAGTAGGTTTCGTTTGAGCCAAGACTTAAAAGAGGGAACAAAGAGAATAGGTCCTAAGGTGAAAGAGTGTACCTAGTAAATTGGAAGAATATCAAGAAGACCAATACAGCGTGGCCAGGTAAAGGAAAGAAAAAGTATTTTAAAATGCACACAGAGACAAGGTGGGAAGAAGCGAGACCATTTAGAAACACTGTAGACCACTTTAAAGACTATAGCTTTTATTCTGTCTGAAGTAGGGGAGTAATTTAGTGTTTCAGCACAGGAGTGTTACGTGATTTATGTTTTAATGGGACCATTCCCTACTATGCTTAAAGTAAATCATGAGATGTGAGGAGACAAGGATAGAAGCCAGGAGACCAGGGAGGAGGCTAATTCAGTAATCTCTGTAAGAGATGAGAAGTAGAGAAAGTAATTTAAATTTCAGATAACATTTTGAAGGTAGAACAAACTAGATTGCCTAGATATGGGGTGTGAAAAAACAGAAGGGTCAAGAATTATTCCAAGATT
This sequence comes from Homo sapiens, assembly GCF_000001405.40. Taxonomy (NCBI): domain Eukaryota; kingdom Metazoa; phylum Chordata; class Mammalia; order Primates; family Hominidae; genus Homo; species Homo sapiens. The sequence goes on along the minus strand of NC_000008.11, from coordinate 115,405,024 downwards.
TCTAGCCTGAGCAACAGGAAGAGTATCTGCTGTAAACAAAGGGGAAGATTATTGGTAGATCAGATTTGGTGTAGGAAAGAAAAGGAGTTACATTTTGGGCATGCTACATTTAAGATCCAAATAGAAAGGTCAAGTAGACTGTTGGAGCTGAAGAGGGAGTTGGGAGTTAATCATTAGCTTATAGATGGTATTTAGAACTCTGAGATTGGCTGAGATCATCTAGCGAAGTAAATGGAAGGAAAAATGGGTCCAAATTTGTAAATGTGGGAAACCAGGAGACTCAACAAACCTGAAGGGGAGTCTCTGAGATAGAAAGAAAAAGGAGTAAAGTATATTAGAAGCCAAGTAAACAGAACTATATCAAGAAGGAGGGAGTAATTTATCTTAAAAAAATCTGCTATTGATAAGTCAAGTACGATACTGTCTTAGTCTGTTTTGTGTTGCTATAAAAGAATACCTGAGACTGGGTAATTTATAAAGCGAAGAGGTTTAGTTAGCTCACAGTTATGCAAGATATACAAGAAGCATGGTGCTGGCATCTGCTCAGCTTCTGGTGAGGGCCTCAGCCTGCTTCCACTCATGGCAGAAGGCAAAGGGGAGCCCAATGTGTGCAGAGATCACATGCTAAGAGAGAAAATCAGAGAGAGAGAGGGGCAGGTGCCAGGCTCATTCTAACAGTGTTCTCTTGTAGGAATTAATGAAGTAAGATCTCACTCACCCTTAAAGGAGGGCATTAATCTGTTCATGAGGGACCCATCCCCATAATTCAAACATTTCCCATCAGGCCCACCACCAATGTTTGGGGATCAAATTTCAACATGAGGTTTGAAGGGGACAAATATCCAAACCATAGCAAATACATGTAGTGGATTGGCCATTGGCTTTAGCAACATGAAGGTCACTGATATGAAAAGGGAGCTATATAATTTGCGGGGCCCACAGCAAAATGAAAATTTGAAGTCCCCTTGTTCAAGGATTAAGAATATCAAGATGGTGAGAGGACATTCAACAAAACTCAGGGCCATTGTAAGGAATGGCCTCTGTGCAACTACAGAGGGTGGGGTGAACTAAGAAGAGAATATTGCATGCCCACGAAGCTGGCCCTGGTCAATAGTGATATTAATGAGAGTAGTTTTGGTGGAGAAATGGGTGTGAGAGCCTAATAGAATAAATTTAAGAGCGAGTAGGAAGAAGGAATTGGAGAACTAAGTATGAAAACATTTGGGGGAGCTTTGCTGTAAAGGGGACCAGAAAAATGAGGTAATAACTGGCAAGAGATGTTGAATTAATAGAAAGTTCTTGTTCTTCTTTTTGTTTTCATTTAGTATGGGTGAAACAAGAACATGTTTCTTTGCTAAGGAGGATGATGCAGTAGGGAGGACTGTATTAATCTAACAGAAGAGAGAGGATGAAATAGTGGGAGTGATGTTCTTTAATAGGTGAACAGGTGAAAGAAGATAGGATCTAAGACCCAAGTGCAGAAGATGACTTTAGAAAAGAAAGAAATAGTTCATGTTCATAACCAAAATTGCCAAAGCAGACTGCATGGACAGGGATGTTGGTACATGCATGGATGTGATGGTGGGATCTCCAAAAGCTGTTTTTGTGATAAAATATTTTTTATTGTGCCACTACTGTTCAGTTTATTACTCCTTTTAGAACCCCAAGTATTCCATTAAGAACTTAGGTAATTTATACAATAAATAAGTTGACACTGTTTGTTTATATCCAACGGCATTTGAATATTTGGATAAAGTTGAAAAACTCCCACTTGACTAAAGCTGGTATTTGAATCTCATTTTAAAAATTGCTTCTATAAAAATCTGCCCCAACTATTCATTTTGTTTAGTTATTTCAAAATATTATTTCTCATTTTCTTATATTTTTAAAAAGACAGCAGGCACTTTTGTTGTGCTAATAAAGACCACCATAGGAAGTATAGTATTCCCAGTTTCTCTTAATATCATCTTATAAATTCCTGAAGATGCACCCTATAAAATGCAGGTTTTTACTGAGTGCTCCTTGTGGTTGGTTTTTTGAGTGACTTCATTCATGTCTGTTGAGTACTGATTCTGGACTCAGAACTGGGCAAGAGCAATAGAAGACACAAAAGAAAGTTAAATTTTGTACCTACACTTGATGTTTTCACAGATGTGCAGGCAATGAAGTTATAAGATTGCCTTGTTATAATGTTTTCTCATTTAGGGGTATTTTCTGAACTTCAGTTGTTGAATTAAATATTGTAGTACTCTTGACAGAAAATCTTCCCATTATCTTAATATAATTCCATCGGAATTTTTGGAGAAATACGTGTATTATTACCACTGATACTTTCAAAAATGGGATAATATATTTAGTGGAAAGCCTTTGTTATTTTATTAGTTGTAGTAACTTCTAAGAAGGTGCTAAAGATATCTAATAAATTTAAAATCAAAACTTTAAAGCCTAATTCAAGTGAACCTCAATGAGCCACATAATTTTTAGAGAAGGAAATTCCTGTAGTTTTTCCTATCATGTGTTAATCCTTAAATTGTAACCCAGCAATCTTACTTTCTGCATGCTTGTAAACATGAAGTGAAGATAAGTCACCTCATCGTCAGTGGCAAATGTTTATTGTAACTGAAAAACACAATTCGGGTATGTTGTCTGTTATTCTTACATTACTGACCCATGACAGCAATTGAAACTTCAATATTCTCAAAAGCAGTAAAAAAAAAAAAAGAAAAAAAATCTGTTTTTCAGAACTAGTGCCAGCTGGTGATGATTTCTCTGACAGTCCCATATTTAAAGACAACAGTGAAGCTTTACTTTGGTGTTAAGTTGTCCGCAGCAATAGCCTAGGGAAGCCTTTCTCACTTAATGCCTTTGTGGCCTAAGCCATCTAATTTGCTTTCAAGCACTGTTATCTCACTAGAAATTTAGTGTCCAAGAAGAAATGGATTGTCATTCCCTTTTGAAGACATTGGATTCTTGCTGATCCATTTCATGGGCATTTTAAACATTATTTTATTAAACTAAAGTTTGGTACAAACACAACTTCCAGGAGCATGTCCTTTAATTCAAATAAATGTCCTCACTCTAACGAACTGAGGGTAGATAAATTATCATTTCCTTAATTGATTAGAAAGATGAGCATGTCTTTTACAGTAGTCCCGTCCTTAATGTTTCCGTCCCAAGCTGTGCTCACCCTAACTCAAGTATGAAAGCACTAAAACTTCCTCCATTTGGCCTTCCTGCTCCAACCAACTGAACATTGAAAACAAACTCTAAAATGTTTTATAGTCAACAAATACTTATTTTTTCAAGACAAGCACTAAAATGAAGCTCTGTTGATAGTTAAACTCATAAGATATTATGTCATACAGAAATATATTTTAATATTTGTTAAATGTATAAACACCCACCGAAAAATAGTACTGCTTATTGGCACATACCACTTTTCATGATGATTTTAAATAATTGATCATTTTAAGATGGACTGATAAGATAAAAATCAATAATATTATAAGCATTAATACTTTGGATTATGTTTTAAATTTCTTTGGTCTGGGAGGAAGACATGAAAAATAACAACAACAACAACAACAAAGACCACAATTTTACAAGTTGTTTTAACATGATGACTTCTATTCAGGGGGCAGTTGTAATGGAAATCTTGGAAAAGTTTTATCAACAGGTCTCATAACATCAAAATTTTCAGTACCAGTAATGAACTAGGATTCAAGCAATCATCAAAGAGATTCTTTATTTTCTTTTTTTACATTATGTTTTCCCCCAAAAGATGTTTGTTTATACATTTGTTTTTAATAGAAATAAATGGTGTTACTTTGCATTGTGCCAAATCAGTTATCATATAACCAGCAGCCATTTGTCAATAAACATACAGAGTTTATAAAAGCAGACAACCAGAACAAGCAATGCTGTCTTACTATCTTACTATAAATTCAAATGTTACTATCTTACTATAAATTCAAGAGCCAATGCTGGCCCTTTAAGAGTCCTATGCAGATTATTCTGTACGAAGAGTTGAGTACTGCATCTTCTAGGCATCTATTAATCTCCTATTTCCTAAGATGACTAAGTCAATTTGGCCTTATCCATAAACATTTCTAAAAATTCGCTTGCTCAGGGGTTACATCTTTATATACGGTATCCTTATGTATAGTGTACCATCACAATGGTTTTGGTGGTAAATAAAATAACTAGATCATTATTTAATTTTTAGATTGTTGAAATATAACTCTCAAAATGGAAAAAATGTAATTCTTACATAAAAACGACATAAATGCAACAATATAATTCTCACAGGGAAAGTGAGCTCATGGAAAATTTGTAATTAACCCACTTATGAGGAAACGTGCAACATGGCAAAGCTGGTTCAAAACAAAAAAAAAAGAAAGATTCAAAAAGAATACAGAAATTAGATTGCTAAATTAGATGCAAGATAGTTTATATCCTGCTGGGAAATAATGATCCTAATCTTTTGAATTATCGTTACTGCTAGATAGAAACTGTTTACCTCCACTATGGACATAAGATCATCTGTGTCTGAAAAGTTTTCTACAAGATAACTTTACAGAGATATAAAATATAATAGGTATATTCTTATAGAGAGTAGAATATCCCTTAAGATAAAAATGTTTTAGATGATGCTTAGTGTGACATTGAAAGGTCAAGAGGTCAGCGTTTTTGCCTTATTTCCAAATTTGGTGATTTTTTTCTTAATAAAATATAGAAGAATCTGAAAAAGTATTAAACTTTTTGCAACTTTCCATAGCTTTCACTTCTAAAAATGAAAGTTACTTCTTCCTGTAAACTGCTAAGTGTCATGAATGACAGTTATATAAAACAACATGAATGTACTATTTTGAAGAAAATAGTGAATGAATTTTATTTGCCAGACATAACTGAAATAAAACTCACCACAATAAAATTACCAGATTATTCAAAAATTATCACTACTTCTTGCATATGCTCAGCTATAAGAATGAGGAAAAAAATGAAGATTTAAAAGCTAGGATATTCAAAGTACATTTATAGGGAAACATAAATGTCTTTTTTTCCATTTTGAAGAAGCTTTTCTGCTCTCATTCAAGATTTATGAATTACTATAGCTTCCCTCTCTTTCAAAACATCATGAAGTGTACCAAAAATTCACCTTTGGGCAAAGGATATTTACTAGATTTATTTTTAGGAAATCACAACAAAATAACTCCCCTACCCATTATTTATCTCTATAATTCAAGTCATTATTTTTAAAATAAGATACTGACGATACAGATACTACTTGTAGATGAATTTCTTCTCCAACAACTTGCCTTTGGTCTATTTCAGAAAACATTTTTATATCTATCAGAAGAGGGCAGGGAAGGGAAGAGGAGGTAAACATATATTAGAATGACTTTATTGCTTACAATCAATAAGGACAGAGTTCATTTCTTCTTTGTTCTTAATTTATAACACTGGATCCAGTAATAGTGCATATTCAGTAAACATTTTTTTAGATTCAATGAGATCATTTGTTAACAGCTCTGAAAATGTTTACTGTGAAAAGAGGTTTTAACAAAAGAATAACTTTTGGGAATTATTTTGAGAATGAAACTCTAGGAATAGCTTTCTGTTTTTAAAACTTAGTATTTACTGAAATTATTTTAAACATATTAGCCACTGAATAAATACTTATTGATTAAATCATGAAGGCTCAAGGACTGGCTGTATTTAACGAAGGGCTGGAAATACAGGTGAACAATCTATATCACTAAAATAGAAACTGCCAAATCCAAGTCCGTTCTTTTTTTTTTTTTTTTTAATACTTTAAGTTCCAGGGTACATGTGCACAACGTGCAGGTTTGTTACATATGTATACATGTGCCATGTTGGTGTGCTGCACCCATTAACTCGTCATTTGCATTAGGTATATCTCCTAATGCATCCCTCCCCCCTCTTCCCACCCCATGACAGGCCCCATTGTGTGATGTTCCCCTTCTTGTGTCCAAGTGTTCTGAATGTTCAATTCCCACCTATGAGTGAGAATATGTGGTGTTTGGTTTTTTGTCCTTGCAATAGTTTGCTGAGAATGATGGTTTCCAGCTCCATCCATGTCCCTACAAAGGACATGAACTCATCCTTTTTTATGGCTGCATAGTATTCCATGGTGCATATGTGCCACATTTTCTTAATCCAGTCTATCATTGTTGGACATCTGGGTTGGTTCCAAGTCTTTGCTATTGTGAATAGTGCCGCCTACTTCCTGGTTCATCAATGGCCATCTTTTCTTTGGGTCCTTCCATGGTGGAAGGACCCAAAGAAAAGATGGCCATTGATGAACCAGGAAGTAGGCCCTCACCAGACACTGAGTCTGCCAGTGTCTTAATGTTAGACTTCCCGCCTGCCAGAGCTATGAGAAATAGATGTCTATCATAGCCACCCAGTCTATAGTATTTTCTTACAGCAGCACAGATGGACTAAGACTAGCTACTTCAAAATCAACAGAAATCCTGTAACATGCCTTTCCCTGTTGAAATGATATGGATATGTTTTAAAGAAAAGTCCTTCTGAAGTCCATCTACAATCTGTATATGGCAACAAAAAAAGTATGACTTACAGACAATCCTTAAGTTTTATTGACTGGGGAAAATTTGCTATTTGTCAGTTTTTAAACATAATTTTCTATTTCTTTCATCAAAAATTGATTTGTTTGTCAAAAGACATTTTTGATTACCTGTATCATGAAAACTATATGTCTTCTCCTATAATAAATTATGTCACTAGGTAACATTACTGCATCGTAAAAACCAGGGAACATTCCTAGCTGTCTCCTTTTTTCTCACCCCTGTGTCCAATCTTGGAAGAAGCCCTGCTCATTTTACTTGCTAAGCAGTTTTCTAATCTGCCACCTACTCTCTGCATCCCTTAGCTCTGCCCCATTTGAGGCATCTTTCTTCAGGGCATGGCCATCCCATTGTCGTGGCAGACTTGGAAATAGCTTCTACATAGCTTCCACGTGAACTTTATAAAATGCAAATCTGACCTTGCTATTCACCTACATCAAGACCTTCATGCTTCCTGCTTAGTTTACAGAATAAAACACAAGTGGTTTTGCATAGGAAAGACTTCAATGACTGGCCCCCGTTGACCTTGACAGCTTCATCACTCATTACTCCCAGGCAAAACTAAGCTGGTTCTAATTTCACAAACACATCAAGGACTTCTCACATCTGTATCATTACTTGTACTGTTTCCTCTGATTTGAATGCCCTCCCCACATTTATTTGCCTATCTTTCTCATTACTAAAGTGCTGAGGCTAAGATCAGAAATTACCTCTTAACATGATTTCCCTGAATAGGGTGCTGAAAATTCCCCTCCTCTGGACTTCCTGGCACACACCGATCTTTTCACTCACGTAGTATTGAAATAGTCTACCTTCCTATGTGAGAGCCACGCTTGAAATGTGGCTAATGTGACTGAGCAACTTTTTTTTTTATTTTCTTTACATTAAATAAGTTCAAGTAGCTAATGGCTACTGCATCAGACCATGCAGCCCTAGGCTCTCCCTGAAGGTTTACAGGTTATGTTGCTCTACTGCAGGGAAAGTAAGGACACCAGCAGCTTAATGTCCTTTCTTGCCATTTGTTTCTATGGTAAAAAGCTCAGTATTTAATTATAAACACTTTATGTGAATTAATGTTACAAGCACCAAAAAGAGTCATTTAAAAATATCAAGGATTTTGTTCTAATTTATTGAATAATTTACTTTGGTAAATATACTAAAGTCACTTTGTATCATAATAATAAGTCTCTGACTCTGTAGTCAGCTGGAACATGCTTTTCTCCATGGGCCTTTTTAACCACTGTGAAAAATTGATTATACTGCATTTGATCTCAGGTTTACAGTATCAGAGTATTCATGTATTTCTGGATATTATTGGTGGTTTTATAAAACAAGGAGAAAGAAAACCTGTGAATAATTTTCCAACTTCAACCTTAATTTCAATATTTTTAAATTTAACTGACAAGGTAATTATCCCAGAAATTGTCTTAACTAAATGATTTGTGAAACTATGATTGTCCCATTAAAATGACAGAGTACTCAATCAGGAGAGAAAAATGGTTCTCTGAGGTTTGGCCCTATTAAACAGGTTCTTTATATTATTATCCACTTCTCATTTTGAATGCATGCAGCTGTGTGTTTCTCCGTGCAGGAGGAAAAGTGTCACTGCCAGAAGATGGCTAATGTCAGTGTAGAACAGTGCAGCAGAGGGGTGAGAGTGCAGATGCTGGGGGCAGATTGCCTGACTGGAATCCCACTTCTACTGCTCACTGGTAATATGACAGAAGCAATTCAGTTGCCTACTATCTACCTCAGTTTCCTCATCTCTAAATGGGGGTGATAATTTGATCTATCATGAGGATCTGGATTCTGCTGCAATAAAAACCCTCACATCTTAATTTTATTAAAAACAGAGGATGTTTCTTGCTAACACTACATGCTCATCTCAGATTGGCTGGGCAATCAGCTTCATTTCAGTCTGGCTCAAGGACATACGTGGACATAGCAGTCACTATCTGGATGTTGCCAGTTGCTATGCTGGAGGAGAAAGAGCCCAGGAGGGTCTCACTCAAGCAAGTGTATTCATCCAGAAGTGACCTACATCACTTATACTCAAATTCATTGGCCGGATCGGTTCAAAGTCAAAGAAGTGCAGTCTTACCCCATGCTCAAAAGAGACACCAACTAGAAATATTCAAGGTGGCAATGATTCTCACAGCAGTTATACCTATATCATACAATTGAGAGATATCTTAGACAAATATCTTGGAACAGGACATGAAGTAAGTTATATTCATTATCTATGTGAAGAGCAAATGCATGATGGGAAATTAGATTATTCCAGTTTCAGGTCAAACTAAGTGATTTTGAAACCTCAACTCTTCTGAGGCCAAGTAATCTGTGGAGGAAAAACTGCTATAAAGGTATTGGTTAATATTTTACTTCCTTCAAGTGTGATATATATTAATAGGAAATTTTGATTAGAATTTTTCATTAGTAGGTCATTTATTCATTTGTACATTCAACAAGTATTTATTGAGGGCTTCTTATATAAAGACACTATGCTAAGTTCTGGGGATATAGTGGTGAACAAAACACTATCCCCTTCATGGGAGATTTAATGTTAAATATATCACACACAAATACTCACTTAGGATTGTGGTAAATGCTACAGGGAATTCCCATGGAGGTGATAAAATTGATGATAAATATATGGGGGTTTTGTAAATCTTCAAAGTAAACTGTATAATCATTCTTCCATTGTATATATTAATACAGTCAGGTAGTAAACATCAACAAATTTTATGGTCTGGGCCTGTAGTAGGCACCAGAAATACGCAGATTGCTGGGACACGATACTTTCCATGAGGAGCTCAGTCTACTTCAGAAACATCCACATATAAAAATCATCTTAGGCCGGGCACGGTGGCTCACGCCTGTAATCCCAGCACTTTGGGAGGCTGAGGTGGGTAGATCATTTGAGGTCAGGAGTTTGTAACCAACTTGGCCAACATGGTGAAACCTCATCTCTACTAAAAATACAAAAATTAGCCGGGCATGGTGGCAGGCGCCTGTAATCCCAGCTACTGGGGAGGCTGAGGCAAGAGAATCACTTGAACCCCTGATGCAGAGGTCGCAGTGAGCTGAGATCAAGCCACTGCACTCCAGCCTGGGCAACAGAGTTAGACTCTGTCTCAAAAAAGAAAAAAAATCATCTTAATTTGGCACAATAAATACTATGACTCAAATGAACTGACAAGTACTTAGGACAGGAATTTATTCCATATTGGGGGAGTGAATATCAAAAATAGCTTCTGGGAGGAGCATACAACTAAAACCAGGTTTGATACATCACTAAGAGTTCACTGGACAGAGATGGCGAAAACCATTCTAGGTGGAAATGTGCAGAGGTATGAACATGGAAACAAATGTTGTGTAGATTAAGAATGACATGTAGTTCATAGTGTTTAGAGGGTGGAAGTGGTGGGTCATCAGGCTGGAGATCCTGGTAGGTAACATCAAGGGGTAGCCAACGCCATGCTGACTTTGGGATTTCTATCAAAGGCAATAAAGAGAAATGAAGGAAGTTTAAGCAAAGAATGTGACTAGATCATATTTTCACTTTACAAAGATACCACTAATAGTAGGATAGCTAGATGGCATTCAAGATAGGAGGAAGTCAGATCAGTGAAGAGTCTGTTGCAACTATGACCAAGGGAGGATTTATTTCAGAAATGCAGTGGTAGTTCAAAATATAGAAATGAATCAATGTAATACACTTAATGTATTTGATTATGTATTAGTCTGTTTCCACACTGCTGATAAAGACATACCCGAGACTGGGCAATTTACAAAAGAAAGAGGTTTAATGGACTTACAGTTCCAAGTGGCTAGGGAGGCCTCACAGTCGTGGTGGAAGGCAAGGAGGAACAAGTCACGTCTTACATGGATGACAGCAGGCAAAGAGAGAGCTTGTGTGGGGAAACTTCCCTTTTTAAAACCATCAGTTCTCATGAGACTTATTCACTATTACAAGAACAGCACAAGAAAGAACTGCCCCTATGATTCAATGACCTCTTACCAGGTCCCTCCCACAATACATGGGAATTCAAGATGAGATTTGGGTGGGGACACAGCCAAAGCATATCAGATTGAATGTAATACCTTCAATGGAATAAAGGGCAAAATTCACGTGATTATCTCAGTAGATTCACAAAAAGCTTTTGACAATGTTAGTCACTTCTTCATGACAAAAACACTCCAAAACCTAGAAAGAGAAGGCAACTTCATCAACCTTATAAAAGGCATCCATGGAAAACCCATAGCTTTTATCATAATTAATGGTAAAATAAGACTGAAGTCTTTCCCCACTAAGATCAGAAACAAGACAAGGCTATTTGCTCTTGCTACTTCTTTCAACATTGTACTGGTGTGCACACCACTTTCTCCATCGAATATTTAACCATCAGTCTCTTCATTTAAAAATTCATTGTGGTAGAGATAAGTTACCAAAGAACAATTAAGAAAAGAAATAGAAGATAACCAAATACTATGGACTTAAAATTGAATTACCCCAAATATTTTATATTTTTTAAACAGAATACTTTTGTTATACTGCATGATCAGAGGAATATTATAATAGATATAGTATCATGTACATATAATATATCTAACATTACATATATATGCATATATATACATATATATGCTCAAATAAGTTTGAGAAGAAGTAAGTTAAACAGTTTTCTTTTATGCAGAAGAACACCTCAGAAGTGTTGGGACTCCTTTGAGGAAATGACTTTGACTTTTTTGGAGTTGACAGAAATCTCCTTGAGAAACTGTCCTGATACCTTAAATACATGGTTCACATAATTGCCTTACAGGTGGGTAAAGGATGTCACTTCTTGGCAGGCCCAAGAACCTCAAGATATTTTGGGTCCCTCAAGCAGAGGGGTATTCACCAAACTCGTACAGGTATTAGACACAGTCTGATGACAGTCCTTGGCCTGGCTCCTTAACCTTGACAGGCTGTTTTAAAAAGTCTGATTTTAGATTCCTTGTGAAAAATTCCAGCTAAGCCAACTTAAAAAAAAAAAAAAAAGCCTTATGAGAAATCACTATTCTTGAAGCACTTTATGCAAATAATCAGGTGAATTATAATAAGATTAAAACTTATTTTGCAAGTAAATTGATCTTTAGTAGAAATGGGGGACTGGAGAGAGAATAGTTATGTTTCACAAGAAAACCTATAGTACACCTCTTATTAGATTCCAGCTCATTGTTTTTGAGATTTTATTCTTTACATGCAATTTGAACTGGATCTTTATTTTTTATGGTTTCCTCTAATACCTGACTGTGAATCTCAAAACTAACATTTTAATTTCTTTTTTCTCTTGTCCTTCTGACTTGGAATCACAAAAATTAAACTTCTCTTTTCCTGCTGCCTAAAGTAGTCAAATTGGCTTTAAGGAAAAATTACCACAACAGATTATATATGGGCGAACATTGTACATGCAAACCAGAAAAATCTACCAGAACGCCACTAACCTTCTTAGCTGACTGCCCTTCAGACTCGAAAGAAACTAGCTTATAGGCTGGTTGAAACATTAACTTTTGGTTTTTTTCTGTTTCTATAGAAATGCCTCTTGTTAAAGACCTATTTGACTGCATTATATGTAGAGACCTAGCCTTGAGAACCCATCTGCAATGCCATCTTCCAAAATGAGACACAGTTGTTTAATTGGACTCACCTATTCCCAGGAATGAGAGACTTATTTATTAAGATCATTTGTCACACAACTACTACATGGATTTTTCTTTCTATGGCCAACAACTCAGCTTTTGGTGTGTAAAACTCCTAGGGATGTTTCAGTTCGGGGAATGCTGGGGCTCAGAAAATGATACCCTGAAATATGGTGCTTTGACATGTTAAACTAAAGAAGCAGACTCAAGGTCTCTCTGATCCCTTTTCCCACCCCTGTCATTGTTTGTCAATCCTTTCTTTCCCAAAGCACTGGATGATGCTCTTCTCTGAAGCTCTCTCATCTACCTGGAAACCAGACACACCAAAGAGAAACACAGTTGCTTTTCAACCCTTTTCTGAAATGTCATTAACCAGAGAAGATTAAATTCATATCACAGAAGAAGATACTAAAAATTAAACACCTTCATGCCTGCAATCCCAGCACTTTGGGAGGCCAAGGCGGGCAGATCACGAGGTCAGGAGACCGAGATCATCCCGGCCAACGTGGTGAAACACCATCTCTACTAAAAATACAAAAATTAGCTGGGTGTCTCTCCTAAAAATACAAAAATTAGCCTGTAGTCCCAGCTACTCCGGAGGCTGAGGCAGGAGAATCGCTTGAACCTAGAAGGCAGAGGTTGCAGTGAGCCGAGATTGTGCCATCGCACTCCGGCCTGGGCAACAGAGAGAGACTCCATCTCAAAATTAAAAAATAAATAAATGAATAACATGAATAAATAAAAAAAATTAAACACCTATCCTGGAGCCGAGACAAACTTTTGTCTATTCTTAGATCTCACTTAATTCCCCAAAATGATCATTTACAAACAATTGTCTGAACATGGATCCATTCTTTCCCCCCTAAAAAGTAATTATTCTTACACTTCTCATCTCCCCTTTCCCTATAAAGAAGGGTATACAAGCATCTGGACCTCAGTGAGTTATTGAGTAATCATTCTTCTGCTATTCCCTCATGTTATGCATGTTAAAATAAATTCATATGCCTTTTTCTTTTATTAATCTGTCTTTTGTCAGTTCATTTTTAGTGAACTTTCAGAGGGTGAAGGAGGAAGATTTCTCTCATTGCTCCTACAGAGGCTTCAGATATGCTAATTTACACTTTAAATTTCCAAAGTATAATATGCAACATTTCTCAAGCTTGTTTCACTATGGAATCCTTATTTCCCTACACATCTGCAATCTCTGAAGCAAATCAATTTAGAAAATGGTGACCCATTTTGCTAAGTCATAGTAGACAGAATTTTATGTCTTTTCAGTCTAGTCTATATTGATATGAAAAGTATGCCATTCCCCTGACCATTTGAATTCATCATCAAATAATATAGATATTTACCTACTAAATAATTGAGAGTTAAGTACAAATTTTACTTAACTTACCTATCTGTTATGACATCTGGATTTTTCAGTCTTACATCTTTTCTTCTTTGATTTTTGGTTTTAGAGTATGTGAAATGATTCTGCATTCCAATTCAACAAACATTTATTAGATACTCAAAATAGTTAGATGAAATACAATAAAAAATACATTTTTGAGGAATTAAAACATGGGTAAACCATATTTAGATGCCAAACCAGTGCTGAAAAGCACTTTACCAGTCAAAATCATGCAGAAAAAATACTTTATTTGAAAGCTTTACCATATCCATTTTAAGTAAGATAACATTTTGAAGTATGAAGGTTTTTCTGTCCTGTACTTCTTTGCCCTTCATCCTCTTCAAGCAGATAGAGAGTTCATTGCCTTAGGGAATAAAAACCAACATGTCAAGAAGTAGAAAAAAAAATAGTGTCTTCAGGGCTTCTGAAAGTGTCAATCTATTAGAGAGATTTTGCTTGATGCCTTTGAAACAAGCAAAAGAATAAATTTGTCTGCCCTGCATGGAAGAGAGATGAAGCAGAGGTATTCAGAGGCAACACATCAGAGAAACCTGGAAGGAGGAACCCTGTATGCACATCTGAGCCCAGAAGACTCCAGGAGCACTGTTAAGACCTCGCAAAGGGTTTGGTTGTGCGGTACGTCTAGGAAAAGGGCTACATGGACAGCTTCTCAGATATTTTCATGCTTTAACAGGGCTGGGAGGAAGTGGGATTACTTGGGTGTCTTTAGGAAGTATCTTTTAGTAGAGGTGGCCTGCAGACCTGAGGAGCTTGTGAATTCTTCTGACCAAATGCTTTGGGTACAGTGTAAATGCCCAAAACCTTTGAAGCCTGAGGAAAGTAGAAACCCCAAATAACTAAGACTAAATTTTTATGTCATACCAGCAAGATGAGAGTTTATATTAGATCATCATCAGAAAACAAAATGGTATTATCTGAATTTGTTGACTGAAATTTATAACTGCTGTACATGATAAGAAATGCATTTCTGATAGCAAAGAAATTTAATTTTAACAGGAAATATTTAATAACATTAAACTAAAGAATAACATTCTGTATTTCCCATTATTCATAAAAGAGTTTTAAACATTAAATTTTAAGAAACTAAAGAAAATAGCTTTTTACTATTTACTTGTATTGTGCTTCCAGTGCAATAGATCAAGGGTCCCCAACCCCTGGGCCACAGACTGGCATTGTTCCATGGCCTGCTAGGACCAGGCCACACAGCAGGAGGCGAGTGGCTGGCAAGTGAGCAAAGCTTCATCTGTATTTATAGCTGCTCCTCATTGCTCACATTACCTTCTTAGCGCTGCCTCCTGTCACATCTAATGTGACAGCATTAGATTCTCAGAGGAGCACAAATCAGAGGAGGGCAAATCCTATAGTGAACAATGAATGTGAGGGATCTAGGTTGTGTGCTCCTTATGAGAATCTAATGCCTGATGATTTATCACTGTCTCCCATCACCCCTAGATGGGACTGCCTAGTCCATCTGGCAATCAGGACTCCCACTGATTCTACATTATGGTGAGCTGTATAATTATTTCATTACATATTACAATTATTACAATTTAATAACATAGAAATAAAGTGTGCAATAAATGTAATGAGCTTGAAGCATCCCCAAACTACCACCCCCTGACCCCAGTCCATGGAAAAATTATCTTCCACAAAACTGGCCCCTGGTTCCGTAAAGGTTGGGGACCGCTGCAATAGATAATCATCTCTGTTGCCTTTAAGATAGTTAGTGTAAGAAAAAGCCCATTTTCAGAAGTCATGTAGAGGTATAATTCTTCAACACAGAAAGCTCATGTTGTGGAAGAGCAGAGTAGATGGGCTGCGTCCTGTGCATAGAGCATAGTTCTTAGTCTTTTGAACTACTTCTTTAATCTTTTCTCTGCAACACAAATTCCAAAAACCCAGAGTACAGGGGTTTGATGAAAAAAAAAAATAAGTTAGGGTAAATGAAAATCAGATCATCATGCTTTCCAGGTAATAGTGGTCCTGCTTCAGATGTAAGATAATTAGCACAAAGGAAAAGGTAGAAGCAGAAATATCATGGCTTGTCGTCACAGGTCATCATGGCTCATAATTTCCGTAGCTAAATACTCTGCTGAGATTGATTTAGGCTAATGACATTCCTTTAAAGCTCTTTCAACAGGCTCCACCTCCATCCCCAACTTCTATTCCTAACCTCATTGGTTTTGCTACCCAAAGATTCTCTATATAGAGAAAGAGGCAACGGTGAGAGAAATAGAAACTCTTCTAGACACTGATATTGTTGAATGGAAAGCAACCAAATAATCCTTATTCTTTTAAATAATGGCTCTCAAATGTGGCTGCATATGAAAATCACTGGGGGAGATTATAAAAAGATAACACTCCTGGTGTTAATTGTGGCTTAGTGTGACCATGTGCCTACATCAACTGAATAAAACCCTATGGCAGAGATTGCTAGTTGGCTCACAATATACATCTTCCCCTTTCATGTATATAAATGATGGCCCATGAGGAGCCAGGCACTGTTCTAGATACCAAGTATATGCAGGGGAATGGAACAAATAACTTCTGTTCACTTAGAACTTATTTTATACCAGAAGCAGCAAATTAGATAAATAAATTAGCTAAATACAAAATATGTCAGATGGTAATAAGAGCTGTGAAGGAAAACAAATTAGAGAAGAGGGGTAGGAAATTCTGGAGATGGAGAGAATGTTTTTTAAATAGAGTAGTTAAGAAAGGCATTACTGAAAAAAAAAATGACCTGTGAATGAAGGTTTGAAAGTGGTTAGGAAGTGTGTTATGAGGATGTGTGTGTGTGACTGGAAAATCTGAGGAACAGCAAGGAAGATGCTATGGCTGGACCAGAAAGAGAGGGAAGTAATTGCAGACGATGAGGCCAGAGAAGTGGGGTAGGTGGGTGTCAGACCATTAAGGCAATTGGAATTTACTCTTACAGAAATCTGAAGCTCTTGAGGACATTCGGCTAACAGCGGTCATGGGCTGGCTTTGTTTTAAAAAGGGGCACTCTGACTAGTTGTAGAAATTGACTATAGATGGGTAAGCCCTAAGCAAAGGACCCAGACAGAAAGCTCTTGAATAATCTAGGCATGAAAGGATGTGCTTAGGCAATGGTGGTAACAACAAAGGTACTTAGAAGTAGTTTCCTTCTAGATATATTTTGAAGATAGTACAGACAGGATTTTCAGATGGATTAGCTGTGAGTTTATAGAGGAAGCAAGGATTTGAGGACATTTCCAAGGTTTCAAGTCTGGAATGATTACTGTAATAATAGGCTTGTCATTTTTTGAGATGCAGAAGATTGTGGAAGAAGCTGGTTTAGGAGGTAAAAAGAGGAGTCTGGTTTTGAAATATTGCTTTTGAGATAAATGCCTATTAGACATCCAGTGGACATACTAAGTAGGAGGATAAATATATGAGTCTGTAGTTCAGAGACATTGGACAATGTATCCACTTGAAAAAGTGCATTTTAAACTCAAAGTTAGGTGTATTCATATGCCTACAAGCTGACCAATGAGATGGTGTGGACATGTCAGAGGCATTTGAACAAGAATGACTCCAACTTGTATAAGGTGTAAGGAAGGGATCCAGTTTCAGCTTTCTACATATGGCTAGCCAGTTTTCCCAGCACCATTTATTAAATAGGGAGTCATTTCCAATTTCTTGTTTTTATCAGGTTTGTCAAAGATCAGATGGTTGTAGATATGCGGCATTATTTCTGAGGGCTCTGTTCTGTTCCATTGGTGTATATGTCTGTTTTGGTATCAGTACCATGCTGTTTTGGTTATTGTAGCCTTGTAGTATAGTTTGAAGTTGGGTAGCGTGATGCCTCCAGCTTTGTTCTTTTGGCTTAGGATTGACTTAGCAATGTGGGCTCTTTTTTGGTTCCATATGAACTTTAAAGCAGTTTTTTTGCAATTCTGTGAAGAAAGTCATTGGTAGCTTGATGGGGATGGCATTGAATCTATAAATTACCTTGGGCAGTATGTTTATTGCGGCACTATTCACAATAGCAAAGACTTGGAACCAACCCAGATGTCCAACAATCATAGACTGGATTAAGAAAATGTGGCATATATACAACATGGAATACTATGCAGCCATAAAAATGGATGAGTTCATGTCCTTTGTAGGGACATGGATGAAGCTGGAAACCATCATTCTCAGCAAACTATCGCAAGGACAAAAAACCAAACACCACATGTTCTCACTCATAGGTGGGAATTGAACAATGAGAACACATGGACACAGGAAGGGGAACATCACACACCGGGGCCTGTTGTGGGATAGGGTGAGGGGGGAGGGATAGCATTTGGAGATATACCTAATGTCAAAAGACGAGTTACTGGGTGCAGCACACCAACATGGCACATGTATACATATGTAACTAACCTGCACGTTGTGCACACATACTCTAAAACTTAAAGTATAATTAAAAAAAAAAAAAAGAATGACTCCATCTTGAACAGGGGCTGGGTAAAATAAGGCTGATAGCTACAGGGCTGTGTTCCCAGGAGGTTAGGCATTCTTAGTCACAGGATGAGATAGGATGTCAGTACAAGATGATACAGGCCACAGAGACCCTGTGATAAAACAGGATGCTGTAAAGAGGGCAGCCAAAACCTGCCAAAACCAAGATGGCAACAAAAGTGACATCTGGTTGTCCTCATTGCTCCTTATAAGGTAATTATAATGTATTAGCATGCTAAAAGACACTCCCACCAGCACCGTAATGGTTTACAAATGTCATAGCAATATCAGGATGTTACCCTATACGGTCTAAAAAAGGGAGGAATCCTCAGTTCCAGGAATTAACCATCCCCTTTCCTGGAAAACTCATGGATAATCCACCCTTGTTTACCATATAATCAAGATATAACTATAAGCATATTCAGTTAAGCAGCCCATGCTGCCACTCTACCTACGGAGTAGCCATTCTTTATTCTTTTACTTTCTTAATAAACTTGCTTTCACTTTATTCTATGGACTCATCCCGAATTGTTTCTTGCGCTACACCCAAGAACCCTCTCTTGGGGCTTGGATCAGGACCCCTTTCCGCTAGCAGACATATTGTGTGTGACTTCCAGAAAAGCTCTTAAACTATGAGAATGAGCATTTCTTCTTCTCTTTCTTCTTTCTGCTGTCTAAAATGTGAATGCAGTAGCTGGACCTGACCTGGTCATCTTGAGGTCATATAGAATCACAGGAGGCAGAGTCAGAGCTAAGAGGAGCTTAGGGGGTCCCTGATAACTTAGAGGAGGCACTGGTAAAGCTCTGAGCTACCAAATTTCAGATGTTTTTAATATGAGGGGGGAGACTTCTTTTGTGTTTACTTCACTGTATCCAGTTCTGTTATTAACAGTTGAATATTACTCCTAACTGTCAAAGCAAGTATTTTAGTTTCCTATTGCTGCTGTAAGAAATTGCCATAAATTTTGTGGCTTAAAGCAACACAAATATATTATTTTATAGTTCTGAAGCTCAGAATTCTGAAGTTAGTCTCACTAGGTATGATGGTTAATTTTAGTTGTCAACTTAACTGGATTAAGGAATACTTAGAGAATTGGTAAAACAATACTTCTGAGTGTGCCTGGGAGGTGTTTCCAGAAGAGACTGGCATGTGTGTCAGTGGACTGAGTGGGGAAGATCCACCCTCAACGTGGGCAGACGCCACCTAATAGCTGGGGCCTTTGATAGTACAAAAAGGGGATTTTTGTCACTCTCCTGGAGCTAGGATACATTGTTCTCCTGTCTTTGGACATCAGAACTCCAGGCTCTCTAGCTTTTGGACTCCAGGACTTACACCAGCAGCCACCTGGGTTCTTAGACCTCCAGCCCCAGACTGAGAGTTACACCATCAGCTTACCTGCTTCTGAGGCCTTAGAATCTGAGCTGAGCTATGCTATTTGCAGACCAGGGTCTCCAGGTTGCAGTCAGCCTATTGCGGGACTTCCCAGCCTCCAAAATTACATGAGGCACTTCCCCTGATAAATCCCATCTATCTACCTATCTGTCTATCTATCTATCTATCTATCTATCTATCTATCTATCTATCTATCATCTATCTATCATCTATCTATCTATGTCTGTCTGTCATCTATCACTCCAGCCATCCTATCGTTCTGTTTCTCTGGAGAACCCTAATAGTGGTCAATGTGTCACCATGCCACATTCCCTCTGGAGGCTCTAGGGGACATTTTGTTTCCTTGACTTTTCTAGTTCCTAGAGGCTGCCTCTATTCCTTAGCTCATGGCCTGTTTCTCCATTTTCAAAGCCGGCAGTGGAGCATCTTTAAATCTCTATCTGTCTGTGACCCTTGCTTCAGTCATAACACCTTCTCAGACTCTCCCACCTCCTTCTTCCTTTTAAACAACGTTTGTGATTTTATTGGGTCCACCTGAATAATTGAGAATAATCTCTTCACTTCAAAATCCTTAACTTATCACATATGCAAAGTAGCAAACAAGAGTTTTTAGCAGAGAAGGTTATTTAAGTTGTCCTTTACATTTCTGGATCTATCTGAAAGAACACACACAGAGAGAGGCTGAGACAGAAAGAGACAGGACAGACAGAGAGAGAAAAATGAAGAAAGGGAGAGAAAGAGGACTAGAAGGAGAAGAGAGGGCAAAGGGAGGGGATGAGAGAAGAGGAGTATTTACTGATTGGAGTAGAGTGCTGGGGTTTGAGTGAAGTCAGTTATGTACATATTTAAGAAGTAGAAAAGGGAAGAAGCAGAAGCTACTTTTATCTCACGGTGCTGTGTGCTACATTACAAAGTTTGTTCAAAGTTTGTTGGACACCCTCCCTTGTGGCGCATCCTATGGGATGCTTCACCCTTGTCCTGTTGAACTGGGGCATGGCCATGTGACTTGCCGTGGTCAGTGAATTATGGGGGTATGTGAGGCATGCCCAAGACATCCTTTTTCTCCATTGCAATAAACAGCAGTATTCCTGATGGAGGCGTTTTGTCAGTCTTAGTCCCAGAGTAAAGACCAAGCAAAGCAGAGCCACCACTTGACTATGCTAGACATGATGTCATCTACGGGGATTCTGGTGTTGTTTAATACGCTGCATACCCCAGGTTATCCTCAGTAGGTCCTGTTCTCTTTTTCAAGAGTATTATTTGATGTTTTATTTAAAAATATTTCACTTTTTAATTTTATACAGTTGTTTTAAAATATTTAAATAATATAGACACATAACTTTTTTTTTTAAGTCTCTCTTTACCTCCTCCTTCTAAACTCATTTTCCTCAGGCCTGTAATCCCAGCACTTTGGGAGGCCCAGGTGGGCGGATCACGAGGTCAGGAGATCAAGACCATCCTTGCTAACACACTGAAACCCCATGTCTACTAAAAATACCAAAAAATTAGCCGAGTGTGGTGGCAGGTGCCTGTAGTCCCAGCTACTCAGGAGGCTGAGGCAGGAGAATGGCGTGAACCCGGGAGGCGGAGCTTGCAGTGAGCCGAGATCGTGCCACTGCACTGCAGCCTGGGCGCCAGAGTGAGACTCTGTCTCAAAAAAACAAACAAAAAAAACTCATCTTCCTCTTTGGAAGTCACCACGAATAACATGCTTTTACTTATCTTGGTAAATATATTTATATATATATATAAATATAATGTGCATGTAAATGTAAACATATATTTTAATCATAGTGTGACATATAGAGTTGGCCGTTTGTGTCTGGGTTCCACATCCACAGGTTCAACCAACTGCAGATAGAAAATATATCTTTAAAAAATGACGCATTTTTATTTCTCAAAATATTTCTTAAACATAAAGAAATATTTAAAAAATATTTCTTAAACATAAAGAAATATTTAAAAAATATTTCTTAAACATAAAGAAATATTTAAAAAATATTTCTTAAACATAAAGAAATATTTAAAAAATATTTCTTTAAAAAGAATAATAATACAACAACAAGAATACCAGTAAAAAACCAATGTAGTATAACAGCTATTTACATAACATTCACATTTTTTTAGGTATTATAAGCAATCTAGAGATGACATAAAGTATACGAGAGAATGTGTGTAGGTTATATGCAAATACTAAACCATATTATATAAGGAATTTGAGCATCTGTGGATTTTGGTATCCTCTGGGGATTCTTTTTTTGTTTTTTGAGATGGAGTCTCCCTCTGTCGCCCAGGCTGGAGTGCAGTGGCGCGATCTCAGCTCACTGCAAGCTCCGCCTCCTGGGTTCATGCCATTCTTCTACCTCAGCCTCCCGAGTAGCTGAGACTACAGGCATCCACCACTACACTCCGCTAATTTTTTTTATTTTTTAGTAGAGATGGGGTTTCACCGTGTTAGCCAGGATGGTCTCGATCTCCTGACCTCGTGATCCACCTGCCTTGGCCTCCCAGAGTGCTGGGATTACAGGCGTGAGCCACCACCCCTTTCCCCTCTGGGGATTCTTGAACCAATCTCCTGAGGATACTGAAGGATGACTCTATATACATATTTTATATATAATCTGCATATATATGCATTTTTCTTTTTTATTTATTTTCTATGTAATAATATGTCTTGGAGATAGTCAAATATCAAAACATACAATTCTCTTTATTCATTTAAATCATTACATAGTATTCTATCATGAGAATTAATCATAATTTAATACCCTATTGATAGATATTTAGTTTGCATCCAATTTTTCTACTTAATAAGCAATACAAAATAAGTATCATCCATGCGTTTGTGCACACCTGCAACTATTCCTCTAGGTTAGAATTTTAGAAGTAGAATTATTGGGTCAAAGAATAAGCACATTTTAAATTTTTATAAATGCTGCCAGATTGACCCTAGAAAGTCTATTCCAATGTATGCTCTCATCAATAGTGATAAGAATCAGATCTTTTTCTTTCTTAAAAAACATTAACATTTTCTTTCTATTCCTTTCACGCAAAAGTTCAGATTCTTGCTTTCCAATAACCTTAAATCATAGGTTGCAGTGCTGTGTGTGTGAGCGGGCTGGGTCAGGGGTGGCTGGGTAGAAGAGAATTACAGGGATGGAGGGAAATTTTAAACAATCCTCACTCTCCTGCCTGGTATTGTTTGTAAGGATAATGTGTCTCATCATTTTTGCTAACAATTATATTATTCATCAATGCCTCATTATAAAATGCTTTGCTATAGTGAGGGTCATTATGTCCCTTAATTAAATGCACTCATATTTTAGATCTCTTCAAGACCATTATGGCGCTTCTTCGAGAGCATTATGGAGTGTGTGGCTACCCACATACTCTGAATAGAGTCTTCCTTTCCCATGTCATAAAACCAGATCTTCTGAGGCAAGATAAGTAAGGTGAGAATGCAACACTGCATTATCCCCTTGTGTGAAGTCCTGTGGGCTCCTTTTACGTCCCTTGCACCCTGCTGCGTCAGTACCTAATGTTTTTTGCAAGGTAAGTGGTCCTACAGGATACCAGCTGACCCCCAGATGGCTACAAGTTCCTGATAGCCGCTATGGCCTGGGAAAGAGAACAAGAACCCCTTGTTCCTGTTGTTGTTTCCCTACTCTCCAGCCAATCAGCACCAAAACCCCAAGAAGCTGTTAGTTAGAAACTCAGGCCGATGGGTACCAGGGATCAAGAATTCAGAAAAAAATACAAGGTAAAAAGAATTTAATTTCTGCCTTAGGGGAGCTAGGGACTTATTAGGGTCCCACATGCACAGCTAGGCTCAAGCTTCAGCTGATACTTACCCTTTCCTCATTTTAATAGTAAAAAACACACCCCTTAGGTTGAGATTTTATATGCTCATGATACGTGTGGTACATGTTAGAACACGTAGATGCTGAGCACATGTGGCAACTGCAGCTCTACCTTTGCATACCTGACCCCACCTGTATTTTATAAATATGTATGTACAGTTCCAATAAAGGGATTCCTCGTAAGGCACTGGGGGCTGTCTCTCCCTTTGGGCAGCCTGCTCTGCCTCCCAGAGTGTACTTCCGCTTTGCAATAAGTTTCTTTGCCTACTCTTAATTTGGACTCACTCAAATTCTTCTGTGTGAGTCCAGCACACTGACAATACTTTCAGATACATTTATAGAACCCTAGACAAACTAAATCCATCGGTGGCTAATAGATACAGGACAGGTTGTATGCACAGTCAGTGGGAATCTCTTCTGATAAGCAGAAAACCTACAATAGGTTTTATCTGTTTCCCAACCTGAAGGTTGAAAGGAACTTTACTAAACTGACTTTAAATTGCAAAATATGTATTGTTCTGGTTTATTAGCCATAGACTTCTAGGCTTCCAAAATAGGTTGTCTTTTTCCCAAAAGAGTCCCCCAAAACCAATGTTTCTCACACTACCTTATTCTTCACTCCTCCTGGCCAGATGGCTTAGGACTGTCTCTCAAGCTGAGATCCAATGAAGAGCAACAGTGGGTTAACCTGAATTTCAAGTTTTGCTCTGCTTCATTGTAACTGAGGTTTAACTTGAGCTTTAAAAAAAAAAAAAAAAAAAAAGACATCCTCTTTGAACTATAATTATTTAGCCAAGTAGTTATGCTGGATTGAAAAACAAAGAGAAATCTTACCAGCCCAGTGTTTCAAACTGGGCTTCATTAATGCCAACTGTTCTCCTTGTGCCACGCATACCTTTCTTTACCTTTTGTTTTGTGGTGCCTCATGGATTTTTCAGAGCCTGATGCTACAGATGGTTTGAAGATTATGTCTAACCACTAACTGATCTATCCATGCTGTTCTTACATTTTAAATGGTTAACGGAGACCAGTGTGAGCATCTCATTTATCAGTCTATTCTCGGTGAAGGGTAATTTTTCCTCTATTTTCAAAATAGTCTCTATTCATCTGGTTGTCAAATAGTCTTCCCTGACTATGGGCAAATAGGTTATTTATTGCCAAGCTAACTTCCTCTTTGCACAGAAAATTACTGGGAAGGTGGGTTGGAAGCTGAGCTGAATCATCCTTGGGATCATTAGAAGCAGTATAATATTTTGTGGCTGTCAGCTTTTAGGCTTCTATCAGGGTGGAGAGGCCATCCTTCGGGGAGAACATAATGATCCCAGAATGTTGGCTGACAGGGTCTTGATCTGTGCTTTTATTATGTTCAATTTATCAGTCTCTTTTGAAAGAATTGACCATGGGACTCTTTTAAAACATTTGAAATCTTTGGATAAAAGCTCAGAGACAGGCTCTTCCTACTTCCATTAATTTCATAATCAATGATGTCAATTTGTCACTATTAATCATGTTTCTGCAGCAATTTTCCCCAGGCTTCCCTGAACTTAAAAGCTTCAAGATAAACTCCCCCTCCTCCTTCCTCCTTCTTCTCTCTCTCTCTCTCTTTTTTTTTTTTTTTTCCTGATCTCAGTTTTTCTCATTCTGCTGACTATACTCAAATGTACTTCACTTTTTCCCTGGTCATCAAAACTTTTTTTTAATGATCTTGTAAGACATCATGGTATAGTTTACAATACCCAGTCTAATATGAAATTTTTGAAAGCTGACAACCTGAATTATGAATGTCTGTTTTTAACTTTTTATATTTTACCCATGTGGCTCAGTTTTAGCTTTTTGGATTTTCTCACAAAAAGAATATGTAAGCTTATTTTTCAATTTATTGAGAAATTCTTCTACAATATTGCAAGTCCCTCCAATCCTGTTTGTATGATTGTTCTTTTACCTTGTTAAAGCAGAACACAACATGTGCTGCTTTTTTGTATTTGATATCGTAATGTAAATATTATTTATTAAAACTTTTCAGTCTTAAAGATGGCTAAATATAGGTTAGTATATGACAATGGTTAATTGTAGTCTGGGATTAGCACACCTGGGTTGGAACACTGCATCTGCTTTCTCACTTCAGGCAAATTACTTCACCACTCTGGGCTTTGAGTTCCTTATGCATAAATAGTGCTAATAATACTAACCTCCTAGAGTATTTTTAAAATTAAGTGACAGAATGCTTGCAGATTGTTTAGCTTAGTGCTGACATAAGAGCCCAACAAATGCTGTCTATAATAATGTTAGGTAATAGTAATATAATAGTAGCAAGACATACAATATAATTATGATGTTACTACTGTGAAAACACTTTATCCAGTAGCAAATCTTCTAAGTTGCTTTGTTTAGATCTGCTTCTAGGATAGAAAGGAGCAGGCTCACAGATCACAAAGAGCCAGGAAGCCATACTGAATTGCAAGCGGTCTGTTAAGTACAAGGTGTGGATGAGAGCTGAGAACATTATTTTGGGAACAGGAAATATGAATTCCAGGGAGTTAGGTGAAGAAAGGAGAGGAGCTTGGCTATCTAGGAGTAGGAGAGGTTTAGGGGAGAAACTCAGGCAGATGGGTACCAGGAATCAAGAATTCAGAAAGAGAGAGGGAAAAAAAGAGGTAAAAAGAATTCAACTTCTAAGCAGAGAGACTGGAAAGCAGGAAAAGGTTCTCTGGGGCAAATAAAGACAAGGACTGAGATGTGGGCTGGACCCAGGGGCAGGCTCTGGGCTGTTGTTGCTCATGCAAAACTTTGTTGGAGCAGGAGTAAACACTTTATTCCCTCAAAAAAGAAAAATTGATTCCAAAAGGCACTAGAATTGAAATTTTACTGAAGAATTTGTAGCAAAGACCAAAGAGATTTTACTCCACCAAGCACATAGCATTTCACTCCAAAATTCTCTCTCATTGTATTTTTCCCAAAATAAGCTTCAGCTTTGGCTTCTTCTGGACCCTCCTCCTCTTTATACCTATAGACTTGAAAAGTCTCCTATCTCCAGACACCTTTTTTTAAATCCTACTCTTTCCCTTATGCAGAGTAACTTAATTTCATAGGCTCTACTAATCTTGTAATCCCACATCCTTCACTTAATTTTGGAAACAACCAGCAAATACAAGCGTCTCCAGGATCCAAGATCTACCTCCTTTATTGGGTAGAAGGAAGCATAGCAAATGAATTTTCTCTGATAGCAAACACTAATTTCTTTCTGGACAAAATTATACTATTTCATATTAGATTTTTGCTTTCATTAGACAGCTTTTACATGTTCTGCTAGAAGAGATGACAAATCCCAAGGGTCCCAGATCTGTAGTAGCAAGTGGCAATAAAAAAGAAATGAGCAGTTCAGGCCGGGTGTGGTGGCTCATGCCTGTAATCCCAGGACTTTGGGAGGCTGAGGCAGGTGGATCTCTAGGTCAGGAGTTCAAGACCAGCCTGGCCAACATGGTGAAACCTCGTCTCTACTAAAACTCAAAAATTAGCCGGGTGCAGTGGCAGGCACCTGTAATCCCAGCTACTCGGGAGGCTGAGGCAGGAGAATCACTTGAATCTGGGCGGCAGAGTTTGCAGTGAGCTGAGATCATGTCACTGAACTCTAGTCTGGGTGACAAAGTGAGACTCTGTCTCAAAAAAAAAAAAGAAAGAAAAAAGAAATGAGCAAATGAGCAGTTCAACATTTTAGCAACACCCAAGTTAATTATATTCTGACCATGGCCTGAGAATTTTTCTGAAGTATCACTTCTGCAAATATAACAATGGCTAGGCCAGGTGCGGTGGCTCACGCCTGTAATCCCAGCACTTTGGGAGGCCGAGGCAGGCAGATCACGAGGTCAGGAGATTGAGACCATCCTTGCTAACATGGTGAAACCCCATCTCTACTAAAAATACAAAAAATTAGCCGGGCACGGTGGTGGGTGCCTGTAGTCCCAGCTACTCGGGAGGCTGAGACAGGAGAATGGTGTGAACCTGGGAGGTGGAGCTTGCAGTGAGCCGAGATCGTGCCACTGCACTCCAGCCTGGGTGACACAGTGAGACTCCGTCTCAAAAAAAAAAAAAAGATGGCTAGGGAAAACCGATGGTGAATTATTACAAATCCATAACTGTTATTGGATATGTGGGAAGCATATGCTTTCTTAAAAGTAAATCAGTACTTTCAGGTTCACCTATGGAGAAGACATATACCACACAACCCATCCTCAAAGCACAAGTCAGTTTGCTTTTTTCTATATGTGAATAAAAGTTTATTTAACCAAATAGTAGTGTCATATAGTGTTATTTTATCAGGTATTGAGTGTGTTTATTTCATAATACTCTAAAACATTATAGGTTCTTTGTACTTAACCAGTAATTATTTACAAAATATTCAAGGGCTATATGTTGACCTTTCTTCTATGCTAAATCTAATTCATGATCTCCCATAAACCCCAGGCTACCCTCTTCCAAATGCACTGCCTCACTAAATGGCATCAGCATCTACCCAGTTGTACAAGTCAGAAACCCAATGGTTACTCCAAGATGGGGTTGGAAGTTATTTGGCCTCCCAGTATTATACGTCATCCTTCCCTCAAACCATATATTCATATATATATATATAAATATATATATAAATATACACATAAATATACACATATATTATATATAAATATATGTATAATATATGTATATATTATATATAATATATAATATGTATAAAATATATATATACTATATATAATATATATACATATATGTATATATTATATATATACCACTATATATATATAGTGGTATATATATATACCACTAAGTAAAATGGTGTTCTAGTTAGGCAAAAATGTATCAAGGTAAGTTCTTTCTATCCACATTTCTAAAATTTCTTTTTAAAGAAATTCTGGAGCTACCAAGGCCAACATCTATGTATCCTTTTCCATTTTTAAAAAGCCCTTGAATTACCTTTTCATTAGATCTAATCACCTTAGCCCTGCTGTCAACACCCTATTCTGAAATAACATCATTGTTTATCATTGTACCGTCTGCAGCTATCCGTGTCTGGTACCGAGCAGGTGTGTAATAAATAAAATAATTTTTAATTGAACAAATGGAAAAGATACACTTCAAATCACAGATTTTCCCACCAAATACTTTGTAGTAGGTATCCTGGAAGCATAGAATTACTTTATTTCTTTGTACACACACAGTAATACTTTTTGCTTCTTTGCCATTATTTATGCTGTTCTGTTGCCTCTAGTTCTCTTCTCTCTTTTCTTAGCCTGGCTAACTTCGATATAGCTATTAAATCCAGACATCTCCTCCTGGAGGACTTTTCTGACTTCCCTATCTTGGGTAGTTAGCCAATCTCTGTACCCTCCTAACAACCAACAAACATTTCCATGTAATAAACGTATTTCTGGTTGCTCAGGTTAAAAATCATGGTTCATCTTCAACTTTTTTTTTTTTTTACAGCCTACATAAAACTCATCAACAAATCTTATCAGATCTGTCTTCCAAACATCTCCAGATTCCAAATATGACCATTTCTTATTACTTTCAGCCTTCTAATTCTGATCCTTATCTAGTCTGGCATTTTTGCTGGGATTATTGTAATAACCTCCTAACTGATCTCCTGGGTTCCACCCTTGCCCCACTACTGTCTATTTTCAACCCAGCAACCGCAGTAATCCTTTTAAAAGTTAAGTGTGCCAAAACTATGCTCAAAATCTTCTGATAACTTTCTATCTCATTCAAAGTAAGTCCAAATTTCTTACTTGTGTAGTGGCCTATAATATGGCCCTCAATGATTCTTGTCTCCTGATATGTATGCCCTTGTGTAGCCTTCTCTCATACTGAATAAGGCTGATCTATGTCACCAATAGCACATTGCAGAAACGAAGGTCTGCAACTCCTGAGAACAGGGCATAAAAGACATAGTAGCTTCTGCCTCATGATCTCTTATATCATATTCTCTAAGAAAGGTAGCTGCCATGTTGTGAAGATGCAACTGCATCCCCGTGGGGAAGTCAATGTGGTGAGGAACTGGGACCTCCTAAGAAGCGCCAGCAACGAGTTGCGAAGCATGTGAGTGAGCCAACCTGGAAATGGACCCTCCAGTCCTAGTCAAGTCTTTAGATGGCTGCAGCCTCAACGGATGCCTGACTGCAACACTCTGAGAGAACTTGAGATAATGCACCCAGCTAAATGCTCCCTGGATTTCGGACCCACAGAATCTTTTTAGATAATATATATTTATGTGTCAAGTTGTTAAGTTCTGGGGTAATTCGTTATGCAGCAATAGACAACTAATACACTTACTACCACCAATAGGGCACCCTTGATATGATGCCTAATTCCTTCACTGGCTTCATCTCTTGCTAATCTCCTCATTTGCTCAATCTGCTTTAGCCATATCAGACTTTTCTGTAAGCCAGGGACACTTCTATCTCAGGGTTATTGCCCTTGCTAATTCCTTACCCACTTCAAGTCTTTGTTCAAATATGATCCTTTTAGTGTTCTTTTTTATCACCCCACTACTCTCCCCAGTCTTTCTATTTGGTTTTCCTTTATGGCATCTATCAACATTTGATATATGATATGCGAATTAGTCTGTTCTCATGCTGCTAATAAAGACATACCCGAGACTGGGTAATTTATAAAGAAAAGAAGTTTAATGGACTCACATTTCCACGTGGCTGGGGAGGTGTCATGATCATGCAGGAAGGCAAAAAAGAAGCAAAGGCACATCTTACATGGTGGCAGGCAAGAGAGCATGTGCAGGGGAACTCCCCTTTATGAAACCATCAGATCCGGTGAGACTTATTCACTATCATGAGAACAGCATGGGAAAACCTATCCCCATTACTCAGTTATCTCCCACTGGGTCCCTCCCATGACACGTGGGGATTGTGGGAGCTACAATTTAAGATGAGATATGGGTGGAGGCACAGCCAAACCATATCAATATGCTTCACTTTTTGTTTGTTATTATTGTTGTTTCTTTCCCTCCATGATAATATAAGCTCTGTGAAGGCAGAGACTTTCTGTTCTTCTTCTTGTTCACAGCTATTTATTTACCCCTTAGAACTTAGCAAACACTAAGTGTTACAACACTATGTTGAATACGAGTGGTGACAGGGGGTATCCCTGTCTTGTGCCAGTTTTCAAAGGGAATACTTCCAGGTTTTGCCCATTCAGTATGATATTGGCTGTGGGTTTGTCATAAATAGCTCTTATTATTTTGAGATACATCCCATCAACACCTAGTTTATTGAGGGTTTTTAGCATGAAGGGCTGTTGAATTTTGTCAAAGGCCTTTTCTGCATCTATTGAGATACTCATGTGGTTTTTGTCTTTGGATCTGTTTATATGCTGGATTATGTTTATTGATTTGCATATGTTGAACCAGCCTTGCATCCCAGGGATGAAGCCAACTTGATCGTGGTGGATAAGCTTTTTGATGTGCTGCTGGATTCTGTTGGCCAGTATTTTACTGAGGATTTTTTTGTCAACCTTCACCAGGGATATTGGTGTAAAATTCTCTTTTTTTTATTGTGTCTCTGCCAGGTTTTGGTATCAGGATGATGTTGGCCTCATAAAATGAATTAGGGAGGATTCCTTCTTTTTCTATTGATTGGAATAGTTTCAAAAGGAATGGAACCAGCTCCTCTTTGTACCTCTGGTAGAATTCGGCTGTGAATCCATCTGGTCCTGGACTTTTTTTGGTTGGTAGGCTATTAATTATTGCCTCAATTTCAGAACCTGTTATTGGTCTATTCAGGGATACAACTTCTTCCTGGTTTAGTCTTGGGAGGGCGTATGTGTCCAGGAATTTATCCATTTCTTCTAGATTTTCTAGTTTATTTGCACAGAGGTGTTTATAGTATTCTCTGATGGTAGTTTGTATTTCTGTGGGATTGGTGGTGATATCCCCCTTATCATTTTTTATTACATCTATTTGATTCTTCTCTCTTTTCTTCTTTATTAGTCTTGCTAGTGGTCTATCAATTTTGTTGATCTTTTCAAAAAACCAGCTCCTGGATTCATTGATTTTTTGAAGGATTTTTTATGTCTCTATGTCCTTCAGTTCTGCTCTGATCTTAGTTATTTCTTGCCTTCTGCTAACTTTTGAATGTGTTTGCTCTTGCTTTTCTAGTTCTTTTAATTGTGATGTTAGGGTGTCAATTTTGGATCTTTCCTGCTTTCTCTTGTGGGCATTTAGTGCTATAAATTTCCCTCTACACACTGCTTTGACTGTGTCCCAGAGATTCTGGTATGTTGTGTCTTTGTTCTCATTGGTTTCAAAGAACATCTTTATTTCTGCCTTCATTTCGTTATGTACCCAGTAGGCATTCAGGAGCAGGTTGTTCAATTTCCATGTAGTTGAGCAGTTTTGAGTGAGTTTCTTAATCCTGAGTTCTAGTTTGATTGCCCTGTGGTCTGAGTGACAGTTTGTTATAATTTCTGTTCTTTTACGTTTGCTGAGGAGTGCTTTACTTCCAACTATGTGGTCAATTTTCGAATAAATGTAACGTGGTGCTGAGAAGAATGTAAATTTTGTTGTTTTGGGGTGGAGAGTTCTGTAGATGTCTGTTAGTTCTGCTTGGTGCAGAGCTGAGTTCAATTCCTGGATATCCTTGTTAACTTTCTGTTTCGTTAATCTGTCTAATGTTGACAGTGGGGTGTTAAAGTCTCCCATTATTATTTTTTGGGAGTCTAAGTCTCTTTTTAGGTCTCTCAGGACTTGCTTTATGAATCTGGGTGCTCCTGTATTGGGTGCATATATATTTAGGATAGTTAGCTCTTCTTGTTGCATTGATCCCTTTACCATTATGTAATGGCCTTCTTTGTCTCATTATGTAACGGTCTTCTTTGTCTCAGACTTTGTTGGTTTAAAGTCTATTTTATCAGAGACTAGGATTGCAACCCCTGCTTTTTTTTGTTTTCCATTTGCTTGGTAGATCTTCCTCCATCCCTTTATTTTGAGCCTATGTGTGTCTCTGCATGTGAGGTGGATCTCCTGAATACAGCACACCAATGGATCTTGACTCTATCCAATTTGCCAGTCTGTGTCCTTTAATTGGAGCGTTTAGCCCATTTACATTTAAGGTTAATAATGTTATGTGTGAATTTGATCCTGTCATTATGATGTTAGCTGGTTATTTTGCTCATTAGTTGATGCAGTTTCTTCCTAGTATCAATGATCTTTACAATTTGGCATGTTTTTGCAGTGGCTGGTACCCATTGTTCCTTTCCATGTTTAGTGCTTCCTTCAGAAGCTCTTTTAAGGCAGGCCTGGTGGTGACAAAATCTCTCAGCATTTGTTTGTCTGTAAAGTATTTTATTTCTCCATCACTTATAAAGCTTAGTTTGGCTGGATATGAAATTCTGGGTTGAAAATTCTTTTCTTTAATAATATTGAATATTGGCCCCCACTCTCTTCTGGCTTGTAGAGTTTCTGCTGAGAGATCTGCTGTTAGTCTGATGGGCTTCCCTTTGTGGGTAACCTGACCTTTCTCTCTGGCTGCCCTTAACATTTTTTCCTTCATTTCAACTTTGGTGAATCTCACAATTATGTGTCTTGGAGTTGCTCTTCTCGAGGAGTATCTTTTTGGCGTTCTCTGTATTTCCTGAATATGAATGTTGGCCTGCCTCGGTAGGTTGGGGAAGTTCTCCTGGATGATATGCTGAATAGTGTTTTCCAACTTTCTTCCATTCTCCCCGTCGCTTTCAGGTACACCAATCAGACGTAGATTTGGTCTTTTCACATAGTCCCATATTTCTTGGAGGCTTTGTTCGTTTCTTTTTATTCTTTTTTCTCTAAACTTCTCTTCTCACTTCATTTCATTCATTTGATCGTCCATCACTGATACCCTTTCTTCCATTTGATCAAATGGGCTACTGAAGCTTGTGCATGCATCAAGTAGTTCTCGTGCCATGGTTTTCAGCTCCATCAGGTCATTTAAGGACTTCTCTACACTGGTTATTCCAGTTAGCCATTCATCTACTCTTTTTTCAAGGTTTTTAGCATCTTTGCGATGGGTTCGAACATCCTCCTTTAGCTTGGAGAAGTTTGTTATTACCGATTGTCTGAAGCCTTCTTCTCTTGACTTGTCAAAGTCATTCTCCATCCATCTTTGTTCCGTTGCTGGCAAGGAGCTGCATTCCTTTGGAGAAGAGGCGCTCTGATTTTTAGAATTTTCAGCTTTTCTGCTCTGGTTTCTCCCCATCTTTGTGGTTTTATCTACCTTTGGTCTTTGATGATGGTGACGTACAGATGGGGTTTTGGTGTGGATGTCCTTTCTGTTTGTTAGCTTTCCTTCTAACAGTCAGGACGCTCAGCTGCAGGTCTGTTGGAGTTTGCTGGAGGTCCACTCCAGACCCTGTTTGCCTGGATATCACCAGCGGAGGCTGCAGAACGGCAGATGTTGCTGCTTAATCCTTCCTCTGGAAGCGTCATCTCAGAGGGGCACCCAGCCTTATGAGGTGTCAGTCGCCCCCTACTGGGAGGTGTCTCCAAATTAGGCTTCCCCGGGGTCAGGGAGCCACTTGAGGAGGCAGTCTGTCCGTTCTTAGATCTCAAACTCTGTGCTGGGAGAACCACTACTCTCTTCAAAGCTGTCACCCAGGGACGTTTAAGTCTGCAGAAGTTTCTGCTGCCTTTTGTTCAGGTATGTCCTGCCCCTAGAGGTGGAGTCTACAGAGACAGGCAGGCCTCCTCATGCTGTGGTGGGCTCCACCCCGTTCCAGCTTCCTGGCCGCTTTGTTTACCTACTCAAGCCTCAGCAATGGCGGACTCCTCTCCCCCAGCCTCACTGCCACTTTGCAGTTCAATCTCAGACTGCTGGGTTAGCAGTGAGCAAGGCTCTGTGGGTGTGGGACCCTCCAAGCCAGGTGCGGGGTATAATCTCCCAGTGTGCCATTTGCTAAGGCCGTTGGAAAAGCGCAGTATTAGGGTGGGAGTGTCCCGATTTTCCAGGTGCCGTCTGTCATGGCGGCTTCCCTTTGCTAGGAAAGGGAATTCCCTGACCCCTTACACTTCCCGGGTGAGGCAATGCCCCGCCCTGCTCCGAGGGCTGCACCCACTTGTCTGGCAAGCCCCAGTGAGATGAACCCGGTACCACAGTTGGAAATGCAGAAATCACCCGTCTTCTGCGTCATTCATGCTGGGAGCTACTGACTGGAGCTGTTGCTATTCAGCCATCTTGGCGCCACTACTATATATATGGATTTAAAAATATTTTTTACACTGGGCACAGTGGTGTGCACCTGTAATCCCAACTACTTGGGAGGCTGAGGCAGGAAGATTGCCTGAGCCCAGGAGTTTGAAGCTGCAGTGAGCTATGATTGCACCTCTGCATCACAGCCTGGGCAACAGAATAAGACTCCATCTCAAAAAAAATAATAATTTAATTTAAAATACTTTGAATAAACCAGTGACCCTGTGAAATTATCAAGGATTACTTAAAAACAATGAAACAGCACAAAATATTTGGATTTAAAAATAGCAATATTTATTATGTAGTTCAAAAACCAATTACATTTGAACTAAAAAATACATTAAACATAAAAATTGATTTTATTATATTTTAATTGCCCTTGAGATTTTTTTTTTGTTTACTTGAGCAGGTTGCATCTACCAGTTTGCAAATGAAACTGCCTTTGTAAACTGGCAAATTAAAAGTCATTAGAAAATATGAATTATTTGATAAATATTTTCAAATTTTTAGAGGAATACTGCAATTATATAATCATTTTTCCCGTACTTTTATATTTTTGTTTTGCTGAAAACAAGCTTGATAACATATGTTCAATTTTTTTTCTATGATTTTCTAGCTATTGCTGATATAAATTTGAGATGGGGAAAAAAATCAGTGAGAAATTGGATCTACCAATTTGCTTACCACTTTCTAAAGGCAATTTTTAAGTGATAAAGACTCTATTGCTTCTTGAAGCAAAGCTGCAGGTTGAACAAATTTTGGCAAATTAGGGAGTTCAGATTACTTCTCCAAAGTCAAATGCATAGTTAGAAGCAGAAACAGGGCTGCAACTCAGCTGTCTAAACTCCTGGTTAATTGTTTTGCTCACTATCCTATTCTGCTTCCTGAAGTGTTAGGGGATGTTGTTTAACAGGGGGATCTCTCCTCTGGGAGTTGAGCATGCCATTACATGAAACCACCCATTACTAAGAAAGTAATTGGGGGAAGAAGAGAGGAATATGGAAGGAGGAGAATTATGCAAATGCCTGAGCTAACTTGTGCAACGTTA
Source organism: Homo sapiens (assembly GCF_000001405.40). NCBI lineage: Eukaryota > Metazoa > Chordata > Mammalia > Primates > Hominidae > Homo > Homo sapiens. The sequence continues at coordinate 115,369,321 of NC_000008.11, read as the reverse complement.
AAATGCAAAATTTATAAGTTGCTTATTGTCATTGACATTCAAAGGATAACTTGGGGCTAGAGTAGGAAATAAAGGTGGGTCAGCAAGGGAAGTTGTTCTGTTTAGTCTAAGAGATGTGAAATGTTATGTTCTATGCGCAGGTGATGTTGGGGATGGTGGCGGTAAGAGTAGAGCACTATCTGAAATTTTCTATTATTATTATTATTATGTACAAAAAAAATAGGCATTCCTTATGAGAATTTGGAACAAAACATGCAAGTAATCAATAGCCATTCACGTGAGCATGTGTTACCCAGTGGCCCACCAAATAAGGCTTAATCAGTGGGGACCCTCAATGGAGTCTTATAAAATGTATGTCAGAAAGCTCTTTTCCCCACTGGTCAAGTGTGACTCTATGGACATTAACTCCTCGTGCATGTGTGCTGTCATAGTGTGAGTACCAGTGAATTCTGATGGGTCCCGTTATAATCCTGGACAAGCTCAAAGGTTAGAAGCCTGAAGGGAGGTGCTGTATGAAGCTGGTCAAAACCTTTCTAAAACAGATCCCTGCAGGAGTGGATGGAATATAGTGAGGGACCAAGAGCAGACAAGTAGGGTAGAGGGAGATGGGAGAGGATTTGGAATTGTGCGAAAAGAGTGTCTGATATAGCTCTGAATTTTGATGTCCTTATGTGGAAAACAGGCAGAAAGTTTCTACATTAGTTGCTGTGAGGAGTAACTGAATAATGTAAAATTATTGGCAGATACTAAGTATTCTGAATTGTTAGCCTTGTTTTATTGTTATGATAATGTTTAATAATAAATATCATAACTTTTATTAGAGAAAGTCACTATCTCTACTTGACCCTGTGTTTTCTCTAATCTTACTGAAGAACATGGATTTGCCTTTAAATGCAAACACTCATCAGTTCATCATTACACTCAGAGTTGATATTTAATCTTTTAGGCACAAGCTTCTATCTACATGCTAACATGTCTTCTAATTTCTATGAAAGTTGCAGATTTGGGAATTATTATAAAGTATTACAATTTTTATGAAAATTATTATTTTTATAAAATTGAAAATATTTTCTAACTTGAACCATTTCTAATATTCCATAGCTTTAGAATGAAGAGTTTAAGTTTGTTAAATCAATTTGCACATTGTTTTAGAAATGAAAAAGATACTCAGTTGAATTTTTTAAATTTCTCTGATTAAGTACACTATTTATGCATTTGTTATAGAATTATAATTTGAAAAGTTTTTAAATAATCACCTACTTAGTCCAACTCATATTATTGGGCACAATCATCTGAATTTGAAATATATGAAATATGTGTCTAAAGACCTAGGATTTGATTTAAAACCACCACATACAATACACGTGGTTAAAAAACATGTATGTGTGGTTGTGTTAACACCCATGTGATCACCCTTGATCACTAGGAGATGAGTGCTGCTGGGTGAGTTATTCCCTCTTCCATTCTCTAAGGCAGCAGTCCCCAGCCTTTTCAGCACTAGGGACTGGTTTCATGGAAGACAAGTTTTCCACGGAATAGGAGGTTGGGGGGATGGTTTCAGGATAAAACTGTTCCATCTCAGATCATCAGGCATTAGTTAGATTCTCATAAGGAGCACACAACCTAGATCCTTTGCATGCACAGTTAATAGGGTTCATGCTCCTGTGAGAATCTAATGCCGCCGCTGATCTGACAGGAAGCGGAGCTCAGGCGGTAGTGCTTACCCACCTCTTGCTGCATGGCCTGGTTCCTAACACGCCACAGACTGGTACTGGGCCACAGTCCGGGGGCTGGGGACCCCTGATCCAAGCGGACAGTGGTGACCTGCATTTCATAAAGCTTCAGTGTGGGTACCATGGGATTAGGCGTGAGTAACTCACTTGATAACACACGCTTGAGTTAGTTGTGGATATAACACTTTTTTTTTTTTTGCTGGAAAATATGTTTGATAAACTGTATTTCTTGACTCTTTCTGCCTATTACATTTAATAATTATGATATCTTCTCATGTATAATGTCTAATGTGTTTTGTTTTCCTAGTTTAGAATGCTATTTCTTAAGTAAAGAGCTTTAAATAACATGGACCCAGCTATCTCAACATGAGTTATAGTTATATGTAAGTTACACATTTTTAAAAATAATAGATATTCCAAATCTTAGTATCTGAAGGAAAATTGAATACTTATATATGTAAATATATATTTGTAGTAAGACATATGGAGATAAACAAATGCAACTAACCTAACTTTCAGTAACCATCTGCCCTTGGATCTGGCATAAACTTTGAGATTTCTATTGCATCAATACCATTACCATGTGAAGATTCTTGCCCTCCCTCTCTTATTTTCTTAAAAAATTACAGTGAATAGTTTTTGTGCCTTTAAGAAGATGAAGATACTTTATTAATACTATTTTTTCTATAAAATAATGATCTTAAAATTATCTCTAAAGCAGCATATTTAAAGGCTTAACAGTTTACAAGAAATCTTTAATCTTTGAAATTAAAATTAAATTTTAAAAATGTATTTACTAGCCTTGACCAAAAGGTACTCACCTAATCATCCAACACTCCACTTTGATCACATATCTGAAATGACAGGGAAGTAAGCTGAGTTTTGATCAATTTAAGAAAATATAAGTCTGGAATCAACAGATTCAGCCCAGCATTTTACAATCTTTACAGATATTAGTATTGGTTATTGTGATGCCTTTGAGCAGGGTTGTCAGATAAAATACAGAACTAAAGACAAAAATGATATGAGTATCTCAATAGATGCAGAAAAGTCTTTCAATAAAATTCAACATCCCTTCATGTTAAAAACTCTCAATAAAATGGGCACTGAAGCAACAAACCTCAAAATAATAAGAGCCATCAATGGCAACTCCACAGCCAACATTGTACTTATGGGCAAAAGCTGGAAGCATTCCCCTTGAAAACTGACACAAGACAACCATGCTCTCTCTCACCACTCCTATTCAACAAGAATTGGAAGTCCTGGCCAGAGCAATAGGTCAAGAGAAAGAAAGAAAGGGCATCCAAATAGGAAAAGAAGAAGTCAAACTATCCCTGTTTGCAGATGACATTATCCTCTATCTAGAAAACTCCATAGTCTCAGCCCAAAACTCCTTAAGCTGACAAAAAACTTCAGCAAAGTCTCAGGATACAAAATCCACATATAAAAATTGCTAGCATTTCTATACACTAACAAGAGTCAAGCTAAGGGCCAAATCAGGAATACAATCCCATTCACAATTTCCACAAAAAGTATAAGATACCTAGGAATATAGCTAATCATGGAGGTGAAAGATCTCTACAATGAGAACTACAAAACACTGCTCAAAGAAATTAGAGATAACACAAACAAATGGAAAAACATTCCATGCTCATGGATAGGAATAATAAATAACATTAAAATGGCCAAATTGCCCAAAGCAATTTATAGAATCAATGCTATTCCTACCAAACTACCAGTGACATTCTTCTCAGAACTAGAAAAAAACTATTTTAAAATTTATACAGAACCAAAATAGAGCCCAAATAGCCAAGGCAGTCCTAAGCAAATAGAACAAAGCTGGAAGCATCATGCTACCTGACTTCAAACTATACTACAGGGCTATAGTAATCAAAACAGCATGGTAGCAGTACAAAAACAGACACATAGGCCAATAGAACAGACTAGGGAGCCCAGAAATAAGGCTGCATAACTACAACCATTTGATCTTATACAAAGCTAACAAACACAAGTAATGGGGGAATGATTCCCTATTCAATTAATGGTGCTGAGATAACAGGCTAGCCATATGCAGAAGACTGAAACTGAACCCCTTCCTTATACCATATACAAAATCAACTCAAGATGGATTAAAGACTTAATGTAGAACTCAAAACTATACAAACCCTGGAAGACAATTTAGACAATACCATTCTAGACATAGGAACAGGCAAAGATTTCGTGACGAAGATGCCAAAAATAATCACAACAAAAGCAAAAATTGAAAAATGGGATCTAATTAAACTAAACAGCTTCTGCACAGTAAAAGAAACTATGAACAGAGTAAACAGACAAACTACAGAATGGGAGAAAATTTTTGCAAACTATGCATCTGACAAAGGTCAAATCTTCAGTATCTATAAGTACCTTAAACAAATTTACAAGAAAAAAAGCAAACAATCCCATTAAAAGGCGGGAAAAGGAAAGGAACAGACACTTTTCAAAAGAAGACATACATGTGGCCAACAAGCATATTAAAAAAACTCAACATCACTGATTATTAGAGAAATGCAAACCAAAACCACAATGAGATATCATCTCATAGCAGTCAGAATGGCTATTACGAAAAATAAAAAAAATAACAGATTTGGCAAAGAATCTGTTGCATAGAAAAGGGAACACTTATACACTGCTGGGAGAAGTGTAAATTAGTTCGACCATTGTGGAAGGCAGTGTGGCAATTCCTCAAAGAACTAAGAACAGAACTACCATTCGACTCAGCAATTCCATAACTGGGTATATACTCAAAGGAATATAAATCATTCTACTATAAAGATATATGCACATGTATGTTTATTGCAGCACTATTCACAATAGAAAAGTCATGAAATCAACTTAAATGCCCATCTGACATCCAAATCAAATGACAGATTGGATAAAGAAAATGTGGTACATGTATATCATAGAATAATATATAGTCATAAAAAAGAATGAGATCATGTCCATTGCAGGAACATGGATGGAGCTGGAGACCATTATCCCCAACAAACTAATGCAGGAACAGAACCAAATACCACATGTTCTCATTTTTAAGTGGGAGCTAAATGATGAGAATGCATAGACACATAGAGAGGAATGACAGACATTGGGGCCTACCTGAGGGTGGAAGGTAGAAGGAAACAAGAGGATCAGGTAAAATAACTAAGGGATACTAGGATTAACACCAGGGTGATGAAATAATCTGTACAACAAACCCGCATGACACAAGTTTACCTGTGTAGCAAACCTGTACATGTACCCCTGAATGTAAAATAATAGAAAAAATACAGTATACACATGCTCAGATTTGAATTTTCAACACACAATGAATAATGCTTTAGTATAAGTATATCCCATACACGTGGGACACATTTATACAAAAAAAAAATTTGCTGAATAATGATAAACACTAAGCCAAATGTGATGGGTCATGCTGGTAATCCCAGCTAGCAGGGAGGATTAGGCAGGAGGGTCCCTTGAGCCCAGGAGTTTGAGGTTACAGTGAGCTATGATGGTGACACTGCACTTTAGCCTGGGTGATGGAGTGAAACCCAAACTCCAAAATAAATAAATAAACAATAATAATAAACACCAAAATTAAAATTTAACTAGGCATTGTAAATTTTTGTTTGCTAAATCTTGCAATTTTATCTTAGTGTGATCAAGAAAATGATTATTTTTGTGGAGTACATTTGTTTAATATACCAGGATGGACCTAATGGATCATAAGATCAGAAATATGTAAAATAAGGCTTCATAATCACAACCTTTGTGGTAAATCTACACTGTGACTTCAACTATATTTAGCATCAATAATGTAGTTTTAAGCCAACTAATTAAGGTCCAAAATCAAGTTGGTGCAATTTGCAAATAAGACTCCTGGATTTGATGGGTTAGCATTCATCTGACCCTTCCCTGTTGACGAAAGTTGGGTGATGGGTTAGAGAGGTGTTGGATTCATTAAAGTAGTTGCATCTGTTGGAACTCAGATGTGAATTTGCTTTGTAATCAATTTCATTTAAAAAAGTGTTTCCACCATCATTATAAAGGTTGCAATAAAGATTTAAATTAACCCTTACTGTAATGCTAGGCACTGTTTGGGTTCTTTATACCATTAATTTCATTTAATTGAAAGACACATTTCAACATGTGGCTAGAACTGTTATTGACTTTCGATGTATTAAAGGATTCTTCTGGGATGTCTCAATAGTAATCATTTTTTTTTAATAGGAAATCATTTCCCACTCAAATACCAAAATTTAGTACTTTTTTTCTGAACAGAATCTAATGAAGGCCCCACTTCTCCACTTGTGTTTCAGATCTCTGGGAGTAATGGAGAAATTTGCAAATATTTAACACCTGCACCTCGATCTTTCATCTTCAAAAATCTTATTTTTATTTAAGAGTAGAGTGTATGACCAAGAACAACAGTTTACAGTGTTCACTTGATTAAACAAAAACATTCATGGAATTCGAGTGGTTCCATCTGAACTAGACAGTTTAGACTGATGCAGTGTGGAAAGGATGTGGAATCACAGAAGAATTAATGTGAAGTATATGATTTTGGCACTGGGAAGGCCCTATGAATACCATCAATTTGAGAGTTTTTTAAAGTATCTAAATGTGTTTACACAGCTGGATATTCAGTTTCAGCCTGATCTCTTTTCTTCATGTTTCCAGGTTATTTACAAATGTGTTTCCCTCTGTTATTTTTAATGCATTTTATTTTCCAAATTTGGATTTTAAAACCTCAGATAGCAACATAATATTGTGAAACAGTTTCTGGGACTTTTGTGTGTTACATATATCAGTATTAGGAGAAAAAGAGCCTTCTGGAATGTAAACCTTTTAAAAATATATCTTACGGCTTTACCTAATCAATAAAACAAGGATTCATTTTATAAAACATATTTATATGTGGATGATTAACTTTTTTGCAATCTTGAGTTATAATCAACATAATCCAAATTTTAGCAATATTCTGAAATAGCAACTCTATTCAATATTTATATTTTCCTTTTTGTAGATCCTTGATTTTTGTCAGAATTTTTTAAACTTAATCTAAAGTCAGTGCAATGTAAGGGATGGAGAATGTGATGTGAATTTTAAAGATCTCTGTCCATGTCTCAGGCACAATTGCTGGCTGTTTGATTTAGAGAAGTTATTTAACCTCTGCATGCCCCAGATTTCTCTCTTGTGAAATGGAGTGTTATTTTTCAACTGCCTTCTTCATTTAGTATCAGGAGGCCTAATGAGATAATGTGCCAGAATAGTTATCCTGAATCATCTTCTTTGGGAGAATGTAAGCTCACAGGCACAAAGGCCAATCCATACGAGCTGGGTAGAGGTCTTTCTCCTCCATACAGTTCCATGTTGGATTAGGGACCTTGTCGAAACTATTCTTGGCCACAGTATCCACAAAGGCACACATATATCCAGGAGAGGGAAGGGCAAAAGCCCTGGGAACTCCCAGAAAGAAAAGTGGTAAAATATAGGGGCAGAAAAATGATTAGAAATCATCAAAGACCTATAATAAAATATATTACTTATCAGCTATAGTAATTTGTTTTTTGCTCATTAAATAATTTGTTAGAACATTGATGGGCACATTTGGGGAGCTCAATAAATATTTTTTGGATGAATGAATTACTATGAATTTATCTCTCCTGATGCACTAGAATTCATCCTATAATAGACAATGTTAGCTACGTCACCTTTAAGGGTCTTTTTTCCTTTTGCTTGAGAAAACTCTTAGCATGGAGTAGTATTCAGATGCAGTATTTGTGTTATATACACCAGATATTTTTGTGCAATTGTCTTCTTATTGCTTATTGGTGTTTGTTTTTTCCAATATATTTGATATCAACCTATTGATTGAGATGATTTCTTCATAAAATTGCTTTAACTCCATTCTTTAGGAGATGGTCCCACTCTTACAGAGCATGAAATTCTGCCTTAACAAACATCTTTGCAGGCAGGTAAATAGAATACCTTGCAGCTGGAGCTGAATCTATCCCTTCTGCTGAGAAAAAATCTGTCTGGAAAGGTGACTGTGGATGGAGCTGCAGAGATTGTCTCTCTTTTGGCCCCAGAGGAGACATGGACTCCTTGGCACAAAGGAGAAAATCAAACAGTCCCATTTTTCTAAATGAGATGAATGCATTTTTCCTCTGTACTGGTGGTTCCCAATCTGTTTTGGCTTGAAGCCCGCCACGGTCTCCCCTTGCTGCAATGTACTTTTACTAGAATTCTCATGGCAGCTGCTGCTCTAACTTTTAAAAAAGGCCTCTCTTATTCTAAAGAAAATCTTAGTTAATAAATGTGTAAACTTGATTTGCTTAAATCCATGTGTCTGGCTTATGCTCATATCATCTTTTCCAGATGACTGCCATTTCAGTGACTTCACTGCCTTCTGTGCCTCCGCGCACCCCTTGCATCCATTTCCATACACTATCGTGAAATGTAACTCCGCTCCTCTATGCCAATTTTGCAAGTTCATTTTTCCTGAAGATTTATACGTGGCATGTCCTGCAGCCAATAAAGGACAGAATAACAAATAATGGGACAAAGACTTCTGTTGCTGGCATTACAGAAGACCTGCTATTCAGAGAAAGCTCTTTCAGTATCAAACACCTGAAAAATTCTGGATTAAATATTAAGTTTTATGAAAAGCATGGCTGAACGAGCAGTAAAGGAAATAATCAGTGGCCAGACATGTTCGAATCCAGATGTGTAAGCACACGCTAGATCTGACATGTGCTTGAAGGCAACTCCAATTGCTGGTGGTCTGGAGCCTGCGTTGTAATAGACATCTATTACTGGAGGACAGGACACAAAGCTGAGAGTTGAGCAGCTTTCTGAGCCACAAGTTGAGCAGGCGATAGCAAGGTAAGTCTTACATAAAATTGGGACACCAAAGAATGACATATTTTTCCGAAACAAAACCCCTTATATAGCAGAAGGACTGTGCACATTTGTGTATTTCAACCTTGACTCTGGCAGAAGCAGGAAAAAAGTGAAAATTCATAATTACAAATTTCCATTCATAGAGATTTGTCGCTGGAATTTACGTTGTAAATGTGATTTCCATCTACCTGTCTCCTTAAAAAGCTGAAAATTTAGCTTCAAGTGGTCCTAGGTTGATATTACACGTTTAACAGTGGGTACATACTAGATGTTGACAATCAATTAACTGTTGGACACAGTTCACCACATTGTGCCAGGCCTTGTGGAAGGACTGAAGGGTCCCAGGGGAAAGACCAGGGAAGAAGTTGGGGGAAGCACCCAGGGTTCTCAAGGCAACAGCTATTTACTAATTGCCATTGCTGTATTTCAGTTATTTAGTAATTTATATGGCCATATTAGCCTTAGACTGGTAAGTCACCCAAATGTTCTGAGTCTTGGTTTCCTCCTATTCTGTAGCTTGTCTGCCTCACAGGGTTTTTAAATAATGTCTGTGAAAACACTTTGTGACAAAAGAAGTAGCAGTTAATGAAGGTTCAGCTTTTACAGTTTTGCTTCAGTGTACCAGGTAATGCTTTATGGTCTGAAATAATTTACTTAGTTCCTCAAAGTGCCTAAAGTGGAGGTTTCATATGATTTTCTCATCTGAATTTCTATTGGATGAATAGTTCTTGCTGTTAAAGGAAATGTGGTGAAAGATGGTCAGTAAAGTAGGCTTTGGGGAGAAATTTCACAAAAGCGTAACTCTCTTCTTGGAACAAAGCTCTCACAAGTACTAAAAAAATGGGGATGAATGCTGGAGGTGTTAATCAGGAAGGTGACAAGTATAATGGCAACAGTCTCACGGAGACGTTGCTGAAGAGGTGCCAATACCTTATGGAGCTGCTGTTGAGGCCAAAGGGGAAGCGCTAAAAAGGGGTGCTGGATTGCATGGGCAGAAGGGGGCTCCCCTTCCCAAACAAAAAAGGAAGCCAAGAGATCAAAGGGAAAATGTTAAAGCCCATTAAGGGAAGAGAGATTAACGAAAGGTTAAATATTAAATCCAGGAACAAAAGACCCCTAGACTTCCCCACTGCATGTGGACTGAACAAAACCTCTGGTACTCAGTGTCGAAGAAACTCCCTTCTTTAAACTGGTAACCTTTATTTCCTTTAGTTGCTGGGAAGTGGAGTCCGGGTCACCAATGGAGGTCATTGGGGGTGAAGAATCAAGCAGCCAGTGACTGAGTGGTCAATCAAAGGAAGGCCTCCACAGGTGCAAAATATGAGGTAGATGATGACAAAAGTCATCCAGTGAACTAGCACTCACCTCTGCTGCAGGCTTGGGTGATCCAGAATTTCCAAAGAGCAGTGTCCTAAGGAAGCAGTGGAGTTGAAAGTACATGGTGCAGAAAGGGAACGGTGCCAGAGAACTTGTCTTGGAAATTGCTTTTGAGTAACCGGACTCAGTTTCCTATTAACAGATCCTGAAGAGGGCTATAGTAGACATTATGAGGGAGCTTTAGCTCTTCCACTCCCACTCCCTGGCACTCCTCTATGCCACTACTGGTCAGAAGAGCTGGAAAAGAATGAGGAGCTGACCTTTTGTTCTCCTGCCTAAAGGAGGATTTTTTCTTTTCACCAGTCTATTTTCATATACTGGGGTTCTGTTCTTCTTTTGAGGGTCCCTTGTCTTAAAGCCTTTATATCCTCACTGTCTTTGGAAAATTCTGGAATATTAAAACTATGACCACTCCCCTGCCATAAATATCTGAAAAAAAAAAAAAAAAAAAATAGTGAGATAAGAAAAAAGGTAGTCTTGGAGGATAACTTGTTGCCTTTCCTCTCTGTTGTATAGTACAGGGTGGAAGTATACTGGGAAAATCTTTTCAGAGACCTTAACACTTGGATTTGAGTCCTAGCCCTTGCTATTTATGCGCTATGTAATCGTGGGGCTGATCATATCATCACATTAATTCTTTTTTCTTTTTTTTTTTTGAGACAGAGTCTTACTCTGTCACCTAGGCTGGAGTGCAGTGGCACTATCTCGGCTCACTGCAACCTCCATCTTCCAGGTTCAAGCTATTCTCCTGCCTCAGCCTCCTGAGTAGCTGGGATTACAGGCATGCACCACCACGCACAGCTAATTTTTGTATTTTTAGTAGAGTCTGGGTTTTGCCATGCTGGCCAGGCTGGTCTCGAACCCCTGACCTCATATGATCTGCCTGCCTCAGCCTCCCAAAGTGCTAGGATTACAGGCGTGAGCCACCGCGACCGGCCTCATCACATTGTCTTTTTTTTTTTTCCAGCTATTAACTAAGGGTGTGGGGGCTCTTAAAGTCGACCTACATGTCCCTTTTCTTCTAAACCTTCTCAGACTAAGTTATCCACATGGGGACGAGAACAGTTTTTTGTTTTGCTTTTTTTTGTTTTCTACCTTTAAAGTTTATGACAGCAAAGTAACATATATTAAGTATAATTTCCCCTCAACTTACCTTGGGTAGGCCAGCTGCATTTCCAATTGATATTCACCCTATTTTCTTTCTCTAAAATGGAAATAAAATGCAAAGTTAGATCACATTCTCCTAAGCTCTCCAAGTCCTCTGCATTGCTCCTTTAAAATTGTCCACCACATTTCCATTTACTTGTCCAGTATATCTTTCATCCTAGATTGGAAGCTTGGTGAGGGTAGGGACCAAGTATGTGTTGTTCAACATCGTATGTCTGGCAGTTAGTGCCTGATGGCATAGTAGTTATTCAATATATATTGGATAAATGAATCAATGAATTATTTTATAAATGAAAGAGATGAAACTCTAAAGTCTAATAAGGATTGATAGAATGATTCTTTGAAAGTTTTTAAAAAACACTTAACATTCCTTGCTTTTATTATTTACAGACCATTAGAAATAATTATCACATTTATCTAGCCAGACTGGGACTCTGGCTGCTTTGATGAAAATCTTAAAGAGATAAGGGACGATTTATCTGAGTACTTTCGACTTTCTGCCTATTACCGATCTCTGTGGATGTCTGGTGTCACTTAAAGTTCAGAACACAGTCTATATCTGATTATCCCTCTGCTACCTAAAGTCCAACTTGGTGACATCTTTAGCATCTTATTGTCCCAGATACAATTTTAGAGATGGTCCCAGTCCAGTCGCAAACAACTACAGTGATTCAAAGTTAATTTGCCTTCATGACCTATTTATGTCAACCGGGGTCATTAACTCTCCTTTATGACAAGGTTTTCATTGGTAATATGACATTTGCCTGCCATATGAACTCTCTAAGGAAGTTAGATAGCTAATTTCAAAGCCCTCTTAATGTTTTCAAGTTACTTTGTTGTTTTCAAGTAATTAGTGATTCTCCACTATGCTAGTAGACGTGATCATAAAACAGTTTTCTGCCTTGGTGTGTTTATTTTGTTTATTCTTTCACTGGTCATCTTTAAAGCATCTGTATTATGTACTGGGCACTATAGGAACAATAGAAATCATGGTATAGTTCCTGCCCTCAGAGTCCTCGTCCTGCTCTCTAGTGGGGAGTGTGGTTGCACATGTCAGCTGGTCATTAGAATACAGTTAATGAATGTTCTGCCATATGCTAGCCTAGAGAACCCTGGAGCACATGGGAGAAATTATTATAAGACTGGAGAAGACATTAAAGACTTCTCAAAAGGGTGTGGGAGGAGCCAGTAAGATTTTGTCTCTTGCTCTCTCATTCACTCATGCTCTTTTTTTTTTTTTTTTTTTTTTTTTGAGACTGAATCTTGCTCTGTTGCCCAGGCTGGAGTGCAGTGGGGTAGTCTCGGCTCACTGCAGCCTCCATCTCCTGGGTTCATGCAATTCTCCTGCCTCAGCCTCCTGGGTAGCTGGGACTATAGGCATGTACCACCACGCTTAGCTAATTTTTGTATTTTTAGTAGATAGGGGGTTTCACCGCGTTGGCCAGGCTGGTCTCCAACTCCTGACCTCAGGTGATCCGCCCGCCTCCGCCTCCCATAGTGTTGGGATTACAGGTGTGAGCCACCATGCCTGGCCACAGAGTTTCATCCTTATTGCCAAGGAGCTCATTGAGGTATGATTTCTTGTTTGTTTCTTTGTTTGTTTGTTCTTTTGGAGAGACGAAGTCTTCCTCTGTCGTTCAGGCTGGAGTGCAGTGGCGCAATCTCAGCTCACTGCAACTTTGGCCTCCTGGGTTGAAGCAATTCTCCTGCCTCAGCCTCCTGAGTAGCTGGGACTACAGATGCACGCCGCCATGCCTGGCTAATTTCTTTTGTATTTTAGTAGAGATGGGGTTTCACCTTGTTACCCAGGCTGGTCTCGAACTCCTGAGCTCAGGCAATCTGCCCGCTTTGGACTCCCAAAGTGTTAGGATTACAGGCATGAGCCACCGTACCCGGCCGAGGTATGTTCTTAAATGAAAATAGTTCCTTTCCTAAGAGGACTCCTAGTATTAGTTGTTGAAACCATGTTTTAATAGACTATTATGAAGACATCTCCATTATTCCACTATATAATAGAAATGTTTTCATAGAGAAGGAGAGATTTAAGTAAAGCTTTAATGGAGAACTCTGCACATGTGCATGCACAAATTCTAAGTATATCAACAAACGATGGCAAAAACAGAGAGAGAAGCATTCATTGCATATTTTGTGAAAGAAAGAATAGACCGGTATTTTTGGAGAAAAATATTTGTAGACGTAGTTAAATATAAAGGTTTAAAGGTCAATATGGGCCAGTTTCTTCAAAGCTTTGACTATTAGACTTAAGAGTTTAAACTTTAAATGAAGGAATTTTGACTTAATTTTGAATAACAAGGTATTATGTTCCCCATCTTGTCTATGATACAACTCAAGGTCATTTACATGAATATGAGGTTCTTCGTGTATTTTCCAACTTTATTTTACTGAGCTATTTGTAGTGTCACCAACATGTCATTTGGTTTCACAATCAAAAACCTTTACATACACACATGTGCTTACCACTTTGCATATTAATGGATTTTTTCAAATTATTGTTTTGAGACACCTTTAGAACATTTTACTGTTCCCCTTTTTCTCCTTATCTCACATAAAATGAATCGTTTTATCTCTTTTACTTATAATCTTTATATAATATTATATATTATTATATTATTTTATTTGCAGATATATTATTCTTAACAGACTATAATATATAGGAGGTCAAGAACTCTATCCTCCTCCTCATCTCCTCTTTCCCCTTTTTCTTCTTCTTCTTCTCCTCCTTCTTCTTCTATTTTTGATGCCAAAGATCTAGCTCAGTGCTGGAGTTACAGGAAGCTCTCTCTGTGCATTTTTCCTGAATTAATCTGAAGTGCTATGTGACTTCGGGAAATTTATGAAAACACTTTGACTCTCATTTGTCTCATTTCAAAATAGTTATAAAATATGCTTCATTCAATTATCTCAGATATTAAATAAAATTGATCATGTAGAGCGCTTAGGATAGTCCTTTCCATTAAGATACTGTCAAGACAATTTATCTATAAGCTATTACTGGGTTGTTAACGGAATGTAATCTTATAGATGTGGGCGCCTGTTTGGTACAATCTTAGAGTAGTGTTGCAATAAAGAAAACGTAGTCCTATAGCCAAAAATAACTCAAATATTTTACATGTAGTTGTCAAAGAACCTCAAAGGAAACCCACATATAATCCACCATAATACTTTGTGACATCCTCGTTCCTTTCCTTCCTGATTTTGTCAAAGCTCAGCATACTTTATTGTTGCTCTGTCTGCAAACCACCCAGGTGAGACGAAAATAAAAGAGGGATATTAAACTATCTTTAGTGGGGTGTACCAGTTTGTGTATGCATGTATGTGGATCCAGACGTATTTGTACCTTCCCGAGTTTTAAGTCTTTATTTCAGAATATGATAAAGTGCTAGAAGAATGAAAAACAGAGAAAATCACTGTTAACTGAAGTGACTGGAAAGGCTTGATGGAGTAGGGGATCCTAAACTCTGTAAAGTTTCACTACTTATATCAGCAAGTGGAAGACATTGCAGGAGAAAGAAATAGAATGAGCTATGCTAAGGCACAGAACAAAAGACTATCAGATGTATAAGGGACAATGTGTAAAGTGGCTGGGGGTTTTGGAAAATTAAATAGGTAAATTAATTCAACACTGCCATTTGAACTGAATTTTCTCCAATAGCACTCAGAGGAAGTGTGGTAATGAATAAATCACAACAGAGAAAGAAGACCATGAGATTAAACCTACCAGATTTTCCTAGTGAGCCAATGTTTTGAGTTTAAAACAAGTACCTAGTTGTTCAAATTTCATGAGGCATGAGAACACTCAGCTGTCTAGATCCAAATTTTTTAAATTAATCACAAACACCTTCTGCCAGGACCTTTGAGGAATGGGTTCTCAATTTATAAGTGACTCAGCAAACATCAAAGTAGCATAAGGTTTGCATTTTAGCCAATTATTTCTCTTTAAAGACCCAATGCTTTATTCTGTTAGCTGCCTTGTATGTAGAATTGCCAGATAAAATACAGTTTGTAGCAAATAATTATTTAATATATGTATGTCCCAAATATTTCACTGTGTATACTTAACACTAAAAATTATCTGTTTATCTGAAATTAAAATTTAACTGGACATCTTGTAATTTTATTTGCTAAATCTGGCAAACTTACACACACTACAAGTATATTTCACAGAAAAAGATAATGGTTTAGAGTACTTAATAAAGCCATTCACATGCCCAATTAGGTATTTTTCTTTAAAATGAATTTTGAATAATCTCTTTCAACCCCTGCCATACATATGCCTACTGATTAAGGAGGGAAAAGTACACAATGGATCCTAAGGCATTTTAGTGAAAATCTTTAGCTTCTCTTCCTTAATCTTCTTTATTTGTTTAGTGGAAGTAAATTCAATTATCCTTTAAAATATCTGCCTTTTGTGTAATATTTTAACAACAACAAAAAGAAATCTGGCATAAAATATCTAGTTTTAAATATTGTATTTTCTTGAAATAGTTGCTTATTAGTCAAAGCTGCTACTTCATACAGAATTGGATCGCATGCAAAAAATAAACAACTGTATTAAAATGCTCTGTGTCTCACTTTGAGAGGCCCAGGCAGGCAGATCACTTGAGCCCAGGAGTTCGAGCCCAGCCTGGCCAACATGGTGAAACCTCATCTCTACTGAAAATATAAAAATTAGCCAGTATTCATGGCAGGCATCTGTAATCCCAGCTACTCTGGAGCCTGAGGCAGGAGAGTCGCTTGAACCCAGGAGGCAGAGGTTGAAGTGAGTGGAGATTGTGCCACTGCACTCCAGTCTGGGCAACAGAGGGAGACTCCGTCTCAAAACAAAACAAAACAAAACAAAACAAAGAACTCTGTTTCTGAAAGGAGTGCTTACACAGCATGCTTTGTCTTAAGGATAGATAGTTTTGATATATTATTCAAATATTTGTCTTAGACAAATAAAAGATATTAACATGGAATTCTTCAGATTGATACATTTATTAGGGAAACATTCCGAAGTGGAACTTTAGATTTGAGTGGGGAGTAATTCAATGTCCTCCTTTAATTTTGTATGGTTGGAGGGCTAAACAGTTTCACCGGGAAATAGTTCAGAGTAAATGCAATTTCTCTATATAGCTTACACTGAGGCTCACCAAATTAGTTTCAAAAATGGCAGTGCAACATTTTGAAACAGAGCATGAGCAGAATTTCAACCACCTGTTCTTGGTTGAGAAGATACAACTAGATAGAAGTCTTCCCTTTGCTATGCTTATAAAGTTATACTTTGGAAATGTAAAATAATTATAAGAATTATGTAAATAGAAATTGCCTTTTTATTTGATAACTTTCCCTATGTGCAGAAATAAATTCTTTTTCTAAAAAAGTAATTTGTTAAGGCCGTATATAACTAATGGGGAAGTCTGTTATTTGTCTGACAGAATTACAGGGCAAGACGGATATCCATTTCATTTCCTATCTCTAAGCAGGATAGTAGAAGAGCATTAGACAATGGAAGTCTCAATATAACAAAATTAGAATAAAATATGCAAAGGCCAAGACTATTCTTTGAAAAAGCTTTTTCAGAAAATCACAATACAAGCTGGGCGCAGTGGCTCACACCTGTAATCCCAGCACTTTGGGAGGCTGAGACAGGCAGATCACCTGAGGTCAGGAGTTTAAGATCAGCCTAGCCAACATTGGTGAAACCCTGTCTCTACTAAAAATACAAAAAATTAACCAGGCATGGTGGCATGTGCCTGTAATCTCAGCTGCTCAGGAGGCTGAGATAGGAGAATCACTTGAACCTGGAAGGCGGAGATTACAGTGAGCTGAGATCGCACCACTGCACTCCAGCCTGGGTGACAGAGCGAGTCTCAAAAAAAAAAAAAAAAGAAAGAAAAAGAAAACCACAGTACAGTACTTCCCTAATTGAAAAAAGTTTGTGTATTTTTATGATTTCTTTCACTGACAGGAATACATTCTTAAGACTTAGAGAGATAAATAGTAATGGCAAGGCATATAACTAGATTAGTAACTATGAATTAAGATAGGCTGGCATATAGTAGGTACTCAAGACATTCATGAAATGAATGAACGAATGTTATTCTGATGATTCTAATACATATAAAAATATTTTTTGAAATTTCCACCATTTAGAACCCATTATTCTAAGAGGATTGATTAATTTTATAAACTGCTTCCACAGTAAGGGAAGTGATTGAAAAAAAATAAATAAATGACTGGGCTTTTGTTTTTCTGAATGGGATGTGCAACTTTGAGGGTAAAAACTTAAATTGCTCAGAATGATAGAGGGGACTTGTTTTTAAAAGCTAGAAAAATAGAAAGAGGAAGAATGAAAAAATGGCAGTTCAGAATAGAGATATTTATTTATTTATTTATTTGGAGAAAGAGTCTGGCTCTGTCGCCCAGGCTGGAGTGCAGTGGCATGATCTGGACTCACTGCAACCTCTGCCTCCTGGGTTCAAGCAATTCTCGTGCCTCAGCCTCCCGAATAGTTGCGATTACAGGCTTGTGCCACCACGCCTGGCTAATTTTTTGTATTTTAGTAGAGACAGGGTTTCACCATGTTGCCCAGGCTGGTCTTGAACTCCTGAGCTTGGGCAATCCACCCACCTTGGCCTCTCAAAGTGCTAGGATTACAGGTGTGAGCCACTGTGCCCGGCAGAATAGAGATATTTAATGTGAAATATTCATCAAGTTTCTACTGCATGAAGAAAAGTATTTTTGTTCTTCCCTATGAAATTTTATGCAAAATATGTCCATTTTTGTTTAATATGGACAGATTTATGTTTATTGTGGTAAAATGGTTCCATGGTGGGCATTGGGCAAGAAGTAACACCAAATTTCCATAGGGGTCTTATACATCTTTAAAGTAGGCAAATCTCTTTATTAATTTACTTGCTCAAAATGCATCAGTGGCTATCAATAATCCATAGCAGTGATTTTTAAAATCAAGTGGAAAGGAAGAAATGCTGTATCAATCACCTGAGACATTTTTCAAAATACATATGGTAACCATGTGTATTTGGAAAAGAATTCCCATGTGGTTCTCCTATTTTCTTCCTAGAACTTTTGTCCATTTTTGAATGACTGGCTTACCTGATAGAACCTAAACTAGTATAGCATAGAAGGCTGTCAAAATATGGTCCATATTTTTTTTCCAAATTTACCTGGTTATTCCTGCTTTAAGCTTTATACTCCAGATATAGTAAACAAATTATATGTTTTGTGTTCAGCCCAACTCTTTTTTTTTTTTTTTTTCCTCCTTTTCAAATGCTCTCCTCTCTGCCTGGAATACTGTCTTCTTTACTAGCTTGCCTGGTCAATGCCTATTCATTCTGCAAATGTCAGCTTCTTGTTCCCGTAAAATTTTGTATGTAACTAATTTAAATGCTATTTCCATTCCTATTTTTGTTTAGACTACGAGATCTTTCAGAACTGAGGCTATGTCTTTCTACCTTTGTACATTATAAGGTCATTATAAGGGGAGGGCAGTGTAAGGTCAAACACATAGTTGGTTCTTAATAAATATTTGTTAATATTAAATGATGAAAACAAATGGAGCTTGGGGTTGATAGGGTGGTGGGAAAGACAAATATGCCATGTCTCTGTTGCCCATTTTATTTTCAAGAACGTGTCAGAGATAATACCTATAAGCCTATTTGTGAACTTTCAACCATTTAAGAAAAAGTTTCATTAAAATCTTTTCTTTCAAACATTTCACATGGGATACGTTATCGGGTACAATTATTTTTTGTTGCAGTTTACATAGTACAGGAACCAATAGGTTGGGTTATACTTTTTTTCTCTTTTTAAAAAGAAAGCAAAACTGTTATTAAAAGTGGCAACCACTTAAAAGTTGGGAGTGATATAGACATTAAGCCACCATAGAGAACACTTTGCATGGCGATGTCTTGAATCTACAATGCTTTTTGCCATAAAGGAGGACCAACGAATTGATATGTAAATGAAGTGGGAAGTAGGGTGAAGGGAAGAAAAGAAATGTAATTGAAACATTATATATGTATATTGTTGTGAATGATCCAATAGGAGAGAAAATAAAATGATTTGGGAGAGAAAAGAAAGAGGCATGGGAATGATATCTCTGAGTAGGCTGGAGGGGTGAAAAAGCAATGAATAAGTGTAGGTGGCAGGTGAGAGGACCAGGGAGGCCCCTGTACGAATGGCCTGTGTTTAACCCCAAAGCCTAACTTCTTGTGAGGAGATGCTACCTCCAGGCATGTCTTGAGCTTGAAATTAAGACTTTGTCCATTTCAGCCATGCTGACCTTGTGGAAAGGTTTGAGGTAAATCGCAAGGGCCCTAATATTAGCAGGTTAGGCCTATAGGTTGCCAGAAGAAACCGAATTATGCTCATCTCTGGGGCAAGTTGCTCTGCTGCCTGCATCCTGAAAAACTGCTCACTGAGAAAATACTGTGATAGAGTGTGACCACCGTATGTTCCTCAGACACCCAGTCTTTTTTGTTGTTGTTGTTTTATTTTCAGTTGAAAGTGACTTCTCTGAGCTATTAGGTTTTGGTGATGAGTTTTGCTCAGGTGACATTAAATAGTCCAGCAGAGGTCAGAGCCTGCAGTAAATTGATGCACTGATTTTGATGTAATGTGCCTTAGATTTTGCCAGTAGTAGGGCTATAGCAGCTCCTGTTTTCAAGAGAGATGCCATGTGGCAGCCACATTAAGAGCAGCATTAACATATGGAACTGGTGGCCAGATTTTTCTGGTTTCTCTCTACACCCTGATAATGACCAGAACTTAGTAAGCATCTCCAGTTAATTGTTAAATGCTTCACAGGAAATGTAACAACAAGAAGAACCAAAAGTTATCAAGGATGATGTCTTAACTCTTTTAATTACATTACTATATAAAATGAGACCTCATTTTGTACTTAAAGTTGAGAAAGTAGGACATATAGATTGTCATAAATATTTGCCTACTGTTATCTGTGAAGTTCACTTCCTTACTCACATATAACAACAGACTCTCAAGTTAAAATCTTGCTTATTTACTCTATTAATAGGAGATATATAGCACATTCTTAATTCATCTCAATACCTTATGGATGTAATGGAGTTGGTATTATATTCATGGCTGCTCAAGCCAGAAAATGAAAATGTATCATCTTTGTCAATATGAAATAGTTTAAAGTAATTTAAACCATTATACTTTTTTTGGCCACTGTGTCTATTTATAATCCAGTAGTCATAATGCCTTGAATAGCCTAAGGACTAAAGACTAAAAAAGAGTTTTACATGAATTTGAATTATAAGTTTGTACATTTATATTCTTTATTTATGATACTATGATGTTATCAAAAATGGGAAAATAACAAGCTTTATTGTAGTGTTCCTTCTAATTACCAAGTTTTGTTCTCCAGTATGTGAAGAGGCTATTAACCTATCTTTATGAGACTGCATAGAGCTAACATGTTGCAAAAATGATATCCATCTTTCTGCTATGTTCGTCAGCTGGAAAATAGATTATTGGATGTAGAGTCCAAGATTTGAGCTCTGGTCCTAGTCCAGTTTATAAGTACTTGTACAAATGTTGGCAAGCCACTTTTTCTAGGTTTCAATTTCCTCTTATGTAAAATAAATGGGTTGAGCCCAAGAATCTCTAAGGTTTCTTCCAACAGTAATGGTGTACGTATGTGATTCTAGTCATTTTCCCCAGTTGCATGTGTTACTGCTAACTGGCTAATGTCCAGAGAGGGTTGGCGCTTTGCTAGACTCAACGAATATTATTTTGATATATTACATTTGCTAGGAAGAACAATAGACTTCCATTAAATAAACAAATTATTGAGTGAAGACCAGTTCACTGAACAGAGGCATAAGCTACATATTTGCTGAACACTCTCAAATATTAGCAGATTATGTAAAAAGCTAACTGGCCCAGCAAAGATTTTTACATGTGTCCAGTATTTCATTCATTTGCTTTATGTATTGCTACTTTCAAAAATTCCATGGGTGTAGAAATCACTTCAGAAATTAATGGACAAAGGCATTCTATTGATAGAAGACAAAATACTTTATGGTTGAATTTTCTAGGCTGCTTTCCAGATGTTTGAGTAAGGAGTACCTGATAGACTAGAATACAAAGTAAAATTGTCTCATAACGTACCTAGAAATGACTCATTTTTATTATCCCATCTCAGCTTTTCTTTCTAACAGAGCTAATATATTTAACTTAGAGTGGACCTTAGTTATTTTTAAAAGTAAGTTTATCAAACCATCAAACAATCTTAAATATTTTCATGATCTGTTCATGAGTCATGATAGCACAATCTCCATTTGATATTTTCTTCCATCATGTATTACCGTTAAAGGAATGTAATCACTTTTCAGAAAACTATTATTAACTATATTCAAGAAGCCCATGGGTATTTAGAAATAAAACAAAAGTAATCTTGGACATTTTCAAATTATACGAAGAAGTTAAACTTGGGGATAAATGTCTCCCTTGTGTTTATTTATTTTTGTTCTTCTATAAAACAGTGAATTGTGACTTTTATTATAAAGGAATGCATACTATAGTGGCTTCATAAATAATGTTAATTAGTTATCCATATGTATGTGTATATACCCATACCAAATTTCATTTGATGTACAGAATCAGAGCTGGTTGTAACTTTCAGATGAAAAGCATCAGGCCACCCAGCTTGAACTAGTAATTACTTCAGCAAATAGCTGTATGCTTTTGTTTAGGAAATACGCATTTGAGACTACGCATTTTAGTACATTTAAAGAACAATTCCTTAATGCCTTCTCCTTACAAAAACAAATGCAAACTTTGGTGTGAAACTGTGAATTTCACTCTCAAAAAACATATATCATGTATAAAAACAGATAGCCTGCACCTTACAAAGATGGTCTAAGTTATATACCCAGCCACATTCTTCATAGACAATATCATTTTCTATTTAATTAAATAATCAGGAATGAACTATTCTACAACTTTAGTTATATCTACCTCTTCAGATATTGCAGTGTGTTAATCTCTCTACTTTTCCCAATCATTTCTTTGTCTCATCATCCAGCTGAGGTTTTATACTCTGTCATTTTAATAATCCTTTGTAATTATAGAAATACCTTTTTAATTACTTTAAACCTCCTAGTAAAACCCATTCTTCCTAACAGCCAATTCTCATTGCTGGTGCTGGAGTAGTCCTGGAGAAAGTCGCACCAGAGGCCACCTGTGTTCCACTACTGATTTGCAATCATTGCATTCGAATTAATTTTTTGTTTGTTTGTTTGTTTTGCTTTTGTTTTGAGACGGAGTCTGGCTCTGTCGCCCAGGCTGGAGTGCAGTGGAGCGATCTGGGCTCACTGCAAGCTCCACCTCCCAGGTTCACGCCATTCTCCTGCCTCAGCCTCCCGAGTAGCTGGGACTACAGGCGCCCGCCACCACGCCTGGCTAATTTTTTGTATTTTTAGTAGAGACGGGGTTTCACCGTGTTAGCCAGGAGGGTCGCGATCTCCTGACCTCGTTATCCACCCGCCTCGGCCTCCCAAAGTGCTGGGATTACCGGCGTGAGCCACAGTGCCCGGCCTCAAATGAATTTTTGATGCTCCTTGGCTATTCTCTTTTATTTCTGGTGAAGTATCTGCCTAGCTCCTTTTTATGGCCATTTTTGTACCTTGTTCTTCCTCCTTAAACACCCTAAGCACTGCCTCCACCTTGTCACTTTCAGCAGATAACACAACCTCCTATAGCAAATCCTTCCACTCACCTCTGCCAAATTAGAGAATTGCTACATTTGCGTTAATTCTTTCCTTCTCCTGGCTAGAAAAAACTGAGAGCTTTCACTTTTTCTTTCTAATGATAATTCCTTCTTCCCAGCATGGGATCCATCTTATTCCTTCCTTTTCAAAAGCTTTACCTTTTATTCTTCCCTTCTCTCTTCTATATATTCACCTTCCCTTTCTCAAGGGAATCCTCTCTCTTCTTTTTTTTTTTTTTTTTTTTCTCTGAGACAGAGTCTCCCTTTGTAGTGCAGGCTGGAGTGCAGTGGTCCAATCTCAGCTCACTGCAACATTCACCTCCCGGGTTCAAGCCATTCTCTTGCCTCAGCCTCCCAAGTATCTGAGATTACAGGCACGTGCCACCACACCCAGTTAGTTGTATTTTTAGTAGAGATGGGTTTCACTATATTAGCCAGGCTGGTCTCAAATTCCTGGCTTCAAGTGATTTGCCCACCTCGGCCTCCCTAAGAGCTGGGATTACAGGTGTCAGCCACTGTGCCCCACCTACTTCTCATTTTTAAACCTGCTCAAGTACATTTTACTTTAAAAATAATCACAAATCAATCACACAGGACCTCATAGCTGCTGCTCATCATACCTCTTTTCTCCTTTTCAGCCAATCTTCTCAAAAGAATGATTTTTTTACTTGTGTTCATCATTTTCTCAATTTTTAGCGCCTCCCAGTCCACTATGATTTGGGTTCTATTCCATCATTTCACCAGAACAGCTTTTGCTAAATTCATCAAAGAATTTAATAACAATAGGAATAGTAGTACAGTAGTGATATAACAGCAAAAAAAGTAACAGTAATAACAATAGTAGGAGCAGGATGAATTACAGGGTGATGGTGTTGACAAAGAAATCTTGGGCCGAGAAGAGATGAACATTTTGGAAGCTTGTCTCATTGATATTGCCCCAGTAGTGGGTGCTCGAAAAGTGGCTAGAATTAATCTTAGCTGAGGATAAAAAAATATGAGGATGTCTGTCGGTGGTAGTGGTGGTAGTTAAAATACTTAATATTTAGTGTAAAAAATTTCAAAGTACTAAATGAGATATGGATAAGCCAAAGCGAGTTTCCCTAAGTAATATGTTCTTAATGAGTCTTGTTTTATTAGGTTTCCATTCTGCTTTTAATCTTTTATCCAATCTGTACAAAAACGAAAAAAAATTACACTAGAATTGTAATTACATAACATTGATATAGCAATGAACCGTTGGAAAAAAATGGCTTGTCATAATTTGATTAAATGAAACTCACTATATCTAGAGGAGAAATGCTGTTCAAACAACTCTTACCCGTTTACAGTTATTATTTGTTGTTAAATTGTTCATAGAGACCTGGGGTCTTTTATTTTCTCTCTGCATATTTCGTTAAAAGCTACCAAAAAATAAAAAGAGTGTTTATATTAAAAAAGGAAATAGGAGCTAGAAATGGAGAAAAGGAGTGTTAGACTCTGAGCAGTGAGCACGTCTTATACAAAGAGTTTACGAACATAGTAGATTTGAATACTCTTAAGATCAGAAGGAAAGTTAAAGTTAAAAATATATTTTACCGGGCCGGGCGTGGTGGCTCATGCCTGTAATCCCAGCACTTTGGGAGGCTGAGGCGAGCAGATCACCTGAGGTCAGGAGTTTGAGACCAGCCTGACCAACATGGAGAAACCCCGTCTCTACTAAAAATACAAAATTAGCTGCGTGTGGTGGCACATGTCTGTAATCCCAGCTACTCGGGAGGCTGAGGCAGGAGAATTGCTTGAACTGGGGAGACAGAGGTTGCAGTGAGCTGAGATAGCGCCATTGCACTCCAGCCTGGGCAACAAGAGAGAAACTCCACCTCAAAAAAAAAAAAATTATATATATATATATACGTATGTATATATGTATATATATAAAACCCCAATTTTTGCAGGGTATTTATTGTTTATTCATGTGCTCAAATAACTATTCCAAGTATTATGCATAATTTTATCATAAGTTTGGGTGAATGTCATGTGTCTGTTTATCTAGCCTCATCTGGCTATGAGGCTTATATTGGGAAAGGGTGGAAAGGGAAAGGGGCAAAGAAAGCCATTCGTGTGAACTGACATGGTCCATTCTATGCCATACTGCATGGAAAGTTTCAGTAGGACTTTCAGAAGAGTTATAAATAAATGGTGGAAAAAAAAATTGTCATTTACATTCACTAAAAACATTTCTCCAAACAAATAAAAAGTTAAAATGGATAAAATGATATTTCAATGATACAAGGATACAGCTCAAATTGCAAAACAAAACCTAGAGTGTATAATTGCATAATATAATATTATTAAATTTGAATGTAAAAGATGGAAGTTGCTAAAAGTTGACACATCTTTCTCAAACCTAGAGTAGGAAATATATTTTCCTAAAATTGTCTGAAAAAAATGTATATATGTATTTATGGATTTGAATAATGAAATCCAGGGGTGTGAGTGATTCATGAGATACACAAAAATTATTCTTGTCAAACCCAGTTGGAGCCTATGGAATAGAAAGAATGATGGAGCTGGAAGAGGAGCTACGTGGTGTGAACCTATCATGTCCTCTCTAATGTCTCTGACTAGTCAAGGCAATTAATATTGAAAAACACAAAACTATCAGTGACATCAGTGACTTGATTGTTTTGCTTGTATGAAGTCTGGTACAGCTCAGACAACTCTTTTCCATTTTTATATTTGCCATCAGGAGTGGGTCTTCCAGGGCAAGTGAGGCATATCACTTCTGTTCGCAATTCAGTCTCCATAAAGAGCCATGTGGCTTTTATCCTATCTGCAAGGGAGACTGGGGATGTGATGAAGTATGTGGATATTTGGTAAACACTAGTTTTCCCTGCCACAATGACAGCCTTTTTTGCAGAAGGAAAATGGGGAAGGGAGGGAGAAGGAGTTATGATCAAATTTCAAACAAAAATGCTTGTGACTGAAGTGATCCTAATTGAAAGACACTAACCTCTTTGGAGGAAAAAATCAGAAGAAATATATAGGTGAAAGAAGCAGCAGCTTTGGTGAGAAAATGTTCCAAAAGGAAAATCCTGAAATCCTGCATCATGGCTACAATGTACATCTGCCTATAATCTCTTAATTAACCCCACATTATGCTCATCAAACATATGCATTAATCAGAAGGGAACAAGCACTGAAATTATGTATGGATACTGTATATGCCAGCTTTCGCTTTTTGGATCTCAGCCATCCTTTGTCCTTCCATATTCTCCCTTGTATTTCCAATGACTAGAATGTCATAAACTCCCGTTAGCTGGGTTCCAGTTAAGATCTTCCAATAAGAGATATTGATAGGACATGAAAAGGCAAGAAGAAATAACTATATTTTTTTCAATTATTTTTGTTCTGGCAAATGCTATTTTGCAGGTGACTGGGTCCTCCTTCAATGAAGGGGTTTGCAAAAATACTGTGGTGGGCAACTTCAATGAGTGACTGACAGCAACAGTGGGAGCTCCAGTTACAGTAGTGGCAGAACTGTCATTCCAGCAGCTTCAGTGGTGTGCACACTTATGGGCTCTAGGTAATACTATTATCTCCTGTTTGCCTCTTTAGTCCTACAGGTGTGAATGGCTTCCTCTACTTAGTGATCTCTATGTAGCATTGCAATCACCCATCTACTCACTCCTTCTGTTCTTCCAACACATTTTTTCCTGAAATCTGCTATTTGTAATACTTAGAGTAGTTCTTAGTGGGTGCCACCCAATACACTGCAAAGCATAAAAATTTTAAAGAAGAAATGAAAATAAGGAAAAGGTGGAGAAGACAAAAAAGAAATAAACATATAAATTATAAAATAATTTATCCAAGGAGTAAAAGGAACATTCTGGCAAGAAATATTCCATGTTTTAAAATCAATTGTAGGTGATGTGATTTACCTCAAATTAACAGCTCAAAGAAGAGATACAGGAGTTCAAAGATGATGTTAACACAATTTAAAAAATCAAAAAAGAAAATAAAAGGGGAAAATGGTGGCAAAACTCAGAAAAGAAATGAAAGAGAAACATAAATAATGCTGGAAGAAAATATTTGATGGCGATAAAATAAATTTTTCACAACGGTGAAGATCAGCAAGATCATAAAACAAAGCTTAGAATAAGGAAGATACGCAAATAGTAATAGAGAAGATAAAGATATGGGGCCGGGCCCGGTGGCTCATGCCTGTAATCCCAGCACTTTGGGAAGCTGAGGCAGGCGGATCACAAGGTCAGGAGATCAAGACCATCCTGGCTAACACAGTGAAACCCCGTCTCTACTAAAAAATACAAAAAATTAGCCGGGCGTGGTGGTGGGCGCCTGTAGTCCCAGCTACTCGGGAGGCTGAGGCAGGAGAATGGTGTGAACTCGGGAGGCGGAGCTTGCAGTGAGCCGAGATCGCGCCACTGCCCTCCAGCCTCCAGCCTGGGAGACAGAGCAAGACTCCGTCTCAAAAAAAAAAAAAAAAAGATATCGAAGATAAATTGGAAACTACGATTGATAAAGAAGATAGCAGAGCAAATAGAACAGATAACAGTAAACTTTTCTTTAAGGAAATATTCTTGAAAAAAGGAATACTTGAATCTGCAGATGAAAAGGAGGCCAGGAAAGTTATTCAACTTTAATAATGAAGAAAGAAATACATGGAGAAAACAATATGAAACAAAATAGGTCAACAGGAAAAACTTAAACTTACCAAAACTACACAGCAGTACTTAATACCAGAAAATATCAGAGCATCATATATAAATTTTTCAGGGGAGAAAAATTTCCCTCAGTAATTTTCCAGTTGTTGCACCTCAGACATAAAGGATAAGAAGCAAATGTCTTCAAGTGTGGAAGGATTAGAAGGAACCTATGTATGTTTCTTGAAAAGAACTACTTGACAACAACATCTGTTAACAAAGAGATGAATCAAATAAAGAATCCAGAAAAGGAGAAGCCATATAAATTGAACTAGTGGAGTTTATTGAATTAATTTAAGTAGTAGCTAAAACAGAATTATGGAAATTATGGTAACTGAAGTGAAGTGATAAGCCTTCACTTATATAATACACACACACAAATACATTATATTGTATTTTAAAATATAATTAATGAAAACAGGAACTATTAGGAGGAAAAGTAAGAGGAAGTGTAGGGGAACTAACTCTTTTTAACGGCAGAGAGTCAATAGATATTTTATGGATTTGAACATGTAGTTTAAAAATGAATACATATAATAGTTTTTCATATTATCTTTCCAATCTAGAATGCTATGTTTTAAGTAAATTAATAACTCTTCTAATGAAGACATAATTATATAACTCCAAGTCATGAGGATTTCTCAACTACTCAGAAACAAAGACATTTTTCTAAAATATAAAAAAGATGGGGCAAAATCTCAAGACCTCCCTGTGAGTAACATTATTTTAATTACAAAACAAGCCCATGGGGGAAAAGTTTCAAAAGAAAATAAAACAACAGTAATTCATACACAGAGGTTATTTGTAGAGTCTTTTCCCCCTCTCATACAGAAAAACAGTAAGATTAAGCCAGAGAATTGGGCACATAAATGTTACTACTACAGTATATAGACAGAACCCAAATGAGCTGTAACAAAAATTCCAGTGATGGAAATCCATTTCATGTTCCAGGATTCCTGCTGAGATGATATTCTTTGCATTTTGTTAATTTGGGCTATGTTATATAATGTTCTGCTTGTTAGTAGAATAAATGTATCTACATGGTAAAAACCAAACCAAGAATTTTATAATCTTTAATTATTTAGAGCAGTACATGAAAGGCTGGGCAACATTTCCATTAAAATCCACAATGTTGATGATTTTAGTACCAAACTCTAAATATTTCTTTCGGGGAGAACCTGGAAAATCAGAGCAAGTGCATATTTTACATGCTTAGAAGGTTACATTTACACACACACACACGCACACACAAACACACACACAAACACATCGTGGAAGAAAGTTCAATGCTTTGAGATGCTTTTGTTAAGCTCTACTCAAAACTACCTGAATGAAAATTAGGAACTTTGGAATGCATTTGGTGTATAATTTGACCTAATTTTAACAATCATATATGAATGGAAAAAAATTTTAATTAAATGAGTATTCTTGTAAGCCAGACAATTCAGCAACACCTTTAGTAGTATAAGAATCCACTATACTAATAATGCCAAGGCTGAAAGGCTATTTCATGAAAAAAAGTAATGAATCCAAAGGAATTAACACAACTTGCCATTTCAAAAATTCATTCATTGAATTGTGTAGAATAAAACATAATGACACTACAGGTATAATAGCTAACAGCCAAAAATTACAGTTCAATGAAATATGTAATTATTTATTACATTAACACCCAAATACTTCACATACGCTTTACCATTTTTACTTTTTTCATTTTAAATTTTGATGAAGAAGTTACTCTGAAAAAAGAATGAGGAGCCGGGTGCGGTGGCTCACGCCTGTAATCCCAGCACTTTGGGAGGCCGAGGCAGGCAGATCAGGTCAGGAGATTGAGATCATCCTGGCTAACATGGTGAAACCCCCTCTCTACTAAAAATACAAAAAATTGGCCGGGCATGGTGGCGGGCGCCTGTAGTCCCAGCTACTCAGGAGGCTGAGGTAGGAGAATGCCGTGAACCCGGGAGGTGGAGCTTGCAGTGAGCCGAGATCGCGCCACCGCACTCCAGCCTGGGCGACAGAGCGAGACTCCATCTCAAAAAAAAAAAAAAAAAAAAAAAAAGAATGAGGAATATGAATACAGTTTATTAAAATAAAAATAATTGTAAGCTAGGTGCCATGGTTCATGCCTGTAATCCCAGCACTTTTGGAGGCCAAGGCAGGAGGAGCACTTGAGCTCAGGGGTTCAAACCAACCTGGTTCAAACCAAACTCCCTCAATTAGGGAGAACCCATGTCTACAAAAAATAAAAAATTAGCCAGGCATGGTGATGCAGCTTGGGAGACTAAGTGGGAAGATTTCTTGAGCCTGGAGGGCAAGATTGCAGTGAGCTGTGATCGTGCCACTGCACTCCAGCTTGGGCACAGAGCAAGACCCTGTCTCAACACAAAACAAAAAAAATCATTGTAAGTTACAAAGAATAAGAATTTAGATGTTATTTTTTGAGTAAAATCACTTAGAGATTATAGTTCCCTTGGATAGAAATTATGCTGTCTCAAATATTCTCCTCTCTAGCCATTTTACTATATATACTTGTGTTTGTGTGTGAAGAACATGTTTAAGTGTGAATATATGCAGATGTAGTATTATGTGTTAAAATGTTAATATACACTATAGCACAGGTCCAAAGGAATCCCAACACTGCATAGATCTCCAACTTTAAATTTGGCAATTTATGTGTAAAGAAACCTGCATGTAGAGAAAAATGTTGCTTTTTTTGCAGGACTCAGCTTAGTTTTTAAGCTATGTGTTTAAATAAATGAAATAAACCCACCCTTGATATTTCTAGCCATATTCTCACCTATGTAACACCACTGAGTTTTAGAATGGAGACACTTCTTTTTGGGTGGAGAAATTTTTTTGTTTTTTGATAATTCAAACAAGTTTGTATTTGTGTCTTCATCCAACCATACTTAAAGACTGACATATTGCAATAGTTTATTTTCCTATAATTGAATAGTGGAAATATGAAGCAATGTTGCCCAAACCTTGTCAAGATATTTATATTTAGATGAAGCAAAAGGAGAAATATTTGAATATTTCAATTCAAGGATATAAAAACATGTTTATATTTTATCTCATTTAAATATAAATACTGTTTAGAAAATACATGGAAAATGAAAACCACAAAGAACTTTAAAATTTCTTTGAAGTATCAGTTTAAATTCTAAAATATAAAACATCAGGATAATCAATTAAAATACATGATTTGATGTTTATCTTCATGAACTTTCCATCACTCCATCGTGTGACTATGTCCAAATAAACTAGACAAGGGATTGGCAAACTAGGGCTCCATAGACAAATTCTGATTCACTAACTTCAATTGTTTTTGTAAATAAAGTTTTATTGGAACACAGTAATGCCTATTCCTTTACTTTTTTCCTGCTAGAGCTGCATTCACTTTACAGTGGCAGCACTGAGTAACTGTGAGAGATGAAGCCAGCTGGACTTCCTGGGTCCAGTGGGGACTTGGAGAACTTTTCTGTTTTACAAGAGGTTTGTAAAATGCACCAGTCAGTGCTCTGTGAAAATGCACCAATCAGCCCTCTGTAGCTAGCTAGAGGTTTGTAAAATGAACCAATCACTGCTCTGTAAAATGGACCAATCAGCACCCTGTAAAATGGACCAATCAGCAGGACATGGGCTGGGACAAATAAGAAAATAAAAGCTGGCTACCCCAGCCAGCAGGGGCAACCTGCTTGGTTCCCCTTCCATGCTATGAAAGCTTTGTTCTTTCTGTCTTCACAATAAATCTTGCTGCTGCTCACTCTTTGGGTCCGCACCACCTTTAAGAACTGTTAACACTCACTGGGAGGGTCTGCGGCTTCATTCTTGAAGTCTGCAAGACCACGAACCCACCGGAAGGAACAAACTCTGAACACAATTGCAATAGAGACGTTATAGCCTGCAAAGATTAAAATACTTATTATCTGGCCATTTACAGAAAATGTTTGCCGCCTCCTAATCTAGCTTATGCTGCAGCAATAAACAATGTCAAAATTGCTCTAAGTAGAAGAGCATTTATTTTTCACTCAAATGGATGGGCGTGAATTCTAAGTTCCCAGTTCCGGGTTGACAGGCGTTACATCTTGACATTTGCTTCTAAGCTCACAGGACTCTAAAACTTCCACTTGGAAGTGATAACACTGATTCCACTTTCTTGGGCAAAGAAAGTCACAGGACCATGCTTATCCTCAAAGGAAGCAGGAAAGTGAAATCTTGCCAAGTATCTGGAAGGAAAACTTGAATATTTGTAAATAGTGCTAACAAGTAATACTGCAGAGAAATTATCTGTATAATCCAAAGGGTAGTTATCACAGTTTTAAATTAATGTGAGATAGCAATCATCTGGCCTGGAAAGCTAAGTGTGAAACACAAGTTTACAACAAAACTATAATGTATGAAGCAGTCATAAAAGAAACTTTATTATTCACCTTACAAGCAAAGCATTTTAATGCATCTATAATATATATTTATGAGATAATATTACATATTAATTATTAATACACATCTGTAATGATTTTACAATCTGTTCCATAAATTATAAAGAAGTGATTAAAGATGTTGCGTAAAATATTTATGTGGTGGGTATTGCTATTTCATAATTGTTTAAAACTTTAATGAAGCTTACAATATTTTTCTAGATCTATGTGGTATGCCATGGATAATAAACTAGACAAAAGTTAGTCAAGTTATTAATTCAGCTTATAAGCATACATTTTAGTGCCTCGCAAATTTTCAGTGTCATTAGTGGCATAAATATAGCAGTCTATTATCTTTTATAACACACACAAAATAATCAATTTACTTAACTTTTCTACATGATTTTAAAGCACAAAGGAAAAGCTGATTGCCGTTTGAAATTCCATGCAGTACCTTTATTCATCAATAAATTGTTAAAATGTACATGTGATAACAGGACTATTTATGCTCAGTCTATCATTTATTCAAAGGTAACCATTATGTTAAAAGATTACTTCACTCACGTATGGTCATTTAACTGTCAGTTCCTTTAGCGTGTGTTCAGCTAGTATCTTGGCAGAAATTTCCTTGGATGCTGGAGGCAATACATGAATAAACTTTATAGAAACTCCAAAGAAAAGAATGTCTCTCCAGCTTCACCCCA
The DNA here is from genome assembly GCF_000001405.40 of Homo sapiens. NCBI lineage: Eukaryota > Metazoa > Chordata > Mammalia > Primates > Hominidae > Homo > Homo sapiens. The sequence goes on along the minus strand of NC_000008.11, from coordinate 115,336,534 downwards.
TTACAACTGTTAAAACTCATTCTATTGGACTTCTTCTTTCTCATATCCTGAATAAAATTTTGAGATACATTTGTGACATTTCTAGTCACTTGCACATAATTAAAAAATCCTCTTGACATTTTGTAACTATTGTTTTCACTCCAATATAAAATTAGAAATCTGAACTTAATAGGAAATTAATGTTTCCTCAGCTAGGATCGGCCTCAGGCTGGAACCTGCAGTGTTTTGGAAAGAGAGGTTTCCCGTTTTAGCTTCTCCTCTTTCCTCTCCCACCCTCTCACCACTAGACTACTTGTTTCTTCTAGGATTAGAGGTTAGGCAAGGGTAGGAAGGAGATGCCAGAGAGAGGAAAAATCTCATTGGAATATTCGCTTATAAAACACTCTAATTGCCTCCTCAGACGTTTCCCACTGGAACATTTACCCAAACCTCTTGTGATGTGGATTATTTCTCTCCTCTAGTTAGGCGCTATGACCTGCGTATCAGGGGTCTCCCCTTTTTGTTAGAGTCACATCATCACTCTAGGAAGTCCTTTTGCAAAGAATGTAAACATGATTACGTCCTGGATCTCAACTTGCAGTTCTCCCTCTGTCCTGCAAGAAATAGTCATTTATTCACACTCCCAACACAGCCCAGTCTGGTAGCCAGCTTCTTGCAGTTTGATTTCCCTGGTGTGTTTCAGACCACAGTCTTGTGTGCCTCAAACTTTATGGAACACCTACCAATCATTTCAGGGGTGTTCTTGAAGCTCTTCTTATAGGCTTAAGCTGAGAAGGAGGAACTCTTTCCCACATCCTATTCTCTTCCAATATTCCATTTAGATTATTCATTTGGCTGTTAGTCAAGAATCACAAATTTCTCTTAGAACACTAACTTTGCAAGTTCTGTTTAGTTAATCCAGCAAATCACATTTATAGGTGGGCTTACTTTCAATGTAATTTTGATCTAGGCATTATGTAGCCTTAAATAAAATGGAGACAGGAAGAGCCCAATGTTAATATCTGTCTACACAGCACAAATGTGTGGGTACAAATTATATGCCATTATATGAGGCAGAAAGAAGTACTGAACAAGGTCCTTCAATAAAACGATGGGGAACAGAATGACAATCAGAAAAACATAATAAAATAGTTTCTGAATTGCAATTGCGTGTTATAGAAAAAGTATAAGGAAGAATAAGTCTCTAATGGTAGACTTAGATTAAGGTGTCAAAAATACTTCCTTGAAGAAGTCATGAGTATGCTTACATAAGGATGAGCATAAGTTAACTTAGCACTAATGGGGAGTGTGAGATGTTAGAAGGTACAGAAGATTCTAGGCATGTACAGGACCAGGAAAGACCTTGGGGGCTGAGAAACAGGGAGAAAACCAATGTGGCGGGAACATAATGAGTGGAAAAAGAGGGTCATGAGAGAGAAAATGATAATTATTTAATAATACCTAATTTGTGCTACGTAACTTACCAAATGCTTTACTTGAATTCTATTTTAGTTGTAGTAAGATGTATATCGTTTATTCTGAAATCAAACGCATTGTCATAGATGAGAGAATTTAGGCAAAGAGAGGTTTAGAAACATAAATTAATGACAAGATCTATAGGTTTTAATAAGATTTTTCATGTTCTTGTGGTAAATATGTCTAACCAGATTTTTATCCATACCGTTTCACATACAAATAGAGAATAATAGGAAATAACAGATGAAAATGACTCATATCTTGATCTAACTCTCAAGAGAGTGCAGAAGTCCCAGGAAAGGTCAATAATTTGTTTCCTTCATTTTAGAAGTGAGGAACGTGATGAGCAGCCTTTCCCCTGTTACTTTTGAGAATGGTCTGTTTGTAGTTTTTGTTCCTCTTTTTACATGGATGCACTATCTCTATTTCACAGCTTCCCGCATATCGGTCTTCTGATCCCGGAACTGTAGCCATCCTGGTGTTTCTGTTTGGGTTCCCAGGACGCAGAGCCTGAGGCAAGAACTTTATTGTTGCAGGTTGCTTATTTGAGGGAGGGGATACAGGAAGCAGGAGTGAACAAGCTGGGAGAGTGAGGCGTGGAAGGAGGAAAAGTCAAAATAAGAATGTATATTAATGTGGGAAACAACGTTTCTTTTGGCCAGAATCTCCTGAGAAGTGTAAAGAATGCCTTCCTGAATTGCTGTCCTGAAGGACAAAGGTGAAAGCAGTGCTTCTTAGAGCGTACTCTGTGGACCAGTGTCTGTTCCCAGAACGTTTGTCACCAGTCACAAGACCAAGTTCAGAAAGTCAGAGTCGGCTTTTAGAATCTCTTACAGCAATCTGACATTGCTGCATCATTTAAGTGTGTGATTTTACAAAAGTGATAGTATTGGTTCCATATGGGTTAAAAACTTGGAAGGAAGGAAGGAAAGAAGGACGGAAGATAAGGAGAAAGGAAGCTGGTTTTTCATACAAATAGTTTGAGAAGTTCTGGCTGGAACATTTATCCACCAGCTCCTTTTCTTGCTTAGTAGAGGAATGCGCCTGGGGTGGTTAGCACTCTGCACTTAAGGCTGCCTTTGTTGGCTGCTGTGGCTTTTGAGAATGCCCCAGGGCAAGAAGTGCACAGCACATATTTGAGGTGAGAAGCCTCGGGTTCCAGGTGAGTCTGAGATCACATGGAATTATGCACAACAGCAGCGGCTTGGCATTGTAGACTGAGAAGGTGTGATGCAGGTCATCAGGAGCTTTTGCTACACACAGCCTGAGTTACTTCGGTGGCACTGATTAAAGTGGTCAAAACTTTTCCCTTAAAAATAACATTGAACATTAGATCTGCAGTCTTACTCATCCTACACATCTGCTACTTTATGTCCTTTGAACTACTTCTCCATTTTCTCCTCCCACCCTCACTCCTGGTAACCATTTTTTAATTCTCTATCTCTGTATATTTGACCTTTTCCTTTTTTTTTAGATTCCACATATAAGTGAGATGCAGTAATTTTTTTTTCTGTATCTGACTTATTTCACTTATAATTTTTTCTAGGTCTATCCATGTTGTGGCAAATGGTAGAATCTCTTCTTTTTTTTGGGGGGGGTGGTGGGGGACGGAGTCTCGCTCTGTCGCCCAGGCTGGAGTGTAATGGCGCGATCTGGGCTCACTGCAAGCTCCGCCTCCTGGGTTCACGCCATTCTCCTGCCTCAGCCTCCCGAGTAGCTGGGACTACAGGCGCCCGCCACTATGTCCAGCTAATTTTTTGTAATTTTTAGTAGAGACGGGGTTTCACCATGTTAGCCAGGATGGTCTTGATCTCCTGACCTCGTGATCCGCCCACCTCGGCCTCCCAGAGTGCTGGGATTACAGGCGTGAGCCACGGCACTCGGCGGAATCTCTTTTTTAAAGGTTGAATTGGCAGGGTGCAGTGGCTCATGTCTATAATCCCAGCACTTTGGGAAGCTGAGGTGGAAGGATCTCTTGAGCTCAGGAGTTCAAGACGAGGCTGGGCAATATAATGAGATCCCATCTCTAAACAAACAAACAAACAACAGCAACAAATAAACATTGAATAATATTCCATACATTTCATACCCCCACCCCCCCACACACACATCACACATTTTCTTTAGCTATTTTTCTGTTGACAGACACTTAGGTTGTTTCCCTATCTTGGATATTAGGAATAATGCTATAATATAACATAAGGACTATAGTTAATAAAATTATATTGTATAAGAGATTTTTGTTGAATAAGTAGATTTTTGCTGCTTTTGTCACACACAAAGTAACCATGTGAGATAATAGATATGTTAATTTGCTTCATTCTAGTAACAATTTATTATCCATATATCTCCCGTAATATCATGTTGTAAACCTCAAAATACACAACACTTACTTTAAAAAAAACACACACATTTTGAGCAATAACAAAAAATATTGAACACTTAGAAGGATGTCTCCCATCCCTCACCCCAAACACAACATTGAGACTGTTTTAGCCATTTTTAATTTTATTTTCTAGTTCTACTATTGATGTCTGCTCTAAATCCAGTCCCTCTCATTATGTTAGTTTCATAGACGTTAGGATTGGAACCAGGTTGAAGCACATGAGGAACCTAGGCTACTAAATTTAAGGGGGAGCTTACCCGGTGGGACTTGCACAGTCTTGATGGTGAATGCACCTTAAATATTTATGTCACTGGATTTCCATCCCCAGTGCATATTTTGGATTGGAACTCAATATCAGTGGCTCAAATTTGTGATATAGTCTTAAAGTCATTCTGAAAGTTCAAATTAAATTTTGTTTCTTCACCCTCCTCAACAATTCTATAAGCCACTTAATATGCTGTAATAAAGCCATTTCTACTTAAACAAGCCAAAGTGGATTATGTTTTCTGCCAGCGTACTATGACTTATAAAATTAAGTTTAGCATTTTCAGAGAGGACAAGTCATTTCTAGGTGATTCTTCCTGACTCTTGTAATCTGATCATATTGTTTCATGCAGGCCTTTGGCAGCCTAAAATGTATTTGTTTTTAGTCTCCCACCCACAGAAGGCTCCCTGAATTTACATCTTTTTGGGAGGGAAGGAGCACATGGTATCCAAGTAACTTGTTTAGTGGGATGCTGAATGATTAGACTGGCTAATGTCTATTAATTATATATATTTTTATATATATAGAAGGCTCTGTTTTCTTCACAAATATCCTTCTAAAGTATATGCATTTTAATAGGCATTAGCCAGTCTAACCATGCAGCATCCATCTTTATACTCATCATGCTGTGGGGACATGATGGCTGCTATGCCTTCAGCTTCATTCTAGGCAGGAGGAGCAATACGGTCAACAGGGAAAAGCGATACATCAGTTGAGTCTCTTCTTTCTTTGCCTTTTCTCCTTCCTGGGAGCTCCTGTCTGCTTACCTCTCCCCTCTCACTGACATCTAATTGATCAGGACTTGGCTTTTCCTAGCCTAGCTGCAAAGATGATTGTAAAATTTAAGTAGATTTTTTTTCTTTAAATACATTTATTGACCTAAACAGATCAAGTAGAGTGGAATACATATTGGAGTGGCAATAAATGTCTACCACTGTATCAAATAATTCATTTTAGCTTATGAAAAGCAGGTGCTAGTTCTTTTTGCATCTTTCTGATTTCTTTATTAATTTCCTTTCTACTCTTTTCACTTTCCCTTTTAAAAAAATCTAAGCTAGTTTTTCCAGGGCTATTTTGTTTATAATAAAATTAACACAATCAAAACCTGTATTTATATGCCTGATTATTTATTGCTTCACAGTGTATTCAGAAGGATAAAAAAAAATTAAGGAACTTGAGGAGGGTGAAGAGAGGACATGAGGAAGTGGACTGTTATGAATAATAATTAAATTACCTATTGAAGTCTGGCTCTGTATCTCCATCAATCTATTAACTATTCTCTCTCTCCCTCTCAACCTATCTATCTAATTGAGAGGTGACAACGTGCTAGCAGCCCTCGCTCTCTCTCGGCACCTCCTCAGGCCACAGGGTCCACTCTGGCCGTGCTTGAGGAGCCCTTCAGCCCACCGCTGCACTGTAGGAGCCCCTCTCTGGGCTGGCCAAGGCCGGAGCCGACTCCCTCTGCTTGCAGGGAGATGTGGAGGAAGAGGCACGGGCAGGAACCTGGGCTGCGCGTGGCACTCACGGGCCAGCGCAAGGGTGGGCATGGGCTTGGCGGTCCCCACACTCCAAGTGGCCGGCTGGCGCCACAGGCCCTGGGCAGTGAGGGGCTTCGCACCCGGGCCAGCAGCTGCAGAGGGGGCGCCCAGTCCCCCAACACTGCCAGCCCACGGGTGCCATGCTCGAATTCTCACTGGGCATCAGCCACCTCCCTGCGAGGCAGGGCTTGGGACCTGAGCCTGTCATGCTTGAGTTCTCCCCCACCCCTCCCGTGGACTCCCGCTTGGCTGGAGTCTCCCTTACGGGAGCCACCCCCTGCTCTGGAGCGCCTGATCCCATCCACCACCCAAGGGCTGAGGTGTGCAGGCACGTGGTGCAGGACTGACAGGCAGCTCCTCCCGTGGCCCCTGTGTGGGATCCACTAGGCGGAGCCAGCTGGGCTCCTGAGTCAGGTGGGGTCTTCGAGAACTTTTGTGTCTAGCTGGAGGATTGTGGATGCACCAATCAGCACTCTGTCTAGCTCAAGGTTTGTAAATGCACCAATCAGTGCTGTGTCTAGCTAATCTAGTGGGGACTTGGAGAACGTTTATGTCTAGCTAGAGGATTGTAAATGCACCAATCAGCACTCTATGTCTAGCTCAGGGATTGTAAACACACCAATCAGCACCCTGTCAAAACGGACCAATCAGTTCTCTGTAAAATGGACCAATCAGCTCTCTGTAAAATGGACCAATCAGCAGGATGTGGGTGGGGTCAGATAAGAATAAAAGCAGGCTACCCAAGCCAGCAGTGGTAACCCACCTCGGTCCCCTTACAGCTGTGGAAGTTTTGTTCTTTTGCTGTTTGCGGTAAGTCTTGTTGCTGCTCACTGTTTGGATCCACACTTACTTTATGAGCTGTAACACTCCCCAGGAAGGTCTGCAGCTTCACTCCTGAGGCCAGCAAGACCACGAACTCAGCGGGAGGGATGAACAACTCTGGACGTGCCCCCTTAACAGTTGTAACATTCACTGTGAAGGTCTGCAGCTTCACTCCTGAAGCCAGTGAGACCACGAATCCATCAGAAGGAAGAAACTCCAAACACGTCTGAACATCAGAAGTGGGAACAAACTCTGGATACACCACCTTTAAGAACTGTAACACTCACCGCAAGGGTCTGCAGCTTCATTCTTGAAGTCAGTGAGACCAAGAACCCACCAATTCTGGACACATAATGACCTAACATTGATGGTATCTATTCCATTTATGTAATTTTAACTATAGTATTGGTGCACTTGAATATAGATTTTAAGAGAAAATTTACGTGGATTTAACTATGGTACTTATATCTGGTCTGTGCGCACACACACCAAATGTTTTCCCATGCTTTTATGTAAGCTATATAGCAATGTATACATCTATGAATAGATATGTTATTTCATATTGTCCCATTTTGTTAAAATTCGAGAATATAGTAGATACTCCCTAATTTTGATTGTACTGAGTGATAATGACAGGAACAAAAATTTAATTTAGAAACCGTATATTGATTACTTCTGAATCTCTTTACAGAGGGTGCTTTCAGTTGACAATTTGTGTATTGAGAATGGTATTTGCTTAGACATCAGAATTCAAATTTTTTAACAGAAATGTTTCATAATACTTTGAAAAAGGTTGAGCACATTACAACAACTAATGACACGTTTACTTGGCTAATGCTATACCTGTGAATATCCCTGGTGGAAAATACTATTTCTTAGTATTTATGATATAAATAAAGCTCACTATAAATAAAAGCATCAAAACCATTCAAGTTAAAATTTTGGCAAGTCCATTCTTCTGATTTTCTTTGACCAAAAAAATCCTTTAATTTGCGTATATTTTCTTGGCATGTGGACCAGCATAGATGAATTAGGCAGTTAGTTGTATTAAAATCCACAGATTATAGTCTGCCAACACTCAAACAGTGCCATGTCATCCCTAATTAGCTGTTTGCAACATAGAGTTGAGTAAATGGAGATATCACGTGTGAAGCTGAGTGTTTTCTTAAAGTGTTGAGTTAAAATGTAAATGAATTCACATTTACCGAACTATAATGTACATATATCAATCAGTCAAGAAATGTTACGAGACACTTACTAAAAGTTCAGAACTCTGCTAGGAATTTGACAGATTTTTTAAAAAAGTGATAAATGGACGCTATTACAAAGAAAATTGTATTATAGTTGAGAAACCAGTAGTAAAACTTCTAAAACGACTGAAATTGAAATACTTACATGTAGTACTAGTACTAGAATTACTGCCACTATCACTGAAGTACAGTAACAGCAGTAGTAGTGGTCATACTAATAATGTCCTATGTTTGCTGAATCTTTACTGTTCCAGGAAGTGTACTAAACATTTTACTTATATCAGCTCACTTATTTCTCACAGCAAAACTATAAATTACTTATCAATATTAACTCCATTGTACAGACTGGTAAAAGCCTTTGCAGGGTTAAGAGAAACTTGCCCAAAGTCACATACTTAAGGATGGATATAGATAGGGCTTAAACTCGCTACTGACTGTATTTGAAATTAGGCAATGTGCTTTCAGGACATCAGCTTTTCAGCACTATACTACAATGCCACCTATCACTTTTCAGTAAATGTATAAACCCATAAATGGATTTTCTGGAGGAGAAACTGAATACCTTAAGAGCCAAAACTTATAAAAATGAAGTACTTTTGATGATAGCATTTTATAAGATGATTCACTTTATTTCTTAAGTGCAAAATGTTGAAAATAGTTTAAACTTTTTCCTGTTTGGAAATATAATGATGGCCTTTTGTTATACATTATAGTAGTCTTTCTCTTTCCATATTATCAGAATTCACTTTTGTTTCAGTGTGTCTCCCGGTAACCATCCACCTCTTTCTCACTTGTAGCGCCAAACTCAGTGTGTTCTGACATATCAGATGTAGCATCAGAAGTTTGTAAAAATGATCCAACACTCTCTTCTGTTTGGGCCCAAGTCATCTGCCTTGGGATTATTTTCTTTGTTGGACTATCCAAAAATCTGCACTTACGTGTTTTCCACTCCTCTGTCCCAAAGATAAGGGTATTTAAATAGGCTTTAAAAAGTGTGGTATGTTTGTTGAAGAGAGATGCAGAAGAGAGCTTTGCTAAAACTAACTTAATTAAAAATTCATGAGTTTATTAAACCCCACATATTTATTTGCTGAGCCCCCACTTTGTATCAGCTACATAGTACACATCAGGTACTTGGCATCTATTATTGCTAATTTTTCTAACAATTCTGTAAACAGGGTGATCATAGATGGCTTAACTGAGATTCAGGGAGGTTCAGTAACTTGCTAAATATATTTATTATTCAAGTTACCTATATCACTCATAAATGCCCAAGCTACAATTCAAACCTAGGCTGCCTGACTATCTCTCTTGGTGCCGAATCTGCCACTTCGAAAATTAAAAAAAAAAAAAAAAATTCTTTTGAGGTTCTCAACTTCATTCTAAATGTTAATGTTGCTGCAAGTTTGATTTTAAGGTCCATAAAAAGTCAGTGTAGCTCAATGTTTTTCAAATTGTGTCCCGTGGAATCCAAAGTCTGAGTGAAGGAGGCTCAGAGCAGATCTGAGGAGTAAAAAGGGGTCACATGAGTGAACTCTGAACTCATACTTTAACGAGAACACCGTTTTGTGTTATTTTTCTCTTTCTTTTCTTTTTGGGTGCTGTATTTTTATTGGGTTATATCTTATATGTTTATATTAAAAGAGTGCAGAGTGACAGGAGAAACAATGTACTTTGGTCTGTATGGGGATGGTCTGAATTGAGAAAACACAGGGCGAGGCAGGGGGAGGGATGATTTTTTATTGATTCAAAGCTTTGCCTGTTCCATTCCTTGACTATTGTCAAAGAATGCATTGCTCCTGAATGAGAATACAGTAAATGCAACACAAAGAAAGCTTTGGTAAGAAATGCTCAATGCCATGTGACTCATTTCATCCAGATGACAAAACTCTGGCAGGGTTTGTGCCTTATCTGTCTATCTTAGAATTAGAAGTCAGAAGTAGATCATTGTGATGAGAATGTGTATGCTTGTCTGAATAGGAATATCAAGTTAGATGTTTTTCCAGTAGAAAGTAATCATATTAGGCTAATGAGTCTGATAATAAAGATCAGCCGTTCTGATTAAATCATATGGCAGACACTTAAGTAAATTAAATAAAATTTCCACACCCAGATTGGAAAAAAAATCTTATTTAAAATGTGAGAAAAGTTGAAGTTATTTAATTAAAATGTTGTAGTGACAAAGTTATTAACAATAATTTTATTTTTATTTTATTTTAAATTTCATTTAAATTTATTTTATTTTAATTTTAAAATAAAATTAAAGTAAAAGAATGACAGGTATCATTAACAGTTTTTTGATAACTTTTTATAACATTTTTATGTGCTTCTATAAAATTGAAAAGTATGTGATTCTAATAACCAGGTAACAAGTCATTTTGTGAATTAGATGATATCCAGTTATTAGCTTTAAACAAAGTACAGGGAGGAGGTAATTTAGTTATCATCTGATAGATAGTTAAAATTAATTTTACGATAGTCATCATAAGATTTCTGGCATAAAACTTGGAAAGGACGAAAAATAAAAATGATGAAATAGCTATACAAAATTTTTTCTTTTCCCATCTACTTGTATTGTATAGAAGTTTCTTAGCAAATAAACTGTACCATTAAAAATAAGATTGTAATATAATTATTTTGGCTACATTCTAGCAATAAGTAATATTTATTCACACAGGAAAAATCCTGCATCATTTATCTAATTAAGTGATGCATTTTCATTGAGATGTACCTTTATAGTTATTATTTATGAAAATTTATAATTTTCAAAGTGTTTTGTCATATATTAGTAACAATTACATGCAAACATATATAAAAATATTCACATCTTTCAAAACTCAAGATTTATGAATTGTGATTTAGTAAACATTTTTCTCCTGCCCTTGCTTTATCTGCCTACTTTCCAACCCTACCACCAAAAGGTGATGACTATTGACATTTGATACGGTTTGGCTCTGTGTCTCCACCCAAATCTCACCTAGAATTGTAATCCCCACAGGTCGAGGGCGGGACCTGGCAGGAGGTGAGGCAGTTTCCCCCATGATGTTCTTGTGATAGCGAGTGAGTTCTCTTGAGATCTGGTGGTTAAAAGTGTTTGGCAGTTACTCCCTTACTCTCTGTCTCCCCTGCTGCCGTGTAAGACACGCCTTGCTTCCCCTTTGCCTTCTGCCATGACTGTAAGTTTCCTGAGGCTTCCCCAGCCATGTGGAATTTTGAGTCTATTAAACCTCTTTTCTTTATAAATTACCCAGTCTCAGGTGGTTCTTTATAGCAGTGTGAAAACAGACTAATATAATGTTTTTAGTGTTTCAGAAGTTTTGCTTATAAAATCAAGCTTTCACTTATAAATTCCAGTTTTACTTTTTCTCACACATTATTCTATAGTTTCTTTTTCTCCTGACATACCTTAAGATATGTTCTATATTAATATATAGTGAGACATAGATATAATCATTACGGGTTTTTAAAGCTGCATAGTATTCCATTATATAGAAATACCCTAATTTAACTGGGTTTCTATTGCTAACACTTTCTATTCTTTTTTACTTACAGCTTCATGATCTCAAAGTCAAAATAAAAAGTGAAATTTCAATTTATATGCATACTTTGTTATAGTGAAGTATGATACATTGATAAATGCTTTGGGGCATATTACATCACATTAAATTCTATAGCGAAACTGAAATGAAGATATAAGTTCAAAAAGAGGATGCTCTCTATTCTAAAATTTCTGATAGATAAAGAGGAGCTTGCTAGTTTATATATGTTTTATAGATGGATTATGGCAGATATCAAATCTCTATGGTATTTAGATTGCATTTGATTCATTTAAAAGAGCAATATAACAGGTTTATTTTAAAATTCAATATTTATAGCACACTAGAAATGACATATTTTACAACTATGTAAGGCTCGAATGGAAAATTATGGATGCCAATTTAAACATGAGCAAGAGTATAAGCAGCCTTTAAAAATTTTTTTAGTGGATGATATACAAATCATTTTGAGGACCAGACCTCTGGTTCCTCTCTGGCTGTCAACAGCCTCTGTTTGAGGTATTTAAGGTAAGCTTATTCGGCCTAGTCTTTGAGAGCTTCTGTTTTAGCTGCTTCTGCTTCTGAAGTTTCCTGAGGCTGTGTCTTTCCAGTTCTGTCCTTTTGCCATAGTTATGGCCTGGTGCTTGCCAACACAATTCACCATCCTCCAATTTGCCTTTAGTGACACTGTTACAACTGTACCCCTTATGTGGGTAATAGATTTTGGTTTCCTATCTATACTTTCTCTTTGTAGGATCCTATTATTTGAAGTGATCTCTCTGTTACTAGTCTCTGCTTCCTTCCAAAGATCTGTTGAAACATGGAGCAAAATTCCCCTCTATTCCTGTATCCTCAAACTACTTAGGTGATTTCTATTGACATTTTCTTTTATGATTCCCAACTCATTACAGAGTTTTTTCTTAATGGAGTTCCATCTCTGAAACCCATCCCTATAGCTAAATCTCTCTTTTCTCCTGCCTCCAGGTTTCTCAAAAGGAAAAAAAAAAGAATTCCAGAAAAGGATTTCATCTTCCTCTGTGGTAAAAAAAAAAAAAAAACTCGGAGTTATATTCTAATCTTTTCTATCATAGTTTATAGTATAACTATGACTGCCTTCCAAATCAAATTTTCTTGGAATTCAAAAATTCAGCTCTTTCTCTCTTAGGTGTTTGGCTCTTATAAATCAAAGTACTTTATATTAGACTGTTACAATGGCAATGGGTTTCTAGAGCCTATTTGGAAGTATCATGGATAAACACTAATTTAATTTTAAACGTTTAATTAGCTTCTACCTTTAGTCTAAACAAATGGATTTCCCAAATTTATTGGAAAGGCCATGGGTCAGCATACAGTGCTAGGAAAAAAAAAAATCACATCAGAGGACATTTGAAAAGTTTTGTTGCCATGTAGAAAGTAACAGTCTTCTGTAACTTTGTTTTTGCCCTTTACTAGAAATGAAATGACAACAATTAAATTGAGTGGCCAAAAGAAAAAGGCATGTTATATCCTGCCATAGAACTGGAAGGACATTTTAAGATAGAGTCTTTGCTACTGGCTACGTCACTTGATATTATCATAAAAAGCGAAAGAGATGAATGGAGTTAAATAGATTTAGGTGACTAAATTCTCTTTGTCCTCCAACTTTGTCTATCATCTTCCCAAAAATAACAAAAACCCTCATATACACTACTGGGGTGTGAGAATAATATCCATTGATTCCTTGAAATTATCTAACTATGAACATTAAACATCTATACCTCCTCCCCAAATTAAGACTTAATGTTTCCCAGTTTATAGATTTTCACGTTGGCTAAAAATAAAGTGGGAATCATTTGCTTCTGTGCATTTTATGTCTTCTACACTTGCATGAAGCTTTTAAAGGTTAAGTATTGTGTTTATAAGTTAAACGGATGAAAGGATTTTCCTTAATTGTGATCTTTCGAAAGACAAGTTGGTTGACAGCAGGAATCTTTTGTCAACCACCTCTTGTTTCTTCATCAGAGAGATATGCTAGAGGAGGTGTCAAATTTTGGATGATATTTTTTATCAGGTTTTGACTGATGCGAATTGGGTGGGCAACCTAGGTGGAGAGATACGGTCTAAAAAAATAAGAAAGTTTATAAAGGGAATTTAATGAAGATAATGAGACAGATAATGGGCATTAAGGAGAGAGGAATGAGATAAAACTGGGGCAAATTTGTGGAAACTCCTCAAATCATTGACATAGAAGAGCCTCAGGGTTTCTTGAACACAATGGCACAAGTAGGAACAGGTTTGTGGCTTAGGCTCCTACTTAGGATGTGATCGCATTTTCCCTTATAATTAGACTCTTAATTGTGCTTCTACACTTAGTGGATACATTTACAGCACCACGTAATTGTGATTTATTTCAAAGTTCTCCTTAATGTGGAACTACCACCTCTTTCATATGTATGTGCCATATTTAATTGTTGAAACTAATTGTGATATTTTCTGACTTGCTTCAACTAGACTTCGAGTAATTAAAAAGAAACAATGTTGTTCATTCTAAAGATTATCTAAATACTAAAATGTTAATGAACCTCCAATTAGACCACAAAGATGTTGAAAAATCACCAGGATATGTTATCAATATACTGGTGGAAAAATGAGGGAATTGACCATAGGATGTAATACTTCTAAATATCAAGCAACTAGGCAGGAAAAAAAACATTCTTGCCCATTGGAATCAATAATTTTATTTGTGGGAATTGATTCTAAATATATAATTAAAAATACATATAAGAATTTAGATGCAAGAATAGACAAAACAACATTGCTCAGAAGAGTAAAAAATGGACAAAACATTAATGTTCAACATAATACAGAATACTATAGAGCCATTAAAAGGCTATTGTAGACATGTATTAACTGGTGTAGGAAAATTTGCTAATAAATAATATTGGTAGGAAATCAGGTTTATTATTTTAATTTTGTAGTAAATAAATACGTATATTTAATAATATGAAAGGAAAATATGAATGAACATATACAAAAATGTTAACAGTGATATTTTTCCCTTCAAAGGGGAATGTGTTTGTTTTTTCCCCTACAATGAATATGTATTACTTTTGTTATAAAATTCAAATTGTGGCAATTAGAGATTTATTTAAATGACACCAAAAATACCCATAATAGCTCATGTATACAATAATGGGAAGACATGAAAATACAAGATTTTATGAGTACACGATGATCAAAATTAGGATATATAAAAATAAATATTATTAAGTTACATTGCAAAATTAAAAAAAAAAAAACACTAAAAACAGGCAGAAAGCTCTAAAAGAGCACTAGCCCGCCTGCTGGAGAAGTAAAACATGTTATTAAGAGACAGAGACTTGCTTAATGTAGTGAAATCCTGTAGAGAATACCAAGGACTCACAAAAATAATGCAAGCTTACATATTTTTCTTCAGGAGTTAACCATCTATAGGGTTGGGTCAACAAAGTCCACAGCTGTGGTTTAAATACCGGGAGGTATGCTATGGGTTGGAGAAACAAAAATTTATATCTGAGTGAGTGATCAAATAAGCACTGCTAGTGAAGATAATGTTCAACTGAGATATTTTTAAAAGTTAATATTTATGTCTCCCTACTTATAGAAGTTGCATGCTAATTTAAGAAAATTAAGAAAAAGAAAAAGGTAAATATGAAAGAAATAATAATCACACATCACCATGTTGTTTTTCTCTCCTTGTTTGTCTCTCTCTTTTTAAACATATATATATGTATATATATACATATATATATATAGCTAAATACACACACACACACATATGTACACATACATATATATGTGTATATATATACATAGATTTATGGCATTATCAGGTCAAACTACATAAACATCACTTACCTGATAGTCATCTGCACTGCAGATAAATGTACTTAAGTTATTGTCCATTGACTGTTATTATGATATCATACAGCTTTCATTTCTTCATTCATCCCACCAAAATTCACTTATTTTGTGCTCCTACCTTGTGGTAGATCCTGTTCTACAGTTCTAGAGATACCAGTTTGTAAAACAGACAAAGATATTTGCCTTAAAGGAGCTTGTATTTTGGGGGGGGAGGTGGAGGCGGGGAACAAAAACAATTAAGATAACAAATAATTAAATTATAAAGTATGTAAAAGGTGACAAGTTCTAGGAAAGAGAGCATTGAAAAAGAAAACAAAAAAGAGAATAGAGCAGGAAGAAGGGGGCTGGGTGGCCGATGCTCTTTTAAATAAGGTGGTAGGCCTTGCTGAGAAAGTAACATGGAGCAGATATTTAAAAGACTGGTGAGATGTATCCTGAGACTTTGCTGAAGTTGCTTATCAGCTTAAGGAGATTTTGGGCTGAGACGATGGGGTTTTCTAGATATACAATCATGTCATCTGCAAACAGGGACAATTTGACTTCCTCTTTTCCTAATTGAATACCCTTTATTTCTTTCTCCTGCCTGATTGCCCTGGCCAGAACTTCCAACACTATGTTGAATAGGAGTGGTGAGAGAGGGCATTCCTATCTTGTGCCAGTTTTCAAAGGGAATGCTTCCAGTTTTTGCCCATTCAGTATGATATTGGCTGTGGGTTTGTCATAAATAGCTCTTATTATTTTGAGATATGTCCCATCAATACCTAATTTATTGAGAGTTTTTAGCATGAAGCACTGTTGAATTTTGTCAGAGGCCTTTGCTGCATCTATTGAGATAATCATGTTGTTTCTGTCTTTGGTTCTGTTTATATGCTGCATTACGTTTATTGATTTGCATATGTTGAACACAAGCATTGTTATACACCAATAACAGACAAACAGAGAGCCAAATCATGAGTGAACTCCCATTCACAATTGCTTCAAAGAGAATAAAATTCCTAGGAATCCAACTTACAAGGGATGTAAAGGACCTCTTCAAGGAGAACTACAAACCACTGTTCAATGAAATAAAAGAGGATACAAACAAATGGAAGAACATTCCATGCTTATGGATAGGAAGAATCAATATCATGAAAATGGCCATACTGCCCAAGGTAATGTATAGATTCATTGCCATCCCCATCAAGGTACCAATGACTTTCTTCACAGAATTGGAAGAAACTACTTTAAAGTTTACATGGAACCAAAAAAAAGCCACATTGCCAACTCAATCCTAAGCCAAAGGAACAAAGCTGGAGACATCACGCTACCTGACTTCAAACTATACTACAAGGCTACAGTAACCAAAACAGCATGATACTGGTACCAAAACAGAGATATAGACCAATGGAACACAACAGAGACCTCAGAAATAATACCACACATCTACAACTATCTGATCTTTGACAAACCTGACACAAACAAGAAATGGGGAAAGGATTCCCTATTTAACAAATGGTGCTGGGAAAACTGGCTAGCCATATGTAGAAAGCTGAAACTGGATCCCTTCCTTACACCTTATACAAAAATTAATTCAAGATTGATTAAAGACTTAAATGTTCGACCTGAAACCATAAAAACCCAAGAAGAAAACCTAGGCAATACCATTCAGGACATAGGCATGGGCAAGGACTTCATGTCTAAAACACCACAAGCAATGGCAACAAAAGCCAAAATTCACAAATGGGGTCTAATTAAACTAAAGAGCTTCTGCACAGCAAAAGAAACTACCATCAGAGTGAACAGGCAACCTACGGAATGGGAGAAAATTTTTGCAATCTACGCATCTGACAAAGGGCTAATATCCAGAATCTACAAAGAACTCAAACAAATTTACAAGAAAAAACAACCCCATCAGAAAGTGGGCAAAGGATATGAACAGACACTTCTCAAAAGAAGACATTTATGCAGACAACAGACACATGGAAAAATGCTCATCATCACTGGCCATCAGAGAAATGCAAATCAAAACCACAATGAGATACCATCTCACACCAGTTAGAATGGCAATCATTAAAAAGTCAGGAAACAACAGGTGCTGGAGGGGATGTGGAGAAATAGGAACACTTTTACACTGAGTGGGACTGTAAACTAGTTCAATCATTGTAGAAGACAGTGTGGTGATTCCTCAGGGATCTAGAACTAGAAATACCATTTGACCCAGCTATCCCATTACTGGGTATATACCCAAAGGATTATAAAACATGCTGCTATAAAGACACATACACATGTATGTTTATTGCGGCACTACCCACAATAGCAAAGACTTGGAACCAACCCAAATGTCCAACAATAATAGACTGGATTAAGAAAATGTGGCACATATACACCACGGAATACTATGCAGCCATAAAAAATGATGAGTTCATGTCCTTTGTAGGGACATGGATGAAGCTGGAAACCATCATTCTCAGCAAACTATCGCAAGGACAAAAAACCAAACACCGCATGTTCTCACTTATAGGTGGGAATTGAACAATGAGAACACTTGGACACAGGAAGGGGAACATCACACACCGGGGCCTGTAGTGGGGTGGGGGGAGGGGGGAAGGATAGCATTAGGAGATATACCTAATATTAAATGACGAGTTACTGGGTGCAGCACACCAACATGGCACATGTATACATATGTAACAAACCTGCACGTTGTGCACATGTACCCTAGAACTTAAAGTATAAAAAAAAAAAAAGACTGGTGAGAGTAAGCCATGTGGATGACAGAGGAAGACCATTGCAGACGGGAGGAGCAGCAGGCCTGCTGTGTTGGAGAAACAGTGAGGAATCACCACTGTGATTAGTGAATCAAGGTGCAGAGTGAACCAAGGCTGAGGATAGTAGATGAGGTTAGAGAAAGAATGGGGTGTGGGGCCAGGTTGGGGGTGGTGGTGGTAAGGACATTGGTTTTTATGTTGAGAGAAATGGGCAGCTATTGCAAGATTTACAGTAGAGAAATGATGAGATCTAAGTTGTGTTTTAAAAGGATAATTTCAGGCCTGTAATCCTGGCACTTTGAGATGCCAAGGCAGGTGTATCACTTGAGTTCAGGAGTTCAAGACCAGCCTGCAACATGATGAAACCCCATCTCTACTAAAAATACAAATATTAGGCTGGGCGTGCTGGCTCATGCCTGTAATCCCAGCACTTTGGGAGGCTGAAGGGGTTGGATCATGAGGTCAGGAGTTCAAGAACAGCCTGGCCAACATGGTGAAACCCTGTCTCTACGAAAAATATAAAAATTAGCTGGGCATGGTGGTGCATGCCTGTAATCCCAGATACTCGGGAGGTTGAGGCAGGAGAATTGCTTGAACTGGGACCTGGGAGGCAGAGGTAGCAGTGAGCCAAGATCATGCCATTGCACTCCAGCCTGGGCTACAGAATGAGAATCTGTCTCAAAAGAAAAACAAAATACAAATATTAGCGGGATATGGTGGTGCGCACCTGTAATCCCATCTACTCGGGAGGCTGAGGCAAGAGAATCACTTGAACCCAGGAGGCAGAGGTGGCAGTGAGCTGAGATCGCACCACTGCACTCCAGCCTGAGCAACACAGCAAGACTCTGTCTCAAAAAAAATAAAATAAATAAAATTTTAAAAAAGGATAATTTCAGGAACCTGATGAAAAAGAAACAGAATAGGGGGAGAGGCCTGCAAGTGGCTGTTGGAGCAGTGTAGGCCTCAAGGGATGACGGTTTGCAGCAGGGAGAAAGCAGTGGGAACGGCATGGTCAGAAGCCAGAAGTTATGTCTGTTTCAGAGGTAGAGGAAATTGTATTTTCTGACTTATTGAAGATAGATGTGAAAGAAGAGTCAAGGATGACTCTAAGGCTTTTGCCCAGAGCAAATGAAAATATGAGGTGGCCATCAACTGAGATGAGGAAGGACAGAGAGGGAGCAGGCTTGCGGAAAGTAAGATATCAGGACTTCAGTGTCTGTAATATATCTTGTACTCAAATGTGTCATATTCTTTAGAGTCAAATAGGCCTATATGTATATTTTTAATAACTCCTGGGTTTTTGTCTTCAGACGGTATATCCAAGACTTACTTTGTTGTTAATGTTTACTAGAAACCTTTGATTTTAAAACTTAAAAAAAAATTTCCTTTAATCCATCTGGAATTTATTTTTCCATATAGTGTGAGATAAAGGTTTAACATTTTTTCTTCCAGATGTTTAGCCAGTTATAACAATAACATGTACTAGATTAAATAAAGCATTGAATTAAAATATGCCGTTGCCATATATTACATTATCATATACAAGAGAACTATTTGGCATTTCTATTATTTTGCATTGATTTATTTGCCCATTTCTTTCAAAATGACTATTTTGAAATATTGACTTTTTTTGGGGTTTTTATAGCATGCTATGGTTTCTGGTGGTAATAGTCCCTCTGACATCGTTTTTCTCATATTTTTTGGCATTTTCAGTTGTTCAATTTGCCATATAAATTTGAATATAATTGCCTTCATTTAAAAATTTTAAGTAATATTAGCATTCTAATTAGAATTGCACTGAATATATGTTAATTTTGAGAAAACTGAATTTAATTCATATGAAATGTTCTCATCCAAGAACATGGTATGTCTTTCCACGAATTCAGCTTTCGTTATTATGTTTTTCATAAAGAATTTTTTAGTAAAAAATTTAGCCTAAAACTCTTAAAAATATTCTGTTTTTTAGTATGGTTAATGAAATATCTTTCTTATTTTTGTTACTGCTTATTGTCCATATAGAGAAAAGCTATTGACAATTTTTGGAAAGAAATATGCACCAACCATGCCATGTCTCTTGTTAATTCTCAGAGGACTTTTTTGTTTTACCTGGAGTTCTGTAGGTTTTCTATCTGAACATTTGCGCTATCAGCAAAAATACAATATTTTATCTCTTGCAATATTTGTGATCCTTTTCTTAGTGTATTTGGTAGAATATTCAAAATAATATTAACTGCTAATGAGAGAGAAAATTTAAAATGCTTTTAATGTTTTGCTATTTAGAGTACTATTTGTTCTTAGTTTATCATATTTGGTTTCTATATTCTCATAACTTAGGTTTTAACAATGTTAGTCATTAAATTTTATCAACAGTGTCTTCAATCTTCACTGATATTATTTAGTTTTACTGTAATTTCAGATGTAACAAATTATGTCAGTTGATTTTATAAAACTGAACTATTCTTGCATTAATATAATAAAATTTACTTGTCATGATGCAGTATTTTGAATTAAAAATGTGCTAGATCATATTCAGTAATTTACTAGAGAGGATCAATATTAAATTTGAGATGGCAGAAGACAGATTTAGTGAATTTAAGATAGGTCAATAGAAATTTTACAGTCTGAAAAACCAATCTTAGTGTTTGCTTTTTATTGAAAATTTTGAGCATTTATTGTCAAATATAATTTAGCTAGATTTAAGGGTGATTCAATCTTTTCATGTACTACTAAATACTGAGATTATGATATTAAGTAGATATAATTTTAGCCTTTTTGAGATTACCATCGAGTGCGAAAATACAGACTAGTAAGAAAATATTTTCAACACATTCTATGAAGTGCTATGTTGGAAGTTGGAATATGTTATGTGAACACATAGGAAAGACCTCTAACCCACTTGGAAAGTAAATGAAGGATTCTCAAAGGAAGTAAAGTTGAGACTAAAATTTAAAAGATTAGTAAGTATTGTTCAACTGAAAAGGAGTACATGGGAGAAGACAGCTACAGTCAGAAAGAACACAACACGCAAGTATTCAGAGGCAAGATAAATCATGGTTATTAAGAAAAGTTAAAGTATGTTGATGTTTAAAACTTAGAATTTAAGGAGAGTAATTGTGAGAGATGAAGATGGAACAATGAATGGAGTAAAGGGTATTCCTAAAATCTTTGAAAAACATGTTAAAGATGTTTTACGTCCCTTGGGAAATGGAAAGATGATAAGCTTTTTATTGTTAACTTTTACCTGCTTTTCTTTTTTTTGAAAATCAGGGAAGAGACATGATAAAATTTTTGTTTTAGAAATATCACTCTGATTATAGAAGTATCGCTTTGTTTGAGAGTGGACAATACAGGAGACAGAGATTGTACAGGAACCCTTGCAGTCGTCCAGGAGAGCAGTGATGATGGCCACCTGAATGAGGTTAAAAGCAACGATCTGTTAGGAAAAAGAGAAGTGGGAAGATCTAAGAATGACTTAAACGATAGACGTAACAGAATTTAGGCACTTAATGGGATGTGAGAAAAGAGAAATACATCTAAGATGATGCACCCTGCATTGCTCAGAGATACTGAAACACTGAGGAATGTGAGAGACTTAAAAAATGAGTGAATATCATTGTGCCAAATAGAAAATGCTGAGTCAAAGCCCATAGTTTTCCTTTTTAGTAGGAAAATTGTTACACTACTGATTCAGTTACTTTAAAACTTAAAAGGCTATTCAATATTTTCTTCTTTTAGAAAAAAATAACTTTGTTGAGATTTTAAGCTATTTATTTTTTCGATTTTTTGATGTCTTGGCTGAAAGCAGTTCATAATATCCTATATTTAGTTCTAATGTGATGATCTTCATCTATGAAATTTAAAAAATTGTCTTTGTTGACTTTTTCTATTGTGTGATTTTCTAATTCAGTAATTTTTACTTTTATTTTTATTTAGTCCTACTCTTTGAGTTTTCTTGCTGTTCTTTTTTCTCTCCTTGAGATGATTCTTAGCAATTTTATACTTCTCTCATATATTCATTTTAGACAATATATAGTCTTCTAAATGCTTCTTTGCCTAAATCTGCAGACATATTTTGATATATAGTATTTTCATTATTTTTCAATTTTAAATATTTTTAAATTTTCATTATAATTTTCTCTCTACCCCTAGGTTATTAAGAAGTTTATTTCTTCATTTCTAAGGTTATTGGCATTTTCAGCTTTCTTTAATTTGAAAAAACATTTTATTTTGTTCATTCCTTTTCAGCAGTTTCTAGCTTAATTGAACTATAGCCTGAGAACATACTCTATATGATTTTCAATTGTTTGTATTTGTTGATACTTGGTTTATGACTCAGTCCATGTTCAATTTTTACCAATGTTCCTAATATTTTTGCTAGGAGTCTGTGGTTACTACTCCTAGTACTGCCTTAATCCATTTTCAAGGTTTAAAATTTCTGTGGACAGCATAGGAGATTAAAATTTGAATGTAATTGCAGATAAGATCTGTTATTTCTGGGACATCCCTACCTTCAAAATGCAGTCCACTTGGCTGAGTTTTCTGTTCAGCTTCCCACCTTGTACATGCCAGGCCTTAATTTCTGTCTCCTCTTACTTGTGAAGCTGATCAAAACAAATATTGTAATTTCCCTGGATCCACAAATCCTTTTAGGACAAAAGTGATTCCAAATCAACTTTCTTCCTTCAGTCCTCAATTTTCCTTCCCTTCGGACCTTAGTAATTCTTTATTGTCTTCTTACCTCTTTGATCCTTTTAAGTGTATATATGTATGTATATATTTATGCTTTATCTAGTTCTTTAAGCTCTTGGGATCAGGAATGCACTTACAGGCAAAGACACAAGGAACAGAGCATGGAAATTTTCAGGTTTCTGTAAATTTCTTTGACAGTATGAACCTGTGCCAAGGCTGATATTCAACTGGTGGGGAAGAGTTATTTATAGACAGAATCCATTGTCACTGGTTGCTGCTATAGTTGTCATCATTCTTATTAAGTATTACCCATATTGAAAAGATTCTTAAATATGTTCAATATTACCCCTTTTCTCTACTTTAAAAAAAGCCTGTAGTTCCCATACTATAAAGTTATCAAGGTAAATATATTAGGTAAGAAAGGAAGAAAATCATTAAAATCTTTGCTATGTCAAATTTCTATCTATGCCTAAGGCTACATAAGGGAGGTTAACTGCACTGTAACCACAAACAATGCAATAATTGCTATACTTAAATCTCTTTCTCAGAAAGCACTGTGGAGATTTTCATATAGCCTCTGGGATTCTACCGATGTCTATACAAATTAATAGTCAGCTTTTTGTAAAGCATGATTTGGACTCTTCTAACAGCAACTTCTTTCAACATACACATTTTAAGCTTTTCTTGATCTTGTTGCACTACTTATTCATTAACAATAGAATAATAGAGCAAGTTCTGCTGGGACTTCATGAGCCCTAGGAAAAATAATTCCCAAACTTATGTGTTCATATATATATGGTTTAATTACTGTGTGACACTATGAATAGTTTCTTAAAGAGAACATGCACATTTTTAAAAAGAAAAACCTGAATAAAAAAATGAATGTGTGATTAATCATATTAAAAATTCCTACCTACAAGAGAAATGTAGCAAGAGAATAATTGTACAGCTGTTGTCCTAAAAGGAATGTAACTTCTTACTTAAGTTTTGACCGTGTACTTGTAGGAATATCTTTACAGGGGAGGATTGTGAGATGTCATAAATGCAGAAAACCTGCTTTAATTCAGTAAATGATGGCTATAATATTATTTGCACATGTTTAGAATTAAATTTCAGAGTAACTGAAATAGTAATTGCAATGCTAGTAACTGAAATAGTGACTGAAATAGTAATTGCAAGTGCACACAAATGTGATATTTTTGATGGAAAAAATAGAACAATGGAAAATATACAAGGATAGCCATGGAGTTATACATAATTTAAATGAAAATAAAATGCCATAGATAGATAAAGAAGTTTGATAATTATATTTGTCATGTGTTGCTCTCAATAACATACTCTTAATATTAGTAATTTATCTACTTGGTTATTGGCCTAATGCTTTTGGTATATAAACTACATTATGAAAAATATAAGTTACTTCAGTTTTACCAGTTGACCAAATGAGAACTTAGTTGCTCTGCAAAATTAAATGTTCTGAAAATTTCAGAAATAGTAGGAACTAATTTGGTTTGTGTTTTTCAGATTGCAGGAAAATAATTTCTTTGGGTAATTTCTGTAATTAACACTGTGAACTAGGTTATTTTTTTTCCTTTTTCAAATAACTAAAATGTAAGCATATTAAGCTGCTTGTTTAGGGCTTCACAGAAAAATTTTGGTGAAATTTGGATCAGACTATCCAGAATGGAAGAATTCCTAGAAGGGAAAAATCAAACAAGCCCTGCCAAACATACTACCTAACAAATCCAAGCACACACATACCTCTCCAGCAAAGGTCTATTCTGGGCACTTACTGTACAATTTGAAGGTTATAGTGGTTTATTAGGTAGAAAGAATGTACTTATAACAGAAAATAGAGGTGTTAAAAATTGTATGAACAGCTCAATCCTTAAGTTCTCTTCCAAAAATTAGTTTCAGATGATTCACTTTAAGATCCTAAAGCAAATGTTAATGTTTTTCCCTTTTATGATTATTTTAAACTACTAGATTCACAAATATTGCAATATAAGGATATGTTACCTACCTCCAACTTCTTTGTTTCTAAAAGGTTCTTTTTGCTTAGCTTTTTCAGTGTCTGACATGGAGTCGTGAGTATTACATTTGTTAGTCATGCATGGGACATTTAGATCCCAATGCAATAAACTTTTACCAAAATAGTACTTCAGAAGAGTCTTTGTATACCTAGCTTTTATTTTCTTTTACACGCTGAAATTTCCCTAAGAGGGAAATATTAATAAATATTTATTAAACATAGTATGCCTATCATAATGTAAAAAGCTAACCTGTTGTTTTAATAGTGAGCATTTTAATATAGCATGAAAGTAATCCCCAAGATAGCTTTAAGACATAAAAACAGAGCTGAGTTGAATGGTTCAATCTAATGTAAGTGGAAAATCTCAAGTTCTTTCAAATCTATTCCCAAGGGAAGTAAGGGGGAAATGATGGCTATTAAAAACAAAATCAATGGTAGTACTTGTTTTTAGATCCCAGCTATTTGAAGATGAACCCTTATCCAAACCAAATCCATTACTACTTTAATTTCAGACAAAATGTCTTTATGTTTTAGAATAATTGAATGAAGAGGAGTGATCCCACTGATACATATTTTGAGACTTCTTGGGAGGCCAAACATATATGACATAGACTATTGAAAGTTAAAAAAAAAAAAAAACCGAAGGAATGGTTTCTATAGGCATAAATAACAGTTAAAAACAAGATTTTACCTTAAAAAGGTTGGAGGTAGGATGAATCATGTCTCAACTTACTCAATGTATTTCCTTGCCAGGCTGTGACACTAACAGGGTGATTTTACACCCTTGTTGCTTTTGGTGGAAAGAATAACTTGAGATTGAGTTAAACTGGAAAAGCTTTTTCTACAGTGCATAAATCATGGACATCCTGACGTTCCATATGCAACACCATTAAACAGCCTCTGGAGCTATAAAATCTAAGTGTTTTCCTTAGGGCATAAAAGTGAAATTCCACTTCAGCAGTTGCATTGGTCAGAAAAAAATCACTGCTTCCTGCACTTTTTGCACTCTGATGAATTCTTATTGACACAGCCAAAAGGCCAATCCCAGATGATTTTAGAGCAAAGTGTACCTTTAAATTTTATTATTATTTGTATATTTTCAATGGGTCTCATAGCTAAAAACCTTAGAAATGTTTTTGTGTTGAGCACATGTAGAGCAGAAAGTTGCACAAATCCAGGGAAACCATTCACAAAGAATAAAGTGAGTGGCACACCCTGGAAAATAGCATTATAATCTCTGTAAATGCTTTGTCCAGGTCACATGAATGCATTATTGATATCAATTGCATCTGGCAGTTAAGGGGAAGGACTCCGGAGCCAGACTTGATTTGATTAAAATTCTTGATTTTTTTTTTGATTAAAATTCTTGATTAAATTCTTTTTTTTTGAGACGGAGTCTTGCTCTGTCGCCATTTGCTAACTTAAATTTTTAGTGCCTCAGTTTTCTTATCTGTGCACTATGAATAATTATAGTAACTGTTCATGGTGGTGTTGTGTGAATTAAATTACATAAATACAAATTTTCTCAGTTTTCTCTTCTCAATAAAGAGCCACCACCAAATTTAGTGTCTTAAAACAACAGTAGTTTATTATTTCTTACAATCCTGTGTTTGAGTTGGGTTCAGCTAGGCAGTTCTTCTGCTATGGCTGGAATATCCAAGATGGCTTTGCCACTCACATGTCTGGAGTCTCAGCAAGGATTGCTAGGGGCTGGCTGAGCTGAGCCTCTCTCTATGTGTGTGCCTGTCTCTCTTTCTCTCTCTATGTGGCTTCTTCACATAGCTAGCTTGTGCTTTCTTACAGCATAGTGGTCTCATGGTAGTTGGACTTCCTACCTGGCATCTGGTTTTTAAGAGGGGAAAGCTGCCACCCAAGGCTAGGCCTAGACTGACATAGCTTCACTTCTGTCGTATTCTATAAACCAAAGCAAGTAACTAGACCAACTTAAATTTAGGGGGAGGTGAAAAAATAGTCACCTCTTGATTTGAGGAGTAGTAAGTTAATATAGAATAGGAAGGTACTGATGAAGGCCATCTGATATGGTTTGGCTGTGTAACCACCCGAATCTCAACTTGAATTGTATCTCCCAGAATTGAGGGACCCAGGGGGAGGTAATTGAATCATGGGGGCCAGTTTTCCCATGCTATTCTCATGGTAGTCAATAAGTCTCATGAAATCTGATGGGTTTTTCAGGGTTTTCTGCTTCTGCTTCATCCTCATTTTCTCTTGCTGCAACCATGTAAAAAGTGCCTTTTGCCTCCTGCCATGATACTGAGGCCTTCCCAGCCATGCGAAACTGTAAATCCAATTTAATCTCTTTTTCTTCTCAGTCTTGGGTATCTCTTTATAAGCAGCATGAAAACGGACTAATACAGCAAATTGGTACCAGGAGTGGGGTGTTGATGGAAAGATACTTGAAAATATGGAAGTGACTTTGGAACTGGGTAACAGGCAGAGGTTGGAACAGTTTGGAGGGCTCAGAAGAAGACAGGAAAAAGTGGGAAAGTTTGGAACTTCCTAGAGAGTTATTGAATGGCTTTGCCCCAAATGCTGGTAGTGATATGGACAATAAGGTCCAGGCTGAGGTGGTCTCACATGGAGATGAGGAACTTGTTGGGAACTGGAGTAATGGTGACTCTTGTTAATTTTTAGCAAAGAGACTGGCAACATTTTGCCCCCACCCCAGAGATTTGTGGAACTTTGAACTTGAGAAAAATGATTTAGGGTATCTGCCAGAAGAAATTTCTAAGCAGGAAAGCATTCAAGAGGTGACCTGGGTACCATTAAAGGCATTCAGTTTTACAAGGGAAGCAGAGCATAAAAATTTGGAAATTTCCAGCCTGACTATGTGAAAGAAAGAAAAACCCATCTTCTGGGAAGAAATTCAAGTGGAATGCAGAAATTTACATAAATAGCAAGGTGTCTAATGTTAATCCTGAAGACCATGGGGGAAAATGTCTCCAGGCAATGTCAGAGACCTTCATGGCAGCCCCTCCCATTACAAGCCAGGAGGCCAAGGAGGAAAAAGTGGTTTCTTGGGGCAGCCATTTTTTTCCAAATATTTTCAATCCACAGTTGGTTTAGTCCACAGATGCAGAACCCACAGATATGGAGGTCCAACTATATAATCAATGTTACTATTTTATTATCATTACCTGTGGTGACTAAATACAACTTTTTGTATTTTTTGTACTATATGTATTATTGAGAGGCATGCAAAATCAGTAGTCACAAGTATTTTCCTCTTTTAGAAATGTCCAGGTTATAATTTTAGTGAGATTATGCTTGAGCTCCATAAAATTTATAATCAATAAATCAGTATTTCACTGCAAATATTAAATGATCAAATTTGGCTAGTGTAACTCTTGATATGACTTTTCTCCACCCCCCCTACCTCTGTAGCTCAAGCAAATACATCTCATATAGATACCTGCTTTCTTTCTTCCTTCTTTCTAGTCCTTTCCCCACTCAGCATCTAGAGAAATATTTTTTAAACTTAAGGAATATCACTTACAATAGCCACAAAAAAATGAAGTACTTAGGAATACAGCTAACTAAGAAGGTTAAATACATCTATAAGGAGAACTACAAAACACTGTTCAAAGAAATCAGAAATGACATAAATAAATGGAAAAACACTCCATGTTCATGGATTGCAAGAATTAATAAAGTAAAAAAGGCTGTAGCATGCAAAGCAATTTACAGATTCAATGCTATTCCTATCAAATGACCAATGTCGTTATTCACAGAATTACTGGTATATACCCAAGAGAAAATAAATTATTCTACCAGAAAGACACATGCACTCATAGGTTCATTGCTGCATTACTCACAGTAGCAAAGACGGAATCAATGCAGGTGTCCATCAATGGAAGATTGGATACAAAAATGTAGTACAAATGTACTACAAAATACTACACAGTCATAAAAAAGAATGAAATCATGTTATTTGCAGCAACATAGATGGAGTTGGAGGCCATAAGCCTAAGAAAACTAATGCAGAAACAGCAAACCAAATACCACATGTTCTCACCTGTAAGTGGGAGCTAAACATTGAGCACACATGGACAGAAATATAAGAACAATAGACATTGTGGACCAGCATAGGGTGGAGGAGGGGAGGTTTAAAAACTATGTATTGGGTACTATGCTTACTACATGGGTGATAAGGCCTGCACTCCAAACCTTACCATCACACAATATTCTCATGTACCAGATCTGCATATGTAGCCCCTGTATCTAAAATAAAAGTTGAAATAAAAAAGAAAAATGATTATTAGCTTTTGAAATCAATGCAAATGCTTCTTAAGAAAAAAACAAGAATATCATATATCAGTCTTCTACTTCAAATATTCAGGATCTTCTTACTGCCTTTATAATATAATACAGAATCTTCATTATGGCTTTTGAGAACCCAAAAGCTCTATCTATTGCTTACCTTGTTAGGCCAGACTCATACCTCTCACTCCTCATACATGACAGTGCAATAACACGGGTTTGTTTAAGTTCCTCAAGCACATCAAGCTCTTTTCCACCATGAGGTTTTGTGACTCTTGTTCCTTCTGCCTAGAATCCTTATTTGCCCGCTCATGCCATTCCTGGCATGCCAATCAGGGTTCAACCAGAGGAGCAGAGTGTCTATGAATATTATGGCATAATGAATTTATTATAGGAATTATGACTTAATTGTGGGAGGAAATGGGGCAGTGAAAGTCTAAAAGGAGAAATTGGAGGCCAGAGAGGAGTCATGATCAATTTGAGAAGCCAAGCACATCCAGCAGCTTAGGACCATTAAGAGGGAGCTTGTAGAGGGAGTTACGTGAAGCTGTTTGCTTTGTGTAGCTATTATCTGGCTGGGTCCACAGCTAAACACATGATGGTGTGTCTGTAGCTATGATCAATGAGCTAGCTAACTAAAAGAGCTAGATGTAGACTGATGGAGCTAGAGATTGTAGAACATGCCAGACACACAAACATCTGTCTACCAAAGCATTTGCCCATAACCATCTTCAAAAAATATGACTGCTGCTTCACTTCAGCCTTCCAAATCTCAGGCCACAATTCTAATCCAGTACTATGCAGAAAAAAGGGATTTGGAAAACAGATTTCCCATCTTAACCAAGTTGACAGAGTACAGTCCGGCACCTCTGCCTAACAACTTTTCATCCCTTAAGTCTCATCTTATATTTAACTTTTTCAAAAAGTTATTCCTGCCATTTTCCTATAATTTAAAATTTTTACCCATTCTATTAAATCATGAATTAATTCTATTATTTTGTGGCATTATTGGTTTAATTTCTGTTTCTTTAATTAAAGTATAAGAAGCATGAGGGCAGAGATTATATCTTCTAGCTTATTGATGTATCTCCTGTATCCATAACAGTGTCTTGTATATCATAGGCCGCTATATTTTGGATGAATAAAGAGATAAATGAATGATATAGTGGTAGGGGTTGTCAGCTGGGAATCCAAGATCAAGGAGCCAGCATCTGGTGAGTGCCTTCTTGCTGCATCCTCACATGGTGGAAGATGGAAGGGCCAAAAGGGGATGAGTGCTGTGTTCTTACATGGCAGAAGAGCAGAGGAGAGCAAACCTTCTGCAGCAGGCCCTTTTCATAGAAGCATGAATTCATTCATGAAGGCAGAGTGCTTGTAACCTAAACAACTCCCGGTAGACCTCATCTTCCAACACTATTGCATTGGGAATTAATTTTCCAATGCACGGATCTTGGTGGACACGTTCAGATCATACCAATGTCCTACTTCATGTTCATGGTCTTGTAGGATGCGTGTGTGTGTGTGGTTTTTATTAGCAGTATCATGGGCATCTTGAGAGTAAAAAAAAAGATGGTGTGGCACTGAATACTAAAGAGGGAAATGTAGAGTATAATACATATTAGGTAGAGCTTTACCAAAAAAGATGGAAGCCAAGAATAATTTCTGTAGAGTAGATGCCAAATTCCTTCTTTTCCTGATTTAGAGCAAAAAGATCAATTCTACCTTCTAGAAGACTTAGTGCACAGACAAAATGTAAAAAGACTAAACTAGCTTCCTCCGTGAGTTAGATAATGCTGCATAACAAACAGTCACACATAATTGGTGGCAGTCAACAATAAATATTTATTTATCAAAAGCAAGTCACATGACCAGGCTCTGAGTCAGAACTGGGGAGATTACTATTTTACATGAAAAAGACAAACACACAGAAAGAGGCAATTGGAGGGGAGACATTAATAAAATCAGTCGACCTCACTCCTTCTTGTAACTTTCCATTTGAGGAATTTATTGACACTGTCCTATGGTAAAACTGGTTTGATGAAAATTAGAATAGAGGCAAGAGCTAGTGTTTTCCCCAAAAATGTATGGTGTTTTTGACAAATGAGTGGAAGTTTATTCTATTTCAGTTCAACGTTTAATTAAAAGCCTATTATGGACCAGCTAATGTGCTAAGGAGTTGGGATATGATGATGAATAAGACATATTTTTTATGCCTAATGTAAACATGTTGGAAAATTTCCATTTTCACATTTACACATAATTATTTATGTACCCAATGTAGTCTGGAAGAGTGAATGATGAGCTCAGAAACCTTGTCAAAGAAGCTCTTAAGAAAACATGGTTTTGTATTTTCAATTATTGTTGATCACAATTGGAATAAAAACTTATCTTACATTCAACATTTATGAATAAGTATGGCAGAGTCCTAAGCCTTTATGGGACAGTTCTTGTGGCTTCATTCTCCTGTGAATAATCAATAGCTTCTGACTCTAGGTAATGTAAATTATTATGATAATGTCTGGACTTCATTTTAGTACATTTTGAGAAGTTTCATGACATCACATTCTTCAATACCTCCCAAAAGAGCCATTTCCAGCCCAGCATGTGCCCCTGGGCCAGGCAGGGGATGCATTTAATTTACCAGTACTGCTGGAGAGTGGATTTATACAGCTTGCTCTCACCTAGCTTTTTGGCAGAGTCCTATCCTCATCCCCAAAAGATATGTTGGGTGGCAGTAAACAATAATGAATAAACAGGCGTTCAACTAAACCCTTCACTGATGCATGGACTGCTGTGGGCTAATCCTACCTTAAATCAATATTGCATGGTTCTGTAAGGACTCAAAAAAAAAAATAAAACAGAAATAAAAATACCATGCTGATTTACATTGTCTTCCTTCTTTTCCACTTATGACATTCATGTCAGTGGCAATGTTCCAGAAAATTGCTTGCTGCTTTGATAACTCCTAAGTTAAGGAGGACAGAGGATTATGGGACTGTTTTAGAGAATGGTATTTTATATTTCTTTGGAGAAAAATGCCTAGACTCTTTTAAAAGCCTGTTTTAGCATGTGTTAATGGCTGCACATCTGGGAATGTCAGTACCAGATTTAGTAGGATTTCTTTCTATTCCTGTTCTGCCACATGGAAATGTGAGATCTGAAATATTATTTCATTAGCCTGCATACTTTCTTAGTTCTGTTCCTGAATAAGCATATTCCTAGTCTATAAGAATAAGCATGTCTTTTCCATGGGGGAAAAATCATTAGGAATTTAGTATGCTGGAAATACGCAGTGAGGTCTGCTTTCACAGGACATTTTGATAATCCTACAAGTGGGAAATCTTTCAAGGTGTACATGGACTTTGCACTTTTACTAATAGGAGTTTACATAGCAGAGATGGAATGACTTTCACACTATGTAGAGAAAACAACTTTATCCCTTTGGCAGACCAATTTCATTGCATATTCAAAACCAAGTTTCAATTATGAGAGTTAATGGAGGAGAAAGATAATGAATATAGGAAGAAGATATTGAAGATTTTAAATTTCACATGTGTCGAAAACTTTACATCAGGCAGTAGTTTAAATATCTTTACCATCCAGTGTTGGCAAAATATATTAATTGATTTGATAAATATGTTTTTTGCCTTTCACACTCATTCTACAATTATTTTAAATATGAGTAAATGTCAACTAATTTTTAGAAATTTTTGTACTCTCTATCTGACACATTTATAAATGTTTAATATATACTCACTTATTTCATCTTCAAACAACCATAAGAATGAAATACTTATATTTATCCCATTTTATAGTGAAGAAATTAGGCATAAATTAGTTAAGTAATTTGTATAGAGCTCTATGGTTACTGCCCAAGAGAGGCAGAATTCAAAGACAGGTATTTTAGATCAGAATATAATTAACCACATTTAGCCATGCATTTAACCACTACACAATATTTCCTCTTTAGAATGGTGTTTTCCAATGGGGGATTCTCATCTGAATCACCAGAAATTCTGAATAGAAAACATCCAGTTCCCTGAGGTATCACAGATCTATCAAATTTGAGTCTCTGGGTATAAGGCCTAAGAATTAGCCCCACATTTTTGAGATGTCCCTTAATACTTTCCTCTGTAGGGCAAGAATTCTCTGGAGTCAAGGGTACATGCCTACCCTAAACCTATGCCTACTCTTCCAGCCCATATTTGAGTACTAAGGGCTGCATGGTTCTCTGCCTAGGTTATCTTCTTGATGGCATTCCGTGTCTCCACTATGCACACTTCTGTGTGCAAGGGGTAACCAAAGGGTGGCTGTTAGCAGAAAGTGTGGACAGAGCTTGGATGTGCAGTGTGGGGTGTCCACATATGTGTTAGCCTACTTGTGCTGATGTAAGAAAATAGACTGGGTGGCTTGAAAAACAGAAATTTATTTCCTCATAGTTCTGGAGGCTGGAAGTCCAAGATCAAGATCTAGCCAACTGGATTTCTGGTAAGACCTCTATTTCTAGCATGCAGATAGCTGCTGTCTCACTACATCCTTACACGGCCTTTCCTTGGTGCTTGCTCAGAGACAGAGAGTGCACACCCTGGTGTCTCTTATTATAAGGACACTAATCCTACTGGATCAGGGTCACACCCTCATGACCTCATTTGACATTGATTACTTCCTTACTCCAGATACAACCTTGTGGGATGATAAAGCTTCAACATATAAATTTGGGGTGGGGGGGCAGAAATATTCACTCCATGACAACATAGATGTACATGAAGCCCTTTACCATTCGGGATGGTGTCGGGGTGATAAAGAGAAGGGACAAAGCAGAGGAATAGAGTAGGAATTGTATCCACCAGCACTTTCATGTTTTGATATGGAACTCCAAGGAATCCAATCATTCTAAGTTTGAATCAATTCTGTGAGTTGGTAAGAAGTTCATACAGATAAACATATTCAATTTATCAGCTTGTTAGCTTGATTTGTAACTTTAAATAATGAGGCATAAGGCATGTGGGTCTCCTTACAAAGCTTAGGGGTGGACCTGTGATATGGCTTGACTGTGTTCCCACTCAAATCTCATCTTGAATTACAGCTACCGTAATTCCCACATGTGGGAGGGAGCCGGTGGGAGATAAATGAATCATGGGAGCAGTTTCCCCCATAATGTTCTCGTAGCAGCAAATAAGTCTCACAAGATCTGATGGGTTTTTTGTTTGTTTTGTTTTTGTTTTGAGACGAGTCTCTCCCTGTCGCCCAGGCTGGAGTGCAGTGGTGAGATCTTGGCCCACTGCAAGCTCCGCCTCCTGGGTTCACGCCATTCTCCTGCCTCAGCCTCCCGAGTAGCTGGGACTACAGGCGCCTGCCACCACGCCCGGCTAATTTTTTTCTATTTTTTTAGTAGAGATAGGGTTTCACCGTGTTAGCCAGGATGGTCTCGATCTCCTGACCTCGTGATCCGCCCGCCTTGGCCTCCCAAAGTGCTGAGATTACAGGCGTGAGCCACTGCGCCTGGCCAATCTAATGGTTTTACAAGGGGAAACTCCTTTTGCTTGATTCTCATTCTCTTCTGTCTGCTGCCATATAAGACATGCCTTTCACCTCTGCCGTGATTGTGAGGTCTCCTCAGCCACTTGGAACTGTGAGTTCATTAAACCTCGTTTTCTTTATAAATTACTCAGTCTTGAGTTTGTCTTTATCAGCAGCATGAAAACGGACTGATACAACCTGCTCCCTCCACTGCTCCTGTCATTGAAAGCTCTTGGCTTAACCTCCCTCCTTGTCTTGCCTTGTCTAGCCACTGTCATTTGAGAGATTAGCAGAATTGGTTTATCTAGTCAACAGTGTTTAGGACCTTTACTGAAATTTGAATTAAAAATAGTTTTAAAAATCACATGAAATTGCCTATAATGAGACTTCCTATAAGAAATCTTACCAACATAAAATTTCCTCATAGTGAATTCGACTGTCTTAAAAAAAAAAAGAAAACAAAAATGAATCTCCCTCCAAATCTCATTGATTATCTGAGATTGAGCTATGTATTAATAGAACAGTAGGACATTGTGGCATATTTCTGTTCATTGTTTTAGTTATTTCCATCTAGTACAGAAAAATGGACTCTCAAGTTCTCTGAAGTTTGTCTGAGCCTCTCTACCTCTCATTTTATTGGCCTAGTGCCCCTTTAGTAGGCATTCTTCCAAGATAATGTGCCCAGGTCCTTCTTCATTTCTTCCCCTCCTGCCCACCGCATTAAAATCCATTTAATTAGGGAGAGAGCAAACTTCAGCATGTTAAAATTTGACTTCTATTTGTATCTTTTTTCTTTTGTTTTTTTGAGATGG
The DNA here is from genome assembly GCF_000001405.40 of Homo sapiens. Taxonomy (NCBI): domain Eukaryota; kingdom Metazoa; phylum Chordata; class Mammalia; order Primates; family Hominidae; genus Homo; species Homo sapiens. The sequence continues at coordinate 115,301,322 of NC_000008.11, read as the reverse complement.
AGTCTCACTCTGTTGCCCAGGCTGGAGTGCAGTGGCACGATCTTGGCTCACTGTAACTTCCACTTCCTGGGTTCAAGGGATTCTCCTGCCTCAGCCTTCTGAGTAGCTGGGATTACAGGTGCATGCCATCATGCCTGGCTAATTGTATTTTTAGTAGAGACAGGGTTTCACCATGTGGGTCAGGCTGGCCTCGAACTCCTGACCTCGTGACCCTCCTTTCTCGGCCTCCCAAAGTGCTGGGATTACAGGCATGAGCCACTGTGCCTGACCTTGTATCTTTAGTGTCAATGAAGTTCAGTCATAATGTATTATCCTTAATAATTTTCCTTTAACTTTTTGCTTTCTAATATGCAGAATTATTATTTTAGTGAGATCAGGGTTGGAGAAAGGTAAAGGAGGCCTTGAAGAGCAAACCAAAGATGTCTAGCAAATGTGAGAGGGCCATTCTTTCTCCATAGCACCATAGTCTTTGATTTGTGTTTTGGGATTCAATATAAGCCAAGAACTATGGCTATTGGAAAGATACTTTTGATGATGAAATGCCTTTGGCCTGGACCTCATCCTTCTTGTCGTTTTCCTTGGCTGCTTAGCATCTGTTTTTCCATTTCACCAGAATTTTGATTTCCTTTATTAAAATTATTTTTTCCCTGATAGGTACATTACCATGAGGTTCTCCTAGTGAGTTCATGCTCATGGGGGTTTTAATGTTGTTAAGTTTTTTGGTGTTTCTTGGTCATGGAAGCGATATCTGCCAAGAGCTAGACTAAGAGGATTCTTTCTTTCGAAAATATGAAATTTTAACAGAAAGAAAAGAATACTGAAAATAGAGTTCTATCCTCTCCAAATACTAACATCCTAAGCAGCCTTTCCTGATTTGATTCTATTCCCATTTCATGCCTCTGAGCCACCTTTGTTCCTACCCATTTCCATTTCTGGTTCTTCAGCCTTTCTCTACTATGAGTCAAAAAATGTAAACTTGCTTATGTTAGTCAAAGTCAGTTTCTATTGCTTGCAACCAAAGACCCTAAGTTGTATAACATTTTAAAATAAGTCATGTTGTAATATTTCTTTTATTCTCTGTTTTCCTTTATCTTCAATGTTTAAATACATCCTCTCTTTACTTTCTTCAACCTCTGTACACCCCAGAAAAATATCATATGGTTTCTGGGATACTTGGTGTTTATTTAATTCTCAATCAATCTCATATAGCTATGTATTCCTCTTTTCAGATATACTGAACAGCCTTGCCATTATTTTTAAAGCATTTCTATCTGTTATCAGGAGTGAAATAATTAAGAACTCTGTATGTATGTGTTTCATCTTCTTTTTTTTAAAATAAAAATCTCACCTTACTGCTTTTTTAGTAGAAGGTAATTTGGATAACCAGACTGTTAAATATGAAGATTGGTTTCATGGAATGATGAACACACTTACTCAAGGATTGGCATTCCCTAAAATCATAGCAAGTATTTATTGAGCCCGTATTACTATGGGCTGGAACATTCTGTTACACACTTCACATACATGGTTAGATTAATCATTTTAAAGCCTTAGGAAATAAGTACAATGATCTCATATTATAAACAGGGAAGTAGGACTTAGAAAGTTTAAGCAACTTTATCAAGAACCTACAACTAATGACAAGCTGAACAATGATTAACTGAATATTCTTCCTTACATATGTTCACATTTTTTACATACATATATGTATTTTAAAATCACACTGTTTATCACTATGTAGGGGCCAAGGAAAAGCTTACTCTTCATCCTCTGAAGGTTCACTGAAAATAGACTGACAAAAGGCAGATTAATAGAAAAGGAAGAGAAAATTTCTTAATGTTTACATGTGTGTATGGGAGTCATAGAAAACATGAGATACAAAGAAAAAAACAGATACTTTTATACCATTTTGAGGTTACAGAAAGAATAGGGGATTGGATTGTGGAAAGAGAGCTTATGGGAGGTAGAGAGAAAGGAAGGCCTAGGGTAAAGGTGTTCTCACTATGTAGATAAAACCTTATAGGTAGCAGCTCTCAGCATAGATGGTAGCCTGTGGTTGAGTTAATTTTTCCTAAATCTGGATAAGGGGGAAGGCCTCAGAGAAAGCTTGGCTGATTTACTTTACTATTATAGATTTTTCTCTACTGATGCCAATCTCTTCCACACAAGGCAGCTTTTCAGGGCTATTCCTGTCTACAGGCCCTCTGAAAAGCCATCTCAAAATATTTCAAAAGAAGTAAATTTTGGGTAGAATATTTTTTATTTTCTTTAATTACTTTAATTGAAAAAGCAATATATTGTTATAAATAAAAGACAGTTGTAAGAATGAATACTGTAATAGTTAAGAAATCAACCTAAGTGTCCACTGGCAGATGAATGGACAAAGGAAATGTGGTATACATACACACAGCAGAATATTATTCAGCCATAAAAAGGAAATCTTGTCCTTTGCCACAACATGTAGGAAACTGGAGGTTACATGTTAAGTGAAATAAGCCAGGCACAGAAAAACAAAAACAAATATTGTATGTTCTCACGCATATGTGTAAGCAAAAAAAAATGATCTCATGGAGGTAAAGAGTAGAATAATGTTAACCACAGGTTGCCAAGAGTGGGGGTGAGAGTGATAAAGGGAGGTTGGTTAATGGGTACAACCATATAGTTAGATAGAAGGGATCAGTTCTAGTTTTTGATAGCACAGTAAGGTGACTACAAGTTAACTCATTAAATATTACAAAATAGCTAAAAGAGGAGCTGAAATGTTCCTAACACAAAGAAATGATTAATGATATGGGTGATGGATATCCTAAATCCTTGATTTGATCATTACACATTGCATGCATGTATCAAAATATCACATGTACCCAATAAATATAAACAATTATTATGTATCAATTAAAGAATTGTAAAAGGAACAAAAAGAATGAATACTATGAAAACAAACAGTGTTATTAAATTTAAGTAGAGATGCTTACCTGTAAGGAATCTGGACTTGAAGTCTGATCTTTCTTTGTTTAAGAGGAGATTAGTAAGTGTTAGAGAGGTGTTAAAATGGAAGCAGCCTTAACATCCATTGATACTTGGTCCTCATATTAATCAGGTACTCAAAAAACTAAAAAAGGGGATAATTCTCTCAGCAAGTAAATCTACGATATTGAATGTTATGTCTAGAGACTTTCTGCTATTACAGTCTTTCCCTGGTTTGATACGCTTCCCACTTCATGGCACTATATCCTGTTGACATGTGAGCATTAATACTGGCGACACTGAACTAGGCTAATTTTCTTTAGAAATGAGAGACTTATTTGTTTAATTATAGGTCCTTCCCTTAAAACTCAAGCGAAATCCCCTGTGTTCCAGGTCTTAGGGTGAAGTGAGTTAAAGTCCTAATAAAGGTGATGATAACCCCAGTTGTTGAGCATCTACTGTATGACAGGAAAGTACTAAATTCTTTATAAATATTCTTGTTTAGTATCACAACAATCTCAGAAGATCAATATCATTTCCATTTTACAATGATAGTGAAACTGGGTCTCAGAGCATGAAGTAAGCTGTTTAAGATTACACCCTTCCTTTTGGTCCACACTGTTTCTGAGCTACACATGAATTCTAGGAGTGAACTCAGGCTAAAAATTTATATCCTGCTCAAGAGACTTAGCACGACTTTTCACAGATAAAAATTCTTTCATAAATATCGTGAGTCTCACAGTTGTATATGTTTGTTTCTCTAAAAGTTTCATTTATCCCAAACTTTCAATTTGGAAATGATTTAGCTATTTTGTATCCCAGTACTTTATACCTTTTCTCCATTTTTGTCAATCTTATTTCATAAATGTATTCAAATCAAGAGGTTCATCTTTATTTTCCAAATTCATTGCCAGCTGATTTCAAAAAAGTGTCGTTTCATGTGGAACTGCTTCCCTTTGCTTAATGAAAATCCATCAGATGCATAGTTAGTCTATCTGCAGTTTGCCACATACAAAAGATTATTTACAGTTTATTTTTATTTTTCAGAATTTCCTCCAGCGTCTTGTTCCTGTGACTGTTAGAATGTTCGATTAATTGCTAGATTAAGCCTATGGTTCAGGAGTTGCCAGGTCTGAGGCCACGTTATTAAACTTCCTGCCGAGTTCCATCCAAATGCATCTGCTTCCTCCCACTGTCAGGCTTTCGTCCTCTTTTCTCAACATTTCTTTCTCGCGCGGTGTAATATTCTTTTGTGATATTTCCCTAACACTGCAAGATTCCACTTGCCAAAGTGTGGCAGAGGAAACAGCATTTGCCATCTACCTCCCTCTTTGTGGGATGGGCCACTTTTATTTTTGTAATCGATTCCACTGCTGAAAATTAGTTTCACTCGCAAAACACTCTCTGGTAGCAAGTTTGTTTTTTCCTTTGAAGCCTTTGAATTTTCTGTCCCTCTCCACCCCCTCAAATTTTGCAGGAAGCTTTTGATCTTGAAGGATTCTAAATGTATCTTCTGAATTTTTGGAGATTTCTAGAAACACCGCTGTATAGAAAGCTCTGTCTATAGAGCATCATCAGGCACACAACTCCAAAATACACCTTTTCAAAGGAAAGAAGAAAATGGCAACTGTCCCATATCCAATCAGGTAAATGGCTCTTTATACACCAAGCTGTGATAAAAAGCAAACAAAAAGTCACAGTGCTGTTGATATATGAGCCTATCTGTGACAGCTTGCTCTGGCTTTTTTGACTGGCAGTTACTTTGTACACTTTTAATAGCATTTCATCACTTGTCTGTTATTTAAACAACATCATCTTTCCCGCTGGAATATAAGTGTATGCTGAAAATTTCCACATATTTTACACGGCCAACCTCTTGCTATAGTATTTCCTGATAACAGAAAGTTGGCTGGCAAATAGAAAGTTATCTAAATTGTTCAAGTAGCTCTCCTGGTTGAGATAAACCCTTGTTCAGCACCTTGTTTTCGATTTGTAAAAACAAGCTAGATAAGCCTCTCTCGCAGAGGTTATCTCAGCTTTTTCAGAGGATTCAGACTAATTGTGCACCAATGCACAGTCTGCAGCCGAGTCTTATTTAATAATTTTCTGCTTTGCAAATGATGCACGAAAATTTAGGCAAATATGTCTTGAAAGCTCCAGATTAAAATAGGAAAAGATAACAGAACTAGATTGTTGAATTAGATAAGACATGAGAATGAAGCCTCAAGGGATCATGTTTCAGAAGATTGATGAAGAAGGTTCTCATGGTAATGAGCCAAAAATTCAAGAACTTGTTTGATAGATACAGGAAGATTTTATTTTGTTGCTTCCTTAAACAGGTAGTTTTGCCTAGACTTGAGAAGTATTACACCTGTGGAATAATCCTAGCATAAAAATGGTAGTGGATCTTACACTCTTACACATTGCGCCTTCTTGCTTCCTGGAACGCTTATCTGTACACCCACTTGGGCATTTGATTACACGTTCTGGTGACTTATTCCCACGTTTCCTATTATTCCTGTCTTTCTAAAGACAGTGAACATTTATGGAACAACTCTTTTATGGTGAACTTTGTTCTCATTGTTCTTGCATCCTTTATCTCACTCAGTACTAACAACAAATTAGTGAAAAATGTTTTATTATCTCAATTTTTTAAGACTTGGAAAGAAAACAGAAAATTAAGTCATTAAGGTGGAGAAGTCTGAACATGAAGCCCCATTTATCTGACTCCAAGGTCTTTCTCCCACACTCTGCTTTCTTAATGACATTGTTAAATTATTTGGAAGCACAGAGGGATCCCAACTGAATTGAACTTATTATTCTTGGAAAGATATTTCACTAAATCAACTCCTTCTGGGCCAAAGAGGTAGAGCAAATGAGTAGGTCACCAATATTTATAATACATTATTTGTATACATTATCTCATTTGATTTTCAAAATAATCCTGTGAGAGAGGGCTATTATTACTTGGATTTAGAGATGAAAATATGGAAGCTTAGTGAAATTAAGATTAACTAAGTCCACACGACAAATGAGGCCAAATTAAAATTCAAACTCATGTCTATCTGATACAAATTTTTAAAGTTTTATCCACTTTATTTATATGACTATTAGTGAATCAGTGAATTTGTGAACCACCGATCAAATGGCTCCCTTGACAGTATAGACTTTGCATAAAACCCTCCTTTCTCACATTCCCTGATGTTCTATGATCATGGTTATCCTCATACGTCTCTCACCATTCTGTAAATTTTTCTTATCATAACATATACTGCATATCAAAAAGCCTAGGTAATATAAACATTCATAGTAAAGGCAACATTTTGATTTTCTATTTACTTTGCATTTTTAAGAAATCAAATATTACAAATATGATTTAAAACTGTCTTTCCTATTCTCTCCTGTTTCATTCCCCTCCCTTATATAAGGCAATAGTTATCTTGAAGTTGTTGTTTCAACAGTAGTCTCTTGGTATCCGTAGGGGATTGGTTCCAGGACCCTCAGAGTATACCAAAATCTAGGGATGCTCAAGTCCCTGACATAAAATTGTGTATTTGCATATAACCTATGCACATTGCCCCACATACTTTCAATCATCTGTAGAGTCCCCATAATACCTAATACAATGTAAGTGTTATGTAAATGGTTGTTATATTGTATTGTTTATGGAATAGTGAAAAGAAAAAAAGTCTATACATGTTTAGTATGGACACAGCTATTTCTTTTTTTCCCCAAATATTTTCAATACCTAATTGGTTGAATTCACAGATGCAGATCCCATGGATATAGAAGGCCAAGTATACCTTTACTTACTGGTGTTACTCACTCGCCTTTACTTACTGGTGTTACATAGCTATTAACAAATGACATCTACTATTAATTTATTTGCTGGAAAACTTTAATAAATATATTATTCTGAATACTTTATAAAACTTTTTAAATTATATTTTTGTGATTTATTCATGTTGATACATATAGCAGCATTTCATTGTTTAAACTACTGAATTTTATTCCCTTATATAATACTACAATTTTTCTGTACTTTTATAAATAGTATTTTTTTCAGATTTTCATAAAATTTTATAATTATTGTTATTATTGCTGAGTAGAAATGCTATTGATTTTTAGAAGTTTTAGTTTTAAAATGTTCTTGCTAAATATTCTGAAATTTTCTATGTGCATAATTATATTGTCTACACATAGTATGAGTCTTTGTATTTTCTTTTCCGATTATTGTTCTTCCTGCTTTTCCTTGCCCTCCTCTTTAGCTAGAACCTTCAGCACAGTGTTACAAACTGGTGGCAATAGGCTCACCTTTAATATGCTTTTATTTTAAAGGGCATACTTTTAAAGTTTCATCATTAGATAAAATATTTGCTGTAAGTTTTTGATAGAATATTTAATCAGGTTAGAGGAATTTCCCTTTCATTTTTTGCTTACTAGTTTTTTTGTTTTATTTCATAATTGAGTGTTGAGTTTTATCTGAAGCATTTTCCGTATCTTTTGAACTTTGACTATGTATTAGTCCATTCTCACAGTGCTATAAAGAACTGCCTAAGACTGGGTAATTTATAAAGGAAAGAAGTCTAATTGACTCACAGTCACATGGCGTGACTCCTCCATGTGGCGGGGGAGGCCTCAGGAAATTTACAGTCATGGCAGAAGGGGGAGCAGACACGTCTTACATGGTGGCAGGTGAGAGAGAGTGTGAAGGAGGTACTGTCAAACACTTATAAAACCATCAGATCTTGTGAGAACTCACTCACTATCATGAGAACAGCATGGGGGAACTGCCCCCATGATCCAATCACCTCCCACCAGGTCCTTCCTTCAACACGTGGGGATTATGGGGATTACAATTCGAGATGAGAATTCGGTGGGGACACAGCCAAACCAAATTAGACTACTACTCTTCAATCTTTGTTATCAGTTCCTTTTGGAGTCCTGAAAATGTAAGTGACCCAGAGATCCTTGGTATAGCCTTCGTCTCCATCTATATTAGTGATTTGCAACCCACACTCCGTGTGCATCATTGGGGGAGTTTAGAAAACACAGATGCCTGGATCTCATCCCAAGGGACTGAATCAATTAGTCTAGGTGGAGTTTAGGCTTTGCTTTTCTTAAAAACCTCTTTAACTGTTTTTCTGCAGAGTTGAGAAATTATAAACTTACTTTAAAAATGATTGTAGTGGGAGAGAGATAGAGAGATCAAGGGAGAAGGGTGTTTTCCTATAAGTACATACATTTGTTTCTTCAAAACGATGTATCATATACTCTCATAAGATTTTTCGCTCTCCAGTGACTTCTTTTCTGGACTATATCTTATAGAATATAGGATAGAACCTCAACATTAACAAACTGTGGCTGAGAAGGGACTTTTAGATTGCTTTAACATGGAAAATTGACTTTTTGAATTTTTTTCTGAGCATTCGTTACAGATAAATATTTGCTCTTATCTTCTGAGAGAGTTTGAATATTACTCCCTTCCTTCCCTCAGACAAGTGGAAGTAATTTTTATAGAGCTGGACTCCAAGACTAAAGCATCATTAGGGTCTACTTAGATGAAATATGCAAAAAGGGTTGGAGTAGGGGTGTGTAGGTATAAGCTAAAAATAAATTGCTAAACTTGTAACTATCTCTGTGGACCACAGTAATGGGGAGTAAAAAGGATCTCCCTTTCCCCAATAAGTTTAAAGGATACTTTGTTACTCTAAATATGGTTCATACCAGCCCCGGCAGAATGACCTGGAGCTTATTTAAAATGCAGAATTTCAGACCCTTAATGAAGACCTACTGGATTAGCATTTGCAGTTTGAAAAGATTCCTGGTGATTCACCTGCACACTAAAGTTTGAGAAACATGAGTCAAATGAAGCAGCAGTTCTCTACCTTGGATGCACAACATAACCTGAGGGAATTTTAAAAATGAAATGCTTGGCCGGGCATGGTGGCTTATGCCTGTAATCCCAGCACTTTGGGAGGCCAAGGCGGGTGGATCATGAGGTCCGGAGTTCGAAACCAGCCTGGCCAACATGGTGAAACCCATCTCTGCTGAAAATACAAAAATTAGCCAGGCGTGGTCATGTGTGCCTGTAGTCCCAGCTACTTGGGAGGCTGAGGCAGGAGAATCGCTTGAACCTGGGAGGTGGAGGTTGCAGTGAGCCGAAATCACGCCACGGCACCCCAGCCAGAGGGACAGAGCGAGACTCTGTCTCAAAAAAAAAAAAAAAAAAAAAAAAAAAAAAAAGCGTGGGCCTTCTCCAAAGACTCCAGAAAGATTCAATTGGCCTGGGGTGGGAATTAGCTCCCATTGATGGATCGGAGGGTGGGAGTTAGTGCATCTCTTGTAACCATAGGTGGAGAAGTGCTATCCAAGAAGTTAGTGAAGAAGTTGAAGGAAACTCCAGGGATTTTTAAAGAGTGGCAGAAAACTGTGATTGCTAGTAATCTTTCTTGCTGCTTCATCCTTGGCATTCCTGCACAAAAGGTACTTCTTGTTGCACAAAAGTTACACATTTAGAATAAATGAAAGGAAGTAGTAACTTAAACAGGAAACTTTTGTGTAGAAGACTGATAATGTAACACAATAGTAAGAGAAAATACAAAGAAATTCATGGATAACTGACAGTGTCACTGGTATGCTTAATATTTTCGGTTAAATAAAACCTGAATCTGTATCCTTTTCTGTTTCCATGCACTGTGCACTTATTGAGCACTAACTGAATGCTAGTCACTCTTTTATCTACTGAATTGCTAACAACAACAACAACAACAAAAATCTTGTCCTCTTAGAGTTTCTATTTTAACAAGAAGCTTGCATTGCTAAGGTCCTTACTCTTCATGGTTGAATAATAACAACACACTAGGGAAGGAAATTTTAATGGGGGCTAAACTTGTTCCAGATCATCAAACTTAAGCCACAGTTCTAGCCACGAGGAATGTATCAGATGTTCCTTATCTCTTATGTGACTATAACTCCACATTGTTCTCTGTTCTATATAAGCTGTCTCAAGAATAGTGTCTTGAATACATTTAATTATTGCATCATTATTTTTTTTGCTATAAATGATTCTAGAATGTTGAAAATAGTGTTCTCAGGAAGTTACATGATTCTAGAATGTTGAAAATAGTGTTCTCAGAAAGTTACCCTTTGTGCCAAGTCTAAGGTTTAGCACAATAAAACTACATTTCCATGTCTTTGATTTAGAGTTTTGCCCATTGTATTTTGTTTAATTCATGCCATTTCAGTAGCTATTTAGTTAAGAATTTCAAGTTCATAAGTATTTTGAAACAAATTAATCAATTATATGTGAACAATGGCCATATCTATGCCTCTGAAAGAAAGAAATATCTAGACTTGCAATTCTAAATAGGTATTAAATATTTTGAGATATATTATGTAGGGTTTTCATTGTATTTGCACCCAATTCTTATATAATTATATATTTTTTTCAAATTAAGTCAATGGAGACACACACACACGCACCCGTGTGCATATATATATATGTATGTATATAAAATCCTCTGGCTTATTCACTTTTCAGTCATATGTTTCATAGTGAGAAAATTGAATTTATTTAGCTACCAGCTCATTTGGTCACTTAAATGCACATCTTTGCTACTATTGTCACTTTTAGATTGTCTTTTCGATAGCCAACATGCATTTAACATGTTTTTGTAAAAAATTATTAAACCATTTTGGACTTTCATAGGTTTCTTTCCAGATTACCAAATAGAATTATCTTTTATTCAATAGAATATCATGATATAATCTTACTTGGGTGTCAGTGCAAGAGGAATAATCTTTCTCACTCATTTTTTGGATTATTTTGTCACTGTCTTCATAATAAAATATTAGTATGCAATTATACTCTCTGCAGACTTAAATCCTCTCATTTTTCTGTTGTACCCCATTTCAAATACCACATCTGCCAGCTATCAGAATTTTTGTTTGTTTCTTTCTTATACAGTTCATGATAATGCTATGCTTCCTTTTTTTGCAGGGATTCTTTCCATTTAGAATGACATTTTTAGCCTCTGATCCTACTTCATAATCATCTTGAACATTTAATAGTTATATTATATCATTACTGAACTTGTTCTTCCTTCATCTTCCCTCATGGTCTTTTCTAACAAATTCCATCTACTTCTAGAACCATATTCCCCATTCATCCCTGACTTACCATATTCCCAGTATGGCACTAAAGAGATAGAGCTAATTCATTGATTCATGTGATTTTGCTTCTGTTATTTACTGTCTGTATAGATAAATTCACATTATCCCCTTTTATAAAATTTCTTGCTCTCTGGGGCTAGGCACTGTGACTCATGTTTTACCTATGCTTCAATTTTGAGTAATGGTTTCTTTCAACAATGATTGACTAAAATAAAATTAAAAGAAAAATATGCATTTTATTATATTTAACAATTGAACAAACCTTTACATTTTGAGTATAAAGTGATTTTGGAGAGCTCAGCTATACATTTTGACACTTTTACAAGTAGCTCTAGATTGTATATGTTGGGGCTCAGAAAACGATACCCCAAAATGAAAGCAGCAGCCTCAGAAGCAAAAGTTATTCTCTGACCTTCTGCCCTCCATCTCTCAGGCCCATTTTCCCCTGAGGCTAGCCATAGCGTAATGATTAATATTGAGCGTCAACTTGATTGGACTGAAGGATGCAAAATATTGTTCCTGGGTGTGTCTGTGAGGGTGTTGCCAAAGGAGATTAACATTTGAGTCAGTAGAGTGGGAGAGGTAGACCCACTGTCAATCTGGGTGGGCACCATTTAACCAGCTGCCAGTGTGGCTAGGATAAAAGCAGGGAGAAGAATGTGGAAGGACTAGACTGGCTATGTCTTCTGGCCTCCAACTTTCTCCTGTGCTGGATGCTTCCTGCCCTCGAACATGAGGCTCTGAGTTCTTCAGCTTTTAGACTCTTAGACTAATGCCAGTGGTTTGCCAGGCCTCTTGGGCCTTCAATTACAGACTGAAGGCTGCACTATCAGCCTGCCCGCTTTTAAGGTTTTGGAACTGTGACTGGCTTCCTTGCTTCTCAGCTTGCAGACGGCCTATTGTGGGACTTCATCTTGTGAAGATGTGAGTGGAGAGTCAGTTCTCCTAATAAACTCCCCTTCATATATTCAGCTATCCCTATTAGTTCTGTCCCTTTAGAGAACACTGACTAATGCAGATTCTGAGTAATACATATAGAAACTAGAATCTCTCTTTCCTGAGGCGGGCCATACAAACTAGAACCTCTTTTCCAAAAGCCAGCCATGAATCCTAAAAATCGTACTCTAACTTTCCCTCCTCCCTATGTAAAATGGGCCATAAAGACATTATCTGGCCTACCTTGTTTGACTATAGGTCGTAAGACCCCCATCCCAGAGAGGATCCTGCCCTACACCCAGAAGAAGTAAATGCTGCACAGAGAGACCAGAAGGAATCTTGACAGACATGCCTTGCTGGCTTTCCCCACTCAGTTTATTAATGTTAGGCTATACCCTTTTTGTCCAATCATTTTTCCTCACAGCTGTCCATACTTTGTTAAACCTAAGCATTAAAATAGGACAATTTCCTCAGTATCTTTTGGTCTCCATTCTGAAGGCTCCCATCTATACACATCAAATAAATGTGTATGCCTATTCTGCCTCATGTCAGTGATTTTTCAGTGAACCTTTAGGGTTCCAAGAGCCTTGGCCCCCACATATATACATCTGTAACAGTATGGACTTCCCTGTAAATATTATTGAAAATTCCTAATATGCTTGTCATGAGTATTTTTCCTAGTTAGGCAGCTGCAGATATAAACATCACTGATAAAACTTCCCTATGGCTTTCTTGCTCCTGTTTGCAAGGGAAGGCTGCTATTTTATGACTAAATGTTTCTATTCACTAGAGATACAAAGCTGACATAAGTCTACAAACTTAATGTCCAGATATTTAGATAGGGTGTCTCACAGCCCACTCCTACCCTGGAATTACATGATTTTTAAGAAGTTATTTTCAGAATTCCTAAAAATCCATGTGTCAGAGGGTGCGTTGGGTGAGGAGAATGGACAGAGAGGCAGTGAAGGAAAGTGAAGGGGTGGAAGGAATAGCATCATAATCAAGTTACCAACCATATTTCTCCTGTTCTTTTTCTTCCTGCTGTATAGATCCTTTAGCTCTGTATTTCCCCGAAAGAGTTCTAAGTATCCTAATGGAGTGTGCCATGTGCTTAGCGATGAGTCATTCTGGATGCCTTCTAGCTTTGCCATGTTCTTCCCAGTTCCAGATGGTTATACTGATGACTGTTGATATTGACAATGTCTGGAGCTGACTCTTGTATCACTGAATGTACCACTCCTGCTTCTGGGACTCCACAAAGGCAACACCTGTTCATTTGGGACTTGCCAGATGCCACTAGTGAAGTGGGTTCTCTCTGCATCTGGGCTGAGGAGCTAGGGCTCATCTCCTCAGAGAAGCATTCCTGATCTCCCGATCACTTTATAACAGAACGGCTGTTCCTTTATTTCCTGCATCACAATGATTATTGTACAATGCCAGACATGGTGTAATATTTGAAATAAATGAATGAATGAAGATCACCTAGGCATTTTATTAAGTATGTCTATTATTAGCCTTGGTCCACAGAGATTATGAATCATTATCTGGAGTTGATTCTAGGAGGCTGGTTGTTAAAACGCACTCTCGTATGATTCTGCAGGTGATCTATCTAGGGACCTTGGTTTAACAAACACTGCTTTAGGAGCAATAAATATAGGACTTAGCCAAATTCTACACATGAATTGGGTTCTTCCTTTGGGAAAGAAAAATTTATAATTCAAAGGAACTCCAGAAGGTAAATGACACATGGATTTACTTAGCAGTTTACTTACATGTATCTGTAGCTAATTATGTTATTTATTATACAGATGCCAATTTTTAATTAAATAACTATTTTCATAAGGAATTAACAACGCAGTAATCAGAGGTAAGGTTCTGGTCCTGGATCTCTTTTTCAAAAATTCAGTTGTGATATCTGAGTTGCTTTTCTTCTCAGTAGTAATGCGTTCTAGTGCAGTTTTGTGGCTACAGTGGCTGGTCATGCGTTCTCTTACAATCATTTCGCTCAAGTTAATGCTGCCTTTGTGACTATACTTTGCTATTTATCTCATTGCACATCAATCTCTCGTATTTTGCATTTAAACCTCCTTTATTAAATTGTACTTTAGTGCTGAATGTCATGGAACTCTGTCTAGTTAGGAAGATATTTCTATACTATATTTAGCAGATGTTACATTAGTTTTTCCTGAGCTGGGTTTTCCTGTGGGTTACACAAACCTGAGCTTTCCGCTTGTGATACTTTTTGCATGTTTCTGGAGGGGACACATGTGTTTTAAAGCATTCCTGCCTTTGTAATCCTCTATGGCAGTGTTTCTCAAACTATAATATGCCCTATTCAGAAGGTATGGGGTGGGGCCTGAAATTCAGCATTTATAACAAATTCCCAGATGCTGCTAGTCCACATATTACTCTTGGAGTAGCCAGGCTCCAAGGAACCCGAGATGGTTTTATAGCCACAAAGTCATTGAAAGTCATTGACTCCACAGTTCATAACACTCTTGAAGAAAACCTTCTCCTTGGATTCATAAAAGCCTCAGACTTCTCTCTCTGTCAAAAAAAAAAAAGGCTTTTGAATTTCTTGCCATCTTGACTACATCACAAAACTCAGTAACATGTAATCACAATGACAAGTTTTGCTTATGAACTATATGCTCTTTTCAGTTGAACTGTGTTATATCTCAAGGTTTTACCCAGATTTTAGCCGCTTCTCAATTCCTTCCACTCTTAGGTTTAGATTTTCATTGTTTCTCAGTTTATTGCAAAATGTCCTATACGCTTTTCTTTCTCCATTTTTTTCTTCTTTGTAATTCTTTTTTCCATTGCCTTCCTCTTGCCTCCTCTTTCTGGTTTCTCCTCCCTTCTGTATGAAACAGTTTCTCGTGTGTTTTGTACAAGCACAGAGGGACCCTAAGCCAGGAAGAAGCAGGCAAGTGAGCGTGAGCCTCCATTCCATTTCCCAGCACCTCGTCCTTCGGTGGGCTAGGGTTGACTGCTACAATCACCCCTCTCATTAAGTGCAAAGCAAAAGCCAGGCACACTTTACCCCTCACCTTTTGGATTCATAATTGCCTGTGTAATTAACTCTGCATAAAGCCAGTGAGAGAAGGCACATCCCTGTGGACTAAGAGGGATCAAGATCACATACGCTCAGAATGATCTGGCAACTCCAACAAAAAAAAAGGTGTATCCTATTCTCATTAGCATCATAGACTATGCTTGACTTAAACAATAGAGGTGTGTGTGTGTGTGTGCGTGTGTGTGTGTATGTGTGTAGTCTGTTTTGTGATTTGAAGCCTTCAGGACTGTATGTGAGTTTCCACCACACTGGCAGGAAGACAGAGATAACCAGATATGCTAGGTAGTCATCATGAAAGCATCCCAAGGAATTTCTAGCAATATCTGAGAGAATCTTCTAGAAAACAAGTGGACTTCTGCAAATCAAGCTGGTGGGTCCAAAAATGTTTAGATTTATAAGATATGTAATCAATATGACCCAATTTTGTACATAAAAACTGATGGAGTCTGGGCTCTATAAGCTATATATTCCCAGGATTTGTCCATGCCAAGTGGGTCAAAGATGCTATTAAATATTTCTTGAATCAATTCAAATAGTTAAATCAACTTTTCTATATATTGTATTCCACAACTTTTCCCAGGTCAGCTATATACCAGGTTGGTTGACAATTAGGAATGTGTCTTTTCTTAAAAATTATGGTGAATATTATCTAGCTTTGATTTCATTTATGTGAAAATACTTACTAATCTTCATTCTAAACTTCCAAAAATTTTGTTGAAAGCTTCATATAAGTAGTTAATATGTATTCCTTTTTAAATTGTGTTCTATGAAGCCCTAGAACTCAGCAAAAATGTTGGCGCCACTATGGGGACATGAGATCCAAGGAAGGTAAGCAGAGCTCTACCCTCCCCAGCCCATTTCATTCAGCTTAGAACTATTTCCAGTTTGATATACTGGATTTCCAAATAGAACTTTATCTGAAAAGTGGGAACTGCTCCTAAATCAAACTAACAAATAAATAAATAATATTCAAAGTTGAAATTCTACCATTGACAGGATTCTGGAGTCCATGTGGGATGTATTAGCTTTCCTGGGGATGTTCTACAAAGTATGGTCCTCACTTTTGTTTACTACCAGCATGACATTACAGAATCTTCCACTGGTAACTCCCCTGTGTTGACAGAACTCCAGCAGCTTTCCCAGGGAGCCGGGGCTCTGTAAAGTGTGTATGTGAGGAAGTTGTGTGTTCTCAGATCTCAGTGCAGCCACTGAATTAATTTGGTTACTTCTGAAGAGCAGTGACTCCATGAAATATTAACCAGACCTTAGCTTCAGGGACAGAGGTTTCATTCCTGCTGTGTCATCAGCACTTTTGAGCACAAAACTTTTCAAGTGCTGGAAAGATTCTTTCTTTACTTCATCTGTGTTAGTGTCAGTATTATCCTCCCTGGCTTTTTCTTTAGCTTGTCTAAGTGACCTTGCTATAAAACTTGCGGAACTACACAGAGGTCAAGTTCATCAGAAAGCATTTTTATTTTTAAGAGAGCACATTATCCACTATAATGTTAACTTCAAATAATTTTTAAAAATGTGATTTTTATTAATTTCATCTGAGGTTATTATCTGATAATTTATTGAAATGCTTCTTGGACTTATGTATATTTTTCACCTGAGTTACATTTTCCAATAACCACTTCCTGAAGGTAATTCAATCATTTATATAGGTTGCTGTTTTCTTTGTTTTAATTTTATTGTTTCCATATTTTAGGGATGTCTTCTCTTTATTGAGTTTCAAAATTTTAGCAGTAAACCTATATTTATCCCATTAATTCTTATCACAATTTTTAATCCTTTTATTCTTTTTTTATTATTATGGTAAAAACTATATAACGTGAGATCTACCGTCTTAGCAAAATTGTAAATTAATAGAAAATTGAAAAACAAAACAGCACTTTTTCTACTCTCACATAACCACTGAACACAGCACTTCTGACACCAGATTCTCCAGTGGACTCCAGCTGTGTGTCCTATCATTCAATTCTTATACTATCTACCTGAGACAGCACGAACTCCCTCAGGTTAAGGGCTTAGTCCCACGAAACTTCCCCCCACCCCTGCCCTATTTCACCACTTCAGATACCAGTCTCAAGGCCCAGGTTGTGACCTGTACATCTAACTGGCTACCAATTGGGGTTCCCATGTCCCCTTCCTTGAGTAAGTTTAATTTGCTAGAGTGGCTCACAGAACTCAGGGAAACACTTTACTTATGTTAACCAATTTATTATAACAGATATTACACAGGGTTTAAATGAAGAACCAGAAGGAAGAGATGCATAGGGCGAGATTTGGAAGATGGGACGAGAAGCTTCCATGACTCCTCTGGGCAGACAACCTTTGAGGTTGTTTAGATGCCTGGAAACTCTTGAACCCTGTCCTTCTGAATTTCTATGGCGACTTCATTACATAGGCATCACTGATTAAATAATTGGCCATAGTGATCAACTCAACCCTCAGCTCCTCAACCTTCCTAGGTAGTCAAGGGGTGAGGCTGAAAATTCCAAACCTCTAATCATGGTTGATTCCCCTGCCAAAAAGTCCTCCCATCCTGAAGCTATCTTGCAGTCCCCAGCCATCAGTTATACCTTAGCGTCCAAAAATACACTTATTATTTGAGAGATTTCAAAGATTTTAGGAGCTGTGTATAAGAAACCAGGGACAAAGACCAAAGATATATTTCTTATTGTATCACAATATCCCAAGATATACACTATGTTATTAACTACAGGTACAATGTTGTACAAGAGATCTCTAGAACTATTTTATCTTACATGTCTTAAACTTTATACCCATTGAACAGCAAATTCCCATATCTCCTTCCTCCCAGTCCCTGACAATCATCAATCTACTTTGTGCTTCTATGACTTTGACTACTTTAGATACCACACATAAGAAGTGGAATCATGAAATATTTGTCTTTCTGTGCCTATTTCACTTAGCATAATGTCCTCAAGGTTTAGCCATGTTGTAGCCTATGATGGGATTTACTTCTTTTTTATGGCTGAATAATATTCCATTGCATGTATATATCACATTTTCTTTATTCATTCATCCATCAATGGACATATAGGTTGTTTTCAACTCTTGGCTATCATTAATAATGCTGCAATGAGCATGGGCATGCAAACATCTCTTCGAGATCCTGATTTTAACATTTTTGGATAAATATACAGTATTAGAATTGCTGGACCATATAGTAATTCTCTTTTTGATTTCTAAAGAAATTCCATATTGTTTTTGGTAACATCGTTTCCATTTTGCATTCCACCAATAGTGCACAAGAATTCCAAGTTTTCTAATCCTCACAGTTTTCAATTTTTTTGTCTGTAACAACTATCCTAAAAGATGTAAGGTGATGTCTTATTGTGGTTTCTATTTGCATTGCTCTGATAATTAGTGATGTTGAACATATCTTCATATACTTGTTGACCATTTGTATGTCTTTTTGGAGAAATGTCAATTCAAGTCCTTTGCCCATTTTTTCAACTGGATTTTTTGCTGTTGAGTTGTGGAAGTTCCTTTTATATTTTTGATATTAGCTACTTATCAGATATATGACTTTGCAAATATTTTTTCCATTCTGGAATTTGTCTTTTCACTCTGTTGATTGTTTCTTTTGCTATGCAAACTTTTCTTAGTTAGATGTAGTCCCACTTGCCTATCTTTGCTTTAGTTGCCTGTGATTTTGGTGTCATATCTAAGAATCCATTGCCAAGACCAATTTCATGAGGTTTTCCCCATGTTTTCTTCTAGGAATTTTATAGTTCTATGTTTTACATTTAAGTGTCTGATCAATTTTGTGTTGATTTTTGTCTGTGGTGTGATATAATAGTCAAATTCATTTTTTCTGCAGGTAGATATTCAGTTTTTCAATGCAACTTTTTGAATAGATTTTCATTTTTACATGGGGTATTCTTGTACATTTATTTCTGGGCTCTGTATTCTGTTAGTCTATATGTCTGTCTATATGATGGTACTTGTTGTGGTTTGGCTGTGTTGCCTCCCAAATCTGATCTTGATTTGTAGTTCCCATAATCTCCATGGGTCATGAGAGGGACCCGGTGAGAGGTAATTGAATCATGGGGGTGGTTACCCCCATTCTGTTCTCATTATAGTGAGTGAGTTCTCACGAGATCTGATAAGGGGCTTTCCTCTCTTTGCTCGGCATTTCTCCTTCCTGCTGCCATGTGAAGAAGGTGCCTTTCTTTCCCTCTGCCTTCCACCATGATTGTTAAGTTTCCTGAGGCCTTCCCAGCCATGTGGAACTATCAGTCAATTAAACTTCTTTTCTTTTAAAATTACCCAGTCTCGGGTGTTTCTTCATAGAAGAATGAGAACAGACCAATACAGTACTATATGGTTTTTATTACAGTAGTTTTATAATGTTTTGCAATAAGAAAGTGTAAGGCCTCCAGCTCTGTTCTTCTTTATCAAGAATGTTTTGACTGTTTGGGATTCGTTGTGATTTTATATGAATTTTAGAATTCTTTTTTGTTTATGTAAAAATAGTCTTTGGGATTTTGATAGGAATTGCACTGAGTCTGTAGTTTGCTTTAGGTAACAAGGACATTTTAACAATATTAAGTTTTCCAATTCAGGAACATGGGATGTCTTGACATATACGTGTCATCTTGATTTATTTCAGCAATGTTGTATAATTTTTAGTGTACCAGTGTTTCATCTCCTTGGTTAAGTTTATTCATAAGTATTTTTATGCTATTTTAAATGAGATTGTTTTATAAATTTCATCTTTGGATTGTTAGTGTTTGGTGGGAAAAGCACTGATTTGTATATGTTTATTTTGTATACTGCAACCTTATTGAATTTTTAAATTAGTCCTTTTTTTTGTAGAAACTGTAGGGTTTTCTACATATAAGGTAATGTCATCTGTGAATCGAGGTAACTTTACTTCTTCCTTTCTGATATGGATGCTTTTTTATTTCTTTTATTTGCCCAGTTACTCTAGCTAGGACTTCCAGTTTTATGTTGAATAGAAATGGCAAGAGTGGTCACCCTTCTCTTGCATTTGATCTCAGCAGAAAGCCATTTAAATTTTCACCATTGAATATGTTGTTCCCTGTAAGCTTTCATATGTGGCCTTTATTATGTTGATGTAATTTCTTTCTATTCCCAGTTGGTTGGATATTTTTATCATAAAAGGTGTTGAATTTGTCAAATTCACTTCCTGAACCTATCAAAGTAATTGTGTGCTTTTTATCTTTTGTTTGGATAATGTGGTATATCACATGGATTGATTTTCATATGTTGAAACCACCTTGCAGCACGAATAAATCCCAGTTGGACATGGTGTATGGTCCTTTTAACGTGACATTAAATTCAGTTTGCTAGTATCTGGTTGAGGATTTTTGCATCTATGTTCATCTGTTACATTGACCTGTAGTTTTCTTTTCTTGTGGTGTCCTTATCTAGCTTTGGTATAAGGGTAATATTGACCTCATAATAAATTTGGAAGTGTTCCTTACTGATATGGTTTGGATTTGTGTCCCTTCCCAAATCTTATGTTGAATTGTAATCCTCAGTGTTGGAGGAGAGGCCTGGTGGGAGGTGATTGGATCATGGAGGTGACTTTCCACTTGCTGTTCTCGTGAGAGGGAGTGAGTTCTCATGAGATCTGGTTGTTTAAGTGTGTAGCACTTTTCCCTTGGCTCTGTCTCTCCTACGTCCCCATGAGAAGATGTGCCTGCTTCACCTTTGCCTTCCTCCATGATTGTAAGTTTACTGAAGCCTCCCTAGCCATGCCTCTTGTACATCTGGTGGAACTAACTCTTAGTTAATTAAACCTCTCTCCTGCATAAATTACACAGTCTCAAGTAGTTCCTTTTAGCAATGGGAAAACAGAATAATACACTTCCCTTTAATTTTGAAAATTATTTGAGACAGATTAGTATAAATTCTCCTTTAAATGTTTGATAGAACTCACCAGTGAAGACATCTAGTCCTGGGATGTTCTATATTGAGAGGTTTTTGATTAGTGATTTAATCACCTTACTAGTTACGTGTCTGTTGAGATTTTCTGTTTTCTCATTCTTCAGTTTTGGTAGGTTGTATGTTTTCATTGTTGGCATATATTTGTTAATAGAGTTTCTTTCAATCCTTTTAATTTTTGTGGGAGCAGTTGTAATGTCTTCTCTTTCCTTTTTAATTTAATTATTTGAGTCATCTCATGTTTTTATCTATTTAAAGGTTAGTCAATTTTGTTAATCTTTTCAAAAAGCCAACTCAATTTCATTGACTTTACATTTTTTTTCTATTCTCCAATTTATTTATTTATGTTCTAATCTTTATTTCCTTCTGCCAGTTTAGAGCTTAATTTGTTCTTCTTTTTTAGGTCCCTGAGATGTAAATTTAGGTTGCTTATTTGAGATTGTTATTTATTTTAAATTAGGTGTTTGTTCCTCTAAACTTCACTCTGAATACTGCTTTGGACAAAGCTCACAAGTTTTGGAATTTATGTTTTCATTTTATTAATGTCAAGTTATTTTTGAATTTTCCTCTTGATTTTTTCTTTGACTCGTTGGTTGTTCAAGAGTGTTAAATTTCATGTAACATAAAATTTTCAGTTTTTCTTCTGCTTCTTCTTTCATTCAAGAAATCAAAAGATACTTGGTATGATTTCAATCTTAAATTTGTTAGACTTGTTTTAAAACCGATCCTGAGATCTATCATGGAGAATGTTCTATGTGCAATTGAGAAGATTGTGTATTCTCCTGCTATTGGGTGGAATGTTCCGTGTATGTTGGCTAGGCCCATTTGGTCTATATGTTTTTCAAGTCCTCTGTTTCCTTATCAGTCTTCTATCTGGATGTTCTATCTATGGGGAATATCCGATGGGGGATATCCAGTATCCAATGGGGTACTGAAATCTCTTTCTATTATTGTGTTGCTGTTTAATTCTTCCTTCCGTTTTGCCAGTGTTTGCTTCATTTCTTTAGCTGATTGATGTTGGATTTATAACTGTTATATCTGCTTGGTGGATTGACTCTTTTATCATTATGTAATGTCCTTTGTTACTTAGGACAGGTGTTTACTTAAAGTCTATTTTGTGTGATGTAAGTATGGCCACCCCTGTTCTCTTTTGAATACCATTTGCTTGGAATATCTTTTTTGTACGCTTATACTTTCAGCCTATGTGTATTCTTAAATCCCAAATGAGTCTTGACCATTGTAGACAGCATATAGTTAGAGTTTCTTTTTTTAAAAAAAATTATTCAGCCATTCTATATTTTGTAGTTAGAGAGTTTAATCCATACATTTAAAGTAATTTTTAATAAGAAAGGACTTACAATTGCCACTTAAAATTGTTTTCTGTTCGTCTTGTACCTTATTTGTTTTTCTCTCTTATTGTCTTTCTTTGTGTTTCATTAATTTTTAAAATAGTGACATGCTTGATTTCTTTTTCATTTTATTTTATTTCCTATAGACATTTTCTTTGTGAGTATCATGGGGCATACATACCTCATACACTTATAACAATCTACTTTGATAGCAACTCAACTTCAATAATTTACAAAAACTCTACATGTTTATCCTCTCCCACACTTTATGTTATTGATGTCCCAAAGTACATCTTTTTGTATTGTGTGGCCATTAACATATTTTATAATTATAGCTATGTTTTACACTTTTGTCTTTTAACTTCTGTGCTAGAAATAAAAATAATTTATACATCACTATAATGGTTTTAAAAGATTATGTATTTATATATTTACCTCTCACAGTGAGCTTTATACTTTCATATGCTTTCTTTTTGCTGGTAGCATCTTTCATTTCCTCTTGAGAGGCTCTCTTTTGTATTTATTGCAAGGCAAGTCTAGTGGTGATGAGGTCCCTCAACTTTTGGTTTTCTGGGAAAGTTTTTATCTCTGATTCACTTTGAAAGACAATTTTGCTGGATAAGTATTCTTGGTTGCCAGTTTTTATTTTTTCAGAACTTTGAATATATCATTTAACTTCCTGTTGTACAAGTTTTCTGCTGAGAAACTAATAGTCTTATAGAGTTTCTCTTGTACACGAAAAGTCACTTTCTCATGTTGCTTTGAAAATTATGTCCTTGCATTTGACAATTTGATTACAATGTGATTCAGTGTTGACTTCTTTGGATTCCTCCTCGTTAAGACCGTTGGGCTTTTTTAATCTGGATGTCCATTTTCTTCTCCAGATCTGGAAAATTTTCAGACATTATATCTTTAAATGTTCTTTCTTTCTTTCTTTCTTTCTTTCTTTCTTTCTTTCTTTCTTTCTCTTTCTTTCTTTCTTTCTTCTTTCCTTTCTTTCCCTTCTTTCTTTTCTTTCTTCTTTATTTCTTTCCTCACTCTGTCACTGAGACTGGAGTGCAGTGGTGCAATCTCGGCTCATTGCAATCTCTGCCTCCTAAGTAGCTGGAACTACAGGAGCCCACCACCACACCTGGCTAGTTTTTGTATTTTTAGTAGAGACAGGGTTTTACCAGGTTGGCCAGGCTGGTTTCAGACTCCTAATCTCAGATGATCTACCCACTTTGGCCTCCCAAAGTGCTGTGATTACAGGCATGAGCCACCATTCTTGGCCTAAATAAGCTTTCTTTCTTTTTTCCCATTCTTCTTTTTGTGAGACTCTCATAATGTGTATATTGTTTTGCTTTATGGTATGTGATAGGTTTCTAGGCTTTCTTTACTCTTTTAATTTTTTATTCTTTTATTTTTCCTCTGACTGGATAATCTTCAAAGACCTGTCATTGAGGTCACTAATTCTTTCTTATGCTTTATTGTCTGTCATTGAATCCTGTTAGTGAATTTTTCAGTTCAGTTACTGCACACTTCTGCTTCAACATTTCTGTTTGCTTTTTGAAAAAATATTTTCTATCTCTTTATTGAAATTCTTATTTTGTTTGTCAACAATTATTTCCTGGGCTTATTACACATATTTTTGGCAGTTAGTTTGAATTCTTTGTTTTGTTTTTTCTTTTTTTTAGGTCTCACTAAAAAAAACAAGGTCTCACTGTCACCTAAGCTGGAGTGCAGTGGTGTGATCATAGCTTACTGTAGCCTCAATTTCCTAAGCTCAAGTGATCCTCCCATATAAGCTTCCAAAAATGCTGGGATTACAGGCATGAACCACCATGCCCAGACTTATTCTTCTTATATGAGTATTTGAATTCACGTATTTCTATTTCCTCAGGGTTGTTTCTGGAGATTTATTTGGATTCTTTGATTGGGCTATCTCACCCTGTTTACCCTGTTTCTTTATGCTCTGTTTAACTTTGTATTAGCATCCATTCATTTTATAAATACATCCTTCCTCTTGGTTTTTACAGACTAGCTTCATACAAGAAAAAAGTCTTCCTCAATCAGCCCTGCTAGAAATTCTTGCTTCTCTCAAATCTGTCAGTAGATGTGTCTTCTCTGAACTTGGGCATTTAAATTCCTAATTAGAAGGATTCACCAGTTTGCTTTTTTTCGTGGTTGAGCTCATAACCTCTTGCTCTTTGGTGTCTATCCACTGTACCATGAGTCCTCTGAAGAATCAGCATATTACTTGCTCTTTTTAGTTTTCAGTGGCTCCCAGGCATCTAGAGTATGTGAGGTACTGCCCACAGTCTGAGACGGGTGAAAACGAATCTAGTCCCTTGGGCAAACTCCTCCTTCGCCCAGATAAAACCTGGAACATTAGACACATGCTCCACTCTTTACTTTCCTTCTTGATGGAGAGGTTGGCAAGCTGTATTTGCCTCTGTTTGCTGTACCACCAGTCCTCTGGAGCGACAGCATGCTACCCAGATTTTCTGTTTGTTTGATTTTATGGCTCCCAGGATCTAAGTATGCTAGGTCCCATTAGCACTCCAAGATAGGTGAGACAGAAACCAATCCCGGGCAGCCCACCCTAAGATTCAAAATGTAGGATGTATCATCAGTCTTGTCTTTCCTTGCTCAGGAAGAAGCTGGGAGCTGAGAATTTCCTCTTGATCATGTGGATCTGTGCTAAGAGACAGGCTATGGTGACAGGGTGCCACAAATTTTTCTTCTGGCTTTGACACAGCTAGCTGATTTAGTACTTACTTGGGGTGTGGGAGCCTCTTAACTGGTCTCTAAATTTTTTACAAAGGGATTTGGTCTCTGTATTATTGTTAAATTAGTGTCACTGTTGGAGAAAGGAGGATCTGGTGCTTCCTATTTTGCTGTCTTGCTGATGTCACTCTTTAATAATTATAATTTGCATCTTCATAATCTGTATGCTTTTCAAATTACTCAACATTGTTTGAGCACCAATTAATGGGGAGGTGCTATGACTTAGCTACAATGATCTGTGCGTTATGTTGTTCCTTCTTGAGAACTTACCAATTACCTGCAGAGACTAATCACAGATATTAAAAATATAATAATAAAGTAGGAATTAAACAACAAGAGAAAGAAAAATAAGAAGTAACTGTTGGCAATGCTGCTTTTACTGTGTTTAGAGCCTTCTGTCCTCTGCAGGCTCAGGTCCACCTATTTCTTGTGGTCATTCTAAAGGAGGCAGGTGATCTTGATATAATCAGTGGATATGATTACAGTGTCATTAATATAGGTCTGTTGCCAGTCCTCCCATTATGACAAGATAATCCCCTTCTATTAATCAAACCATAATTGTTCAGTCAATGTAGCTCCTCTTAGTAGAATAGATTGGAACATCTTGCTACTTTACTTTCTGCAATACAGAAGACTTCATTATTAGCGTTAGCCCAAATGAAGACAGATTTTGGCATATAATGCTATCCTTTTGTGAGCAAAGCCATTTTGGGTTGTTAAATACTTTCCTAATTCTGGCTATTTATTCTTTTCCATCAGGCATGGCACAGAGGTTCCACCCTGATGTGCGGTGGGCCCCCTGTGTCATGACAATTTCAAAGCCAAAGTTAATTGACTGGATGAATTATAGTCAGCAGTTAATAATGAATTTCAAAAGACTTGAAGATTTTAGTTCAGAAAAGACTGACCACAATTCATGATTTAAAAAATCTGTCTTCAAATGGAATTGTCTAGTTTTATCCAGATCTCATGAAGATTAAAAAAAAATAAATAAAAATAAAAATAAACTTTTCTTACTAACTCTGTCTTTTAATCATGCAGTTCTCCTTTAGGCCCAAAAGTGATAGGCCTGCCAGTGTCATTTCCTGTTTTTCTCTTATCTTTTTTTTTTTTTTTTTTTTTTTTTGCATTTTTTGGTTCTGCTTTTATCTTCACGATTTCAAACTAATGAATCACTACCAGAACCTATCCAGGGTCAAATCGCTTTGCATGTACTTTGAGACTTCTTGGACACTTTGGACAAATGATATAATTTCTCTACCTTAAATCTAGGATTAGGTTTGCAAGGTGCTGTCTATATTAATTAATTTACAAATGTGGAAGTTTTGTTCAGAAGCTAAGTTAGCCTTCTAGCTGACAATATTTCTCTCAAGAAACCCCTTCCTCTGCCACCATCCACACTACCAATTTCCTGAAGTTGCTGGGTTATTTTCTTCATTAAACCATACATTTGCCCCAGTTTTCTTTTTTCTTTGAAATGCCTTTCCTTCTCTTGACTTGCTGGCAAAATGCTTCTTATCCTTCGTGCATTAGTTTCCCTGAAAATCTATCTCTAAATCTCTTTGTACTCTTTCTCCTCTGCTCCAAATGGGTGTTCTTGACAAGATGACAAGATGACATGGTCAGAACTAATAAATCACCACCACTGCTGCTCTCTGAGGATATTATTCAATCATTGTTGTCTTTGACATTGCCTTGAAGTTTTATCCTGATTTATTTCCTTGGTATAGGTTACAATACAAATAATTTCTCCATTCCTTGGATCTTGATTTTACGTAGATAGCTTTTGAATTTCCCCCCATTGCTTTCTTACAGTTTTATTTAATTGCCTTGCTGACATCCGTGCTCACCTCAAGGTGGAGACTGCAGATTGTCCTGGTTAAAAGCCTTAGTTTTACAGGCTTCCACTGTCAGTTCAGGAACTGGCTTCTTTATTTATTAACTCTGTAACTTGAGGCAATTTATTTAAAATGTCCGAGCCTTAGTGTCCTCACCTGTCTATGTATCCTTTTATTAGATTAATATAAAAATATTTGAAAACTGCTTAGGATAATTCCAGGCATTTAGTAAGTACAGATGTTAACTTACACTTTTATTATTAATTCAAGGTGAGATAGTAAAGTCAAATTTATGCTTTTCTCTGCCTATTTTAATATGAACTTATTCCCCACTAGTTTATACATAAAAGCTTAGTTCTTTATTACCTTATTTATATTTTTTGGTGTGTCCATGTACAAGCAACGTGTCTTTTTTTCTGAACGAGGAGAGCTCTTTAAAAGCCAATTCTGCTGACAAGCAACTGGTAGAAACAAGAGTTTAACTTCTCAAACTTATCTCAAACTACTTGTAGAGATTCTCCACAAGTATCTTTATATATAAAGTATATATACAAGTATCTTTATATATAAAACAATCTTTCTACTGTTTTATAGCTTATAATCTTGATAGTAAAGCAACTCAAGGAAAAGCTCATTTTGTAAACATTTTAACAGAAGGTCACATGATAAAAACTTTTGTTTCAAGTTTCTCATTTTCAATGGTCAACATTAATATTGCTTTAATTTTATATGTTCAAATTATTGCATTTTCTCATGATGTATAATTTCAAGGATTAGATAATCCAGGTTTATTGGAGTATATTCATATTACTTGTTTGGGGAAATTTGACCTTGTCCATGAATACTCCCTTGGCTCAGATCTGGGAAAAAATGGGTGTTCTTTTATTTACACACTGAATCTTTTAAAAGTTCCTCAACTTTCACAAGAGGAGAACAAAACTACTTGTGCTTGACTAATCGGTGCAGGATGTTCTTACCTCCTAGGTCCCTGTCAGGAAGAACTATATTCTCAAACTCACAGCCAGCCAATATTTTCTAATTTTTTTTTTACAATAAATTGTAATCCTAATATGTTGTGTTTTATTTTTCTAGAACTCTAAATTAGTCTTTGAATTAAGCAAGATCATGAGAGAAGTATGTACCTAGCATATGTTTTACTGGCCTCATGTAAAATTATTTTTACTTAGGCTATTGGTCTATGTTGAAAGACTTGATAAAAAAGGTATAATAACTTCTAATGTATTCACTGTAGATACAATTTTGAAGATGTTTACTGCATCAAAATGCTGTTGGGTCCATAGGCAACATTTTTGTTTACAGCAAAATCGGGTCAGCTGTGCTGTTCTTGAGTCAGTTCATTCACTTATCATTCAATTTAGCAAATACTCATTCATTGCTTAATATAGACCAGGTACCATAATGAATATGAGATAACGCAACTAACAAATAATTTTCCTGTCCCCTTGAAATTTATATTTGAATTTTGAGGAGATAGAAAACTGACAAATAAAAACCTTATAATGTGTCAAATTCTGATAAGTTCAATTGACTGAAATAAAGAAGAGTAAGTAGGACGAGGAATGCCTAAAGTAAAATTTGCTCTTTTAGGTCAGGTGGTTAGGGATCTCCTCTGTTATTTGAGCCAGCAGAGACATAAGAGAGAGAGAGTGAGTGAGTAGTGCAAATCTCTGGGAGAAGAGCCTTATGAGCGGAGGTAACAGCAAGTGCCAAAGCTCTGAGGTGGGAGTATGTTTGGTACATTCAAAAGTCACAGATGTCACGAGGAGGAGACATTAATTATATTGGTCTTGTAGGATACTCTAGAATTTCCAGTTTTATTCCTAGTGAAAGGAAAATCATTCAAAAGGTTTTGGAGTGGAAGTATTATGTATAATTTAATTCGTCAAAGATTATCTCTGGTTGCTCAGTGCAAGAAAAAATGTGGGGTAGCAAAGGAGGTTGCATAGAACACCATTTAGGAGGCTATAATCCAATTTTGAATATATTTTGGATTTTGCACTAACAGAATTTACAGATAGCTTGGAGGTAGAGTGAGAGAGAATGATAAGACTTAATAAATATTCCTAACATTTTCACCTAAGAATGGGATAAATGTAATTTATTTACTTTTGTGAAAAATAATCCACGTAGAATGGAATTTTTTAGGGATTATGGGAAAAATTTATTCTATGCATTGAGTTTGAGGTGTCAAATAAACAATTAAGTAAACATGTTGAACAAATCAATGATTATTTAAGTAAAGAATTACGGATATATGTCAAGCCTGGAGATACAGATTTGGGAGTAACCAGCATGTAAAAAGTGTATAAAATATTGACACTAGATGAAATCCCACATGGGGAGTGATTATAGATAGAGAAGAGGTCCAAAGACAGTTTCTTGGGGGAACTTGCTGTTTAGAAATTGGCAATGAAAACTGTGGTGTGGGAGAATAGAATAAATGCAAACCAGTAATAAAGTCTGAGGTGATAGAAGAAGAACCAGGACAATATGAAGTCCCCCAAAACACGTGATGATGAGTTTTCAAGAAGGGGAGGGTGTAAATACTGCCAACGGGTCAAATGAGACACACATTGAGAATTCATGGCTGGATTTAGCATAGTGTAGGTTGGTGACATTGAGATGGTGAACTTACAGTGTTGGAAATCTGATTGAAGTCAGTTGAAGAGAAAATAGGAAGCTAAATTGGAGGTGGGGATTATGAGGCCACTCTTTTGAGGAGTTTGGCAATATAGGAGAGCAAAGACATGGGGCAGTAACAGAGCTGCAGAGAAATGTGTGCCTAAGGGAGAGTTATTTTGTAAGAGGGGGCATGTCACAGCCTGCTTGTAGGCTGATGCGATTACCCAATAGAGAGGAACAAGGTAATGGGAGAAGAGAGCCTGAAAATATTGCTAAAATTGTATTATTCAGTAGAGGGAGTTAACGGGTTCTGGTGCCCAGCTGGAGTGATGGGCCTTAAGTAGTGCACCAATATTTTATTTATTCTAGATGGAGGAAAAAACAAATATGTGAGTTCAGATGTAGGCAGATTAGTAAACCAGCAAATAAAGCTTCTTTTCTGATTGCTTTTGTTTTCTCATCAGAGATTAATAAGAGGGGAGGATGTGTTGAAGATTTGAGGAAACAGGACAAAGCATGAAATAGTCATCTAGGAAAGTAAGAGATTGAATGGATTAGGGAAAAATAAATAAATTTCCATATAGCCTTAAGGACCCACTTGAGCTTAATGCATGTGTGCATTTTACCTCACCACGTTGAGCTACTCAGTCATAGCATAGAATATATAAATAATTGTATTTAATACTGCTATCCCACTATTTTTTGAAATAAAGGTAATACATTTTCTCTTGTTTACAAAAAATAACTGCACACATACACATGCAAAAAATTTATTTCTATAGGACTTTGGATCATGCAAGGCCAGTGAGAAGGTAGGAGAGAAAGACTAAGGAATTTAGAGCATATACCAAGACGTAGTTATAATGATGTGTAATACGGTCTAAGCTGGGAAAACAGAAAAGTGGGGAGGTGGAATAAGGAGCATGAAATATTGGTAGGATCAATGGAGAGTCCTGGTGCTGGTAAAAGATTTTTAGAATTGGTGTACCAGAGGGTGTGAATGAAGAATAAAAGAGATGATCGGAAAGTGGGATTTTGAAATTCAGATGAAGGATATGCTGTTTTTGGTAATGTAAGGTTGATATGTGCCAAATAAAATAATTAAAGAAGAAAAATTTAACACTAGGATGTTGGGAAGATCTTGTAGGTGAACTTTGAAATCACCAAAATATAAGAAAGAAGCTGTGTCAAACATTAAAACCAATGAGAAATAAAGGGAAAGACTTAGGAGTTAGTTGATAGAAAGAATGAGGAGTGGTAAAAGATATAATGACAAGACAGGACTGTCATCATGGTACAATCAATGGTTGATACTGGAGAGAAAATGGGTGAAAAAAAATGGTTTGGGAGCAACAGTGAGGAGAAAATAACACTTATGTTATACAATACCTTCAGTTCTCAGCTTTATTTGGAGGGAAGAGAAAAGTTGACTTGGTTGCTAATTTTATGTACATGAAAATGTAGGTAAGCGAGCATATTTGCCTCTGCTTTGACTCATCAGAGGAGAGCTGATAACCTAGAGCAGTAATACTAGAAATGAAGAAGAGGGTGTATTTTTGCAGAAATATTAAGGAAGTCAATCGGTAAGTCTTGAAATATTAGGTATATGACGCCAGGGAGAAGACCGAAATAGGGAGTCAAAGAAGTCAAGAGTGGATTTTAGATTTCAGCTTGGGTAAGACAGTGAGGTCACCCAAGATAGAAAATACTGAAACATAACTAATTTAAGGGGAATGATAAATGTACATTTTTACCTGTTAAATGTAAAATGCCATTAGACATTTAGGTAGATGGGTTGAGGAGACAATCTGAATTTCTTAGGAGAGGAATGTGGATTGAAGACTAGAGTTAGGAATCATCTATACATCTATAGTTGTTGAATACATGATGGTAAATGAGATTACCACGGAAAGGTTTTTTTTTTCTTGACGAGACTAATAGGTTAAAGTAAGTTGTTTATTTCATTTTTATTCTTCCAAAGCAGCTCTGCATTCATCTTCATCGATGCTATTTTACTAATGTAATATTTCTATTTATCCCTATATTTAAACTAAAGGAATATCACAGCCACAGCTTTTTATTGGAACAAGGAATAAAAACCCACTCAGAGTCGCTCAGGTTAGAAGAGTTATTGTAAAGTGGAGGAACAGTTACTGAGGTACTGTCAAATTTCATGTGAAATAAAACCAAAATTAGTAAAGTCAAGAGCTAAGACTCATGTCTCAGAGTCTCAAGGACTCTCCTGCCTCTCCTTTTCTGAATGAGCCTTCTGTGTTGTTGTTTCCCATTATCAATTTGCTTTCTCTCTTTGTCATGAGTCTGCATACGCCCTAGCATGATAATCACACAAACTAGTGTGCATGATCCCTTGTTTAATGAACTAGTATTGTGAAACAAGAATGGATTGGCCAAATTGATCTTTTCTAACCACACTATAGGTGTCAGGCCAGCAATAAATGGGACCCATTGGAAAACATCTGATCTAAATACCTGTGGGTCAACTGTGTAATCAAACATGTGGGCCTCGTGTGGACACGGTGATTCTCCTACAGAAACTCTGGGCAGACAAGCTTAGTCATTCAAATGTAAGCAAAATACCACCTAAATATGCTGGTACTAAATGTTCAATGTTTTTAATGATACTAAATAAAATTGAACTTATATTTTTGAATTTCTTATTGAAAATACAAATAGCTATTTGTTATAGCTATGAAGCTTGATTATAATAGCTTAATCTGGAGAAGACTGATTCTGACACTGTAGTGTCAATGTGAGCCTAACTAAAATATTTATAGTCCATTATGCTGGTGTGTTCATGATTTGACCCACAAAATGATTTTATCTGTGCTAATTTACTTTATTTGAACTATATTAGATATAATTCCTTACCGAAGCCTGCTGTTATTTGTTTTGCTCTGTTCCTTAACCACATTTATTGATTGGGCCCTTACTGTATGCAGAACATATTTCTGGTCACTCTGAGAACAACAGAAAAGCAAGACCTATCATCCTTTTATCAAGAATCATTTGGTCTGTTGAGAGAGGATTAAAAACATGTTTGAAAAATTAATTGAAAAATGTTCTTAGATTATATGAGATCCATATTGATTAAACAATACATTTAACTGCTGAGGGAATATAGGATTAACGCAGTCATATAGCAGTAGCCGTCTTTCCTCAAGCTTCAAAAAGAGATTAAAATGTGAAAAATTGGCAGTGTGCATAGCTTTCGGAGAAGTAGAAATGAAATCCTATTATTCTCACTGACTAATAGAGCAAAACTGGGGTATTATATGCCTTTTTGAGACATTAGAATTAGGAAGAATTTTATTAACTAAAGACTTTGGCAAAATTTTGGAGAGTAAACAAATATTAAATGTACTTTGATAATTTGTCTTCTGTTCTTTGAGATCCCATTGTAATAAATAGAAAGAATCATCTCTCTTAAGCTTATTCATCAGTTTTCCTTCTCAACTTTTTAGGGACATCACAATGTTAAATGTCAGAGGAGGGTATTTATTTTTATGATTATTTTAATTTGGTATGTCCAGTGTTTTAACATTTATATTCAAATTATGTGTTTGAGTAGCAATTATGGAGCAAAATATATTAATTATATATTGCTTAGTAACAAATTACCCCAAAACTTAGCAGATGAAAGCAGTGAACTTATATTAGTTTAGAGTTTCTGTGGGTCAGTAATTCAGGAGGAGTTAAGCCAGATGGGCTGGCTCAGTGTCTTTCTTAAAGCTGTAGTCAAGCTGCTGGCCCGGTCCACAGTCATCAGAAGACCTGACGGAGGCTGGTGGATTTGCTTCCAAGATGCCTCATTCCCAGAGCTGTTGGGAGGAGGTGTCAGTTGCTGACTTGCCGTGGCTGGGAGGTCTCATTTCCTTGCTGGATGTTCCAGGAAGTCTTAGTTCCTCACACCAGGGCTACTGGAGCATATTTGCATGGCAACTAATTTTCCCAGAGAAAATGATCCAAGAGAGCAAAATGGAAATCACTATGTCTTTTATTACCCTTTGGAAGTTGTGCACTATGATTTATTCAATACAGTATGGGTTGCACAGGTCAGCCGTTTTCTATGTAGAAGGGAGACTACACAAACTCATGAGTCTTAGGAGGTGGGGTCATTTTGGAGACTGTCATAAAAGTCCTTGCAGAAATACAGCCAGAAAACTCCTCACTCAAGCATAAAATACTCTCTCTTATGAGAAGCCCCTTATAGAAGCGTGCCTTGCTTTATGAGCAGTCCACTAGAAACAAGCTTCCTTCTTTGTGGAAGGCTAGTGGGGGTGGGGCAGGGAGAGTTTTTGCTCATCTTCCCAAGCGTATTTTTAACAAAGCTGTATTAGTTACCAGTAGAGATGAACACTCTCACACCTTAATTTTTGCCTCTATAGTAAAAATGTTAAAGTATATATTTCTCATAAATGTATACTTATTTATATATTACATGCTTGTGCCAATGTCAATCCACATAGTAAATATTAAAAGATTTTTTTTTTAGTTTTTAGACAAAGATCAATATAAATAGAAGTTTTACTATTTTCTCCTCATTCCCAAATGAGTGATTTTGTACCACACACCCCAATGTGTAGAGCGCTGGTCTACATGATGAAAATATGAAGATTATTATTTCACATGATGGAAGAGAAGACGAAGAAGAGGCAGTAGGTGTTAGAGAACCCAAGCAATCATGGTCAAAATGCTAGTCCCATAGGAAAAGCTATGCAAGATGTGACTTATTTCAATGGATTTTTCCCTCCTACCTGCTAATGGCAACTCTCTCCTACACCCACCTCAAGTTGCATTCCATAATTTTAGAACCTGGCTAGAACAATTGATAGCCCAGTGTTATGTCTAGCAAATATACTGACAATATTAACTCTTTGGTTATTATTTTCCTTGTACTAAAGCAGAAATCACGTGTAAATTGAGTGAGGTCCTAAACATATTCAAGATTGTTGGCCAATAACTGTAAAGACTGTAGAGTCATTAGGTTTCAATAGTTATTTGGAGTAATTGCAACATCCCACTGTGTATTTATTTTATGTTCCATGGACATCAAAGGAAGAAGACAAAAATAAAAACAATTTTTTTTAGCAATTCTGCCTCTGGTTAACCTAAGATAAAGGACAGAAAAGGATGTAAAATATGATTTCTTGACTCTGGTCTTTGTTTTTTACAAAATTTGCTCTTCCTATGAATAAATCAGAGGAGTTCAAAAATTACTAAATAACCCCAAAGTAATTTTTTCATTCTTTTTATTTAGGTGTGATTTTTGTAGACATAGCCCCTTATGGTGAAATCGATTGTGCATTTTAGAAATGAGACAACATTAGCCTTTATCTGGATGTGATCATATTCCCATATGTGACAAACAGAAATGCCATTTCTTCACTGAACAAATATAGTCACAGTTAATATACTTCAGATATTTGTAGGTGTTTATAAAAATCTCTGAATAGATGGACCCACATTCAACCACAATTACTTGGTGTGCAATTTTACTTAAAATACACCAGAATTATGACATATAATTTAACCAAGATGGCAAAATTTCTTGGCAGAGTAAAACATCAAGGAGAGTAAAAAGTCAAGGGGAGCTTATCGACTTCATTTTATTTATTTTATTTAATTTTTTTAATGCAGCAATCCAGAAAAAAAATACTACCTTGTTTCTTTGCTCAGCTTAAGGCTTCTTTCTCTCCTACTAACTGTCTAAAGAGGGTTATTGATTTTAATGTGTAGCTTTCTTATTGTACTTTTTTAAAGTAGAAAAATACATTCCCTTGGAAATGGTGGCATCTGTAAGGGAAACTGTCTTCCTTTACATTTTAAAATGCTACAAAGATTAAGAAAAATCAATGCATTCTATTGGGGAGAGTAGGTGAATATAGATGGTAGGTTTAATTTTGAATGAATAAATACTATTTTTCTGGTGTTTACATGAAAAAAATCACTGGTATTTAAAATATTTTAGAAACAAAAAAATAGGCTGAAACATTCACAATGAATCTTCCTAAAAACGGTTTACGATGGATGTGTGTTACTATGATTTCTTACTTTTTTATAATTATCTATTATTAATTTTATAATCAGAAAAAAATGTAGAACAAACTTAGGAGTGAGATAGTACATGATGTTTCCTATAATTTATAAAAGCATCTCATATTTAAAATTAAGATAACTGAGGAACTATACGGTTTTGGAAGCCTTTAATGAAAGCCCTAACACAGAATTTGGAAACCAAATAGGAAAAGTATTAGTTTGGGCTTCAGGAGTGAATACTTTCAGTCTATCATAATTGTAAGCAAAGTTCAAGATAGATGTTCATGTAGAACCAGACTATAAATGGATTGTAGTCACTCCCCTGAGTGGTTTCATTTTCAGATAAATTTAGAAAAATCCTGAATCTCTTCCTGAGTGAACATCAGTAAAGCTGGGACTCTTTCCAAGAAAGCACAGAGGGATTTGTCCAGAGTCTGAATTTCTGTTGCACTAGGAATGTCAGATAAGTACTTGGACTAAGAACATCACTATCAGTCGGTTTGCTGGGCTCTGTAGTAAATTCTACATTTATAGGCTATATGTGAAAATTTTATGACCTCAGGTCAGAGAACAGGGCTGGAATCAGCTCCTGCATGTAACAAATGACATTAAAATGAAGGGCTTTGCTAATCCTTCTACATTTGAAAGGCCCAAAATGTTATAGTCTTCATAGACAAACAAGAAAGAGAAAATAACTGATCAACAAAATAAGTCTAATTACATTTGAATAGCCAAAAACACAAAAGAAACAGGAGGGGTATGGCTTATGTTTTCTACATAGTAAGGAATAGACATTAAATAGGAGGAATGGAAGGAAGAACATAAAGAAGAAAAGCAGGGAGGAAAGAAGTAAAACCGTAAAAATCAACACTGAAGCTTAAAGCTTATAATTTGATTAAAAAACACATGCATATGTTTATATAGTATTATTCTTTTTTAATAAAACATGTTCACACCCTATGACTACATTTACTTTAATCTAAAAGAATTATTACTATATAAGAGTCTGGCAATGCTAGTAAAGCTTAATTCTAGACGTTGTAGATAGAGAAAACAAAACAAAGATTTAACATTGTTGAAGCAAAACTAAAACTACTAATAACAATGGTAATGATGACCACCACCACAAAAACAAAAGCTGAATTTCCTGGGACTGCAGTGTGAGAGATCATTGCAAAGGACATTTTGAAAATGTACACAGGTGCTTCGGCGGTGATGCCCATCTCTTTAAAGCGTTCAACATCTGTTGTGATAAACAAAGAATCCTTTTCTCATCCTATTTATCCTATTCTATAACTGAGGATATAGTTCAGAGAAGAAAATGTGCAATAAATAACATATATATTTAGATTCTCATTTGGATTATGTCAACCTTATAATAAAAGGGCTAACATTTCTACAGTATTTCCTATGCGCCTGACACCATCATCAGCTTTTAAGTATGTTAACTCTTTAATCCTTGTAACAATGACAGAGTTGATATTATTATCCGTTCTGATAAATGAGGAAATTGAGGTTCCTCAAGATCACATAACCTGGAAGTGATTATTGAGCTAAGGTTTGACTCTAGAGTCAATACTCAATTCCACTTTGTTCTTTGTGTTCTAGCTTCAGTAGCTTTCTTCTTTTTTTTTTTTCTCCAAATTTCACAAATAAGTCATGCTATTTCTCCCCTCAGGGTATCTATGCTTATTAACTATCTTTTTTTAATTCCTCCTCCTTCACCTAAGCCAGACTTGCTCATTCTCCAGTTATTTAAGTGATATTTCTTTGGAGGAGCATTCTTAGCACTGTATACTTCACCTTCATGCCACTTATAATGATTGTAATAAAATAACCTTGACTGATGTAATTTCTCTATCACGTCTTAAAATATTAGTTCCCCAGGGAAGAATGGACGCCAATTTTGTTTACCTTAATATTTCTAGTTCAATGCTTTGAACAAAGTGTGTGCTTAGTAAATAGTTGTTGAACGGATGAATGAAATGAAACAAGGCTGAATTTCTATGCTTAAATGGGAGCATAAAGTCCAGGATATAATACTTAAAAAAAGAAAAGAAAACAAAGCATATGTTTGCATTCAGTTCCAGTGAAATAGAAGCTAAGACATTTTAAAGAGTAATTAAGTATTTTTATATGCCATTTGTGCTTCTCTGTGGTAAACTTAAAAGCTTACAAAAATAACTTCCGTCTTCATTCTCCTATGATTAAAAAATTTAAGAAATCCAAAACATAAACCAATTTCATTAATAAGTTTTACATTTAGTCTGAATCAAACCAGTTGGAAACAGTAATTTTCCATTCATTGGTTGAATTCTTTGTGAATATTTCCTTTCATAATGAAAGATTTTCAACTTAATGAAGTGTTAGTTACTGGAACAAAAATTATAGCCTCAAACAGAGTAATAGTCCCACCAAATAGTGGATGCCCTTACCACAGTTTTGTTAGTAGTAGATGATGAGGGAAGCTTTAAACAAACCAGAGCAGGGAAGCGTGGAAGGAGGAGGCTTCTCATTCCCATGCATTTCAGAGCTGCGGAAACACAAAATAAAGACGGCTGTTCAAAACAAAATATAAAGAGTAATTTTTTTCACAAGATCCTAAATCCAATTATTTGCGTAAAAAACAAAAAAAATGTAGCCAATTTGTTTGCATTAAAACATCATGAAATGGCTTACATTTGATTTCAACATCATAGGGATTCAGAAAAAAAATTCTGCATTCAGACCTTGTGGTCAGTGTATTGATCTTTAAGAAAAACACCCAATTCCATAGCTCTACCCTACTTTGTGTTAGAGTTGATTTGTGTTTTTTTTTTTTCTGATTAAGGAAGTAATGACTTCACTGATTGACACTGATTATGATAAAGAAAATGGGACATGTTTTGTTTCCTTATTTCAGTGAAAAATAAGACACTAGCCTTATCTGTGTGAAAAGAAAAATCTGTAATTTTATGTAGGGAACTTTGAATTCAGTGTTTGCTGAAAGGCATTTACAGTATAAAATAAGGGACACTTTAGTTTTGCTTAGTTCTAACAATTAATTTGGGAGATACAGGGAACCTAAATAGATTTAGAAATGTTCTTTTCATAAATGTTAATTTGTTTATTATAGAATGAAATAATTGCCTATCATTTGCTAAACACAGGTGAGACTATTTAAACTGGGGCAGAGTCTTGAAAGTAGAAATAACTTGTAAGAGTGCCATTTTAAATATTTGATTTTTGTTCCAATGATAATAAAATGAATAATATAGTTTTATTTTATAAGCCTTTCGAAATAGAAAAAATATTATGAGTATATTAAATTAAAAATATTACTTTATTAATGATCCAAATATAGTTTAATATAAAGTTAAATGTTTTCTTATAGATTCATTATATTTACAGATTTAAAAGCCATTATTATCTTCTCGTTATTCTAGAATTCTATGATTCTTACAACCTTTATAGGCCTGTCTTTATAGAGGAATATTGCTGTTGTTTGTTCCAAAGAATTAGACCTAAGTATTCCGAGGACAAATTCTAGTCTATTGTCATGTCAAAACAGTCATCGAATAAGTGCTTTAGGTTATAAATACTTATAAGAAGCATTTTCTCTCTTTATTCTTCTCTCTTTTAGTTAATAGGAAAAATTCCTTAAGCTTGTTGATAAATTATGTGTGTGCTCATATATAAGAAGTATGTAAATTTAACCAGGTATGAAATAGTTGATGTGATACCTCAGTCTCTTTTGCCTAGGGTCCATGCCCTAAAGTTTTGATCATTGCTAATGATAAACTACCATACAGATAACTATTACTCTTAGATGATCAACTCCTTTTATTTTTAATTTTAAAATATTAACTTGAAATAGAATTTGTTTAAACTTAACTCCAATTTTTATTTTGAATTGAATGAGAAATTAAGATAGTTCTTTTATCCAGTTGTTCATTTGTCTTTTCTATTCTAGGATACTGCTAGTTTATTCTTTAAGAATAGGGGTGGTGCTTCTGTCCGGGTTTTCATGCTTTTTATAGACCCTTAATCCCCTTGTAATTTATCTTTATTTGTTTCGTTCTAGTTTGTTTATAGCATCTGGGGATCTGTCAGCCTTTTATTTTTGTTTTTTGTGGAGACAAGATTTCGTCACGTTGCCTAGGCTGGTCTTGAACTCCTGTGCTCAAGCGATCCGTCCTCCTTGGCCTCCCAGATTGCTGGGATTATAGGCGTGAGCCACTGTGCCCGGCCTCCTGTCAACATTTTAATTAAAAAATAGCAGTGGAATTATGGGACTAATTTATATCTAAGGGTATGAAGTTTATTTGTAATTATTAAAGGATAATCATACGTCTTAATTTGGGGGCAGTCACAATTTATACCTGTCATTTCATCATAATTATTAATAATGTGCTTTTATACTCTTAAAAGTATCCCAGATATTAAATATAATCACTCTACTGTTACCTTCTTAAACAAAATTTCCAGAATTTTCCAAATCATTTCCCACGGTTAACTTGCCAATTAATCTTTTTTTCCCTAAAAATTTTTATTTATAACAAGCTCAGATGCTTCAATTTTACTTTGCATAATTTATTTGCCCTTTGTAAGAAGGAAAAACTATCTTTTCTAGCAATAGTATTTCCATATCTTTGATCTCAACTCTTTGAAATGTTATTTGGGTATTTAATTAGTTTTCACTACTTTTGAACTGCTCTGATTCATATACCTTTGGACCATGTGAAAGGTATATGGGTCTCGAGAGGTTGGGTCTCGGGCAAGGAGATGCTGGATTACAGAAGAGTAAAGGTTTTTGAAACCAACTTCTCCCACCCCATTTTTGATGTTGATTACCTAGGGATGCCAGGATGCTTAGCCATTATAAAATGTCCTCAGGTCTTGAGACTCTGCCGTAGCTATTGTTTTACCTCTCCATTATTTGAGAATAGTAGCAACATTGTCAAATATAGGCAGTTTACTAAAAAGAAATAGTTTTCTTTGGAGGGAGCCAAATAAATTCAATATGTTGCCTAAATTAGCCACACTATGTAACACATTTCCAAACATTTTTAAACTAAAAAGACTACCCACTTACAGATTTGGGAATGAGAGTTAAGAAATGAGTAATGAGGAACTACATTGAGTAAGAGAGTAAATTATTATTATGGAAGCCCCAAATTAGAAAAAAAAAATAGAACAAATAAAATAAAGGTTAGCATAGAGAAATGGGTCCTGGATTTGTCCAGAAGAAATGCCTTGTGACTTCACATGGTGTTAACATGTGAGACAATATAGCTAGAAGAAATCGATGGTTGGTTTATGTTTTTCATGTCTCTAGAATTTAATGGGTGCTTTGATAGAATGCAAAAGAAATACAATTAGGAATAATATAAATTTTGAGAATGGGAAACCATTCTCAAATGAAGGAGTAAAATTAGAAGAAGAATGAGTGAAGATATTATAGAGATGGAGATTTTGCACCTAAATTCTGAGAGAGGAAATGGAAAATAAGGTCATTGGAGGCAGGCTGTGAAGATGAGTGCTGGGGTCTTCTGGCTATTTCTGAAGGTGTAAACCACATAAAACCCTTTAATAAATTTCATTGTAGCAAAATCTCAGAGGGACATCTACTTTTTGTCCTTTGGACATTGCAGGCTGAACTTTTAAGAAGCACCTTGAAAAGATGACTTTAATGTGTACAAATTAAAACAACAGGTCCTTTTTCAAGAGCATATTCCATCTCCTTGATGTTTCTCTGCCAAGAAAAAGTTCTAGCCTTGGGAGATTTCACCCTATGTGTTAAAGCTTTGCCAGGGATTACTGTCTTAGGGATTGAATGGGTGTTCACTCACAATTGAAATTATAACTGTGTGTTAGATCTCAGAGGTCAGATTTCTGTCTATTGAAAATATTCTAAGATTCTAAATACCAAGAAACATGTAGTAGACAAGGGTAAAAACTAAGTGGATGGGTGTGGAGAAAGCTTAAGGAATTCAAAGAATACCATTCTTTATCCCTACAGTACTGTAAGCCTTGATAGGAAGTCATAAATACTCTTCAGGAAGGTAAAAATATTGGCATCTAACATTAAGTGCAGACCAAAGTTACCTTTCCTATCATTCTAGTGTACCTATCTGTAAATCACATTCTTCTCTAAGAAAATTTGTTTTGCATACATAGCAGGCCATTTTTTTTCAGTTTATTTCTTTCTTACACAATAATATCTAAGAAGTGTTTTAATCTGTTTTCAGTACAATTTGACTTTAAAAGATAATTGTTCAAGTAATGGAGATGAACTTGTCAAGAAGAATATTTATCCCAAGATGAGAAAATGGCTATGATTAACCCGTGTAGTATAGAATACAAAGTATATTTACATATATGTACATATTTTACATATATATTACTTATGCATATATTTATACACACACACACACACACACACACATATGTATATATATGTAAAAAAGCAGTGCTACTCTTATTGAATAGAAATTGAGGGCCGGAATTCCTAATAATTAACCAGTTAAAAAATTTTTTTTTCCTCCAAAGGCTGGCTAGGGGGCATCTTGGATGAATTTTAAGCCTTGTCAGGGGATAGTTTATTCTTTTTTTAAGTTTTGGACTAATCATACTATAATTCTTTCTATCTAACAAAGCTTTTACAAGAGACATGTAAAAAATACAAAGTATTTTTGTGTTGCTATGCGGAGACTGCTAATTGTTAGTAGTATCCAGTCTCTCCTTTTTTTCAGTGGTGTGCAGGCTGACTCTGGTTTTAGCTGTGTTCATGGATGCCCATGTACACGACATGTTCTAGCCTTCCTAGTGGTTATGTGTGGTCATGTGGCTATTTTTTTTTTTACATTATTGAGTTTTCTATAATTTGTAACCCAATGTCCTAAATAATAAAGAAGTCAAAAAGATTTTGAACAAAAAGTGAAGCTAGGAAAGAAATATTTAAGCTATATGCATCTCGTAGCAAAAAGAAGATCATCCAATGTCATGAAATTCACCTGAGAATAGCTGAAAATAACTGGCAGACTATTAAGATGAGGAAGATACAGCATATGTATTGGCTGTTGGAGAAAAGAGGAAGGATTGAATAAGAAACAGTTCAAGTTAAACTTTGACATGTCTTCATGATAATCAACCATGTGGAATGAAGGAAGAGTCTGACTTAAAAAATGTCTGAAGTTTTGAGCTGTCTTTTGAGACTAAATGAATGCCGGTGTCAAAGGAAGAGGAAAGTTTGAGGTCCTGCAGTTTGCTGAGTGAGGTGCCAATACATCCCAAACAATCTGTGAAAAGTCTATATATTTTTGGTTTTATGAAAAAAAGTTGAATGATGTCTCAGTTTGCAAGCTGGAAATAATCCAAATAGGTAAAAATAATGGCTGTCATTTTAAATTAATATAATTATGATTTTCTAACTATTATTTAAAAATTGGACATACACTTGTAAATTGATACATATCTCAGAAAGACTAGATTTCATTGAGGCACATACAAGCTCCCAAGAAGATACCCATTTAGTTTTGATCTAAGTCTGAGTATTTTATCATCTCTATCTTGGATATAGACAACATTCCCATATGCTGACACGGAAAACTACCTAGCAGCTAAAAGGAGCTAGTTCTCTCTCTCTCTCTCTCTCTTTTTTTTTTTTGCATCCAAATACTGAAGTTTATTTTGATTGCCATAACATTTCGAGATTTTATTCATGATATGAATTTCGATCAATCAACTCTTTTTTAATTCATTTATTTTTTGTGAATCCTCATAATCTTAAAGTATAATTTCCTGTGTGTGTCATATTTTCTGTAAGGAACTAAGCTATCAGCTGAGTAATTTGTTGACCGTGTTAAAATTTTGCCTTTTATCAGTGAGATATTAAAACAAACAAAAAAACTGGGCAAATTTATCAAAACTGATTACAAAAAGTTTTGAAACTTGCTCTTAAAA
The DNA here is from genome assembly GCF_000001405.40 of Homo sapiens. NCBI lineage: Eukaryota > Metazoa > Chordata > Mammalia > Primates > Hominidae > Homo > Homo sapiens. The sequence continues at coordinate 115,257,625 of NC_000008.11, read as the reverse complement.
TTTGGTGCAAGAGGAAACTAGTGTAAAGTCTCAAGGTGATTTTCTAAAATCTGTTGTCTTTAATTCCTTACATCCCCTGGCTATAACCACAGTATAGCTCAGTTTGCTTAGGGACAAAATGTAAACATTATAAATAAAGTTCAAGGAAGTACTACCTGTGCATAAAAACAAAAAAGAAAAGTATCTGGAGCTTGGTTGAGTAGACTCTGAATGAGTCAGCTTAATGCCATTGTGGAAATAAGGGTAACTGATTTTATGTAGAGAAAAGAATACAACAGATAGGCTGTAAGGTAATCTTTTAATTTAATTTTACAATATTAAAAAAGGGTGAGAAAAATGGAAAATCACAAGATACTTAAAATAGGAAAAACATATTAAGAATGACTAAGGAGACTGAGTGGTGAACTTAGGAAAGTCCAAAGGGTGTTTTGATTATGATCTTTATCTGTACAAATATAGTAAACTGAGGAGGTTTGCTGAAGAGCTATTCTTTATGATTCTGGACAACAAAAACACAATAAAAGTTAGTAAAAATAAATGAAGAAAGATTACAACTAAGCACAAGGAATACATTTTTTAATATGAAGGCGATGGAATACAGCATCACCGGATATTGCAGATGTTGAGATTACGTTCATTAGACACTCAGTAAGTCTATCCTTTCCATTCCTTCCCTCCCTGAGGTCTTCAAGAAACTAGATATTTGTTCTGGATGACTTGGACATTCAGTAATCTAAAGGATTCAAACAGATGAACTTTTCAAATTCTGTCCTCTTCTCTTCCTACATCTTTCCATAGTATCTGTGTTTTCCACAGAAACTGGTAAGCTCTTTGGGTGAAAACAAATACAAATTGGAATGATGAGTGTCCTGAAAGGAAGGGGATCTGAGAAAGCTTGGAACTTTTCCTCTCCGACTTTTTTTAAGCCTCCAGTAGCACTCTGGCAAGCTATTTGAATCACGGGGACCATGCTTGTATAAAGTAGATTGGAATGGTCAGTCAAGTATGCAACCACACGACCTCTAAACTAAGTACATTACAATTATTCTGTCTTGTAGAAGCAAAATGCTTGTCTATAGTGAACCTCATTTCTGAGTCCTTTTAGAGAAACAGGATCCTTTGCAAAAGCTTCTCGTATATTTTTTGACCTACTCTAGGGTGTGCAGAATAATCTTTAGAAATACCTTAAATTTTTTCTTGAGCAACTGCTGAATAAGAGTGAGAGTCTCATCAAGGCAGGCACTTCCCTGACACGCCTTCCCTATCCCCCAAAGATAGTGCTGGAGTTATTCTATTTGCAGACACAGTGATAATATCAATATGCTATTTCCTGTTCACAGACTAGAGAAAATACTTTCTAAATGGTCATTGGGACCATCAGAGCGACTTTACAGCTTTTGACAATTTTGAGAGACAAATTAAATTCAAAGCAGGCAATATTGAAATCCAGAGATTTAGGATTAAATCATGGAATGTTTTTCTTTTCTTAGTAAAAGATCTGCGGGCTTCAAGTAAAGTCTATTTTTAATGATGTGATTCATTAGTTTTTTGAGAATTTGGAGGGTTTTTTTTCTGCTAGAAGGCAAACAGAGGAAGGCATAGAAGTACATTTGGGAGATTGAAAGTACTGATTTGTGTTTCCTTCTATTGCTAACAGGCACATGTTGAAAAAAAAATTGGAACACATAAATGAAATTAAACACACATAGAATTATAAGTTTGCTACAGCCTTTAGTTCCAGTCTTTTCAGGGGCATATTTCTCACATCAAGAAATGTGTATGGCCATGCAATGTTTGTGGCATAAGGCAAAATAAGATTCATGAGGTCATTGGGGAAATAAAATTTCCTATGTTGTGGTTTTCATAAGATTCCATGACCCTGTTATGCATTGCTTTAAAAAGAAAAGATAAATATCAATGTTCAAAGTTCGTAGGCAATTTCAGCATTTGAGGTTATTGATTTTCAATTTATTCTTGGCTATTGTGCTTTGTGCTGAATAGGCTCAGACTCTTAGCAATCTTGTTTCATTGTGGTTTTGTAAGCTTTTGGACTCTGCTTCATTTAGTTTCTATTACATCTCATGCCCTCCCAACACTTTTCTTGTTTTACTGATTCCTGCCAGGCTTTGGGAATGAAATAAATTATGATATGTAAAAGATTCGACACTGGAGTTTCTTTTAGGGTTGAACTCAGAATGCTATAATAAATACTTAAATGGAAAATTTCTGTTTTAGATGTTGATCACTAACAATTTTGGAGTCCCTTGGAGCCTGAAAGGTAAATATTTAAATTCTCCTGTTATGATTTAGGATCTTAGTGTCCTGTCTTCAGTCAAGGCAATTAGACACTGAATAGAAAAGAAGGTTCTATATGACAGTGGCATTCTTCTACTAGTAGCGGTGAACTGCTACCGTTATAGAAATGTTTTATCTGCACCAATTTACATCTTACTATCTGAAATATTTCTTTTGTTACTCACAGAAAGTAGACAATAAGTTGTAACCACTTTTTCTTTTGGAAAATAAGGCTGAAGATAAAATGGCTTTAAGTTTTGATTCTTCTTTGTCTCTCCCCACCCCACTCTCTTTCTTTCCTTCTTTCCCTCTGTCTTTCATATTACTATAAAGAATTTACAGATGCTTCTCATTTTTCACCCCAGAATTAATCAATTCTTTTTTGCCCTCACTGTACTTTGCTCAGATTTTATCATAATACATATGAAATGTCCAGCCTGTTGGCCCTCTGACCTATTTTGTGTCTTTCTCCTGGTCTGCTCTGTGTTGTTGGGAGCTTGACTGCTGTGGGGTAGATTTCTCAAGCTCTCATGTTAGCTGGTTTCTAGCTGGATTTTGTCCATTTGCAAGCACAACACACCGGCTGATGATTCAAAAGGAAAGATCTAGAAAGCCAAGGTATTTTCCCCTTCTCTTCCACGGACTGTTTTTCCTGCAGGAGCTCTGTCACCTTCATGGCTCTAGCTCTCACTTAGCTGGTCTGCCATAATTCCAGTTTCTGCTAGACAATTCTGGCCTCTTTGTCCTTTCAGCAATAACCTGACTTACTGCCGTTGTTAATCTTTGGTTTAACTGATTGCTCTCTGGCTTATACTTCTCCTATCAGCCATCTAATATTTCCTTGCATTAAATTCCTCCTGTTTTACTTAATGTGATTTTTGGTTTTCTGGTTAGGTACTGACCGAATCAGTATACCTAACATATCATTGTGCTTGTTTATATTCCCATCATATTCTACTAGACTGTAAGCTTCTTGAGAAAATAAGCTCCATTTAGGCTGGGTGCAGTGGCTCACTCCTGTAATCCCAGCACTTCGGGAGGCTGAGGCAGGCAGATCACAAGGTCAGGAGTTCGAGACCAGCCTGACCAACATGGTGAAACCCCGTCTTTACTAAAGATAGAAAAATTAGCTGGGCGTGGTGGCACATGCCTGTAATCCCAGCTACTCTCCTAGCAGGAGAGTCGCTTGAACCCAGGAGGCGGAGGTTGCAGTGAGCCGAGATCGCACCACTGCATTTCAGCCTGGGCAACAGAGAGAGACTCCATCTTAACAACGACAACAACAACAACAACAAAAACAAAACAAAACAAAACAAAAAAAACGAGAAAATAGGCTCCACTTGACTTGGTGCCTCTTATATCTAATGCAGCAGTTTCTGGCACATCTTGGGTAGTCACTATTTGGTGATGCATTTCTTTTTTTTTTGGAAATGGAGTCTGGCTCTGTCGCCGAGGCTGGAGTGCAGTGGTGCGATCTCCGTTCACTGCAACTTCCGCCTGCTGGGTTCAAGAGATTCTCCTGCCTCAGCCTCCTGAGTATCTGGGATTACAGGCACGCGCCACCATACCCAGCTATTTTTTGTATTTTTAGTAGAAACGGGGTTTCACCATGTTGGCTAGGATGGTCTCGATCACCTGACCTCGTGATCCACCCACCTCGGCCTCCCAAAGTGCTGGGATTACAGGGGCGAGCCACCGTGCCCGGCCACTTGTTGATGCATTTCAATACATGAATTAGTTGCTTGGATGAGCACAACCTATAAATTATCAAAGTGAAATGATTTATGGTTGTGTCATGTTTGGTTGTTATTATTTTTGTAGCTTTTATGATCTAGATTTTGACCAATTTTTATAATTATAAACTTTATTAATTGTCATAAATAAACAACTGATGTTTAGCAGAGAAAAGAAAGAAAAAACAAAAAAAGGAAAAATAATCTTTTAGAAATAGTAAAGCCTGAGAAATCAATAATTATCTGGGCTAAAGAGTTTACTGGAGCTTATGGAATTCTTAAGAAAAAATAAACTCTGAAAATGATAGAGAAAGAAAGCTAGAGATGTTTCACTTCTACAATTCTTTGTAGTTTCCCAGGAATTCCTACAATGTACTTAGCAAAAAGAGCCACATACTAGATAGTTGAATTTTGATTGATTTGTCTGCTAAAGACCATCCTCAGGCAAAATAAAAATTGGGATACATATTAAAATATTTTAATACTTTATTCACATTACTCTTATATTTGGCCTAAGAAATGTAAGCGAACATACAAGAAAGCTTTGAGGATAGGGGCTCTATGAGAGAGCCAAGAGATTATTTGAGTGAAGATCTGTTTTCTGAAGAATAAAAAGATTGAAAAGGAAGAACATATTTACACAAGCATGGGAAGAGATGAACAGAAAATATTGAGGTAAGAGTGAAATGTCTCTTTGTGGATTTCTGTATTGGGCAGAGGAAATTCATTTTGTAAAAAAACAGTTAAGCATTATCTTACTTTCACTTTATGTTTCTTCACTTAGAAGTGATTACACTACTGTTTAAGTATCAACATGTAGGGGCACAAAACTGGTATTTTTTATGCTTAATTACATAGTACATTAAGTGCTTGGGAGTGAATAGGGTAGAGGCTAGCGAACAAGTGCCAGAGTTCAGATCTGCTGTTTTGAAAGAGAGATTAATTCTGAGACTTATGGCTTAGTTTTCTTTCCAATATTTTTGATACAGGCAAAGAATGTAAAGAGGAAATTAAATTGATCTGAGTTTTATTCAAAAGGAAGATTTAACAATACACCTCTATTTCTCCTCATTTACATTTTTCTAATTTCCAGGGTGATCTAACAGTTGACTTTTTTAATACACTGATTATTAGGTTGTCATTTGTGGCAGGGTTTATGGCAGCGTCAGGAAGAATAATTCCTCCTGTTTTGTATACCCCTAAGAAAACTGAGATTCAGAGAGGCTAATCAACTTGTTAAAATCCTACATTTAATAAATAAAAGAACTAGAATTCTAATCCAGATGTAGTGCACTTTATATTATACTTTATATATACTTTATATTATAAAGTATTTATATTATACTTATGTGTTTTTCCACTTTTGGTGTATACTTCTGGATTACTCTATTGGTTAGGATTTGATCAGTTACAAGTAACCAAAAAATCCCATTAAAGCTGCCTTGAAAACTAAAGGAAACAAATGTTGGCAAGGGTAAGAAGCAACCTGAAATTTCATTCATTGTTAGTGGAAGTGCAAAATTGCACAGCAATTTTGGAAAACAGTTTGGCAGCTTTTTTTACAATGCTAAGCCTATGTTTACTATGTGATTCAGCAATTGCACTCCTAGATATTTACCCAAATGAGCTGAAAACTTAGTCTACACAAAAACCTTCAGATAAATTTTTGGGAGCTTTATTCATAATGCCATAATTTTAAACACCAAGTTGTCCTTCAATAGGAAAATGAATAAACAAATGGTGGTAAATCCAAACAATAAAATATTGTTCAATTCTAAAGTAAAATGTGCTATTCAGTCATGAAAAAACATGGAAGAAACTTTAATATATGCTGACAAGTGAAAAAAGTCAGCCTAAAAAACTACATCTTATCTGATCTTAACTTTATGACATTCTAGAAAGGCAAATCTATGGAGACAGTAAGAAGATCAATAATTGCCAGGGGTTTGCAGGGAGAAAGGAGTGAACAATAGTTGGAGCATAGAGGATTTTTAGGATAGTGAAAAATACTGTAATGGTAGGCACATGGCATTATACATTTGTCAAAACTGGAAATACACAACACAAAGAATGAACCCTAATGCAAACTATGGACTTTTGTTAATAATAACGTATCAATGTTAGTTCACTAATTATAACAAATGTACCACACTAAAGAAAGGTATTAGTAATAGGAAAATTTGGGGCTGAGAGGATGAGGGAGTATATGGGATCTCACTGTACTTTCAGTGCAATCTTTCTATAAACCTAAGATTCTCTAAAAAATAAAAATGTGATAAAACAAATAAAAAAATTTGGCTTGTAATAAACTTCCTGGGAACAGGAAGCTTGATCCAAAGCTCATTTGTATTACCAAGATTCCTGTATTTGGCTCTAATTTCTCAGAGTTGACTCTATTCCAAAGCATGTTCTTTTCTCCATGTCACAGAATTATTGCCTTTACTTCCTTGGGATAAGTAATAGCCTTACTTATGTCAACGTATCTACAAGGAAACACAAATTTTCTTCTCTGGTAATTCACACTGAATCCCAGAACTGAGCTTCATTGGCTTTGACTGGCTTGACTTGTGCCATGTGATTGCATCTAAACCAATAACTGTGGCTGGGAATGAAGTTTTCTTTTATGAAGAAGGAAAACAAAGCTTACCTTATTAAATAGGCATGAATTATTCCACTCAAACCACAAAGCTAGGGAAATCAGAGAATTATTAATACAGGGAGAAGGAAGTAAAATATATGTTGGGAAAGCATCCAGCAATTGGTTATTATAGTATCCATGCAAGGAATATGGATTATCTGTGCACTAGCCTTATGATTAAGCAGCTGTATACATAAATGGCTTCAAGCGTGTAAATTCCATCCCCCAAAAAATGTTTCCTCTATTGGTTTCGTGATGTTTGAAATTTAATAATTGCAACTATGTTATTTCAGCTTCTTTGATTAACACACATGCATAAAGCACCTACAATGCTCAGTTGTAGGAGATAGAAAGACAAATAAGACAAAGATTTATGCGTAGTTACTGCCCTTAAGGGGCTTACTGTCTAATGTGAGAAAGAGACAAACACAGGCATACATAAGCATAACCAAGGAGGGAATGGTTGTTCTGAAACAAGGACAAAGATAAGCTGCAGAAAGGAGCTCATAGTAGAGCTACATGTTGAAGAGCAATAGGATTTCAACAGATGAATCAGTGTGGAACTCATTTCAGCCAGAAGAAGCAAAACAAAAAACAAACAAACAAAACCTGAATAAAACAGAGCAGCATGTAACATTGTCAAGCATATGGAAATTGTTAGTCATTTAGTAAGGTTGAAATATAAGATGTAAGAGTTGTAGGAGATAATGTCAGAATATTAGAGAAGGGTTAGTTTATAGATGTTAGCAAGTACGGAGTGGGGAACTTTTTGAGGCAGAGGGAATAACTGCATAAAAATTATCTTTTAAAAAAATATTACACAAGTGTATTCTGGCTTGGATTAAAGGAGTTCCAGGCTGTGGAGAAAGGGAGATTGTTTCAGAGGCTGTTGTAGGAGGCCAGATGAGAACTTTTCAGGGTTTAAGTTGAGACAGTTGCAATAGGCATAGAAGAAGCGACTGACTTAAGGTTTTATTGCACCTATAGCTATAATACTTAAATGTATAGCACTCATTTATACTTCAGTGTGAGTTTATATAAGACCCCGTGAACAGCATTGGTTCCTTAAGAAAAATAAAGAGGGGCATGAGGACTTTGGTTATCTATTGATGACAAAAAAAGGATATGTGCAATTCAGGTACATTTTCTAAAATGTTGATAAATTGATGGAGAAAGACGATTTCTTCTATGCCACAGTTTTCTTGGAATAGCCTAATCCAATGGGATATCAAGAATGTAATAAACCTAGGTGTGAAAATAATTAGAACAGAGGTTGAGTTGTATGGCATAAGACCAACTGGTAAGCACAGATCATGGAATCTCTATGATTGAGGTGAGTCTATTTGATGTACAGTGTATATTTTCCTAAAGATGTCCCCACATGGATTTTAAAGATCAATGCTAATTCATGTCACCAAAAATACTCCAGAAACCAGATTGCAAATATGTACACTAGTATGTTTGACTGGTATATTCTGTTATAACAATCTTCCAGTGGAAGATTGTTCATTGAAACAAGTTACCGTGGGAGAAAATTTGGGGGTATGTCTTTGTTAAATGAGAGCACTGGGGGTATGTCTTTGTTAAATTACGATGGTAAATTATTGTCAGATAGTCTTTTCCAATGGAAGAATTCTAATTATAGGCAAAAATATTGCCTACAATCCCAAAAATAATGTTCTTGAACTTTCTAAATCACCACTGATGGTTTGGACTAAGAATTCCAAGTTTAGAATGATAAATAATTATTGTATGGACTTTTCATCTGGGAAAACATTGAGGCTCTATAACTTTAGTTGGAATATTATGGCAGACTGGAGGAACACAAATGTTTATTCCTTTTACTGATCATAAATTGGAAAAGAATGGGAACATTTGGAGTACAGCCCATCTCCAGCCACCATCTGCTTGTTATAACATAGCTGTATGTTGTTATTTTTTCTTTTTTATTACTGTTATTAACACACTATAAAAAATACATTTAAATAGCATTAAGTTTATAACACAAACCAACAAAATGGAGTCACTCAATCTTTAACTTTTCCGTGAAAATTGCTTTATTCCTCCTTTTAGACATTCTTTGGAGTCATGCAGTATCCTGCTGTTCAGTTACAGTAAAAACAGGTGCCTGGAAGAAATGATTACCAATCTTACATTCGGTGCTTTCTTTTCTTTCAATTCAGTCTTTTGTTCATTTATTGTGTAAATTCAGTTGGTATCAGATTAATGGATGCAAGAATGACTCAGATTAGAACTTATCAGGTCAGTGTTATGATAACTTATCCTTTAATTTAAAAATGATAATGTGACAAATAATGTAATATAATTGACTTTTAAACAAAAATTTTAACATCTATCAAGTCTCTATTTTGAGAAAGTCATATTGTAGTCACATTATTTTATATTACATCTGGTATTTTACCATCTACTAGTTCTATTACATGTTATATCCAATTAATATAATCAAATTCATGAATATAAAATATTTTAATATATATTCATATGCTCGTAAAGTTTTTCAAAATAAAAGTAGCTTTGACACGACTGTGAGAGGTCATTAAAAACAAAACAAAAACAAAACAAAAATAGCTTTGTAAAGTGATCAAATTAATATGATTTCATATAAAAAATGAGAGTAAAACTGTTAATGTTCTCTACCAGAAGATAATTTTTCTTAGTGTGCTGATCCACATGGACATCTGTGTGTGTGTGCACATATATACATGTACATTTTTACATAAAAAGAATTACACTAACATATGCTTTTCTGAGACTGTTCCTTAAAGTGTGTGCTTGTGTATGTGTCTAACATACATACATATATGACATATATGACTTGCAGATTCTTGTGTGAAAGGATGTTTTTGAGTTTCCACATTCCTGGCAAGCCAGTGGAAGATTGAGGAGGACTGTTTAATACACAAATGCATCAGCCAAGGTCCAATCGGAGAGACGTAAAACACTCAGTGTTTCAAACAGAAATAATTTAATATAGGAAATTGGTTACACAAGTATTGAAAGGGCCAAGGAAGTAAAAAGGAGAAGTGAGGTAATCTAGTGACAAATAATGGCAGAAAACACTACTAGAGCTAGATAAGCAAACAAACAAACAAAAAAGGGGATGATATACCAAGGCCCAGGGCAAACGGCTCATTCTGAGATAGTGGGGAAGGGGGCACTATACAAAGGCTTGGTTTTCTGAGGAATTTTTATAACTTCCAGAGCTCCTGCTAGAAGCAGCAAGACAGAAAGGAAAATAGAGGACAGAGGGAGGGAGAGAGACAGAGAGAAGAGAAATATGCCTTTATCATTTCTCTTGCTTGTGATCACCCACCAGGCCCTCCTATTAAGACAGGCTACAGGGCAGCCAGACTGCTAGCAGGGGAGCTGGAGAAATGTAGGTTACAAAAGTCTACCCCAACACTGTGGAGCAGAGGAGAGAAGGATGGGTGTATGCAGTGCTGAGGTCAATACTAAGTAACAAACTGCACAAATAAAAATACCTGAGAATATTTGTGATGAGAACCCTGGGTGATGACAAAACACCTATATAATTTGATAGGCAGAGTTCCAAAGTCACTAATGGGAAATCTAAAGACCTTATTTTACATTCACAGGCAGATGAGGGTTGAACATCTGGGCTTTACGTGTATGTGTATGAGAGAAAGACACTGACAGAGATAGAGACACAAATTAATGTTTGGCTCATAAAGGTCCCAAAGTGGCAGATATTACTATTTGAAACATTTTAAGTGTTTACATTTTTCATAGTTTTTGTTTCTAAATAAAAAGCAATTCTGCTGCTTTTTTCATCTCCCATTCTTTCTTTCAAAGAAAAGTAATTTAATACAGACATACATCAGAGATATTGCAGGTTCAGTTCAAGACCACTGAAATGAAGCAAATATCGCAATAGAGTCAAGTGAATTTTTTGGTATCCCAGTTCCTGTGAAATTTATGTTTACACTATACTGTAGTCTACTAAGAGTGCAATAGCATTATGTCTAAAAATGTGCATACTTTAATTTAAAAATATTTTATTGCTAAACAATGCCAATGATCATCTGAGCCTTCAGTGAGTTGTAATCTTTTTGTTGATGGAGGATTTTGCCTCAATGTTAATGACTGCTGACTGAGGCGGCTGTGGCAAGTTCTTAAAATAAGCCAACAGTGAAATTTGCCACATTTATGGACATTTCCTTTCATGAAAGAGTTTTCTATAGCATATAATGCTGTTTGATAGCCTTTTACCCATAGCAGAGCTTCTTTGAAGATTATAGTCAGTCCTCTCAAATCCTGCTTTATCAACTATGCTGATGTAATATTCAAAATCCTTTCCTGTCATTTTAACAATGTTTACAGCCTATTCACAAGGAGTAGAGTCCATCTCAAGAAACTACTTTCTTTGTTCATCCATAAGAAGCTACTTCTCTGTTAAAGTTTTATCATGAGATTGCAGCAATTCAGACACAGCTTCAAGCTCTACTTCTAGTACTAGTTATCTTGCTATTTTCATTAAATCTGCAGCTACCTTCTCCATGGAAGTTGTGAAGCCTTCAAAGTCATCCACGAGGGCTGGAATCAACTTCTTCCAAACTCCTGTTAATGTTGATATTTTGACCTCTTGCCATGAATCATTATTGTTCTTAATGACATGTAAAATGATGAATCCTTTCTAGAAGGTTTTCAATTCACTTTGCCCAGATCCATCAGAGGAATCACAATCTATGGAAGCTACAACCTTACAAAATGTATTTTTTAAATAATAAGACTTGAGAGTCAAAATTAGTCCTTGATTCATGAGCTGCAGAATGGATGTTGTGTTCACTGGCATGAAAACCACACTAATCTTGTACATCTCCCATCAGAGTGCTTGGGTGATCAGTGGCACTGTCAAGGAACAGTAGTATTTTGAAAGGAATATTTCAAAATGTTAAGTTCTACCATTTTCCCTCTTATTTATATTCTTCTTTTCTTAGTACTTTAAACCTTTTGAAACTGACCGTCACAATCAAGTCAATGTAATTGCTCTTGTGTCTATTTAGGTACATAAATTAAAAAGTATCACAATGCATGCGAGAACATAATGCCCAAATGTTCTTTCCTTCTATTTTTATATTTTATCTTACATTGTAAGGGTATAGCTTATATTATTTTAAGTGACAAGAAAGGGAGAGGTTGTTGCACTAAACGGGGTGGTCTGAGAAGAAGCCAACCTAGTCTCACATCTGGAACAGAAGAACTGTGGGAAGAATGTTGTTTGAAGCTTTGGCATATGTTTGGTAACCTGAATCTTCAGTAGTAGGCATGTCAATGGGTCGTTGGGGTCAAAGTCTTCCAGCACCTTGGTCAGCTCTAGGGCTAGAGAGCAGAGGAAAATGGCAGACCTTATGAGTGTGCCACTTGTAATACACCCTTTTGCAGAAACTTCAAAGCATTGTGACCTTCATCTTCCAGTGTCTTAGAGAGTTGAACAAAATAAATTCTTTACAAAAACTTTTTTCTATGGTTGTTTTCTCTATCTAGGATTCATTTATGAGTCCACAAGGCAGATCCAGAGGAGTAAATGGTAGAGAACACTGGCTTTGATCCTTAACAATATCCAAACTCACCTTCTCTGCTTAGCTGTTATCCAAATGGCTTTATGCTAAGATTTTGCACAGGAATTCCCTATGTCCCTCAAGAGATTCCTAGGTCTCATTCAAATAGACATCAAGTGATTCCTTTTTATAGCCTTCCAGACATGCCCAGATAGTTCATAAGCCTAGAGTAGATTTATAACCTAAGCTCAATTTTAGAAACTGTATCATTTATATCTAACAATTATTTTAGCAGTAAACGAGAAAATGCAGGTGAAATACATGAAGACAGACCATTTTATATCCTTCAGATTGGAAACAATTAAAATGTTTGGTCATTATGTCTTGGTATAAATGTGGAGCCATGTTAACTTTTAACTCTGGCCCAATATATAAATAATAACAGCCACATTAGAAAATCATTGGTGATATTCAGAGATGCACAAAATATACATGCACTATAAGACAGCAACTCTACTCTTTGGTATTATGTTAGAAAAATTCATGTGCATGTGCTCAGGAAAATTTGTACAAGAATGATTGTGATGGCACTGTTTGAATAAAGTATAAACAAATAACTTGTAGAGATAACCGATATTTTTAAGGTAGTAGTTACCTCCATGGCAGTGTTGAGATGGTGGGGAGGTGGGACTAAGATCATCAAAAGGTGCACAGGTAAGGATAATTTACCTGTTTGGCTGAGAGGTTTTATGAGTTTTGGTACATGGTTCAATTATATTTTTCTGTTAGCTGGATATGTGGATCTTATATTACATTTGATATTTGCATATGATATTTTCCCAGCTGTCTGTTAGGTTGGACCACATGAAATCACCTGTTTTCGATCTACAAAACTGGCACTTTGGTGTAGTTTTGCCTAATATTTCATTATGTATTTTTAAATATTTAGAATTTTTAAAACATTGCATTATGTAAAAATGACTAAAATATACCTAGAAATACATATATTAAAAAGTATTATTAAAATTAGATATTTGCAGTTCCAATGATGATCAGTCAATTATGCCTGTGCTACATTTGGGTTATTGTGAGTTTGCCTCTTTATATATGGACAGAAACTTGTATCCTAAGATTGAGAAAGCCTGATAAGGTAAAAAAAAAAAAAAAAAAGGCAGCACCAATGACTCTCTCTCCAGACACAATTAACTGGTGTAAACACCCAATTGACTCCACATTAGATAAGATTCCATGACTACAATTGAGGTAGGAAGTGCCTGTCAATAGTAACAGGGCTCTGTCAAGGTTTTTATTACTATATTCTTAATGTATTATGCCGTGCTTGTTTCCCACAGAAATTCATGATGATCCAGACTAGTTAAGTAGAACAACAGGGGTCTCAGGGTAAGATAGGCTCTGGGGCCATCTATTACTCATGTATTTTGACAAATTGTATACAGGGTGCTGGCAGTGAAATAGTAAGAACCATGTGAATTGTATCAATTGTAATGTTATCAAATGAGTTATTTTACTGACATAAAATATTCACATCTTGAAAGATTCTGATTCTTGCACGGACTGCTCTTCTCTCCCAGCTGACTCAATTGATGCTTAGCAAACAAGCCATTGCCTCTGAGAAACGCTTTTTGCCACTAAGTCTTCAACCTTAAAAATAATGCCAGACACAGAGACATACGACATATATTTTTGAACAAATCTACTTATTACAAGGTTTACTTTTTATTTAATATTTAATCTCTAATAAAATCTTCTTCATGAAGCATTTTCTAAGGGGCTTACGCTGATGTGGTTTCTTCCTCTTTATTTTGATGTGTCATGTCTCTGCTACTAGAGGGTGTATTTCTTCTAGGCAGTCTCTTTACGGGTACTTTATAGGACCTAGGATAATGCATTTGATCTGGTCAACACTCAAATTGTATTTGTGCCTTTACTGTGTGCTATGTTGTTTTTTGATTCTTATATGTCTCATGTTTTTCTGTTTGACTTCTTTTAGAGCATCTGTGACAGGTAGTTTGTACCTAAATTACGGGAAGGAGAACAGAGGATTTGGGCAGCCAAGCAAACTATTGTTTCCACTTTAGAGCCAAACTTTCCTAAATGTTTAAAGTATGTTGCATGTAATGTGATAAATCCTCCATCAAAGATCCATTAAAGCACGATTGCAATTCTTTAACTTCCATTGTATCTAAAGATATTACCCAGATTGATAACGTGTTAGACCTATGATTATAAGAATTGACTGCAAATTGCCTTTTTAATTATGCTTCATTCATTAATACATATGTGAAGGTACATACCAGGTGTTTGGGGAATGATTAACACACAGTACTCATATTAAAATAATGAGCTTGCAGAGATCATACTCTAATTTGTTAATTAGAACATTTAAACTATGAGATCATTTTATAGTACTAACATTTTCAAGGGGGAAAACAACCCTCCATCAAAATAGATGCCCTTATTGGAGGAATTATCTGTCCAGCACTGTGCTAGTTGCTTTACTAACATTGTTCAATTTTGCCCTTTCAACAAATCTCAGAGGGAGATATATTACATTATTTTTATGGACTTGGAAACTGAATATTACAGTCTTAGAATAACTTTCCCAAAGTCACACAAATGGTAAATTGTGAAAGCGGGACTTGAACTCAAGCTACCTGACTCCAAAATCCAGTTATCACTACACAGTTTAGACTTTGTGTTTTGTCATGGGATCGCCATTATGCATTTGTCACTACTGTTCTCCTTCTAGTGCTTTATGTCTTTGGCTTAAATGATTCTACGCTTTCTTGACTCTCCTCTATCACTGTTGCTTCTCTATCATCTTTGTGGGTTCTTTTTCCTCTTTTTGTTCATTAAAAGTGAATTTTCCCCCAGATTTTTATTCTTGAAGTACCCCTTCTCTCATTCTATGCATTTTCTGGATATTCTCATTCATTCACATGATTTTAATGATAGCCAATAGACTGAGAACTTGCCCCCTCCCCCTCATCTTATGCCACCATGTGCAATAGACACTTTGAATTCAACTAAATTCTTCATCTTTCTACTTAGCCTGGCATTTCTTCCACTGTTCTCTAGTTTTGTATGTGGTGTCACTATCCCCAGTTGCCCACTTACAAGTTAAGATGCCACCCTCACCACACTGACACATGCCCCAGATCTGATAAGTCACCAAGTATATTGTATATATTTTTTGTTTTCTATATATTGTGATGTTTTGTCATCTTAAAAACCCTTTCCACTGCCCCTCCCAGGATTAGTGTCAAATATAAACAAAGCCACATACTAGTTAAAGTGGTAAGGACAGATTTTAATCAGTAATATACTTTGGCAATAGAGAAAAAAAGCTCACGTGAACTGAACTCAACTTCATTTTGTACAAAAGTGATTGAATGTTTTAAAGGGAGAATGAGGGAACAGGGAGGGAAGTGAATGGGGGGCGCAGTAGAGTCAGAAAAGTAAAAAAATTACAAAAGCAGGAAGAAGGGCTTGGTCCTTGGGTTTGGAACTGGCACTTATTGAAGTTAACAAAGAGACTGGGAGACTAGAGTCCTATCTAAAGGTGTTGTGTTGGCAGAAACAAACTAAATTATTTTGGCAGCCTGTGTTTTCTCAGGCAGGAACTTCAAGAGGGATAGACTCATCCTAGTGATGTGGCTTTATGCTGTCAGAAGTTATGTTAATGTCTTGGTTGAGTCTTTAGAGACCAAGGTTGAGGTCTAGACAAGAAAGGGTTCAGAGGAAACTGTCTAGAGCTTGGGTAAAGAGAAAATCTTTGTTACTAGCCGGTTCTTAGACTAGCAAAAGGCTCAGCTGGGACAAAGTCTTTGATAGGCAAACTAACCAGTTTGGAGCCTTATTTCCTCTGTCTGACCTGTACATGCAAGGGGCAATGTTCCTCTGCCTTGATCATTTCCAGGACCAGGCACCAGGCTACTGGAAACCAGTCCTGTAGTTTAGAGGCTGCTGAAATTATTTAAACTAGCCAATCCTACACTGTTCACCTTGCCCTATCTTGCCTTTCTTAAGGGAACTCTAGCAAAGGCCATGGCCTAAGCTCTCCCCTGACTCCTGATGGACACTAGTACTTTCCCCTATAGCCCTGCATGTTGTGTGGTGGCCTATTCTCTGGGACCTGTGGGTGTAACACATTTCTTCCTTCCAAGCCTTGTTCTCATTTGCTCCTGTGGTTGTACCAGATTTATCACACTATATCTAACATTAACATTGTTAGAACACCAAGGCCTCCCTGTTCCATGATCCTTTCCTGAGGTCTGTCATAGCTATTCTATTCAGGGTCTTACTGCCCTAATTGAGGGTGTTTTTCCTTAGCTAATGCCTGAATTGCAGAAAATTCATCTTGACTACTTCAGATTGGTCCTCCTCAATGCTGCTGAGAGTCATTTAAAATGAACATCTATTTGCCACTTCACTATTTTAAACCTTTCAATAGCTGCTCACTGCCATTGAACTCCTACAGAAGCCTTCTGCAATGGGTCACTGCCACCTTTTTCATCTCTGCCTTCTATGCTGCCAGTCATGCACTCTAGGTTCCAGCAATTCTAAACTACTTGTATTAACACAGAACATCTTCTCGTCTCACCTCCACTCCATAATTGAGCTCACACTGCTTTTTTTTTAACTGTAATATCTTTCATTTATTATATGAAGCTCCTCTAACTGTTATGAATTATTTAGACTTTATCTCAGTAGTCACTACTCTCAGAGGTGTTCCCAGACACTATAACACAGGTGTGGGTTATTTATACGGAAACCTATTTATTTATTATATACCTGGCTCCCCCCTTACACACTGTAAACTCTTTGCAAATAGAGATCATGCCTTACTCGTCTTTCTATTCCCAGGTTTAAAATTGGGCTGGCACATAATAGGTGTTCAAGAGATGTTGAATAACTCCTCAACACCCTCCAAGTAAGTTTGTTTACAAATTTACTATCACTTCTTGCTTGCTTAGTGAAAAAAATAACATTGGAAAATAGACAAAAAGATGATAAAGTGAATAGAGTACTTCTGTTTCTCTTTCTAACAAGATCTTCTCATGTTTGCCTTCTTTAGCCACCCATCATGTTGCTAATCTTCCTCTAATATTGACAGGAATGTGCTCAGGGAAATCAAAATGCCTCTAAGAGAAACTTTAAAAATATAGAAAAATATCTGAGCTTCAAAACAACCAATTGGTACAAGGTGTATTGCATTACATTTGGAAGGAATATTGGTTATAATATTTTAAAAATAATTTTTGCCTCTATTCTCAATAATAGTAGAGGTTTTTATTTTTATTTTATTTTTATTTATTTATTTTTTTTCCTGGAGTCTCACTCTGTCACCCAGGCTGGAGTGCAGTGGCGCTATCTCGGCTCACTGCAACCTCCACCTCCTGGGTTCACACCACTCTCCTGCCTCAGCTACTTGAGTAGCTGGGACTACAGGTGCCTGCCACCATGCCTGGCTAATTTTTTTTTTGTATTTTTAGTAGAGACAGCATTTCACATGTTAGCCAGGATGGTCCTGATCTCCTGATCTCGTGATCTGCCCACCTTGGCCTCCCAAAGTGCTGGGATTACAGGAGTGAGCCACCATGCCCAGCCAATAGTAGAGGTTCTTATGGCCAGTTTTCTTTATGCCAGTATTGGTGCTAAGCATGTCACACATAATTTATTATTTAATCATCACAATCCTATGAAATAGCAATTAAAATATTGTTCTAAATTTGCATATGAGGAAACTGAGGTTTAGCGAGGTTAGGTCATTTTTCTGAGGAATACACAACTAATGACAGGCGGGGCCAGAATTCCCACAGAAGTCTTTATCCAAAGCATACAAATGTATCTGTTTCCTGATCCTGCCAGGAGTTTGCTTTTTTTCTGAAGCTATACTCACAAAGATTAAATAAAAACCATGAAGAAATAAACGATACTAGGATATTTTACTTTAATTATTTTCTCCAGTTTTATTCTTACGAAGGTAGTATTGACTTTGCCAAATCATGGATTCTTTTGAAAGCTTTTATTTCTCAATAAAGTACTCATAGTCCTAGATCTCGGCCTACGGAGAAAAAAATGAATGAAAAAAGTGTTTGGAGAGACAATGGAAACTCCTGTGGCAAAGACGATGATTCATCCCAAAGGGAACACAGGGACAGAGGCCATAAAATATAGAAAACACTTCCATCTGGGCCAAGTTCAGCTCAGCAGGACAATAGCTAGCAGGCTAGCCAGAGACAGCCTCCTCTGCTATAAACCACAAAAGTTCTGGTTCGAATCTCTGTACTTAGGATGTAAAGGACACATAAACAAGAAGTTCAGCTACCAGATGGGGACCCTTCTAATTAGTTAAGTCTGCTTTAATTTTTGGCCACCAGTTGGCAGATGCAGCAGATGCCAAGGGAGTAAACAGAATATGTTGGCAGTTTCGCATTTTAAACCAGTATATCACAAATAGATTCAATTTAGAAATATTTTCCCCTTTGGTTAAACTCTGTAACTTAATTTTGTCAAATGCCAGGAAGTTAGAGACATATTATGAAGCATTTTCTTAGACATTTTATATTTTTGCCTATAAATTGATGGCAATGAATTATGCATTTAGGCACGCTATCTTTGAATGTGTAGAGTACAACAGCAATGTTCATGTGAGAGTCATATTTTATATCATAAGTATGGATTCATGTGGCATTTGTGAATAGAAAACTCTAAAAAATGTAAGAGCTGTTTTTAGGAAAACACATCTTGAGATGAATAGAAACATTAAGAAATTAAGAGATTTGGTGACCGTAAATTTAGTCCCTTGTCTTGGTACTTTGTTGGTGTTTCATGTCTTACACGCAATTGGCGATTGTAAGCAAAGTGCCTTAATTACATGACTGATGAAAGGGCAGGGTCACTTTGACATTTTTGGACATGACTGCTTTTCTTTGAAATAATACCTCAATGATAAAGTTCTGATGTTTCCATTCTCAGGAATGATCAGCAGTTTTTCTTACATTATTTTCCCACTCAGAACTACTGTAGGGGATAGAGAGGATGATTGTTAGGTTATATTTTATTTACTATCAAAAATTGTGTCCCTGGCTGGGCGTAGTGGCTCGTACCTGTAATCTCAGCACTTTGGGAGATTGAGGTGGGAGGATCATTTTAGCCTGGGAGGTTGGGGCTGCAGTAAGCTGCGCTGTGATGGAGCCACTGCACTCCAGCCTGGGTAACAGTTTAAAAAACAAAAAGTGTCCTTGATTTTATCTGGATGTACTCAATACTTCTTTGAGAGTACTTAGTGTATGTTAGGCACTGTGATTGCCCTAGGCTTGCTGAGCTAAATGAGACACACTCCCTACTAATTTGTCACAGATATAGAGGTCTAACTATTACAATATTTTATGGCAGTTATTGAATTGGATGTAGGTCATGTATGTTATGGGTATTCACAGGATGGAACATAGAAAAGAATAAGTAATTCTGCCTGATCTAGTGGAATGGGTGTTATGAAAATCTTTCTAAAGGTAGTAATATTAAACCAGAATTGTTTTAAGAAAGTAGGAGTTGCTAATAAAATACACTGGAAAGAGGATTTCAGGAAGAGAGAATAGATGAAGGATAGAGAAATATTTGAGTATCTGGTTTTAGAAAATACATGGAGAGTTCTGTTATATAAATATTGAATTGATATTGCTAATATTCATATTAATATTAATCTGGATATTGCGTTAATGCTAATAAGAAAGGTGATAGCAACGTAACGTTTATTTGGCATTAACTTTACGCTAGATATTGTGCCAAGTGCTTCACATATACAAACGCATTAGTTCTCATTACAGCCTAATGAAATATATACAATTATCATGAGAAATCAGAAATACTATTGGTCATGGAGTTGAGAGTCAAGCCTGGGTATATTAAGTCCCTACTTCTAAATAGTTCACACAACTTAGACCCAGCTACCATGGGATTCTAGTTTGAATGTCTAAAAAGCAACTGGTATGTTATGTTTCTGGACCTTAGGAGTGAGGTTAAAGTCATAGACTTAGCAGTTATTTGCCTTTAAGTGATGATTAAAACTATAAATGGGCCAGGCGCAGTGGCTTATGCCTATGATCCCAGCACTTTGGGAGGCCGAGACAGGCAGATCACGAGGTCAGGAGTTCAAGACCAGCCTGACCAAGATGGGGAAACCCCGTCTCTACTAAAAATACAAAAAAATTAGCTGAGCATGGTGGCAAGCACCTGTAGTCCCAGCTACTCAGGAGGCTGAGGCAGGAGAATCACTTGAACCTGGGAGGCGGAGGTTGCAGTGAGCTGAGATTGCACCACTGCATTCCAGCCTGAGCGACAGAGCAAGACTCCATCCCCACCCCCCACCCCAAAACAAAAAACTATAATTGCTATAAACGTAGATTTTTTTTTGTTTTGTTATATCTTTTGCACCTATCCAGGGTAATGGTTCCCAACATGAGAGGATTATGGGTAGACTTTAGCAGTTACCATGAAATTGTAGCTAATTGCACTGTGTATTTTTCTGGGGGAAATGGTCTATAGTATTTATAACATCCTAAAGAGGACACATGATTCTACGACTTCTTCAACATTCTAAGAACTGTTGGTATGGAGTGGAAAGAGATCAACATTTACATTAATCTCTGGAATTCTCAATCCTGAAGAAACCTCTGGGGCTGCAAATGTTCTGTTGGATTTGCAAAGAAAGTGTTAAATATGGAAACCAGTCAGGATAAGAACTGTTGGAAGGGCTAACTCTGGTATGTGGAATCCTTGAGGTAAATATTCTAGAGTATTTTATTCTCATTTATCTGTAGCTTTTGTCTGGTTTGCAAGTGTAATGTGGCTTCTCTGGGGAGGTAAGTATCTGCCTCTTGGTCTTGGTCTATTTCTTTCTTTCTTAAATTGCTCCTTTGCTTCAGATATCTGGCAATCTATCAGCTCTAGTCCTTGAGATAGGTAAAGATTTGATCTTAGTATTGACAATTTTATGCCTGTCTTCCATCCATTGTACTTTTATCTCTGGAAAATGGCTTCGTGTTTTGTGACTCAATATGGATGACCACAGAGGGAAGAGGCAAACAGAAGAGAATTAACAAATGAGCTGCGTTTTCTCTCAAACCATTTTCTCTCTCTCAATTTTAACTTGGTAGCTCCATTTTATCTCTTGAATGAATTCCAGTTATTCAGCAGAATTAAGCACAGAAGTGTCTCTTCCGTTATTTTTCATGTATTCAATTGATAATTTAAAATTGATATTTTTGAGTTAAGTTTTTACACATTCTTTTTTCTTACGTTTAAGGCATTTAAGAATCCATTTTAACAACTTTAGAATTTCCCAGATAAAGGAATATGCAATATATCTAGTTATCTTTTTTAGCAAAGCAAAAAACAAAAGCAAAAGAGCAAAGAGTAATTTGTTTTGATGCCTTGAAAATGCCCTGCAGATAAGCTCTTATGTTTGATTGAGTGGATTAGGGTGAGAACTATGAATACTTAAGGACAGAAGGAAAGTATGGCATGTTTCATTTGTTGGTAGATGTGTATAATTTAAATACTAAATTAACCATAGACCACAGAGATCTTTCTTGCCACAATTATGCCATTCTCTGGCAAGTACTAATGGCAAAATTATAATCTTTCCTCTTGTCAAAACTCATTCCTTCTGCCTTGACTAATGCTGGATAAAACTGAACGAGGTGTAGGAACTCATAAAGGGCAAATTCTAAAGTCACTTTAGCATGTTCTAACATATTGCTTGTTGTGTACCAACCCCATATGGCCTAACAATGGGTGATTCTTTGTAGACATGTCTATTGTAGTCATACTTAAGAGAAATATTCAATGTTACGAGACATGTCTTCAAGATATTTTGATCTACTTTATTGTTCTTTGATTTTACAAGGTCAACTATGCTTTTCTCCCCAGAAGATAAAATGGCTTCAATCTCTCTTTAAATCATGATTTTGGCGTCTACCCCAAAACATCTTGGAAAGTGAAGTGTTTCTTCTTTGGCTGAATATTTAAAAGACAGTTATTGGCTATTTTAGCTTGGATAGAGGTAAATCTATAAATTCTTAAGCCTTAGTAAAAACTTACACAGAAGAGATACATAAAATTCTTTGTGGGTTGTTTGCTTCCCAATAAACAGAGCTATTTTAGCTTGAATAAAATATTCTCAGAGTTTTTTGATAATTCAGTTTACATATTTTTTGAATAAAAATAAGCAACATTAATTTTATGTTTAATCATTCTTTAATTATTGGTGTTTCATGGACAGCATTTACGCCGTGTTGTTGGGGCTGTGTGAGTTTTTGAGCTAAACTAATAATTTGTGTACCAGCTCCATCACTAGCTGTGTGACTCTGAGCAAGTCACTTAACCTCTTCGTTTTCTCCACAGCAAATGAGGAACATAATAGTAGCCACCTCCCAAAAGTTGTTGTGAGCTTTGACTGAGTTCATACATGCACATCACTTAGAAACATGCCTGGCAGAACTTAATAGTCCATATCTAGTGACTATTGAGTATTTCTTATTACTTTAGTTCATAATAGAATAATCTAAAGCTATTTGGTGGCAAAATTTTATATTTATTTTAATTACACATCTATTATAACTCGAAGGAAAATTAATCAAAAGAAAAAGAGCCAGGTATGGTGGTGTGTGCCTATAATTGCAGCTGCTCGGGAGGCTAAGGTGGAAGGATCACTTGAGCCCAGGCATTAGAGACCACCCTAGACAACATAGCGCACTATGTTGCTCAATCTTGTCTCAACACGAAAAACAAGCAAACAAACAAAAACTCAATGATAACAGATACAAACACAAAAAAACAAAAACAGAAAAGACAAGGGTAAATACACCTCTATCGTTACCATTCCCACCAACCATATTTAAAGCACTGGCAGAAGTCTGATGTGTATTCTTCCAGATGTTTGTTATTCATCACACGCAATCTCACTACATGAATCCTTTTAAATAATAGATAATCATCTTTATGTTACTTTTGAAATTGGTTTAAAAATAACTCAAATGTATATAGCATATCCTTTTTTTGGTTCATGCATATATATCTGCCTTATTCTTTCAATTGTGGCATACTAGTACATAGAAGATATGTATCATAAAATCTACCTTATGACTGCGATTTAATTTTTCTCTAAATATTTGCTATTACAAACAGTGCAGCCAATAACTTTCTTATTCATCCTTCAAAGATAAAAACTGGCCTCTAAAACCAGAGCAAAACTACAGATTCAACTGGTTTGGATTCCACATTGTTTAAAAAAATTAGAGTCAACATTTATTTTTTTTTTAATTTTTATTTATTTTTATTTTTTTTGAGACGGAGTCTCGCTCTGTCGCCCAGGCTGGAGTGCAGTGGCGGGATCTCGGCTCACTGCAAGCTCCGCCTCCCGGGTTCACGCCATTCTCCTGCCTCAGCCTCCCAAGTAGCTGGGACTACAGGTGCCCGCCACTACGCCCGGCTAATTTTTTGTATTTTTAGTAGAGACGGGGTTTCACCGTTTTAGCCGGGATGGTCTCGATCTCCTGACCTCGTGATCCGCCCGCCTCGGCCTCCCAAAGTGCTGGGATTACAGGCGTGAGCCACCGCGCCCTAGAGTCAACATTTATAAATCAAGGCAATTTAGATGAAAATCCAGAGTTTGGGCTTCTCTAGGAAAACCCTAAAGATCAATAGCTATCGGTCTAGTTTTTGCATTGCAAAAACTCTGCTTTGACAGAGTATAACCTGCTGCATTTATAAGTTAATACTCATTTCACTTGCTACTGTCTCTGCTTTTCCTATCACATTGCATGTAGCTGCCTTTATTCATTTATAGTATCTGCCTGGTTCTCGTGAATCCTTAAGTTTGTGATCCCTGAGATGTATCATTAAACACTTGGGCCAGTATTACTAAATGATAGAATTTAAGTAGTGGAACTTCTGGGTCAAAGGGTAGATCAGGCTACATTTTTTTAAGTACTGTGAAATTATTTTTCAAGTTGCATTAAATACCTAGAGTGCTTTTACTTCTAGGTTCTCATCTAAACCTAAAGGCAATGCAAATTAAGTAGAAAAAAGAAGTAAGAACTCTTGAGTTTCTTTGAGAAAAAGAAACTTAATGCAGGGATTTATAGACAAATATTTGGAAGTGGTATCAGTAGGTGTCCTGGCAGAAAATACAATACATACATACTCAGCTGAAATCTTGAAGAAAATTTGTTGAGGGGTTCTTTACAGAAGTATGGGTGGGACTAAGAGAACCAATGAGGGAATGTCGAGACCCCTAAGGAAGCCACTAGTAATTTAAATCTGATGGGACAGGGAGAGAGCATGGTTTTCTGGGAGTCCTCTGGAACCTAACCTCTTGGAACCAGGTTGCCACACAGGAGATAGAGTTGTTCAGGGACAGCCACTGCTATAACTTTGCTGCTGAGGTATAGTGGGAGACAGGATCAAAATTCCCTGGCCACTGTCTCCTTTCACCCTCCAATCCTCTTATGGGGCCTCCTGCTATACAAATCCCTCTGGCCTGTAGAGCTAGATGGATTGACTGCAGTAGATCCTAGGAGTCAGAACAGGGGGCTTAGAGGTTATGTAGAGCAGGAGTTTGCAAAGGGACAAGAGCTGGCCCAAGACTGTCTGGTCTCAATTGTCTTGGAACATTTTCTGTATTATCTCTTTTGTGATCATTACATTTTTTTTTTCTTAAAAACAATATAAAGTCACTACTCAACCATAACAATCTGTAGTTTATAAACTTTTATTGCATAGAAGAGTTTAAATGACTAAAGCACATGTGGGGAAACCCCCACAAGGTAGTAATAGGATACACAGAAAAGTCTTTATCAATTTGAACAATATTTATATTTTTCAAAGTCCATGTGGAATTGGTTCAACCTTTTCAGCTTTGCCAACAATAAGATAAAAATGTAATGAAAGTTTCCATATGCTGGACACAAAACTATACCAGAAATGGATTTGTCAAGGGAGAAAATTCAGGTACCTAAGTAATCATATATTTGCATAGACAGTGATGACGGTTTCAGATAAAGGGCTTTGGAAATTTGGAGAAAAGAGAAATCATATTGGTAACTTCCTTGCAAGAGCTCCACTGAAAGGCTTGCTGGGTTAGCAATGCCCTACATTCCCTCTGTAAGGCAGAGTGACTGATGTCCACAGCCAGCAGCCATTCTGTTCCCTCCTTTGGTGTTGATTCTTATCAAGAATTAGTTGCAGTTGTTTCCAACCCTTATTAAGCCAGTTTTACTAACTAATATGACTACTCAAAGCATTAAATAGTAAGTAACCTAATGATATGAATGTGAAATGAAACTTATTTTTACAATAAAATCTAAATTTAATGCATTTTTAGAAAATTTTATGTATGAGTTCCTAAGAAAAATATTGCTATCAAATTAGCCAAAAACATTTTGAGAATTGGAAAAATCAATAAGAAATGTGTTTTACAAACATTTTCAGTGATGGAGTCTGCATTTAGAGTGCTTTGCATATCAAACAGTTTGCTTCATCTTGAATAAATTAGCATCTTATATTATAAATTATGGGTGTGGTTTATGCAAAAGATCAAGAGGTAGAACTCTGATCAATGGATCTCTAGTCAAAGAAGAGGCTTTGGCTCTAACTAAAAGTTTTCAACTGAAGAATCTGTCTAAGTTCTAAAGTAAATTAACACTCAGTATTTGTGCTAAATCTGTAAAAAGTATTTGTTGCTATAATTTTTTGGATTTACTAACCAATTAGAAGACATGAATAAATAGGATATGAGGGCTTCCTCTAACTTCAGCTGTGAAGATAAGGTATACTTCCCGAAGAAAAGATATTTTCAATGGGGCGCTTGCTAGATATCGCATTACTAGTCTTATTTACTTAAGGAAGCAAACTCTTCCTAAGTGGGTAAATCAATTATATTGAGCAAACATTTATTGAATTTTCATTGCCTGCAGGATAAAAGATAAGTTATTGATCATGGCATAAAAGCGTATTCATAATCTAGTTTCTACATGCTTCTTCAGCTTTGCCTCATCACCTGACTTACCTTTATGGAATAGCAAGATAATGTGCTTGTGGATCTTAAAACCACTATTGTGTGGGAAGATTTTATGCTTTTGTACATTCACTTGCAGGGGCCTAACATGCTTATCTTGTCATCATGCAAGTGTTGAACTCTGGTTATTCAATAAAAATTCTGTTCATTAAATAAAATTCTTTCTTCTGTGAATTCTGTACCAAATTATCCTTTTAAATGAGGAGAGAGATTTATGAAGACAACTTTCTTATAATTGTTTTTGTAATAATTATATTTAGAATACCAAAACCGACTAAAAAAACCCAACATTATAGCATGGTCTAGTATACCATGAAATATAATTTCATATGATAATTATGAAAATTATGTTTGTAAAAAAGATTTAGAGTTTGCTAAAAATACTTCAAGTTCACAGAATTACTTAAAATGCTAGTTACATAAACTGGCAAAAAGCACAGTATAAGATATAGTATTAACTCAATGACATGAAGGAAAAGTAGTCAGAAAAATAATGGGAAGAAGTCTAAAATTTTATTGTGTGTAACTCTAGGTGGTGGTGTTAGATTGCAGGTGCTATTTGATTCTATGATTTTCAATGTGTCAACAATTAAAATATGATTAATAATAAATAAAACTTTTAAACAAATACTAACACTTTGTTCAATCACTTTTCTTATAGAATTTTCTTGAATCATTCATGCTTAGCATTCCTTACTCTCTCTTATCTATGTTATTTCTTTATTAGTCATAAAAACAAGTCTATCAGAGTGATTTATTTATTTATTTTATTATACTTTAAGTTCTGGGATACATGTACAGAACATGCAGGTTTGTTACATAGGTATACATGTGCCGTGGTGGTTTGCTGCACTCATCAACCCGCCATCTACATTACGTATTTCTCCTAGTGCTATCCCTCCCCTAGCCCCCACCACCTGACAGACCCTGGTGTGTGATATTCCTCTCCTTGTGTCCATGTGTTCTCATTGTTCAACTCCGACTTATGAGTGAGAATATGCAGTGTTTGTTTTTCTGTTCTCGTGTTAGTTTCCTGAGAATGATGGTTTCCAGTTTCATCCATGTCCTTGCAAAGGATATGAACTCATCCTTTTTTATGGCTGCATGGTATTCTATGGTGTATATGTGACACGTTTTCTTTATCCAGTTTATCATTGATGGGCATTTGGGTTGGTTCCAAGTCTTTGCTATTGTGAAAAGGGCTGCGATAAACATATGTGTGCATGTGTCTTCATAGTTGAATGATTTATAATCATTTGGGTATATACCCAGTAATGAGACTGCGAGGTCAAATGGTATTTCTGGTTCTAGATATTTGAGGAATTGCCACACCGTCTTCCACAATGGTTGAACTAACTTATACTCCCATCAACAGTGTAAAAGCAGTCCTATTTCATCACATCCTCTCCAGCATCTGTTGTTTCCTGGCTTTTTAATGATCACCATTCTAACTGGTCTGAGATGGTATCTCATTGTGGTTTTGATTTGCATTTCTCTAATGACCAGTGATGGTGAGCTTTTTTTCATGTTTGTTGGTCACATAATTGTCTTTTTTTGAGAAGGATCTGTTTATATCCTTCACCCACTTTTTGATGGTTTTTTTTTTTTTGTAAATTTGTTTAAATTCTTTGTAGATTCGGGATATTAGCCCTTTGTCAGATGGATAGACTGCAAAAATTTTCTCCTATTCTGTAGGTTTCCTGTTCACTCTGACGATAGTTTCTTTTGCTGTGTAGAAGCTCTTTAGTTTAATTAGATCCTCTTTGTAAATTTTGGCTTTGTTGCCATTGCTTTTGGTGTTTTAGTCATGAAGTCTTTGCATATGCCTATATCCTGAATGGTATTGCCTACATTTTCTTCCAGGGATTTTATAATTTTAGGTCTTACCTTTAAGTCTCTAATACATCTTGACTTAAGTTTTGTATAAGGTATAAACAAGGGGTCCAGTTTCTGTTTTCTGCGTACGGCTAGCCAGTTCCCTCAACAGCATTTATTAAATAGGGAATCCTTTACCCATTGCTTGTTTTTGTCAGATTTGTTAAAGATCAGTTGCTAGTAGATGTGTGGCCCTATTTCTGAGGCCACTGTTCTGTTCCATTGATCTGTATATCTAGTTTGGTACCAGTACCATGCTGTTTTGGTTACTGTAACCTTGTAGTATAGTTTGAAGTCAGGAAGCATGATTCCTCCAGCTTTGTTCTTTTCGCTCAGGATTGTCTTGGTTATACAGGCTCTTTTTTGGTGCCATGTGAAATTTAAAGTGTTTTTTTTTTTTCTAATTTTGTGAAGAAAGTCAATGGTAGCTTGATGGGGATAGCATTTAATCTATAAATTACTTTGGGCAGTATTGCCATTTTCATGATATTGATTCTTCCTATCCATGAACATGGAATGTTTTTCCATTTGTTTGTGTCCTCTCTTATTTCCTTGAGCAGTAGTTTGTAGTTCTCCTTGAAGAGGTCCTTCACATCCCTTGTAAGTTGTATTCCTAGGTATTTTATTCTCTTTGTAGCAATTGTGAATGGGAGTTCACTCATGATTTGGCTCTCTGTTTGTTTGTTATTGGTGTATAGGAATGCTTGTAATTTTTGCACATTGGTTTTGTATCCTGAGACTTTGCAGAAGTTGTTTATCAGCTTAAGGAGATTTTGGGCTGAGACAATAGGTTTTCTAAATATACAATCATGTCATCTGC
Source organism: Homo sapiens (assembly GCF_000001405.40). Taxonomy (NCBI): domain Eukaryota; kingdom Metazoa; phylum Chordata; class Mammalia; order Primates; family Hominidae; genus Homo; species Homo sapiens. Next base: position 115,228,620 of record NC_000008.11, on the reverse strand, counting down.
AAACAGAGACAATTTGACTTCCTCTCTTCCTATTTCAATACCCTTTATTTCTTTCTCTTGCCTGATTGCCCTGGCCAGAACTTCCAATACTATATTGAATAGGAGCGGTGAGAGAGAGCATCCTTGTCTTGTGCTGGTTTTCAAAGGGAATGCCTCCAGTTTTTGCCGTTTCAGTATGATATTGGCTGTAGGTTTGTCATAAATAGCCCTTAGTAATTTGAGATATGTTCCATCAATACCTAGTTTATTAAGAGTTTTTAGCATGAAGGGGTATTGAATTTTATCGAAGGCCTTTTCTGCATCTATTGAGATAATCATGTGGTTTTTGTCATTGGTTCTGTTTATGTGATGGATTATGTTTATTGATTTGCATATGTTGAACCAGCTTTGCATCCCAGGGTTGAAGCCAGCTTGATGGTGGTGGATAAGCTTTTTGATGTGCTTCTGGATTTGGTTTGCCACTATTTTATTGAGAATTTTTGCATCGATGTTCATTAGGGATATTGGCATGAAATTTTCTTTTTTTGTTGTCTGTCTGCCAGGTTTTGGTATCAGGATGATCCTGGCCTCATAAAATGAGTTAGGGAGGAGTCTCCCTCATTTTCAATTGTTTGGAATAGTTTCAGAAGGAATGATACCAACTCTTCTTTGTACCTCTGCTAGAATTTGGCTGTGAATCCATCTGGTCCTGGGCTTTTTTTGGTTGGTAGACTATTAGCTACTGCCTCAATTTCAGAACTTGTTTTTGGTCTATTCAGGGATTTGACTTCTTCCTGGTTTAGTCTTGGGAGGGTGTGTGTGTGTCCAGAAATTTATGCATTTCTTCTAGACTTTCTAGAGGTGTTTATAGTATTCTCTGATGGTAGTTTGTATCTGTGGGATCAGTGGTGATATCCTCTTTATCTTTTTTATTGTGTCTATTTGATTCTTCTCTCTTTGTTTTATTTTGTTTTGAGACAGAGTCTTGCTCTGTTGGCAGGGTGGAGTGCAGTGGCACGATCTTGGCTCACTGCAACCTCTGCCTCCTGGGTTCAAGTGATTCCTCTGCCTCAGCCTCCCGAGTAGCTGGGACTACAGGCACATGCCACCAAACCTGGCTATTTTTTTGTATTTTGTTAGAGACGGGATTTCACCTTGTTGGCCAGGATGGTCTCGATCTCCTAACCTCGTGATCTGCCCATCTCAGCCTCACAAAGTGCTGGGATTGCAGGCATGAGCCACCATGCCCAGCCAATTCTTCTCTCTTTTCTTCTTTATTAGTCTGGCTAGAAGTCTATCTATTTTGTTAATCTTCTAAAAAAACCAGCTCCTGGATTCACAGATTTTTTTGAAGGGTTTTTCGTATCTCTATCTCCTTCAGTTCTGCTCTGATCTTAGTTATTTCTTGTCTTCTGCTAGCTTTTGAATTTGTTTGATCTTGCTTCTCTAGTTCTTTTAATTGTGATGTTAGAGTGTTGATTTTAGATTTTTCCCACTTTCTCCTGTGGGCATTTAGTGCTATAAATTTCCCTCTAAATGCTGCTTTAGCTGTGTCCCAGAGATTCTGGTATGTTGTGACTTTGTTCTCATTGGTTTCCAAGAACTTATTTATTTCTGCCTTAATTTCGTTATTTACCCAGTAGTCATTCAGGAGCAGGTTGTTCAATTTCCATGTAGTTATGTGGTCTTGAGTGAATTTCTTAATCTTGAGTTCTAATATGATTACACTGTGGTCTGAGAGACTTATGATTTCTGTTCTTTCACATTTGCTGTTGAGTGTTTTACTTCCAATTATGTGGTCAATTTTACAATAAGTGTGATGTGGTGCTGAGAAAAATGTATATTCTGTTGATTTGGGGTGGAGAGTTCTGTAGATGTCTATTAGGTCTGCTTGGTCCAGAGCAGAGTTCAAATCCTGAATATCCTTGTTAATTTTCTTTCTCGTTGATCTGTCTAATATTGACAGTGGGGTGTTAAAGTCTCCCATTTTTATTGTGTGGGAGTCTAAGTGTCTTTGTAGATCTCTAAGAACTTTCTTTATGGATCTGGGTGCTCCTGAATTGGGTGCATATATATTTAGGATAGTTAGCTCTTCTTGTTGCATTGATCCCTTTACCATTATGTAATGCCCTTCTTTGTCTTTTTTGATCTTTGTTTAAAGTCTGTTTTATCAGAGACTATGATTGCAACCCCTGCTTTGTTTTGCTTTCCATTTGTTTGGTAAATATTCCTCCATCCCTTTATTTTGAGCTTATGTATGTCTTTGCAAGTGAGATGGGTCTCCTGAACACAGCACACCAATTGGTCTTGACTCTTTATCCAATTTGCCAGTCTGTGTCTTTTAATTGGGGCATTTAGCCCATTTACATTTAAGGTTAATATTGTTATGTATGAATTTGATCCTGTCATTATGATGCTAGCTGGTTACTTTGCCCATTAGTTGATGTGGTTTCTTCATAGTGTAGATGGTCTTTACAATTTCGTATGTTATTGCAGCTTTACTCAAGTGTCTTTCCATTCAGACAGAAAAGTCTTTGAGAAAAGGGTCTGCTTCATATATTCTCTGTATAATTGACATGTTATAGTACTACCTAATACATATTTGGAGCTCAACCAACATAATATGAACATGATCACTTTTAACAAAGTTAGTAATATTCTCTAAATTCCTGACAAAGAGGATGAGAATGAGGCTCCCTTTATGATTTCTTATCAGTAGGCCCCAAATCAGTCCTGGAAGACTTTATGTTCTCATCCAAGCTCAAGGCAGCACTAAATTATTTCTAACATCATTAGGCTATTAATATTATAAATGAAGACAGTGTTTTCCCTGAATTTATGCAGAGTTGCTTCAAATACTTCACTTTATGTCTCTTAAGAAAAAGCCTAAGGGAATCATCATATTCTTTATTTTTCAAAAATTATTAATGTGTCAGAGTTTTATTTAGTTTTTCACATTAGCCACCATTAATCTTTAATCATTACTTTTCTCCCATTTTCTAGTAGAAAATAATGTATATTTATTTTCTTTAGAGGATATAATGTCACACTTGGCCCACTAATATTTTATTATTGAGAATTAAGGAAATTTCATGACAGCTCAACCAACTTTATGAAAAAGAGACTAACATCTTAATTTTTGGTTTTCAGACTAATGTTCAAGTTACCTCTTTTTCAGTGTTTCAATTGTAATCAATAAACATAAATTAAGCACTTTTGTATCTAACTCTCTACTTGATTATAAAACATCAACGATGAATAAGAAAAGATCACCCCAGCAAGGCAAATTTGAATCTCAGGCTGTGTACTACATTAGAGTTGAAACAATAGGCTTCAGGAGTTACAAAGAAGAAGTGGATAATGTTGTACAAGGTGAATAATGTTGCATAGCCAAATGTGAGAAATGGAGAAGATGACCTGGGTGCTGAACAGCAACAGAAGGGCGGGTGTTCTAAACTGAGATGGTTAATTTTATTTGTCAACTTGACTGGGCCAAGGCATGCCCAGATAACTGATTAAACATTATTTCTGGGTGTGTGTGGGAGAGAGTTTCCAGAGGAGATTAGCATTTGAATTGGTACACTGAGTAAAGCAGATTGTTTCCACAAGGTGAGTGGGCATCATCCAATCTGCTGAGGGTGCAAATATAACAAAAGAGGTGAAGGAAATTTGAATTAACACTGTATGACTGTTCACTGGGATATCATCTCCTGTCCTTGACTTGTGGATCTCAGGCCCTCAGACCCAAACAAAAGTCTACACTATCTGTCCTTCAGCTCTGAAGCCTTCAAACTATAGCACTGGCTTTCCTGGGTCTTCAGCTTGCAGACTGCAGATCTGAGGACTTTTCAGTCTTCATAATTGTGTAAGGTATATAAGGTTATTTATATTATATTACATGAAGTCTAATTTATTATACCTTATGACAAATCTTTTCTGAGGGAGATATCTATTTATATCTATATCTATATCTATATCCATATCTATATCTATATCTATATCTATATCCATATCCATTTATCTATCTATCTATCCATCCTATTCTGTCTCTCTGGAGAACCTGACACATATATAAACAGAGACAACAGAGTGAGCAAAATCACAGAGGCATTAATTTTCAAGATATATTTGTAAAGCACTGTTATGAAGTTCTCTGTGTGTGTGTGTGTGTGTGTGAGTGTTTGTGTGTGTGTGTGTGTGTGTTTCAGGCTGCATTCTCTATTTTGGGTATAGGTAGTCCATTTTCTGCACTGTTGAAAAAGGGATTATCTGTGAAAGGGAAGTTCAGATGGTCTGAGAAGACTGTGAAGGCAGCTGTTCATGAAGCCCACTCACTTAAACAAAAAATACTAATGGTGGCTAATACTCTACATTTTCGCAAGATGTTATCAATATTAAATGATATCAATTAGTATCACTTAATTTTTATAACAATCCTGTGAAGTTGATGCTATTATTGCCCCAATTTTACAGATAAAAAAATAAGACACAGAATAATTAAGAAACTTGCTTACAATAATAAAATGAGTAACTACTGGACTACTCACTGCATTAAATCATACCTCCCTGGGCATTTTGTTTAACCTCTTTAGATGACCACAATCCTCAGTCCCAAGTTTTCTAGGTTTATTCTCTAATTTTGGTGTGAACTCTGAATTTTTTTCTAAATTCTTTCCCCCTTTTCTTCTTTCCTTAATTTTTATATTTCTCTTATAAAACTTTATTCCCTTAAATTATTATATTAAATTCATAAATTATTATTTTAATTGTAAAGATTTCCAGATGTACTTATCTCCCTTCTTTCCCTTCCTTCCTTCCTTCCTTCCCTCCTTCCTTCTTCCCTTCTTTTCTTTCCATGCATCTATCAAATCATCCACTCATTCAACTATTTAAGTTGCTTATTGGGGAAGACAGATACTGAATAATTTATTAAGATGAATGTAAAACATGAGTAGAAGAAAATGATAATTTAGATTTATATATAACCATGTTGGAGAAGAAGGGAAAGCCATGGGACCATATAGTGTAGGGAAAGGGAAGATAGCTAATCATATCTCTGGATATAAGAAAAGCTATTTTTAGGATATGATTTATTTTTGAGAAATGAAGAGAACAAAATGTTTTAAATAGAAATTGGATGAAAGGAGTGAGTAAGAGGGAAGAGTCAAAGCTTACTACCCCAGTACTGGCTTGGGCACTTCTGTCAATGAGATGATATGACTGGTCTTAGAAAACTTTTTTGAGATGCCTGAAAGATATCTCAAGTAGAGATATGGACCACAAATTTGGGTATATGGGTCTGAAGGTTAGACAAGATCAATCTAGACTAAAGGTGAGATTTATTGTAAACATGGATATATGAGAGATAATTTGGGGAGGTGCATGGAGAAAGAGGAGCATGGAGTCTTCGGGATAGTGCTGATAAATTCCAACCTTTAGAAAATGGGTAGATGAGGAGGAGCCAACAAAGAGATCTTGGCAAGACAGCTAAAGACGTAGGTGGAAAAGCAGGAGGTTGTGGTGTGCTGACACTGAGTGAAAAGTGTTTTGTTATTTCTTTTTTTAAAGGAGGAAGTGGTTAGAAAGGTCAAATGCTATTGCCAGGTCAAACAAGAAAAAAACTGAGTCAGCTGTACTTAGACATATAGATGATTATTGACTATCTCAGCAAGAATAGTTTCAATGGAACAGAAACCTGCTTTGAATGAGTTAAAGAGAAAAGGAGAAGTGAAGAAAGGGAGATGCCAATTGCAGATAACTTCTTTGAAAATTGCGACTTTTAAGAAGATAAGAAGATAAAATTGAAGCTAGAAGGATGTGTGAGGGGAGGATTTTTTTTGTTTGTTTTTCTCACTTTCCTTTCACATTTTACCATGTGGAACCTTTATCACGTTTGTATATTTGTTACTGGCAGCTAATCCATACAGATTTGCAGCAACCTCAATTCATGCCTCCTCAGAAGAAAGAATTCAACCGAGGGTGCATAAGGCAGAAGGAGGGACTGAAGCAAGTTTTAGAGCAGGAGTGAAAGTTTATTAAAAAGCTTTAGAGCGGGAAGAAAGCAAGTAGAGTACACTTGGAAGAGGGCCAAGTGGGTGACTTGAGATCTCAAGTGCATGTTTTGACCTATGACTTGGGGTTTTATACGTTGGTATGCTTCTGGGCTCTTGCATCTCTTCTCCCCTGCTTCTTCCCTTGTGGTGGGCTGTCCACATGTGCAGTTTTGGCCTGCTAGCACTTGGGAGGGGAGCATGTGTAGTGTGTTTATTAGAGTTGTATGCAAGCTCACTGGAGGTGTTCTTCCCTTACCAGTCTAGCATTCCTAGAGGAAGGTCATATGCCAGGTAAACTCCACCATTTTGCCTCTTGGTGTGCATACTTGAGCCCACTTGTCCAACTCCTGAGCTTTTATTGGGAAACTGCTGGTCACTAGTTCTGGGATTTTTCTGTGTATTGGGAGACTGCCTTTCCTGAGAGCCAGTTGAGACTAATTATTATTTTAGAGATGCAGTTTAACAATTGCCTGACCATCACCTGATTGATGCCTGACATTCCTGGTGGGGCTGGGCTCTCTCCTGCCCTGCTCATATCCGACTATAACATATTGAAGTGGAGAAACCAGTGGAAAGGGGCAGTGTAGCTACAGAAAAGGATGGAGATAATTAAATATGAACTACAGCAGGTGAGACTGGATGAGATTTATTACACAGACTTCACCTTAGTGAAAAAGCAAGACAAATCTTCCATTAAGTAAGAATGATGTGCAACAATAAAGGGCAAATGGGGAAGTAATGAAAGAAAATTGGTAGATTTGGTGACAGGAAGCCAATGGAGTATGCCTTTTGATATGACTCCAATGACTGGAGGAACATCAGGGTACTTTGTCTTGTGCCAATTAGATAAACGACACGGACACACGTGGAGTGGTTTTAAGGACTGAAGAGTTTAATAGGTAAGAAAGAAGAAAAAACTCCCCCATGCAGAGGGAGGGGGGCTCCTAGTGGAGAGAGACTTCTGCCCACCCCCTCCCCCCTACGCCCACCAGTCCCGTGGAAAACAGTGGGTTATTTAGGAGGCTGGAGGAGGTGGTGTCTGATTTGCATAGGGCTCAGGGGATTGGTTTGACCAGGTATGTCATTCACATAGCCTGTGAGAAAACTGGCCCTCCCACCCTAGCCTTTTAATATGCAAATGCAGGTCACCATGATGTCCTGCACACATGGAATTATCAGGAGGTAGTCATGATGCTTGGCACAGTGGTGACAAGGAGAAGAGGGCAGGAATCACCATGTTGGATGGACTCAGTTTCTAATTGCTGGCATTTGTATATCAAATCTTGCCCGCCTGGCTATTCAAGCCGTTTTTCTATTAGAAAAGAAATGTTTCTGGGGCTGTTTTTATTAAAAGAAAAAACCTTACCAAGGACTCCTTACCCTCTCTATCTGCCTAAAATAACTTCTTAATAACTCCTGTATTACTTTCATGAAAACATGGGCTTTAGTAAGGAAGTTTGCTGAGAGAAAAGAGTATATTCGGCAGGCTAGAAACTTGAAAAGAGGGTAAATGGTTTAGTAACTATGATCTGAATGCTTGGGTCCCTCCAAATTTATTATGTTGAAACTTACTCACTCCCAGATGTGGGTGTTAAGAGGTGGAGCCTTTGAGAGGTGATTAGGTCACTAGAGCAGAACTTTCATAAATGGGTTTAATGCTCTTATAACACAGGCCCAAGGGAGCTTGTCTTGCCCCTTTTGCCATGAGAAGATACAGCCAGAAGGCACCATTTGTAAGGAAGAGAGCTCACATCAAACACTAAGACCGCTGGCACCTTAATCTTGGACTTCCCCATCACCAGAACTAAAAAATAAATATTTGTTGTTTATAAACCACCCAACTTATGATATTTTTGTTATCATAACATTTTGTTAGTAGCTCAAGTGGACTAAGACAAGAGTCATTACTATGAAATGTTGGCTTAGGAAACCTACCATAGTAGCATTTTCAAAGTATCTTTAATTTAGAGTTCATTAAACCTTGTTTTGTTTCTCACCCACGAGATTCTTCAACAAAGAGCAGATTCATGGAAAGAACAAAAAGAAATTTTCACCCTGTTTGCCTCCTCTTGTCTGATCTCTAATAAGGTTATGAAAACTGCTTTAAATTTTTTGTACCTAACTTTGCTCTTGCTCTGGGTTCCCATGGTGGTTTATTCTCTGTGATAAAGCAATTGTTAGAGAGAATTAATGTCACAGTCACTGGTGAGAACTTTTAAGGGGAGGGAAAGCTTGTAAAAGCCAACAATTCTATCTGCAATAAACAGCCAATTTTTATGAAACTTCCTTGGTCATAAGAAAAAAAGAGAAAACAAAACTAAATGTAAGGGAATCATGAATCTGTAAGAGATCTTGGGAGGTCATTTTGATATGCACTGTGACTCCATTTGGGCATGGTTTTCCTTGATCTTTGATATTTGTTTCCTTTGGCACATACTAATAATGATAATGCTACTATATGCTACATACTGTTTGAATTATTTTACACAAATTAACTCAGTTAGTCCTCAAAACCATTCCTCTAAGGTAGTGTGTACTATTGTTCTCATTTTAGAGATAAGAAAACTAAGACACAGAGAGGTTAAGTATCTCGTCCAAGGTAACACAGTTAAGATTAGAGCTATAAATGAAAGCCCCAAGTGATGTGGCTGTAAAGCTTGTGTTCTTATAGGCACTTACTGGGTGAATTGATTAATGCATGCCTTCTTGCCTTTGTTCACCTGGCATAATCTAGTATTCTGATTTTACAGATGAAGTCCAAAATCCTATTCAAGATTGGCCAAGGTCATACCGTAAGTGACAGAGCAGGTATTTAACGTCAGCTATTTTGACTCCATGTCCTACTCTTTTTCATTATGCCATAATTGCCTCTGTATCTAATTCACGTCTGGTGATTCTCTTTTGCCCTGAGTTTTGTTTGCACCTCCAGCCTGTGTACCTCCTGCTCAGTAATGATCTAATACTTACTGTGTGGGCTTCAAAGTTTATTTGATTTGGAGCAACCTAAACGGCCAGTTGGCAAGGTCTAAATATAAGATTGTAAATACAGGGACAAGGATGCATATTTCTGGCCTGAGGGGATCTCACAATTATGGTAAAATATTGTGAAGTATTGGCAACTGTTGGCACAACTGAAATGGATTTTTCAATTCTAAATATTTGTGGTATGTTATATAAATTCATATAAAGGGAGAAACTCCAGAATTATGGTAATAAACCTTAATATTTTGTATGTATTACACCAGTTTAAGAAAGTGGGATTTTTAGTTTGAAAAAGTAATTAATTTTGCAAGAGTCCTGCCTTGACAACACACATGAGGGTTGCTATTTTGCACAGTGCATGCACCTTGCAGTGTTCAGAATAGGCTGCATTTGTTGCTACCACCCTTGTTTCCTCGCAACATCCTGTGTTGTGACTGGGTAATACATTTTGCTACACTGATTTGACTGAGGGAGGGAGAAACCACAGCATGGTGTGGTTTAAATGACTCATTCAGTCTTGTAAAAGTGGTCTGTGTTAGAGCCAGAGTTAGGATTTGGATCTTCCATCTTGAATGCCATGCTTTGTGTTAAACCACATGGTGTTCCAATATATCATCTGGCCCATTTAAACCGCATGGATAATTCATTTTTCAACACTCTGGTTATATATCATCTTAGCTGTCACTTCCATTAGCTGCTTACACACCTGCATGTAGCTCACACCAGGCTCCTTTTCTGCCGGTTCTGACATCACAAGTGGTGCTCATTAAGCACTAGAAAAACAGTTAAACAACAACAACAACCCTCCTTTGTTCTGCCTTACTGTATTTTACTTTTGGTTTCTGCTCAATGGAATTTAGTACCAGTTTTATTATAATGCCTGTCTAGGGGAACTCCGTTTTTCTTGCAAACTTTCAGAGCCTTTTCTTAGAGCAGAATAGAGATTTTACATTTATGTTCAATGGAGCTTGGGAGATATTAGGAAACTATCTTGGTGAGGTAGCACTAAAGGAGCCTGTAGTGAGACCCAGATTTCAACCTACCACCCCATGACAGATTATCTATTTTCAGCTTAGGTTTGCCACCAACACAATTCTTAGGCAGAGGAGAAACAAGAAACTGCATTCTTAGAGTCCTTCCTCATATGGTTCCTGTTTAGTGTCCGCCAAAAAGAGGCATTCATGTGAAATTTTGAAGACAGAAGGAAAAATGAACACAAGAGAGATTGATCTTAGATTTATACATTTGTGCATTCAACAAATAATTATTTCTATCCTACATGTGGTAGGCATTGTTCTATATCCTGAGGATATAGCCCTTATTCTCACAGAGTTTGTGTTCTGTGAGTGGGTGAGAAGACAAAAAACAAACAAAAAAAACACCAACAGGCAAGTGAAATATAAGTATATATTTCAGATCATGATCAGTGTTATGAAGGCAAAACAGAAGTAAGATAATATATTTTAGAGAAGATAGTAGGAATAGTATAATTTTTGTTCAAGGATGTTTTAAAGTTCTAAAGCATGTTCCACAATTGATTTTTCCAGGGAAATTTTAATTTCCTAAACCTTTCTGAAATTTTGTCTTGTTAATTATCCAAGTTTGAATTTATTTAGTTATCATGTGTTTCATGCGCGTCCGTGTGAAGAGACCAGCAAACAGGCTTTGTGTGAGAAACATGGCTGTTTATTTCACCTGGGTGCAGGCAGGCTGAGTCCAAAAAGAGAGTCAGTGAAGGGAGATAAGGGTGGGGCCGTTTTATAGGATTTGGGTAGGTAAAGGAAAATTACAGTCAAAGGGGGTTTGTTCTCTGGCGGGCAGGAGTGGGGGTCGCAAGGTGCTCAGTGGGGGTGCTTTTTGAGCCAGGATGAGCCAGGGAAAGGACTTTCACAAGGTAATGTTATCACTTAAGGCAAGGACCGGCCATTTACACTTCTTTTGTGGTGGAATGTCATCAGTTAAGGTGGGGCAGGGCATATTCACTTCTTTTGTGATTCTTCAGTTACTTCAGGCCATCTGGGCGTATACGTGCAAGTCACAGGGGATGCGATGGCTTGGTTTGGGCTCAGAGGCCTGACATTCCTGCCTTCTTATATTAATAAGAAAAATAAAACAAAATAGTGTTGAAGTGTTGGGGCGGCAAAAATTTTTGGGGGGTGGTATGGAGAGAGAATGGGCGATGTTTCTCAGGGCTGCTTCAAGCGGGATTAGGGGCAGCGTGGGAACCTAGAGTGGGAGAGATTAAGCTGAGGGGAGGTCTTGTGGTAAGGGGTGATATTGTGGGGATGTTAGAAGAAACAGTTGTTGTATAGAATGATTGATGATGGCCTGGATACGGTTTTGGATGAATTGAGAAACTAAATGGAATAACAGAAGGAGAAAAACAGGTATAAAATGTCTAAGAATTGGGACGACTCGGGATATCTGATTAGAGAGTGCCTAAGGAGATTCAGCATAGTCCTGCCAGCAAAGATTATTTATTTACTTCAAGAGTTAAGAGTGGCAGTCTGGGGATAGCACCAGGAGATATCAGCTGTGATGGCTTGGAAAAACAGTGTAAACTAGCAGTGTAAACAAGAGCAGGGCATGTATGAGTAGTTGAGAACGGTGAATAGGAGTATGACTAGAGAGAAGATAGCAGGGATGACAAGTTTTTTTTGGGGCACAGTCTGAGTTGGTCTGGTGTCTAGAATGAGACTGGGGCCTAATAAAAAGGAGCGTCTATACAGGAGCTCAAATGGGCTGTACCCTGTAGCATTCCGAGGACAGGCCTGAATTCTGAGAAGGGAAAGTGGTAAAAGTATTGTCCAGTCCTTTTTAAGTTGGTGGCTGAGCTTGGTGAGGTGTGTTTTTAAAAGACCTTTAGTCCATTCTACTTTTCTTGAAGACGGAGGACCATAAGGGATATAAAGGTTTCACTGAATACTAAGAGCCTGAAAAACTGCTTGGCTGTTTTGACTAATAAAGGCCCTTCTGTTATCAGACTGTATTGAGGTGGGAAGGCTAAACTGAGGAATTATGTCTGACAGAAGGGAAGAAATGACTGCGGTGGCCTTCTCAGACCCTGTAGGAAAGGCCTCTACCTATCCAGTGAAAGTATCTACCTAGACTAAGAGGTATTTTAGTTATCTGACTCAGGGCATGTTGAGTAAAGCTAATTTGCCAGTCCTGGGTGGGGCAAATCCTCGAGCTTGATGTGTAGGGAAGGGAGGGGGCCTGAAGAATCCCTGAGGAGTAGTAGAATAGCAGATGGAACACTGAGAAGTTATTTCCTTGAGGATAGGTTTCCACAATGGAAAGGAAATGAGAGGTTCTAAGAGGTGGGCTAGTGGCTTGTACTATAGCATAACCTGCCTTTGCTGGTGTGTGGCGATTAGGCCTGGTGGAACCGCCATCAATAAATCAAGCGTGATCAGGGTGAGGAACAGGAAAGAAGGAAATTTGGGGAAATGGGGTGAATGTCAGGTGGATCAGAGAGATACAGTCATGGGGGTCAGGTGTGGTATCAGGAATAATGTGGGAGGCCGGATTGAAGTCTGGGCCAGGAACAACGGTAATTGTGGGAGACTCAACAAAGAGTGAGTATAGCGGAAGGAGCCAGGAAGCAGAAAGTATATGTGTCAGGTATGAGAAAGAAAATAGATTTTGGAAGTTATGAGAAATGTAGAGAGTGAGTTGAGCATAGTTTGTGATCTTGAGGGCCTCTAAAAGTATTAATGCAGTGGCAGCCGCTGCACACAGACATGAGGGCTAGGCTAAAACAGTAAGGTCAAGTTTTTTGGACAGAAAGGCTACAGGGTGTGGTCCTGGCTCTTGTGTAAGAATTCTGACCACGCTAACCATGCCTAGGAAGGAAAGGAGTTGTTGTTTTGTAGAAGGTGCTGGGGTTTGAGAGATCAGTCGGACACGATTGGCAGGGAGAGCACGTGTGTTTTTATGAGAATTATGCCGAGATAGGTAACAGATGAGGAAGAAATTTGGGCTTGATTGAAGTAATGGGGGCTGTCTGTGAAGCTTTGCAGCAGTACAGCCTAGGTAATTTCCTGAGCTTGATGGGTGTCAGGGTCAGTCCAAGTGGAAGTGAAGAGAGGCTGGGATTAAGGTGCAAAGGAATAGTAAAGAAAGCATGTTTGAGATCTAGAACAGAATAATGGGTTATAGAGGCAGGTATTGAGGATAGGAGAGTATGTGGGTTTGGCACCACGGGGTGGATAGGCAAAACAATTTGGTTGATAAGGTGCAGATCCTGAACTAACTTGTAAGGCTTGTCTGGTTTTAGGACAGGTAAAATGGGGGAATTGTAAGGAGAGTTTATAGGCTTTAAAAGGCCATGCTGTAGCAGGCTAGTGATAACAGGCTTTAATCTTTCTAAAGCGTGCTGCGGGATGCGATATTGGCGTTGAGTGGGGTAAGGGTGATTAGGTTTTAATGAGATGGTAAGAGGTGCATGATCGGTCGCCAAGGAGGGAGTAGAGGTATCTTATACTTGTGGGTTAAGGCTGGGGGATACAAGAGGAGGACGCAAAGGAGGCTTTGGATTGGGAAGAAGGGCGGCAATGAGATATAGCTGTAGTCCAGGAATAGTCAGGGAAGCAGATAATTTAGTTAAAGTGTCTCAGCCTAATAAGGGAACTGGGCAGGTGGGGATAACTAAAAAGGAGTGATTAAAAGAGTATTGTCTAAGTTGGCAGCAGAGTTGGGGAGTTTTAAGAGGTTTAGAAGCCTGGCCGTCAATACCCACAACAGTTATGGAGGCAAGGGAAACAGGCCTTTGAAAAGAAGGTAATGTGGAGTGGGTAGCCTCTGTATTGATTAAGAAGGGGACGTGCTTACCTTCCACTGTGAGAGTTACCCGAAGCTCAGCGTCCGTGATGGTCTAGGGGCTTCCGAGGCGATCGGGCAGTGTCAGTCTTCAGCCGCTAAGCTGAGAAGATCTGGGAAGGAGTCAGTCAGCGAGCCTTGGGCCAGAGTTCCAGGGACTCTGGGAGTGGCTGCCAGGTGAGTTGAACAGTCCGATTTTCCGTGGGGTCCCACACAGATGGGACGTGGCTTAGGAGGAATCCCAGGCAGCGGGCATTCCTTGGCCCAGGGGCCCGATTTCCGGCATGTGTAGCAAGCTCCTGTGGGAGGAGGTTCTGGAGGAATGCCTGGCCACTGCAGTTCAGGCGTTTGGAAGTTCTTATGTGCTGGAGATGTGGCTGGGGTTTGTCTCACAGTGGAGGCAAGGAATTGCAACTTTTTTCTATTATTGTACACCTTGAAGGTGAGGTTAATTAAATCCTGTTGTGGGGTTTGAGGGCCGGAATTTAATTTTTGGAGTTTTACTTAATGTTGGGAGCAGATTGGGTAATAAAATGTATTTTGAGAATAAGACGGCCTTTTGACTTTTTAGGGTCTAGGGCTGTAAAGTGTCTCAGGGTTGCTGCCAAACAAGTCATGAACTGGGCTGGATTTTTATATTCGATGAAAAAGAGCCTAAACGCTATCTGATTTGGGATAAAGAAAAAGGAGCATTAATCTTGACTATGCCTTTAGCTCCAGCCACCTTTTTAAGAGTAAATTGCCGGGCAGGTGGGGGATGGCTAGTCACGGAAGAAACTGTAAGCCGGACTAGGTGTGAGGAGGGGAGGTGATAAAAAGATTATAGGGTGGAGGAGGGGAGGCTGAGGAAGAATTGGGACCTAGCTCGGCCTGGCGAGGAGCAGCCTGGGGAGGAAGGGAGAGGTTAGGTGGGTCTGTAGAAAAGGAAGATTAGAAAGACTCAGCGACGCTTGGGGTTGGTACTGAGGGGACAGGCGGGAGGGAAAGAAGAAAGATTTGGAGAGACTAGGAAGGGACTGATACGTAAAAGAATGCCTGGACGTCAGGCACCTCAGACCGTTTGCCTATTTTACGACAAGAATTATTTAGATTTTGCAGGATGGAAAAATTCAAAGTGCCATTTTCTGGCTATGTGGAACTACTGTCAAGGTTGTATTGGGGTCAAGCGGCATTGCAGAAGAAAAGGCATTTAGGTTTTAGGTCAGGTGTGAGTTGAAGAGGTTTTAAGTTTTTGAGAACACAGGCTAAGGGAGAAGAAGGAGGAATGGAAGGTGGAAGCTTACCCATAGTGAAGGAGGCAAGCCCAGAGAAAAGAGTAGAGACACGGAGAAGGGGTGGAGGGTTCTTGCCCTCCAGAAAAGCAGAGAAGGGGGTTGGGGCACGGAAATAAGTGACTGGGGCACAGAGATAAGAGGTCAGGGTGTGGAAATAAGGGATTGGGGCACAGAGATAAGAGGTTGGGGTGCGGAAATAAGCGATTGGGGGTTTCTTGCCCCCTAGGAAAGCAGGACTTGCCGCTAAGGGTGAAGGAGAAGGGGTTGAGGGGTACTTGCCCCTCTCCCAGAAAAGCAGAGAAGGGGTAGAGACAAGGAGAGAAGTGGTTGAGGTACTTGCCCCTTCCCCAGAAAAGCGGGACTTGCCGCTAAGGGTGAAGGACAAAGGCAGGTGTCCCTGCGTGGTCTGACACCCTTGAAACGTGGGTGTATAATCAGAGAGGCGTCCCTGCAATGATTAAACACCAAGGGAAGGCGGCCTTCCCAGTCCGTGACCAGGCCGGAGTTTTGGGTCCACAGGTAAAACGTGTCTCCTTTGTCTTTCCCAGAAAATGAAAGGAATTGAAATTAAGAGAAGGGAGAGATTGAAGAGTGGAAAGGAGAAAGTGGTTGAGGGACAGTGAGAGAGGTTGGAGAAGAGAGTAAGAAGAGGCCGCTTACCTGATTTAAGATTGGTGAGATGTTCCTTGGGCTGGTCGGTCTGAGGACCTGAGGTCATAGGTGGATCTTTCTCACGGAGCACAGAACAGGAGGACAGGGGATTGATCTCCCAAGGGAGGTCCCCCAATCCGAGTTGCGGCACCAAATTTCATGCACGTCTGTGTGAATAGACCATCAAACAGGCTTTGTGTGAGCAACATGGCTGTTTATTTCACCTGGGTGCAGGCAGGCTGAGTCCGAAAAGAGAGTCAGTGAAGGGAGATAAGGGTGGGGCGGTTTTATAGGATTTGGGTAGGTAAAGGAAAATTACAGTCAAAGGGGGTTTGTTCTCTGGCGGGCAGGAGTGGGGGTCGCAAGGTGCTCAGTGGGGGTGCTTTTTGAGCCAGGATGAGCCAGGGAAAGGACTTTTACAAGGTAATGTCATCACTTAAGGCAAGGACCGGCCATTTACACTTCTTTTGTGGTGGAATGTCATCAGTTAAGGTGGGGCAGGGCATATTCACTTCTTTTGTGATTCTTCAGTTACTTCAGGCCATCTGGGCGTATACGTGCAAGTCACAGGGGATGCGATGGCTTGGCTTGGGCTCAGAGGCCTGACAATGTGTTTATGCGGTTATCAGTGGTTTCTTTAAATAGTCTTTGTTAGTATATCCAGTAAGGGCTGCTAAACACTGTCAGTCTATTTTCTGTAGCATATAACAAAATACCTGAAACTGGATAATTTATAAAGAAAAGGAATTTATTTCTTACAGTTATGGAGGCTGAGAAGTCCAAGGGCAGGAGGTCGCATCTGGTGAGAGCCTTCTTGCTGGTGGGAACTCTCTGAAGGGTCCCAAGGTAGTGCAGGGGATCACATGGGAGGAGGTTGAGTGTGCTAACATGCTAGCTCAGGTCTCTCTTCGTTTTCTTGTAAAGCCACCAATTCCTGTCCCATGATAACCCATTAACCCATTAATCCATTAATCTGTGAATGGGTTAATCCATTCATGAGAGCAGAGCCTTCATGATCCAGTCACTTCTTAAAAATTCATTTCTCAATGCAAGCACATTGAGGATGAAATTCCAACATGAGTTTTGGAGGGGACATTTAAGCCATAGCACTGATATTATGATCAGAGTGATGTCTTGATCTCTTTGTTGAGATGCTGGTTTGTTTGTTTGTTTGTTTTTAGTTCTGACAGCCTGTCACACTCTCCATTTCCATAAACCCTGTTGATTGAGGAAAGAAATGGAATTTTAAAGGAGTCACCATAAGTTACCAATGGGGACTATGATTGTGTTTCACCAGTTTGCTTTCCTAAGTTTTATATGAATTTATTAGCATGCTCTCCCCCAGGTCAACTGTGTCCTGTATAAGATTCTATAGGAATGTGGTAACATAAGCATATATCTCAAGAACATTCTGGATTGACTCAAATATGGGAGAGTTTACCCAAGGTCTGTCTATCCCTCTCCTTAGGAAGTGATAAACAAGCATGAGGCCTTACTTCTATAGATAGAATTGAGCATATCTGCTTTGGAGATTGACTTTGATTTATGGTTGGGTGCATAGAGTGTGTCCTAGGGCATCAAGCTGTAATTGCACTCCTTCAAAGTGCACTGTTGTGCTCTCATCCTTCAAATAAAGGGGAGCTGCATAATTCTCTGTGTTTATTTAACTTATGATTTATTTCTTTTGAAAGGATTATGTCTTTTGTTAAAACATTCTTTTCAGGGGAGATGGAGATTTAAGGAATAAAGAAGCTTTAGTCTTAGGAGGCTGCTCTTTTCTGTTAATTCTGCTTACCTGTAGAATCCTTTTATTTAGAAAAGAATTCCATATTATTACAGGAAAGGGGCCCAATCCAGACCCTAAGAGAGTGTTCTTGGATCTCATGCAAGAAAGAATTCAGGGCAAGTTCATAGAGTAAAGTGAAAGCAAGTTTGTTGAGAAAGTAAAGAAATAAAAGAATGGGTACTCCATAGAAAGAGTAGCCCTGAGGGCTGCTGGTTGCCCACTTTTATGGTTGTTTCTTGATTTTATGCTAAACAAGGGTGCACGCCTCCCCTTTTTAGACCATATAGGGTAACTTCCTGATGTCACCATGGCATTTGTAAACTGTCGTGATGCTGGTGGGTGGGTAGCAGTGAGGACAAACAGAGGTCACTCTTGTGGCCATCATGGTTTTGGTGGGTTTTAGCTGGCTTCTTTATGGCAACCTATTTTATCAGCAAGGTCTTTATGACCTGTATTTGTAGCGACGTTCTATTTCACCCTGTGACCCCTTCGAATGCCTTAACCATCTGGGAATGCAGCCCAGTAGGTCTCAACTTTATTTTACCCAGCTCTTATTCAAGATGGAGTTTCTCTGGTTCACATGCCTCTGACAATATGTCTTATATGACATTTGGCCACTTTGAGGCCTATAGTAAAAATTGTTTTAAAAATTCTCCTCTCACCTTTATCACCTGCCACCATATCTTCCCTACCTTTCACATCAAATTAAGATTACATACTTAAGTGTGCTAGAAAAATTGTCCTTTTCTTTCCAGTTCAGCTTTGATAAATGAAGCAAAGAGAGTTGGATTTTAGTGTAGGCTCTGAGTTTGATGTGGTAACCTGGGGCCAGACACTTATCTCTCATGTGAGGGTCTGAGTCACATTGTCTTGTGTGTGGAAGGAGGAGATTATATTAGAACATCAGTTCTTAAAGATTGTCTTCTTAGGACAACTTTACACTCCAGAAGTAGGGTCCTATAGAGCTCAGCCTGAATTCCACTGGCAGCTTCCTTGGATCTCCAGCTTGCAGATGACATATTGTGGGACTGTTCAGCCTCCATAATTATGTGAGCTATTTCATATTGTAAGTCCTATCTTATCTGTCTATATCCGATTGTTTCTGTTTTTTCTGGAGAACCCTGGCTAATACAAATATTAAATAGATTATTTTTCAAGTAATATATGAATGATATATTTACAATGCAGTGTTTTGGTAGAGGCTGTGTATGTTTTCTTTTAAAAAAAGCAAAGCCATTCTTGAACTAATTAAATGGTTTGGAATTTAGTTTTCGGCCAAATTAACAGGAAAAATAAAGTTAAAAAAGGTAGAATGAAAAGAAAATTAATTCCCTAGCTCCCTCCTTTTGACGAACCTGTTTGATCTCCCTCTGTTATTTTTTTCCAGTTGTTAATATTTACATATCTAAAAAGTGGATTTGTTAAAAAAATGTTCTCCAAAGTACAGTTGCTGAAGATGACACATTGTAAAGTAGACAACAAGTTAGGGCTCTTGTTCCTGTTTTTCTCTTCCTCAAAGACGCATCCAAGTGTGCAATCAGAGCTAGCTAGAATGGCAATTTAATGATGGTGAAGATGGCTTTTTTTATGTTTTGTTCCTCTGCCATCTTCAAGCTGTTTCTCTCATTTGCATGGTTAAAGATTAGTATCCTAACCACCTTCCAGCCATTAAAGGTAGAGGATCCGAAGAGCAGGACAATACAAATCAGGAAGTATCCTGTTTTACTTAAGCTCACCTTCCATTTGCCAGAATTTATTTCCATGGCCATGTAGGGGCAAAAAGAATTTTTCTTCATCTCCTTTTGAAGGTTCAATAATCTGAGTCTATAAAATAAATGGACAATAGGGAGATCAACAGGAGAAAATGCATACAGATTTATTACATGCACACCTGTGCAAAGGAGACACGCAAAATGTGAGACTCAAAGAACGGCCAGATAAATGAAGTTTTCATATCCTACAGAAAGGAATAAGGGCTTGGGGCTTCTGGAGGGTGGTGGCAAAAGATTATAGAAAGGTCAGTGGAGGAAACACATGGTAAGCAACACTGTCTTGTTATGAAATCTCTTAGATAAAAGTAGTCAGAATGGGCGGCTCTCTGTGACAATCTTAGTTTTGGGGAGATGTCAGAACATCATGTCTCCTTAGAGAGATAAATGGAGCTCCAAAAGAAACCTCTGCTTGCATCCACTGTTTACCTTAGTAAGGTAGAAACATGTAAATTTCGTTTACAACAGGACAGTTTTTCGGAGCTATTCCTATTTTCAGGTCTCTGGATTTCCAATTCAAAATATGCCAAAGAAGTTTATTCTGGTCTTCCAGAGTTTTCCTTTTGAAACTTTATTTTCAGAAAGTTTCATTTATTAAAACCTCCTATCAGTCTTGTAGTCCTGATAATTAAGTTAGTTCTGTCCTGAGAATAGGTCAGTTCAGTTAAATAGTTGTGTCTCATTTGAGGAACTGGCGTTGCAGTTGGGCTCCCAAAGTTAGGCCTCTATATCTTTCAATAAAACAGGTATTTAATAAGAGACATTTCTAAGGAAACAAAATGAAAACAAAGGTTAATGCTTGAAGCAGTCTAAAAACTAACATTTGAGTTTGAAGGGCAGCCAGCTGAGATTTCTAGATGTTGGCTCAAAGCATCTTCAGTGAAAGCAAAAGCAGACAATGGCAATCTGACAGATTTTCCTGATTTGCAGTTTAAATGCAGCTGACGTAGTAATTTCTCTGAGTGTATTTATCAAGTTGACCAGTTTTCTGCTTGCAAGGTTTTAATGTTTGTGATTCCAAGTCAGAAGAATGGGAGAAAAATTGGTAAAATTAGTTTGGAGACTTACAGCCAAAAAAAATTTAGAATCCAGTCCTAATTGCAGGTAAAGAAAAATCTCAAAAATAATGAGCAGGGTTGAAATATAATAATGATTGTACTATATAGCTTTCTTCTGAAACCTAATTTTTCCTCTTTCCATTCACACCAGTTTGCATAAAAGATAATCATAATAAGATGAATTTATTTGCAAAATGAGTTTAGTCTCATTGAATGTGGCCTGATTATTTGCATAAGGTGCCACAAGAATGATGATTGACCATATAGGCTCTTTTAAAATTTTGTTTTGCTGGAATTTTTCATAAGGAATCTCAGATTAGGCCTTTAAAAACCACTCATTGCTATGAAGCTAAGCCAAGAACTTGCCATCAGGTTTTACCTGTATTACCTAGGGAAATTCCTATCTTCTTGAGGTTTCTAAAATACTCTGAAGTTCCTTGAACTGTCGGGAAGTAACATTCTTTACTTAATGCAAGGCTGGGAACCCTGTAAGAAAAGCATGTATTCAAGATACCAGGCCAGTTTTCCAAGGGCTTCTATTGGCTTCATAAAGTCAACCTCAGTTTCTCAAGGCTGTCTGAGCATATCTAAGAATATGACATTCCAGTCACTATCTTGGTAATGTAACCAGTGTTACCAATTGTCCTGTTACAAAGAGCAGAGATTCTTATTGAACTTATGTGGATAAAAATATTGCCATAAAGTAAGAATACTGATGAATGGTTTCCATATTTTGGATAAATTAGGCAGGGAGAAAAATATAAATGTTTAAATTCTGTTTATAAAAGCATATGTTACCAGATTGCTGTAAGCTATAGAAAGCTTAAAAGAAAAAAGTTTCCTTAAATCTAGAAAACAAAACACAAAAAGAAACAGCAATGTTTCAAACAAAAGTCATAAAATATAGTCCTTCATCAGTTCAGTCCCACATAATTAATTTTTCTTTCTTCTTATCAGATAATTAATTATTTCTTTAATGCAAATTTTGGGCTCATAAAACTAGATGTTGGGTTAGCAGTTTTATGAGTCCTTTGTTAAAAAATTATTATTAGAGTTCTAGAAATCTTACCCAGTCTAATAATATGGTTTAAAGTCATCAGAAAGTGTTTCAGAGTACCTGCCAGAGTCCTTACCATAAATTTTTTGAAGAAGCAATTTCGCGCTGTAGCTAATTGCAAAACATTTATAGAGATGAGTCAATGCCATTATCTGTAGATGACAAAAACTTAGAATGGCAATGGCTAAAAATCAAATGAGTTTACTATAAATAGCCATTGATTAAAAAAGTGGTTATTTTTTTCACGTAGAAAACTATAACAAAATAACCAGAATTATGACTGACAAAATATCAGAATTCTAGAAATTTCATACAATTTTGGATTACTCATATCAATAACATACCCATATAAATATCACTCAAAGAATGTTAAATATCATTTCCAATTTTACAGTGCTTACTATATAATTTATATTAAATAGACCTAATTGGTTTAATATCTCTCTTTTGGACTTCTAGGGGTCATTCCAGAATACCCAAAAGGTACTTGAAAGCCAAAAAAACCTTAATTTTGATTTTGGGAAGTTTGTCAGAAATAAAGGTTCTAAACACTTCATCAAAATAGAATTATAGGTTACTGCAAAATAAGTCATTCTTTTAATCAGAGTGAGAATTAAAACATTTTAAAAGCAAACACAGGAAGTTACATAGTTGTAAAAAACAAGAACAAAGCAAAACAAAAAACCTTTACTCTTTGATAGAGAGAAGAGAAGCAGTTTTTCCAAGTAATCAAAAGACAGGATGCAGTACACAGAATCTGTTTCTCTCTCCCCCCTTTTTTTTTCTTTTTGCAGTTCTCTGAAAAAGGTAAACAAAAATTTTTTTTTTATCATTCCCTATCAATACTAAACAAAAATCTTGTTTAAAAGAGAGGACCAAATTCTAGTTTTATATTAGTCTCCTTTTGATATTAAGGCTAATTTAAAAAAAACATAAATAATTTCTTTTTATTCTTAGTCAACTTAATCATACTTAAATTCTTCTTTATAAGAATCATCTTTCATACACCTTTCATAACCTATCCATTCAGTTTTATCAATATCACTCTTATGTTTATTCATTCTGAAACAATCTTTAAATATCCTTCTAAATGGTCAAAATTGCTTTTTGCTCAACAAGAACAGCCTCATGCTTGCTTTATAACTTTATTAACCAACACCCCATCTTACTTTCCTTGTATGCTTTGAATACAGAATTGTTTCCTTTATTTTTAGCAGTTTTAATTACATACGGTAATTAAAATTTTTACTGTTAGTAACCTTAATTTCTATTGAAAACCTAAAAAGTAAGCAATTAAACGGTCACATACCAACTTATTTATTTTATAACATAAAAATATATGCTTGATTATTGTGTAATTTTTAAATGTGGGTCAGGACCTATATACTTACAGACCCAAATATATTTTGTCTTTTATAAAATTTAAGAAGCCAAAAGCAAATAAACATGTTCAGCAATGAATGTTTCAATATTTTATCAAATTTGGAAATGATCTAGATATTCAATGACTATCATTTGATTTAACTTAGCAGATTTCTAAGGGTGTAGTTACCAAAGAGATTTGGGAAACCTATTTAAGCAAACATGTTACAAAATAGTTACTGTTAAAAAGTGCATTTATAAACTTTCATCCCACTTATATATATTTAGTTTTCTTTTTCTCATTAAAATGCAATAAGACATTAAATGAAGTAAGTTATTACCCTGCTAATGATTTTTATAACATGTGTAAGAATATTAAAATTAAATACACGAGTATTTTACTGATAATTCAGAAGACTTGTCTTTTTTAAACCAATGATATTAACCTAGTCTTATTTACGAAAGAGCCACCCAATTCACATGAACTTGAAAAGTATTTAAGTTAATTTCTATATTTTTATTAGTTTTAGGATTTAAGTTTATTAGGGCTCATTTATCTAAATTCCTTCAAGGGATTTTATACCAAGTCATCACCACATATATCATACACATATATCATACATGTACACATGTATAAATATACAGAAACATAGAATTCAGTTAACTGATAAGTTCCCATAGAAAAAACAGGATCTAAAACACACAACAAAGACCTTACACACACACATACACACACACACACACACACACACACAGAAAGAGAGAGAGTCTCAATATTAGCTTTTAATTAAGCCAATTTCTGACCATAGATCATAGAGCTCTTTTCTTTAAATTAAAAAAACTTATTATCACATTTTAGCAAGGGCAAATAGCAGTATTAAACTGTTTTATTTTTTTCTTTTGAGAATCATTTCCCTCAAATTTGCATTTTAAATGGAGTGGTTTCTTGGGCAAGACTGGTTAGAAAATTTTCATCTCAAAGGCATAGGGAAAGAATGCAAGTTTTTCCAAGAATGACTTTGGAGGGACATATTTGCATGTTAGACATCTTGTATAATCAGCATTCAATTTTTTTTCCATTTCTTAAGAGCAGGAGAGTCTCATTTCTAATGCTTTGATTTTTTATAGTATTTTCAGACATCTTAAGATAAATAACTGCAGTTCAGTGGTTAGCAAGAACAGGTGGGCTTTAAATTTCTATCAAAGAAACATTTCTGTTTTTTTGAAATATTTAACTTGTAAGACAAAGACAGTTGCTTTTAATTCCCCTAAAAACTGTGTGGCAACCTGAATGATATCTAGATGATAACCCATACATCCAACAGTATCATCTTTAATTTGCTCTTTTATAACAGGGAGCAGATTTCCAGCTAAGATGCAAATCAAAAGATTTCTCTGTTCTGTACTGAAAGCTGTTTGCTTTTGATATGTTTTAATAAATTATTTTCTTTTATTCAGAGTATGTGGTTCCATTATGCTTAAGGGAGAAGGCTAAACAAACAAAATAGCATGTTCCTATTGCATTCTAAATAGAAACCAACGTTTTATATCAAAAATATACCTACAAGTGACTTGAAATCAAAATAAATAAGCATACATGAGACAAAAGCAAATAAACTTTATGACTTTAACCAAGTCTCTAAAGAGGAAGCAAAATAAAATTCAGCCCTTTCAAAATCCAGACAACTGCCAAAGACAGGGATAAAGAAAGGAAAGCTTAAACAACCATCAGTATGCTACTCACAAATGGGGTGCAACTTGCATTTCTGTCTGGTCATATTCTTGGGGTTCCCAACCTTTCAGCTGGGTGCCTACACATGAAGGCTTAATAATCCATGTGCTACTGATAGACAGAAAATAAAAATGATACAAATAGGAAAACAAAAGCTGTTTATGGGAAGAAAAAGATTACTAATAAATGGGTATCCCAAAAGATGAGCCATACAAATTCAAAACAAATATTTCTAACTAATTTCTATAAAGTAAATGTTTCTCTCATGAGCTAAAGTAATTTAGTGAGGAAAGGAATTTATGGAGGGTTCAAAAGACTTTAAGTCTGCCTTAAATCTGATTTCTGTTCAATTAGGTATAGTGACTGTCTAGTTAACTCCCTGAATGTTTACATTTCAAAAACATGGCAAGATTTACATCTCCAGGAGACTGAGAAAGGCCTGGAGATTCAGGCTGAAGTGTCTTTTGTTTAAATTTGATTTTCCGTATGTACCAATAGGACAGATGGTTAAGATAAGAACCCTCTAACATTTTTTCCTTTAAATATAACTAATTTATTTATTCCTAAGGTGATTCCAACAAATATAAGAACTAGTTTACATACACACTTCCATCTGTTAATATAGATTTGTAAAGATAAAAGGGACAAGAAGACACTCTTACCACCCACATCAACCAGGCACTGCAGGCAGGGACATGAGACATCGGAAGAAATGTTTATCTTTCTTTGCTGGTTTTTTTGTAAGTTTTCCCAGGATCCCATCTGCAGGCTCCCAATGAGTAGAGTGATTTGTTCTCTTGGCTCACCAAATCTGTAGGGGTGAAGAAAATTTTCTTCCCTCCTTCTTGAAGACTTGATAATTTGAGTCTGTAAAACAAACTGACAATAGACGGATTAACAGAAAAGACATACAAATTTGTTATATGCATATGTGTGCACGGGAGCCATACAAAATATGAGACCCAATGGCCAGATAAATGAAGTTGTTATACTGTACAGAAAGTGATAGGGGGGTGGGGTTCCTGGAGAGTGGGATGGCATCAGCTATTTATAGAAGGGTGAGGGGAGGAAATGCTTGGTGAGCAAAGGCCGTCGTGTTATAAAATCTTTTAGGTAATAGCCATCAGAAGAATTGGTGACTTCTCAGAACTTTATCTGGGAAGATAAAGATGTTTGAGGGCCATCTCTGAACTTTATCTTTCTTTAGGTAGGTAAAGGGGCCTAACAGAAAAACTAACTTGCATCTAGTATTTATCTTAGTAAGATAGATACATGTAAATTTTTTAAATCAAAAGGACAGCTTTTCAGATATTTCTATCTTCGGTTCTCAAATTACCAACTCAGAATATGCTAAAGAAGTTTATACTGGGGTGGCATATTCTGGCCTCCCATACCATACCCAGCTGCAAGGGAAATGAGAAATTATAATTTTAACTATGTGTCCATGTGTCCAGCTAAAGTTGAGCAACCCTCTCACTAAAAGAAAGAATGAATATTGGTGAAATGCAGCTGCCATGCCATAATGTTTACAAGGATTCATAAACTTAAACATCATTTATACATTTTCTTTTATAAGAGATGAGATCCCCAAAGTAGTAAGCTCACTGTGAAGACTAAAAGCTTTTGATAGTGTGCAGCACAAAAGGTTAAGAACTTATTATTTCCATTTAACGTGTTTATGTGAAAGAAATTAAAAACAAGATAAAACACATATGCTATGGACAGTATATTTCAAAAAGCATGCCTGGAATTGTGTAGATTTTGTTGCCAAATAACATTCAAGTGAGTCACCTATTAAAAAAAAGTCTCATATTTGCATACTTAAAAACATAGAAATATAATTTTTAAAAAACTTTAAAAATCTTCCAGTTGTTTTAATAATTTTAAAATCTTTGTATAAATAAACATCCAACATGTTTGTATTAATTTGGATAAATTAATTTTTTATTAATATATCAGAAGATTGAGTTTTTCCAACCAAATTAAAACCTAAATATTTGAATATCTGTAGATGGGAATAAAAAATGGCCCAACCATAAATATCTTCAATATGTATATACTTGACCTTATAGATTTCTTTTTAAGCTATGACAGACATTAAAATTCATATCAAAAAATAATAGTTATGGTATTTATTAAAGGACTAACTTTTGTCATTAATTTTGTACTAGTTTTATATTGATATATAGCCTGATTAATGTTGTATCAATAATACAGTAAAAGTATTCATAAATATTGTTCATTTAATACTTATCTAATTTTCACTTTATGTATACTTTATGCATATTTTATAGCATATGTAACAGTGGTATGGATGTATATATTTGAATAACATAAGCCAATCAACCCACAAATACAGGAGGAGTGCAGCTAAAGTATTTTTAATTATGTGGTGGTCAATCAAAAAGGTTTGGAGAGCAGTGGCTTCCAAAATGTTGTGTCTCCACCATAAAGATGTAGTTTATAATTTTTAATGTAGAAATAAGAGAAATATAGTGTACTAATATTTAATGTATGGATTGTTACTGGAAAACTCATATTTGGTATTTGTCAGAAGGTCCCAAGGTGTCCACTTAAGTTTCTGGATTAGAAACAAGAATTTACATGCTTTATGAGGGGTTATTACACTGTGTCATGAGCATCCTGAGGGACTAGTAGAACTAATTTCTTGGATCTGTGTCTCAGATTCTAGAAAATTCTTGCACCTTTATGTCCAGTGTTATAGGGAGCAAGATACTAGTGGGGCAAACATACCTTACTCTGTGTTGCATATATTCCTACCCATCTTTTTATCAGTTTGTATAATTTCTGGGAATAAAAACTTTGAGTTCCTGGCATCAGTGTTAGCAAGTTTATGTGAAGACAGTTATGCTTAATTTTAGTCAAGTGTTATATCATTAGTATGGACAAAGTGAACA
This sequence comes from Homo sapiens, assembly GCF_000001405.40. Classification (NCBI taxonomy): domain Eukaryota; kingdom Metazoa; phylum Chordata; class Mammalia; order Primates; family Hominidae; genus Homo; species Homo sapiens. Next base: position 115,201,178 of record NC_000008.11, on the reverse strand, counting down.
CGGAAGTACCAAATTTACTTTAGTGGATAAAGTTTGGATGGACAGGTTTCAAGTAGGTATCAAGAACAACATTACTGGGCGTAGAGGTATGCAAGGAGCATCTCTTATTAGGTTGGTGCAAACTAATTGCAGTTTTTGCCATTACTTTCAATGGCAAAACCACAATTACTTTTGCACCAACCTGATAATTTTTAATTAATTAATACTTATGGTAAATGTATTGTATGCCACAACTATGTTACCTCAGACAATACAGAAGTGGAAAAGGCAAAACCTGTCTCTCCCAATGGAGCATAAAGTGTTACTAGTGAAAGGAAGCATTTAGGAAAGACTCAAAATGTTTAATGCAATTTTATGAAGGACTGCAAAATGAACATACAGAGTGCTATGTGAATGCCTAATGAGGACATCTTAGTTAGCCTAGAGCTTCAGAGACAACATCCTTGGGGAGTGATGTGTAAAGGCCTGTAATGATTGGGAACTGAAAAGGCAGAGGGTAAGAGGCAACACTGGCAAGAGTAGGCATGAAATCATGGAATTAAGTGAAATAAAGTGTTTGTCAATTATAGAGTGCTTTTGAAATGTGAAAATTTACAGAAAGTCCTTATGGTTGCTATGGACTATATTGTGTCCCCCTAAACCTCATATGCTGAAGCTCCACATCTGTAATATGACTATTTAAAGATAGGGCTTTTAGAAGGTAATTAAGGTTAAATGAAGTTATACGTGTGGGGCCCTAATCTGATAGGATTGGTGGCCTTGTAAGAAGAGGAAATGAATTCTACAAGTTTCTCTTCCTCTCCCTTCTTTTTTCTCTCTCTCCTAGTGCAGACTCTCAGGAAGGACCACAGGAAGACACAGCAAGAAGACTGCCATCTGCAAGCCAGGAAGAGAGCCATCACCAGAGCCTAACCGTGCTAGTACTTTGATCTGGAACTTCCAGCCTCCAGAACTGTGAGAAAACAAATTTCTATTGTTTAAGTTATCAAGTCTATGATATAATGGCAAGCCAAGCTGACTTAAACAGTCATTATCTAATTCATCCTTTGAACTGACTCTCGTAATAATAATGTGATAAACAGACTAGCAGCTCCTGTTGATTGCACACCTGCTATATATCTGGCACTGTTTCAGATACTTTATGAAATGTAATTCTAATTCTCAAATCAACTAAAAGGTAGATATAATCTGCGCCTGCAGATGAACCAAGCAAGTCTCACAGAGATGAAGTGATGTGCTCAAGATCACACAGCAAGCCAGAATAAAATCCAGACAGGTTCCAAGACCCAAGATCTTCTCTCTTCTCCTGGACCGACAGTCATCTAGCTCTTCCTTGAATACCTCCAGTGATGATATTTCCTTCTAAGGTAGCTTGTTCCAGGTTAAATGTGAAACAGGTTCAAGTTGTGGTTTGTTTTTATTTTGTGTTCAGCTGAAACCTGCCTCTGTATTATTTTTTCAATTGTCCCTAGCCCACTCCTATAGTATTTTATTCTTCATAACAGGATTTCATCATCTTCTTTTGGTCTACCCTCTTTTAGGGTGAACCATATTCAATGAGTAATTCATTGTCTATGGATTTGTTTCCACCTGTGAAGCAAAAGGACTTTGGTCCTCATCCTCAAATTGCCTTCGGTTCTATCTGGAGGTCTGCAAAAGAATTTTTAAGTTTTTAAGCAGTATAACCATGGGCCTCAGCTCTACTGGTATTCCTACTTGTCCACTTGTTTATATCTGTTATCACTGCTCACCATGAAAAGCCCAAAGTCATTTCAAAAGTATATACCAGATGCTACTGGGATTTTTAGACCTTACAACAAACAAATAAACAAACAAACAAACAAATCAAGCAGTGCTACTGGCAATACCAAGAAAAGGTAAGGTCATCTTTCTCAGCTTTCTGCCTTAAATTATCTTCAGATGCCAAAAGCTGCTCTCTGTCATCTCAGAAATTCCCCTCAATAGTTCTATGAACTTCTTCCTCTTTTTCCATAATGGGTGTATACTAATACATGGGACTGGTGAGGTAAAGATGCTATTCTATCCTCCTCCCTTCTCCAGTTACCTCTTCCTTCTCTCACAAACCTGCACTGCCCCAAGCTTCTGCATTCCCATTTACAAACTAAAGCACACATTCTTAGGAATGGAGTAAATATTAGATTTGGGCAAGATTGTGTGGGAGATAGGTATTGCAGTCAAGTGCAAGAGGTAGCTCTTAGCTACACTAGCAGAAATTAGCTTAAAATGCTCTTTTTCATTATTAAAGAGAGTTTTCAGCTCATTTGCCATCCCGGTAGCCTCTTGGCATGTGTTTCTGTTTGTTAGTGCTCGTCTCAAAATGGAACATTTATAATTGAACCTCATGTTCCAGATGTGATCTGATTAGGTCAGTGTACAATAGTATAGTTAATGCCATTCTTCAAAATCAAATCTAATCAAAGTAACTTCCTGCTGCTTACAGCCCTCATCTGATTGCCTTTCTTGGTATTTACCAATGGTGCTAAATTTATATTGATGGCTTCCCCATGCCCCCGCCACTCCATCATCTCAATTTCCTCTCATTCAACTGATGCACCAACTTCTCAGGATCCCTCACCATTTCCCAGTCTTTCCTTTGCATGCACAATTCTCTTTTTCTAGAATCTTCTTTTCCTCTTCTCCACCTGAAGAAATGTTTCTCGTTCTCCATTTCTCTTTTGTCTTAGATGGTCCTTCTCCTTCAGTCCCTTTTCAGTCTCACTTGGCACATTTTATTGTTATTATCTTTAAAGCATATGCACCCCAACTGTAAGCACTTTCCCAACATTGATGGCAGAAATCACATATGATTCACTTTTGTTTCCCAGGCTTTTATTTTCTGTCTAGCACATTTAGATGTTCAAAACTTTTCACTTAGTTAATAAATTATCTTGGAATTAAGTTGCATTAACTATTTAGGTACAATTGCTTTATTTTTAATATTCTATAAAATACTAGATGACTTGTTAGATGTATTTTTAAAAATTAAATTACTTAGCTTTTAAACTATGTTAATAAAATACCTATGTTAATGTTGCTCCCACAGCAACCCATTCTGGCAGAAATGGCGGGTTGTTTTTATTTTCCTAGGATGTTTTTCAGGGGGAAATGGGAGGAGAGAGCATTCTAATTATCTGCCACTTGTACTATACCTTAGAGTTGTAGAATTATTGCTTTGAAACACACCTGGAGGTAATCACCATGATCATCTTTTTAAAGATAAGAAAACTGTGGCTCAAAAAGTTTATTGAATTGCTGAAGTTTTCACAGCTAGTTGCCATACTATTAGGTTTGTGCAAAAGTAATTGTGGTTCTAGACCGTGAATTTTAAATCATTATAACTAGGCTCAAACACATCTTTATTAATCAAAATAACCATCACAATAAACACATTATTGCCAACAAGAAATAAGTTTGTTTATTTGTGTAGTGGAAAAATCAGTGCTTCAGGATTCAACAGCTCTGGACAGCATTTTCCGTATCCTGCTGGTTGTGGAAGTGTTTTCCCTGCAAAACATTGTCCAGGTGTTTGAAGTGGTAGTCGATTGGTGAGAGGTCAGGTCAATATGGTGGATGATGCAAAACTTCATAGCCCAATTTGTTCAATTGTTGAAGTGTTGGTTGTGCGATGTGTGGTCGGGCGTTGTCGTGGAGAAGAATTGGTCCCTTTCTGTTGACCATTGCTGGCTGCAGGTGTTGCAGTTTTTGGTGCATCTCATTGATTTGCTGAGCATACTTTTCAGATGTAATAGTTGCATTGGGATTCAGAAAGCTGTAGTGGATCAGACCGGCAACAGACCACCAAACAGTGACCATGACCTTTCTTTGGTGCAAGTTTGGCTTTGGGAAGTGCTTTGGAACTTCTTCTCGGTCTAGCCACTGAGCTGGTCATCACTGGTTGTCATATAAAATTCCCTTTCATCACGCATCACAGTCCGATCGAGAAATGGTTTGTTGTTGTTGTGTAAAATAAGAGAAGATGACATTTCAAAACGATGACTTTCTAAACTTTTCACCCAGCTCATTAGGCACCCACTTACCAAGCTTTTTCACCTTTCCAATTTGCTTCGAATGCCAAACAACCATAGAATGGTCAGCATTAAGTTCTTCAGCAATTTCTCTTTTTTTTTTTTTTTTTTGACACGGAGTCTCGCTCTGTCGCCCAGGCTGGATTGCAGTGGCACGATCTCGGCTCACTGCAAACTCCGCCTCCCGGGTTCACGCCATTCTCCTGCCCCAGCCTCCCAAGTAGCTGGGACTACAGGTGCCCACCACCACGCCTGGCTAATTTTTTGTATTTTTAGTAGACACGGGGTTTCACCGTGTTAGCCAGGATGGTCTCGATCCTGACCTCATGATCCACCCACCTTGGCCTCCCAAAGTGCTGGGATTACAGGCTTGAGCCACTGCGCCTGACCTCTTCTTCGGCAATTTCTTGTGGTAGTTTTAAGAGGATGAGCTTCGATGATGGCTCTCAATTGGTCATTGTCAACTTCTGATCACTGGCCACTGTGCTCTTCATCTTCAAGGCTCTCGTCTCCTTTGCAAAACTTCTTGAACCACCACTGCACTGTAAGTTCGTTAGCAGCTTCTGGGCAGAATGCATTATTGATGTTGTGAGTTGTCTCTGCTGTATTATGACCCGTTTTGAACTTGAAAAGGAAAATCACTCAAATTTACTTTTTGTCTAACATCATTTCCATAGTCTAAAATAAATATAAAATAAACAGCAAGTCATAAGTCATTAGCAAAAAAAAAAAAAAAAAAAAGCGAAAAATGCACATTAAAATGGTGTATACCATAACCACATTTATTTAAGAATGTATTCCAATATCAAACAGCAAATTTCAACAATGCAAAAACTGCAATTATGTTTGCACGAACCTAATAGTACAGCTGGAATGAAAACCCAGGTCATCTTTAACATTGCTGCTGCTTCTTTTTTAATGTGCTACTATTATTTCCCTATTCATCTTTCATAAACACACCTTTAGCCTCTTTTTATTTTTTACTATATCTTACCTCACTTGCAGGATGTTTAGTGTTAACAGCTCAAGATTAGAAGCTAAACTACCTAAGTTCATAATGCTGGCTTTGCATCTTTCTAATTTGGTAAACTTGGGAAATAATTCAGTCATTTGAGCGTCAGTTTCCTTATCTACAAAATGGGTATACTAACAGTTTTTACCTACTATTGTGAAAATTAAGATATTTTATATAGATAAATCACTTTGATCACTATATATACAAGCCCTATGTGTGTTTGCTGTAATTATGATAATCACCCACAATTCTATGCTCTTTTTTACCTGTCACCAACCTGTGTGGGTTTATTAAAATGCTGGAATAATTTTAGACTTATTTAAAAGTTGCAAAGATATCATATTTACTGTATGGCCTTCATCCAGCTCCAGCTAATGTTAACACCTCACATAACCATTGTCCATTTGTCAAACCTAAGAAATTAACATTGACACAATATTATTGACTAAATTACAGGCCGCATTAAGATTTCGCCAGATTTTCCATGAATACCCCTTTTTCTAGTCCAGAATCCAGTCTAGAATATTGAATGGCACTTAGTATTTTATTCTTATTTAATGCTCCTTTTAAAATGAACACTCATGATTGGACATGAGCGTGCTAATATGGGCTATTTTGTCCAAAGGAGAGAGGCACTATTACTTCTTTTATAACCAGTATACTGTACGTCAAGGACACCTAATCACCCTAATCTCCTGGCAGACACCAAAGTGAACAGACAGAGAAGATAATCAGTTTCCCTACTTGAAAGCTGCACTTTCTGCATTCAGGGAACGCATGAGAGTAAATAAAGTGTAAAGAACAGAGCTGCTGATCAGAAAGTCTTGTTAGGCTTGTGGGAAGTAGTCCAGGTAAATGACTCACAAGAAAAGAGAGTAAATGTGGGAATCTTCTAGTGTCTCCTGATTTCAGAGAAAGTTTATAAAGAGAGACATTTGTTCATTTATTCAAATATTTATTGAGCACTTACTATTGTCAGACATTATTCCTGGTGTGAGATATTGTTTAGAATTTGTGAAAACAGTTTATTCTTTCTCAAATTAACTTCTTCCAGCAATGTAAATAAGAAATAAATTTTAATTTCTTAAAAATCGTATTACTTGATTTTAAATGACTCGAAGATAACAAATAAATACATATATTATTTTCTTGCATCATTTGATGCATTTTTTGGCTTTTTAATTTCACATATTGTATTAATAACAGCAGTGAAAGCATTAAAATTAAATATCATTTTTAAACCTTTACTTTGTACCAGGTAGTGTGTTGTCTATTTAAATTATCAAATTAAACATTTATTAAAATCCTCCAAAGTGGAGATTTATTGTTCCACTTTAAGAGGTAAGTAAACTATGACTCACAGAGGTTGGGAGAACTTTGTGATCTCTTGAATGTCAGAGCAGAGTTGGAATTTAACACCACCGTTTCTGAAAACCCACATCTTTAAGGCCAGGTTGCCTCATTCTGTTCCGAGTTGGGGATGACATTGCGAAGCCTGATGGATGGTAAGGAGCAGAGACTTAACTATTCTGGTCTAAGTTTGAATCTGGTCGTTTATAAGGGGAGCACGGAAAATGAAATGCAGTTTTGTTATTGTGGTTGAGAGTGAGAAGTTATTGAAGGATTAAGGGAATCTGAGGAGAGTGTTATAAAATGAAGGTTTAGAGAAGAGAGTTAATTTTCTAAAGAAAAAATAAATTGATCAGAAGCAAAGTCAGTAAATCTTAAGGCTTTTTGTGGTGGTAATAAAAAAACAAAACACAACACAGAAAGAAAGCTAAGAAACAGAACAGGCATGGCTTAAGGCCAGTGTGGATGGCCCCATGCCCTCATGCTTTCTCCTGAGTCCCAGCTCTGCTCTCCTCTCTCAGGGGCTGCGTCTACCTCTGTCTCAGACTGGACAGCATCCTGCGGAGGTCAAGGGTGGGCTTGGGCAAGCAATCAGAGAAGCAACAATAGCTCAAGCCGCTGCTGTACTACCCTGTGGCCTGGGCCCAGGTTTTTTTTTCTCCATTTGGCAATAAAACTGCACTGAATATGACACATAACCTTCTAGGCTGTGCTATCACTTGGTGTCCCATTAGGCCTCCTGGGGCATACGTCTAGCATGTTCTCTCAGAAGAGAGTCATGATAGGGGTAGTCCCTAAATCTGTGCCATGCTTGCTTCTGAGCAACAGAAGCAGAGGAGGGAGTACAACTCCTCTATTGCGTTTTTCTCAGGGTAGTCCAAGTCTCCTCTTTCTTCACCTCAGTCTACCTCTGTGCTTTTATTATATAGACAATAGCTATTTTATAAGAATGCAGGGAATAATTATGATAACAACCAATGTGAGTTACCCCTTTTTTTTGTTGTTTGCTTGTTTTTGTTTTTTAGTGGAGAGGGAGGATCTAGGTTTTGAAGAACTTCTCAAGATCAAATTAGAATTTGGCCTTCAGGATTATAATCCAACTTGAGAGTGGAATGCCCATAGTGAAATTACTTTGGGTACCATCTAATTGGATTGCTCTTCATTTTACAGACAAAAAAGTTAAATGCTTTTCATAAGGCACAAATTTGTCTACGGGCACAGCCGTGACTCAAACTTAGATCACCTCATTTCCAAATTAGTGTTCTTTCTACCATGATACTGAAAGAGAAGAGGTAAAAAAATGGAAAAATCCACTTACAACAAACTTCAAATTTTCCCCCCAATTTGTTTGGAACCAAAATAAATAATTTGTTAAAACTTTAAAATAATTTTTAGAGGAAAACATCAACATTTTCCACTTTTCTTGAAAGTGTTATTAGAGATCTGGGTGGTAGAAATGATTGACAATTTTAAGATCAGGGAGAAATTTCTATTATGTAAGTCATATTTCTATGACTATGTCAAGCATTCTACTTAGTCATCTATTATATCATGGTTATTATCTTCCCTCAATGTCTAAGGCAATTCAACTCCATAAAATAAAGAAGCTGTAGCCTCATAGGATAAAAAGGTATCAGGACAGAAATATCCATTTCAAGTTCCTATTTGAGAAGCCACATAGTAACATGAGACAAATATTGACACCATGGGTAGGAGACCACCACCAATAATGCATTAAGGGCAAGACTAATGAGAGACAAATAGGACAGAGCCTTATCTCCTTGCTTTGTTTTGTGCCCCAGGCACTCAACTCTGAGAAATACACCTGCCGCTATGATATTGTTATAAGCTGTGATAGTTCTCCTTATTAGTGAAAGAAATGATGGGATTGGTCTCTGTTCTCATTTGCCATTTAGCTTATTATAGCTTGTTCTTATATAAGGTCTATAGGGGTGTATATATGTTAAATAACTGTGATATCTACAGTTGAATTCATTTATTCTTAATCATTTTTGAGAAGAAAGAAAAGTTTCCTGATTTTGTTGTTGTTATTGTGCATGGGAGAAGATAAAACATATATTTAGACTGGTAAGATTAACTTTCTAAGGACTTTGACTCTGTAAAACGAGGACACAGGATTAAATTATCTTAAAGATATTTTCCAGCACACAAGCCACAAGATTTATAACATATGTATATCGCTATTTCCTCTCTTCTTAGTGATGAAAAGGATAGGTCTTGAAAATTTATGAGAAAAAGGAGGAAATACATACACTCACACATTTTTTTTCTCTCTGCTTCTCTGTATCTTTCTCTCTTCACACACATGCATACCACAAACTCTCTGCTGGAACTTGGACTCTATGGATTCTTTAAATTATCTCATTTCATCCTTTCAGCAATCTTAAGAAGTATATAATTTTATTCCTTTTAAAGATGAAGAAGACAGGTTCAAAGAGAATAATTAATTTCCCCAAACTCATACAAACATTGGCAGAGATGAAAATACATTATGTGATTCCCAAATCTATGGCTTTACATGGTACTAGAGGATCAGTTGAAAGGCATGGAAATTAGGTAAGAATGACAAAAGGTAAGTCACATTGCCTTCATTCTGAAGTCTACGTTTTATTGCTCTTTCTTGACAATTTCTTTGTCTCCCTGCCGTCTCTTTCTCACATTTATTTCTTTCCAAAGTCATTTTACATTTTCTTAGTCCATCTCTCTGATTCCAAAAGAAGATAAACATATAAGACATACAAGATGAATGCCACCTGTATTTCCAATCTTCCTTTGTTTCCTTTTTTTTTTCTTTTTTCTTTTCTTTTTTTTTTTTTTTGAGATGGAGTCTCTCTCTGTTGCCAAGGCTGGAGTACAGTGTTGTGGTCTCAGCTCACTACAACTTCTGCCTCCGGAGTCCAAGCGATTCTTGTGCCTCAGCCTCCTGAGTAGCTGGGATTACAGGGGTGTGCCACCATGCCCAGCTAATTTTTGTATTTTTAGTAGAGATGGGGTTTCACCACGTAGGCCAGGCTGATCTTGAATTCCTGACCTCGTGATCTACCTGCCTTGGCCTCCCAAAGTGCTGGAATTACATGGAATTACAGCTGTGAGCCACCACACCAGGCCTTCCATTGTTTTCTTACTAGTTCATTTTTGAAAAATAACACAATAAAGTGTAAAGGACACAGATTTGGCTTATTAGTTTTTTAGTTGATAATTTCATACTGATAAGCTATCTCCTATGATTATTATGAAGACTCAGTTGCATAGCCCACTTGAATGAAGCATTTAGTGCAGAAAGCCTAGTGTATATACTTCATTAAAAAGGATAAATTAGGCCGGGTGTGGTGGCTCACACTTGTAATCCCGGCTCTTCGGGAGACCGAGGCAGAGTGATCGTTTGAGGCTAGGAGTTTGAGGCCAGCCTGGGCAATATAGCAAGATCCCACATCTACAAAAATTACAAACTATTAGCCTAGTGTGATGGTGCGCACCTGTAGTCCCAACTCCTTGGGAGGCTGAGGTGGGATGACTGCTTGAGCCCAGGAGTTCAAGGCTGCAGTGAGCTATGATTGCACCATTGAACTTCAGGTTGGGTGACAGAATGAGACCCTGTCTCAAAAAAAAAAAAAGGGCAAGTTATTTTTTCCCTCAGTACTGATGAAATATAAAATGGAGAATGTTAGGAGAGAAGAGAATGCAAGAAGTGGATGTGATTGCCTAGCCTATGCAGTTGGAATGCCAGTTTTCCTTTCCAGTATGTCTTGGACTTAGTGGAGAATAGATTCTCTAAAGGGACACTGGGGAATCTGCCCTGTGGAGGGTTGTGCTAGGAGCCGTCAGGCTCTCTTGGCAGCTGGTGCAGCTGTGCTTGAAGAGCTCCTTGTTATGCCCACGTGGACCCAAGTGGCATCACCCACTCTGTTTTCACACCTCATCCATTATCTCTCTATTAATAATGCATTTTGGGTGTGACCAGCTGATAACATTCATTAAAGGCTTCAGGAAATTTTTGTAGCTTAGGAAGTAGTATTACTAGAGATTTAGAGGTCACCAGATATATTTACTCCTTTGTTCTGTCTTACACAGATCTAATCATTCTTTCATTCATCCAACATTTATTGAGTATAACTGTGAACCAGGCAACAATGGTAAAAATAAAATAACAAACAACAACAAACACAACAACTAATATTAATTGGATGTTTTCCATGCCAGGTATTTTATATTTTAAGCACTTTGTATTAATTAATTATTTAGTCCTCAGAACTACGCTGTGAAGGAGATACTATTATCACCGTCACATTTATGAAGTGAAGATGCTGAGGATACAGCTTATAAGTGATGGGTGCAAGTTGAGAACTGAAACAGATATAAACTTTTCCTTCACAAAAAATACATACTCCAGCAAAGAAGAAAAACTGGCAAATAAATAATTGGAAAATAAACTACATACTGGTGCTTATTATTGCACTGTACCATCTCCCCTGCCACAGTAGTGATTAACTTTGACTAGGGGCATTAAAACAAGGTATCCCATTTAAGTTGCAGCTTGAAGGATGATTTAAAAATATCACCTAGTAGACAAAGCAGAAAAAAGCATCCTAGACTGATATTCTAATTCATGGCATATGTAGAAAAATGAGAGTAGTTCAGAATAAATTGTTAGGAAAAGTTGGAGTTAGTGAAATCCAAAGGGTGCCAATCATTACAGATCTTGAATATTGTAGAATTTTAGATTTTTATACACCTGACAAAAAATAAGAACTTTCGGAGGTTTATAACCAGACAAGTGGCATGATGTAATTTACGTTGTAAATGGATTAAGAGGAAAGAAACTGAGGACTGGGGAAACCTATTAGGAGAAACTTGTTAGTCTGGGTTAGATATGATAAAGAACAGATTGGTGATTGTTGAATTAAAAATAGAGATGAGGGGGCAAATGTAACTGATATTTACAAGTTAAAATTTTCAAGACTTGGTCAGTAGGAAGAAAAATTGAAGGTGGAGTGCAAAGAGAAGCAGAGTCAAGAGACTAAGAGGAAAAAAAATGCTGGTCATGTTTGATTTTGTATTATAATTGAAGCTCAGCTGCAACCCCTGCCTCTGTGACTTGGTTACATAAATCCTCCTTTTGTTCTATGCTAATTCCCGTTGGATTTTTGGCATTTGTAGCAAAAATATTTTTGACTAGTATACCCAGGAACCACAAACATTTAAATTTTAGGAAGTAGAAGAGACATTCCAATACAAGATCTGACCCCTCTGTTGTGGATGAATGAAGTTGAATATTCAGATGAACAGATCATTCAGCTTTCAAGGCTTAAAAATATAATGCCCTTATGGATCTTTTGATATGAGAGACCTAGAGATGCAGATTCTTAATCAAAGCTTGTTCCATTGCATGAAAAAGATATGAAGAACAGATTCTAGAAGACTGTCACTGTAATTCATACTATAAATTGAGGCGCTGTGATTGATATTGTAATGAACTAGATTAAAACGTGAACAAAATTTGTGAAATATTGAAGCAATAGAAATCATTTAGCATGAAGAAAGAAAGGCCAGAACACAAAATTACTGTTTTGAATTATTGGAAATGCTCTGAAATGGAGCTCCATGACAAATATTTCTTTCTTTCTACCAAAAAGAGCAAGAGGAAATGGATTCAAGTTGAAGCCGGATCTATTTAGGTGAATTATACTAGAGAGCTTCCTGACCTTGAAGGCTATTTGGCATAGGGATGGATTCCAGGTCAAGGAATCCCTTTCTCCAGAGAGAGAATCAGAAGGATGAAGGGGATTTAGGAAGTCATTTAGGCATATGAAAATTGATCTCCGTTTTAAAGAGCAAGGCCCTTGAGGAAGAAATGCCGTGACTTCACTCCGGTGTCTAACATCCTCACTCGTTACTCACGTCTAGCTTGGTGTGATAGCTTCAAACCATTTCCTTATTTTCTCTTCTTGGTTGAGGCAGAGAATAATCATCCAGGACCTTTAAACTTCTTAGTTACTCTAAGGGTGAGTATTCAATCAGCATTCACATCGTCTTTTGCAGGCTCAATATTCCCCTTTTTGTAAACTTTACTCATAAACATTACTTCCTAATCTTTTAATTGTCATCGTGGTTCTCCTGTGAGAAGGTTTTTTAAAGACTTTCATATCTGTCTGTACTTTGGAGACCCAACCTAGATACGATGATCTAATGAGAATTTTAAGTGCTGAATATCGTATACCAGGTGCTTCTGAGTTTGTAAACAATTTTACTCCTGTTCACATGATTCAACATCCCACACTTTTTAATTTTTTAAAAACAACAATAACATAAATTATGTGTACTTACATTTAGTTTGCTACATTTGTTTTCTTCTTTCACCTTGTTTTTCCTTAAGTCTTTAATGTAATTCCGGGCATACAGTAAAATACATAAAGTGTGAAGCATCATGAAGCATGAAAGAATGAATCAATGTTCTAATGAATACATTTCATATAGGTGTTTGTGGGTTGTTGGAAAGATACAATTAGATAATTTATGTTATAGTTCTTTATAACTTGAATGCACTCTTCTCTTGCATCCAGATCATATGAATATAATTTGAATATTAAAATATTATATTCAAATATTCAGTATTCAGTATTTAACCTGTAGTTCATAATAATTTTGAAATTCTTTGTTTTTGACAGTATGTACATTCAAGAGCTGGATTTTCTAATTTGTTTATTGTTAGTTATTAAAAGCATATATATATTTATGCAGAAAGTAGTATTTTTTGAAACAGTATAATAAAAGTAAATGTCTCCTACCACCTCCTCTGATTCCCAGTACCAATCATTTTCCGGGTGTAACTATTGTCAATAATTTTTTCTATTTTCTCCTGTGTTACACAAATGGTGTTATATTGTATATATTATTTACTACCTTGTTCTTTTACTTTTTCTCCATTGTGTATGGTACCTTAACATATATACAGACTCTGACCACTTCTAATCCTCTTCTGCCATCATCCCATCCCAAACCATCATTGCTTGTGAATTATTGCAATTGTCTTCTAATTTGTTTCCTTGCTTCCACTTTTGCCCCCCTCACCCCAGTTTATTCTCCTCACAGCAGGCAGAGTGATCTTCTAAAAACAAGACAGATCCTTCGTTTTCTTGCTTTTAGCCTCTCATTCAGTGTTAAAGCCAAATCCTGAGAGTAAGCAGTGCTTCGCTTTCTACAACTTCTGTGGCATTATCATAATATCTTTATCATTATCCCACAAATTCTCTCAATCAGCCCAGCCTCCCTACTCTCCTGAAATAGACCAGGCATAATTCCTTCAAATCTGTGCCCTGCTGTTTTATCTGCTCAGAGTGCCCTCCCTTCTAATGTCCACAGAGCGAATTCTCTCATTGCCTTCTCATCAGAGTGCAGATGTCACCTTTCCAGCAGAGATTTGATTAATGGCCACATAAGCCTGTGTAGACATAAGCCCCTTTCACTCATATTGGGATCTCTCTCTCTGTTCTGGCACAGGGTGTGGGGGACAGGGTAATTACATTTTCACTCTGAGAGAGTCGGGTGAGGCCATGTGACTTCCTTTGGTCAATACAATGTAAACAGGAGTGACAGGTGAAAGCATTTAAAAGTCAGTGGGCGATTCTCCATGACCCCTCTTTCCTTGCCTTGACACTTGCTGCACACACCACCACATGGATCCCTGAGTGATCACTGCATAGAGCTACAGCTGTCCACATGAAAATCACTGGACTAGGGTGTGAATGAGTGGTATTCATTCTGTTTTTTTGTTTGTTTGTTTGTTTGTTTGTTTGTTTTTAGATGGAGTCTGCTTTGTTGCCCTGGCTGGAGTGCAGTGGCACGATCTCGGCTCACTGCTACCTCCACCTCCTGGGTTCAAGCAATTCTTCTGCCTCAGCCTCCCGAGTAGCTGGGACTACAGGCAAGTGCCACCACATGTGGCTAATTTTTACATTTTTAGTAGAGATGGGGTTTCACCATATTGGCCAGGCTGGTCTCAAACTCTTGACCTCGTGATCTGCCCACCTCGGCCTCCCAAAGTGCTGGGATTACAGGTGTGAGCCACCGCGCCTGGCCAATTCTGTTTTATACAAAAAAGATTTTGGGGTTTGTTACCAGAGTTTACCTAGTTTACCCTGGCTTATGCGTTGCCACCTTTCTTCTTGACTTTCCTTAAGCTCTTTATGATTCTCCAAAGCACTTAAACTACCTGGCATATTTGTTTATGGTCTGTGTATACCTCTTAGAGGACAGGAGCTTTGTTTTTTTCACTATTGTATCTCAGTATTTAGAAAAGTACCTGGAATATAGTAGACACTCCATTAGTTATTTGATGATTTAATAAATGGACTGTGTAACAACAGAGTATGATCATTCTACATCAGCATGTATAAGGTCTACCTTATTTGTTTCTCAGTTGTATGGATGTGTTGTAGATTGTATGGATAGGTACAGATTACTATGGTATTATTTCTATTTTTTGTCTATATTAAAATATGCTATAATGGAATATTTTAAACTATTTCCCCACAAGTGTGTGAAATTATATCTTTAGGGTAAACATCAAAAGCATTTAGAATCAAGGTATAAGTTAATTTTTATTTAAAATTTTAATTTTCTTGTTTATTGCCAAATTGCTGTGAAAAGAGACTGAGGCAAACTAGAGAACATGACTGTATAAGAGTATGAATAGATTATATGAGAATGAATAGCCCAGAGGAAGAAATATTTTTGATGTTTAAAGTTTGTCAAGGGAACTTGACATCGAAGTTTGGACTAAACTGGAAAATCTGAAGAAAATATGTATCTGTGAGGTGTGTATGTATAAAGGTGTTGATTCTATACATCCATATGAATGTCCCTGATAATGTCACCATTCTCTTCCTCATTAAAAACACATGTAGAATCTAGTTTGGTTTGTGATTCTGATCAGTGTTTGTCAAATGTCGCTCTGTCAAACATGATTTGCGTGGATACCGATGAGGCCATGCAAAAAGGTCATGCCGAGAAAGCTTGAGATTCTTAGTCATTCAGAAAGTAAGTTATTACCCTTGTTGCATAAAATTCACAAGGCATATTCTATATGTCCATTCCAGCTTAGATAGATTTAACTGTTTTACTCATTCTGAGAAATAAGAACACCCCAATAAATAACACAGCAAACAGTAAATGATTTGCCTCAACCCACACAGGAAGTCACCAGTATACAAGAATAGAACCAAAAGTTACTAATTCCCTGTCCTTTGCTAATCTCACTAAATAATTTGTTAAAACACTTCAAAGCCTTTCTTTCAAAGTCAACGGAAAACTTTTCATGAAAGTCTGAACATCTAAAATTCACCTTCTAAAGGAAGACTATATTTAAAAAGTGTTGCTAGAAAACAAATGTTGCAATTTTATGTTGCACTGCTACTCTTTGCAAGTGTCAGCCTCTTTCTTAGCTGTGTTTCCATTCCTTCTGCTTCCTGCCATACCCTTGGGGCAAGGTAGGGAAGGAGCTATCTAAAGGGAGAGACCTAGTGAGTCTGTCCTGGACACCATTCCATCTGCTCTTCTGTCCCAGTGCCAGGAGGCATTGAAAAATTAGTCATGTAGTCAATGAGTGAGTGAAAAAAAAAGATACATTTAAAAATAATGCTGGGAGGAGAGGAAAATGGGAAGTGACTGCTTAATAGGTAGGAGATTTTCCTTTGGGGTAATGAAAAAGTTCCAGAACTAGATGTTGGTGATGTTTGCACAAAATTGTGAATTTAATGCCTCCAAATCATATACTTTAGAATAAATATAATGGTAAATTTTATGTGTATGCTACCACAATAAAAAATGTTAAAGGGAAAAATTTCAATTAAAAATTATTTGCTTCTTACCGCCTATCTGAGAAACAAAATTTTATCTGCTAAGAAACATCCTTTTTGAGTGTTAGCTATTACTTCAGGTAAATTTGCAAATGAAGATATTTTAAATCAAATGCACATGTTATTCCCACACAGAGGCTTTACAAATTCTTAGTTTATTATTTTAGCATTGATTAGTTTTACCCTTTCTAGAGCTTCATATAAATGAATTCATTCAACATGTACATTTTTGTGTAAGCCTTCTTTCACTCAGCAGAATGCTTTTGGATTGTCTTATTTAGTCATATTTTTTCGAGACTAAAATAAAGCTAACACCAGCAAGCCTTTAATGAAGTCCTCCCTGTGCTTATGAAAATGACATTACTTAAATCTGTCATCTCAGAAAAATACTAGCTGTGAAATCCAGACCTCATCTAGGGATAAATAAAATTTTTCTTCAAGATACCAAGCCCTAGGAGAACATGTATTTGGGAATTTTACATAAATCATGATGATGCTGAAAGGTACCAACCCATTTTTGTTTTGCTCTGAGCCCTTGGAATTGCATACAGGAATTTGTTCTGGAGTCAAAGGTGTAGTGTTCCCTTTGAAGTCAGTGAGAGCTCCTGCTTAGATCAGGCCTGTGAGGAATGGAGCAAAACCACATACAGGCAAATTCCCATCCTTTGCCCATTAAAAACAAAACAAAACAAAACAAAAAACAAAAAACAAAAAAACCATGCATCTGGTTGCAATGATGGGTACCAAATCTTCTGTCTGGATATTTTATCTTTTCTTATTTGAAGTGTGAAGTATCACATTCTTTAAAAGCAGCATGATACACTTAAAATACTGCAAGTCCTGTTTTCTAGATAAAATTGCAATCACAAGGAGAGTTGACAAAATTGAATTCTGTTACTAAGCAGTTGTATTTCAAGCTTCAATTCAAGTACTTCAAATTTACTTTAAATGACCTGATGCAAATATATGATTTAGATCTTTAAGAACTATAGAAGCTCTGCCAGGTTCCATTATTTAGTCTTGAAAGTTCCATTATTTCCAGACATCCCAAAGTAAGAATCTGCCAAGAAATGGGAGGAACAGAAGGTCCTATCAAAAGGTGTCCTGCCAGGGAGATGACAAGATAGATATAATTTCAACACCATCCTAATTTGCTTTGCTGACCAGAAAGAGAAGATTCCGGCTTTCTCCATCAACAAAATCCTCCACAACTGAGAACTTTATTTTAAATCCTGTCAGCTGAGTTCTCCTACTCCCCACAGATGCCTGCATTTTCCAGGTGCAAAACATTAGTTAAATTTTGAAAATGCTTTCTATGGGTTGTGGGGTGACTGTGACAAAAGGGTTTTTGGGAAATAAACTTAATTTGTTTTTACCTTTATGGAACTCATTTATAAATGTATTTTTAAAATTAAATTATGCCATTAGAGAATTTTTTAAAGTTTTAAAGTAATCTTGCGCTCTAGGCTGGATATCAAAGTAGTTTCTTAGAGAATGTGAGACGTCTCTGTTTTTGGAGATGTTTAAAATAGGCTAGATTTTCATCTGTCTAGATGTAGGACAATACAGTTTATAGCAGGATGTGGAATTAGATGACATTACAATTAATTACATTAAATTATTTGTAAATCCATTATAATAAATAAATAATGTAATTTTCCACTGAATAATAAATTGCAAAAATATTTTTAAACATATTTTCTGGAATAATAGCAATTAATTTACCAAATTGTAGATTTATACATCAATGTTTCAAAAGCATTTTCTTTATTTTAATTTCTTTCTTATAGTAGATAATAAACAATACATGGGTTGACTTATTGACCTCTGTTAAATTTAGAGAAAGGTTAATTTTAATTAAATAAATATTATAACTTTATATTTTTACTAGAAATTTACCACTTATTTTACAGCTTACTTTTTTAATCAACACTTTTTCCCCTGTAAGGTTTTTTTTTTTTTTTTTTGAGATACAGCCTCCCTCCCTCTTAGAGTCTGGTCAGTTATTTTGCAGAATGTCTCTGTGCTGCATTTGCCTGATGCTTTCTCAGTATTAGACTAAATTTATGCCCTTTTGCAAGAACATCACAGAAGTGATATTTTGCCCTTTTCAGTCATCATGAGGTACATAATGTAAATTGGTCTCATTACTGATGATTTTTAACTTTAATCATTTGGATAAGGTAATGTCTCTCAGGTTTATCCACGCTAAAATTATAATTTTTCTCTTCATAATTAATAATTATCTTGTAAGGAGATACTTTGAGACTATGCAGATATGCTATCTCATTGTATTTCTATTTGCTAATTTCAACCTCTATCAATGATTTTTGCCTGCAACAGTCATTAATGTTGTGTTTTTCAAATGCTGGTTTTTATTTCCATTATTGGACTTTTATTGTAAGGAAAATTTGTCTTTTCTTCACTTATTATTTATTTTTAGTTGATATTAAATGTTTACTAACATCTTTTTCAACTTCAAGGAATTACTATATTTTTCTAATGTTTTAAACTGAATAGTTAACTCATTTATTTTGAGCCTTAATTTTTTTCTTTTTTTCAATTGCTGCATAATAACTGTTCATATTTTGGTGGTGCATGTGATATAATTTGATACATTCATATAATCAAATTAGGGTAATTGGGATATTCATTTTCTTAAATGATTATCTTTTCTTTATGCTAGGAATACTTGAAATATTTTCTTCTAGCTACTTTGAAATGTGCAATTGATTAATGATAACTATAGTCACCCTGCTGATCTATGAAATGTAAGCATTGAAGCTATGATTTTTCCCCTGAGACTTTCTTTTTTTTTAATATAACCTCTTTTAGGTAGATCTTTTCTGGGATTTCATTTTAAAATATTCCTTATAAAGTTATTTTATATTCTGTATCAGTTTATCAATTTCTAACAAAATCTAATGTGAATTTTAATTAGGATTACATAAAGATTTATAGTATAATTAGAGAATAATTGCTATCCAACAATATTAAATATTAAAATCCATGAACATAGTATTAATTTATTAAATTCTTTAATTCCTTTTGCAAAAATGTATACATTTATTGTACACTCTTGCATATATTTTATTAAATTTATACCTAACTATTTTTGATGCTATTCTAAGTGAAATTTTAAAAAATAATCTCTAGTTCTTCATAGCTAGCATGTAAAGCTACAATAGATTTTCATATTTTGTTCTTTTATCACATGGCCTAGCTAAATTTCCTTACCTGTTTTAGTAGTTATTTTATAAGATTTCTTAGCAATTTTAACATACATGATAATGCTGAATGCTAATATCTATAGTTTGTTTACCTCTTCCTTTCCAATATATAAGACTTTTCTTTCTCTTATTTTATTGCTATGGCTTGGATTTCCATTTCAGTGGTAAAAACAGATATCCTTGTCTAATTTCTAATCTTTGGGTGAAAATATTTAATCTGTCACCATTAAAAAATGAGGTTAGGAGTAGATATTTCATAGTTACCTTTATTTGGATGAGGAAGTTCCTGACTGTTCTATTTGCTGATTTTAAATTATGAATAGATTTTCAGTTTTGTTAAGTTCTATAATAGTCATCATCTAGATCGTAATTTATTTGCTAAATTGTGGAACAACATTGATCTTTGTATTGTAAAACAACCCTTCAATTCTAGGACAATCCCTACTTAGTCAAAATATTTAAAAATACATATTGTTTGTTTCCAGTTTGAATATATACTGCTGATTTACTAATTGTTTTAAAAGATTTTAGTCTGTAAGGAAGATTTTAAGTGATGAATTCAATTTTAAACAATGTAACTACATTTTGACATTGTATTTCTTAAATAAATTTTGGTAGCTTGCATCTTTTAATGAATGTGTCCACTTGATCTGTTTTCAAATAAATTGGAATAAAGTAATTAATAAAATTCCTTATTATAATTTAATGTCTGTAGGATCGCTAATGATGTCTCCTCTTTATGCACAATATTGGTAAATCTTCTTTCTATTTTTCTGAACCAGTCTAGCAGGGTTTCATCAATTGTATTGATCTTTATAAATGCTTATATTACATTTAAAAATTGTCTCCATGGTTTATTTTATTTGTTTTTATTTATCATTATTATTACCTCCACTCTACTTACTTCAGTAGTGCTTTAGCTGCACCCTACAAATGTTGATATGTTGTGCTATTCTTTTCATTTAGTTCAAAATATTTTCTGATATTATTTATAATTGCTATATTAACCCATGAGTTTTTAAAAATAATATTGTTTACTTTTCAAACCTTTGGATATTTTCCAGATAACTTTTTAATAGTGATTGATTTTTAATGTAATGCCATGTGGTCAAAAACATACTCTGTATGTTTTTAATTCATTAATAATTAATGAAATTTATTAAAGAGATTAATAAATTCATCCATGAACTTATTAATTTTTTTAAGTGTAACCGATATTCTCTTCAATTAAATGTTCTAAGAGCACTTGATATGAATATGTTTTCTTTTGTGGTGTGGTGTACTGTTCTATACCTATCAATGTTGATTTGGTTGGTAGTGTTTTTTGTTTTCTATATACTTTTTGATTTTCAGTTTTCTTGTTCTATTAATTATCAGAGAGGTCTGTTAAATTTAAAATTACAATTGTAGTCTTTTCTGTTTCTGTATTCATTTCTGTTAGTTTTGCTTGATTTACTTTGAAACTGTAATCATGTGCATACACATTTATATTTGTTATGAATTGATTCTTTTATTAAGATGCCCTTTTTTTATGTCTCACAATATTTCTTGCAAGGAGACTACTGTGTCTAATATTATTATCACTATTCCTTCTTTCTTGTGATTATTGTTTGCACAATATATATTTTTTTCACTTTCTACTTAATGTACCTTTGTGTTATGGACTGAATTGTGCCCTTCCCTCAAATTCATATGTTGAAATTCTAATCCTCCAAGGTGACTGTAATTGGAGAAAGGACCTGTAAGGAGATAATTAAGGTCAAATTAATCTATAAAGGTGAGAACCTAATTCTAATCCTGGTGTTCAGTGGTGTAAGAGTGGAAGAGACACCAAAGACCTCACTCTCTTCTTTTGTGCATAGAGGACTGGCCAAGTAAGGACACAGCTGAGAAAGCAGCCTGCAAGCCATTAAAGAAGACCTCACTAGAAAACAACACTGGCACCTTAATCTTGGACTTCCAGACTCTGCAAAGGTGAGAAAATAAATTTCAGTTGTTAAAGCCACCCTTTCTATGGTATTTTGTTATGGCTGCTCAAGCAGACTAATATATTCTATTTAAATATTTAAAGTATATTTCCTATAGATAGCATATAGTTGGGTCTTGCTTCTTTGGAAAAACATAATCTTAAAATCTCCGTCTATGAATGGAGTGTTTAGGTTATTTATATTTAATATTGATATTAATATTGTTGGGTTTATATACTGTTAGGTTGTTTTGCATTTGCCCGTCATCTTTATTTTTGCCATTTGTCTAAGTGTTATTTTTTACCACCTTTTAGTATTCTATCTAATCTCTTCTCTTGGCTTATTTACTCTTTGATATGGTTTGGCTGTGTCCCCACCCAAATCTCACCTTGAATTCCCACGTGTTGTGGGAGGCACTAGGTGGGAAGTAATTGTATCATGGGGGTAAGTGTTTCCCATACCGTTCTTGTGATAGAGAATAAGTTTCATGAGATCTGATGGTTTTCAAAGGAGCATTTCTCTGCACAAGCTCTCTTCTCTTGTCTGCTGCCATGTAAGACTTGCATTTTACCCTGCACCATGATTGTGAGGCCTCCCCAGCCATGTGGAACTGTAAGTCCATTAAACCTCTCTCTTTTGTAAATTGCCCAGTTTCAGGTATATCTTTATCAGCAGTGTGAAAACAGACTAACACAGTCTTCCTTTTTTGTTTTATTTATTTTTAAGTGGTGGCTCTACAATTTACTTTATGCATTTTTGTCCTTTTCACAGCCTGTCTTCAAATTCAATTATATCACTTCATGTATAATGTAATTACCATGGTATGCTATATTTTCCTTTGCCCTTCCCATCATTGGTGCTGATTTTATTGTACATCTTCCTTCTATGTATGTTACAAATCTCAATATATTGTTACTTTTTTTGTTTTTCAAATAAATATGAAAATTAAATAGACAAGAAAATATTTTTATATTTACTAATAAGCTTATAATTTTCAGTGCGTTCTATTCATTTTGTAGATCCAAGTTTTCATCTGGTGTTGATTTCCTGTAGCTGGAAGAACTTCCTGTAGCTTTTTTTTCATTACAAATTCTCTCTGCTTTTGTTTGTCAGAAATGTTTTCATGTTGCTCTCATATAATAAAGATGTTTTCATTGTGTATAAATTCTAGTTTGACTTTTTTTTTTCTTTCTCAGCTACAGATATGTCAGTTTTTTATGTGTCCTGGCTTGGATTTTTTTCAGATGAAAAATTACTGATTAATCTTTACATTGTTCCACTTCATGTAATGAATTTTTTTCTCTGATTCACTGTTTTTTTGTCAATTCGATTATGATGTTCCCTTGTGTGTTTTCTTGTTTTGTTTTATCCAGGTTTTCTTTTACTGAGCTTTTTGAATCTCTGGTTTTGTAGACATTATCGATTTTGGAAAATTTAGCTATTATTTTTTATAATATATTTTCTGTCTCTTTTCTTCTTGGACTCATATTTTATGATAAACTGCTTTATATTTTCCCGCAGGCCAGAATCTCTTAGTTTCTTTTTAATTTTTAATTTTTGTTTTAATTTTCTACCTTTTTGTTGTCTATGCTTTGGTTTGTATTATTTCCATGGCCATTAACTTATATTCATTGGTCTTTTCTTTGCCATGTTCAGTCTGCTACTAAAACCATCAAGTGAAGTTTTTGTTTCAGATATTGTATTTTTCCTTTCTACTAGTTCCATTTAGTTCTTTTAAAAATCTTCTGTTTTATTTCTCATTATGTTCATATTTCCCTTTAAATCTTTGAATGTATTTGTAGGAATTATTTAATTCTTGTCTGATAATGTTGTCTTTTTTGGTCTCTTTCTAGTTGTTGAATTTTCAATTGATTATGTGTCATATTTTTCTGCTTCTTCACATAATATTCAAAACATTCACTACCCAATAAAAAATTATTTGATTTATGTGATTTTTTTATTAGGTAGTGAATGCATTTAATTTTATGTTGTTGATGCTAGATTTTATTGTTTCCAGTGTTTTGATTTAGTGTTTTAGAATTTGTTTTCCCAGTCCGTTAAATTACAAGTGAATTAACTTAATCTTTTTGATGCTTGGTTTATGTTTTGGTTAAAGTAGATCTGAATAGTCTTTACATTAGAACTAGTTTAGTCCTCTTACTAAAATGAGAAGTGTCTATTGAATGTCCTCAATGTTCACATGGGAGTTTTTATCCTTACTGGTTGGAAATTGAATATTTCTAAATTATGTATGATCTCTAGAAATTTTAAACTACATTTTACCTGTGCAAAGCTTAGATTGTAGCACAGATTCACAGGAATGCCGATTTCTGGAACTAATTATCTGTATATCCCTCATTCCTGATTGTCTACCATACAAATCCCAGTCCTTTCGGCCACCTCAAAGTATAATGTATATCTCCTTAACTTAGTGAGCCTACGTGTTCTATTTATGATTCTCTTTCCTGTCCAGAAAGTTCCTTCTGGCCCAAACTAGGGCAATTGTAGGCCTCATCTTCTGGGTTCTGCTCAGGGACCCAGGCCTGCTCTATGTATTGTTTAATATTTGAAACTCTTATCTTACAGATCTTAGGTTGTGAATTCATACATGGCTGATTTTAATTTTTGTTTATTTTCCTGTAAGATAAGAGTGCAACAAACCTCAGATCAATTTATCTCCATTTTAAGATCCCTGGCCCAATATAGAAATCTCAAATTCTGCACCTTCATAGTGCACTCACCTCATGATTATTCCTATTTTGGCAGAGTTTATTTAGTCTTTTGTCCTCAGACAACTCTTTCTTTTAAGCATGTTTATTGCCAACCATTTTGAACTCAGCTTTATTTTTTTATAGGTGATGTATGTGACTGACCCTAGAAGATTTACTTTTTATCCAAGAAAATGCAGTGTTATAATAAAAAGCATTTTTATGAAGGATTTAGTTGTGTGTAACAGGAAGAGCTTTCAGATTATTTTATTCATTATGTCGCTGAGCTTGAAATTCTTCTGAATTTTGACTATTAAGTCAATTTGTAGATATTTTAATGTTATATTTGGATTTGGATTATGTTAGTGTTTTTTAAATCATGCAGTTAGTTAATTTCATGTTTCTCCCAAGTTCCTGTATCTTACTGTGTTAATTTTATGTTTCTTTTTTGTTTTCACTAACAGTTTGGGCATCCTGATGGTTAATTTTATACATCAACTTGCCAGAGCCATGCTGCCTACATATTTAGTCAAACGTTATTCCAGATACTTCCATAAAGATGCTTTTCTTTTTAGATGAGAATAGCATTTAAATCTGTGGATTTTAAGTAAAGTAGATTGTCCTCCATCATAATGTGGGCTTCATATAATCAGTTGAAGGCCATAATAGAACAAAAGCTGACCTTTCCAGAACAAGAGGGAATTCAGCTAGCAGACTGCATTTAGACTTCAATTGCAACTTGTCCTCGAGCCTCCAGCGTGCTGATCTACCCCATTTTATTTGGATTCTTCAAATCTCTGCAATCACATGAGCCAATTCCTTAATATAAATCTCTCTCTCTCTTTCTTTACACATACACGCACACACACACGCACGTATACACACACACACTGTGTTGGTTTTGTTTCTCTGGCAAATCCTGATCAATGCAGGGATATATATTTAAGTGATATTATTTTAATGGCTACACGCACATTTTTAACCTGCAGTCACAACTCAACAGTATCTACATGTCTATATTTCATCACTATCTCTACTGTTTCCCCAGTCCTTAACTCTCTTAGGCAGTTTAGGCTGGTGTAATAAATATGCCACAGACTGAGTGGCTTAAACAACACACATTTATTTCTAACAGTCCTGGAGGTTGGGAAGTTAAGCATCAAGATGCGGGCAGATCTGGGCTTGAGGAAGAGCCCTCTTCATGGTTTGTAGACAGCCTTTTCCTCCCTGTATCCTCACAAAGCAGAGAGGAAGCATGTGCTCCTGTGTTTCTTCTTGTAAGGGCACTATTCCTATTCATGAGGGCTCCATATTCATGACTTTCAAATTACCAAGGCTCCAACTATCATCACACTGGGAATTAAGCTCTAATATATTAACTTCGGAAGAATACATTCAGACCATAAGCACTACCCACAATTGGCCATTAACTCCCACTACCCATCCTATTCTACCTGCTATTGCTTTCTTGCACTTTAGTTTACCTTTTTGATCAACTAAAATTATTTATCATTGTCTTTATATCTTTGTTTTCTCACATATGTACAATTTTTTATACTCATTACTTCTTTAATTCCATTTATTTCTCATGATTTAATTACCTTTATTCTAAAGTTAAGCCTTTACTATTTTTCAGCAATGGTTCATGAGTAAAACATTTTATCTTTATTGGGATATGCCTTTTGTTTACTTAAATTGTAATGATGATCTAAATGGATGTAAAATTTTTATGAATAGTTCACAATTATTTTATCTTAATTTGTTGAAGATATTGTTACTGTAGTGAATTAAATTTTCAGTCTGTAGAGATATTCCTTAGTTGTTTTTAAGTTTTTTTCTTTTCTTTTAGTTTTCTGTAGTTTCATTATGATGTGTGTAATTGTAGGATTGCTTTTACTTAACATCTTTGAGACTTTCTTGTTTTTCTTGATGCTGATGATTTTATACTTTTGTAGTAACTGTACAGTCTTGACCTTAAGATCTTCTATTTTAATGCCTTATTCATTGTCTCTTTATTCTTTTTATTGTGAGTATTCCGGCTCTTCTCATGTTATTCTTTATGCATTTTAACATCCTTTTCAAATTGTTATGTCTTTTCACTCCTTGTTCCATCTACAAAACTTCCTCAGTTTTATGTTCTAATTTATGAATCCCTTTTAGCTGGGTATAGTCTACTATTTAATATAGCCATTTATTTTGTATTTTAATATTTATTTCCTGCATTTCAAGTTCTAGCCTATATACTTTTTCAAGATTGCATATTGTACTTCCACAGTTTTTTTCACCAGTGTTTTAAACAAATGTGTCTCCTTCTCAAATTGTTCTGTAATTCCAAACACTTAAGTTCTAATTCTGCTAACTTTCACTATTGTTGGATATATCTTATATATTTTGCAATTTTTGACTATGAACTCTTGAGTGGAATTATGTATATGAAAGAAAGAGACAGTGGGGGAGGGGAGAAATGTCATGTGTTCTGACTGAACTAGAAATCTTTTTTTTAGTTTTATTTGTTTGCTTTCTGTGCCCCTGCCAGAAGCCTCAGTCAATTACTGGCCTGTTATAAAGGTCTTTCTGAAAATTTAAGCACATGGTTCCCATATTATAGGAAAATTGTAACTAAAAGCCAGAACCATGTGAGTAAAAAATAAAATGTGTTTTTAAGTTTTCTGGAGAAATATATTTTTTTTTACTGAGAGCACAGACAAAGGCAGACTCTGTTTTTATTTTCTTCGGAGTTAATAGAGTTTTATTTTCTAGTTCAACCTGTAGGGTCTTGATTTTGACAGTGTGTGCATGTATGCGTGTGTGTCAGTTACATGTCTCCAACTTTCAATTCTAACACTTCAACACATGTGGCCCCAGTACCTTGTCACTTGTATTCAAATGGACATTAAAGCTCTAATGTTACTAGCATTGATAAGTCCCCAGAGTGGCTTAATGCTTACCACTCTGATTTTTAATTAATTTTTTCCTTTAATCACGTCACTCATTCACATGTGACCTTATCTATTCTATTAAGTACTATTAAATATGCATTTAAAACATTATTTGCTGTATTTTATGTAACAATTCTGGATACTTACAGTGGAAAGGATTTTGAGATATCCAGACTACCATATTTACTTTTCAAACAGATTACTTTGAACCAATTAATTGCATAGTTATCATAGACAGAAGTATCTGTGTAGCAACTAGTACCACTGGTAAACTGTGCCTCTTAACTGAGCCCAAGTGATATGGGAAACTTGCTCTTTGAATTCATTCTACTTCAAGCACAGAGAACCCAGAATTGAATCCTTAATTTTTTCTTTCCTTCCAAATAAGTTAGAGTTTTTAGTAAATTACATGGAGAAATAGGTCTTCTAGTTTCTTCACAGTTTCATTTCAAATTTATTCTTGGTCAGCAGTAAGTGACTTTTTTAAGTAAACTTTTATTTTGGAATAGTTGTAGACTTACAAAAAAATGCAAAAGGAGAGTTCTTGTACAAGTCTTTTCTAGTTTTCACCATTGTTGACATCTTGTACTACTATGCTACATTTGCCACAACCAGAGCCTGATATTGGTATACCAGTATTAAGTAAGCTTCATACTTCATGTGTTTTGTTTTGTTTTGTTTTGTTTCAACCAGTTTTTCTATTAATATCTTCCATTTGTTCCAGGATACAGTACAGGATATCATATTATATGTAATTGTTATATTAATGCAGGATTGTTTTGCTCCTTAGCTCAGCTAAAATCCGGCTTCTTGTCTCACGACCAGGAAAAATTAGGCACATAGACACATTGAAAGGTGAGGAAAGCAGAATTTATTAAAAGAAAGTCCTCCGCCAAAAAAAGGGGGATTCTGCCAACTGGCTCCCACCTCACAGATTAAATACCAGGCCACCACACACGAGCTGAAGAGGCCCAGCTCCTCTCCTACAAAAGGTGTGAATTCCTGGTTGCTCCACTCCATTCTCCCAGTTGAGCATGTGAGCCCTTAGTCTGAGCCACTCCACATTGATTTGTTTCCCTTACTGTGCATGTGTTAAGGGATGGAATTTTTCACCATGGGCATGTTTAGGCAAGATCTTGTGCAAGTTCCCTTCTCTGCCTCCTGCATCTATCAGTATGTCCCCAGTGTCCACTGGTCTGTGAATTTTTTAATTCTTTCCTTGTTTTATTGTGAGCTTGATAGTCTTGAGGGATACTGGTTAGGTATCCTATAGAATATCCCTGAATCTAGGTTTTCTGATGTTTCTCATGATTATACTGGAATCATGGGGTTTTAAAAAGATAATACTTATTGTTACACCATATCAGTGTATATCATTGATGTTATTAGCTGTAGATGACAATTTTTAATGAAGTTTTTACTTTAGAATAGTTTTTGATTTACTGAAAAATTATAAAGGAAGTACCTAAAGTTCCTATATCGTTTACACGCAGTTTCGTCTATAGTTAAACCCTTACATATATTAGTATGCTACCTTTGTCACAGTTAATTAACCAATATTGGCATTATTATCAATTATCAATTAAGGTACACATGTTGCTCAGATTTTGTTAGTTTTCCTTTAATGTCCTTTTTTCTGTCATAGAATCCTATTTAGGACACCCCATTACATTTTGCTGTCATGTCTCCTTAGGCTTCCCTTGGCTTTGACAATTTATCAGACTTCACTTGTTTTTAATGACAGTTTTAAAGAGTACTGATAATATGGTTTGGCTGTGTCCCCACCCAAATCTCATCTTGAATTATAGCTCTAATAATTCCAGTGTGGTGGGCAGGACCCAGTGGGAGGTAATTGAATCATGGGGCAGGTTTTTCCCATGCTGTTCTTGTGATAGTGAATAAGTCTCATGCGATCTCATGGTTTTATAAAGGACAGTTCCCTGCACATGCTCTCTTGCCTGACACCTTGTAAGATGTGACTTTGCTCCTTTTTTGCCTTCTGCCATGACTTTGAGGACTCCCCAGCCATATGGAACCGTGAATCAATTAAACCTCTTTCCTTTATAAATTACCCAGCCTTGGGTATGTCTTTATTAGTAGTGTGAGGATGGACTAATACAACTGGTAAGATATGTTGTTAGAATGACCCTTACAATTGGGATTTGTCTGCTGTTTTTCTCATGATTAAACTGGGTATATGGGCTTTTAAGAGGAAGGGCACAAAAATAAAGTACCACTTTTGTCAGGGGTACATATGATCCATATGTTAATTACAGTCTTGATTACCTAGCAGAGGTAGGGCTTGTCGGATTTACTGTAAAGTTACTCTTTTTCCTCCTTGCCACATTCTATTGAGTGGAAGGAAGTCACTATATGAAGTCACTCCATATTTAAGGAGTAGGGAGTGACTCTCCACCTCCTTGAGGGCATGGGATCTCACTTATTATTATTGAGACGGAGTCTCGCTCTGTTGCCCAGGCTGGAGTGCAGTGGCATGATCTTAGCTCACTGCAACCTCTGTCCCCCGGGTTCAAGCGATTCTCCTGCCTCAGCCTCCTGAGTAGGTGGGATTACAGGTAGGCACCACCACGCCCAGCTAATTTTTGTACTTTTAGTAGAGACAGGGTTTCACCATATTGGTCAGGCTGGTCTTGAATGCTTGACCTCATGATCCACCCATCTAGGCCTCCCAAAGTGCTGGGATTACAGGCGTGAGCCACTGTGCCTGGCGATCTTGCTAATTATTTGGCATTCTTCTGCATGAAAAACTAGCTGTTGTCCTTCATATATTTATTCAATTATTTATTGATATCAGTACAGACACATGAATATTTTTCTTATACTTTTGGACATATGGTAATTTATTAGTACTTTATTTTGATGAGTGAATTGGCTCAGTTTGGCCACTGGAAATCTATTATTCAACTCCTGTGTCCTTCCCTCCATTTTTTAAAATCATGGTAAAATACATGTAATGTACAATTTAGCATCTTAACCATTTTGAAGTTTACAATTCATTGGTATTAAATGCATGAATAATGTTGTGCAACCATCACTACCATCCATCTCTATAACTTTTTTCATCTTGTAAAACTGAAACTTTGTACCCATTAAACAGTAACTTCCTATGCCTTCTTCCCCAGTCCCTGACAACCACAATTTTACTTTCTTGCTCTATGATTTTGACTGTTCTGAATACCTCATATAAGTGAGATCATACAGTACTTTTCTATTTATGATTAGCTTACTTCGTTTAGCATAGTATCCTCAAGGTTAATCCATGCCGTAGCAATAGCATATGTTAGAATTTTCTTCCTTTAAGACTGAAAAATATTCCATTGTATATTTACCATATTGTGATTATTCATTCATCTGTCAGCTGAACTATTTCACACTCCCACCGACAGTGCACAAAGGTTCCAATTTCTCTCTCCTTTCAAACACTTGTTATTGTCTGTTTTTTGATAGTAGCCATCCTAGTGGGTATGATGTGGTATTCATTGTAGTTTTGGTTTGCATTTACCCAATGGCTGGTGATACTGAACCTTGTTTCATGTGTTTCTTGCTTATTTGTATATCTTCTTGAAGAAATGTATATACAAATCCTTCACCCATTTTTGAATCAGGGTGTTTTGGTATTTATGTTGTTGAATTTTAGGAGTTCTCTTTATAGCAGTTTCCTTTTATCCATGGAGGACGCGTTCCTAGAACTCCAGTGGATGACAGAAACCAGAGATAGTACTGAACCTTATACATACTATGTTTTTCCTTTTCATATGTATCTGTAGTACAGTTTAATTTATAAATTAGGCATAGAAGAAATTAACAACAATAACTAATAATAAAATAGAACAACAATTACAATATGCTAGCATTTCTACTTTTGCAATTTGTGGCTATTGTTAAGTAAAATAAGAGTTACCTGAACACAAGCACTTCATATTGTGACGGTTGATCTGATAACTGAGTGATGGCTAATAAGTGACTAACAGGAGGGTAACACATAGAGGGTGGATATGCTGAACAAATGGATGATTCACATCCCAGGTAGGATGGAACAGAATGGCACGAAATTTTATCACACTACTCGGAATGACATGTAATTTAAAACTTAGAAATTGTTTATTTCTGGAATTTTCCATGTAATATTTTTCAACTGTGGTTGACAGTGGGTAACTAAAACTGCTTAATTGAAGCCACAGATAAGGAGGTACTACTGTATATTTTGGATATGAATCCCTTATCAAATATATGATTGACAAATATTTTCTCTCATTTTGTGGGTTGCATTTTCACTCTGTTGTCTTTTGGTGCACAATTTGTAAAGGTTCATAAAGTCCAACTTGTCTTTTTTTTATTGTTGTTGTCTGTGCCTTTGTTGCCATATCCTAGCAATCATTAAAAATCCGATGTCGTGAAGCTTCTGGCCTATGTTTTCTTCTAAGAGTTTTATAGTTTACACCTTACATTTTCGTATTTAATCCATTTTGAGATTTTTTAATATATGGCGTCAGTTAAGGGCCAAACTTTGTTCTTTTCTATGTATCTACAAAATAATTTGCTTGGTTTTTGCCTGAGACTGTGTTAAATCTATAGATCAAATTGGGAAAAAAATTGGTATCTTAACAATATTTATTTTTCTAATCTACGAGCACGGCATATTAAGATCTTAGATATAAATATGCCATGAGCATAATCTATTTTGCTCTTAGGCTCCTATGCTTATGGCATATTTAGACAATTTTTAATCCATGAGCATGGCATATTTAGATTAATTTAGATCTTCTTTTATTTCCTTCTTCAGTGTTTTGTAGTTTTGCACATATGGATATTATAAATCATTGGTATTTTACTATGATTTCATTTTGGCAGTATTATTATGAATAGCATTTTAAAAATTCAAATTTCAGTTTTTATTGCTTGTGTATAGGAAAACAATTGACTGTCTATATTTATCTCCTGCTTTGACTGTTCTATACTTTTTCATAGCAAAGAGTTTTGTGGACTTGTTTTAGTTAAACAACCATGTCATCTACAAATAAAGGCAATTTTATTTTTCCTTTCCAATACATATATACTTTCCTTTTCTAAGTGTTATTGTACAACTAGAATTTTTGCTATGATGTTGGATAAGAGAGGTAAGAAAGGAAATTCTTGCCTTGCTCCTGATCATAGAGAAAAAGTGAACAGTTTCTTTATCATTAAACACAGTGTTAGCATTACAGTTTTTATAGATATTCTTTATCAAGTTAAGGAAATATCTGTCTATTCCTATTTGGCTTAGAGTTGCTATTAAGAAAGAATGGTGAATTTTGTCAAGTTAATTTATTGCCACCAATTAATTTGAACAGATGAGTTTTTTTTAGCTTCATAATGTGAAGGTTTCTATGAATTGATTTTTGAATGTTTAATCAATCTTTCATACCTGTAATAAATCCCAGTTGGTTGTAGTGTATATTTTTATGCATTGTTGGATTTGATTTGCTAAGGTTTTGTTGGAGATTTTTGCATTTATATTCATGAGAAATACTAGTTTGTGTTTTTCATTTCTTGTAATGTCTTTACCTTTTGTAAGGTATTAGGTAACGTTGACTTTATAAAATGTCTTAGAAAGCATTCATTCCTTATATTTTCTGTACTTTCTTTTTCTGTGTGGAGAATTGGTATTACTTTTTCCTTAAATGTTTGGTAGAATTCACTGTTCAAACAATCTTGGCTTGGAACTGTCTTTTGGGAATGTAGTTAAGTATTGATTCACTTTCTTTAATAGACAGAGTAGTAGTCTATGGTAGTTTGCGTCTTTCGAGGAATTGGCTAATTTCATCCACTCATTAAATTTCTTGGCACTGTATTCTTTTAACATTTTAAAGTTAGAGATATCAGTATGATGACACCACTTTTCATTTCTGAAATTAGTAATTTCTAAACTAAAGGTTTTTCACCTATCAATCTTCCCAAGAAACAGACTTTGGTTAAACTGATTTTTTTTTTCTATTGATTTATTTTTTCAGTTTCATTGATTTTTTCCTCCAATTTTTATTTTTTTTTCTTTTTCTTTTTAAGCTTATGATGGGTTTTTTTTTCCTCTAGTTTTCTAAGGTAAAATTTTAGATTATTTCACATCTTTATTCTTTTCCAATATATTGTTTAACAACAAGGATATGTTCTGAGAAATATATCATTAGGTGATTTGGTTGTTGTGTGAAAATCATACAGAGTATATTTACATAATCCTATATGGTATAGCCTAGTACACACCTAGGCTATATGATATATCCTATTGCTCTTAGGTTTCAAACTTATACAGTATGTTACTGTACTGAGTACTGTAGGCAATTGTAACACAGTGGTAAGTATTGGTGCATTTAAGCCTATTTAACATATAATAGGTACAGTAAAAATATGGTATCATAATCTTATGGAACCACCCTGGTATTTGCAACCCTTTGTTGACTGAAACATCATTATGTGGTACGTGACTATACGTAGGCACAGTATCACTATACTATAATTTCTCTTTAAGCATTGCTTAT
The DNA here is from genome assembly GCF_000001405.40 of Homo sapiens. Classification (NCBI taxonomy): domain Eukaryota; kingdom Metazoa; phylum Chordata; class Mammalia; order Primates; family Hominidae; genus Homo; species Homo sapiens. The sequence goes on along the minus strand of NC_000008.11, from coordinate 115,167,515 downwards.
ACTACATTCCATAATTTTTGGTAAATTGTATTGTTATTTTCATTTAGTTTAAAACATTTAAAAATTTCTGTTTAGCCCTCTTTGACATGAAGATTATTTAAAATTGTATTGTTCGATTTGCAAATGTCTTGGAATTTTCCAGCTATCTTCTGTTATTGGTTTGTAGTTTTATTCTGTTGTCACCTGAGAATATACTTGGTATAATTTTCATTTTTTTTAGATTTAAGTAATTTTTCATTTTCATGGCTTAAAATATGCTCTTTGTGAATGTTTCATGTGAGCTTGAGAAAAATGTGTATTCTGCTATTGTTTCTATGTGGAGTATTCTATAAATGTCAATTAGATCAAGTTGATTGCTAATGCTGCTCAGGTCTTATACAACATTATCATTACTGATTTTCTGCCTCCTTGATCTCTCAAACCTGTCAGAGGATTTTTGATGTTTCCAACTATACTAATGGATTTGTCTATTTCTCCTTTAAGTCCTATCAGTTTTGTCTTCACATATTTTTATATTCTGTTTATGTTTATAATGCTTCTCTTCATTACTGATAATTTTCTTGTCTGAAGTATTATTTTTTTCTGTAATTAACAAAGCTTCTCTAGCTTGCATTTGAGTATTATAAGTAAGCTATATCACTCTACATCTCTTTAATTTAACTTTTTATGTCTTTATAGAGAGTAAAGTAAGTTTTTGGTAACTCGTAATCAGTCTTGTGTTTTAAATCTAGTCTGAACATCTCATTTTAAGTAGTGTTAAAATTTGGTATTCAGATGTAAATGTATTGGTGATATAGTTGAATCAATATCCACCATGTTTGTAACTGTTTTTTGCATGTTGGATTTATTCTATTTTCTACCCCCTGCTGCCACTTCACTGTTATTTTTGCCCTCTGGTTTTAATTGAGCATCTTCTATAATCTCATTTTTTTCTCTTCTCATAGCACATCAATGGCACTTAGAAATATATTTTTAGAGGTTGCTCTAGAGTTTACAATATACATTTTTGACTTATCTAAATCCAATTTCAAATCACAGTATAACACTTCACATGTAGTATTGGTAGTTCATAATGGAGTACTTACACTTTCTCCCTTCTGTCTCTTCCTGTGACATTGCTGACATTCATTTCACATACATAATCACCTGGTGTATCCTTAAGTTTTAAACACATAGTTATGATTTATATCAATTAATAATAAGATAAGATAAATACATTATTTTACCTTCATTTGTTCAGTCCTTATGCTCTTACATTATGCAGATATGTTTCTGACATATTATCTTTCTGCCTGAAGAGTTAACATTTTAACATTATTTTCACATTTAAGATTCACTAGAGATAAATTCCCTAAATTTCATTTAAGAAACCTTTATTTCTCCTTGTTGAGAGATAATTTTGCTGAATATAATGGTGGTATTATTTTTTTATTTTTTTCTTTCAAAACTTCAAATACTTCTCTTCACTGTCTTCTAACCTACATGGTTTCATTTGAAACATTCAATGTAATTTTTTTTTTTTTTTTTTTTTTGAGACAGAGTCTCACTCTTGCCCAGGCTGGAGTGCGGTGGCATGATCTTGGCTCACTGCTACCTCTGCCTCCCAGGTTCAAGCAATTCTCATGCCTCAGCCTCCTGGATAGCTGGGATTACAGGTGTGTGCCACCATGCCCAGCTAATTTTTGTATTTTCAGTAGAGTCAGAGTTTAACCATGTTGGCCAGGCTGGTCTCAAACTTCTGACCTCAAGTCATCTGCCTGCCTTGACCTCCCAAAGTGCTGGGATTACAGGCATGAATCACGGTGCCCAGCCTCACTGTAATTCTTTCCTTGGCCATTTTGAACCTACTGATGAGCCCATTGAAGGCATTCTTCATTTGTATTACACTGTCTTAAAATTTACAGGACTTTTAAAAAAATTTTCTTATACTTTCATTTTGTCTACTTATGTTTCTTATCTATTCTTTCCTGTTGTCTACTTTTTCCATTAGAGTCCTAGACGTACAAATTATAATTATCTTGAATTTCCTGTCTGATAATTTCTGCATCTCTGTCATAAGAGTCTGACTCTGATGATTGCTTTGTCTTTTTATGCTGTGTATTTCTTTGCCTTTTTCATGCATTGGAATTTTTTGTTGAAAGTCAGATACATTACGTTGGGTAACAGAAATGGTGGTAAAGAGTCCTTTAGTGCGAAGATTTATAATTATGTGGCTATGGCTGCTGCTTTGTTGAGTGTTTGAGCTACATAGTTATAGATGCTATTGTCTTTATAGTCCTCTAACTGTGCTTGTTTTGTTTCTTTTCTTGTGTTAGGCTTTCCTATGTACTTCTCATAGAAAGTCTGTGTCTTGCAACTCTTTAGCTTTACTCTACTATTATTCTAGGGTCCTGTTGGTGTGGTGGTTAGATGTGTACAAAAAGAGGCATTCTTTTTTTTGTGTTTGAGATGGAGTTTTGGTCTCATTGCTCAGGCTGGAGTGCACTGGCATGGTCTCGGCTCACTGAAACCTCTGCTTCCCAGGTTCAAATGATTCTCCTGCCTCAGCCTCCCAAGTAGCTGGGATTACAGGTACCCACCACCACACCCGGCTAATTTTTGTATAGCTAGTAGAGACAGGGTTTCACCATGTTGACCAGGCTGATCTTGAACTCTCTGGATCCACCCTCCTCAGCCTCCCAAAGTGCTAGGATTACATGCGTGAGCTGCCAGGCCTCACCACAAAAAGAAACATTCTATCATCTTCTAAATGAATCTCTGTTTTTTAGTTGGGCCATGATTCAGGGTTGTGAACATCATAAATATTTCTAGCAATATAAATAATAAAATTATTAGGAATTAGTATAGATTATTGTCCCCCTTGTTCCCTCCTGCTTTTCCTGGAAACAGAGTTTTTAATTTATTTCCCTGAAGCCTTGACCCCTGTTCACCATATTCATTCCAGGCTCCAAGAGGGGTACAAAACTTTAGGTGGCTGGACTGAGAAGAATGTGTTTCCCATGGCTGGGATAAGGTCCTGGAAACTTTTTCTTCTTTAGCTTATGTTATAACGAAGACACTGGGTGTAGTTCATAATGATCACTCTTGCCTTCCTCCCCCCAGAGCCATTTCTCAGAGCTTCACCATAAGAACCTGTTGGGATTCCTAGAGGAAAAGCCCATAAATGTGTAGGATCCCTTTAAGACTGTGAGCCCCCAGGAATTCCTTACTCCCAATCTAGGCTACACTCAGCCTCATGCAATTTCTTAAATTACCATTTACTACTAGTTTATGGCTCCAGCATCTTCTGTTCCAGGTAAGCAAATCTTGGTTTTGGTATATCTGGATGCACCTGTTCTTCTAGGTTTCATAGTAGTGGTTTGCCTAGAGGCCTCACTTCCAAGAAGTTGTTGATTTTTGGTTTGTCTAGCGTTTTCAACTTGTAAGAACAAGAGTGATGACTTCCAAGAATTGTATGTATTATAGCTGATAAGGAGATTTATAAGTGATATTTTGGTTTTATTAGTTTTCGTGTTTGCTTTTTGTTTATTTTTGTAGTTAACCACTTTCAGACTCACAACGATAGAAAATTCTCTGTATCTTTCAAAAATAGAGTCATTGTCCAGTTTAACTAAATTTCAACAGATCAATCATATCTTTACTTTTCCATACAAAGGAATAATTATCCTGCTCTAACAATAGAAAAAATTTCTTGGCACTTTAAGTCAAGCAACATCATAGATGCTATAAAGGAGGTCAACCCTTGATGTGAAAATTTCAGCTTTCCTCAAAAGCCGTTTAAAAAATCATGTCCTTGTTATAAGTCAAAAATTGAAGAGCCACCTGGAATATAGAACAACCTATTTATTAAACATTTTGTATAAAATATGTGCATTTTATATAAGAATTTGTGGATTGATTCATCTTGAGTTTGAATAATTATGTTTTCTAGACTTGGCCAGTGGTGATTTGTGGTTTAAAAAAGATGGGTTTATTATTTCTGCTCTTAAAAGAAGTCAAGAAAAGCCCTTTCACAAGATGTGCACACATTTTTTCTATGACAGCATGCTTCAGAAAGCATTTGCATTGTGATCTTTGCGTAATGGTCTTTTACGTTCAAATAAAACACTTTGTGGAGAAATTTTTTAAAAATCTGTAAACAACAAAGTAGAGAGAATGAGCATCTGTGTACATCAGCAGGACATTTTCAAAGATTGACATTTATAACTTGTCAATATTAGAACTCTGATGGGACAGTATGGCGTGAACTTTGTCCTGGCATAACCTCCCGTAAAGCTGTAATATATTGGAACATACCGCCTTCAGAAGACTTTCTGAATGGCTAGTGATTTCCCATGATTCTTTCTGGTCTGAAGCTATATTTTATTTTCATATAAAACCACTATAAATCTTCTCCAAAATTCATCCGTTTGACACTGGTCATTTTGTTTTCTTTTGTTATGGTGAAGGATGTTGACCAAGTTAAATCATGATCTAAGAGTTGGAATAAATCACAAAAAAATGCTCAAAGATTGATATTAAACACCTTTTATTTCATATAAGTCACAAAAAATGTAAAACTTAAAAAAAAAAGTCATATACCCATGATCAAATTTTAGTAAAACCAAACATACATAATTTCCATAACAGAACAAAACAGGAATATTAAAATATCTTACTTTTCTATTGGAATTAAAGGACAACTGTGAAATCTGGTGATACTTTAGATGTAGCAGGCTACTGAAAAGACTTTCTTTCTTTTTTTCCATATATTTCTTCATTTGTCTGTGATATAAATCCGTTTCAATGCTTTCCTTTTCTGCATATGTAGTGAAAAATACAGACTTAAAATTTAAAGAACAGATTGCAGACATTATCAAGAAGGGAGTTGACCCCTATATTTGTCCAATTATGCTAAATTAAAAGTTATACTTTCTTGCTTGAAATATACAATAAAGCTACTTAAATTTGTTAAAGGGCCTGGGTTTTGTCTTAATAATATTACTGACTCTAGTACAGCAGAAGTATTGGCTGTGCAGGATCATTTGAACTTTTCTACATTAATTGGGTTAACTACCCTTTAAATTAAAGGAATCATATTAGTGCCCTTCCTGCTTTCCGATGAGATGTAGCCTAACATTTAAGCTTTATAAACAGCATGGCTTTGTTTCCCTTGTATTTTTAGACCCTATTTGAACCTGTGAAATCCAAAAATGCCTTATTTTTTTTGGCTTAAAATCGAAAAGTATTTATTAATTTCCCCCTCCATTAGAGAGAGAATATTGTTTTGGCAACATTCTTTAAAAGTTGTTTCAATTTCATCACTGTTTAGTGGGTGTTGTGGTTTCCAGTATTAGTTGGGGTTTGTTTTGGCTGATTCTACCATAAATGTCCAAATAAAAGGGCTTATACAACGTAGCGGTATATTTTTATCACGCATTGATGTCTGGAGTGGAACAGTCCATGGCTCATCTGGCGGTTCATTGGTGTCAGGAGCTCTGACTCCTCTCATGTTATTATACTAACTTTAGCCTGTAACCTAATTGCCCAATAGGTTGCTTGAACTCTGGACATCACATCAAAATTCCAGTCAGCAAGAAAGGCAAAAACATCAGAAAAGTTTACTCTCTCTAAAGATAGCGTTCCAGAAATCCCACATAGTACTTCCACTGACGTCATATTGTCTCGAAGCTAGTTACTGAGCCACACGTAGATGCAAGGGAGGTTGAGGAATGTAGTCTTTTACCTAGATAGCAATTTGTCCAGTTAAAATAATATTTATTGAAGTAGAAAACTGACTATGTCAGCAACTGTGATGGTTTCTTGATGTGTGAACTCCAGCAGGTTGAACTATAGTCCCAAGGCATTCAAACAAACACTGATGTAGATAATGCCGTGAAGTGATTTTGCATTATCTGATTATGACCCCTACTCAGTTGACTTTAAGCTAAACAAACAAAAAAAAAGATTATTCTGGGTGGATCTGGCCTAATCAGATGAGCCTTTTTAGAAAGGACTTAGGCCTTCTCTGAGTTTAGAGATTAAAGATGGCCTGTTTTCACAAGGTTCTAACCTGCTTGTGATCTTCTCTTCCTGACTTTCCCTACAGACATTGAACTTGCTAACATAGTCTCTAGTCTCTACAATTACATCAGCCAATGCCTGATAATAAACCTCCCTTGCGCACTCTCCACCACCCCCAACCTCCCACTGGTTGAATGCTGAAGGATACAGCAACATTTTGCAATATCCGTTCCCAGTGCTTCAGTTTTCTTCCAGCTTGTTTATCCTACCTGGAGGTGTCCATGTGCTTTGAGACTATTATATTAGCTTCAGAGATTGGAGCAAATAACATGTCATCCTCTGGCCATTACTAGTTCAAGGACAATCCTAAGACCTAATTTCAGCCACTTCAGTAAAAAAGAGAATGGCTTCATATTTCTCAACCTAATGAATCCCATCAACTCTGAGAGTATTTTTGAGAAACTACTTGCTCTCTAGGCTTCAGTGTGAACATAGAGAAAGGAGCCCCAAGAACTTGTTGGTATTAGACATAAAGTAGAAGACAGTGGTAAGGATGAAGCGGACACACGAAAAACAGACCAGAGATAAAATATTATTATTTAAAGGTATAGAATCTAACCAGCCTTAACATTCCATAATCCCTCAACATTTTTAAGGGAACCTATACATTTTGCTAATCATTAACACAGTTTGAGTTGGCTATATGTCTCCTGCAATAAAACATATCCTAACTGATACAACTACGAAACAATTCATTTTATGAATGATTAAACATAGATAAATATCTAATTTGGGCATTGCCTTAAAGTGATATCTAGGAATTTCTATAGTGCCTCTGACAGTAGTAGATGCTGTTCTATTTGGCATGCAGACAAATTTCAGTTTAGTGTTAAGTACCAAAACATAAATATTTGTTGATAATTTTGAATATTGTGTATGAGAAATTAGTTAATTGGAAAAACACATAAAGCTGTTAGGTTTTGCTGTAATGATCAATCTGAATTATATCTATTCCTCTTGATTTCCTGTGTTCCTACCAAGAGATTCTTTACAAAGAAGATAATGGCAGTGGTTTGGGTTGTGGCTTAACTTGTGCCCTTCTACAAAATATGTTAAAATTCTAACCCCCAGTACTTTTGAATGTAACTTTGTTTGGAAATAGGGTCTTTGCAGATGTATTCAAATTAAGATGAGGTGGCTAGGATGGGCTCTAATCTGATGTGACTGTCATATGGAATTGTCATGTGAAGACAGACACACACAGGGAGGATGCTATGTGAAGTTAGATGCAGAGACTGTAGTGAACTGATGCAGCTGAAAGACAGAAAATGTCAAGGATGCACAGCCACCACCCAAAGCTAGGGAAAGGCAAAGAAGGATTCTACCTAAAGTCTCAGTGGGAGCATGATCCTGCAGACACCTTGATTTTAGGTTCCTAGCTTCTGCAGCTCTGAGAGAATAAACTGTTTTCAGTTTTAGCCACCTCATCTGTGGTAATTTGATATAGCAGCCTTTTGAAACTAATACAATATGGACATTTCTTTTGAAAAATGAAAAGGAAGTGAGGAAGAAAAGAATAAAATGTGAGGAAGTGGGAAGCTCAGTTAATATCTAATTTGAGTTAACCTATAATCTTAGCTAGTCAGGAGGCAAAGGCAGGAGGATTGCTTGAGCCCAGGAGTTTGAGGCTGCTGTGATCTATAATCATACCACTGTACTCCAGCCTGGGTGACAGACCAAGACCCTATCTCAAAAAAAAAAAATATTTCAATGGACATGTATTGCATAGTAGATATTTATCAGATGCTTTTTAAGAAAAATACAATGTTGTGGGGATGGAAAGTGAAGAGGTTATCAACAAGTACTGAAGACATAACAGGCTAGGCATGGTGTTAAATGCTTTACACATGTTACCTGATTTAATCCTCACAGTATTGTGGTAAAGCAGGTGTAATTACCCTTATTTTATTGCTGAGGAAGAGGTGGCTTAGTAAGGTTATGTAAATTGCCCATGATTACCATGATACTAAGTAGTAGATTTGAATTCTTGCAAGTCTAACCTAAAAGTCCAAGTCCTTTCCTCCAGACCAGGTGTCAGCAAATTATGGTCCATCATGGTGACAGGTGAAGCCAGCTGGGCTTCTGGGTCCATGGGGACTTGGAGAACTTTTCTGTCTAGCTAAAGGATTGTAAATGCACCAATCAGCACTCTGTGTCTAGCTAAAGGATTGTAAATGCACCAGTTAGTGCTCTGTGTCTAGCTAATTGGGTAGCAGACTTGGAGAACTTTTCTGTCTAGCTAAAGGATTGTAAATGCACCAATCAGAGCTCTGTGTCTAGCCAAAGGTTTGTACACGCACCAATCAGCACTCTGTGTCTAGTTAATCAGGTAGAGGACTGGGAGAAATTTTCTGTCTAGCTAAAGGTTTGTAAATGCACCAATCAGTACTCTGTAAAAATGGACCAATCAGCACTCTGTAAAATGGGCCAGTCAGCTCTCTGTAAAATGGACCAATCAGCAGGATGTGGGTGGGGCCAAATAAGGGAATAAAGGCAGGCCACCTGAGCCTGCAGCCGCAATGCTGCGGAAACTTTGTTCTTTTGTTGGCGGTAAATCTTGCTGCTGCTCGCTCTTTGGGTCTGCACTACCTTTATGAGCTGTAACACTCACTGTGAAGGTCTGCAGCTTCACTCCTGAGGCCAGAGAGACCACAAACCCACTGAGAAGAATGAACAACTCTGGACGTGCCACCTTTAAGAGCTGTAACACTCACTGTGAAGGTCTGTGCCTTCACTCCTGAAGTCAGCAAGACCACGAACCCACCAGGAGGAATGAACAACTCCGGACGTGCCATGTTTAAGAACTGTTAACGCTCACTGCGAAGGTCTGCAGCTTCACTCCTGAAGTCAGCGAGACCACGAACCCACCAGAAGGAAGAAACTCCGGACACATCTGAACATCTGAATTAAAACTCCGGGCACACTATCTTTAAGAACTGTAACACTGCAGGGGTCTGTGGTTTCATTCTTGAAGTCAGTGAGACCAAGAACCCCCCGGAAGGAACCCATTCCGGACACAGTGGAGGTCACATTTAACCTGCCCTCTGTTTTGGAGAATAAAGTGTTACTGGACCATGGCCATGCCCCTGACTGCTTCTGCACTACAATGGCAGGATTGAGTTGTCACAGAAACCTATGGCCTGCAATGCTAAAAATGGTTACAAACTGATCCTGTACTGAAAAGTTTTCCAAACCTTGCTCTAGACTTGTACAAGAAAATCTATATTTGATTCTTCAATCTTTTGCCTTCTAAAAATCAAAAATTGAGTAAATTATTTTAATGTCTGAGGCTGCATTCCTATCTTTAATGTGTGGATAATCCCTTATACTGTCATTCTGGGAATTACTTGATAAAATGAATGTTAGTATACTTTGTAAACTGTATGGAAATATACAAACCTAAGTAGTTAATCTTAAAAGCTATAAAAACCACATTACTTAATATCTTACTTCAATATTGAAATGAATTTAAATACCATTATACAACTTCAGATTTCTCTTATTTCATTGAGTTTGTCTAATTAACACAAATTATAGGCAGATTTCCTTCCCAAGCTGCCTTTGTTGTAGGGGTTCCTCTATGTGGGGTGGTCCCTCTATCCTGGGGATCTGTTTCTTCTGTGATCAAAACAGTAACTTTTTTTTTTTCTTCAAAAGGCAGAATTCAATCTTTTGTTGTGGGCCACCATGGGAACATTCCTTACATTCCTAAAGAGAGAGTTTTTCAAATGTAAAGACTTTGCAATCTCCTGATTAAGTCCACCAAACCTGATCTATTTCAACTATGATCTTTAGGTTGAAGTTCTAAAAATCTAAGGCTGCATTATTTCATTCAATGTCTCCTGTCCAGTTCTTAAACATTTAATTCTTTTCATCTGTTTTGACAGGACATTCCTTTAGGGTTCACATTAAAGGCTGCTGACTCCTAAAAAATGTAAACTCGTTTTATTAGTCGTTTGATTGTTCATTGTAGGCACGGTTTTAGGCTCAAAGTCATCTTTCAGTATCCATACTTATTCCTGAGACTCAAAAAACCCATCCTCTTCTAATTCTCTTTTATTCACGTGTTCGCTATTGACATTTCCTCAATCCCAAGCTTAGTGAGACTACCTGCTTTCTTTTACAAGTTGTCAATGGAATACTGCATGAGACCAATCAGTTAACTGGAAACATTTGTAAAGCCTATCTGTTTGAATGTAGAAATCGATGTGAATACTACCTATTTCTATGTTTTATATTTTGTGTTTTTTTCAAATTAAGAGTTTCCAACAATGAAGTCTTTCTAATAGGCTGACAACCTACTTTACCTTGCTTAGTTGAAACAGATGTTGAAAAATACCTTTTAGGGAGGAATGCATTTGGGAAACAGTGGTGTGCTAGAGCTGGCTGTACTGGCTCCTGAGAGCCACTTATTAAATTATTGGAAATCTTGGTAGAGGATCGTCGCTCATGCCTGTAATCTCAGCATTTGGGGAGGCTGAGGCAATAAGTTTGCTTGACCCCAGTAGTTGAGAACAGTTTGAGCAACAAGGGAGACTTCCTCTCTAGTTTTAAAAAATAAAAAAATAAAAAATAGCAGTGAGTCAGTGCTTTTCTCAAGATCACAGATGAGCAACTATGCAGTTATAAGAAAAATATATATTTTTGTAACACTGTAGTAAACAATGGCTTTCTTGTAAACAAACTATAGCACATCTTCACAGTTTTGTACAATTAAATATGCTACTTCTGTTTAATTCAAGTCTTGTTTTCTCCTCTAAGATGGGCAATTTGAAAATAATTGTTCCTACTGTACTGAAATGCTATTACTTTTGCATTTGGTGCTTCTAGAGGTCTTTTAGAATTATATTTATTGTGATCTAAAACTTTTGTTTCTTCTCCTGCCTGATCTCCATTTCATTATAATGACCACTGGCATTTTCACATTTTGATGACTATCCATGCCTGCCAATCAGTTCTGAGACTTAATTTCCTTCTAAGCATCATCATTGAATGAAATATTTCAGTCATCAACATTTTGAAGCATATGGCAAAAGACTCAGAGAGTTGTGTTCAGAGGGCTATATGAATGTCTAGGATTCGGGACTGGAGATATCTTAAAAATAATGAAAAATATTCTAAATAAGGGTTGTTCTTGGTAACTTTGTGATTATTAGGTTATTCCAGGGTTCATTAAGAGGAATACTGTCTATAATGAAGAGCTGGGTTTTAAGAAAATTAAGCACTTCCAACTACATAGATCTATCAGTTTCTGTATGAATATTGAAGCTAACTTTTCAGAGAGTTAAGAAGAGTAAATTCGTCATGCGCCTCACAAAGGTTAAAAACTAAGTGAAAGACTTTTGATAAGTTTAAAGCTTAATGAAGTGAATTGGATTCAGTGAAAATTTCTTTAGAAGTTTTCAGCAAATGAACATTTTGTAGACACTGTCTCATTTGACAGCTACATCCCCATGAAGTGAGATTTTTACAATATGATTTGGGTGGATATGACAGTTTAAGTAGAAAGGCATTAAGACTTCTATTTTTTCATTCCTAAAAGAAGAAAGGCAGTAAAGGTGGAAGCTTGGGGAATGTGTTGGAACTTAAAAAGTAAGAACTTTGTATATAGTTACTAGGTGCAAATATATCTGCTTCTGAATAATCAAATGGAATGATTTCCAGGGAGTGAAAGAAAATGATTGATGATAGAAGATAGGAAACTTTCCACTTAGATTTACTTTACATGTGTGAGAGAAAAAGAGCAGTAGCAATTATGATATATTCACATTTAAATATCTTTAAAATTATGTTTTGGGAGCTGAGTGTGGTGGCTTATGCCTGTAATTCCAGCTACTTGGGAGGCTGACTGGGGGAGGATCTCTTGAGGCCAGGAGTTCAAGACCAGCCTGAGCAACATAGTGAGACCCTATCTAAAAAAATGACAAATAAAAATAATTTAAAAATATTTATAATAACAAACAAACACAACTTCATCCCCCCTCCGCCCCATGAAACATTTAGTGTCAAGCTGTCAGAACTGATCTTCTTATATCTAAATATGTCAATGCCCTCAGCAGTCACTCATCCTTTGGGTCTTTCTCAAACAATCCAATTCCAGAGTGACCTGAGCCTGTCTAGACAGTTTTCCTAAAAATATGGTAAATTTCTCTGGGAACTAAGCAAGAAAATAAAAAAGTGATTTTGTGCTATTAGCTATTCCTGAAAGAAATTACGTCTAATTTTTCATTTACTTCAAATGGCATGCTTTTCCTCAATTAATTACTGGAGTCTGTACATGTTGAAACCCTTTACTCCACTGCGCATTCATTAGCATCTATATGTCTTTTCCTGAAGGATATTGATGGAGTGTCATCACTTGCCAAAGTCTAGAATTTCATTGAAAATATTAACATGCAAACCTCATAATTCCCCTTTTTCATATATCATTTTTAAATGCCTCCTTTGGCTGCTGGTATGCAGTAGTGCCAGGACAAATTGTGTCCTGGTGGTGGAGAATAGGTATAGTAGGAGCCTTCATTCCACCTAACGTGCCTTGGCAGGCCCAGCCTCTGACACACCTCCTTATGTCTCTCATTCTGGCTACATGTTTCTGCAGCCTGATTTCACAGATTTGGAAGTGAAAAGGCCTCCACTGTACACCCATTTCTATGTCAATATTAAGTCAGTGTGGCCAGGTTACCTGATAACAGGTTGCAAATAGAGATGTGGATCTAAGGCAATTTCCTGTCCCAAAGGAAGGGGGCAGGGCAATCCTGTGGAGGCACTACGAAGAGGTTTATCAGAGTTAGGCTATAGTCCTGAGTTAGAGAGTCCACGTGAGTGATCAGGGCTATGTTTTCACCTGAGATTCAGAACATAGAGATTAGTAACTGAACAGAAGCATAAATTGTCTGAAATACAAGAGACTAGAAGCAAAGGTGTTAAACTAAAGTAGTAAACACAAGATACCATTTGAAATTGTAAAGTCAGAATGAGGAAGATTCTGTATAGTTGACAGGTTGCACTGGCTAAGGGACTCACCATGTTTCAAACTCATAGTACAGAATATTTTTGGTCAAGAGAGTTCCTGGGTGATGGTGGGGTGGGAGGAGATGCAGAGAAAAAAAGAGAAAAAGGGGGAGAGAGAAGGAACTCAAGGTGTCTAATTACTGAAATCTGGTTAACAGATATGAGTTTATTACAGGTAAATTCATATTAACTCTATCCAATTTTTTCTAGCAGTATTGTAACCTTTTACTGCATATTCAGATGTATACTTTTGAATTAAATTGAGTACTGGTTTTGATGTCTAAACAGAGAGATCAGAAATTAAAATATCATTTACATGTTACTAGTGATGAAACAACATCAGGAAAATCCAGTGGTACTGAACAGGCATGTCCACGTTCTAACAGGCAGCTCAGGATCATACTATGAGGTAATATGCAACTGCTAGGTTTTTCCTATTCTGACCAATTGCCTGGACAAGAGTGGTAGTCCGTCTTAGTTTTCATTCATCGTTTCTGCTGGCCCTCTGAGGTGTGTCACTTCTAACTTCATTGCTTCTATTCCTTTGTCTCAAATAACAATTATTCAGCCTGATTCAAGTTAATATACAAAATTGTTTATTGTAGCAATGTTAACTAAATCATAGAAAATAAGTAAACACTAAAAAGCCAAACTCTGGGAAGAAACAAACTCCAGAGAAGCTCTAGTAACTCAGTAGCAGAAATGTCCAGCAATCTGTTAGGGCTCTGTCTTCACTCTGGACTATTTCCATCCATCTACTGTCCCTGGATCTTTTTGCTCAAGAGTAAAATTCCAGTGAAAGAAACAGAATAAAGGAGAATGAGAGAGAGAGTTTCCTAGTCTGGGTGGCATTCTGCAGCTTGGGGTTCATTTGATTATCCTCTGAGATTATGTGGAGCTACAGGAGAAGGATCACTCCAAAATCCTGCAGACCACATGGAAGGATTGGGAATACAATCTAACAAATTAAACTTCCGTATGTAATTCCTTGTAAATATAATCTGTATGTTGAAAATTGGGGCAATCAAAAGTGTTAAGCTAAAATGGGACAGGGATAGTAGGAGACAATTGAATGAGATTCTTTAGGATTCTCTTGCCTTCATAAACATATGTGTATTAACTGCCTAATTTTCTAGAAAATACATGGAAAAGTAAATGAATAGACTGGGGCCCTAGTTAAGGTACAGGCTGGGTAAATCCGTAAGTGAAGTGCTGTGTTCATTTCTGTTCTTTGTAATTTTAGAAGCTTGTAATGAAAGAGCACCAACAGAGAATAGAGATTCAGTGCAGTGACTTTGGAATCAGATAGAGTTTGGTGTAAACCCTCACTCTGCTACTTTCTAGCAGGACTCTGAGTGAATCTCTCAACCTCTTTATGCTTGCATGTCTTTATCTGTAAAAAGAGATACATAATTTGTTCTTGGAGTGATTTTTTTAAGTTTTAAAGGGGATAGTAATATTTGTAGTTGGCATACTGAATAAAATGGTAGATATTGTCATTGGTATTTTTAAGACTGCGCATGAAAATCATGAGAAGACCAAATTACTTTTCCAGGGCTGCTGTAACAAAATACCACAGACTGGGTGGTTTAAACAGCAGAAATTTATTGTCTCATAGTTCTGGGGGCTGGAAGTCCAAAATCAAGATGTTGGTTCCTTCTGAGGCGATGAGGGAGGGATCTTTTCTAGTCCTCTTTCCTTGGCTTGTAGATGACCATCTTCTCCCTGTGTTTCTTCACATCACCTTTTTGCCATCTGTCTCCTCTGTCCACATTTTCTGTTTTTATAAGGATTAGGGCCCACCCCAAATACCTTATTTGAACAGGACTATCTTTATAAAGACACTATCTCCAGATATGGTCACATTCTGAGATACAAGGGTTAGGATTTCAACATATGAATTTTGTAAGTATACAATTCACTCCATAACAACCAGGTCTCATTGTGAAACTCTTGGATGATCTGTGGATATTTAGTCTTGAAGAGGAATAGGGGCAATTCTACAGAGAGAGGCAAAAATTTGATAAATGCCTTCAAATGAGATAATGTACAATGTCTAAGGAAGTTAATACAATGTTTAACATATTGTAAGCATTCAATAATTGTTATCTCTCTCTCTAACCAAGTATTTGTTGAGTACCTCCTCTGTTTCAACCCACTACATTTTGGTTTGATTTGTTATCCAACAATAGATAAAAGAAACACTACCAGTTAAGTAATTCATTTATAACATTTGTTTTCAGTTATGTGTTTTTGATAGCTTCAGAAGAAAAATCCATTTGATGAGGCAATGGTTGAATTAAATATCCATTGTAGAACTATGGGGCCTTCCAAAATCCAAATGAGCAGGTTTTAGCCAAATTATATGAGCACAATCTAAATAATTACTGGTCTAGGCAGTGGGGACATAGTGCTAAACACAGAAACCAGGAATGCTGGATTAGACTTGTTTTATGTGACCCCAGAATAGAAATTCCAATTAATATGTAGCAATTATGTAGAGAGATATTCTTGTCTCATCATAAGAAAGAACTTTCTAAAGGGCAAAGCTATTAAAAGATGGCTGCTTTTGGCTGGTCACGGTGGCTCATGCCTGTAATCCCAGCACTTTGGGAGGCTGAGGCGGGCAGATCACCTGAGGTCAGGAGTTCAAGACTAGCCTGGTCAACATGGTGAAACCCCATCTCTACTAAAAACACAAAAATTAGCTGGGTTTAGTGGTGGGCGCCTGTAATCCCACCTACTCAGGAGGCTGAGGCAGGAGAATTGCTTATAGCTGGGAGGCGGAGGTTGCAGTGAGCCCAGATCGTGTCATTGCACTCCAGCCTGGGAGACAGAGTAAGACTCTATCTCAAAAAAAATAAACAGAAACAAACAAACAACAACAACAACAAAAAAAAATGGCTGCCTTTGAGGTAGCAAACCTCTCTCATATATCAAAACCCATCTTGGAAGATGAAGTATTTGGCATGAGGTTACGGGAATTAAAGAGATGAAAGAGAAGTCAGGTAACTGACTTTTAGAACCCTTTCCTACTCTAAATTTCACTATTTAATGAAATTAAATAATTCATTTTAAAAAGGTGTGAGGAAAGGGTAACAAGAAAGTATAAGAGAACAGGTGTATATAATATTTGTTTTGAAACTAAGTACTCTAATCTCTTTTTATTTACATGGGAAAACTTTCTATAACTCCAGGAACTGTTGCAATCATAGAAGAGAATCAACTCAGCTGGTATAGTCTCTGGTTTCCAACTTTTGAGTTTCAAGAAGATAGTGCTGCTGAATGAATGGAGAGTATTCTAATTGATACAACCCCAGTCTAGTGGTTTAACAAGACTTGGAAATGTTGCATTATAAAGCCATGACTCCAGAAATAGCAAGTGTCTTCCAAGTTGGCAATATGCTTCTGCGACTTCTATAACAGAGACAAATGTTAAACTTAAAAAAAAATCGGAGCCAATATTAAGAAATATTATACATAAACATGCATCAAAATGAAAACTTCTAAAATTTCTAATTTTAGAACAGAGTTCAAATGTACAGATGATATTGTATATGAAGCTTCAGGACTTCATAAAAAAGTAAGTGCAAATCAGTATAAAAGAACCTCCAGTCTGGGTGTGGTGGCTCATGCCTGTAATCCCAGCAGTTTGGGATGCCAAGACAGGAGGATTCCTTGAGCCCAGGAGTTTTAGACCAGTCTGGGCAAAATAGTGAGACTTCTTTCCAAAAAAAAATTTAAAAAGTAGCCAGGTGTGGCAGCATGCACTTGTAGTCCCGTTACTGTGGAGGCTGAAGTGGGAGGACTGCTTGAGCCCAGGAGGTTTAGGTTGCAGTGAGCCTTGATTGTGCCACTGCACTCTAGCCTGGGCAACAGAGCAAGATCCTGTCAACAACAACAACAAAAATAACAACAACAATGCACGTTTATAAATAGAGACTTCAAAGTTTCTAACATTTAAGTTGCAACTTAAGAAAGGTTGCCCTTTTTTGAGAGAGAGAGAGAGAGAATCTCACTCTGTAGCCCAGGTTGGAGTGCAGTAATGCAGTCATAGCTCACTGCAGCCATCAATTCCCGGGCTCAGGTCATCCTCCTGCCTCAGCTTCTTGAGTACCTAAGACTACAAGTGTGCACCATCACACCCTACTAATTTTTAAAATATTTTGTAGAGACAGGGTCTTGCTTTGTTGCCCAGGCTTGTCTCAGACTCCTGGCCTCAAGCAATCTTCCTGCCTCAGCCCCCAAAAGTGTTGGGATTACAGGTGTGAGCCACTGTGCCTAGCCTCAAGGCTGTTTTGGTTAAAGTTATAGTTGCATGGGAGCTGATGGAGAATCAGGATTTTACTATTAATGAATGATCAGGCAACAGAAGTATACAAACATAAATTGTCTATAGTAGCCTTACCCTGGTGGCCCCCAAAGGCCATTCCTTGTGGTTTCCAAGGCTTTGAGTAGTTCTTGTTCATGCTGGCTTTGGGCTTTGCCATGTGACTTGCTTTGGCAAACAGGACATTAGCGAGTGTGACACAAGCAAAGGCTTGATAAAGCACTTGAATATTGGGGCTTGTTGCTTGGCATCAAATGTTATGCTGTAAAGAAGCTTGGGCTCTGCTATTCAATGGTGAGAAGGCCATGTGAGAGTCTGAGATGATAGAGGATGAGGGTCTGCTTGGATACTCTGGCCACAGCTGAGTTCCTAGTTTATTGCAGTCCCAAATGTGACTTCAATTATAAAAGGACCATCCAGCTTGTTCCAGTCAACTCGGAAGAATCATGAGCAATAATACATTTTTGTTGTTTGTACCCACTACATTTTGGTTTGATTTGTTATTCAACAATTGATAAAAGAAACACTACCATTTAGTAATTTATTTATAACATATGTTTTCAGTGATGTCTTTTTGATAGCTTCAGGAGAAAAATCCATTTGACAAGGAAATGGTTAAATTAAATATCCATGGTAGAACTATGGGGCCTTACAAAATACAAATGAGTAGTTTTTAGCCAAGTTATGTGAGCACAATCTAAATAGCTCCCTAAGAAGAAAGGATTTTATGAAAAACTATAATATTTTAAAGGCTTCTAGGAGAGTTTTTAGTAGCTAGTAGCAATTTATTAAATGATATATTTTGTTACATGTTTTAGACTTCTGTAGCAGCTAATTATAGTGATGCTTATTCTCTATTATCAAACAAGGCATTAATAATTTTTTTCAATGTAGACCAGAATGTCTTTGAGGAAACAAACTAAAGAAACTGTATTCTTTTTTTTTTTTTTTTTGAGACAGAGTCTTACTCTGTCATCCAGACTGGAGTGCAATGGTGCAATCTCATCTTACTGCAAACTATGCCTCCTGGGTTCAAGTGATTCTCATGCCTCAGCCTCACGAGTAGTTGCGATTACAGGCATGAGCCACTATGGCCGGCTAATTTTTCTAGTTTTAGTAGAGATGGGGTTTCACCATGTTAGCCAGGTTGGTCTTGAACTCCTGTCCTCAGGTGAGTATTCCCTGCCTCGGCCTCCCAAAGTGCTGGGATTACAGGTGTGAGCCATTGTGCCCAGCCGGAGAAACTCTTCTCACTAAACTGAACTTGTGGCTCGTTTGTTGACAAAGTATTCACTTAAAAAAAATCACCTGAGGATTTCTGAAAATTATGATTCTTTCATTTATATGAACTACTACTGAATTAAAAAATATTTACATTAAACTTAATAGAAGCCCTCCATTATATTATCCATTATAAAAAAAAAAGATTTACTGGTATTTTTAGATTTATCTAATAAAAGTACACTTTTTCATATGTTTTGAAATATAAATGGTTGTTACATAAAATGGCAGTGAAATTATAGTTTCAACAGATAAAACTGAAAAAAGTTTCTTTGGGTTATAGTTTTTTATAGAGCAAGTAAATAGTTGCTTTCTCTAAAACATAAATTTAAATGGTAAATTCAGTCATGTGGCAACAGGTATAAGAAATGTAAGTTATTTATACCTATGTTTTACAAGAATTTCAGTTAGATAATATTCCTTTCAATTATATAATGGTTAACAGTTTGCACAATTCTTTATCAGACTTTTTAATCAAGTAGTCACTAAGAGCCAAACACTATGAAAATTCTGAGATATCCAACCTAAGCTCAATGGATATATTTATGTGGACCTCAGATTGTAATGATATGGCATATCAATATAATTTGAAAAGTGCTTCACCAGGAGAAGTACTGATATGATATGGCTCTGTCCCCACCTTGAAATTTTATTATTATTATTATTATTGAGATGGAGTCTTGCCCTGTAGCCCAGGCTGGAGTGCAGTTGCACAATCTCGGCTCACTGCAAACTCCACCTCCCAGGTTCAAGTGATTCTCCTGCCTCAGCCTCCTGAATAGCAGAGATTACACGTGTGCACCACCATGCCTGGCTAATTTTTTGTATCTTTAGTAGAGACGGGGTTTCACCATGCTGGCCAGGCTGGTCTCAAACTCCTGACCTTGTGATCCACTTGCCTCAGTCTCCCAGAGTGCTGGGATTATAAGCATGAGCCACCTGCACCTGGCCCTTGAATTTTAATTATACCCAAATGTCAAAGGCAGGGCCAGATGGAGATAATTGAATCATGGGGCTGGCTTCCCCCATACTGCTCTCGTGACAGTGAATAAGTTTCGTGAGATCTGATGGTTTCATAAAGGGGAGTTAGCCTGCATAAACTCTCTTTGCCTGCCATCAAGTAAGATATGACTTTGCTCCTCATTCACCTTCCGCCATTATTGTGAGGCCTCCTGAGCCATGTGGAACTGTGAGTCAATTAAACTCAGTCTCAAGTATGTCTTTATTAGCAGCATGAGAATGGACTAATACAGTAAATTGATACCAGAAGTGAGGTGCTGCTGAAAAGATTCCCAAAAATGTGGAAGTGACTTTGGAGCTGGGTAACAGGTAAAGGCTGGAACAGTTTGGAGGGCTCAGAAGAAGACAGGAAGACGTGGAAAAGTTTGGAACTTTCTAGACTCATTGAATGGCTTTGACCAAAATACTAATAGTGATATGGACAATAAAGTCCAGGCTGAGGTGGTCTCAGATGGAGATGAGGAACTTGTTGGGAACTGGAGCAAAGGTGACTCTTGCTATGTTTTTGCAAAGAGACTTGTGGCATTTTTCCCCTGACCTAGAGATTTGTGAAACTTTGAACTTGAGAGAGATGATTTAGGGCATCTGGCAGAAGAAATTCCTAAACAGCAAAGCATTCAACAGGTGACTTGGATATTGTTAAAAGCGTTCAGCTTTATGTATTCACAAAGATGTGGTGTGGAATCAGAACTCATGTTTAAAAGGAAGCAGAGCATAAAAATTCAGAAAATTTGCAGCTTGATGTTGTGATAGAAAAGAAAAACTCATGTTCTGAGGAGAAATTCAAATCTCAAACCGGCTGCAGAAATTTGAATAAGTAATGAGCAGCTCAATGTTAATTGCTGAGACAATGGGGAAAATGTCTCCAGGGTATGTTAGAGGTCTTCACAGCAGCCCCTCCTATCACAAACCAGGAGGCCTAGGAGGAAAAATGGTTTTGTGGGCCGGGCCCAGGGTCCCCCTGCTCTGTGCAGGCTAAGGACTTGGTGCCCTGCATCCCAGCTGCTCCAGCAGTGGCTAACGGGGGCCAAGGTACAACTTGGGCCATGGCTTCAGAGGTTGCAAGCCTCAAGCCTTGGCAGCTTCCATGTGGTGTCGAGCTTGCGGGTTCACAGAAGTCAAGAATTGAGATTTGAGAACCTCCACCTAGATTTCAGAGGATGTATAGAAATGCCTGGATGTTCGGGCAGAGCTGTGCTGCAGGGGTGGTGCCCTCATAGAGAACCTCTGCTAGGGTAGTGCAGAAGGGAAATGTGGGGTTGGACCCCCCACACAAAGTCCCCACTGGGGCACTGCATAGTGGAGCTGTGAGAAGAGGGCCACTGTCCTCTAGACCCCAGAATGGTAGATCTACCAACAACTTGCATTGTGCACCTTGAAAGGCCACACACACTAATGCCAGCCTGTGACGGCAGCCAGAAAGGAGGAAGGAGGCTGTACAATTGAAAGGCACAGCGGTGGAGCTGCCCAAGACCATGGGAACCTGCCTCTTGCATTAGCATGACCTGGTTCTGAGACATGGAGTGAGACAAAGGAGAATATTTTAGAGCTTTAAGATTTGACTGCCCCACTGGATTTCAGACTTGTCTGGGGGCTGTAGCCCCATTGTTTTGGACAGTGTCTCCCATTTGGAATGGCTGTATTTACCCAACACCTGTACCCCCATTGTATGTAGGAAGTAACTAACTTGCTTTTGATTTTACAGGCACATAAATGGAAGGGACTTGCCCTGTCTCAGAAGAGACTTTGGACTGTGGACTTTTGAGTTAATGCTGAAATGAGTTAAGGCTTTGGGGGACTTTTAGGAAGGCATGTTGGCTTTGAAATGTGAAGACACAATAGTTGTGAGGGGCCAGGGGCATAATGATATGGTTTGGCTGTGTCACCACACAAATCTCACCTTGAATTGCAATAATGCCCATGTGTCAAGGGAAGGGCCAAGTGGAGATAGTTTCCCCCATCCTGTTCTTGTGGTAGTGAATAAGTCTCATGATATCTGATGGTTTTATAAATGGGAGTTTCCCTGCACAAACTCTCTTTGCCAGTTGCTATGTAAGATGTGACTTTGCTCCTCCTTTGCCTTCCACCATGATTTTGAGGCCTCCCTAGCCATGCTGAACTGTGAGTCAATTAAACTTCCTTTCTTTATAAATTAGCCAGTTTGAAGTATGTCTTCATTAGCAGTAGGAGAACAGACTATTACAAGTACTAACTGAGATTTCATGATGTATTCACTTGTTCAAACCTTTGGGTTCATGAGAGATTGCCAGAGGAGATAATCAAATGTGAAAGGCTAGAGATGAAGGGACATGGTACATATACAAAAAAGGGGAGGGCAATAATTCAAAATCGGTGGTGTATATCTTAATAGGGGAGAGTGGCAAGGGATCACAGTGGACAAATTAGCACCATCTAGATTTACACTGACTTTTAAAATCAGATGAATCTAAAGAATTTTAGATACTTTTCTAAGGAAATAGGGAAATACGAAATAAGGAACCACTGAAAGGTCTTTTTGTTTGGAGACCGGGATCTCGCTATGTTGACCAGGCTGGCCTCAAACTCCTTGGCTCAGGCAATCCTTCTAGCTCAGCCTCTTCAGTAGAGGGGTCAACAGGCATGTACCATTGTATCTGGCCTGAAAGTTCTTAAGAAAGAGGAAGACATCAGATTACATTTGGAAGTATTACTTTCAGCAAATATGCTTGCAAGGAGCCCAGTTAGGAGGCCATTGGGGGAATCCAGACAATAAATGATGGAGGAGGTAATTTGATGCAACTGCCATAGGGAGAAGTGTACGGAAGTGCATAGAGGTAGAATCAACAGCACCTGGTGATGAATTAATTGCAGCGAGTTGGAGAAGAGTAGGTGTGAAGATTATTTTCCAAAATTTATGGCTTAAGCAAGAGGATATACACTGTTTCCTCTTGTTCAAGTTATAAACCTGAGAAATGGGAATTTAAGAAAAAATGTGAGTTTTGGGGTATGAGTAATACATTTTTGTGGATGGAGGTTAATTGTAGGTACCTGTTGAACACACAAGTAAGACATTCCACAAAATGTCTTATCTAAAGTGAGGACTGAAAGAGGGAAAGGAAGAGGGGGAGAGCACAAGTGTGTGCACATGTATACAACTCTTAAAAAATTGGCTCTAACGGGGAGGAAACAAAAGATGGAGAAGGATGTATGGCCGAGAGAGGGATTGAGATTAATTTGAACAGAAAAGAGGAAGGAGTTGAAGACAAAAAAGAGGAAATAATTGTCTGAGGACACAGGAGGAAACACTGATTAGAGCATACGTTATCTCACTTATGTCTCTCTCAATCTGTCTTTCTCTAACACATAAACACAACAACTGTGATGCTGTTAATTTATGGATAATATAACTAAGATTCAAAGTCACATCACCAACAAAATGTCACTTAACTGGTATACCTTGGAGCTAAAATTCAATTCCCAATCTCCTGACAGCTGAGTCCAGAGCTCACTCTACTAGAGACAGTGGGGACTACTTAATTAATAGCTGGCGTACATTATTAAGCTCTAGCTGACAAGTTAGTCAATCCATTAAAATAATCAGTCACAAGTAATCCTGCAGCTTGATAGCCACAGTTGCATTTTCCTTTTGAATTTAAATTTTAATAAGATAATGTTTGTATGATCTAGACAGGACAGAGGTTGCTTGACTTGTTTGAAATAAAAAAGTGGCTGGGCGCAGTGGCTCATGCCTGTAGTCCTAGCACTTTGGGAGGCCGAGGCGGGTGGATCACGAGGTCAGGAGATCGAGACCATCCTGGCTAACAAGGTGAAACCCCGTCTCTACTAAAAATACAAAAAATTAGCGTGGTGGCGGGCACCTGTGGTCCCAGCTGCTCGGGGGACTGAGGCAGGAGAATGGCGTGAACCCGGGAAGCGGAGCTTGCAGTGAGCCCAGATCGCGCCACTACACTCCAGCCTGGGTGACAGAGCGAGACTCTGTCTCAAAAAAAAAAAAAAAAAAAGAAAAAGAAATTAAAAAGTGTCAGAGATATGTGTAGCAATCATATTTGCATTTTTTTATTCGAAGTGTATATACTTTCCACTACTTTGGCTGTTTCATGTTGGTCTAGAATGACCCATTCATTATCTAGTTTTGCTCTGTGGCTTTAAAGTAGAATTCATTTATTTGAACAGTTATGGAAATTAACGGCAATAAAAAATATAAGAGAGAAAAGGAGAAAATTATTCGACTTTATTTTCTTTTCTGTATAGAAGTAATCCAGTAACTCCTTTTATTTCAAGGATTAAATTATCCAGAAAAGCGCTTTTATTCTTGTATTTAATATGGATTATTAGATGTATAGCATTTTTCTTATTTGGGACTCAAGTTGCATAGGACATGCATTATTCATGGAGAGAAAATGTGGTAGTAAGCACACTTGCGTAAACATCATATGTAGGATATTTTAAATTTAGAAATAGTATTTGGCCTTATGCTTCAGGAAACATCCTACTAAATCATACAAGGACTAAAGCTTTTGATAGACATTTATCAATCCGCCATGGATGCCTGCTGTGACAAGCTATCTTTAGGAAGTAAGAATTTGTGAAGATTAAGTTACTGGGCTTGCTCTATTAAAGGAAAGTTGAATGTAAATATAATTGCATTGTAACATCCCAGTGTAGATCTTGGGTTTGCTAGAACAGTATTAAGTTTAAATGTTCTGACTCCTAACAGATGATGTATGATACCATATATCCTGAATTTTTGTTAGGAAAATATAGTCACCATGTTGTGTTTACACTTGCCATTGGCAGCAAGTCTCCTTCAAATCTTTCCTGAATTCATTCCAATCCAAATTTATTTCTCGCCTCTGAACTAAAATTGCCATAGACCAATCACTACTGACTAGATAATGTGATAGTTAATGATCATTTCTCAGTCTTCATGTAAATAAGCTTATCAGATGCATTTGCCATAGCTTATCTTGTCCTCCTTTGAACACTTTCTTCGCATGACTTCCAGGGCTCCTATTACCTGGTTCTTCTATACCTTACCTGATTTTCTTTTTTCAGTCTTATGTTCTTTAAATAACGAATCCCCCACAGCTCATTCTTTGGACCTCTACCATCCCACATCTCCATTCATTTTTTAAGTGATCTTGTTCACACCTATGGCCTTTAATTATTTTACAGCCAAATTTTGTATCTCTAACATGGACTGCTCACCTGCAATCCAAACTTGTATAATCATCACTACTTGAATATCTAATAAGCATCACAAATTAATAGGTTCAAGGCCAAACTCTAAATTTCTCTTCCTCTCCCACCTGCTCCTCTCCTAATCTGTCCCATTTCAGAATAGGACAAATTCATTCTTTAGCGACTCATGTCAGTCATCTTAGATTCCTTTTGTCACATCTCACATCAAATCTGTCATGATATCTGGTACATGCACTATCAGAATACACCTCCCCTTCTACCATGACTTCTTGCATCTAAGTCCCTGACATTTCTTAGTGGTATCATTGTAACTGCTTCTTAACTCTTCTCTTTGTTTCTGCCTTTGCTGCCCTACAGACTATTTGTAACCTTGTTTTCAGGGTGATTATTTTAAAGCACATCATCATATCTATCATCTACCCAGAATTCACTGATCGTTTCCCAAATCCCTCTGAAGAAATACTTAAAAGCTTTCTTGTGCGCTTCATCGCTCTACAAGATCTGTACCTCACCCTTCTCAACACTATCTTCAATACTTAGTCTCCTATCAGGCTCCCCTTCTTCCCCCATTTTCTCCAACTCACTTAACTCCATTCCAGCCACATCAAACTCCTATGTGTCTTATGAAGGTGCCAAGCCAGTTTGCATGTCAAAGCTTTGGCACTTTCTATTTGTTCTGAGACCTTTTCTTTATGTCAGGTTGTCTCACTCCCTGTTTTCTTTTAGGTACCTTTTAAATGTCACTTTTTATGAGAAGCCTTTTCTTATCTCTATGGTAAATGCTACCCATGTTACCACACACCCACCTTTTGGTACTTGACACTATATTTGATAGTTTGTTTGTTGCCTATTGCTATTAGACAATTATGTATTTAAAAATTAGAATTACATACTTTTAATTAGACAACTAGAATATTTAGTTCCATGGAAACAAGAACTTTGTCAGCTCTAGACCCAGCAGTGGTGCCCGTTACATAGTAGGTTCTCAGTAAATACTTGTGGAATGAATGATTATATATTTACTATTGCTTCCTGAATTGAACACATATTTTTCATAGAGTAAAAACCAGCTAAAACAAAAGTCACCAATACCTTCCAGTTATTGCTTCCTCTGTAAATAAGCTTTTAGCTCTTTGGCTTTGATTTCTACATGCAAGTCTAAGCTGAAGAAAATGGAGAATCAGTACTAGTAGGTATTGTGAATGCAGGTTGTAACTCATAGGAATATTAGTATTGAACTACAAATACATACAGATTTACCTCTTGATATTTGGGTTATGAGTTATGATACCTGCACAACCACAATAGAAGGCTCTTTTCTGCTGACGATTTGTGAATTAGGACAGTGACCTGAATTTCATGTCTTGTAGTACTTCCTTTCCAGGATTAAAATGTTCCTTACAGTAGTTTATTTAATATTATTTTTTAAAAAATATAATCACTGAGGAACAGGTTCTCCAAGATTTACACTTCTTATTCCACAAGTTGAAGAATTCAGCACTGATGACTTTTTAAAATGCTGGCAAGCAGTAGTGCAGAGTGCCCCAAGTTTTGGTCTGCCAGTGGTAGACAAATCTCACATTTTCCAAATGCCAGTTGTATGAGTTTGGCCTAGTTATAACTTTCTTCAGTTTAGTTTCTTTGGATAGGAAACAGGAAGGATAGGAGCATCCACACTATAGGGTTGCCTTGAAGATTAAGTGAGGAAATGCATGAAATGAAATTTAGAAAATCCCTAAGAATGCTTCTGTAGCTTCCTTATCTAGCATTATTTTTAGTATTATATTTACCAGTTTCAGTGTTCGTGTGTAAGATATCTTTCCTTGACTGGTCTTAGTTTTCTGGTACATAGAGGGGCAGCTATAAATGCAGCTGTTCTAAGAACAGAGTATGGGGTTATTGGAATCCTGGTGTTATCACCTGCATTTAAGAATTATATGTTTTTCAAGTTCTTTTTAAATTCAAAGGTGAAATTAAATTTTTTTGTGTTACATTGCCTCAAAAGTGTGGAAGAACTTTGTTTCCCTCCCACGTATGGAAAAATACTTTTTAAAAAATGATTACAACTGAAAAGTCAATTTAAATGTTTTAAAAACTGAAGCTCATATGTCTTTATATTATAACAAATTTTGCACCTGTAGCATTACAACTAATGCTACAGAAGTTTACATCATGTGTTAGTGAATATTTCCGCAGGAAGGTGCTAATGCTTCCTAAGTAGCATATGGGCCATTAGAGCTGATATGTGAAGAATGACTTGTATAGCAATCTTCTGAAAATTATTCAAGAATTTGTTGTAAGAGAAACAGAATTTCTAGAGACACAAGAATCAAAATACCAGCTTGAATATTATAATGACACTTTGTAGTTGTATATCACCTTTCAGAGAATTCTTCACACCTATTTTCTAAATAACATCTAAATAACATTTCTATGTTAGTAAAGTGGCAGGTGTAGGCTTCTCTTCAGTAAAAAGGGAAATACATATTAGAGAGTTAACTACTGTGTTTGCATTTGTACTATAAGTTCTTCTTGATTGAGCTTTACATTTTTAGGATTTTCAAATATGCATTATTTTACTGGAAGTAAGAAAATTGTCAACTCTAGCATTAACTTTGAGTAGAGGAAAGAGCAGATATTAAAAATAATCTGGTTAATCCAGGTCCTGCTGTATGTGTTAAAGATAAGGAGCTATTAGCACCAAGAATATTATTCTATTTAGAAAAATAACTGCCTTGACTATAGGTGAGAACATTCATAGATACAGGAATCAAATCAAATAAATATTTATTTTTTTATTCATTAAGCGTCGACTCTGCATTTACTACAAACCCATTACGTGTCAGATAACGCAGGCACTGAAAATACAGGTTGGATTATACTCAATCTCTGCCGGGACCTCCAGCCAACCCCACCGGTATTCTCCGGCTGACAGAGATTTGAAAATTCCCTGAGACAGAGCTCCCAGAGGGAGGGGCGGGCCACCATCTTTGGGGTTTGGGCAACTTACCTATTCCAGTCTTCGGGCTTAGGAGAGCCCAAGCCGATTGGGGGTGGAAGTGGTCCCCAGCACAGCACAGTGGCCCTACAAAAGCATGGCTAGACTGCTTCTTTAAGCGGGTCCCCAATCCTGTTTCTCACCACTGGGTGGAGCCTCCCAGTCGGGGTCTCTGGCTAACTCCACCAGCGTTCCTGTTCCCTGGCTAACAGTGGTTTCAGGCCTCCCTGGGATGGAGCTCGCAGAGGGAGGGGTCGGCTGTCATCTTTGCTGTTTGGGTTCCTTACCCATTCCAGTTTTGGGGCTTTGGCGTGTCCGAGGTGACCGAGGTCTGAAGCGGACCCCCATCACAGCATAGGTGCTCTACGAAAACATGGCCAGATATCTTTTTTAAACAGGTCCCTAATTCCGTTCCTCCTGACTGGGAGAGACTTCCCTACTGGGGTCTTTAGCCACCTCCTACAGGTATGTTCAGTCCAGCAACAGGCCTGGACCTCCCTTGGACAGAATTCCCAGAAGGAGGGGCAGGCTGCCATTTTTGCTGTTTCACATATACCCTCCTAAGTCTGAACCAGGAGGAAACTGAATCCCTGAACAGACCAATAATAAACTCTGATATTGGGGCAGTAATAAATAGCCTACTAAAACAACACCACCACCAAAAACAAACAAACAAACAAACAAACAAAACCAAAAACACCTAGGACCAGGCAGATTCACAGCAGAATTCTACCAGATACAAAAAGAAGAGCTGGTATCATTCGAGCTGAAACTATTCCAAAAAATTAAGGAATAGGGACTCTTCACCACCTCATTCTATGAGTCCAGCATCATCTTGATACCAAAACCTCGCAGAGATACAACAAAAAAGGAAAACTTCAGGCCAATATTCTTCATGAACATTGATGCAAAAATCCTCAACAAAAACTGTATATAGCAGCACATCAAAAAGCTAATTCACTGCTACCAAGTAGACTTTATCCTTGGGATGCAAGGTTGGTTCAACATATGCAAATCAATAAATGTAATTCGTCACATAAACAGAACTAAAGACAAAAACCACATTATTATCTAAATAGATCCAGAAAAGGCTTTGGATGAAATTCAACAGCCATTCATGTTAAAAACTGTCAATAAACTAGGTATTGAAGGAACATACCACAAAATATTAAGAGCCTTCTATGACAAACCCACAGTCAACATCATACTGAATGGGTAAGAGCTGAAACCATTCCCCTGGAAAAGTGGCACAAAACAAAGATGCCCTCTCTCACCACTCCTATTTAACATAGCATAGAAAGTTCTAGCCAGGGCAATCATGCCAGAGCAAGAAATAAAGGGCATCCAACTAGGAAAAGAGGAAGTCAAACTATCCCTGTTTTCAGATGACATGATCCTCTGTGTAGAAAACCCCATAGTCTCATCCCAAAAGCTTCTTAAGCTGATGAACAACTCCAGCAAAGTCTCAGCATGCAAAATCAATACGCAAAAATCACTGGCATTCCTATACAACAACATTCGAGCCAAGAGCCAAATCAGGAACATACACCCATTCACAATTGCCACAAAAAGAGTAAAATACCTAGGAATACAGCTAACCGGGGAGATGAACAATCTCTATGATGAAAACTATAAACCACTGCTCAAAGAAATCAGAGATGACACAAACAAATGGAAAAATATTTCATGCTTATAGATAGGAAGAATCAATATCGTTAAAATGGCCATACTGCCCAAAGCAATTTCTAGATTCAATGCCATTCCTAGAAAACTACCAGGGGCATTGTTCTCAGAACTAGAAAAACCTATTTTAAAATTCATACAGAACCAAAAAAGAACCTGAACAGCCAAGTAGATCCTAAGCCAAAAGAACAAAGCTGGAGGCATAATGCTACCCAACTTCAAACTATGCTATAGGGCTGCAGTAACAAAAACAGCATGTTACTGGTACAAAAACAGTCACATAGACCAATGGAACAGAATAGAGATCCTAGAAATAAGACCATACACCTACTACTATCTGATCTTCACCAAACTTGATAAAAACGAACAATGGGGAAAGATACCCTATTCAATAAATGATGCTGGGTTAACTGGCTAGCCATATGCAGAAGATTAGAACTGGACCCATTCCTTTCACCATATATAAAAATTAACTCAGGATGGATTAAAGACTTAAATATAAAACCCAAAACTATAAAAACCCTGGAAGACAACCTAGGTAATACCATTCAGGACATAGGCATGGGCAAAAATTCATGATGAAGACTCTGAAAGCAACTGCAACAAAAGCAAAAATTGGCAGATGGGGTCTGATCAAAGTAAAGAGCTACTGCACAGCAAAAGAAACTATCAACAGAGTAAACAGACAACTTACAGAATAAGAGAAAACATGTGCAAATCATGAATCTGACAAAGGTGTAATATCCAGCATCTTTAAAGAACTCACACAAATTTACAATAAAAAAAACAAACCTATAAAAAAGTGAGCAAAGGACATCAACAGACACTTTTCAAAAGAAGACATACATGTGGCCAAAAATCATATGAAAAAAAGCTCAACATCCCTGATCATTAGAAAAATGCAAATCAAAACCACAATGAGATACTATTTCACACCAGTCTGAATGGCTATTGCTAAAAAGTCAAAAAATAACAGATGCTGGTGAGGTTGTGGAGAAAAGAAAATTTTTTTTACACTGTTGGTAGGAGTGTAAATTAGTTCAACCATTGTGGAAGATAGTACGATGATTCCTTAAAGACTGAAAGACAGAAATACCATTTGATCCAGCAATCCTATTACTGGGTATATACCCAAAGGAATATAGATCATTCTATTATAAAGACACATGCACCTGGTATGTTCATTGCAACACTATTCACAATAGCAAAGACATGGAGTAAACCAAAATGCCCATCAATGATAGACTGAATAAAGAAAATGTGGTACATATTCACCAGGGAATACTATGTGCCCATAAAAAAGAATGAGATCATGTCCTTTTCAGGAACATGGATGGAGCTGGAGGCCATTATCTTTAGCAAACTAACACAGGAGCAGAAAACCAAATGTCACATGTTCTCACTTATAAGTGACAGCTAAATGATGAGAACACATGGACACATATAGGAGAATAACACACACTGAGGTCTGTTGGAGGTTGGAGGGTGGGAGGAGGGAGAGGATCAGAAAAAGTAACTAAGGAGTACTAGGTTTAATACCTGGGTGATGAAATAATCTGTATTACAAGCTGCTATGACACAAGTTTACCTATGTAACACATCTGCATGTGTACCTCTGAACTTAACACAAAAGTTACAAACAAACAAAAAAAACTTAATTGTTAAGACTATTCAAACTTGCTCAATGGGACAAATAGTCTTTTGCATCTTGAGTAAAATTAAAGACACATCCCATTGCACTTTTGGTGATTTCTCAATCATAAAATATCAGTAAATTGTGGGCAAAAAACACCTAATTTTAATAAATTTCCAAACCCATATAAAACTCAACACTGTGAACTGCTCATTTTTTTTTATTATACTTTAAGTTTTAGGGTACATGTGCACAACGTGCAGGTTTGTTACATATGTATACATGTGCCATGTTGGTGTGCTGCACCCATTAACTCGTCATTTAACATTAGGTATATCTCCTAATGCTATCCCTCCCCCCTCCCCCCACCCAACAACGGGCCCCGGTGTGTGATGTTCTCCTTCCTGTGTCCATGTGTTCTGCTCATTTAACACCCTCCCCAAGCTCTACCTTGCTTCAGGCGGGGCACTTGCAGTGGGATAGAGGGTTATGGACACCTTCTCTATTTCTCCACTTTGTGTTTTTTCTTCTACCCATTTCCCCATCCCATTCTTGGTTCCTTTCTAGCTCCTCTGAGTTTGAGGTTGGCCGTAAGGAGCAAGCATTTTTTTTATTGACAGGTATTGCTATGATCTGACATTTGTGTTATGGAGGGTTGGTGGATATTCAAGGGTAGCATTTTCATACAGCATTCTTGGGGATTTCTTAAAGATACTTTAACAGGGAATGTTTAGCAATGTCTCCATTGGTTTGTTGCGTATGATTCTTTCTTAATCATGTAGGTGACCAACAGCCTACCTCCTCTAATTGGGATTACAAATAGTTGAAAATGAACTTCTCAATTGACGCTGTTCCTAACAGTAAGAAACTCTCATATACCCTTGTCCCTTTTAACTTTGCTCATCAAAGTGTAGCTACCAACAGATTCATCTCAGCTTCTTCCTGATCTGGCATCATAGTCTCATAGTTACAATCTTGGAAATTTATATTCCTTAGGTGTCAATGCAAGATGAGTCCCCTTTGTTTCCTCAATTCTAAGAGAGTAACAGTGCTCTCTAAATGTGTTCTGGTTGCCTCTTATTATTGCATTTGGCAAACAAAGTTGGATGGAATTTTTTTTAACTTATGGGGTTGGGGAAAGGAAAGATATAAAAGTATAAAAGTATTTACAGTAGTAAATTTAAGTATTTCAATAAAACAATACTTCCTATATTTAACCCTAATGCCAATTTAGAAATCAAGTCAGAAATCAGAGTGACAATTTCTTTCTCCGAAATTACTACATGGAGCATATAGTGATACTTTTCACCGCAAGATGTTGGACAAGTGCTAGCAATTGGAAACTTTGCGTGAATTTTAGCAATGAGAGAGAAGAGGAATTGTCATATGTAGGCAGCTGATGAATTGGCAACTAAAACTGAAAAATTAAGAGAATCAGAACGAAAAATCAAACTATATGGCGTGCTGATATGCAATATGAGGTGAGAGCTAACGAATTGAGGAAGAATTGACTAGAATGGAGAGTGACTGATTATGGATAAAATTGGCTCAAACCACCTGCATTCCATTATTTCCCAGGGTTGATTTCTTGTGCTAGCAGGTTTGGCAACTGTTTCCTTCTTTTTTCCAAGTTCCATGGAGTTTCCTCCTAAAGTTGTGTAGTAGATTAAAGTCAACTTTATCAAATAAATGATGTTGGTGATAGCTAGGATCTCCAAACTAGCTCCCTAGTTGATACTTTGAAATATAGACGGAAGTTTGCTTCAGTTCAAAGAAGAATCTTTGTTTGTACACTCTCTCTGTGCCAGTCAGTGTAGTAGACAATAATGATACAAAGATAAAGACACAACCTCTTGTGCTGAGAACATTGATCTGTGGATGAGATAGGAAAGTCATTTGCGATAATTCTCCCTAACAGATATGCAGAAAATATATTACAGGAAGGACTGGTGTGTTTGGAACCTTTTCTGGGCTAGCTTCTATAAATGGTACTCTCTGGAATTATAAAATTCAGCGGCCTTCAGGAATAGTTGATTTTCAACAATTGCTTTAACATAGGTTTCTAAATATTTCAGGCAAAATCCTCTACCACCTCTGCTATCTATTTAGTTATACTTACTCTGGCAGCAATGGGGATGAAGAATGATGGCACTGGTAAAACTTGCTTGCTTTGTAGTTATTTTGATTTCAGTTAAAGTTAATAGACTTTTATAAAATAGAGCTGCAAAATATTGTAGTGATATTTGAATAATCGCCTTAAAAAGAGATTGATGGAAGAATATGCTTCCCTGGAAGAAAAAAACATGTAATGCCAACAGAATTGTATTTGATAAAATTGTGTCCTAGATTGTTTCTCTTTTTGTCTTTGCAAATCAAAAGGAAGTATTTCCATGAGTTGGTTTAAACATATATTTAGTAAAGAGTGACTTCAAAATAATTGGATGCTTTTTTGGATTCAATTTATATTTGGTGAATAAAGGATGGGAGATTTCAAGCATATGTAGACTGAAAATTTTGCTCATTTCTCTTGTTTAATAACCATATACAAGTAGATTGGTTTATCATTTATTTGTATTTGATTGAAAAACTCTCCAGGAGTTGTACTATGCAAACCTCTATTTTTGGTTTTGTTTGTATGTTTTCTTGATTATTTTACTTTCTGTCAGATATGTGGCTCAGAAGTTAATATATAAATTTTCAAAGAAAGTTATAACCGATGACTTCTGTGATGTCATATTTACATTATGGCAGACTAAATAATAGTATGACATTGAAATTTATATTTAATAAGTTAGTATACTTTAGATGAGAAGAGAACAATTTCACACAGGAGAAAAATAAAGGGACCAATGCAACTATATTGGTTATGAGTTAATTTGCAGGCAAAGAATAGAAAATTATACCATGGGGCTTGAAAACATAGTTTATTTTTATCACATTATCAGCCATCTGAAAGCAGGTTGTTGTGGTAGAGTTGGAAACTTTAATTATCCAGATAATAAAACTAATATAATTTAAATCTAAGTAATTTGCCCTTATTCACTAATTAGGAATATAACAATTGGTAGATAACATTTGTTGTTGTTATTATTATTAACATAATCAAAGTTTCATTAACTTTTAAAAAGGAAACCAAGTTTTTTTTTTTCTTGAAGCCTTCAACTCTTTTTCTGTATTGTCCAAGGTCTCTGGGAGCCTCACTCTATCCACATGAAACAGTCTTGCTTCTCGAATCTCTGCTCAGTTTACCAGTTCTAAGCATTTGTTATTACCTAGAATCCCACTTGGAGACAAACCTCTCGTGATCTCATCGAAGGTGATTGTACAACCATGAAATGAGGCTATAACCTGGCCACATAGACCTCTGGCTTCAATATTCAATTTATTTGGTGCACATTTATTTATATGCTCAACAATTTTTCAAAAACTTAAAATCAATTAAAAGACAATTGGAGAAAACTAACAATGAGATGACAGTGTTAGTGAGAATGAAAGAGGAAAAATCAAAGAGCATTTTTACTTCTTATCTAACCCTCTCAAGAAAATGTCAAATCTTGTTGATTCTGTTTGAGAAACTGAGTGGATGATGGTATCATTTGCTGAGAAAGGAAACATTTCCTAAGATAGAAAACATTAGAAGAAGAGCAGGTGTGGGGAAGGAGAGGATGGCATTACTTTGAAATATAGTGGATTTTAATTGCTTCTGAACCATCTAAGCTTATAAAGAGATGTTAGTTGGTGTCTGGATATATTATTCTGAAATTTCAGTGAGAAGACTAGAATAAAATTAAGGCTTTGGAATGATAAATTTATATTCTTACTCATTCCATACGTATAGCTTCTAAAAACCTAGAAAGTCATCTTACAGGAATGAACTACTTTTAAACTGTTGATCTTCTGTCACTGAAAAGATTCTAATAGATGTTAAAGAATTTTGGTCACTATTATGGTAAAAGTGCTCATTAGGAGACTTCAAATTCTCCAGTTTGCTTCCCAGATTTCTTGGTTAGTTGAAAAATGGAAAATTCCAAATGCCAATAGACTTAATTTTTTTTCCACAAAAGTGAATACTTACATAATTCAGTAAAGAGATGCAAAGACTTGTTCAAAGATCATGGAATGACCTTTTGTCCAACGTCTGGAGTTAAAGCTGGATCATGTGCAATGTTTAATGGATTAAAGAAATGGCAGATGAGGAAAACAGAGTCAGTAAAGTAGGAGAAGAGAAGTTGTGAAATGAAAACGTCATGAGAAATGGGAGTAAGGTTAACCTTTGTTCCACTCCTGGTTATGCAACTTATCTGCTATTTTACCTTGAGCTACTTATTTAATCTTTAAATTTTCTCATATGTTAAATGAGTGAAATAATATATATTAGTTGTGAGGATGAAATATGTATAATGCTTTGGATAGTGCCTTTCATATATATGGGGATAATAATATAGTTACTCCTACTAGCAGTGTGCATTTTGTGACTTATATTACACAAATGAAAATAATTTGTAAAAAATCAACATTCATAGAAAGCTTGTCTAAAAGCACAGAAGGTGAATTTTAAATATATATGTGTGTATGTATATATTCTGTCTTATTTGAAAATAAAATATGAACATGTGGAAAAAATAAACATTTTCACCAAATTTTTACGGCTATCCAATGCAGAAATATTTGCAAAAAACCCTCATTCAGTTATTTGTTTTTCTTTTTGCTATGATTTGCATAACTGATGAGAAATTCAATATTGGACACCAATTGAGAATAAAAATAAATGGATTGAGTTTCAACACAAATCATTTATCTATAATGCTAGAGCTGAAAATAATATTGAATAGAGTGCTTACATTTAAGCTAGTTAGGCAAAAACCTAAGCCGTGCATGATGTCAATTTTTCTTTTATTAACGATACCTTGATATAAAACCATTGAAAGTCAGGAAAGGGAAAGAATTCAATGTCCATTAGTACCATCTTTTCAATGGAAAGATGAAAAAGTAAAGCTCTAAGAGGACACATCTCATGGTCTTAGAACAGACTTCTAGATGAAAGTCTTCTGACTTCAGTCTCATTTTCATTCTCCCTGTGCTCCTTCTATAAACTGCCAGTCTGTTTATACAATGGCAAAAATTTGTCATCAACCTATGCAATGGCAGAAAGGCCTTTTGGAGTTTTAAGCTTGAGCAAGCATGCTGGGAAAAGACATGTTCACTAAAATTTTGGCCTTCTTTCTGGTCTTCACTGATTTGTTCAATGAGTGTGTTACAATGAGTCCATATGTGAATCCATTTTGATCCATAGTTTTCTGGGGCTATAGTTACAAGTCTGTGGTTTGGCTTGTCATGATTACATCTGTTCTGTTATTTTGAATTTTCCCAGGTCTGAAGCTTGTTCCTGTTAGAAGTCTTCAATGGTAAGTGATACTACCTCTGCACCTGAAATCCATTTAAATTCTCAGCTGCCCATGGGGGTACAACTCAGTTTCCACATTGTTTTGAAATGACCAGCTTCAACTTCCAGGACAAGGGGCCATTGAGATAGCTGATGAGTAGTAGCTGATTATCTCACAGATGTTCTAGCTAGACACTTCCCAGCTCCGGGGCAGGAAATGGTATTTAAAAATGAAGATCTTACTTCTAGATATAGATACTCTAGCAGATACTATATCTTAGATATTCAAAAAAGAGCATGATCAAAGAATATTTTCATGGGAACCATTCTTACAAACAATAAAGTATTCCAGCTAGCAAACACTCTCTCCAAGTTTTTCAAATCATTAAAAGCCTATGAAAAACTGCCATTTATTTTTAATTACATTTTGAGGGTTAGTCTACTTAATTATTCTTTTCTCATATAAATGTAAACCCTCTCCAAGGTTGTCTATTCCGTTTTTTTCTCTATTTATCCAGGTCTTCTTAGTCTATGTAGATCCTAGATCAATGATTTTAGTCTTTTTTTCCCCTAGAGAATGTCGTGTACCTCCTTTTATAATATGGTAAAAGCCTTGACACATGTCATTAGAAAAATGAACACAATTGCACACATACTCATATTCATAATATTTTGCATATAATGTTAAGGGATCAATAATATAGTTTATTAAACCCAATATATAGAAAATATTATTATACCAACATGCAATCACTTTAAGAATTATTAATACTCCAGATTATTTGTATAAAGCCTTTAAAGTGTATTTTACACTTTACGCATCTCAACTGGGATGCCAAATTTTCAGCATCTAAAGTGAAATGGAATTCTGTCCCCAAAGAAAGTTGTGTTTAATACAAGTGTACATCACTTCAGCTTTTACATTTAAATTAATTTAAATAAAATAAAAGATCTAATTTCTCAGTCACATTAGCCACATTTCCAGTGGTCAACAATCGTATGTGGCTGGTGGCTACTGTATTGGAGGCTGAAAGTCCATAAGATAAAACTGAAACGCTATCCTGTGGATTATGGAAAAGGTCTCTGGATCAATGAGCTTTTCTTCTTGCTGCCACCCCTGACAACACATCATGTAGCCATCTCACCATAGAGCACTTCACCATTCTTTATATGTACTGTGACCTTATGCCTCTATTCTTGGATGCCCTTGACTCATATTTTGGTAACTCTGTTTACCCTCAGATACTTGGTTCCTCTATAAAGATTACCATTTTGACCATTAAAAATTATATTGCTGTCCAACCTCAAATATTAAGAAAACAAATCTTTTCTTATTCTGTGGAAATACACTCTTACTGAGTACTTAGAATGAGTGTTAGCCTCTTTCATATGTGTTTTCTCATGTTATCTAGTCAACTGAAGGGAGAAACTGAAGTTCATAGAAGTATGCTGTCCAAAGTCACTTATCGCAAACTAGAGGAAGGAAGAGGAGCCATTAGCCAGGAATTACCAGCATGTTCTCACCAACAGAGGTACAAATTTATGCACATTTGCACCCACCTTCTCTCTCTCGTATCTGTTATATTGGAGGAACTAAAAGCCCAATGTAACAGGAGGGTTTTAATATTATGTTGTAAAATAGTAACATTTATGTTAATTTCATAAGTGCTCTGGATAACATCAATTTTCACACGATCAAGGACTTTGCTTGTTACTATTGTTTGGTATGATTTGAGAAATAGAAGACACTTTGGAAAGTATCCACCTCTATGATTCATGCCTCCACTCCATCCCTTTTTTGTTTTATTAGCTCCAGAAAATTTTGTTCAACTATAATGCTATCAGGAAGCCAAAGGCAAAAGAGGCTAAAAAATATTAGAAATTAAGAATAAGCAGAGTATATTGTCTGAGATTATTCATCATACCTGTGGCAGAACAAGGACAATAATATGGACTTTTTAATTCTTAGTTTGGTGCTGTTTTCATTGTATTATATTTTCCCCTTCCAAGGCCCTTACTTTATCAAGAAACAAACTGTTCCCCTAGAATGACAATGAGTAGAAATATCTATTTGTAGAATCTCATTTAAAAGAACAAGACAAAGTCTGAGAGTTATAAAAACCAAGTATTTGGTGCTAGGTATGAATGTTTCCAAAATGTAGGTAATTTAAATGCCTTTAGCCATTAGAATACAGTTGTGGCACTGAGGTTTTGTTTTTTTTTTTCTTTTTGATGCCTACAGGGTGTTTCTTTTTATGTCTCTATAATTTTTGAAAAAATTGAAACTTATTCAGCATGATGAATATAGTACTTTCAGGCTATCCCACTTGTTAAAGCATTTACTGACTTAATACTTAAAATTCGGCTTTCTAAACAAAGATGAATTAGAAAATATCAAAGTGTCAAAATAAATAGCCAGGTCTTCTAACCAAGTTTTCAAAAAGGTCAGCATGGGTATTCTGGTTAAGTTGACAAATAAAAGAAAAATATGGACCATGTCAGATGATACGTAAAAATGTTTTCAGAATTTTCTACATCATAAAGACTGTGGTCCTGTATATAGAATAATAGTAAGCAAAAGGGCTTCAGAGAACGTTTAAGATATCATCTTGACTTTATTAATCTGCAAACCATATTTCCTATTTTATGTTATTTAGGATATTGAGGCTGGGCAAATTGACTGGATATTACAAAGTACGGCTGAGGAGGTGTTGACTATATGTGTTACCCAGATATCGTGTGAGTATTTTCCTGTCCTTAGTGATCAGATAAACTTGGCTCAAAGCCCAAATTTCTCATAGTTTGCAAGCGTGTTTCCTTCTATGATCCTTGCAAAGTTATAACCTGTAAGGCACCTTCTTTTACATTTGTCACCTGCTCTGGTTTGAGTGCAAAACACTGCCCCTTGATGGCCATTAAAAGAAATGGAATCACAACAGGTACAACATTATTTTAGTTGCTTCAGTGAAAACGTGAGAGTTATGAGCGGCAGATACAATTGAAACGAGCTACTGTTTTTCTCTGCGGCTTTATCGCTGTTTTCTCTTTTTGGAAACCAATATGTATTTCACCTGCAGCCTTAAACCATCAAGAAAGGTACCAGAACAAGCTCCAACAGCTCTTTTCATGGAGATACGCCTTATTCAAGATTTCATATCTTTCCTAGCCAGCAATCATCCTCAGTCCCCTACTTCCCTTTCCTCCCTAGAATTCTTGTAAAAAATGTGTAGTACTCCTATGCAAATCCTGTGATCAGTCACTTGTTACAACCCTTCTTAGCCCTAATCTTCACTTTCTCAAGGCTACTCTTAATAAACACCTATCATTTCTCTCTCTTTCACCTAGACACACACACACACACACACACACCACACACCACACACACACACACAGAGTTATCTTCCCTGATTGTTATATTTCAGCGGACATTCAAAGACTATGAGGCTATGAGGAATGGATACTATAATACACTATAATGCAGTTAATTCAATGCAACGCAATGTAACTTAATATAACAAGGCAACAGAGCCAACTCTCTCCTGACTGTTGGCTGCCCTACCTTAAGAATCCCAGACTAAGAAAAGGTTTATTATTCCTTTCCACACATTTATTTGGGGTCATCTACGTGCTGTGTTTTGCACCACACTGTGTTAAATGCAAGGAATAGTACAATGAGGAAGATCCATCCACTTACTTTGAAGATGATGGTTTGATAAAAAATCAGAGCTAATATCTTTCCATTACTTTACAGACAAACCACTAGGTACAATACTTATCTCTCTCACCTTTACAACACCCGGTAGAGGAAACAATGTTATCCCAATTTTGTTTATGATCACATCACCCTTCAGTGAGATCCTTTTGTAAGTAGATGCTATTGCTGCCTGGTAGCTTGCTTTTTTACTCTTGTCACAACTGTTAATATCAATCGCCCCAGAACACTTGGGATCAGTGTGCGGGTTACCAGTCTAAGGCTTGATTTCTCCTCTTCTTCAAATGCAGTAGGAGCTCCCAGAAGTGCCTCATTTCAAAGGGCACCCATTTCTGGGTCTGAGCTAGTTAGTATGTTGCCCTCTCTTTGCCGCTTTCACATGCATGTCATGTCCCTATGACTGTGCACAGACTGTTTAATTTTGCCTCCAATGGAAGGTGGGTTCAAAAAGACAAGCTGACATTTTAATCAACTCATACAGCACTTTAGAAAAGCTTGTATTTCACAAAAATTCTCTATTCTAATAGCAGTTAAATCCATGAAATAAAGGGAGACTTGGAGTTTTTAGCAGTTCCCTCTGAGCCATGACTGCATCATCAGGGAAATGACAGAGTGGATAGATCACTGAGATCAGGAGGAAAAACACAAGGCAGGGAACAGTGTGGGAAGGCAAACAAAAGAGAATAAAATTGTCAGTGGAAAATAGCAGGGGTGAAGAGTGAGAAAAAGGGCAGGATGGAGTCTATTGCCAATTCCTCAGAATCACTTTCTAAATACCTTCTCTGATGTGGACTTCACCTAATGAAGCCCTTTAATTCTCACCTCTGGAGCCAGAGACCCTGTGAGCACCCTATGTGGCGACTATGTCCTAAATAGAAAAATCAGTTTTCCTATATGCTCTGTAAGGGATCTATGAGTTACCTTCCAGCTCAAAGTTGAAAGGGCTTTAAAGCTGAGGGATGCTGACATGACTTGAAGACCATCCTCATGAGTCAACTAGATATTCCCTTATAGGGAAGACTAGCCTGTATAACACTAGCTGTTCAAAGATAGATGTGATCTAGTTTCATATCTGCCATCAACATGGTTGCAAGGCTTGGACACTCCTGTCAGCTCTCAGCATTTTCCTGTATTTCACATATCTTATTTTTAAAGGAAAAACCATTCTAACACCTGAAGTGTTTAAAAAGGAAGGGAATTATTGGAAAGCATTTTGAGCCAATAACAGGAGGGAGGTATAAACATTACATTTACATAAAAACAAAAATACTATAAATTTAAAAATGGGACACCTAGCATTTGTCGATTTGATAATTATCTTTACCACTATTAAAATTAACTGAGTATATATATGTTACTCAGTTATTTTAAGTATATAATTATAGCTTTTTCTGTTGTAGCGCTTTGGTGGTAGATCCAACTGGTTATTAGTTTTTGATATAAATCACTGAAAGGTGCTGCCACCTCAGTTGTCATCACTGAGAGTCTAGGGGATTTAAGCTGTAGAGAGAGACTGTCTTCCATAAGTCTCCAATGTCCCTACACATCCTTGCTGAGTCTGCCAAACTGCAAGGCCAAACTTTTCTCCTACCCTGAGCCATATCTATAGGTAGTCTCCCAGGTAATTTAATAAGTCAAAGTGACCCCAGTAATATGGTTTGGATGTGTCCCCACCCAAATATCATCTTGAATTGTAGCTCCCATAATTCCCACATGTCGTGGGAGGGACCTGGTAGGAGGTAATTGAATAATGGAAGTGGGTCTTTCCTGTGCTGTTCTTGTGATAGTGAATAAGTCTCATGAGAGCTGTTAGTTTTATAAATGGGGATTCCCCTGCACCCACACTCTTGCCTGCCGCCATGTAAGATGTGACTTTGCTCCTCATTAGCCTTCAGCCATGATTGTGAGGCCTCCCCAGCCATGTGGAACTGTGAGTCCGTTAAACCTCTTTCATTTATAAATTACCCAGTCTTGGGTATGTCTTTATGAGCAGCATGAGGACAGACTAATACACCCAGCATGACTAGCACAAATCTACTGCTTGTTGCTTGTATGTCTACTGGCTTGTTTACTGCTTAGTAAAAAAGGTACTGAGCCCTTGGCCTTGGGTTCCTCATCCAAGTTACAACCTGCTGCATGTGTGACTGCTCTGTGTGCACACTGAATCTCCCCATGGGACTTAGGGGCAGGTGAACTGATGCTACCATGTTGATGTTTCTGCTGTTTGCTGCTGTATGTAATAAACCATTTTGTTCTAATCTATTGAGTCTGTTTTCAGCTCCTATGCAGTTGTGGCAGGCTGACCTCTTCTTGCTAAGTTCTCTCCTTTGGAGTCTTGTACTCCTTCCCATTCTCTCTAAGTCTGGAATTCTCCTTGACCAGCTGTTTACTTCTAGATTGTGCATTTTATGTGCATTTAATGGTGCCTGCTTATCTGAATTGCTTCCTAACTTTCTGGACTTACCTCCTCAGTCTCCTTTAGCTCCTCCATTTTTTCCTCCCAACACCTACATTTAGGAAGGATTAGAAGTTTGAACTTGGTTTAATTTTCCTCTGTCTTCACACACTTCCTAAGGCTATCCTATCCAACTTTGTAGCTTAAAAAATATCAATATGCTGATTTCCTCAATATCTTTCCAGTCTTTTTTTCCATGCTTCAGCTGCCTTTGTTTGGCTTCCCTAGAAGCAGAGGTTGGGTCAATGTTTACTGTGTAGGTGATTTATAATAAGAGTGTTTGCAGGAGAAACTTACGTGAGAATAAATGAAAAAGAATTGGAAACATGAAAAAGCTAAGTAAAGATTTCACATGACCCTGCAGGGAACTCTAGAGTTTAAATGGCACTGACGAGTTATTAATACCTTGAGACAAGGGGGTGAAACTTTTGTATTCTTGCACCAGTCACCATAACCTGGCTGCCCAGGATGAGGTTTGCAACCCCCGGGAATCTTTAATCAAAGCTAAGGGTAATCCTTCGTAGAACATTTAAGTTATATATCTTTATTAGCCCATGAAATGAATT
The DNA here is from genome assembly GCF_000001405.40 of Homo sapiens. Classification (NCBI taxonomy): domain Eukaryota; kingdom Metazoa; phylum Chordata; class Mammalia; order Primates; family Hominidae; genus Homo; species Homo sapiens. Next base: position 115,124,178 of record NC_000008.11, on the reverse strand, counting down.
TGTGTATCTGGGCAGGACACCAACAAGGCTCTTACATGCATGTATTATATTTATGGCTTATTAATTTATTATTTCCTATGAGGAGGAATAACATTTTATCTCATTTAATTTTAATATGATGATTATTTGATAATAAACTTACAGTATTTCACTCTAATGTAGATATAATATATATTAGTATTAAAATTATACATACATAAATAGAATATGTACATAAATATAATGCACAGATGTATTATATTTATGGCTTATTAATTTATTATTTCCTATGAGGAGGAATAAGTTTTTATCTCATTTAATTTTAATAACAACCCTTTGGTTGTAGGTACTTTTCCCTTCATTTCAGAGGTGAGACCATTGAGACTTAAGACAGGAAATTACCTGAACCAAGGTCACACTGCATTATGCGTACCAAAATTTAAATTCAGGCCCCACATTTCAAACTACTGGACAGCACCTTCCAGTAGAGATGTGAATCTGAAAGTCAGAGTATAGTGCTGCAAATGGATTTGAGTCAGACTGTGGGGCTTCAAAACCCAGTTCTATTATTTATGGGCATGTGACCTTGTGTACTTTACTTAACCTTCATAAATACCAGTTTCCTCATCTGAAAAATGGAGGTAATTTTACTACCTAAATCATGCACACATAGTGCAATGTCTGGTACCATTAAATATATGTTATTTAATACATGTGAACTGCAGATTATCTATTGTTGTTTCTATTATTACCATACTGAAGTTAACATAGTTAAATTACTGATATTCCATCCAGAATATGATCCTCCCCCAGCCTTCATCTTAGAAAATATCACTAGTTCTCCCCTTTGCTTCATGAAGGAACAGATCAGGACTGATCCTTGCTATTTTTCTCACCCACACTCTTATATGTTTAATTCATCACCAAGCCCACATTATTAGTTCTGTCTAGGGCCATATCTTTCCATTTTCATTGCTACCACCATAATCCAAGCCTACCTTTTTCCTCTTCTGACTGTCATAATAGTCTTGTCCATCTAATCAATTCCCTGAGCAGCATTTTCAGCAATTTTTAAAATATGTAAATTTTATCACAATAGTTTCTTCTTGAATCCTTCAAAGATTTTCCAAGGCTTTTCTAACTCAGGTTACCAAACCCTGAATGGTCTATCCCTTGCATAACTTTTGGTTTCACTCTGAAGCCCTCTTCCTCTTCTCATTCTACTCCAGCTACACTGGAGAACAGATTCTTCTTGAGTCTATTAAGTGCACCAAGCTTTTTGAGGCTCACAATATTCACACACGCTCTTCTCCATATCTTCAGGGTATTAACACTTACACAGCCTTCATATCTCAGCTCACTCCCCAATCTAATCTAAATTTCCCTTGCTATTCTCTCTCATGACATACTGAATGAATGAATGCATCGGAAACTATTTCACCAATTATTCTGCTTTTCCTGTATGGACATCACCTGCGGTGGCCCTATAAACAAACTCACATATAATGTGTGCCAGTCATTTTTAGGCCTGGAACTTTGAATTAATTGGCATTTTTATGGCCGCTTTCAGTTTACAAATTGTGTTCACACATATTGTGTCATTTGGTTTCATTCACGCCCTGTGAAGTAAGCACTAGTTTTATTGCTGTTTTACAGGTAGGGAAAGCTCCAAGAAGTTATCATATCCACAATCTTATAAACAGAATCTTATGTGCTGTTAGAAACACTGGTGTCTGCCCCTTAACATGAGAAATCTTGTATAGTAGCAATGAGAGGCTGTTATGGGACCCCAGACATATACCAGAGGATTGCAGAAGAAAGAATGGAAGAGTATGTTAGTTATCTAGGTTGGCACTGAAAGCAGCTATTTGAGTGTTAAAATAGTGTCTTTTTCATCTTTGAAATTAGTTCATTGTTGCTGAAATGGAATTAGACACCTGAAATATTTTTAAAAGGGAGATTAAAGTGATTTGGGGTCTACATAACCAGAATAATTGCTTCAACTGTTTACTTTCCTTGAGTGGACAAAGCTAGTTTGACTTTCAAAATAAATCCCCTTCTAAGATATACATGGGAAAATTTCAACCATCCGAATCTAAAGAAAATTAAAGACAAATACCAGAAAAGCCTCCATTAAGGCACAAAAACACATAGTGACAGTAATAAAAAACATGACTCCTATTCCACCTCCCTTGGACCCATCACCACACCACACATACTCAAACAGGCCATTAAATAGGAGAGAAAATGTGTTCCAAATATTTTATTCCAATTTTGATTTCTCAGTGTGATTACAGGAATAAGGAAACCACTCAGAGCAGCTGTGTTGAAATTTCAGATGTTTATCAGTTTGGCATTACTGGAAAAAATCTATCTCTGAAACCTAATCATTCTAGGCTATGGGGTTACACTGAGCCCTAAGAAACAGTGGGGCCTCAAGGATTACAGTACCCATTAAACCTGGAATGTTCTCTTCATTTAGATTCAATAACACATGAATTTAAGGAAAGCTCCCTGTGATTTTCTCATATGTATATAACTTTTTAATTGCCACTGGTGTATAAATTAATATAATAAAGTATTAAGTGACACCTAAGTGGGAAGTAGACATTTTAATATGCAAGCTTTTATTTTATCTCTCTTTTTTATTTTTTATTTTTTGAGCAGGTAACTAATCTTGACTCAAATGCCCAAGTAGAAGAATGTGTTGAGTAATAATTATATAGTCTTGGGGATTTTCAAAAATGTTTGGCTGTAAACCTAGGTAATTCCCATTTGTTTCAGAAGAAGTAAGTCTAAGCAAGTTGAAAACTACAGATTGAAATAAAGAAAGCTAACTTTTCCTCATCTGTGAACATACGAAATAAATGAATGGACTCTTGTAATAATTTAGCTAATAACTTGCTGCTCTGCTGAAATAGGTAGGTCAAACTGTCTCTTGGTCTCAAGTAAAACTGTTGCATACATTTTCAAGCTTTCAAATAGTTGTTGTCATAAGCTGACATAACCTGAAACTAATTGTAGTCTGGCTTCTGTTGATGTCTTGTAAAGATATGTGTAGCAACTTCTACAGAAAATATTAGTAGGAAGAGCATATTATATGCATATGAATTCATTAAGAAACTGCCTCTGATAGTTCCTACTATCTTTAGATGACTGTGGCAGGTTTACATAATTCAGAGTAGGCTTGTGACTACTTTGGCAGATAGAAGTGACTTATGAGATGAGGTCATAAAGGCAATCTAGTTTTTCCCTTTTTCACTTAAATATTTTCAAGTGGAGACCTGAGCTACCATGTAAACATTCCAACTACTCCGAAGCCACCATGCTAAGAGAAACCCAAATCACGTGGTGAAGACTCTTGTAAATGCTCTTGGCAGTAGCCCAAGTCTCCCAGCCCATGTGCCATACATGTGTGTGAAGAAACCTTCAGATGACTTCAGTTTCTAACCTTTAAGTCATCCACAACCTCCAAATTTTCCCATATACCTTTTGATACCGTGGATTAGGGACAAGTCGTTTCTGCAGTTTTCTGTCTAAATTTTTTTCAGAACATAGACTTTGTGAGAATAATAAAAATATTAATTTGAGACACTCAATTTCGAGTTAATTTTGTGATGTAGCAATAGTAACCGGAACAATTAGTGACCGATTTTTTTTTTTTTTTAACGGGTGGCCACAGCCTTCAGAACATAAACCCAAACAGGAAATATGGCTTCCCAACTCTTTGGCAGACTTCTTCTTGGATCATGGTAGTAAGGAGCACCAGCTGAGTTTCAAGAAGCAGAGGTCATAATCCTGCTTTCCCCAGGGATGCACTGATGATTTTCAAGTGAAATGGAGACAAGAGGAAATAATTCATAAGATCAAAAGAAGATTTTTAAATACTATTGCTTCAATTATCCAGAGATACTAAGAAAAATGTTATATAGCTTGAATTAATAATAGCTTGAAGTCTACTTAATTTTGTATTCATTTCCTGGTCATAATATGAGATCTCTGAGTAAATGTCCGAGTTTGGAAAGAATGAATAGAAAAGTCCTCATTAGTTAATAAATAATACTAGGCGGCTCACACACAAGGTTTGCCATGGGGACTAGTGAAATATGTGAAAGCATGTAGTCCTCAGAGACTAATTCCACAATAACAACATCCCGCTTCCAGACTCTGAGTTGAGTGCCCAGATTTAGACAAGCTCGACAGTGCTCTAATAGAAATGAAATCATTTGATTGGCGTCATTGAAAAGAATAGTGGTTTCTCCTCTCTTCCATTAAGTTTAAAGAGAACAGGAAAAATTCCCTATTTTCATATTCAGCTTCTTCCTTCATTCATTTAGTTCTATAAATTTGCATCAGCATATTTTTCTATAATACTATCAACCCATGTTAAAGTAATTGAAGAATTGGGGCAATGTTTTGGCTGAAACAGGTAAATATGAAGAAGTGATTTGGTTCATAATCTTACTTCCAATTAAGTTCTCTCCAAAAGAGGGCAGAATAATCACTGTGGCCAAAAGCAACTTAGTTAAGAATGCATTATATTATTTAAAAAACCGTTAAGTCCTTTCCTTGTATACAGAAAGACTTATTTAGTAATAATATGCTGGGAGGAGTCTACATTGACAGTGTCTAAGTCTCATTTTCATTCAGTCATAAATTATTAGAAAAATAAGGTAAGAGAGAGTAACATTTGATTTTATTCTTGGACAGGGTAATACCTGATTCTATAATGATACAATTTTTGTTGTTATGAATATATGACACACACACACACACACACACACACACACACACACATGCAGACAAAAAAAAGGAGATGGATAATTGGTAAATTGTGATCATTTCAAGCTTTGTAGACAGTCAAATTTGATAGGACTGGGACACATATTAAAGCCAGATTCATTGTAACAATGTGGGAGATAAGGAAATTTTCAACTTTGCCTTGGATAGCTAGGTCCCCTGAGCTTACTAAGTCTGGTTACATGTATGAGACTGAGCCAGAACCTGAGTTGTGTATGAGTGTAGTGAAACAGAAAATGGCCAGTCCACAGGAACTCATTATCAGAAACATTATTGCTATGGCACTATGGGAGAGAGTATATCATCAGGTTTAAACTGGCATTAGACCTCTATCTTAGATCAGTGCAAGGCACACTTTCATATAGGAAACCTGCATAAATTCACACTTCCTGTGGGTAAATTGTATGTTCTATTTTGCAAAATACACCTTATTTTCAATTAAATAAAGAAAAGGGGTAGCTGTCTGACTCAATCATTTGTGGGACCTCTATAGGCAGGTCTTATAAACCATTTGCTTTTCAGCCTGTGCACATATGTGTTTGTGTGTGTCTATGCATAAACAACCAAACCAAATTCTGCATTTCTTCTATAGATTTAAGAAAGTTTTTAAAACTGAAAATAATAAATTATTTATTATTCATAAATAAAAATTATTCCATAATAAGCCCATGAGTTTCATAAGAGTCTTATTGACCTCTATACGTAAGGTTTGGAAAACAGTGGTGTCAGTCATAAATCTTTTTTCTCAACATAGTCTTAACTCAGTCGGTTTCAAGCATAGCTTGGTAACTTTACTTCCTTTCTCATACTGTTCATTCAACTTACAGACACAATCTGCCCCTTTTCTTTCACTCAACCTGTGTGTGTGTGTCTGTGTTTGTGTTGGGACAAGAAGGTTTTTGCTCAACTTCTCCTCCTGGACATAGCCTATTAAGAATTAATCTTATTAAGGACCAATGTGAATATGACAGTAATTATTTATTCATGTAAATCTATTCTAAAATTAAATTCATAGACAACAATCTTTTATACAAGTAACTACTGATATTAAAATATAATCTTTGATCATTAGCAAAATGGTTGAATAATCAGTGGTATAGCCATACAATAAAATACTGTACAGTATTAAGAATGAATAAACTTTATCTCCTTACAGTGACATGGATATCACAGACCTCACGTTACTCATGTTTCATGTTTCATTCCTTCTGTCTCTTTGCCTTTTTTTTTTTATTTTTTTATTTTTTTTTTGCTTTTCCACTGCCTTCCTTTATCACTAGGTTATTTAAGTCTTAAGCTATCAGAATCCTTGTTCCTTCGTGGGCATTAGGGAAAGTGTTCCTTCCTCAAGTGATAAGAAAAATTGTATTAAGTGACTAGATTATAGTGGAATCTGGGTAGCATGGCCTAGGAGAGCTTTTTTGGACCTTAGGGGCTGTGTACACACATATGCTCTTTCAAGTAAGGCAACCAGTCATATTCAAAGAGGAATGGGAGTTAGCGGGTGGAACTGAATGTGCCGGAGCTGTGAGTGGGTGAGAAAAGCAAACTCAGGAGGGGACTGAAGCAAGGTGTCTTAGTTATTTTCTGTTGTTATCATTAAATACCACGGACTGGGCAATTTATAAAGAATAGAGGCTTATTTATCTCATCGTTCTGGGAAGTCCAGGATCATGGCTCCAGCATCTGGTGATGGCATTCTTGCTGTGTCATAACATGATGGAGCCTATCACATGGGAAGAGGGCAAGAGTGTGTCAACGCACATCTCTCTTCCTCTTCTTATGAACCCACTTCTCGTCATGGAGCTCTACCCAGATGACTACCTAATTCTAATTATGTCCCAATGCCTCATCTCCAAATGCCACCAACATAAAAATGTGGGGATGAAGTTTCCAACACGTGAAATTTGGTAGACACATTCAAACCACAGCACAAAGAAAGGGCCAAGACAACTGTTCTAGTGAGTGGGAGAGAGTGTACTCTTCCAATTGCACAGGCATGACCATAGTTCATATGAACTAAGTTGGAGATGCCTCTCTACTGCTGTTCTAGCACTTAGCCAGCAGACCTGCATTTTACTTTCCCAAGGAATAGACGAAAGGCAAACCTTTAGATGTTGGTGCCTTGGGAAGAATATAGCCTTTGGAGGGCCCTGGGTCAGAGAAGTCCTAACAGACCATAAATTCTGTCCCTTCTTACTACCATGTGGTAGCACTATTTAGTAACTGTCCTGCAGAATCCAATGGACGCACTCCTGCTGGGGAATGTCATTCCATGTTAGGCGTCATGTTGAAACATATTATTTCATACTCTCCTTCTCAGTCAATCTCCATGTCATGGTATCTAGGCATCTATGAGCTTTGAGAAATATGGATAAACTATGGCAAACTAAATCAACTATCTTTAATCAAATACATTCCTTTTCCTGAGCTTAGATTACCAGCACAAACTCTCATTTCGTCAAGGTAATTTTATTTCAAAGAGCTTGCTGCCTTTTCCTAACTTTGCTGTTGGCCACTTTAATAATACTCAAGTAATGGTTTCGTTGCTTCCCAAATCCCCTCAATTCTTCATGCAAGAAATATGCACATCCATGCCAGAGACCCACTTTGAAAACCAGAGACACCAGAGTAGGTAGTGATTTTGACAAAGTAAGGAAAAGTTATGTTAACCTCTACCCCACCATCAATGTTTTTCTGTAGGTGCTTCCTTGACTTGTATTTCAGTAACTAAGAGAACCTATGCTAACACTTGATTCTAGACAAAGATCTACATAAAGGTGAATTAATACCTCCTTTGGAACTAATTACACAGAAGGAAAAAAAATAATTTGTCTTGCAAACAAAATAAAATAAGACCCCATCTTTGCCTTTGAAGGAATTTTATTAAAAATGATTGCTCAGAAGAGTTTATGGAATAAAAAGCTATATGTTAGAGCTTTTTAAAAAGATTTACATTTTGTATTATCTTCAAATCAGAGGAAGCCATTTATTCCATATTGTGAGAGCAGCTGAAACAGTTAATCTTAATAAAATGGTTGCATTAGAGTGGATATGTCTTTATTGATAGCCATCATTTGGAATGAAGATGGTTTCAGTCCACAGTTTATATTACTTTTTCCTCACAAATTTAGTTTAATATGCTCTAAATGATTTGCAATGAATAAATAATAAAGCCATGATTTCTGCTAGCAATTACATTTTTTTAACTGCAAAATGTAGGAAATTAATTGAGCAACTTCCTCTTTTATCCTTATACTTGTAAATCTGCTTTTATTTCTAGAATCCAAATATCCGATTAGTTGAACAAATTTTGATAGGTTTAAATGTCTTCAGTGCAAGGGAAAGGTCTGAGTCTTTTTAATTTGAGTAAATTTTAAAGAAAAGCTGGCTGGCATTAGGCAATCTGATAAATTCCTTTCCTGTGGAGAATTGTAAGGTCAGAGAAACAAAGCACTTACAAAAATCTTTCCCTGGAGAGAGGAGATGGGGGTGGAGGGCAGAGAGCCGAGAGGTTCTTGCTTGAGATGAGATGTTTCCATCCACTGGGTGTCACTGCTTATATGAGTCTGAACCAACTGAAAGATATTCCTGTGGCAGCAAGAATTTCTGACACTGAATGTGAAAACCCAGAGCTTTGGATGCTATCACTTTGACCTGCTACACAATTAAAAATACATTGCATTAATTGTGTCAGGGTGGTGAGCACTCTGAATAGGGTAATGGCACTTAAAAAAAAATAGTAGAATTTCTCCTTGTGGCTGAGTAAGCCCTGGTAATAGGATTAAATATGCTCTAATAATATGTGTCTGCTTTTCTCAGTTTAACAAAAAAAAAAAAAAAAATTTTAAGGAAACAGAGCTCCACCGAGGATTTTGCCATTGGAGCATACATGTAGTTTATCCCCAGATTTTCCAACTTGCAAGTTGTGGACTCAAGAAGTTTTTGGGTTGCCAGGCAGACCTTAATTATGTAAATAGTGGGGCTTTCTTCTCATTTATTTAAACAGAAGTGGTAATACCCATTGAAATGGATATTTGTATGACTTAGGCTTCCTTTGGAGTTTTCTTTTGTTCCTGGTTTGTTTTTTTAAACACATTAAGCTTCTGGAAACTGGAAATTGAAAGTAGACAGAAACTTTTCTGATATAATGTTCTATGTCTTGTTTGTGAATAATTAGTAGTTCTATGTATTAATGATGGCAGCCGTGGCCTTCTGGAGTGGCTGCTGCCATGATGCCAGCTGCAGTGGGGGAGGTGCAGCTGGGGCTGTATGTTCCAAAGAGCTGGGGGAGCCTGGAACAGATATGAAATAATGAGTTTGTTAATAGGAATAAATAGAGGGCCCATTGAAGAGGCAAAGGGACAGGGAGTGTCTTTTAAATCAATAAATAAATAGGGATAGAGAATAAAACAAATAAGAGGAGTTACAGGAGGAGGAGAAGGAGGTAAAGACTACAAGAGAGATGAGTGGAGGAAGAAGAGAAAGAAGGAGAATGGGAAAAAAAGAGGAAGCAAGAGGATAGGTAAGAGAAAGAAGAGGAAATAAATATTTTCCCTGACTTATTCAATGACTTTGAAGGGTGTTATTTTTAGTGCTGTGTGTTATTTGCCTGGTGGTACGCAAGGTGATAGCAAATAGAGCCTCCTATCAATTCAGGTAATTTAGAAACCCAAGATGTTAGTCAGTTATTAATCAGAGTAACAAGAAATGCAGATTCACGGCCAGCAGAGAGGAGAAGAAATAGTTTGGGGAAGAAATGATAGGGGATCCATGACCATTTTCAAGGCATGGAGTCTACAAAAGCCTAAAGGTTGAACTTCAGAATTGAGAGCACTGCAAACTCTCTCCAGCTTCTAGAATTCATGTTAGCAGCATGGCCACAGCCTATTGTGGTGGTTCTTATTCCCTATATAATAAATACCATCAGGTGAAAAGTGAATCCTATTTAGAATTCCATAGTCAGTTTCCTGGCATTTTGAAATCCATTGTTAAGGGTATAGGTGACAGCTCTGTATGGGATATGAGGTTCATATGACAGGTACCTGGCCTATGTGTTGACTGCTATGGTTTCAGCACTGGGCACATAGTAGGCATTCAGTTTATTTTTGTTGAAACGCTGAATTGGCAAATCTCCCAGAAGTATGAGTCCAGCACATGTGATTCCTAAACTTCCATTTATGTGTTTGCATTCCCCAGCATTTGCCTTTGTCCTCCAAATGAACATCCTTGTGCATACTTCAGAAATTAGCATTGAGACCCTTGGATCCATTGCCTAGATCATTCAGCAGAGGACATTTTGGAGTTCTTTCTATTAATTAGGTCTCAGTAATACTAAGATAATTAAAAGGGGACATAGAGCTTGGTTTTATGTTAGGAAGATAGCTCAACAAGCATCCTAGTTAAAGGGCTTATCTTCATGAGTAGGTGACACCACAGACATGGTGCTTACTTCAGAATTAGCTCTATTATTTTCAGAACATTGCTTAACATGTTGGTTGAGTCCGGCAGACAAATTAACATATTCTTGTGCATAAAAATTAGAACAAATTTGGTATGGCCAGTGGAAACTATGGAGTCCAATTGCTTTTTAATCTAATTTTGATTTAAGTAAATGCAGTTATACAGAGGTTGCAAGGAACAGAATTGTTTTTATTTTATTCTATTAAGTCATGGTATAACATGTATTTAAAAGATTATCTGTCTTACCAAATGTACAATTTTTGTACAATTATTGGCCTTGGAAGTAGAGATGACAGAATTCCACTCCCTATTTCACTCTCAGTTTTCCACATGTGAGGCTACGGTTATCTTAACTGTACATCTTAAATGGAAAAATTCTTGAGAGAAAAAATGTTTTTCCCTGCATATTCCTAACCATGAATAATGTTGCAAACTTAATTGGTGTTAAAACTAACTCTAATTGGCAAGTAAGGAAAACTGATTTGATTTGAGTCTCTTTTCCACAAAGGGCGAGTGTGTGCATATATGTGTGGATGTGTGTGTGTTTGACCAGCATTATATAATATAAGCATATAAATAGATAGATAGATGATTTTTATTGGGCTAAATAGCATCTGAGAAATTGTAAGAAAACTATTTACAGATACATGAAAGCTTTAAAAATCAACAAGGGAAACATTATTATCTAGTACCAGGAAATAGACTAAGGTAGTTAGTGAAAACCGTCTTACTATTGATTGGATTATGAGATAATCTCCTGGGGCAGAAGAATAGGTTACTTTGCTAAAGACATTTACAAGCTGGATTACTGAAAACATTGGTGGCTGTTATTGGACTAGTTCTATATTGATGTGAGCAAGTATTAAATGCCTTCTTTCTTGATTTCCTCGGCTTGCATAGTCTATATTATTTTCATATTCAATTTTGTAGTTGATTGAAAATATTACTAGAGACTACTGTTTCATTTTTTTGTGCTTATTGTGAGATTTTCCTAAATGCAATCATATCATTGTTATGGTGATTAAATGTGTGTGATTAAATCAACAAGATAAAAATTTAATAAGGAAAAATTTCTGAGATCTTAATAATTTATGCCTTGAGTAAACATTCTTGGTGCTTTTCATATAATTTGTGGGACAAAATGTGTGTGTGTGTGTGTGTGTGTGTGTATGTGTGTGTATGTGTGTGTGTGCATGTGTACACCTGCATGTATTTTCATGAGCAAATAAGCCTACAGTTGTGAAATGACACCTTAATGAAGCAACTCAAGGAAAATGAAGGCAACAACCAGAGTAACAGTAAAAGATAAAGAAAAAAATTCATTTTCTTTTTTGTACAGAAACATTATTATTCTCAAATACTGAGTTGTCTGGCATCCAGCATGTGGACAATGTCTAGAAATGGTTTAATACTTTCTGTGAAGCACTATTTAGAACTGGTTGATAGATGTTTCCATGTAGACAGAAGAATGAGGAGCTACCCTAGTGTGTCCCTTAATGAGGCTTCCTGTGTAAGAAATTGAGCCGGCATGGCTAGGTTAAAACCAACACAGTTTTAGGCTGGAATATAAATGCACGAGAGGCTTCATTGATATTTCACAGCAATTTAATGCACATAGAACTTGCAATCTGTAGTATAGTGCTGCCCAACACATAATTTTCATTGACTTAGTAACATTTAAACTAGATACAATTTAAATCTTTTTAAGTGGGTCAGCATAAGAGAACAGGCTTATTGCTTTCCAGTAGTTTCATGCTGGGATAAACTTTAATTGCCACTCTGTCGGTGAATAATTAGTAGTTCTATGTATTAATGATGGCAGCCACGGCCTGTCTGGAGTGCTGCTGCCATGATGCCAGCTGCAGTGGGGGAAGGGCAGCTGGGGCTGTATGTTCCAGAGAGCTGGGGGAGCTTGGAACAGGCGGAAGCCCCGTTCCCCTCCAAGTTGGAGGGGCGGGATTCTCTCCCTCCAGGGAGCGGCTGCAGCCACCCAGCTGGGGCTGCGGACCTGGGCATCTCTGCAATCTCGAGGGCCCGGGAAGCACCCCTGACCTTGCAGGCTTGGACGTACTTGCTCCTGCCACCTGGCCTCTCCCGACTCTTGGCGCGAACTCCAATTTCAGCCTGGTTGTTGTCATGACCCGGCTGTGTGTGCACGCTCAGGGCAGGACTGACACACCAAACCCCTGCTGCCTCAGCCCCCTCTGGACTTTGGGTGCCAAGGAGCCTGAGGAGTGGGGGGTGATGAGCATGGGAGGGAGGCTGAGGGGAAGCTAAGGGTGGCTCATCTTGGCCTATAGGCATGCCTGGGCATGAACAGCCTGGCACTGCAGGCACTGTGGATGGCAGGTTAATGGCAGCAGGAGGCAGACAGGCTCCTGGGCAGAAAAAGGTGGATCCCAAGTGAAACCCAATCTTCAGGCCAGGGACAGCCTGAGGCCTGCAGACCAGGCTGCCAGTTCCACCGACAGGAGTGAGAACTTATGGTATTCTTCATGGGCCTACCCGTGGCCACCCATGGACCAATCAGCATGCACTTCCTACCCTCTGAAGCCCATAAAAATCCCAGACTCAGCCAGACTGGGGCAGATGAGGGGATGACCTGCCTGCAGAGAGGAGCTGTCCACTGTGGGTCTCTCTTTGCTGAGAGATGGGCAGATAATGGGACAACCTGTCTGTGGAGAGGAGCTACCCACTGCAGGTCTCTTCTGAGCTGTTCCACTGCTCAAGAAAGCACCTCTTCACCTAGCTCCACCTCCACTTGTCTGTGTACTTCCTTCTTCCTGGATGCAGGGCAACAACTTGGGACCCATAGAATGATGGGTCTGAAAGTGCTGCAACACAAACAGAGCTGAAACATGCCCTTTGCTTGCCACATTCTGGGCTAGAAGGAGAAAAGAGTTGCCCTTCAGGAAGCCCAGACCTAGGAGCTCCCCAAGCCAGGGTTGTGACACCGTCTTTGGGGATCTCTGGTTCTGGTGATTCCAAGCTTCCAGTGCCACCGTGTTCCCTGATGCCAGTCATGGAAGCTGCTTGCAGTATGCCTGGTCCAGCTGCAGCCTTGCAGGGAGCCAGCGCCTGTGCCGGTACTTGGAGCTGCCTGCCCCACCACAGCCAGCAAGCCTGGCTGTGTGCAGTGGCTGGACCCCACACTTGCTCACTCACATACTCCTCACTGCTCTGCGCCTGGCTCGCCCTTGGCAGGCATGGGACTCAGGTCAGTAGCACGAGCCAAGTGCAGCCTGCCAGGCCAAGTGGACAGAATGAGCTCAGTGGGCCTGACCGAAACTTGGGCAAAGGCACCACCAGCCACAGAGGTTTCCAGCCGGAAAACAACACCCCAACGATCCTGTGACATTATGTGCAAAGACAGCTGTAACCGCCAGTGGCAAACAGAGTTACCTGTTAAAAAGAGTTAATAGTTTTCCTTTTTTTTTTAAGTTTGATTATATCAGGTTATTAAATCCTCTGGGCTCTCAAATTTATTAGATAAAGGACTTAAAGAAAACAAACCTTTAAGATACTGTTGCTAGCTAAGATATAACCTCCAAGTTTTCCTCACTTGGACTTTCCCAGTCCATAAAAGGGATTATAGGTTATGACATCAATTTGAATTTGTCTTTTGCATTGGTCGGTTAGAAGACAATGTTATAGTGTTGAGTATATCATGATTTCTCCTCTCCACTTTATTTTGTTGAACAAAGTGTTCCCTCTTGAATTTTAAAGAAGAGGTTTAAGAAAATATTTCATCAATATTTTAGCCAGATCTTTAAAAAAAAAATATTGCCAAAGAATTGGAAATTAAGATAAGGCACATCTTGTTGCTACAGACCAAGTGAACAACAGAGGACTGCTGAATTCATTCATTGCATTTTCTCTCCTGTTATTTTCAAGTAGATACTCATTTATCCTCTAGACTTGTCTAAACCATCTTGACAGATGCAAGGTTATAAAACTCTGAACCCAGTGGTATCATCCCCTTCCTGGGAATATGTGGAAATATTTGAGAATATTTTTGATTATCACAGGGCTGGGGATGACTACTGCCATTTATTGGATATTAGACAGGAGGTGCTAAATGGCCTTCAATCCATGAGACACCCTAACACAATGAAGACTAGTCTCATACAATATTCCAATAGTGTTTTTTAGAGAAATAGCTCATTACATAAGAGAAGCACTTGGCCTTCCCTGATTGCCAGCCAGGTCATATTGGGTGTTCCTGGTTAGTGTTTCCAAAATAGTTATCAAGTATATTTACCACTCTATTCCATATTTAAAAGAAAATTGTCTCCTACAGATAATTTTGAACACTAGAAGTACACATGGCTCTTCTAGTTTACTTTAGCTGTGGGCACTCAGTGCAAAGCTTTTGAAAGGCATAAACCAGTGGAGCATCCAGGGAGATTTTTAGGCAATACAATTTTTAAAACAGAAGAAAAGTAAAATGTATTTAAGACAGAAGTAGGATTTAAAATTTAGTAAACTTTTATTATTCAGATAAAAAGAGTCTTATTATTATTTTTTCTTTCATGGAATCATGAAGCACTGTATTTTGATGAAAATGTGGTTTGCTCAGAACTTAAGTAATTAGCCTCAAGATGTTGGAATAATGACATATTGGTAGTCACCTCCTCAGCCTCATTTCATAGATGACAATCCAAAGTCAGAGTCATTAACTAATGTGTTTAATGTCACACGACTTCTCGTTCACAATTCTACCTTATGACAAGGTCAGAAACAGAACATAGTAGATGTTAAAATCCACATGAAGAGGGACTGTGCACGCCAGAATCTAACATGGGCCTGCTATTTCATGACAGCTTGACAGTATTGGTTAAATAATTGATGCTTGCTGACTTGCAGTCCATAGCTCATTCAATTATGTCACATTGGTTCTGTGGGATGAAGTTGTCAGGAGATAATTGGAGGATAAACATACACCCATTGGTCTAGAAAAATAGTGTTCTTTGAGCTGGGATAAATGTCTTTTGTTAATGAAAATCCTAGAAGATAGTAAATCAAGCAGCTTATTAATAGTGAATTCCAAGTACTAATTATATTATTAATCTAACTCTGTTTCATGATGATCAAAATAATCAAACTACTTAAAAAGTATGATACAGAATTAGATTTTGGGTATTTACCTATTTGTAAGGGATGAATCCATTTATGTGTATTGAAAGGGCCATGCTAATAATATTCTAGCAGCAATCTGGTTTCTTGCTGTGATTTATATTCTAATGTACAAAACAAGACTATACATTATCAGCTTTCTTCGCATAGTTCCTCTTTAACAACAAGGTACAGTTGAAAAACGCAGTGGCTGAATATGTTTAATAGCAAATAATTAAAGAGGAGTACTTCCTCTTTATCCACTATTTATCAATGTACAAAGCACAGTGATATGAATAAAAATACAAATGTGCTTACATCTTATTAAGCATATTAACCTCCCGAAGCATACCCTTTAGAGTTGCCTTTCAACCATTCTCATTTATATTCTAAGCTTTGTTACTTGCTGTGCTGTTCTTATCTTTTCCTCCTCTCTTATGGCTCAGAGCTCAACAGAGAGTAATTTGATAAGTGATATTGTGTACACAAAACAGCTACAATGGTCAGGTATAAAATTCAGCTTTTTTTTTTTTTTTTTTTTTGAGATGAAGTTTCACTCTTGTTGCCCAGGCTGGAGTGCAATTGCATGATCTTGGTTCACTGCAACCTCCACCTCCTGGGTTCAAGCAATTCTCCTGCCTCAGTCTCCCGAGTAGCTAGGATTATAGGTGCCCGCCACCACGTGCTCGGCTAATTTTTGCATCTTCAGTAGAAACGAGGTTTCTCCATGTTGGTCAGGCTGGTTTTGAACTCCTGACCTTAGGTAACACACCCGCTTCAGCCTCCCAGAATGCTGGGATTACAGGCATGAGCCACCGTGCCTGGCCTAAAATTCAGCTTTTTCCAGGTTTCTGTTGATCAAATCACATCAGTAGAAAAGGGCAGAATTTGGAGGATACTTCTATCACATTTAAGTATTAAATCAAAATTTGTGTAACTTTGAAATAAAATGATAGAAATAATCAGCAATAGCAAAATCAGATTAATATTCACTCATGTATATATTTTATTTCTGTGATTATTAACCTAAAGATTGTTTAAACATTAATGTTTCTTTTATCTGTTTTTGTGTAAAAGGCCACTTCAAAACTTAGCAGCTTAGAACTGCAATTTATTATTATCTTTCATAGTTCTGTGGGTTAACTGGGCTCATCTGCACTTTTCCCACTTTTAGAGTCTTTTTTGGGATTGCTGTTAACTGGTGGCTGAGGTGAGTGATCAGAAGGCTGAGCTGAGCTGGATGTCTAAGACAGATGCTTCACTCAAATGGCTGATGACTCAGCTGGGCCAGCTATTGCAACACTCTGTCCACACGACCTCTCCACATGGCTAGCTTGGGCTTCCTCACAGGATGGCAGTCTCAAGAGAGTAGGACTATTTATATGGTGGCTATTTCCCCACCTCCACCCCTGGATGTGTATTTCAAGAAAGCAAGACAGAAGCTGCAAGGCTACCTGTGACAGAGCTTCAAAAACCAAGCAGCGTCTTCTAAGTATTTTACACAGGGTCAGACCAAATTGCCTGTGGGAGGAGACTACCAAAGCCTTAAGTAGAGGGAGGTGTAAATCATTTGGGGAACTTCTTCAGGTGCTTGCTGTTGGAATTTAAGCACTGTAATTTGCTCGTATTGTCTTAATCTCTTTCAGGGCCTTCCTTGAAGTATATACAGTAACTACAGATCACCAATACTACATAAAAATATATAAATATGTAAATTTCCTATTAATAAATAACTTTCTGTTTTAACATGTGAAGTGTTACTTTAACAGATCATCAATTATTTTTATGTTTTCTAAGACACCACGTCGAGATAATCTTTGCTCTCCTTGACCCACACTCACTATATAATTGTGCCAGTTGATTTTTACAGGCAACACATTAGCAACCAGCCAATAAATATTTAAAACATGTCTCAAGGAATAAAAGGAAAACTGTACAGAAAATATGAAAATAAAGATGTATAAAGATGTTTTAAATCTACAGATAGTGCTATTGCCTACCACGTCTGGTTTTGCATTCATTGATTTACTAAACATTTATTAGACAACTATAATATTTTGGGAAATCTGAATGCCAAGCTGAATACAGCATGCCTTATGCTACGAAATTAATGCTTTCATAAGGCATTTTTTCTGTATCAGTGGTTCTCTTACTTAATATGCATCAGAATCACCTAAAAGGTTTGTTAAAAAACAGATGGCTGAACCCTACCTCAGGAGTTTTTGACTCATTATGTCTGTACTCAGGTTTGAGGATTTGCATGTCTAATGTTTTACTAGGGAATGCTGTTGCTGCTAGTCTGGGGACCATGCTTTGAGAATCACTATGCCAGACAACATTCTCATCATAGTCTGCTTCTCACTTGATTCAGTATTGGATGAAGATCAACCAAATTGACCACTTTCAATCTAACAACCAAACAACCTTCAGTTTGTCTGCACACTGAAGGTTGCCTGGGGACTAAGAATAATCTCTGGGTTTTTTCCATGAATGAACCTGAACTGACCCTAAGGGATTCACACTCCTACTGAATCAGACAGGAATGTCTGAAAAAATCAATTGGTCAAATTCAATTTTCAATATTGGAAAACCTATCAACTGTTTCATCATAATTGATTTATACAGACAAGGCCTGAGAGACAACCTAATTTCCAGATAGGCAATAATATCATAGAAAGACCATGGAATTTCAAATTAGAAACCAGATTGAGAGATCTGATTGTACCACTTACTGGTTACATTGGGAGTGTTTTCTTCCTCTCTGGGAAAATTTTTTCCCGTACCTATTAAAGAAGAAACATTATAATAAAATACACATTATAAAAATGTTATGAAAACTATATGAAGTGGTATATAGGAAAGCTCTTTTTAAGTTATTGTGCAGATCTTCTAGATATTTGAGGTCAATATTGACTAGTAATTGAGTCAGTGGTGCCTTGCATTGCTGCTAATTGGAATCCACATACTTCTTTGCCTTTACTCCTTATAGTTAATCAGGCAGCATCCCAGAGGACTGACTGATTCACCCTTTAACAGATCTTTTACCTCTCCAGTTCTTTCCTTTCATATAATTGCATCATTGTTCTGAATTTTATAATTTCATTTCTGCTTAAATGTAGTTTTCTGCCCAGAAGGCACTACCACCCTAGGACCCAACCCAACCCCAGACCTATATACACATCCAATTATGTACTTTACTTATACAGAAAATGTTGCTCTCAGGGAAAAGGGGAGAAATGATAGTAAAAATAATATAAAGTCACTATTTACTAAATACTTACTGATTCACTTATTGTGGTAAAAAGCTATACAAGACTTTTTAAATTTTGCAACAAGACTTTGAAGTAGATGCTATTATTTTCTTGATTTTATGGTTGAGAAAGCTGAAGTCTAAACAAATTTCCAAGGTCAAGCAATAGTATGGGCTAGAATTAGAATGTAAATGCAAGTCAATCCCAATCCAGAGGCCTTGCTCTTAATCACCCTATAGTTGAACCTAAGTCTTCTTTGGCTTCACAGAGCCTAAATACAAAGAGAGAGCTCAAAACAAGAAAATGTAAATTCTGGAAGGATCTTTCCAAGTATAGTTCTCACTACCTCTACTCAGTCTTGGCTTGTCTCCTTACTATCTCTTTACTATCATTAATTGACACATTCTTGAATTATTTATTCAATAAACATATCTTGTGTGCCAATAATGATAATGATGATGATAATAATAGTTTATTGAGTACTCATGATTTGGAGGAATTGTTCTGAGCTCTTTACACGTACTAATGTAATTTGCATAACAACTTGTAGAGGTAAGTACTATTATTATCCCCATTTTATAGATGATCCAACTAAGGAGCAGAGAGATCTGGAAATCTGTCTCAAGTCATTTGCTAGTAGGGAGAGAAGCTGTGCTCTAGCCAGTTTGGTTGACTGCAGAGACCATGGTCTTAAAGGCCATATTATCTGGGTTCATATGGCGCACAGTACCTACTCCTTTTCTTTTCCCCTCATCTGTATCCTCCATTTAAAATTATCACGCTTCTTCTTCTCTACTCGTCAACATCCAACACTTTTTTTTTAAAAGATCAAGCTAAATTTCCTCTTCAAAATATTTCTTAGGATAGACCACATTAGCCAGCATTGTCTGGATAGGGCAGATATCAAAAGACACGTGCAATATGTCTGAAAATCGTGTTAGAGACAGGGTTATACTGAAGGTGCTTAACATTTATAAGATCCTTCATGCCCTAGAAATGAGAGGAGAGTTGATAATTTTCAAAGTCATTATCAGTGGAATTATTATCTTCCATATTAAATACAAGTTTCCTTTGTTGGGGCTCAGAAAACGGTACCTGAGCATGTGACACTTTAGCATGCTGAGCACTTTAAACTAAAGGAAATTAAAAGGGTTTAGAAACAGCTTCAGAACCAAGAACTTTTCTGACCTCTTCCTGTTTCTTCCCCTAAGTGCCAGGTGGAACTCTTTCTGAAGTTCTCCTATCTGAAGCTCCTCCATAAGGAACACAGTTGCCTTCAACTGCCTCCCTGAAATTTTATTAACCGGAGATGATTAAGTTTATATAGCAGGAAGAAAGACTGAGGAATGTCATCACACCTAGGCAGACTTTGTCACAAGCTACCGTCTGTTCTTTGGGCCCATTAAATTCCTCTGAAAATCATTTACCTCCCTTCAAAATTGCCTACATCCCCACTTTCCCTCTCTCCTGTGAATAGAGAATTTAAGACTCAACTCTCCGGTTCTTCTTTGAGTCTCGTATTTTGTATGGCTCCCGTGCTTTTTTGCACATTAATAAATTTGTATGCCTCTTCTACTGTTACTCTATTGTCAGTTTATTTCAAGGGACTCAAACCTTCAGGGGAAAGGAAAAAAATTCCCTTCATTTTCTCTGTGTTATAGTAGAACTACTGCTATCTTTTCAGCTCTTTCTCATTTTGAATTTCTGAAAGTAAATATTGAGGAAGGAAAGTCTCAAAGCTAAAATGCTTGTATTTACACCAAGAACATGGACAGATGGATATTCCAATCCATGTTACTTACAATTTTAAGAAAACTAATATTAGTAAAAGCAAGATGTCTGTATAACAGATGTCCATTTCTCTTTAGCAGCCCTGAACAACAGCTGTTCAGATGAGGTTTTCATGAAGCATAAAATGTCTGAGAACTGCTGTTCTATGTCCTACATATTCTTATTTTTTTCACAGCAGTAAAAAAAAAAAAAAAAAAAAAAGGGCTCCAGGAAAAAAAATGAGCCAAACTATTGGAATGGTATTGCATTAATTTAATGCTTTTTTTTCCTTTTCATATATGTGCAATGTCTCTGAGACAGGACTTATAAGTGAAAAAATTGAATGAATACCAAATATTTCCTTTTCATGTATGAAATATGCAGAACCACTTCCCTTGCTTGATGGTAATTCAATTTTATAGGGTTAGCAAATATTTTTCCCTTCAAACTTTAATATCAAGAGGACTTTTCAATTTAGAAATGAATATCCTGCATCTACCAAGGGCTTTACCTTGATTAACCTTTCTAACTAACAGGGGAGGTTGCTTGCTATGAATGTGTTTGCATGTGAACTTGAAGCTGGTTTTATTGACATAAGAGGTCAGTCTAACAAGATCCTAACATCAAGGGAGGAAAGCAGAGAAGCTATACTAATTGTGGCCATGAAGAGCATGTAAGTGTTTTCATTAAAAGTCAGCACTCATGCAGATTTTCAGTTCACCATCTGGCTCTTTTGCACAGATATTTGAAATGCAGGAAGCTGATTTAGTTACCAGATTTCTTTATCAATTTGTCATACATTTATATACTGCCATTTTACCATTGCTAGGTAATAAATGTGAAAGCAGAGTAACATATTTTATGTATTTCATTCTATATTTCTTGGGATATTTGGAATCAAAATAGTAAAATATTTCTAAAACAGTTTTAATTTACTATTTAAGGAGAATAAACTTGACCATCCTCTTTAACCACATACATTAATCCCAGGCACTGAAGAACCATTTGAAACCATTTGGAAATTTAACCTTCATATTGAAATAAATTTATTTATAAAACTCTTGGTGTATGTATAGGGGGAGTATGAAATTGGGGAAGGGGAACAATTCTTAGTTCTAAGACACCTCTGTGGAAATTACAAAGAGTTTAGCAGGCAATCACCTCCAAGTACTATATGTAATCACAAACTCTTATTTCATAGCTCATTTTAAAAATTCTGTTTATTATCACTTTGTTCCATAGCTTATATATGAAATTGAAGTTAACTAACATTCTTTGAATTTGTGTTTATTTTATTTTATTATTAAAGGAGATTGACTATTTGAACCATCTTTACTCTTGTACTTGTTAAACAAACATGAGTCTTAATGAATAAAAGGCTGGGAGAGTGGGGAATTTTTAGAAGTAATATTATTCAATGAATAAAAACTTACTGGGGGCTTAATATATACCAGACACTGTTCTGGATACTGAGAATTCATCAGTGGGATATAAGAAGAACAGCTGATAAATAATGAGTGCCTAAATCCTTCATAGGCATTATCGTGTATAGTAGTCACAGCAAAAGAATGAGTCAATATTTCTCCCTCACTTTAGAAATAAGAAAACTGATGCTGAGAGAAAAATAATTACCAAAATTTTCACAGCCAATAAGTAAAGGATCTGGTATTTAACACTAGATCCTTCTGGCTTGGCTTCACCATCCATTTTCTTCCTGTGCTAACACCCAGAAAACATTAGTGTAATTGACATTTAATATTCTGTTTTTTGGTAAAATTCAGCCAAATGCTATATTTATCAACTAAATCCCAAAAGTAATTGTGATTTGTTCCACGTATCCCATTTCATTGATCCATGATTATACTTTTCCATGTGTATTTCTGTATTTATATTTATTATTATTTATTTTATTTATTTATTTTAATCGGAATGCTCCCTGCTCCTCTCTTTATTCCCTAGATAAACGTACACTCTGTATCCATTTTTACTTAAGAGTCACTTCTTCCTCTCCCAATTCTTCTTCATCTTCTTCAAGTCTCATTGATCTTCCTTTTCTCCAAATTTCTCTAGTATTCAGTTATTCTACCAAATTGATGCTAACTCACATATTGAGCTGTCTTCTATTGTTTGCTGTATTTTCAACTAAATTTTAACATTTTAAAATAAATAATTTTATTTTCTTGGTATTTCTACCAATCAGACAAATAAACAATAAATAATGTTATTAATGTATAGTAAAGAATTAAGTAGTTTAGTATACCAAAAACATCAATCTATAATGTCATAAAACTAAAGCGGAAATATAAATTTGTAGAAATACCAGTTTCAGAACAAAAAATGACTCACAAAAGATCAGGAAGTCAATAGAATATCAGGGAAAGGGCGTCTCTGATCACAGCTGACTGAATTATCACCTTCTGGAAAACTTCTCAGAAGTCACCATTCCTTAGCAGAACTGGAAACATTTTATTGATAACATTAAGATCGTTTACAGGTATCATTTGAAGCCTGATTTTCTTAAATACGATCAATTTGAAATAACTTTAAAATATGGAAATCACAACACATAACGAAAGCATGTTGTAAGAATTAAGTCTGTTGCTTCAGTAACTTGGGCAAATGTTGTGGGTGGTTATCATGAAGTCTAAAAAAATAAACATTGGTAAGACTCTGACCATATGCCTCCATCCTGGCTTTGATGACAGTGTGCCCTGATCATGGATACAGTATTCTGGCCTATAGTGGAGGATGACTCATTAGGTTACCATGACATTATAAAAATATTGTGTAACCTACACTTTATTGGGTATAAAGTGATTAAACAGCAATGCTTCCAGCTACCGTTGCCTTGGGAAGTTTTAATGATACTACAAAGTAAGTGTCATGATTCTTGCCCAAGTGGAGGATCTGTGCCTAGCTCAGTATCCAAGCAGGAGCAGATCCTCCAATCAGAGGGCCTTTAAAACCCCTTCCATACTTAGGCAGGGAGAGTACATAATTGGAGCAGAAAATAACATTTTTCCTTGCAGAGAGACTAAGAGAGGTGGTAGGCACAATATGCTCAGTGCTCAGTTCAGAGCAATACAGCAATGTGTTACATAGCTATTCGAGAGAGTAAAATATAAAGGCTTGGTTCCCCAAAACCCTACATGAGTGTTTATGTAAGCAAAGAACAAGTCTTGTTACTAGGGATCCTGAAACAAGAAGTGAAGGTCTCAGATCAGAGAGGAAAAATGTGAAACACAAAAGCAAGGTTATACTTTACCACAACAGGGAATCCTTTGTAACCAGGCTGGTTCCCACTCACCACTAGCTCATTATTATTAATTAGGCAAATAGTGCCATGTCAGATACATGTTAGTAAAAAATCCAGGCAAACAGATGTGACTCCTGTCAATAAATTCATAGATTAATACAAGAGAAAGAGATGAAAATGAGTCCTACAAACAAAAGTATAATCACAAAGTATTTTCAATGTTGATAGGAAAAATTACAAGGAGCAAGAATAATTTGAGTGTTTGTCAAAGTGACTTAATAAGGCCTGCGTGATGGAAGTGGGAATTTTCCTAAGAAAGTATCATTTAAGCTGAGCTCTGAAGGATAAGTGGGCCTTAAGTAGGCAAACTGAGTCACTGGCAGGGAAATAAATAGGAAAGGGTGGAGAGAAGAGCACAGATTATGACGTGTCAAACATGAGTGTTGTGTGGATCCAGAAGCTAGCCAGAGTCGCTGAAAATACACAGAAAGGAGAAGACAAAGTTTGGAGGCAGACCTTCTGGGGTCTGTTTAGTATTTTGGTCTTGATTCTAATGGAAAGTCATAGAAGGTTTTAAGATAAGAGGATGACATTATTTGCACTTGGAAAATATGTGTGTTCATAGTGTAGACAGTAGGCTTAAATGGTAGACCATTTAATAGAATGAGTTTGAAAGAAATCAAGCAAACAAACCAAAAATCCTCAGCCTTTTCTGACTTTAGTCTGAGCCACAGGAAGGAGGAACAAGTACTGTGTTTTTCAAGGCACATAAAGGTAAAATTATGTTGTATTCTCCCAGGTAAAAGGA
Organism: Homo sapiens; assembly: GCF_000001405.40. Taxonomy (NCBI): domain Eukaryota; kingdom Metazoa; phylum Chordata; class Mammalia; order Primates; family Hominidae; genus Homo; species Homo sapiens. The sequence continues at coordinate 115,099,736 of NC_000008.11, read as the reverse complement.
AGCGGAGGGAACTATGAACTTGGTAGGAGGTAGAAAGAATCATACCAAGGAGAGACTTGGAGAATTTTTCCTGATAAGGGGGAGGCGATGAGGGTTTCCCAGTCCTGAGACTGGAATGGGTCATGGGAAAGAAGCTTTGAGAGATGATCAGATCTCTGCTATAAGACTGTGAATACCAGTCTACGTGACTCATTACCCATCACAGAAGCACTGGCCTTGGGAACACCAGTTTATCCTGTCAGCAAAAAGGTGGCAGTGTCGTTCTGTAATGATTCTATCAGGATAAGCAAGGAGCATGTCAGCAGATTAGTGTGGCTAAAGCAGATCCCTTTCTTAATTTTGCACAACACAAATTGGACAGAAGTATTTCTAAAACTTGCAGACTGAATTGCTACTAGTTAGGTAGATGTTGAAGCAAGGCTAAAGTAATTATGAATTGGTGTTTTAAGCCATTAAGTTTTTATGGTGCAATGAATGACTGGAACATCTAAAATTGTCCCATCCCTACCTGCTTGTTAGCATTCATCACAACAAATGACAAATTGTGCTTTTTCAACTTTCCTCCCCTTCTCTCTTCTCAGCTTTCTTCAAGTATTAAGCCTTTTTTTTTTTTTTTTTGGAGACAGAGTTTCACTTTTGTTGCCCAGGCTGGAATGCAATGAGTACAATGGAAGGATCTCGGCTCACCACAACCTGTGCCTCCTGGGTTCAAGAAATTCTCCTGCCTCAGCCTCCCGAGTAGCTGGGATTACAGGGATGGACCACCACGCCCAGCTAATTTTGTATTTTTAGTAGAGACAGGGTTTCTCCATGTTGGTCAAGGGAGTGAGTAATATGTCATTAGAAGAAAGATCTGTCCTTTTACTGAAAATTTTGCTGCAGTTTTTCAACAAAAATTGCTGTGAATTTGTCATGCTGTATCATACATGTTATGCTTCTGTACATGTTTCTTAAAAAACATGTTATTTGCTTGGAGACTAGTCATATTTTAATATTTTATGTCATAAATATTAGTTTGTTAGTTGTATATAGGTGGGTGCTTTGTGTGTGTATATTTTACTTACAAAATTGGGGGTTTAGTGTTTATGTGTAATGTTTGATAAGTTTTTTATTTAAAATAATGGAAAATAAGCTCCTGATTAGTGTTTCTTGCCCAGAATATCAGATTTTCAGAAATGAATTGCTGATATTAGGGGGATATGGCTATCTACAGATTTTCCAATTTCTATAGTGGAGAAATCAAGAAAGAAGGAATTGGTCTGTTGGGTGACCGTAGAATAGTGTTTACAAGTGATGGAAGATGCTGGGTTTGTTTTGGATATGTGAATTGCCTGGTGCTTTTCACATAAAGGTGGAGAAGCCAAGTAGGCAATTGCTTAGTAAGAAAAAGGAAACAAAACCAAACCAAAGACTGAGAAATTATTAGAAGCCACTGGAAGTTTTTTACAGTGAATCAATTTTACCTGGATCAAAAGATAGAATCATGGGAGGGAACTGCACACATGTAGCAGCCCAATACGTCAAGTCCAAACATGCAGATGAACCCATTTATTTTCCACAGACACCACCTAATATTAACTCCTTTGAAGCCAGAAATTGAGAACAGATTGCTTCTGGTCGTAGCAGTGATTTATGAAATCTTCCATTTTAACTCATATTACATGAACTGCTCAGGGATATTTCATGTGGCCAAAGCAATCGACTCAGGCTCCTAAAGTGTTTAAATGTCACTATGTATATGTGAGAAATATGGCCATACATTTCTGTAAAAATTCCATATATGTATAAGTGAAATGCGAAGAACACATGTTCAGTCATAAATATGTTCATGTAAAACAGTCTAGTCCTCCTATGAGTACATGCCAAGATATTTGGGGGAAATTCAAATAAAGTGCTTAGAAGTGTTCTTGGCACCTTGTAAGTACTCAATAAATGTTAACTATAATAAAAATATTATTGTTATTCTTTTCTTTCTGTTTCTACTCCTCTTCTTCCTCCTCTGCCCTCTCTTCCTCCTTCTATTCATTGCTTCTCTGATGATAATGCCATTACTGGTTCTCAACCACCCAAGTTAAAAACCAGAGGCATGATTAATTCTCTCCCTTAGCCCTTCTGTTTTTCCAATCAATTCCCTTATAAGGTCAATTTCACTCCCCCTCCCTTTAGTTCTCTCCTTCATTCCATGCTCACTGCCACTGCCACATTTAATATTCTTATTGCTTTTTATCTAGACCCCAGATAAACCTTGCCTGGATTACCCAATAGGCAGTCAAGCAAATCCTTAAGGTCCTTCAAAGCAGGGATATCATAAAGCTGACGATAGTTCAGCTTTAATGAAGCTTTCCAGGATTTTTTCCATCAGAAAACCTTGACAAATATACTGAAGTTTTCCTACCCATGTTTCATTATTAATAGTTAAGCATTGATTTTATTTTGGTTTAGTTAGAGGTGGTAATACCATAACATTTTCAAAGTTTAGGGCTTCTAATAGTTTTCAGTCTCAGCTAGCTCCTGACCTAGCTCCTCGACTCCGGCTGCTTCTTTCCCGCATGTACTCCTTTCAGGACAGTGAACACCTCTGCAATGAAAGTTCACTGCTTAAAAATCTACAGTGAATTTGTAGTGATTAAAAACAACCAGCAACCATAGAGAGGTGGGTTAGAGGGAATTTCATGATGTTGGGAAGTATGGGTTCAGAGAATAGGCTTTAATAGAGGAAACATAACAAAGTTCAAGAGGAGAAGGCAGGGGTTCCCTGATGTCTCATTAGCCCCCTGAGAAATTCTTCGAGGACAGAGTACTTCTGGATACACCATGGGTTTGTGTTCCATGGATGGTACACTATCCCTTTGCTTCCTTCTGGAGAGGCAAGAGTCAACATTTAATGTACATGCCAGATCCTTCGAAGAGTTGTCTGAAAATGTTAGCTGCTTGGGGAAAGGAATGCACTCAGACCCATAGGAAGCTGAGTTCCTGTGCAGTCCCTTCCACTGGAACAGAAGGAGAGCTTGGTTTCTCTCCACCTATTGCAAGGCAATCTGAGCCTTAAGATTTATTCCCTGAACGATTCTACTAGTCTTTTGTCCACAACAGCTTAAGTTCATCAAAATTTGACTTAAACCTACTTTCTGATCCTATTCTCTATGCTCCCCTGCCCTGCATCCTATGCTATTTTTTTCTTTGATTATTTATGGTGCTTTGTTTCCTTGAAAGCTTTGTTTATTTTGTCAACTTCACACCTGGAATATATTAGCACCTCCCTTCTGCCAGCCTCCCACCTTCACATTTATGCTTGTTTCCTATACCATCTTCCTGTTTATCCTACAGAACTTTCAGAAACCAGATTAAAAACTGCCTTCTTCACAGAGCCTTCCTTTCCTCTATATCCTAAGCGGTGATGAAGGGGACCTAAACCTTTTGTTTTTTCACAGGCCTCGGTCTCCATGTGCTTCTCATAAAATGGGAATTTCATAGGAGTGTTTGGTTCTGATAACCCACTACACAGTTTTCTTGCAACATAGTACCAAAATGCAACTCAACTGCTTTAACTGCACTGTGCCAAAGAAACACCAATTTTCACTAATGCTGCTACAAAACTGGCTGGGCAAACATATTAAAAGTCAATCTCCTTGGATTGCCTCTTTATGGAATTCATAAACGTTTTTATTATACCTAGTTTTTTATATTATACTCTAATTTCAGAACCAAATGCCACCTAAGCTATATTTCCTCTTTGGAGTTGCATTATTGTTATAGGACAGAGGTCCCAATCCACATCCCAAGAAAGGGTTCTTGGATCTCTTGCAAGAAAATAATTCAGGGCAAGTCCACAGTACAAAGTGAAAGCAAGTTCATTAAGAAAGTAAAGGAATAAAAGAATGGCTACTCCATAGATAGAGCAGCCCTGAGGTTTGCTGGTTACTCATTTTTATGGTTATTTCTTGATGATATGCTAAACAAGGGGTGGATTATTCATGCCTCCCCTCCATAGACCATATAGGGTAACTTCCTGATGTTGCCATGGCATTTGTAAACTGTCAAGGTACTCGTGGGAGAGTAGCAGTGAGGATGACCAGAGGTCACTCCTTTCGCCATCTTGGTTTTGGTGGGTTTTGGCTGGCTTCTTTACTGCAAGCTGTTTTATCTGCAAGGTCTTTATGACTTGTACTTTGTGCTGACCTCCTATCTCATCCTGTGACTTAGAATGTCTTAACTGTTTGGGAATGCAGCCCAGTAGGACTCAGCCTCATTTTACCCAGCTCCTGTTTAATATGGAGTTGCTCTGGTTCACTTGCCTCTGACATTATGGAGCAGTGAATTTTGGAGCTTTTGCTTTTTGTATTAAACATTTAAATAGACATACTAGAGATTCTTAGACTGCCAGTCAGGCAATAATTATAATTGAAGAAATCTTTGAGTTTTGAAAAGATTTCGTTTGCTTATATACACTTCCCACAAATTTAAAGAGATTTATCACTAGGAATGTACACATCAAATCAATGAATTTTTGAGAGTCCTTTAAAATTCGTGTCAATGAAGACTTTTGGATTCATGGAAAAATATATATTGCTAAGAGAAACATCAGATCAGAGTATTAATTAGATGATCCTAATGTTGTTCTTGAATGATGTTCTCATAAGAATACCATATTTTGTATTTTATTCTTTTTATTTTTAAAAAATCATTTTCTAATTTTTTTCTAAAAATTCTATAATTAAACATTGCTAGTAGGTATGAATTTTAATCTGCAATTCCTGGTATAAGAAACAATATCTTTTGTACTTTCCTAAATAAAATGGAATGTGCTCTCAGGCCCCATTTGGTAGAGAATTCACTCCTACTTGTGCTCTCTCATACTCATTCTCCCAAAGAACTTCCTCTTCCCCAATCCAGAAGAGTCAGAAAGGGGCCCATTAGTTTTCTGTCCACTTTGATCACTACTGATTTGGTGTCACGGCCAAGACCACAACTAGGAAAGAGGCTGTTTTCCTAGAATCCGTCAGTCCTCTATCACACTACAATCAGAGTCAAGAAAAGACAGAGGCTTCTTTGAAAGTTCTTGAGATTAGGGATTTTTAGACAGCCCCAAGGGTCATGTACTTTTGTCTGCTCACTGCTGTGTTTCCACTAATTAACACTCAACCCCTGGAAAATATTCAATAAATATTTTTAATGAATAAAAGAATGAATTGTTCAGGAAGGAGAAGTAAGATTACATATAGGAGCTGAGTACAATTTAATGTCTGTATAAATTGCTCTGCTAGTCACATATTATTTCTTTTAAATAGATAAACTCAAATAAATGCATGTGTTAAAAGTAAACCACTATTTATTCATGGACAAGAGTACAAGTTTCAAATAACTTAAATTCTAATTGGGTTAGCAAAGAATATTTACAACATCTTGCAGTCTCTGACAGTAGTCTTAGTATAATATGTTTTTAATGTCAATGACTATTTTCAAAATAATTTATCCAAATGCCTTTCCATGGCGTTCACTGAGCAAATTCTGGATTTTTATAGAGAAATACAAAATTTAAAAGGCTAAAGAGGAGCTTCAGAATTCTTATCTGGCATATAAGAAACTTGGAAGTTGCCACTCTGTCCCAATGAGCAAAAAGCTAAAAAAAACTGAAAAACAGCAACAACAACAGCAACAAAAATAAACAACTCTTCTTAGATCTGTAAAAGAAGCGAGGTCATAGAACAAACTGCCACCTTCAAAAATAGAGAGACCAATAGGTGAATACAGAGAATCACAACTACTAGAGCAGAAATTCACCACTAGTAACCCCCACGGAAACCAGAGTTTGGGTAGGGAAATCTGAACTGTAATTGATAAATTGCTGGAGGCTTGATGTGGACAACTTTGAGAATTAAAAACCTCAGGGTTACCTAGTTATAAGGGACATACTCACACTTCTGTCTGTTTTACCTGCAGGAGTTCTACCAGGTCCTCACAGTAATTATCAGAGAAAAATTTCCTCATGCTTCTGGGAGAGAGATGAAAAGGAACCATTTAGAAATATAGCAGAGCACCCTTGTTCTTTTTAACAAGGTCTGCCCTCAGGAGAAACAATTTAATCAGAATCTAGCCTGCTGGGATTTTATCAGAGCTGAACTGACCTGAGGAAAGAGAAATAACCAACTTCTCTTCAGCCTTCCATGCAGAGAATTGGAAAATACCCAACTCCGGCCCACTCTAGCCACCCTGCCCCATCTAAGTGGTGAGGAGGGTTGAGAAGCATGTGTTAGGTTCACAATTCAGAGGTACAGGCTTGCTAAAAGACTGAGACCTAATCAAAGGGGTATAGAACACTTTCCCTTCTCCACACCTTAACACCACGTTACTAAAAGCTCATTTACAGAATTTCCTTTTACCTGGTACACTGAGTCTGGTTATGAAAAAAAAAATTACAAGACATATACTAAAGGCAAAACACAAGCACACAAACAAACAAAAACAAAGTTTGAAGAGATAGAGCAAACATCAATATCAGAGTCAGATATGACAGGGATATTGGAATTATCAGATTGGAAACTTAAAACAACTACCATTAGTATGCAAAAGACCCTAAAGAATAAAGGAGACAGCATGCAAGAACAAATGGACAACGTAAGAAGAGATTTAAAAGGTCTAAGAAAGAATAAAACTAGAATATAAGATATCAAACACAGTGCCAAAATGAAGAATGCCTTTGATGGGCTTATTAGTAGCCTCAACATGACTGATGAAAGAACCTCTAAGGTTAAAGATATTTCAACAGAAACTTCAATAGAAACTGAAAAATAAAGAGAACAAATATCATCACCACCACCACCACCACCACCACCAATAAAATAACCAAGAACCGTGGGCCAACTACAAAAGGTGTAACATAGGCAAAATGAAAATACCAGATGGATTTTAAAAAAGGGTAGAAAATAAATAGTTAACACAATAATGACTAAGAATGTCCCTGAATTAATTTCAGGACACCAAACTATAGATTCAGGAAATTCAAGGAACACTGAGCAGGATAAATATGAGAAAAGAGCTACACCTAGGCTTACCTTTTTCAAACTACAGAAAATCAAAGATAAAGATGAAACTACTGAAAGAAGTCAGAGGGAGAAAACACCTTAGCTATAGAAAAGCAGAGATAAGAATTACATTCAACTTCTCTTCAGAAACCATGCAAATGGGAAGCAAGTAGAAAAAAATATGTAAAGTGTTTAGATAAAAACCCCACCAACCTAGACTTCTGTATCCTGCAAAATAATCTTTCAAAAACGAAGAATAAATAGAGATTTTCAGACAAACGATAATTGGAGAATTCGGTGCTGGTAGACATGCCTTGCAAAAAGTGTTAAAAGCAGCTGTTATAAAAGAAGGAAAATATATAGTTTAAACTCTCTATAAAATATAGAGTTTAAAAACTCTCTATAAAATATAGAGTTTAAAAACTCTCTATAAAATATAGAGTTTAAAAACTCTCTATAAAATATAGAGTTTAAAAACTCTCTATAAAATACAGAGTTTAAAACTCAGATCTACGTAAAGAAATAAGAGCATCAAAGAAGGAAGAAGTAAAGGTAAAACAAAAATGAAAGTTTAGAAAAAGAATTGAAGATAAAAGTCAGAACAAAGAATAAGGTCAATAAATAGAAAACAATAACAAATTTGTCTGGAAGTGGTGGCTCATGTCTGTAATCCCAGAACTTTGGGAGGCTGAGGCAGGTGGATCACTTGAGGTCAGGAGTTTGAGATCAGATCAGCCTGGCCAACATGATGAAACTCTGTCTCTACTAAAAAATACAAAAAATTAGCTAGGAGTGGTGGCACATGTCTGTAATTCCAGCTACGCAGGAGGCTGAGGCAAGAGAAGCCCTTGAACCCGGGAGGTGGAGGTTGCAGGGAGCCAGGATAGCATCACTGTACTCCAGCCTGGGCAACAGAGCGAGACTCCATTTCAAAAACAAAACAAAAAACAAATTTGACAGATATTAATCCACCTATATAAATAATTACTTTGAATACTAATAATGTAAATGAACCAATTAAAACGTGGAGATTTTCTGAATGAATCAAAAAATAGAATCCAACTTAATTTGATCAACAACATACTCACTTTCAATCTAAAGACACATATAAATTAAAAGTAAATAGAGAAACATATACCATGCTAACACTAATCAAAAGAAAGTAGAGTAGCTATATTAATTTCAGACAGAGCTGGCTTCACAGTAAGAAAAGTGATCAGGGATAAAGAAGGGCATTACATAAAAATAAAGGGGTCAATTCTCCAAAAAGATAAAAACGTTACTTAATGTGTATGTGCCTAAAAATAGAGCATCAAAATACATCAGGAAAAAATTGATAGAACTGCAAGGAGTAATAAATAAATTCAATATTATAGTTGGAGACTTCAACAAATCTAAAATAATAGAAATCATAAAATGTCTGTCCCCAGATGAAAATGGAATTAAACTTGAAATCAGTAACAAAAACATAATTTGAGAATCCCAAAGGACATGTAGAATAAGCACACTTCTAAATAATACAGGGTTCAAAGAACAAACTTCCACAGAAATTTAACAAAGTATTTTGAACCAAATGAATAAGAATACACAAGATATAAAAATTTATGGGATGCAGCCAAAGCAATGCTTAGAGAGAAATTTATAGCATTGAATGCATATATTAGAGAAGAATAAAGACCTAAAGTAAATCATCTAAGTTTCCACCTTAGGGAACTAGGAAAAGAAGAAAATTAAATACAAAGTAAGCAGAAGAAAGAAAATAATAAAATTTAGGACAGAAATAAATAAAATTGAAAAAAGAAATAAACAGAAAACATCAAACAAACCAAAAGTGAATTACTTGAAAAGATCAGTAAAATTTATAAGCCTCTAACCAGACTAAGAAAAGACAAGAACAGACAAATTACTAACATCAGAAATGAAAGTATAGAAAACACTACAAATTGCATAGACATTAAAGAAATAATAAAGAAATACTATGAACAACTCAATGCCTACAAATTTGATAACCTTAATGAAATGAACAAATATCTTTAAAGACATGATCTGCCAAAACGCACACAGGAAGAAATAGACAATTTCAATAGGTCTGTATTTATACAAAAATCAAATCAATAGTTAATAATCTTCCAAAACTGAAAGTACTTGGTCCAAATGGGTTTACTGGTGAATTCTACCAAATGTTTAATGAAGGAATTATGTCAATTCTCTAAAATCTCTTTTAGAATTTAGAAGCAAAAGGAATACTCTGTAACTCATTCCATCAGGCCAGTATTACCCTAATTCCAAAGTCCAACAAATGTATTAAAACAAAACTACAGACCAATGCCTTTCATGAACATAGGTTCAGACATTTTCAACAAAACATTAGTAAATCAAATCCAACAACATATTAAAAGGATTATACTCCACAACCAAGTGGGATTTATCCCAGGATATAGAATTGGTTTATCATTCAAAAGTCAACTAAGATATTTCATCACATTAACAAACTAACAAAATAAAAATCATATGATTATATCAATAGATGCAGAAAAAGCATTTGAGACAATCCAACATCCTCTCATAATAAAAACTCTCAGTAAAATAGGAATGGAGAATTTCCTCAACTTGATAAAGAATATCTACAAAAATCCTATAGATAAACATCATACTTACTGGTGGAAAACTCAATGATTTCCCCCTAAGATTAGGAACCGAGGCAAGAATACATATTTTCATTACTGATTTTCAACATCGTACTGAATGTCCTAGCTAATGCAATAAGAGAAGAAAAGAAAATAATAGGTATACTGATAGTAAAAGAATAAATAAAACTGTCTTTGCTTGTAGATGTCATGATCCTGTAAGTAAAAAATCTAAAACAATAAATAACTGTCTGAAACTAATAAGCAAATATAGCAAGGTTTATGGATACAAGGTTAATATTAGAAAAATCCATCACTTTCCTATATATTAGCAATAAACATGTGGAATTTGAAATTAAAAACATAATATCATTTACATTAGCAACCTCTAAAATAAAATATTTAGGTATTAGCCTACACACACACACACACACACACACACACACACACACACACACAAGATCTATGTGAGGAAAACTAAACGTTTGATGAAAAATTTTTTTTACAACTAATCAATAGAAAGATATTCCATGGTCATGGATAGGAAGACTCAATATTGTCACAGTATCAGTTCTTCTCATCTTGATATATAAATTCAATGTAATTTTAATCCCAGCAAGTTACTTTGTAAATATTGGCAAACTAATTTTAAGGTATAAATGGAGATGTGAAAGACCCAAAATAGCCAATACAATATTAAAGAAGAGAAACAAATTTGGAGCAATGGGCACTACTTGATTTAAGACTTACCTTTTTAATTAATTAATTAATTAATTTTATTTTATTTTATTTTATTTTATTTTTGAGACAGTGTTTCGTTCTTGTTGCCCAGGCTGGAGTGCAATGGCGTGATCTCAGCCCACTGCAACCTCTGCTTCCTGGATAAAGTGATTCCCCTGCCTCAGCCTCCCAAGTAGTTGGAATTACAGCTGTCTGCCACCATGCCCGGCTCATTTTTTGTATTTTTAGTAGAGAGAGGGTTTTCACCATGTTGGCCAGGCTGGTCTCGAACTCCTGACCTCAGGTGATGCACCCGACTCAGCCTCCCAAAGTGCTGTGATTACAGGCATGAGCCACCATGTCCGGCTGACTTTAAGACTTATCATAAGCTCTAATAATGAAGTCCGTGTGGTATTCACAAAGAAATAGTCAAGTACATCAATGGAACCGAATAGACAGCTCTCAAATAAACTCACATAAATGTTGCCAGCTGATCCTTGATAAACTAGCAAAGGCAATCCAATGGAGCAAAGAGAGTATTTTCAACAAATGGTGCTAAAACTGGATATCCATATAAAAAACAATGAATCTAAGCACAGCCCTCATACTTTCACAAAAATAAACTCAAAATGGAGCACAGACATAAAGGTAAAAATGAAAAACTATAAAACTAAAAGTTAACATAAGAGAAACCTAGATAATCTTGGGCATAAAGATAGCTTTTTAGATACAAAACTAAAGGCATGGCACCACATCCGGGCAAGTGTGTGGAGCAACAGAAATTCTAATTCATTGCTAGCAAAAATGCAAAATGGTACAGCCACTTTAGAAGACAGCTTGGCAGTTTCTTATGAAATTAAACACACTTTACCAGGTAATTCAGCAATCACTCTCCTTGGTCTTTATCCCAAAGAGTTGAAAACTTCATTTCATTATCATTTAAAACCTCTGTTTTGAAAAAGACAATTTCAAGAGAATGAGAAGACAAGCCATGCGCTAGGAAAAAAAATATTTGCAAAAGTCCTTACCTGGTGAAGGACTGTTATGCAAAATATATGAAGAACTGTTGAGACTCAACAGTAAGAAAACAAATAACCAGATGGTAAAATGAGCCAAACACCTTAACCGACACCTCACCAAAGAAGATGTAACAATGGAAATAAGCATACGAAAAGATGCCCTGCATTATATATCATTAGGGAAATGCAATTTAAGACAACAAAAATATACCACTACATGCCTATTAAAATAGCCAAGATCCAGAACACTAAAAACACCAAATGCTGGTACATACGTGGAGCAACAGAAACTCTAATTTACTGCTGGTGAAAATGCAAAATAGTTTAGCCAGTTTGGAATACAGTTTGGCAGTTCCTTATAAAACTAAACATACTCCTACCATATGATTCAGTCATCACACTCCTTGGTATTTACTCAAAAGAGTTGAAAACTTATGTCCACACAAAAACCTGAACACAGATGTTCATAGAAGCATTATTCATAATTGCCAAAACTTGGGAGAAGTCAAGATGTCCTTTAGTAGGTGAATGGAGAAATAAATTAATTCAAACTGATAATAGAATATTATTCAGCACTATAAAGAAATGAGCTATCAAGCCATGAAAAGATATAGAAGAAATTTAAATGCATGTTATTACCTGAAAGAAGTTGGTCTGAATAGGCTGCATTTTATATGATTCCAGTTGTATGACATTCTGAAAAAGGCAAAATATTGAAGGTAGTAAAGAGATAAATGGTTGCCAGAAATTAAGGGGGAGGGAAGGACCAATAGGCAGAGCACAGAGGATTTTTAAGGTGGTGAAACTACTCTGGTATGATACTCGATATAGTTGGGATATGTGTCCCCATCCACATCTCATGTTAAATCGCAATCCTCAGTATTGGAGGTGGAGCCTGCCAGGAGGTGATTGGATCATGGGGGTAGACTTCTCATGAATGGTCCAACACCATCCTCTTGGTGCTCTCTTTGTGATAGCGAGTGAGTTCTTGAGAGATCTGGTTGTTTAAGTGTGTAGTACCTCCACTTTTCTCTCCTGTTCCTGCTTTTGTCATGTGATGTGCCTGCTCCCCCTTCACCTTCTGCCATGATTGTAATACTACATGTGGCATTCAATTGCATCAAAGTCTTTAGCACAGGGTATGTTAAGAATAGTGAGAAATTGCTTCTTTTCTAGACATATGAATCGAATAAGTAAACATGTAGAGGTTGCAAAATAATAAGCTATATTTTGAGTGGAACTAACAATTACATGTTTAGTGCAATAGAATTTATTATTTTGTGATATTTTTCCTTGAGTCATTACTATTAGAAAATGTTTCCTGGGCCGGACACAGTGGCTCATGCCTGTAATCCCAGCACTTTGGGAGGCCAAAGCGGGCATATCACCTGAGGTCAGGAATTCAAGACCAGCCTGACCAGCATGGAAAGACCCCAATCTCTACTAAAAATACAAAATTAGCAGGGCATGGTGGCATGCACTTGTAATCCCAGCTACTCGGGAGGCTGAGGCAGGAGAATTGCTTGAACCCAGGAGGCAGAGGTTGCAGTGAGCCGAGATTGCGCCATTACACTCCAGCCTGGGCAACAAGAGTGAAATTCCATCTCAAAAAAAAAAAGGAGAGAAAGAAACAAACAAAAAGAAAGAAAATGTTTCCTAAGTACTTATAAGATATGAATAAGCATCCTAATTGCAGAGATAGATATAGCAGTGGTTATAGTGTTTCTGCAGTCTAAATAAAACAAGGCAGGCATAAAAACACCAAAAGATGAGTGACTTACATGGATGTGATGTGGTTTGTATATAGTTTCATTTTTCTGATTTCTTGTTTGAGCCCTCTCCCATTGCTCCATGGTTTTAAAAAAGATGCCATGTATGAGGTAAAAAAAATTACATTTTGGTCCTCTTCCTGCCTTCATAAGGTGTCTAGTATGAGGCTCATGTTAAATCAGTGTTTTACAAATCAATGCATTCAAAGGCTCTAGTTAATAAGAAAAAGACTATTTTTTTCTATGCATTTTTTGTTACTCTATTCTTATATGGCAAAAGTACGTTTGCTAAGAACCTCTTGTGTGATGTCGGCACTTTAATAGAAATGGTGGTTTTGATGATGTTCATCAAGATATCTTTTAAAAAGTTTTTATGGTCATTTCCTTTAAAACTTGCACCTTGTAAACAAACAGTAATGTTTTCCCTGCAAAATAATAAGGTAACGGGAAATAAATGGCTGGGAAGCAGGTAGCCTTTAGGAAATGCTGATGGAGCATTACTTCCTGGAGGAGCAGAGTCATTGACGAATATGTTATCTCAAAGACTAGGAAACCTCAAGTATGTTAATTGAATGCTTGATCTAGGGGAGTCCTTATTGTGCTAGCAATGTCTTCTTGGAGTGTCTTCTTACCAAAAGGATAGGCTATCAAAATAAGAGAAAAATATGGAATGGGCAGCTCAGATCCAAAAGGGTGTTTGGTGAACATTCATTTAATTATTTATTCATAAATATGTACCTATTAACTAATTGTGCCATTCTAAGGAGTGTAGAATTTTAAGTGGAGTGGTGATGAGATCTTTGCATTTCATAAGCATCAATCTGTTACCAGCATGGATTGGAGAGACTGCCAGGGGGACTAGTTTAGAGGTATTTTTAAAACATATAATAAATGTCAAAAGTGAGAAAGTCACAAAGACTATATTGGATTAAATACATGAATGAACCACAGAAAGTAATCATAATTACTAGGTATCCCACCCTCTGAAAACATTTGAGTAACCACTGCCCCATGATCATATTTTAAACGTACAATAATTTACAGATTAACTTAGCCCTTCTCTGATTTTAGGTGAGAAAACCTAAGGCTCACTGAATGTTCAAAAAACTCTGGAGTTATTACTATTTTTTATCTAACTTAGGGAAATTGCTCTAGAGAAATTAATCTGCCAAACATTTCCTATCTAGTAAGTCACAAAGTCAAGAGGTAACTCCATGGAAAGTGTCTACCATGGTATTAGTAGTATTAGTTTCCTATGGCTGCTGAAACAGATAATCACAAACTTAGTGGTTTAAAACACAGACATTATTTATCTTACGGTTCTGCACGTAAGAAGTTCAAAATGAGTCTGACAAGTTAAAATCCAGGTGTCATTAGGGCTGATTTCTCCTGGAGTCTCTGAGTGGGGAATCTTGTTTGATGGCCTTTTTCAGCTTCTAGATGCCACTGGCATTCCTTGCTTTGTGGCTCCTTTCTCCTTCTTCAAAGTCAGCAGTGTGGCATCACCCAATCTCTGTCTATCTCTCTTTTTCCTCTACTTCCATCATCACATCTCTTTCCCTGATTCTGACCGTGGCCTCTTTGCCTCTCTCTTATAAGGATCATTGTGATGAGATTGGGTCCACCTCGATAATCCCAGATCCTGAGATCTCTCTATCTTAAGTTCCTTACTTTATTCACATAAAATTTTGGGAGTCTGGGGCGGGCGGATCACTTGAGGTCAGGAGTTCAAGACCAGGCTGGACAATATGGTGAAACTCTGTCTCTAACAAAAATACAAAAATTATCCAAGTGCAGTGGTGCACACCTGTAATCTGGGCCACTCGGGAGGCTGAGGCAGGAGAATCACTTGAACCCAGGAGGTAGAGGTTGCAGTGAGCTGAGATCCTACCACTGCACTCCAGCCTGGGTGACAGAAGAAGACTCCATCACAAACAAACAAAGCAACAAAAATCACATCTGCAAATTTCAGGGATTAGGTTGTGGACATCTTTGGGGGTGCTATTATGCTGCCTACCAAAACCTCTATGTTGAATAAAGTAAATTTCTTAGAACATAAATCTCAATTTCTCTTTTATTTTGTGAGTTATGTACTTTTACATTGATTTGTTGCATCTACTCTAATACACAAGGCCTTGTTTTATAGTAATGCTATATCAGGAGTTCGCAAACGTTTTCTGGTAAATGGCCAGATAGTAAATATTTTCAGCTCTGTGGGCCATGTGGTCTCAAGGACAGTTATTTCACTCTGTCATTGTAGTGTGAGAACAGCCAGAGACAATACATATACAAATGAAACGTGGCTGTGTGCCAATAAAACTTTATTCACAAAAACAGGCGGTGGCTCAGATTTGACCCAAGGGCCCCTGCTATAAATTTGTCTGTGGAAACCTGCTATCAATGATCAAATACCTTCACAAGTTTCATGACATAAGAGCTTTTTTATGTTTGTTCTTTGTCAAATCCGCATACCTAGAACAGAGTTTGGTACATACCAGCTGCTTAATAAATACTTGTTGAGTGACCTAAGAAATTGAAACATGCTAAAGCTTAAAAGAGAAAATCAGTGATGGTTGATTTGTAAGAATACGTGCCTTTGGCCAAGGATGTGAGAATTTTCTTTAAGAAGGAGATTTCGAGAATTTTTTATGAGCAATGGATCTGGGCTTTAAAAATGGCATTTCATAATATAAACACAATTTGAAAGACAATAAGGCTTTAGTCTTTGTAATTCCTAATTACAGAATGTGAGCATCACTAAGAGTAAGTTGTTAGTTTGGTAAATGCTTTAAAAAGTTTGGACAAATTACTTCCTCCCAACAGGGAGATGTAAATGGCATCACACTTGAGCAAATATGGACTTGGCTACCCTATAGTTTTATACATGTCTCTATCAAGTTCTGACAGTTTGTGGATCTCTTGTGACATTAATTCTTAATGATTAATTTTATGTGTCAACTTGAATGGACCACAGAATGACCGGATATTTTGTCAAATATTATTCTGGGTGTTTCTGTGAAGATGTTTTTGAATGAGAGTAACGTTTAATTTGGTAGACTGAGTAAAGCAGACTGCTCTCCATAATGTGGGTGGGCCTCATGCAATCAGCTGAAGATCTTGCTAGAACAAAAGGTTGACCCTCCCTGAGAAAGGGAGGATTCTGTCTGACAGTCTTTGAACTAGGATATCAGCTATTCCTGGTTTTACAGCAGCCTGCTAGCTTTCAGATGCACACTGGGACACCTGCTCTGCAGACTTTAGACTCACCAGTTTCTATAATCATGCAAGCCAATTCCAATTCCATATCATAAATGGATCCTACTAGGGCTGGGCATGGTGGCTCATGCCTGTAATCCCAGCATTTTGGGAGGCAGAGATGGGAGAATCTCTTGAGGCCAGGAGTTTGGGGACATCCTGGTCAACACAGCGAGACTCTATCTTAAAAGAAAAAAGAAAATCCCATTGGTTTTGTTTCTCTAGAGAACCTCGACTAATGGAGCCAGACTTTTTTGTAAACAATGATGAGAAAATTTTACCTCAACAATACTTTCCTATTTTTTTAGTTTTGTTTTTTGCTCACCTCCAACCAAAAGTAAACTATTTAAAAACCTGTGTTCTAAATACATATTTTCATGAAAGCATAGTAAGTTATGTTGATGAATTATATTACTTCACAAACTGGTCATTTTAGGCCACACACATACACATACCCTAAATAGCCCCAACACAGTACGTCTGTTCCCTTCCTCCGTCTTCCTAAAGGGGAAGAAGGCTTCACTCACAGCAAAGGACATTTAATGAAGAGGGACATGAAACAAAATTTTCACTTGCCTTAAAATTTTAAGTATATTTTATTACTAGTGTAAGTGAATTATAACATAGTTTATATAACTTTCTCAGATTTTGCCTTCTTAGGTCTAGGTCACATGCACTGGAAAAAAATTGAGTCTTAGATTATTCTGTTGTTTATTGTGAAATAATTTGATGGTATTATTGTGTAATCTGTAGTGTGACATACTGTTACAGTAACTACATTATTAAAACTCCATCAAATCAAGGTTATATTTCAGAATACTGGCTTAACCAGATGGCCTATTAATGTAGTTTAGAAGTGGACTAATTAAATTATATTCTTCAAATAATACTAATGAAATAGATATTTACACTGGGCTTGTCCAACAGAGTCTGCCATGATCAGCTTCCAGGGAAAAGAAAGATCTAATCAAATATGTATATTTTTCAAAGTGTACATATTAATTTGAAAGCTGAGCAAGTTGCAGAAGTATTTCAGGATCAATGACTAAAAAGAGAGGACAGAAAGCATGGTCCTTGGCAAAATAGAGTTGGGAATAATTAATCATTTTAAAGTAAATGTTTCTCTACCTAAATCTCAGCCAAGAACCTTGACAGAGTGCAGACTCCCAGAAGATCCAAGCCTGCTGATGACAACAATGTTTGTTCTACAGTGTGCAATATTACAATAGGTCCTTTCAATGCCTGAGATCTTGAAAAGATGCCTGTATCTAGGATTTCTGATAAAGCTTACAACTGCTATGAATGATATTTAGATTTTAATATATGAGGTTTCATGCCATTACATGCACCAGTTCCATCCTTCACGCCGCACTGGAAGGCTCAGTTTAAATCAACGGGGGCCAATTCTGGAAGTCTTTTCGCCAAAGATGACATGGCTTCCTTTCCAGAATCTCTAGTGTATTCTCATATAGGCCGACTTACAGAGGAAGCCAAAAATTATTGGAGGATCAGATAATTTTTGAACCACACCTTGCTTTTTTAATCAGCAGAACTTGATAGAAGTGAATGCTGTGAACTACTTCATGCTCATATTGCTTCATTCATAATGTGGCTGTCACATAAAATTATCCACCCACACTTTACCATGAAGAATCTTTGCCTGCTCCTTCATCCATCAGGAGAAAGCCACTCCAAATAGAAATTTCTTGGCTGCTTTACAGGTCACTACCTATTTTGATCAAGAAAGTAGATGACAAAGCCTTTCAAGTAATGAAGTTTTCCATAAAAAGCCATTTGAACTTGAAGTGTTATAAGATTAAGGTTTTTAATATGCAGTCTTTTAGAGGTCAAACACTTAGATAGCAGAATTTTTTTTTTAAATAGAGAATGAATAGAAAGAAATGTGTTCATTACATAATTACAGGGCTTGTAAAGTGCTGGCATTTCTGCCGGAGAATCAGTTTCTTATGTTCCTGCTTAAAGCACAAAAGAAAACAAATAAATAAACATCATGTATTTATCTTTCTTTATATGTCTGTATCTTACTTTTTATATATAATCAGCCAGAAATAAGCCTGGCTCCTGGAAAAAGTGACGCTCTGTTAGTCCAGATATTTATCTGTAATACTATACGGATATACTCCTTAGTTTGGAATGTTATACAGAGTCCAAAACGATTAGTTAAAAAAAATGACTGAATTCAAACTGTAGTAAAAAAAAACATATGTAATTTACTTTAAAATTAACTAGAGTTGAATTGTATAACAAAATCAAACTTATGCATGGTATAGAGTGAAGTTGTAATATTGAAGGCCAAGTCTACTATCATTAGGAAATTGAATGGTAAAACTTTTAGAGTTATGAGACTTAAAATGATTTCTGAAAGAACCAGCCTAATGTCTCCAATTTTTCTGATTATCAGCAGTATTTTGATAGTATGCTCTTTGTTCTATCTCATTCTAATACCATTGCAAATTAGGTTGAGTTAATGTTTCTTTGAATAAGACCCTTTATTTGGGAAGTACCCTTGGTCCTTTATTTACAATTGCTACAATTTCTCTTCAAAGACAGCTGATTTTTTTAAAAATTCAGCTGTACATTGTTTCCCTAGATAATACACTGCAAAGTTTTTGTCAGTACATACTTATCATAGTATCACTATTTCTGAGACATTGGATTGGTTAATGAATTTAATATCTGGCCAGGTTTGTTTTCTCAGTGTCCTGTTCCACTTTGAATCAGGTGTAGATTCAAACTCAGTTTAAGCAATTTGTTTAGAAAATGTTCCATGTTTTGTTCTGTTTCCAGGGACATAGCAGATTGGGTTATTCAGACCAATCCTCCCATTAAAACCAATAACAGATGCTAGATAAAATATTTTTAAACTACCTTTCAAAAACCACTGAGAGATGACAAGGTAGTAAGGAATTAGGAAGCCAACATCTAAGGAAAACCTGGAACATAAGTGGTAAGGGAGCACTAGTGCTATTTTTGCCCTGAAGGCAAGTATCAATCAAGGACAATCACACTTCAGTTTTGATGGCTTAAACATGAGGGCAATTGAAGTTAAAACCCAGGGCCTACAATTCAACCAAGGGAATAAATCTGATTAGAGATTTTTCCTATATAAAGTTAGGACTTCAGAAAGCAACACCATCAGAGTAAGGGTAAATGAGAAGTAGATCTGCCTTTTCTCCACCCTGTCCACTGAAAATCACGGAAAGTAGAGTTGTGTAGAACAGAGAGAAAAAAATCTCAAAGAAATTGTAATCACAGACAGGTTTGAATAAGAGTTATAGCATAAATTAATATCACCAAGTAGTTGCTAAACAAAACAAAACAAAAAAACCTAGGTTGTGAATAAATGTCAAAGTAATTGCAGAATGGTAATACCCTTAGATGCTTCCAAGAAGCCAATGCAAATCTCTAGAAAAAGGAATTTTTAATCTTCAAAATACCCATATAGATTTTTTAAGACTATGAGAAATATGCAGTTAAAAATAACCAAACCCATGATGATGAAAATTCAGGCATTCTAAGCCAGAATGATCAGAAACAATAGACAATGGAACCATGCACACAGATGATAGATATTGGACTTTTAAGAGACAGAGTATAAAATCTACTTACTGTATTTGGAGAAATAAGAAGATAGACTTGAAAATATCTAGTCTTAAAGAAAAGTGTAAAAATGACCAATTTTAAAAAATCATAGAAAACATCTAGAAATAAAAAATGCAACTAATAAAATCACAAGCTCAACAGAAAATTTTAAAAGAAGATTAGACACAGCTGAAGAGAAAAGAGAAGCTGAAAGATTAGACAGAAGAAATTATCTAGAAGTTGGTATAGAGGAATTCAAAGATGGAAAAATATATGTAGCACAGGTTAAGAGTAAAGAAAGATTAAGTGATAAGTTCTGTGGTACTTATGACTGGTGTTCCAGAAGGAGAACGTAAACTGAATACAGAAGAGGCAAGACATGGAAAGATAATGAACAAAATATTCGACTTTCTGAACTGATGAAAGATGCAGATTTAAGATTCCCAATGAATCCCAAAGAATATTAGAAAGAATAATTACTCCAACCCAAGACACATTAAATGAAATGGTAGTACCAAAGACAAAATGAGCAATCTTAAAAACCAACCAGAGCAAAAAATACAGATTACATTCAAAGAGTGGTGTGTGGATTACCATGACTTGGCCTATATATTCAATTAAGACATTAATTTTGTATGTGTGTGTGTGTGTGTGTGTGTCTGCGCGTGTGTAATGTTCTGTAATGTATTTGAGGATACAAGGAGGGATATTTATATAGTGCTTTACATCATATAGAGTGCTTCATATTTTACCAATGTATACCAAAATCTTTAAGATTGTCATAAAGATTATTGAAGATTCTTTTTTTAGATAAGTAAATAGATATTTAGGGAGATTATGTGACTTGCCTAAGGTCACACAGCCACAGGATGAAGTGTTCAGAATAAGGTGGCTGGAAAGAGACTGATTCCAAGGACAGTTAAGAAAAAACAATTGTAGTCAGAAGATCACATTCAATTTTGGAACCCTCTACATGCCAAGCCTTGTGATTACTGGAGACAGAGGAACAAAGGTGGATACTTTCATTAAGATGTTCCTAGTTTTACAAGGGCCTTGAGGCCAGTCAGCAATGGAAAGATCACAGTGGAGCTCTGAGAGCCATTCGAAGAGGGAGTGAAAATAAGTTTCTACACACCTATTAGAATGGCTAAAATCCAAGACATTTACAGTATCAAATGCTGATAAGGATGTAGAGCAACAGAAACTCTGATTTGTTGCCAGTACTACAACCACTTTGGAAGAAAATTTGGAAGTTTCTTACAAAGATAAACAGCCTTACATACTATCTAGCAATTGTGCTTCTAGGTATATGCTCAAGTGAGTGAAAACTTATGTCAACATGAAAACCTGCAATCGAATATTTATAGCAACTTTATTCGTAATTGACCAAAATCGGAAGCAACCCAAGATAGGTGGATAAGCAAACCATGGCACATCCACATAATGGAATATGTATTCAGTGATAAAAGGAAATAAGCTATCAAGTTACAAAAAGGCAATAGTGCCTTAAATGTACATTGCCAAATGGAAAAATTAGTCTGAAAAGGCTGCATATTGTATGATTCCAATGAAATGACATTCTGGAAAAGGCGAACCTATAGAGACAGTGAAAAAATCATCGGTTATTGGTTGAGGTGGTTATGGTGCAGTATGATTAAGTGGAACACAAGGGGATTTTAGGGCAGTGAAAATATTTTTATGATACTGTAATGGTGGATATATGATAGTATATATATTTGTCAAAATCCATAAAATTGTACAACAGTAAGAGTAAACCCTAATATAATGATGGACTTTAGTTAATAATATTGCATCAATATTAGTTTATTAATTGTAACAAATGTATTTAGAAACTTTCTGTACTTTCTGTTCAATTTTTCTGGAAACCTAAAACTGCTCTAAAAGATAAAAAGTCTATTAAAAAATTTCTTTTTCCTGAAACAGAGTCTTGCTCTGTCGCCCAGGCTGGAGTGCAGTGGCACAATCTCAGCTCAGTGCAACCTCCACCTCCTGGGTTCAAGAGATTCTCCTGTCTCAGCCTCCCGAGTAGCTGGGCATTACAGGCGCACACCACCACACCCAGCTAATTTTCCTATTTTTAGTAGAGACGGGTTTTACCATGTTGTCCAGGATGGTCTTGAACTCCTGACCTTGTGATCCGCCCGCCTCGGCCTCCCAAAGTGCTGGGATTACAGGCGTGAGCCACCGTGCCCGGCCTTAACATCTTTTTAAAAAGAAGGTCAAAGGCAAGTTGAAGAGGCAAACAGGAAAGAGAGGTCTGGGTCAGAACTGATGGTGGGAGTCCCATTATTTGCGCTATTATAGATATATTGGCATACCTCTTTTTCCACAGCAGAGTTTTTCACAAAAATCCCATATATAAGAGCATTTGCTCTCAATATTTTAAGAATACTGGCAAATCTCTGACATCACGGCATACAGGTCAGAACTGAATTTTAATAATCTGACTTCAAATCCAGAATCTGTTCCTCTATTGCAAGTTACTGATTCAATCACCACACATTACAAGGTAAATGCAGAAAAGGTGGAATGCTCTGGAAAAAGCAGTACAAACTTTATTCTAGAGGAGAAGCTCAAAAAATAGATATGGTGTTCAGAATCAACTATGTTTTACTTGTCCATGGCTCCTTTTTTCTTTAAAAAATATTCTTCAAAAAAATTCAAACTGCTGACAGTCAGACTCTTTGCTCCTTGAGGATAAAAACTTCAAGGAGAAATAACAGGGAAACGGAAGGTACTCTGGAATGTAACTTTTCTAGCTGTTAACTAGATCAGTATTTTGAATAAGCTCCAGTAGATGGCGGAAGAGAGTAGGAAGCAGCATCCTTGCGTGGTGCAGTTTGAAATGAAACAGCCGTATTTTCAACAGCTCTGAGTCTGTGTGATTTCTGGCAAGACATTTAGCAGAGGAGGAGAGCAGACAGTTTTACAGCCTCTGTCACTCTTCTTGGCAGAGCCAGAAGACCCTCTGGTCTATTGGACTTGAGGATTCCTTTCCTCTAGAAATATTTGATGGCAGCCAAGTGATTGCATATTCCAAGACCCTTGAAAAGGACTCTTCTGCGTCACTCAGAGGGTCTTGTGTGCCTGAGGGCCTTTCCAGATCTGTGACTGATGGCAGGCAGCTAGAATAAAATCTGTAGTGCTCTGCTGTTTTTGCCAGATGAAGCTACTAGAGCATTTTGATTTTTTTTAAAGGCTACCAAAACAAACAAACAAAAACTATGACTCACAGCTAGACAGTGAAACAATATTTTTATTCATAGCTCTAAGTGCAGCTTTTACAAATAGCACATCTTAGAGTTTATTTTGTTTCTTTTCAATTAACCACTTTCTGGAATTAGAACTTAAGGGAGAATTGTGTAATCAGAATTTAAGAAAATGTTCAAATGAATATATTATAAATTCAGGCTGGTTACCTATATAGTGATGGAATTACAATGAACTGGAAAGCTGTGCTCTCCCCAGATCCATCAAGTTATCAAGGATAACTCAGCAGCCTCCTTGAACTTTCTGACTACCTATCACTTTCTCTGGAAGCCAAGAACCATGGAACTATAAAAAATGTGTTTGTATGTGTATGTATACATATATATACACATATATGTGTATGCATATGCACACACATATATATACACATATATGTGTATGCATATATATACACATATATGTGTATGCATATATATACACATATATGTGTATGCATATATATACACATATATATACACACAGATATATAAATATATACATAAATATTTATACATACAGTGCACATATTCACATATATACATATTCATACATGTGATACTCATATTCAGTTTTCTACCTTTTGTATTACTTTCTTCATGACAGTTCTAGGGTAACCTCATCTGACTTTATGAGGTTTCAAGAAAGATAACTCTAACTTCTTATTTAGTAAGTTTGTAACATATTACACTATCTGCCAAGCCAGACTTTTTATTTAAGACAGCTTCTTATTCTCTTCTTCTTTTTACTATAGCTGCCATCTTATATGGTCAACTTCCGACTGGTAACATGGAGTTGTGGTTTCTGTATGTAAGTAGTAAATAAAGTTATCATTCTAATGTCAATCAATAATATGAGGAAAATAAATGCATGAATGGATAGATTAATTAGTATTTAGTGCCTATTACACCTGGAATGGGGGGATTTGAATATGAAAAGAAAAAAGAAACAAGGCCCCTTTCCTCTAGAGGCTCACAATCTCTAATAAGACAAACCTATATGACCCATGGTTTAAAATAGGACAATCGAATCATGGGAGCATAGAGGAAATGCTTATTTGTGCTTGAGGATATCGGGAAAGGTATTTCACAGGAGATGAAACTGGAGCAGAGTATTAAAGAATTAGAAGGAATTCATCGGGTGGGAAAAGGATTGAATGATATTAATGAGCATGAGAATGACACATACAAAATTTCCTTAATATCTGATTTATAAAAGACAAGTGATTTAGAATGGTTGGAGCGCTGGCTAAATGTGGCAGAAAGAGGGAACTATGTTTTAAAAACACAGAAGAGGCAAAACTATGAAAGGCTTTAATATAAATGCTTGAGAATATATGGCTTCATTCAGCATTGTTCAATAGAACTTTCTGAGAGGACTGAAATATTCTATAATCTGCACTGTGTGCTATGGTAGCCACTAACCACATGTGGTTATTGTACAGTTGAAATGTGGCTAGTAAGATGGAGGCAATTAATTATTTTTTGGCTTAGGTTAAATTTAGATTTAAATAGCCACATGTAACTAATAGCTACTGTATTGGGGAACCCTGTTTGAATAATGAGAATTATTGAAAGATTATCAACAGTGGAATGGAATGATTGTTTAATATCAGTGCAAAAATAACACAGTTTGTATTGATTCCATTGGAATGTATGGTGCATTTCACGTTGAAGATCTTTAAATATCACAACCTATTAACTTGGAGTTGTGTTCAGTTGTGTAAGCAAAGCAATTAATTGTAACTGGCCAAGACTTAGGATAAGAATAATTTTTCAGTCTACTCAGCACAAGCAGATATAGAATAAATAATCAAGTATATTTAGCTTAAGTCTCCAGCTTATACTAAAGAAGGTTAGGCACCAATATTTGCAGTTGAAAAAAGTTTTATTAGAGAGGAATAATTTCCTCCAAGTTAAGAAATTCCTGTAAAAGAGAAACTCTTTCCAGTAAGTATATAGATATGCCCAAATCATTTTGAGACCACTGGCTTATTGAATTCATAGTATTTGTGTCTGGGTGATGAAAGACAAAGACTGATTAGCACATAGACTCTGAAATCTCAGAGAAGTAAGCCTGTGGTAATATTCAAGGCTGGCTTGCTCTTCTCTTCTCTCAGTAGATTTCACTGGAGTTAAGACTCCCTTTCTTCTCTGTGACATGGCTAGCCGCTTATTTCAGTAGCAGGTATAGCTAGCAGCACATTACTTTGGGGAAGACAGGAAGTGCTTAAAAACAGCACTCTCAGCTGGGATCAAATGAGAAGGCACATAAAAAAGACTAATAAGCAGTTAAGAAAATTATCTTGAAATGAAGCATTGTGAAATCCATTTTGAATTATGTATTTTCTCCTATGTATGTTGTATTAAATTTCAATTATTGCATAACAAATTATTACAAATTTAGCTCCTTAAACAGTACTATTATCTTACAGTTTCTGTAAGTTGGAGGTTCAGGCACTGCGTAGCCTGAATATCAGTGCAAAAATAACACAGTTTGTATTGATTCCATTGGAATGTACGGTGCATTTCACATTGAAGGTCTTTAAATATCACAACCTATTAACTTGGAGTTAATTCACTATTCACTGTCTTGAATAAGACAGTGAGCTGAATTCTCTGCTCACTGTCTTATTAAGTCAAAATCAAGATGTCTGCCAACTTGCACTCTCTTTGGAGCTCAGATTCTCTTCTAAGCTTATTCAGATTGTTGGCAAATTTCAGTTCCTTGTGGTTGTAAGATTGAGGCTGTCAGCTCCTAGGGGGACCTAGAATTTCCTGCCATGCAGCCCACTCTGTAACAGGTAGTTTGCTTCTTCAAGGACAACAGAACAGGAGAGTGTCTGCTAGTGCTTTGTGTATTTTTCTTTTAAGTGGCTGTATTAGTCAGGGTTATCTAGAGGGACAGAACTAATAGGGTAGATGTATATATGAAGTGGAGTTAATTAAGGAGTATTGACTCACACAATCACAAGCGAAGTCCCAAAATAGGCCGTCTGCAAGCTGAGGAGCAAGAAAGCCAGTCCAAGTCCTAAAATCTCAAAAGTAGGGAAGCCGACAGCGCAGCCTTCAGTCTGTTGTCGAAGGCCCAAGAGCCTTGGGCAAATCACTGGCATGAGTCCAAGAGTCCGAAAGCTGAAGAACACGGAGTCTGATGTTTGAGGGCAGAAAGCATCCAGCACAGGAGAAAGATGAAGGCCAGAAGACTCAGCAAGTCTGCTCTTCCATCTTCTCCTGCCTGCTTTATTGTAGCCGAGCTGGCAGCTGATTAGATGGTGCCCACACAGATTGAGGGTGGTTCTGCCTCTCCCAGTCCACTGACTCAAATGTTAATCTCCTTTGGCAACACCCTCACAGACACACCCAGGATCAATACTTTGCATCTTTCAATCCAACCAAGTTTGCACTCAATATTAACTGTCACGGTGGTAATCTGATTAACAGGATCACATAGAATAATCTTCCTTTTGTTTAATTAAGAGTCAACTGATTTGGAAATTTAATTACATCTTCAGCATTATGATGCAACATAGTCATGGTAGGGATATCCCATTATATCCACAAATCTGGCTAAGACTCAATAGGAGGCTATTATACCAGGGAATGTGCCCCCAAAGACAAGAATCCTGGGAGCCATTTTGGAATTCTGTCTACTACACATGGCCATGGGTATAACTACAGCTGTTTACATGTTTGTCTCATTAAAAACAGTGACAATATTGTAGTAATCTTATCTTTCACAGTGATTCCATAAGATGGTATTATAGAAGGAAGTCTCTCTCTCTCCTCTCTCCCTGCTTAATAAATAGTATTTGGTTTTATCTTGTTTTTGCTTATATAAAATTTTATGACATATGTAAATATGTGATAGATTATATAATCATATATTTATCAATGCAGTCAAATGTAGCAGGACGAGCCACAGACAAAACCCCTCAGACACCAAGTTAAAGAAGTAAGGCCTTTATTCGGCCGGGAGCATCGGCAAGACTCACGTCTCAAAAACCGAGCTCCCAAGTTTCATCTCCTGTGAAATACCTTTCCTGATATCCTCAAGCACAAATAAGTTCCTGTCCCTTTTAAGGGCTCACAACTCTAAGGGGGTCTGCGTGAGAGGGTCGTGATCGATTGAGCGAGGAGAGGGTACGTGACTAGGGGCTGCATGCACCGGTAATTAGAACGGAACAGAACAGGACAGGGATTTTCACAGTGCTTTTCTATGCAATGTCTGTAATCTATAGATAACATAACCGATTAGGTCAGGGGTCGATCTTTAACTACCAGGCCCAGGGTGTGGCGCCGGGCTGTCTGCCTATGGGTTTCATTTCTGCCTTTTAGTTTTTACGTCTTCTTTCTTTGGAGGCAGAAATTAGGCATAAGACAATATGAGGGGTGATCTCCTCCCTTAAAAGAGAGTAAAGATACATTTGTTATGAAAATAAAATATAGAGAAATGCATTTTGAAGTCCGTTGGGAGTTTCTGATGTATTAAGGATACAATGTGCTATGATGAGGCTGATATTTTTAGGGGTGGAGGAAGAAATGAACCATTGACGTAAGGGGAAAAAAAAACGGAATGAAAAGTTTTTAAAAATAGAGATGAATCACCTCAAAGATTATGCATTTTATAACTGGTTTTGGACTCTCTTGCAAAATAATAAGTTTCACAACCTCTATCTGAGACTTTTGCTTTAC
Organism: Homo sapiens; assembly: GCF_000001405.40. Classification (NCBI taxonomy): domain Eukaryota; kingdom Metazoa; phylum Chordata; class Mammalia; order Primates; family Hominidae; genus Homo; species Homo sapiens. Next base: position 115,071,760 of record NC_000008.11, on the reverse strand, counting down.
CTCTCTGCTGATTTGTAGTAAAAAATGAACACTTGCTTTGTGAAAAAAATGTAGATGATGTTTGTCATTCAATGGATTTTTTTTAAAAGTATCTAATACATGTCTGAGTAAAAGAATGTGTTCACCAGAAATATGTGGAAGATGCTAAATTGTAAAATAAAATATGTGTGTGTGTTTTATAAGTTTTGAGAAATGATAAACAATATTCATTTATAAAAAGGCTAGTCTCCTTAGCCTAAAGCACCAGTACTGGCCTCCTCTGTGGTAGTTGCCTTGCAAAGCACTGTTGATTTTTCTCAGGACTTAATAAGCATGAGTGCTTCCAAACATTTAACTAGATTCAAGTTGAAGACTCAGCTCTAAACGACGAGGTATGAAGTGTGACTTTCCAGGAGCTTCACTGAACTATGCACCAAAAAAACTACATTTAAAATATAAATATTTATATAAAAACCTGGAGAAAATGTATGGGAATAGATATTAAGGGTGTAGGATAATGGGGAAAACATAAAGTTTATTGAGGCCAAATTTATTGATATTAGCTGTCTTAGGCTTCCACAGAGGAAAGAAACAATAGATTTTATGCATATATAATTCAATCCTCTGGTGCACATTATACATACATACATACATATATGCACACATATATGTGTGTGTGTGTGTGTGTGTATATATATATATATGGGGAGAAAGAGATTTTCAAGATTTATTATAAAAAATTGGCTCACACATCTATGGAGTCTGAGAAGTCTCAAGATCTTCAACTGGCAAGCTGGATACCCAGGAGACAGATGATATAAGTTCCAGCCCAAGTCCAAAGGTCTGAGAACCAGAAGAGGTGATGTTTAAGTTACAGTTCCAGGTCAGAAAAAGAGCAATACTGCGGGTCAAGCAGTCAGAAGGCACTCCCACTTATTCAGCTTTTTTGTTCTACACAGGTCTTCTATTAACTGGATAAGTCCCACCCACATTAGACAATCGACTTTACTTAGTTTACCTATTCAAATGTTAATGTCATCCAGAAACACCATCACAGACACACCCAAAATAATGTTTGGCCAAATGTCTGGACACCCAGTCAAGTTGACATATAAAATTAACCATCACAAGCCAACCTCTTGTCAACTTGGCATTGATACACATCTCTTTAAAACATACTTAATATCCAAATAAAGATAATAACAAGGCATAATTTTGCAACACATGATGCAATCATCCTGCATAAACCAAAAACACATTCTAACTTTCCCCTGAAGAGGTGGTAAAGTCTTTGAGTGACGTTTACTATTTGATATTCCGTAAGTTAACTACTATGATGTAAAATTAACAATACTTAAACACTGTGACATGAAATCAACTCTTCTTACCTTACATGATAAGGGAATTAACAAAAAGTAAAGGAAGGGAAGAAAACAAAGATATTTGCTGAAGACATATACACAAACCCACTCCCCCCACCCCTCCCACACAAATGTATTCATCAAAATAAGAAGGAAATATTATGACAATTACAGTACTTGTTTTTGTAACTGGTGACATGGTTGCAGGTGGTATTTATAACAACCTTTTCTCACTACCCATTTGGGATATCCTTTACTTTCAGCAAGTACCTCAGTTCGTCTTGGCTCTTTACCAGACGGGGTGATCCAAACCTTCAGTCCTGAAGGGTCTGGGCCAGTAGAAATCCTTTCTGGATTGGGTTGTTTTGGTTTTCAATTGACCTTAATCACATGGCATGGTAATGCTAAGAGATTCCCTAAGGGATCTTCTGTATTCCAGACATACTCTTCCTTAACCTCATTGTGGAGCAGTTGTACAACTTTCTTTTGGTAGTCAGGATAACCACGGTAGCCAGCACAGTAATCTCCTTTATTTGCCTATTGATTCAGAGGTATGAGAAGCCCAAATGGGTTGAGTGGCAGTCTAAACTTCCAGTTAAGTGGATAATTGTTGTGTCTTTTGGTAAAAGCATTCCTTCCTTTGGAACTAAAACTTATAGGCCAGCAGAGGATAAGGTCATGGAAACAGTATCCTGAAATTTTACTAGTGGGTCATTAGGGGGTAATAGTATGTGGTGCCCCTCCCATTTTCATCCCTAAATTTCTGGACCTGTGAATCCCAGCCATGGAGAAAGAACATCATATATTGGACACTTATCCAGAAGTACACATCCTTCTGAACAACCTTGCTTCAGCGCTGCAAGGTTTTACCACTTAGTGATGCTGTGACTTCAATGTCCTTTCCACTGCTCTGTCAAGCCATCAGTTGAGAATATAGGGAGCATTTAAGATCAGTGAATTACATGAGTGTGGGCTTATTGCCTCACTTAATTTTCTGTGAATTAATTTCCTTGATAAGAAGCAATACTGTGTGGAATATCATGACAGTGTATAAGGCATTCTGTAAGTCTGTAGTTGGTAGTTTTGGGAGAAGCACTGGTGCAGCAAAGGCAGATCTGTATCCAGAGTAAGTTTTTGTTCCCATAAGACCAAAGTGCTGTCCCTTCCATAATGTGTCAAGTTGAAAGGGGCTCTCTGTCCTTTGCTGCCATTTTGAGGACAAGAAGGATACATTTGGCTTCAGCCAACAGGAATACTTGCTTTCATTGTATTTTGTCATTTCTCTCTAATCTACACTTAACTTCTGGCACTATTTCACTTGGACTGCTTCTTTGTATTCCTGATCCTAAAAATACCTTGCCCAGCCTAAATGTCACCTCTTTAAAGATATTTTAATTTATCACTTCAAGTTGAGCTGCTTTCTTTTTTCTCTGAGTCTATAGAGCAGTGGTGGCAAGTATGTTTCTGTTACAAACATCACTAATCATCATGGTGTTCTTCTCCCAAGCTGGGCTGTGACCTCAGAGTCTTCAGTAATATAGCACCCCATGCATCCACTACAATTTCATCCATTAGCATTCAATATGAAGATTAATTGTGAGCCCACCATATTTCCCAGATGTGGATTATATTATAGTTAGTAACATGTATGCCTTGTTCTACCAACTAAACTGTAAGCTCCTTGACGACAAGAAATAAATCACTTTATTTTTATATTTATCTTAATAAACAACACAACAGTTTGAATGTAATAAGTATAAATGTTATACAGCTATCGCCCATGTATTGAAAATAATGTTCCTTAATATAAAGATCTGAATAGAAATGCTGTCAAGAATCTATTTCCCATCATTTTAAAGGGAAAAAAATATAATGAGTGTTTGTCAACTCTAAGCTCTCAATTTCCTAAAACACAGTGAATATTTAAAATATTTCTTCCAGATCACCAAATAAAATTTATTTGCTTGATAAAAATATAATTTATTTGCTTGATAAAAATATAATTTGTTGCCAGTAAAATTGACTTTTTTAGTGCCAGCAACATCTAAGATAAATACCCCCTTCGATGAGAATTGGCCTGCTCCTCAAACTGTCCTTGTGATTATGACATTGTGTCAATTCTATTTGGAACATAACTTTTTTTCCCAAAACAATTTTGTTAAGAAATGTCATATTGAGTATTAGAGACATAAATGCAATTTTTTCCTATATAAATAATTGGCTGCGAAATACTGTGCTAAGAGACTCAAATATTCTATAACACTGGGATATTAAAAAACAGGCAGCCTTCTACCAGAAAAATACTATGTAGATCTTCTCTGTGGTTTTGCTGCACTTGTGTATTTACTTCATTGTTTATTTATTCATTCAACATTCGGTTGTCGATTATCTATCATGGTCTAATCTCACGTAGGCTTCAGACATTAGGCATTAGATAGGTAAATATAAAAATCGTGTCTGGAAAAATTAGCTAATGATCTAACGAAGTGATCAAACACATAGAGAAATAATTACAATACAGATTAACACAATCCCTAGTAGATTTGGCAAGTCGTAGCAAATTGAGACATTACTAGTTTTGCCCTCATAATTATTGAGGCTTCACAGAAGAGGTGGCGTATAATTTACCTTGAAGAAACAATAGGAATGTGCTTGGTAGACAGGTAAGGTCAATGGTACAGAGCTACATTTGAGGCTGGGCAGGGTGGCCCACACCTGTAATCCCAATACCTTGGGGGACTGAGGTGGGAAGATTGCTTGAGGTCAGGAGTTTGAGACCAGCCTGGGCAATATAGCAAGACCCCATCTCTATGATAAAAAATACAAAAATTGGCTGGTTTTGGTGGCATGTGCTTGCAGTCTCAGCTACTCAGGAGGTTGAGATGAGAAAATCTCTTGAGCCCAGGTGTTCAAGTTACAGTGACCCATGAGCCATGATAGTAAACCACCGTACTCCAACCTGGGTGACAGAGTGACATCCCATCTCAAAACAAAACAAAGCAAAACAAAACAGAGTTACATTTGAGAAACTTTTCAATACGTTTTAAATGTCTGCAATGCAAAATGCATATAGCTGAATAGAGAGAGATGTGACTTAGCAGTTAATTGGAGCTAGATTCTGAATAGTATAAGAAATGCTCTGGGAAATTAGACCATATCTTTTGGCAATGAGGACAAAATTATGTAAGTTATTTTGTCGGAGAGCTAGTTGGGGCTTCATTCATAAAAGATAGTTGACAAAACTGCTGATTATGGGACATAGTGGGAAGATACTATAAATAGTAAACAGTAAGTGCCAAAATGATAAAGGCCTAAACAGGTTTTCAAATTTTCTAAGCTGTGATAAAAGCTAGTGGCACCAATAAATTTTTATGAACCACAGAATACCAATATCTGATAATTTTAAGACATTAAAATATATTTTCATGAAAAAATATAAATGTATAAAAATATATAAATATGTATTTCCATGAAATAAAATCTCTGTGCAAGAATGGGCATCGTACAGAGTCATTGAGGATTAATATTCTCTTCTGGATGAGAGTATTAATATTTCATGAGTCACTGAGGCTGATAATGCCTTAGTGTCTTCTGAAAACTTTTTATCAAGTTCTGCTCAGATAAGGATTCTTGGGGCTGGGAATCTGGGGCCCATTGAAGACACACCCCAGGTTCTTCTTCTTATCCCTTTTCCCAAGGGTTATAAATAGCCCCACTTCCTTCAGCTGAGAGTCTTATTCAGATAACCCAGTGGAACTGACCTCTGGCCACTGTCTTTCATTATGTCTGGATATTCTTTACCCCAGTGGTGGTCAAAGAGAAGTCAAACTGGTACTACTGCCAGATCTTTCCACTTGGTCCCTGGAGTCCGGTTGAAAAGGCCAGAGAGCCAGCCTTGTTCATCCCTTTTCTTGAATCTTTTAGTGAGACAAATTTCAGTTGAGCAGTTTTTTAAAGGAGCACTTTTGATTTAAAAGGAGTTTTTACTTAACTGTTACGTCTGATGCTGCAAAGTGTCTAATTAATACTACTAGGGCTTTATCACAGCAAAAGCAATTCTGAATGGGTATTGATAAAAAAAAGAATCATATAAGAAGGTTAGGCAAGCTAAGTAAAATTAAGTAGGAAATGAACATGAGTCTAGATAGTGAAAGTTTTTCACAACAATGTTAAAATGATCAAGAAGTGGCCGGGCATGTTGGCTCATGCCTATAATCCCAGCACTTTGGGAGGCCAAGGTGGGCAGATCACCTGAGGTCAAGAGTTTGAGACCAGCCTGGCCAACATGGTAAAATGTCATCTCTAATAAAAATACAAAACTTAGCAGGGCCTGGTGGTGCGTGCCTGTAATCCCAGCTACTCGGGAGGCTGAGGCAGGAGAATCACTTGAACCCAGGAGGCGGAGGTTGCAGTAAGCCGAGATCACGCCACTGCACCACTCCAGCATGGGTAACAGCGAGACTCAGTCTCAAAAAAAAAAAAAAGAAAACGAAAAAGAAAAAGAAAAAAAAAGATCAAGAAGTTCTTTTCCTAGTGTTTTACAATTTAATCCCATATCTTATGGAAAAATAGAAAAATTTTTCCAATGCTCAAAGGCATTGGGGATATTTCACAACCACATAGCTATTTTCAATATAAAAACTTCACGCCAAACTATAAAAAATATATTTATCAAACCTAAACTTTTAAAATTGATTAACTGTAAAATGTAAAGTGTGGTTTTATTTAGAGAGAAATATTGTTGAGCAAGTAACTCTTAACCAAGCATTGCAGTCTCAAAATTCCTCAAGTATTAAAGTTGAGAGTAGTGTTTTTATGCATAAGTCTAAAAATTTGTCTTTTTAAAGTACTGAAAAGAAACTAGCATTTGAATGAATAACATTTTGGCTCAATATTTTTCTTTAAATTTTTAATAGTGTTCTCTCTTGGGAGGAATTCAAACCCTGGAATTTCTTATTTTAAAGAATAAAGAGACATAAACTATTGAGAAAACAAATAATTTGGAAAAATAGAATTAAATATTTGATTTCTTATAAGATCTTAAGTTGATTACTAGCATTCTCTGCCTCTAAATGATACATGAGGAAATGAATTGCTTTCTACAGTTGTACTATTTATATTCAAACTGAAGTAATTTTATTTTATTTGCAATAATGCTGAAATTTGGAGATAATTATTAGTTTTAAATAACCTGGCTTTGTGAAAAATGACATTTTTATCTGTTCAAAGAAAATTCAAACTTGGAGGTTATATTTAGTTTTATGAAAGAAAATATGCAAACCTTCCATTGTAGCTTATGTTTGTGTTTTTAATTTTTTAAATTTTCAAACACTGGCAAATATGTCTTCAATTTGGTCATTTTCAAAATGACAATGAATACATTTTAAACCCTATAATATGGGGAAACTGATACTTTTATACCTTATAAAAGAGCATAAATTGATATATTTGGAATTAAATGCAGCTTTACTATTTAATCATAAATGTAAATGCATATCCTGTGTTCCAGCAATTCATTTTCTAGGAATATATCACATATCTATGTATACACACACACATACACATATATATACACATACATATGTATATATATATACACATACATACGTATATATATATACACATACATATGTATATATATATACACATACATATGTATATATATACACATACATATGTATATATATATACACACATACGTGTGTGTGTGTGTGTGTGTGTGTGTATATATATATATATATATACATACTTTTTTTTCTTTTTTATTCCTACCCAACTTTTCTCTCCAAAGGCCAGCTCCTTGGATATCGTTGGATATCCTTCCATAGATATCCTATGCACATATAAGTGTATATATGCCTATAGATTTCTTCTTTAACATGCAAATTTAGCATGATATGGAATCTTTTTTCTATCTTTATTTTTCATTTAATATAAATAGATTATTCCATTTTGGTGCATATAATTTTTTTTATTTTTTAAATATCTGCAAAACATTCCATTGGACAGATTTACAATTATTTATTTAAACAAACCCAATCAATATACATTTTTAGTGCTGCAATGCATACACACATTATTTTGTGTATTTGGAAGTATTATACATATAATCCTATATAATAATGTATTCTGTGTATTTGAATAATGCTATATAAAATACTATAGAATAATGCATTCTGTGTATTTGAAAGTGTTATACATATAATACTATATAATAATGCATGTACACATTGCAGCATTGAAAATGTATATTGATTGGGTTTGTTTAAATAAATAATTGTAAATCTGTCCAACGGAATGTTTTGCAGATATTTAAAAATTAAAAAAAGTGTATGCACCAAAATGAACTAATCTATTTATATTAAATGAAAAATAAAGATAGAAAAAATACTCCATATCATGCTAAATTTGTATGTTAAAGAAGAAGTCTACAGGCACATATATACTTACATGTGCAAAGGATATCCATGGACGGATATCCAAGGAGCTAGCAATAGTGGTGGCCTTTGAGGATGAAAGCTGGGTAGGAATAAAAAAGAAAATTACTTTTTAAATTTTCTATACTTTAATACCTCTTGAACTCTGTCTTCAATGCATGCATTACAAATTTAGAAATATAAATTAATTCTAAAAAATAAGAATAAAACATATAGTAGCCCTTATTTTGTTTGGTTCCCTTTCTGTTTACTTTAGATTACTCTTAAAAATAATAATTTGTATTTTGGTGGAAAATATTTTAAAAGGTTAATATTATAAAAAATATACAGCAATATTTATAAGAACTTTTATCTTTATTACATAGTCCTAAGTCAGGCTGCTATTTCTTATGTGAAGAGAAATGTCAGATTAGCCGTTTATTTTAGTGACCTTGGGAACCAATGGATACAGCTTTATGATTATTCTAGTCATGGCAATTGGGTTTTAGTGTGAAGACAATTAAATTCACAGGACAAACATGTCATGATATGATGCTGGTACTCATAGTTTTTCTCATGGAAAAGCATAGTATAGCTTGATAACTAATGTGTGACCATTCTGCTTCTTTATGTATATTTCTGTAACCTTGAAATTTTATCGCAAAATAAATGTACACTCAACAGGAAAATCTTAGTAGTTCTTCAAATTATACTCTATTTTGAATGAACTTTTATCAGATAAATGAGGTTTTACTGAATATAGCTATTGTAAATGTTCTTCAAAAATATTGAAGAAAGACTACATTTTTACAAGACTCAGTAATTGAGACATATGTTGGCAGAATATTTAAAACATACTTCTAGGGGATTGAAAATTTTCCACAAGCAATTATAATCCTTCAGCTATTGGCACAGTTTCCTGACCCGTCAGTCCTTTTATTTAGTTTACATTTCTTATTAAAGTATATTTGATTCAGCACAATAATTTCTCAAACAATTGAAATATAGAAATAGATATCCACTTTCCATCGTCTAATCCTGACAATTTTATACTTGGAACATAATCAGGTGATGTAATTTTCTTTTTGATTCTTTACTGCTCTTCCCATGGTTGGAGGGAAAACCGTATGATTTTTCAGTAAGTCTTAATGACTCCAAGAATCTGTGAAGTTAATAGAATAAAGGGTTTCTCATCTGTGATTGAAAAATATAGACCGGGTGTGATGGCTCACGCCTATAATCCCAGCACTTTGGGAGGTCGAGGCAGGTGGATCACCTGAGGTCAGGAGTTCGAGACCAGGCTGGCCAACATGGTGAAACCCCATGTCTACTAAAAATACAAAAATTAGCCAGGAGTAGTGGCGCATGCCTGTAATCCCAGCTACTCTGGAGGCTGAGTCAGGAGAATCGTTTGAACCTGGGAGGTGGAGGTTGCAGTGAGCCAAGACTGCACCACTGCCATCCAGCCTGGGCAACAAAGCGAGAGTCCATCTAAAAAAAAAAAAAAAAGGAAAAAAAGAAAAATACAGTCATAAATGTTTACAAGCTTTTAATAATCACCAGTGTATAAGAGTCAATCTCTTAAGTGTATTTAGCATCTTAATACAAACAATTTTGAGTTAATGAACTATGTTAGGTAGTTAAATGTTTTTGATTCAATTTTATATGCGACCTTTTCTTTTAAATACATTTGTAAGTGTTTAGGTCATTGAAGAATTGAAGACTCATAAACAGTTTGGCTATCTCATATTCCCTTCATAACTCATGAAGTACATTGCTACATATATTTTTTGTAATTATTATGTTTCCCTTAAGCACCTTGGGGCCTAGAACATCATGGTTTTATATTTAAATTAGGAGAAAAATGTATATATCACTAAGGTATGAAAGGTTTTATTTTCTCTCATGGAGGCCATCAGACTACCTTACAGTTTCCCTGTGGAAAAAGAAAAGAAAAATACGGAAATTGAAAATGTTTACTGTTGTGTCCCTTTTTCTGTTTTAGTGCCACATAGTCAAGAACAGATGGTTCCACACGTTCTGCTGCCATCCTGATCAACTGCCTCACTGATGTGCACACTGCTCCACAGCGATTTGTGGTCTCTGCTGTTAGAAGTGCCAGCAGCTGGCAACTTGTAAATGACCCATCCTTTCATTAATAATAATAATAATCACAATAATAAAAATGCCATCTTCTAGATACCCTGATGCATAGTTATAAGCAATTAGGTGTTTTTGCAGTCACAATTCAGTTGTGTATTTATGTGAATTAATTTTGTCTTCATTTTTTAAAAAAGTAAACATAACTTGGCTGTGGAACTCCCATTTTCATAACGGTGTAACATGCTTCATCTGGAAACTTTGAGATAATCGTATCACTTCTGATAAGCAAACATCATTTTCCTCTTAAGGGTGTCTGATATTAATGCTGTTATTTGACTCTTCCCTGCTCTGGTATTCCTTGCTCTGACTGATCTTTGGCTCTGTAGACTGGCATCCACAGTGGCCATCCCAGTTCCTTGTGGTCTCTGGTCGTGTGGCTTACCCTTCTTGACCAAACTCTTGGCCAAAGTCCCTTCAGAGTAAGGACCCTGTTCATTCAGTCTAAAGATTCTGAGTGTGCACTGGTCCTGTTGCGAGTTGTGTACTCTGCTCTCTTTGCCACTTGATTCCTGCTGGGCTTGGTAAGGCTTGCTCTTGGGCTCATCTATGGAAACACCTCAACGAGACATTTGTCATCTCTGCCCCAGTTTGGACTTTCTAGCACTCCTCTAAATGAAAAGTTTCAAAGAACTTGAAGTTTTACTTGAATGTTTCTTTGAAGATACAATTCTTTCCTCTGGAATTTTGCTAATCCAGTCTGAGTATCTATATCCCAGTTTCTTTTTCACCCTAACTCAAGCCTCAAAAGTATAAGATTGTGGCTTTTTTCTCAGGGATGCAGAGAGCATCTAAATCTTAAATTCTTGACTTCAAATATTCTCCAAACTCCATCTTCCTTGTCCAAAAGTTTACTCATGAGTGTGTGTGCGCATGTGTGTGTTTAATATTTTTTCCCTGTGTAGCAGGAAGCTGCTCTTAGGTGATCATCCGCAATCTTTCACTCTATGCCTGTTTCACAGACTTTACTTAGTCCTCTAGGCTCTGCCTCTTGTTCTTCTAAGAAAGCTTTTTTTTTTTTTTTGCTCCTATTGTTATTTAAAACCACAAACTGAAAACTGTCCTCATAGTAAATTCCTGGGGTCTTACATATGGAAAACTTTTTGGTTTTTTTGATAATTGTGTTTGTTATGAATCTCAACTCCATTTACATAGCTTCTCAATTGAGTTCTTTGTTCTTAGCTGTCCTTGAATGCCCTACTTGGGTCCCTAGAGCTGGTGATACTCCTACCACTTTATTAGTGCAGGGGAGGGAGGATTTTCTTTCTTTTTTTTAAAATTATACTTTAAGTTCTGGGATACATATGCAGAACGTGCAGATATGTTACATAGGTATACATCTATCATGGTGGTTTGCTGCACCCATCAACCCGTCATCTACATTAGGTACATCTCCTAATGCTATCCCTCCCCTAGACCCCCACCCCTCGACAGGCCCTGGTGTGTGATGTTCCCCTCCCTGTGTCCATGTGTTCTCATTGCTCACCTCCCACTTATGAGTGAGAAAATGCGGTGTTTGGTTTTCTGTTCCTATGTTAATTGCTGAGAATGATGGTTTCCAGCTTCATCCATGTCCCTGCAAAGGACATGAACGCATTTTTTTGATGGCTGTATAGTATTCCATGGTGTATATGTGCCACATTTTCTTTATCCAGTCAATCACTGATGGGCATTTCAGTTGGTTCCAAGTCTTTGCTATTGTGAATAGTGATGCAATAAACATACCAGTGCATGTTTCTTTATAGTAGAATGATTTATAATCCTTTGGGTATATACCCAGTAATTAGATTGCTGGGTCAAATGGTATTTCTGGTTCTAGATCCTTGAGGAATCACCACACTGTCTTCCACAATGGTTGAACTAATTTACACTACCACCAACAGTGTAAAAGCGTTCCTATTTCTCCACATCCTCTCCAGCATCTGTTGCTTCCTGGCTTTTTAAAGATTGCCATTCTAACTGGCATGAGATGGTATCTCATTGTGGTTTTGATTTGCATTTCTCTAATGACCAGTGATGGTGAGCTTTTTTAATGTTTGTTGGAGGCATAAATGTCTTCTTTTGAGAAGTGTTTGTTCATGTTCTTCATTCACTTTTTATCTTTTTTTTTTTTTTTTGGATAGAGTCTCACTCTGTTGCCCAGGCTGGAGTGCAGTGATGAGATCTCAACTCTCTACAACCTCTGCCTCCCCGGTTCAAGCGATTCTCATGCCTCAGACTCCTGAGTAGCTGGGGTTCCAGGTGTGTGCTGCCACGCCCGGCTAATTTTTGTATTTTTAGTAGAAATAGAGTTTCACCATGTTGGCCAGGCTGGTCTCGAACTCCTGACATCAAGTGATGTGCCTGACTCAACCTCTCAAAGTGCTGGGATTAGAAGCATGAGCCACCATGCCTGGCCTGCCATTCTTTACTTTGTTTCATTTTGGTTGTAGCTGTCCTAAATCCCTCAAACTATCATAAGTTTTTTTTCATGCAAGTTCTGTTTTTGTCATTGCAGAGGAAAGGCACAGAATGACATAGTTGGTGAAATGAAAACATCCAGCCTGTCAGATTTATGTACATTGTATCTAATATAACTTCCCATGTTTTATCTTTTTTACTATGAGATAGCTTCTCTTTCCTGCTAAGCCAACTGAAATCCACATCCCCAATATAATTTCTTAAATTTATATATGTGTATATAGTTAAAAAATCAGAAGCCTAACAAACTGGTAAATCATATTACTTCAATGCTTCATTTTTATAATCTCATCCTTCTGGGTTGTATATACATGTACAATAGAGAAATAGGCAGATTCTGCATACATATTGTGTAGATTCTATAAAAATTGGATTTTATTCTAAGTACAGTGAGAAGCTGGTTAGGAATTTCAAGCTAGGGAATGAAGTGATTTGATTACCGTTTCTTTCTTTCTTTCTTTTTTTTTTTTTTTGAGATGGACTCTCACTCTGTAGCCCAGGCTGGAGTGCAGTGGCACCATCTTGGTTCACTGCAAACTCTGCCTTGGGGTTCAGGCCATTCTCCTGCCTCAGCCTCCCAAGTAGCTGGGATTACAAGCGTGAGCCACCACACCCAGCTAATTTTTTGTATTTTTAGTAGAGACGGGGTTTTACTGTGTTAGCCAGGATGGTCTCGATCTCCTGACCTCGTGACCCGCCCGCCTCGGCCTCCCAAAGTGCTGGGATTACAGGCGTGAGCCACCGCACCTGGCCTTGGTTACCATTTCTTAAAAGATGAGTCAAACTGCTGAGAGGAGATCAAATTGAAAATAGAGGGAAGACAAAGAGCAGAAAGGGAGAGGAAACAGAGGGGAAGAGGCTGTTATAACTGTGAGGCAAGAGATGCCTCAGTCTGAACTAGGGCAATGGGAACAGAGATGGAGAGAGTGACAGTTAGGGCATGTATTGGAAGTAGAGTGAATAGGACTTCCTTTGCTTCTTACCTGGAAGAAGACTTCAAAGAGACAGGCAGTAATTCACTGTAATTCTCTCATTTGGCTGAATACATTTAATATGGTTTCTGTACTCATCTAATATGAAACCAGGAGGAAGTATAGACCTCAATGCATAATAAATAGAAAATAGTTATTACTACATATTCTAATATTCTTGGTTTTTCAGTATCATTTTAATAAGGCGCAATGTTTAAGAAAAAAATTTCTCAAATGTTGGCATACTGAAATAGATAGTTAATTTATTATCATTAATATTAGGATTGTTTTAAGGCCAATGGAATTGGATTTTCCTTTTGTTCCTAATCCAAGACGTGGTTTTTTTTGTTGATATTCTTGGCTTGGTGTAAAATCTATCTTTTGAGATTGGCATTCCCCTGTGACTAAATGGTGAATTATATTGTCTGGAAAGTTATCATGAGTTCCACTGTGGTTTTGGGTCAGTAAGTTTTTATGTATTTTTACAAATTTTGTACATACACCCAGAGGCTTTTTGGCGTTCATTACATTTTGAAATTCAGGAGAGTAAATATGAACCATTTAACCGTCTCCAATTCTAGGTTCATCATTTTAAATATATTAAAATATATATGCAAGAAGTTTTCTGAAATTTAAAACAGAGACTAATTTGGCAAAGATTGTATTAATATTACAAAAAAAGCAGCTTTCTCTGCAGCTCATTTGAATACATGTCCTTTAGGTCAAGAGAGACATATTGTAAACCTGAGCTCTGGAACTTAGAGGAAGTGCATTTAATATTCTAGATATTTGTTTTACATACCTAGTAGTGGGCTAAGACCAATGCTAATTGATTTAACCTATTCCTGGAAAACCTCTCAAACTTACAATAACCTTAAATTTAGTAACAGTATAGAGAAATGCAAAATTATTTGGGAATGAAGAAAAATTCACTTTAAAAATAAAGCATAGCTCTTTCAAGAACACAAAATACGTATTTGCTAAAGTATTTCTTTCTTCTCATGTAGCACATGTAAATGATGCACCAGCAAAATGAAGCCACATATGGCATATTTTACTGAAAGTTTAATTTATAATAAAATGAGACCTATAATTCTTATTTATGCACATCATTAGCTCCCTAAATTAACTATTAATTACACAGGTTAAATAATGTCGACCTAAGATATAATATAATAAAGGTAAAAATAATAAGAAATATTCATAATTATGTGACATATATCTTGGAAATTGCTTTCCATCTTGACAATGTGAGTTTCATTCAGGAACTTATAATGCGCACTCACACATAGGTAATGGCGGTATTTTAATAAAGGGGTATTATTTTGTGCATAATCACAATGAGACTATGTTATGACAGAGGTGGACAGCAGTTTCAGAGGCAGCAGCAGTGGTTTGAGGCATAGGATTATTGGTACTATTGTTATTTTCTGTCTCATGGTACCCTCATTTTGGCCACTGCTTTTTCATCTGCCAAGGAACATCAGCAACTCGTGTCTCCTACCACCTCAAAATGTTGTCAGAGCTTTCATATTTTGCTTGGTAATCCCTTGAGATCTTTGGATGAAAAGAGCCATAAAAATCCAAAATGTTTTTCTAGGTGGGGGTTTCCAAAATTGGTACCTTTGAGGGAGCCACCCACTTGGATATTGAATGCCCTCTCTGTGTAATGTGGAAAAAGTGGTTGGTGAAAATTTGCTCCTCTAGCATCACTGAAAAGAGAAAAAAGAAAAGAAAAAACAGACATCTTTATTGTTTAGAAAGTAAAACACACCCATTGGGGATCACTTCATCATTTTTTTAAGTGAATGAAAACATCAAAAGTTGAACTGATGAAATGCAGGATAAGTGCAAACAGACTACACCCTTCCTCTTTCAGTCACAAGGAGAAGTGGTCTGCCAAGTCTTCCCACTACACTCTCCCTGTCTAGTGAAGGGCCCTAGTTGGCTTGGAAACCATGTCCATATCTGAGTTACAACTAATCATGCCACTGTTGAGTCATCAATAGAAAATCCCACAGACTGGCTGCTTTCCACTTTGTGGTGTAGAGCCATGATTTGAAAGAGAATCTATTCCTGGTCATTTCTTCTCTTTTCATCTGAGTCATTTTTTTCCCCTTTTCTTGCTCACTTTTGTTTCTTCCAGTTTTTAATTATCATCTTTCTCTTAACCCATCTTTTTCTAATCTCAAGGGCTATTTTAAAAGAATGCTTGCTCACCAAATGCAACTCTCCAAGAGCTCATTTGGAAAAAATAATGATCTCTTTCTGTCTCTCCAGCTGCCAAAAGTCATCATGAGTCATGTTTTTGACTCAATTGACAGAAATACTTAGTATAAATAGTTGGCCTTTCCCAGAGTAGCCTCTTAGCTGCCATTCCATCTTGCTGATTTTAACTAACTGAAAGGATGCAGCATTTGACTAGAGCAGCCTACCTGGTTATTATGTCCTTTTCATTTTCCCTGTCTTTGTTACACCCGGCTAAAGCAATCCATTGAGTGGGAGATAAGCAAAATGCGTGGCTGTCTGTGAGCATTCTAGCTCTACGGTATCTTGTTTGGATAGTTCTTGCCAAGTTACTCCCCCTAAATTGAACTGGTTTCCCATATACTAAATCAGAAATTAAGTAACCTAGTTTCTAAATACTAATAATATTAATAAAATAATAAAGTCATTCTTTAAAAATGTTATTATGACAACTTGATATTAGTGACTTGGGAACCATGGAAAGAAACTTGGTTCAAATAGACACAATATTGGGTTTCTTACTACATTTAGAAGTAAGTATATTTAGTGGAGTACAAAGGAACTATTGATGGTATTCACTACTGATCTTGTCAAAGTCAAAGTTTTTAAAACTTAAAAAAGATGACTCATACGAATATAGAATAAACATGTCAAAAGTTTATTTAACTCATTAACAAGGCTTATGAGTCAAGAGTTTAACCAGGTAAGAAGAATCAGTAAAATACATGGATACACATATTTACTCACTTATTTATTAACTTCAAAGAATTGATTTACAAATTCTGGACTTTCTGACCTATAGAACTTCAGAACTTCTGAAAGTTCTATAGGTGAGGAAGTCCAGAAGGGAAGATTATAAATATGCTGGAACTCCATCAGTTTGGACCAAAGCTTGTTGTTTATAGGCTGTCAGAAAAGAATGATTAGGAGCAGGCTGGAACTTAAAAGGGCCCAAGCTGTGTCCTCAGGGAAGGCTTAAACATTTTAGCCTTAAACATTCCCCAGTTTAGACCCAGGGAAGTCTAAACTGACTGAATAAGTCAGCTCTACCCAGAGTAATCTCTCTAATTTACACTTAATTGATCAGAAACTTCATTTATGTAGGCAAAAAAATCCCTTTACCTAGATTAATGTTTGATTAGATAACTGAGAAAAACCTGTGTACATACTCCAAAATGGCTGCTGTGTCCCTTCCGTCCTCCACCTCTAGTGAAGAATATCTCTTATAGCCCACCTTACCTGGAAACACACTAGAAAGGCAATTCTGGAGAGCGCAGTTTATCCTAGCCAAGGTGCCACAACCACAAAGCCATTTGTGTATATTTATGGACTGAAAAAACAAAAGGTTGGATTAATATTGCTTAATTAGATGCAAAACCGATTAATGTTCAATAAGGCAAAGGAACACTTATACACTGTTGGTGGGAGTATAAATTAGTTCCACCACTGCGGAAAGCACTATGGCAATTTCTTAAAGAGCTAAAAGCAGAACTACCATTTGACCCGCAATCCCATTACTGGGTATATACCCAGAGGAATGTAAATCATTCTACCGTAAAGACACATGCATGCGATATGTTCGTTGTAGCACTATTCACAAGAGCAAAGACATGGAATCAACCTAAATGCCCCTCAATGACAGATTGGATAAAGAAGATGTGCTTCATTTACACCACGGGATACTATGCAGCCATGAAAAAGAACAAGATCATGTCTCTTGTGGGAACGTGGATGGAGCTGGAGGCTATTATCCTTAGCAAACTAACACGGGAACAGAAAACCAAATACCACATGTTCTCACTTATAAGTAAGAACTAAATGATGAGAACTTATGAACACAATGAATGAAACAACAAACACTGGGATCTACTTGAGGATGGAGGGAGAGGAGCAGAAAAGATAACTGCTGGGTACTGGGCTTAATACCTGAGTGATGAAATATTCTGTATGACAAACCTCCATGACAGGTGTTTACCTATGTAACCTATGTAACAAATCTTCCCATGTACCCCTGAACCTAAAATAAAGTTAAAAAAATACCATCTTTTGGGATACCTTTTTTATCAGATAGAAAAAGATTTCCAGCTCTACCAGATGCAAATCTACAAGTTAACATGTCACGATAGACTTTGAGACATAATTAATTAAAAACAGCAAGTCAAACAAGGGCATATAAGCCTAGATAAATAATCAAACTTGCACGGACCTATTAGACAATGCTCCTAGGACAGAAAATATATGTCAACCTTCTTTTGCTTTACTTTCAAATTTTGGATAATTTTTCTTAACAACATATTAAATATTTTACCTTCCTCTCATTAAAATGCTAACCTTTCTTTGAGAGATTAGATTTCCATATATGTTATATTTTATTTGCTTAATCAGAAATTAGTGCTGTTTTTTGCAATTGAAGGCTGATATTTTTAGTTTCCTCTGTTATAGCTACATATAATGTCTAGTCCTTTATTTAGTGGCTACCACAATCATAGGCATAGCTCTGGGTACATAGGAAATGAGTCTTATACTCATAGGTATATGAATCTCTTGAATTAACAGGCTCTGAGCAATTAGAAAGGAAGAAGGAACAAAAAAGTAAAGACGGTCATTATTTTATTTACAGACTCAGAATAAAAATGATGGAAACAGTAGGAAGGAAGAAAGACCTAAAACGGAAAAGAGAATCATTATTTTTTAACTTTTAAAATTTTATTATAAAAACACTTAGTGTGAAATGTTACTTCTTAACAAATAAAGTGTACACTACACTACTGTTATCTATAGGTACAATGTTGTACAGCAGGCATTTAGAACATTTTCATCTTGTATAACAGAATTTTTTTTTTTTTTTTTTTTTTGAGATGGAGTCTCATTCCGTCGCCCAGGCTGGAGTGCAGTGGAGTGATCTTGGCTCACTGCCACCTCCGCCTCCCGGGTTCAAGCAATTCTGCCTGCCTCAGCCTTCCAAGTAGCTGGGATTACAGGCTCCCGCCACCAGGCCTGGCTAATTTTTGTATTTTTAGTAGAGACGGGGTTTCACCAGGTTGGCCAGGCTGGTCTTGAACTCCTGACCTCAGGTGATCTGCCTGCCTCGGCCTCCCAAAGTGCTGGGATTACAGGCATGAGCCACCGCGCCCGGCGCATAACAAAAATTTTACACCTGTTGATTAGTGATTACTTATTCCTCAGTTTCTGACGACCACAATTCCATTCTTTGATTTCACGTGTTTTATTATGTTAAATACTCCATCCAAGTGGAAATGTGCAGTATTTGTCCTTCTGTGACTAGTTTATTTCACTTAGCATAATGTACTCAAAGCTCATCCATATTGTCAAATATTGTAGGATTTCTATCATTTTTAAGACTGAATAATATTCCATTGTATGTATATAACACATGTTTTAAAATCCATTCATTTATTGATGGAGATATAGATTGATTCCACATATTGACTATTGTGAATAGTGCTGCTAATATTTCCTTGGGATCCTGATTCTTTTAGATAAATACCTGGAAGTAGGATTCCAGGTAGGAAGTAGGATGATACGGTAATTCAGTGTTTAATAATTTTTTGAGGAACCACCACACTGTTTCCCATAGTGACTGCACCATTCTCCATCTCCACCAAAAGTGTACAAGGGTTCCAACTTTTTCACAACCTCACCGGTGCTTTTTTTTTTTTAATAGTAACTTTTATTTTAAGTTCAGGGGTACAGGTAAAGGTTACTTAAACAGGTAAACGTGTGTCATGGGGGTTCGTTGTACAGGTTATTTCATCACTCAGGTATCCAATATCCTTACTGGTTATAGGTCTTTATAGACTTTCTACTTCATGATGCAATCTTGGTAGTTGGCATGTTTCTAGAAACTTATCTGTTTTTTCTACGTTATCCAGTTTGTTAGTGATATGGTTTGACTCTGTGTCCTGACCCAAATCTCATCTCGAATTGTAATCCCATGTGTTAAGGGAAGGAGGTGATTAGATCATGGGAGTGGTTCCCCGAATGCAGTTCTCTTGATAGTGAGTGGGTTCTTACAAGAGCTGATGGTTTTATAAGAAGCTCTTCCCCCTTCAAGCTCTCTCTTGCCTACTGCCATGTAAAACTTGCATGCCTCCCCTTTTTCCATGATTGTAAATTTCCTGAGGCCTCCCCAGCCATGCAGAACTCTGAGTCCATTAAACCTCTTTCCTTTATAAATTACCCAGTCTTTGGTATGTCTTTATAGCAGTGTGAAAATGGACTAATACAGTTGGCATATACTTATTCCTATTAGTCTCTTATAATCCCTTTTATTTTTGTGGCATCATTTGCAATATCTCTGCTTTCATTTTTGATTTTATTTATTTTAGTCTCCCCTCTAAGGTGATCAGTTTTCTTGATCTTTTCAAAAAAAACCTTTATTTTCGCTATTTTTAATATTATTTAGTTTATTTTTACTGTAATCTTTACCATTTTCACCCTCCTGTAACATTGGGCTTATGTTTTTTCTAAGTTTTTGCAGTGTCGATTTAGGTTGTTTTATTAAGATATTTATTATTTTTAATGAAAACATTTATTGCTATAAACTTCTGTTTTATACTTCATCCCATAAGTTTTGATATGCTGCATTTTCATCTTTGTTTTCCTCAAGACATTTTCTAATTTCCGTTTTGATTTCTTTTTTGACCCATTGGTTGTCCAAAAGTGTTGTTTAATTTTCACATATTTATGAATTTTCTAGTTTTCCTTCTGATATTGATTTCTAGTTTCATTCTATTATGGTCAAAAATATATTTGGTATGATTTTAATCTTCTTAAATTTGTTAATACATGTTTTGTTATCAAATATGTGATTTATCCTGAAGAATATTCTCTATGAATTTGAAAATATTGTATATTCTGTTGCTGTTTGATTGAATGTTCCACTTAACATCTGTTAGGCTCATGTGGTCTCTAGCATTCTTCAGGTCAAATGCTTTTTGTTGATAGTTTGTCTGGTTTTTCTATACATTACTGAAAGTGAGGTATTGAAGTATCTTACTGAAGCTATTTTGCTGTCTAGTCTTCTCTTCAGTTCTGTCAGTGTTTGCTTTATATATTTAGGTGCTCTGGTTTGGTTGCATATATTTTTATAATTGTTATATTTTCCTAGTGTGTTGTCTCTTTTATTATAATTTGATGGTCTTCTTTGTCTCCTGAGATAGTTTTTGACTTGAAGTTAATTTTGTCTGATGTAACTATATTTACCTGTCTTCTCTTTTGGTTACTATTTACACAGAATATCTTTTTCCATCTCTTCACTTTCAGTCTAAGTTTGTCCTTAAATCTAAAGTAAGTTTCTTATATTCAGCGTATAGGTGGATCTTGTTTTAGTTGTTTGTATTTAATTCATTCAGTCACTCTATGTCTTTTGGTTGGAGAGCTCAATTGATTTACATAGCAAGTAATTATTGATAGGGGAGAATTTATTATTGCCATTTTGTTAATTATTTTCTGTTTGTATTGTAGTTCTCTTGTCCTGCTCTTCTCTCTTGCTGTTTTCCTGTGCATTTCATTATCTTTTTTGTAGTGATATGCTTTTATTATTTTCTTTTCACTTTGTGTAAGTTTTATACGTATTTTATTTGTGGTTATCCTGGGGTTTATATACAATATCTTGTAACAGTCTATTTTAAACCAATAACAACTTAGTTTCAATTGCATACAAAAATTTTAGTATTTTATCCTTCCACCCACTTTATGTTATTGATATCACAAGTTAAATCTATTTATATTGTGTATTCATTTTCATATTTTATAGTTAAATAACTTGTCTTTTAAATACTAGTGCTATGATTTGAATGTATGTATTCCTCCAAAATTCATACGTTGGAACTTAATACCCAATATGAGAGTACTAAGATGAGGGGACTTATGGGAAGTGATTAAATCATGAGTTCTTCACCTCCATGGATTAGTGCTCTTATTAAATAAGTTGAAGGGTGCAACCTAGTCTTTTTTGCACTTTTGTCTGTTTTTGCCATGTGAGGATTCAGTGTCTCTCACTTTTGTGCCTCTGTAGCCATGTGAGGTTGCAGCAAAAGGCACCACCTTAAAGTACACAGCAAGCCTTCACCAGACACCAAATCTGCTGGAGCCTTGACCTTGGACTTCCCAGCCAATAGAACTATGAGAAATAAATTTTTATTGTTTATAAATTACCGCTGGCTGGGTATGTTGTTACAGCAACACAAATAGACTAAGATAACTAGAATAAATGTAATTTATCTACCACTGCTACTATGATACAATATTCTGTATTTGTCAGTATATTTACCTTTATCAGTTTTGTACCTCCATATGCTATCATGTTGCCATTTAGTGTTCTCACATGTAAAATTGAAAAACTTCCTCTAGAATTTCTTGTAAGGCAGTTACAGTGAGTAGTATCTCAGCTTTTGTTTGTCAGAAGTCTTTATTATCCCTTCATTTTGAAGGACAGTTTTCAAGTTCAGTAGGCAGTTTTTTCTTTCAAACTTTGAATATAACATTCCACTGCCTTCTGGCGTGTCTGGTTTCTGCTGAAAAATCCACTGATAATCTTGTGAAAAGTCCCTTGTATGTGACAAGTCACTTTTCTTTTGCTGCTTTCAAAATTTTGTCTTTGCCTGACAATTTGATTACAATGTGTCTTGATGTGGATGTATTCGAATTCATCTTATTTGACATTGTTAGCATTTCCCAGATCTAGATGTTCATTTTATTTCTCAGGTTTAGGGCATTTTCAGACATTATTTCCTTGAATAAGGTCTCTGGTCCTCTTGCTCTATCTTCTACTTCTTGGAAACCCATAACGCATATTGGTCCATTTGATGGTGTCTCACAAATACCTTAATGTGTTTACTATTGTTCATTCTCTTTTCTTTTGGCTTCTCTGACTAGATAATTTCCAGTGAACTGTCATTGAGTTCACTCATTTCCTTTTCTGCTTGCTCTAGTCTGCTGATGAATCTTTTTAAATTTTGCAGCTCAATTATTGTATTTTTTAGCTCCAAGATATCTGTTTGTTTCCTCTGTAAATTTTTAATTTTTTTTTCTTGAATTCACTTTTTGTTCATGCATTACTCTCCTTAGCTCACTGAGCATTTTAACTATTGTTACTTTGAATTCTCTGTCATGTAATTCATGTATCTCCATTTCATTAAAGTTGGTTTCTTAAATGTTATTTTGTTTCTGGTTTTTGGATCATTTTCCCCTGTTTCTTCATTTTTCTTGACTCTTTGTATGTGTACAGTAGAAAAAAAAAGTCACTTCTTCAAGTTCTTATACACTGGCCTTGTACAGGAGAAGAACTCCACCAATCACCCTGTCCTGAGGTTTCATGGGCCTCATATCCTTGCGTTAGTTCAAACCACTGTTTTTATTCTTTGGGGCCTCAGGCATCTAACTTTTTAAGAACTTTTTCAGAACTTTTTCAGTATATATAAGGTCCTTTCAGCACTCTGAGATAGGCAGGTTAGAAGTTAATCCTGGGCTGGGTGGTGGCTCATGCCTGTGATCCCAGCACTTTGGGAGGCTGAGGCAGGCAAATCACCTGAGGTCAGGAGTTTGAGACCAGCCTGGCTAACACGGTGAAACCCTGTCTCTACTAAAAAAAAAAAATACAAAAATTAGCTGGGCATGGTGGCACCTGCCTGTGATCTCAGCTACTCAGGAGGCTGAGGTAGGAGAATCGCTTGAACCTGGGAGGCAGACTTGTGGTGAGCTGAAATCATGCCACTGCACTCCAGCCTGTGGGACACAGCAAGACTCTGTCTCCAAAAAAAAAAAAAAAAACAGTTAATCCTTTGGGTTGCACCAAGATAAGTTAGAACTCTGGATGCAAAATCCAACACTTTTCCTCCTCAGGGAGAAGTTGGGAGTTTGGATTTGTCACCTACTTGCTCTGCACTGAATGAGAAAAGGAGCTGTGGTGAGTGCCCACATGCTAGTTCAAACCACTGTTCTATTCTCTGTAGTTCCCATAATACTTGCTTATGCTAAACCCTGTCAGCTTTCCCAGGCAGGTGAGATAGAAGCCAGACTCTTGAGCAGCACTGAAAACATTTGGCATACTACATGTGCAATTAAACTCCTTTGCTTCTCAGGGAGAAGCTGAGTTGGGGATTTGCTTCTGATGGTATGGTGCTGTGCCAGAAGTGGAAATTTTGGCAAGATGAAGTTTTTGCTATTTCTACTGGTCCCAGTATTGATGATTTCACACTTAACTGAGGTGCAGGAGTCTCCTAACTAATTTCTGGATTTCTCACAAAGGGGACCAATCCATGTGTTGTTAAACTGGTATGTTCATGGGTGTAATATTTCTTCTGCTATCTTGCTGTCATCATGCTAGGACCATTATTTTCTACTTGTGCAATATTTTTTAATGAAGAAATAAGACATAGACCCAAATTTGAAAATAATCTTGTTGAAAATAATTAATCAAACTTTAAAATCATCAATTGGTTTAGTAAGAACAAAGAAAACAGTGTGCTTATCTTGAATGTTTTATGCCATTGAAGTCTATATTACTGTTTTGAACATGACTGATTCATTATTTTTCTCTCCTAAACTAATGACCATATAGGTCATATTAATAAACCAATTATTCAGTAAATGTCTGTAAATATACATTTCCAATGCAGCTTGAAATGACATATTTAAGAAAAAATTAAAAAAATAATCTGTGCAGACATTTTGCTTCATCTGTATGAAAACAATTTGAACAGTTTGTAATATATTCACTACATTCATCATTGAGTTTTTTTTATTATTTTTTCATAGGTTATTGGGGTACAGGTGGTATTTGGTTACATAAGTAAGTTCTTTGGTGGTGATTTGTAAGATTTGGGTGCACCCATCACCCGAGCAGTAAACACTGCATCATATTTGTAGTCTTTTATCCCTCATCCTCCTCTCACTCTTCCCCCGAAGTCCCCAAAGTCCACTTGTCATTCTTATGCTTTTGCTTCCTCATAGCTTAGCTCCCATATATCACTGAGAACATATGAGGATTGGTTTTCCATTTCTGAGTTACTTTACTTAGAATAATAGTCTCCAATCTCATCCAGGTTGCTGCAAATGCTGTTAATTCATTCCATTTTATGACTGAGTAGTATTCCATCATATTCATATATATATATATATATATATATATATATATATTTATATATCACAGTTTCTTTATCCATTTGTTGATTGATGGGCATTTGGGTTGGTTCCACTTTTTTGCAGTTGCAAATTGTGCCGCTATAAACATGCGTGTGCAAGTATTTTTCATATAATGACTTCTTTGCCTCTGGGTAAATACCCAGTAGCAGGATTGCAGGATCAACTGGTAGTTATACTTTTAGTTCTTTAAGGAATCTCCATACTGTTTTCCACAGAGGCTGTACTAGTTTACATTCCCAACAGCAGTGCAGAAGTGTTCCCTGATCACTGCATGCATGCCTATTTTTTAAAAAATTTTTGATTATGGCATTCTTGCAGGAGTATTGCACTGTGGTTTTGATTTGCATTTCCCTGACCATTAGTGATGTTGAGCATTTTTTTCATATATTTGTTGACATTTGTATATCTTCTTTTGAGAATTGTCTATTCATGTCCTTAGCTCACTTTTTGATGGGATTTTTTTTTTGTTTGTTTGTTATTGATTTGTTTGAGTTAGTTGTAGATTCTGGATATTAGTCCTTTGTCAGATGCATAGATTGTGAAGATATTCTTCCATTTTGTGGGTTGTCTGTTTACTCTGCTGACTGTTCCTTTTGCTGTGCAAAACTCTTTAGTTTAATTAAGTCCCAACTATTTATCTTTGTTTTTATTGCATTTGCTTTTGGGTTCTTTGTCATAAAATCCTTGCCTAAGCCAATGTCTAGAATGGTTTCACCAATGTTATCTTCTAGAATTTTTATAGTTCCAGGTCTTAAATTTAAGTCCTTAATCCATCTTGAGTTGATTTTTGTATAAGGTGAGATGAGGATCCAGTTTCATTCTCCTACATGTGGCTAGCCAATTATTCCAGCACCATTTGTTAAAAAGGGTGTCCTTTCCCCACTTTATGTTTTTGTTTGCTTTGTCAAAGATCAGTTGGATGTAA
Organism: Homo sapiens; assembly: GCF_000001405.40. Lineage (NCBI taxonomy): Eukaryota > Metazoa > Chordata > Mammalia > Primates > Hominidae > Homo > Homo sapiens. The sequence goes on along the minus strand of NC_000008.11, from coordinate 115,046,073 downwards.
GGATTTTGGTTCATTTCTGGGTTCTCTATTCTGTTCCATTGGTCTATTTGCCTATTTTATACCAGTACCATGGTGTTTTGGTGACTATGGCCTTATAGTAGAGTTTGAAATCCGGTAGTGTGATGCCTCCCGATTTGCTATGTTTGCTTAGTCTTGCTTTGGTGATGCGGGCTCCTTTTTGGTTCCATATGAATTTTAGAATTTTTTTTTCTAATTCTGTGAAGAATGATGGTGGTATTTTGATGCAGATTGCACTGAATTTGTAGATTGCTTTTGGCAGTATGGTCATTTTCACAATATTGATTCTATCCATCTGTGAGCATGGGATGTGTTTCCGTTTGTTTGTGTCATCTATGATTTCTTTCAGCAATGTTTCGTAGTTTTCCTTGTAGAGGTCTTTCGATTCCTTGGTTAGGTATATTCATAAGTATTTTATTTTTTTGGTAGCTATTTTGTAGAAGGGGTTGAGTTCTTTATTTGATTCTTTGCTTGGTCGCTGTTGGTGTATAGAAGAGCTACTGATTTGTGTACATTAATTTTGTAACCGGAAACTTTGTTGAATTCTTTTATCAGTTCTAGGAGCTTTCTTCAGAAATCTTTAGGGTTTTCAAGGTAAATGATCAGATCGTCAGCAAACAGTGACAGTTTGATTTCCTCTTTACAGATTTGGATGCCCTTTATTTCTTTCTCTGGTCTGATTGCTCTGGCTAGGACTTCCAGTACTATGTTGAAGAGGAATGGCGATAGTGGGCATCCTTGTCTTGTTCCAGGTCTCAGAGGAAATGCTTTCAACTTTCCCCCATTTGGTATTATGTTGACTATCAGTTTATCATAGATGTCTTTTATTACATTGAGATATGTCTCTTGTATGCTGATATTGCTGAGAGTTTTAATCATAAAGCGATGCCAGATTCTGTCAAATGCCTTTTCTGCATCTATTGAGATGATCATGTGATTTTTGTTTTTAATTCTGTTTATGTGGTGTATCACATTTATTGACTTGTGTATTTTTTGTTTTGTTTTGCTCTTGTTGCCCAGGCTGGAGTGCAGTGGTGCAATCTTGGTTCACTGCAATGCCTGCCTCCTGGGTTCAAGCGATTCTCCTGTCTCAGCCTCCCGAGTAGCTAGGATTACAGGCACCTGCCGCCACACCTGGCTAATATTGTATTTTTAGTAGAGATGGGGTTTCACCATATTGGCCAAGCTGGTCTCGAACTCGAACTCCTGACCTCAGCTAATCCACCTACCTCAGCCTCCCAAAGTGCTGGGATTACAGGTGTGAGCCACCGCGCCTGGCCTGACTTGTGTATGTTAAACGATCCCTGCATCCCTGGTATGAAACCCACTTGATCATGGTGGATTATCTTTTTGATATGTTGTTGGATTTGTTTAGTATTTTGTTAAGGATTTTAGCATCTATGTTCATTAAAGATATCGGTCTGTAGTTTTCTTTTTTGGTTATGGCCTTTCCTGGTTTTGGTGTTAGGTTGATGCTGGCTTCATAGAATGAATTAGGGAGAGTTTCTTCTTTCTCTATCTTGTGGAATAGTGTCATAAGGATTGGTCCGATTCTTCTTTGAATGTCTGCTAGAATTCTGCTGTGAATCCGTCTGGTGCTTGACTTTTTTTTTGTTGGTAATTTTTAAATTACTATTTCAATCTTGCTTCTTGTTTTTGGTCTGTTCAGGGTATCTAATTCTTCCTGATTTAAGCTAGGAGGGTTGTATTTTTCCAGGAGTTTATCCATCTCTTCTAGGTTTTCTAGTTTATATGTTTAAAGGTGTTTATAGTAGCCTTGGATGTATTTTGTATTTTCAGTTGTCATATCTCCTGTTTAGTTTCTTAATGAGGTGGTGTCAGTTGTAATATCTCCTGTTTAGTTTCTTAATAAGGTTATATGGATTTTCTCTTTTCTCGGTTTATCTTGCTAGTGGTCTATCAATTTTATTTATCTTTTCAAATAACCAGCTTTTTGTTTCATTTATGTTTTGTGTTGTTTTTTGTTTGTTTGTTTCAAATTCATTTAGTTCTGCTCTTATCTTGGTTATTTCCTTTCTTCTGCTCAGTTTGGGTTTGGTTTTAGAATTCTAGTTTCTCTAGTTACTTGAGGTGTTACCTTAGAAGGTCAGTTTGAGCTCTTTCAGTCTTTTTGATGTAGGTGTTTAAGGCTATAAATTTTCCTCTTAGCACCGCCTTTGCCGTATCCCAGAGGTTTTGATAGGTTGTGTCATTACTGCCATTCAATTCAAATAATTTGTAAATTTCCATCTTGATTTCGTTTTTGATACACTGCTCACTCATTCAGGAGCAGATTATTTAATTTCCATGTATTTGCATAGTTTTGAAAGTTCCTTTTGGAGTTGATTTCCAGTTTTATTCCACTGTGGTCTGAGAGAATGATTGATATAATTTCAATTTTCTTAAATTTATTGAGGCATTTTTTTATGGCCTGTTGTATGGTCTATTTGGAGAAAGTTCCATGTGCTATTGAATAGAATGTGTATTTTGCAGTTGCTGGATGAAATGTTCTGTTCTGTATATATCTGTTAAGTCCATTTGTTGCAAGGTATAGTTTAAATTCATTGTTTCTCTGTTGACTTTCATGCCCTCCCACGAGTTCTGGGCAGGAGGCTTCTCATCCCGTTCAAACTGTTACAAAGTTCAGATGGAGATTTCCTTCTCCCTGTGGGAGTGTTCTCACCCCCGCCCCCCTCCGCTCCTCTGGCCACCCTCCTTATGGATCCCTGTGGTGCCAGGAATGGCCTGCTTGGGGACCCAGTGAGCTCCCAGAACTTTTCTGCTGCTTCCTCTACTCCTGAATTTCACTTGGCTCTCTAAATTGACTCAGCTCCAGGTAAGGTAGGCAACTTCTTCCGCAAACAGACCTTCAGTTTCTCCAGTGGGGACGTGTGTTCGGGAGAGGAGGCTCTCTTTTCCACTTCCAAAGCTGGGGCACTCAGTATCTGGGGTGTCTCCCGGGTCCTGCAGTAGTAGTCTGCTTTCTTCAGAGGGTCTATGCGTCCTCTTGGGATTGCTGGTTTGTTCTTGCAGTAGTTCTGGAGCTAAAATTCACAATGCGAGCCTCCACATGCTGCTCTATCTATCCGAGTCAGAGCCGTAATCTACTCCTGCCTCCCGTCCGCCATAATGATCGGATTCCCCTGAGGTCTTTAAGGACAATGGTTTGAAAGACATGGACACAGGGAGGGGAACATCACCCACCGGGGCCTGTCAGGGGGTGGGTGGCTAGGGGAGGGATAGCATTAGGAGAAATACCTAATATAGATGACGGGTTGATGGGTGCAGCAAACCACCATGGCACGTGTATACCTGTGTAACAAAGCTGCATGTTCTGCACATGTATCCCAGAACTTAAAGTATAATAATAATAAAAAAAGAGTTTTCACCTTACGGGACAATGAAGGCATCACTGACATGTTGTAGATAGCAGGGAATTGATGTCTTAAACTACTGTTAGTGCTTTGGACAAGTTCATATTGATGTGTGTTCATCCTGTTGCACTTTAGATGTCTTAGCAAGTAATTGCAATAACTATATAATGAACATCTAACACATTTCTTTCTTGCTCCTCTGACTCATTTTCCAGCCTTTTAATCAACTGGCAGCAGCATTATTCCATCATGAAATAATCTTTTCTTTACTTTGTGGTATAAAAAGCTTACATAAATGTGTATTGCCTACTGGATCAATGTCACCCACCTAAGCATGATAGTCAAGGGCCTTCATGATCTGAGTCTTATTATCTCTCCAATTTTATTTTTGACCACACAGTAGGCATCTGTGTGCAGTATACCTTTATGAAATGGACAAAAAAAAAACTTGTTTTTTTCCAAACCCTTAAATGAGGCTTGATATACCATTTTCTATGTACAATATTTCCTGCAAGAAATATCCTTCACTCCCTTGTCCTTTTGGGAAATTTCTACTCATCCTTTTACACTCAGCTTAGAGTTTCTTTCTCTGAGAAATTTCCACTGTCTCTGACTATTACTCCTAGGCAGCTAGGTGATAGTCTTCAAGTTTTAATGGCATGTCGTGAGGGTAACTCTGTTGTAGCTCTTAGCTTATCACCAATTCAAAAAGGCTTTTATGCAGGTCATTTCCTTCCTGGGTGTCTTCATTCCCTTTTTTTCTAGAATCTAACTCAGGATTTAATTAGGTAATAGTTGCTTGTTCACAATAAACATTTGTTGAATACTAAATATTAATATAATCAGTTCATCTGATATGTTGCTGGCTTTGGGACATTAAAGCAGGTAAGTAGAGAATCCATTGACCTGAGGTCATGATCATCTTATTATTTCTATTTACTAGTGAGTCTCAAACTTTAGTCTGCACTGGAATCACCTTGTTAAAACACAGGTTACTTGGCTTACTCCCAGAGTTTCAGATTTAGTAGGTCTGGGCTGGGGCCACAAAATTTGCATTTCTAACCAGTATCTGGTTATTTCTGTTCTTGCCGTTCAAGGGCCACGCTTTAAGAACTACTGCTCTGTATCTACACAAAAGACCACGGTGCTGAAAGGAAATATGTGCATTCAATAAATGACTATCCATCAGATAATATTTTTGTAGTAAAGACAGCCTTAGTACAGAGTATAATTTGCTACGTTCCCTTCTAAATCAAGAGAAATGAAAAGATATAGAGGTTTATTTATTTCATTTTTTGCAGTGAAGATTAATATTCTGAAATTTCCTCATAATTATACATCTCCCCATTAATTTGCAATATGTTTAATGAGGTAAATTAAAAATTATGACTATATAACTTTTTCTTTAAAACAATGGAACTAAACATTTTTCTGGAGGGTAGGGAAAGAGGTTTTCATAGCCATTTATGTTTCCGTGAAAGCAATTAATCATCTTTTTAGAAAATTGCATATACGTGTTGTTTGTCATATTATTTTAAGACTGTCTTGAATTTTATATATAGATCCAGATTAAGAATCCTTGTTTTTAGATGTGTCATAGTGGGGAAGTAAGGGATTGCAGAGGTAAAATGAGAGAAATCTTTATTTATTTATTTTTATTTATTTTATTTTCTTATTTATTTATTTATTTAGACAGAGTCTCACTCTGTCACCCAGGCTGGAGTGCAGTCTCACGATCTCAGCTCACAGCAACCTCCACTTCCTGTGTTCAAGCCATTCTCCTGCCTCAGCTTTCCGAGTAGCTGGGATTATAGTCATGCGCCACCACAGCCGGCTCATTTTTCTTTGTATTTTTAGTAGAGACAGGGTTTCACTATGTTGGCCAGGTAGGTCTTGAACTCCTGATCTCAAATGATCTGCCCGCCTCGGCCTCCCAAAGTGCGGGGATTACAGGCGTGAGCCACCATGTCCGGCCAGAGAAGTCTTTAATATAATAAACCACGATAAAGCTAAGTTGCAGGATGAAGATCAACAAACAAAAGTTAGTTGTGTTTCTACTCATTGGCAATGAATGATTCAAGAAAGAAATTTAAAATCAAGCCCATTCACAATAACATCTAAAAATTTAAATACCTGAGAATAAATTTAACCAAGGAGACAGAAGACTCTACGTGGAAAGCTATAAAATATTGCTGAAAGGAATGAAAGGACACAAATAAGTGGAAAAATATTCTCTGTTCTTTGATAGCAATACTTTATATTGCTAAGCTGTCGTTAGTATCCAGAGCAATCTACAGATTAAATAAAATTTCTAATAAAATTCCAACCACTTTTTTTTAGGAAATAAAAAGGCCAATTCTCAAATGTATATGAAATTGCAAAAGGTCCCAAATAACTAAAATAATCTTGAAAAAGAAGAAATAAGATGGAGGACTCATACTTCCCACTTTCAAAACTTACCATAAAGCACAGTAATAATCAAAACAGTATGGTTCAGGCAGATGGATACACATATAGATCAGTGGAAAGGAATTAAGACTCCTGAAATGGGCCGGGCACGGTGGCTCACGCTTGTAATCCCAGCACTTCGGGAGGCCGAGGCGGGCGGATCATGAGGTCAGGAGATCGAGACCACAGTGAAACCCCGTCTCTACTAAAAATACAAAAATTAGCCAGGCGTGGTGGCGGGCGCCTGTAGTCCCAGCTACTCGGAGAGGCTGAGGTAGGAGAATGGCGTGAACCCGGGAGGCGGAGCTTGCAGTGAGCCGAGATCGCGGACCACTGCACTCCAGCCTGGGTGACAGAGCGAGACTCTGTCTCAAAAAAAAAAAAAAAAAAGGCTCCTGAAATGAATGCATATTTATATAAGTAGCAGATTTTTGACAAAGATATAAAGCTCACTCAATGGCAAAAGAACATTTTTTTCAACAAATGGTGCAGGGAGAGTGAGATTTCCACATACAAAATAATTTCGTTGTGAAACTACCTCATACCATGCACAAAAATTAAGAAAAAATACATAAAAAATGTAAGCATAAGTAATAAAACAATAAAGCATTATTAAAACAATAATGTGTTACAATAATACATAGGGACAAATCTTCATGACCTTGGAATTGGCAATGGATTATTAGATACAACACCAAAAGCAGGAGCAACAAAAGAAAACAATAGGCAAATTGAATCTATTAAAATGGAAAACTTTTGTGTATTAAATTACATTATCAAAGATATTAAAAAACATTAAAAATGTTAATACCATCACCTTGGGGTTTAAGTTTGAACATATGAATTTTAGAGGGACACACACATTCAAATCATAACAACATCATTAGTCACTAGTAAAATGCAAAGTAAAGCTACAATGACATGCCACTTCACATGTACTAGGGTGACTATAATAAAATGAAAAAAAAAAAGTGTTGGCAATAATGTGGGAGAAACTGGAATTTTCATATTTTGCTGGTGAGAAGGTAAAATTATAGAAAGTTAAAATAGAGAAACTATTTGGCTGCTCCTTGAAAAGCTAAATATGGAATTACCATATGACCCAGACATTTTACTCCTTGGTTTATACCCAAAAGGATTGAAAACAGGAACTCAAACAGATATTTATATGCCAGTGTTTATTGCAATGTTATTCATAATTGCCATAAAGTGGATACAACCCAAATGTTCATCATTAAATGAATAAATGAAGAAAAAATTATTCAGCCCTTAAAAAGAAGTAAAATTGTAATGCATGCTGCAACATGGGTTAAACATAAAAACATTGTGTTAAGCAAAATAAGTTAGACACAAGAGAACAAATGTATGATTACATGAGATATTTAGAATAGGCAAGTTCATAGAAAAAGAAAGTAGATTTAAAGTTTACCAGAAGATGGGAAAAGTGAGGATTGGAGAGTTATTATTTAATATTTACAATTTCTGTTTGGGATACTGAAAAAGTTTTGAATTAGAGAGTGGTAATGGCTTCACAACATTTTGAATATAATTAATGCTACAAATTAAGCACTTAAAATGGTTAAAAGGGCAAAAAAAAAAAACTTATACAAGCAGGTAAAGAAAAATAAACAAAGATATGTTAAACCCAAAAGATAACACATACTAACAATTATATAGTATTTACAATATCCTAGGATGTTTTTCCATATTTTTATATGTTAACTTACTGAATATGCACAACAGTCCTACAATGTCAGTATTATTTATCCCATCTCACTGGTGAGAAAATGAGGCACAGCAAGTTGAAATGACTTGTTAAGCATCACGTAATTAGTAGATGGGAGAGCCAAGTTGAAGCCAGGCACCTTGTCTCTAAAATCCATGCTTTTAAACATACTTATAACTGTATTACTGCCTCTGGCTGACATTCGACCAAATGCTGAATGATTTGAATGAACCCGGTGCTGTCACAAGCAGGAAGCTATGAGAAGTCAAGTCTATTTACAGTCATTCTGGTTTCATAAAGGCAATATAATTTACAAATTCAACTACCAGTTGACAAAGTGTGTACATTTTTTGTGTGTATACTACCTTCTGATGTTTAAGAAAAGAATACGACTTTTCCTATTTGATAGTCTTTGAGCACGTGCTTTGTGCTTTAGCAATTGATAATCTGTTAAAATAGATTATCTTTAAAGAGACATTATGAAAGTTACAAAAACTTGAGAAATATGCCTTTTCCTTTTTATTTAATGAATTGTTATAGAACTAAGAATATAGTAAGTAAAAGCTGATCTACATTCTTTCCAATATTATTTCTTTTCCAAAAATTGTAGTGTCAATACTACTGTGTCCGAAATTGGTGAGTTCTTGGTCTCACTGACTTCAAGAATGAAGCCGCAGACACTTGCAGTGAGTGTTACAGATCTTAAAGATGGTGTGTCCGGAGTTTGTTCCTTCTGACGTTTGGACGTGTTTGGAATTTCTTCCTTCTGGTGGGTTCGTGGTCTCGCTGGCTTCAGGAGTGAAGCTACAGACCTTCGTGGTGAGTCTTACAGCTCTTAAGGCAGCGCATCTGGAGATGTTCATTCCTCCTGGTGGGTTCGTGGTCTCACTGGCCTCAGGAGTGAAGCCTCAGACCTTCACGGTGAGTGTTACAGCTCATAAAAGCAGTGGGGACCCAAAGAGTGAGCAGCAACAAGATTTACTGCACACAGTGAAAGAACAAATCTTCCACAGTGTGCTACGGCACCCCACCAGGTTGCGGCTGCTGGGTCCGGCAGCCTGCTTTTATTCCCTTATCTGGCCCCACCCACATCCTGCTGATTGGTCCATTTTACAGAGAGCTGATTGGCCCATTTTACAGAGACCTGATTGGTCTGTTTTGACAGGGTGCTGATAGTTGCATTTACAATCTCTGTGCTAGACACAGAGTGCTGACTGGTGCATTTACAATCCTCTAGCTAGACATAAAAGTTCTCCAAGTCGCTACTAGATTAGCTAGACACAGAACACTGATTGGTGCATTTACAAACCTTAAGCTAGACATAAAAGTTCTCCAAGACCCCACCTGACTCAGGAGCCCAGCTGGCTTTGCCTAGTGGGTCCCCTGCCAGGGCAGCAGGCGGAGGTGCCTGCCAGTCCCACGCCACGTGCCTGCCCTCCTCAGCCCTGGGGTGATCGATGGGACTAGACGCCATGGAGCAGGGGGCGGTGCCTGTTGGAGAGGCTTGGGCTGCATGGGAGCCACCTGGGAGAGGGGGGCGCTTGGGCATGGCGGGCTGCAGGTCCCGAGCCCTGCCCAGCGGGGAGGCAGCTGAGGCATGGTGAGAATTCCAGCGTGGCATGGGTGGGCTGACAGTGCTGGGGGACCTGGTGCACCCTCCGCAGCTGATGGTCTGGGTGCTAAGCCCCTCACTGCCCAGGGCCGCTCCCAGTGTGGGGCCGGCCAAGCCCGTGCCCACCCAGAACTCGTGCTGCCCCGTGAGTGCCGCGCACAGCCCCGGTTCCCGGCTGTGCCTCTCCCTCCACACCTCCCCACAAGCAGAGGGAGCCGGCTCCAGCCTCGGCCAGCCCAGAGAGGGGCTCCCACAGTGCAGCGGCAGGGTGAAGGGCCCCTCAAGCATGGCCAGAGTGGACGCCAAGGCCGAGGAGGCCCCGAGAGCAAGCGAGCGCTACTAGCAAGTTGTCATCTCTCACTACATTAATTTTTATGGAAATGATAATGCGTATATCATATCAATATATAGTACATTTATTGAACATCTATTTTATGCACAAGTAAATGCAAGCTCTTTCCACATCAGTGATAATTTCAGATGAATCCTGATGATATTTTTGCCTGATGATGGTGTTTTTTTTTTTTTTTTTCCAGCATTTTTTCCAATCTAGCTACTTGGAAAACTTGGGAATAATTTGGGAGATAATGAAAAACAACAAAAATATTATCTTTGGATCATGATGTTTTCACCCACATCAAAACAGTTTTCAGAAAAGTATTTATGATACTTTAATAAATGTAAGTATTCTCTGTTAAGTTTTAATAACCCTAGTATGAGATTTAAAGAATTTTAGGCACAACCCAGAGGAAATTTATATGCTGTAAGCCAATGATCTCAGAAAAATAACTATAGCCTTTCATTAGCAATTTTGATTTGCAGCAATGTTGATTGTCAGTTTTCACAAGTTTCCTTCCTTTTTCTCTTCTTCTCCAGTCCCTCCCCTTCCTCACAATCAAGTCTCAAACTAGAGCTTTTGGTTCCTGGGATCAATCTCTTCCAGAAAACCTGAAGCACAGCTTCCATCTGGTTCTGTACTTTAGCTGTTCCTGGCTGGAATTCAATTATATATAAGACACATGGCTGTTTCAAATTCAATACGATTAAAAAAAAAAGGTTGCTTCCGAGGAAACACTTGTTGATTACTAATAGATATTATTTGAGACTTGAAACATCCGGAATTTAGAAGAACCTACTTGGTAACTTTTCTGTTTCACATGTAACCAGGTTATTGAGAAATATGATTTAAGTGAAATATAAACAGGATATTAATATTTCATCAACCATTATCTTCAGCCCCACTTTTGGATTTTCTTTCTCTGAGCCTGGAGTACAGTTCAGTAGACATGGCAGTTTTCTGGCCACTTGCATGCATTGATTAGTCCAATTCAAATAAATTCATTCTCACATTCAATTGAAAGAGTCTGTCTCCCCATTTTTCCTAGCCCCCAGTTTGGCCTGACCTGCAATGTAGATGGTAAAATCTGTTCTTTCACGCTTGCTACCTTCTCTCCTTGCATTGCTGTCTTCTCCATGGGTGAAAAAGATGTTAGAGAAATAGGAGTAAAAGTTTGGTTATTAGTGCTGCTTCAAGTGTTCAAAGGCTTTCTTTTAGAACGTATTTGTGAGCCGTGGAGGCTGTCTATTGGAATCCCTGGACTGAAGAGTTTACTGATATAGGAAATAGACTCTAATCACTAGAAACCCTCCTTCAGCATTTCCCCCAAGGGGTATACACAACAATCTACCATTGCTGAATCCCCTCACAGTGAGAGGATTCCTCTTGGACAAGGTCCTTTAAAGTAACCTTGTGTCAAGCTAATTTCCAGAGTTTCCACTGGTACATGGAAATTCAGAGTGCTAGATATTGGCTAGCTATGCAACAAACCTGTTTCCTTTTCTTTCTGGATACACAGCTATTCTGTATTTCCCAGCTTTTCTTAAATTTAATATGGACGTATGTCTTGAATTCTAGCCAATGAAATGTGAGTGTAAGTGCTGTTTCTAGGCTTGGCCCACTAATACCTGCCATATATAATCCTCCATATTCTTTTCACATCTACCTCCTTGAGGCACAAAGGCCTTGGAACACACATTTGAAAATGTTGGAAACACAATGTAAAATAAACCCAGATCCTGCTAAAGTAGAGTTGTTTGCTCCTTTGTAATTTTAATGAGCAAGAATTAGATTTCCATCATACTTGAACCCATCATATGTTTTGGAGTTTGTCATGGCAGCTAGCCATACCTTAACTAGTTTATTCATGTAGTCTTAATAGGGATGAGAGATTAAGTAAATAAAAATAAAGGCCATACACTTAAATTTGAATTTCAGATAAACAAGGAATTATATTTAAGATAAATATGCTCCATGAAATATTTAGGACATACTTATGTTAAAAAATATTCATTTTGTACCCAAAATTCAAATGTAACTGTGCATCCTGTACTTTATCTGTCAACTCTAATTTTTACCAAACTAAAAATTGGACATACATGACACTCCCAGTGATTCCCTCTTTTGTCATTCCACTGTCTCTGTCCGCTTCAGCTGGATTCTAATTTTTAGATATCCATAGAAAATAATCCATTATTAGCCTCTACATTCACATATGCATTAAAACTCCTAGGGGACAGATGTCAGTCTCTTCCCAAAACGCCACCATCCAAGTCTACTCCAGTATCCTGGCACTACTTTTTCCAGTTCAGCAATCATCCATTCTGGGGAATTTTCTTTGAGTCTTGGTTTCAATAGGCTCCCAGATCTCTATGCATGATTTTTTTTTTTTTTTTTTTTTTTGAGACGGAGTCTCTCTCTGTCGTCCAGGTTGGAATGCAGTGGCGCAATCTCGGCTCACTGCAAGCTCTGCCTCCCAGGTTCACCCCATTCTCCTGCTTCAGCCTCCCGAGTAGCTGGGACCACAGGCGCCTGCCACGACGCTCTGCTAATTTTTTGGTATTTTTAGTAGAGACGGGGTTTCACCGTGTTAGCCAGGATGGTCTCGATCTCCTGACCTCGTGATCCACCCGCCTCGACCTCCTAAAGTGCTGGGATTACAAGCATGAGCCACTGCGCCCGGCCTGCATGATTCTTTTGGAGCCCAAATTTGTTTGTGGCAGAGAGTGGCGTCGTGTTTCTTGATAATCATGTAACTTAACATTCAGAAGAGCTCTTTCCCCTGATGAATTTAAGCCTTCTTTCTTATTCAGGCTGGAAGGCGTAGTTGGTGTGAAGGAAGGAGAAGGTCTGGTAAAATCTGAATAGTTCCATGGTGATGTGCCTAGAAGCGTCTCTTCAGAATGTGGAGCTTATTACCTATTGTTGTTTGGGGGTCTTCAGCAGCAATTATGAGACAATAGGAAAAGTTTCATTGGATATCCAATTAGAAAAAAATTGGGAAAATGTGACACTCCTTTGCAAACTCTTCATTTCACTATAACATGACAGCATTAGAAAATCAAATACAAATAATGTTTCTTGGCTGGGGGCGGTGGCTCAAGCCTGTAATCCCAGAACTTTGGGAGGCTGAGGCAGGCAGATCCCTTGAGGCCAGAGTTTGAGATCAGCCTGACCAACATGGTGAAACCCCGTCATTACTAGAAATACAAAAATAAGCCAGGAGCGGTGGTGCCCTCCTGTAATCCCAGCTACTTGGGAGACTGAGGTGGGAGAATCACTTGAATCCGGGAGGCAGAGGCTGCAGTGAGCTGAGATAGCACCACTGCACTCCAGGCTAGGCGACTGGCTGGACTATATATATATATGTATTTCTTTTGTCCAGCATAGCTCAATGTTCTTGAATTTCCATCTCCAATAAAATAGGGTTCTCTCTTAGTTTAGACCTTGCCAAACTCTATAACAACACACATACTGTGTAGTCTTTGCTTTAGTTACAAACATTATATTATTTTTGTGTCATTATATTTGTCAAAATATAATGCTAAATATTAAATTGGAGTTTTATTTCTTTTCTCTATTTATTTTAAATATTTTAACCTATACTTCCCCAAAATTTGATTTGTTTCTAAGAAGCATATTGTATTTCTTCAGATAGATAAGGGCAGTACAATTTAATGCACTAAAACCTGATATTTAGTATAATAATTCTTTAAGATTTCTATGGAAATAATGCCCTAAAAATAAGAGCAACACACACTTTCAAGCCAATTTGAATAAAGTAAAATATTATTTTATAAAAATAATATATTTTATGAGAGATAATAAGTTAAAGCTCTAGCAAAACTGATTACGTAGTACGTAAGAAGCTTAGGTTAGAGACAAGGATTTACACTATTATTTTTAACTTTTCAATATCAGCTCTTAGATCTAAGGGGAAGGAAAGTGAAAACAGAAAAACAAAGGGATTCAAATCATTTAATTATGTTACATGTTATTTATATTACACAGTATTCTATTTTCTCAACCTAACTTTCTGTGGCTAGTATCAGAAATATTTGGTTTAATACAACAATACAGTTTATGAGGTGGATGCATAAAGCAAAAACAGAAGTACAGTGATCTTACAACTATTTAGTAAAAACGTAAGAAAGCTAGCCAATGAAAATCAAATTTGATATTTCACATTATGAGTTTTACTCAATATTTAGAAAATATTGAAAACATCTGCAAAGAAAAGATAAACAAAACAGAATATATGGAACCTTATTAACTCTGGATAGCAAATAGCCCAGAACAGGAGTTGGCAAACTTTTCTGTAAAGATTCAGATAATAAATATTTTATTTAGGGTTTGTGGGCTATACAGTCTCTGCAGCAATACAGAAATGAATAAGCATGATTATGTTTTGATAAAGCTTTAAAGACAACTGAAAGCTATAGGCTGGGTTTGGTCCAAGTGCCAGAGTTAGTCTTCTTCTGATCTGTAATAAGTACACATTGCATTCCTCTCATCCCACCAACAAAGACTATCTAATTAACTACTTATTGGTTTATAAATATATTCTAGGGTAGGGTGCTGTGCCTTATGCCTGTAATCCAAGCACTTTGGGAGGCCAACGCGGACAGATCACTTGAGGCTAGGAGTTTGAGATCAGCCTGGCCAACATGGTGAAACACCATCCCTACTAAAAATACAAAAATTAGCTGGGTGTCGTGGCATGTACCTGTGGTCCCAGCTACTCAGGAGGCTGAGGCACAAGAATCGCTTGAACCCAGGAGGCAGAGGTTGTAGTAAGCTGAGAACGCACCAGTGCACTGTAGCCTGGGTGATGGAGTGAGACTCTGTCTCAATAAATAAACAAACAAACAAAAAGTACATTAAATACATTCTAGTCCTGGTTAATACCAGTCTTAACTTCTCACCAAGACCCATCATTCCTTCCTTTGAAAGTCATCATTGGTATACCGAAAATCTGCTAATTTCTTCATAGGTGAATTTATAAAAGATAATGTACTTAAATCAAATGTAATTATTTATCAAGCTGTTTGTGGTTTTAAAAGCTTGAAAATGTTGAGACAATGAAGTCTATTACTAAATAATAAAACAATGCTTTCTGTAGATCATTGTACTTTTCTTAATCCATTTGATTTTGTTTTTAACCTGGTTTAAGGAGGATCCAAGAACAGCACTTAAGTGATTTTGCTTTGAACATTTGAGATTTCTCATTAAATATTTATAATTCATTTATGGTCAATCAGAGACATTTTGATTAGTTATTACCCCTTTGGCTGGTTCTCTTTTGGCATAGTAGATCACTTCTTTGAAATAACCCTCTGGATGAACTGCTTCATGAGGCGAATAGCACTGTAATTTAAAAAATAGACTCATGGTGGCCATGTGTATCTGTCCTCTTCCTTGAATTCTGATTATGTAAAATTAAGTTTTCCCTGATTCATAAAATCAACAGATATTTGTAAAGAACCTGTTGTATACAACCTGTACTTGAAATTAGACATTGAGTGAGTTTTAGCTACATAAATAGACAGGGTGAATTGCTATTTGTGAAATCAGGAAAAAAAAAAAAGAATAATGAGTTCAATACAATTTTCATTATAATGCAGAAATATTTCTAGCTTTAGCTTTACTATCTTAAATCTTGCAAGGTAAGAAAACAATGAATCCTATGGGATTATAATGCCCTTTTGGGGATTTCTAGTGAAACTTGTTGAAGTAGAAAACTTTTGATGAGCTTCCAGTAAGTTATTTACAGATTTAGATGCTTCAGCTTCTATTTCTGTCTTCCTTTGGTTTCCCTAGAGACAAATTCTTATTTCATTTTTTTTCTCTTCTTTGAGTCACTTTTGGTTGAGTTTCTTTACTTTGACTGCAATAAGAAAAAAATGTTCGCCTAGAATTGGGTGCTCCTAAGTATCATCATATATAAGTTTGTGACATGCTCACCAAACTTGTCTTTCTACCTCTCACCAAAGTCCAGACAATTCCCATTATTCATAGAAGTTATGTTCTGTAAAGTCACTGCAAACACTGAGTTAGGAAGCAATAAACCATTGCTCCTAGGGGAAATACAGGGTTAGGTTTCTGACAGCCTCTGGTCACATTTTTGTCAACCAGTCAATATGTAACCTGTTGTATGCATATTTCTATTTAAAAACACTTTGTTTAATATATATTGTTGACTCTAACTTTGAACTATTCGTCAACAACATTATAACTCATGCCTCAATAAAATTTATCTAACACCTTACTTTCCTTCTCCATAAAGCACATCACAGCCTTTTTATGTTTAGGAAAGCAAGACAGCATTTCATCCCTATGTTTTGGGACCATTTTAAACTTTGAAATCTCCAACAAAAAGCACAAAAATGCAGAGAAAATAAAAACAGCCAAAAAAACCATGGCACTAAATAGACTGCCAAAAACACTTGTTTCTAGTGTGAATGCTGAAGCAAGAGGGTAGAGCACTGCCTTGTTTGAACACAGTTGGGAATGTGCTTTACAGGTGACCCAATTTTTTTGATGCCCTATGTATGTCTTTGAATAACCATGTAAACACTGTGTATATTAATTTTGGGGTTAAAAATACATTTTAGCCAGTAGGTAAGTTTGTTAATATGGAACTCATAATAATGAAGATCAACTTTACTTTCATGCCATTTTCTTCCTTTAAGTCATTTTTTCCTACCTAGTTTTTTTCAAGTTTACCTCATAACAAGATGAAATGGAAATTGATGCTTCTTTTTACTTGACTTCTGTCATACACAGTTTGACTTAAGATGCAACACTCATGAGGCAGTATTCAGAAAGAGAATAAAATATATTCTTGAATTGCCTTACAAAATGCTCAGTTTCTGCTTTAATGATGCAAATCTGTTGCAAAATAAATTTCAGTAGTTATAATTTCAGACTATTATAAGTAATATATTTTTAAAGTCTAGATTCTATGCTGTGTAAAAAATAACTACTTTGTCACATGGTTAAGTACTCTTTGCACATTGAAAAAATATTGCAAATTTTGAGTTTATAAATAGAAAATAGCATGGTACCATATTACTTTTTTTTCTTTAAAGAAGTCTCAGAGTATATGCACAGTAAATACTCTAAACAAAATAATTCCCTGACATATATTTGACTCAGCCCCGAATACCTCATCGACATTAAGCTCCATGAAGAAAGAGACTCTGCCTGCCTCTCTTGATCAAGGTTGTTTGACTAGTACATAATATAATGCATGACACAAATGTTGATCAAATTAGTAAATGATTCAGCTCAAAAATACAAAAACCTAAAAAATTAGAGTTTCTTCTCCAAAATCTATCTTCCTAGGGATACAGAGTCCTTAAACCCTCTTTTGCTTTTGTTTTCTTCTATTATGCTGATTTCACTATACTTTTATGAGTAATCTTATAGGATAATTAATAATATTTTACTATTAGTCAATAACAGTGTTTTGATTTCCTAGCAATCCAAATTTCATCAGGATCTTTGTGACATTTAACAAGCCAAGTATATTGTCTATGTCCCTTTCCTTTCTCCTTAACTTTATATTCTGCTTCCAGTCCAAGATAAAACTGAAACACAATACAAACAAGCTAGAAATCAATTTTTAAAATACTAAGAAAACCTCCAAATAATCAGAAAATTAGAAATATATTTTTAAAATAACATATGGGTCAAAGAAAGAGTTACAATAAAAATTAGAAAATATTTTGACAGACTGTCAACAAAACACTACATATCAAAAATTGGAGTCCAGCTCAATATACAATTAGAAAAATCATATAGCTTTATGTCAGAAAAGGTAAATGGCTAAAAATTAATGAGCTAAGCATTGATCTAAATAACTCCAAAAATTGCAGCAAATGATACCTGAAGAAAATAGAAGGAAATAAGTTATGAGTATAAGAACAAAAGGGGTATTAAGACAGAAAACAAACAAATGTTATTAATACCTCACAAAACTAAAAGCCAACTCTTTGAAAAGAATAAAACATTGTGAAGCACACAGATAACTAAAGAATAATAAAAGACAGAGAGAACAACTAATAATAGGATGAAATGAAAAAGGAACCATCATTAACAATCTTACTGACATTAGAAAGATATCACTTACAATCATCTCAAAAATATTTAAAAAGTAAAACATAGGGATAAATTTCACTAAAATATGCAGCATCTCTAAAGAAACATAGAAACTATAATTAGGGGAAAATATAAAACACGTTACTAACAAAGAGAGAAAACGTTTAATGGACTGGAATATTTAATACTGATGATGTCAGTTTCCCTCAAATTGACATGTGAATTTAGTGCATCACAACCAAAATTCTAATAGCTTTTTTCCCAGAATTCTAAAAGGTTATTCTAATATTTACTTAGAATTACAAAGATGCAAGACTGGCCAGGAAATTCGTAAACAGAAGAAAAAGGTGAGATCACTTGCTCTATTAAATACTACGACATTTAATAAAACTAGTGGAAGGGCAGTTGTTGGTGTAAAGATAAACAAAGAAATAGATCAGAATTAGATTTCAGTAACAGACACAGACATGATATATAACAAAAATGAATTTACAGAGCAGTGAAAAATAAAAACTATTCAATAAATAATGTTGGATTATTGGATTTGCAAATGAAAAAATATAAAATTGATTCCTACATCACACTCTCTATGGAAGTCAATACTGGGTAGAGTGAAACTCTGAATGTGAAAGGTGAATCTGAAAGTCATTATAAAATAATGTGGAAAAATATCTCCCTTTGGGGGGTTAAGAAAGTATTTATTTCACAGAACACAAAAAAAAAGTATAAAGGAAAATATTAATAAGTATAGTATACAGTATAGTAAAATTATACAATTCTGTTTATTCAAAGACATAAATAAAATAGTGAAAAGGCAAGCCCCAACACAGAAGATATTTGTAATGCATATAACAAAAAGTGCTTGTTTTTTGAAATTACGAAGAATTCCCGTAAATCAGTAAGGAAAGTAGTCCAAAGGAAAACATCCATAAGAAATAAACAGGCACTTCAAAAGAGAGTTTTTACAAATGCCCAATAAACATTTAATGTTTGCTAACCTCATTGGTAACCTAACCTCATTGGTTAGGTCTTTTAACCAATGAGGTTTGTAACCTAATGACACTTAGGAAAATTTAAGTTAATACAGAAGGAGATATGAACATGACACCACCAGAATAGTTAAATATAAAAATACTAAATGTGCCATATGTTGACAAACACGTGGAGCGCTGGAACTCCATACACTGTTGGTATGTTTGTAATTTATGGCTACTTTTGAAAACTGTGTGGTATCACTTAAATTGAACAGACACACACTCTATGACCCATCAATTCACTATCTAGGTATATACCCAATGTATCCATGCACCTAGATATAGTATTAGAAGAAGGCACAATGGATAAGTATGATGTTCTGTGGGCTGTCAAGTTGATTAAGTTCCCACAGACTACGTGATGATTGAAAAGTAGAGGAAAGTCAACATACCCTTAAGGTAATACAGTAAAGTTATAGGGTTGACCTTACTACGTGTAGTCAAACTGCTACTGAGTTTTATTTCTGGGAGGTATTGCAGAGTGAGGAGTATTTTCTGGGTCAAAAGCTCCATACCACATGTCTGGGGCTGTGTTGCTTTTCTTCAATTAAAATACCAGTGTAGAAAATGTAGCAGCTTAGCATTGTCTGTCTCTGGAAGTTAGGGTCAAGTCATTTCTCAGAAAGCCTGGGTATTTTCCTTTGCTCAGTATACAATATCTTTGGTAAATACCACACATACTTTTCAGGAAAACTTGGAGGAATATTCAGAATATTAACCATTTGGCTTGGTCTAAGCTCAAAGAACTCAATGTCCTCTCAAGAGGAACAGACAAGAGGCCATAAATTCCCACTATAGTGACTCAGGTTATGCTTCTTCTGATCATACCTAGGATTTTTCCAGTTAATATATGTTCAGCAACATCTTTCTTCATTCGTTTCCCCTATATTTCATTTCTATGATCACTGTGATCAATTTGCCCTTTCCATAGATCCTTGAAGGCCAAAACTCATCAACATTTTACCCCTCTGCCATATTATAGTAATTACACCAACATCATCTAAAACAACTAAACACCATCATTCTGGGACCCATTTATTCCCACTGAGGCAAGAACCCAATCACTTGTAGAATCTCCTATTGTCATATCCTGCCTACAGAGAGCAACCCTCAAGCCCTCAAAGAGTTTTTCAAGGATACTGTTTCTCGCGGTGTCAATAAGTTCTTAATTTGGATGAAAGGAGAGCCCAAGTAGTCGGTTAATGAGTGGCTGAGGAATACGCACATAATAGAGCTATTTTAACATGCCTATTTCCCTAGCCTCAGACTCATTCCTGAACATGATATAGAAGTTCCAACATTTCAACCTCATTGACTGTGGGCTTCAATTATTTAACACAGCAGATTGATAATGCCACTTCCAGATGTGCATGCTAACACATTAATTCTTGACTCTGATATGAATACACTCATGTCAATACATTTAGTCCAATGAAGGCTTATAATTTTGTCCTTCTTGGGAAAACACTCCCACAAAATTTACTCCCACAATTGTTGCCTATATTACTGCTGATTCAAATAATAATATTTTATATCTATTTCAGTATACAGAATATCTGTTTCCAGAGGAGAACTTCTCCATCAAATTTGTGTGGGATCTATTTCACTATAGGCTTGTAGAAAATAAGTAGTTATGGGGTGGGTCCTGGGTATCAGAAGATGCACCTCTTAGGAAACTGTCTCAGCTACAGTCACTGGAATTGCCACCTCCACTGATGAAGGAGTTCCAGAGATATTATGGGGGACCAAAGTGTTCAAATTCCCCTGTGTCAACCCAAAGGCACTCAACTAACATCTCAGCATACCACCACTTCTTCACTACTGCTACCGTCATAGGAGACTTGCTTGATTTTCTGCTGCAACTCTGCAACCTTCATAATCAATTCTAGACTTGTTGCTCAGAGCCATTTATGCTCTGTAACTGCAGTAGAGCAGAGGCTCATTCAAAATTACCAGTCAGTCTTTCTGATTGTCAGCTTTTCAGGTAGACATTCAGGAGTGTTTTGAGATGGACATTCAGGAGTCAACTTGCCTTTTTCTCTGTTGATGTTCTCTAGGGTTGGCAGATGAAGTCAGCTGACCCCAGTAAATTTTTAGTGCCGATTATAGTAGCTGAGTGCCACAATCAGTAGCTCTCTTAATGCTGTACTCTTACCTTTACCACATCGTATGAATCTATTATTAATAAGTTAAATGTGATGTTATTACCTTTCAGGGATTATTTGCATTCCATTTTCCTTGGTTAGGGTATTTGTGCAGTCCACAGCTATGCAAGCAAACTATTCCCAGAATTCTATTTTGTAAAATAGTTACTTGACATCAATTATTATAACAAGTTCCTGGAAGAAACAGATAACTCACTCAAATGAATATGTTTGAGAAACAGTTTAATAAAGGGATGCATAATAAAAGTAAGGACAGAGTATAAGAAAGCCACAAGGGATAGAGCAGGACCCAAGGACTGGAGGGCGTTTGCAGGGAAACATTGTCACTCCGAGGGCTGAGGTGGTAAAGAAATGAAGTAATTACTGGAATCTAGAGAGAGACAAAACCCAGAGAGAAGGAAACCAGGCAGATAGAGGGGGTGGGGGCTAATTAACAAGAGTGTGACCTTCACTGGGAAATAGCCAGTTCACAGTGATTTTGCAGGGCTGTACCTGGGTAAATTAGTGTACTAAGATGACTTTCCCTTTTTCTGATGATCTCCAGTCCAGTAGCAGAACCCCACAGAGAAGCTACAGGGCAAGGGAGCCCAGATGACGATTTCAATCAAGTCAGTCTCCTAGGGTACTGAGCAGGATGAAGAAAGGTGGAGGGTGGATATGAGGTAGTAATTCCATATGTCCTTACAAGGTCAATAATAGGTCTTTCACATGACCTAAGAAAGGAAGTGGATGAAACTGTGGTATTCTTATAATTGGGATACCTGTAAAAGGAGTTCCATCACCAGACAAGAATTGGAACCGAAGGAGAAATTTCCTTATCTTGTTTAGAGGATGGAAGACATTTATAAGCAATGAATTGCTGGTATTAAAGATTCATGCATAGTATAGCACTATAATTAAGGCACCAAGTATCAATGTGACATTAAATTCCTGCTGATTTTCAACAGAGGCTGCAAAGCTTCAGCAACATGAGACTTAATTGATGAAAGGTGAAACTGTTAGTTTAGACAAATAGGAAATGCTAACAAAACTTTCCTGTGCTATTGCTATTTTCTGACAAAGCCACAGCCAATATCATACTGAATGGGCAAAAACTGAAAGCATTCCCTTTGAAAACCAGCACAAGACAAGGATGTCCTCTCACCACTCCTATTCAACATATTGTTGGAAGTTCTGGCCAGGGCAATCAGGCAAGAGAAAGAAATAAAGGATATTCAATTAGGAAAAGGGGAAGTCAAATTGTCCCTGTTTGCAGATGACATGATTGTACATTTAGAAAACCCCATAGTCTCAGCTCAAAATCGCCTTAAGCTGATAAGCAACTTCAGCAAAGTCTCAGGATACAAAATCAATATGCAAAAATCACAAGCATTCCTATACACCGTTAATAGACAAACAGACAGCCAAATCATGAGTGAACTCCCATTCACAATTACTACAAAGAGAATAAAATACCTAGGAATCCAACTTACAAGGGATGTGAAGAATCTCTTCAAGGAAAACTACAAACCACTGCTCAACGAAATAAAAGAGGACACAAACAAATGGAAAAACATTCCATGCTCATGGATAGGAAGAATCAATATTGTGAAAATGGCCATACTGCCCAAGGTAATTTATGGATTCAATGCCATCCCCATCAAGCTACCAATGACTTTCTTCACAGAATTGGAAAAAAATACTTTAAAGTTCATATGGAACCAAAAAAGACCCTGCATTGCCAAGACAATCCTAAGCCAAAAGAACAAAGCTGGAGGCATCACGCTACCTGACTTCAAACTATGCTACAAGGCTACAGTAACCAAAACAGCATGGTACTGGTACCAAAACAGAGACATAGACCAATGGAACAGAACAGAGCCCTCAGAAATAATACCACACATCTACAACCATCTGATCTTTGACAAACCTGACAAAAACAAGAAATGGGGAAAAGATTCCCTATTTAATAAATGGTGCTGGGAAAACTGGCTAGCCGTATGTAGAAAGCTGAAACTGGATCCCTTCCTTACACCTTATACAAAAATTAATTCAAGATGGATTAAAGACTTAAATGTTAGACCTAAAACCATAAAAAACCCTAGAAGAAAACCTAGGCAATACCAGTCAGGACATAGGCATGGGCAAGGATGTCATGACTAAAATACCAAAAACAACGGTAACAAAAACCAAAACAGACAAATGGGATCTAATTAAACTAAAGAGCTTCTGCACAGCAAAAGAAACTACCATTAGAGTGAACAGGCAACCTACAGAATGGGAGAAGATTTTTACAATCTACCCATCTGACAAAGGGCTAATATCCAGAATCTACAAAGAACTTAAGCAAATTTACAAGAAAAAACAAATGACCCCATCAAAAAGTGAGCAGAGGATATGAACAGACACTTCTCAAAAGAAGACATTTATGTAGCCAAAAGACACATGAAAAAATGCTCATCATCATTGGCCATCAGAGAAATGCAAATCAAAACCACAATGAGGTACCATCTCACACCAGTTACAATGGTGATCATTAAAAAGTCAGGAAACAACATATGCTGGAGAGGATGTGGATAAATAGGAATGCTTTTACACTGTTGGTGGGAGTGCAGATTAGTTCAACCACTGTGGAAGACAGTGTGGCAATTCCTCAAGGATCCAGAACTGGAAATACCATTTGACCCAGCAATCCCATTACTGGGTATATACCCAAAGGATTATAAATCATGCTACTATAAAGACACATGCACATTTAATGTTTATTGTGGCACTATTCACAATAGCAAAGACTTGGAACCAACCCAAATGTCCCACATTGATAGACTGGATTAAGAAAATGTGGCACCTATGCACCATGGAATACTATGCAGCCATAAAAAGGATGAGTTCATGTCCTTTGCAGGGACATGGATGAAGCTGGAAACCATCATTCTCAGCAAACTATCACAAGGGTAGAAAACCAGACACCTCATGTTCTCACTCACAGGTGGGAACTGAACAATGAGAACACATGGACACAGGATGGGGAACATCACACACCAGGCCTGTCAGGGAGTAGGGGCCTCGGGGAGGGATCTCATTAGGAGAAATACCTAATGTAAATGAGGAGTTGATGGGTGCAGCAAACCAACATGAAACATGTATACCTATGTATCAAACCTGCACATTATGCACATGTACCCTAGAATTTAAAGTATAATAAGAATAAAAGAAAATTCTCCTGTTCTCTGACATTCCATAAAATTATATTGTCAGTGCTCAAGGTGATTTGGTCTTATGCCATCTGTGCCTTAATTGTTTTAAAATAGCACCTTCCATAAGTCTAATAAAAATTATAAGTGTTAAGAAAGCATTCTGTCAAATTTTAGCACAGCTATTTTTTTTCTCTTATGGTATTGCATACATTAATGCTGCATGTTACAATCATTGGTACCTTAGGTTTAATGACATTCCATGTGACATTGCCTCCTATATGCTAATTTTAATATAAATTCCCAGAAAAAAAGGCAAAAAGGCATATGACTGATTATTAAAATATAATTTTAAAGAAATTTGTATTATTTTAAGATCTTTCTGTGTTTTTATAATTTAAAAAGTTTTAATAATATGCATGCATTAAGGAGTCTCAAGTTTGACTAGTCCTAAGGGATATGGAAGAAGGCTTGCTTTAAAAGGAGTCTGTGTATTCTAAGTGTCTGGAACAAGTACTCAAACAAATTTGTTCGAAATTGACCAAAGCATCAAGATTTAGAGGTCCAATCTCAGAATTTCTCTTTCTACATTTCAGATAGAATTTTGAGATTTGTTCTTAAAGAGGACTACAGGTGATTTTCATGCAAAATTAGTTTGGAAAACTACTAGTCTGTAGCACATTAAAATAACTATCATGACATGAGGTTATAGTCACTCCAAGATAAGAAACAATTACCAATAATAACCACTATATTGAACATCCCATGCATATTACCAGGCACTAGATTAATTTAATTTAGAGAAATCATGAGGCAGATATTAAAACTTTTATTTAATAACATGAAAATGTAATAAATTTCCAGGTGTTCTATGTAACTACATGTGGCCAATAAGGAATTAATATAACAGTGTCTTAAATTAGGAAACATAAATAAAAGCTTATTAATTTGCATGTTAACAAATTTGTGATTATGTAATTTGTGATTATTTAATTTAGGATGATCTGGATAGAAGTATTTTCCTTTTACTGTCTATAGAGGCAAGCTTGATTATACAATTAATAAAGCCAATAACATTGCAAAGATTTATTTCAATCTGTTCTACATAGCAAACTATGTTTAAAAGGTAAGTTAATCATAATTTATGAATGGGAGCTACTAATTACAAATTAATCTCATGTTTTCATTTCAAAAGGACCAGTAGGACTTCTAATCAAAAACAGTTATTAGCAGTTAAATGTAATCAAATAGTTCTTTTCCTGCATTCTAAAAATCAATATTTTGCTGTTAGACTGGTTTTCTTCCCTTCACTTTCATTATGTATAATAGAAAAAGTAAGAGGCTAGAATAAGCTCATGTGGAAAACTTACATCCTTACATCCTTATCCATTTAAGTAATGATAACAATTTTGTATCTTAAGAAGCTCATCATTCCATTTATTCCTAAGCACAACTGTGTGAATGAATGTGGTATTAAAACCTGTATAAAAATTAGGAACCAGAGCCAGAAAGGACAAGTGACTGTAGCAGAGGTAATGTCATGTGTTAAACATGTTTCATTTTTTCTCTGGGGCATAAAGGAACACTGGATTTTTCAGCTTGTATGAATTTAGATTGGGTCTTTTATCTGGTTTTTGTCAATGCAGGGATAACAGACTTTCACATCAGGCTCACTAAAATCATTCTATTTTATCCTTCACGTGAGACCATACAGACCATCTGTTGAAGATGAAGGTATCCTGAATGCACAGAACCTGGATAATCAAGACACTACTTGGAATGAATCACCCAACCGTGTCAGAATTTGCAAGGAAAAACTTTTATTGTGTCTTGACCCAATAAAGTTAAAATTCGAGTTTGTTTATTGCAGAAATTAAACCAGTCATCCTGACAAATAGAGAGACTTGGCTCAGCAATCAGAGCTGGTAAGTGGCAGAGACAGAGTTAAAAGAATAGATATCTCTTCTGATTTCTGATTTAGTATTCTATGTTCTACTTTCACCTGCCATATTCCTGTAACAGTAAGAATTTCCCTGGAGGCCATGTATAAATTACCTAAATAAACTCTACTAGCTACTTTTTTTTTTTTTTTTTTTTTTTTTTTTTTTTACTTCTCATTTGTCAAACATTTTATTTTTGGGGGTTTATGTCATGTATTCAATACCAAAGATGCCAAATCAGTTCCAATTCACATGCCAATCCTTATCATTAAGTAATCATATTGTAAAGATCTATGTCAAGAGAGGGATCAAGATAGCTGACTAGATGCAAGTAGTATGTATCTCCTTCATGGAGAGGAACCAGAATAGTAAGTAGGTGCTTACATTTCAAAGAGCTTGTCTAGGAGAATACAGTAGGATTCACCAGAGAAGAGACAGGAAGCACCAGAAGTAAGTAAGGACAGCATTCACAGCATCCTGCCCAGCCAAGAACTGAATGAAAAATGGGAAAAGTCTCTGGATTCAGGGAAATAATAAGAGAAATTCTTACTTTTAGGAAACTCTTACTGTTAGGGCTTCACATCCAAATGGGCTTTTACAATCTTGGCTACAGGAGAAAACTTTGACTCGCTAGGGCCTCAGGCCTGACATATAGCCTGCCTCAAGATTGCACAGGGACTTCGCTCCAAAAAGAAAACCACACAGAATCTGACAGTCATGTGAGCCTAGAGCAGCCTCAGCTGGGTGCCACTTTGAGAGCCTAACTACTGGGGATTTACGGACACTGCACTGTAGCTGTTCCAGGGAGGGACAAGTAAGAATGGGCACTCCCATGTACTCCTGGGAGAGTTCCTACTACCCTTCTGTGGGTTGCTATTGAGACTCAAATGTGACTAAACTGCAGTCCCCACAGGATCTTTCCCACATTGCTTGCCTGGGAGGGACTGTGCTCTCTCTCTAGGACCATCCCAAGATGCCATTTTGAGAATTTAATACTGGACTGTGCCCCACCCTTGGGCTGAATTTGAGTTGATGTGGCTGCAGCCATCACCTAGCTGAGGAAAGACAGATAAATCAGACTGTCCTACACACACCTAGGACAATACTCATTGCCCTGCAACAGGCAACTGTAAGACTCACTGACACTGAAGCTAGGATAAGCTGCTCTAGGGCCTAAAACCAGGCATACTCACCCCACAGCAGCTATCACTGGGGCCCAGAGACTTGCTCAGCTGATGTCCAATTCCCTAGTAAAACTTCATCACAACCTTAACTAATAACTATACCCTAAGCCACTGAGGAAATTACAGATACCACTTACCCTGTACACTGCTGAGAAAGTCATACAAAGATTACACTACCACAGGCATCCCAAATCAAACTCAAAGTATCCTACTCAACCAACAATGTACATACATCTTCAAAAAAATTCTTCCCTACAAAAGCAATTTTTAAAAATTAGAACAAGCCCCTGATACACCAGATGTGCAGATATCAGTGGAAGGACACAAGAAACATGAAAAAAGAAGGAAAGCTGATACCACCAAAGGACCACAACAAATATCCAGCAACAGATACAATCAAAATGAATTCTTCAAAATGCCAGATAAAGAATTCAAAGTACCTATTTTAAAGAAGCTGAATGAGATGCAATTAATAATCTGAAAGCCAATACACAAAAATAGAAAATCAATTGAGAAAATAAATAAAATATTTACCAGGGACATATATATTAAAAAACAATAACAACAACATACAAGCAGAAAATCTGTAAATAAAAAATTAAATGGAAAAATACAAATACATTCAATAATAGATTATACCAAACAGAAGAAAAAACCTCAGAACTTAAAGATTGGTCTTTGAAATAGTCCAGTCTGACAAAAATAAGGAAAAAAAGAAGAAAATAGAATGAACAAAGCCTCAAAATATCTGTGACTACATAAAATGTTAACACTTATGAATTATTGATGTTACTAAGGGGCTAGAGAGATTAAAAAAGCTGAGAAAACCTATTTAAAGAAATAATTGATGTAAACATCCCAAGGCTAGCAAGATAATTAGACCTCCATATGCAGGAGGCTCAGCAATACTGAGTAAAACACATAGCAAAAAAGGACATCATCATGACATATTATATTCTGAATTTCTAAAGTAAAAGTGAAGAACTTTTAAAATTTTCAGGAGAAAGGATCTAGTCACTTATAAAAGAAATCTCATTAGACTAATAGCAGACTTTTCGGCAGAAACCTTACAGGCCAGGGGAGAATATGATAGAGTTTTCAAAGTGCTGGAAACAAACAAAAAAAAGCAAACCTATCAACAAAAAATTTTATATTCTGCCTGAATAAGCAAATAAACGTCATAAATGAAGGAGAAATAAAGTATTTCTCAAACAAGCAAATGATGATGGAATTTGTCACCAGTAGACTGGGCCTATAGGAAATGCTCAAGGAGGTCTTAAACATGGAAACGAAAGGTTGATATTCATGATCATGAAAACACATGGAAATATAAAGCTCATAGACCTTATAAAACAATCGCACAAAAGACGAAAAGAAGAATCAAAAGGCAACATGACAGAATTTCAGAAAATCACAGACAAAGAGAGAAAATGAAAGAAATAATTCATAAAACAACTTGAAAACAACAATATGACAAGACCAAAGCCTCACATATCAATATTAACCTTGAATGTAAATGGATTAAATGGTACACTTAAAAGATACAGATTGGCAGAATAAATTTAAAAATATATGATTCAACTATATGTTGCCTACAAGAAACTCACCTTACCCATAAAACACATATAGATTGAAAGTAAAAAGATGGAGAAAAATAATCCACATAAGCAGAAACCAAAAGTGAGCTGGCAGAGAGGTACACTTGTATCAGATAAAACACATTTTAATCAAAAAGAGTTTTTAAACAAGACAAAGAAATTTATTATATAATGATAAAGAGATAAATTATGCAAGAGAATATAACAATCCTAAATATACGTGCATCCAACATCAGAGCTTCCAAATTTGCAAAACAAGGATTACTAGACCTAAAAAGGAGATAGAGGACAATACAATAATAGTGGGGGACTTCAACACCTCACTCACAGCAGTAAAAAATTATTTAGACAGAAAATTAACAAAAAATATTAAATTTAAATTGAACTTTAGACCAAATAGACCTAACAGACATTTACAGAACATTCTACCCAACAACTACAGAATATAAATTGTTTTCATTGGCACATGGAACATTCTCCAAGACAGACCAAATGTTAAGCCACAAAACAAGTCTTAATAAATTATAAAATATCAAATCATGTCAAGTAAGTTCTCAGATCACAGTGGAATAAAGCTAGAAATCAATAACAAGAGGAACTTCAGAAACTATACAAATATATGGAAATTAAACAGCATGCTCCTGAATGATCACTGGGTCAATAAAGAATTTAAGACAGAAATTAAAAAAAATGGAAACAAATGAAAATGAAAACACATCATACCAAAACCTGTGGGATATTGCAAAAGCCTATTAGCAATAAATGATGACATCAAAAAAGCAGAAAGATCACAAATTAACAACCATACATTCTGCCTCAAGAAATTAGAAAAGAAAAAAAAACCAAACCCAAGGTTAATAAAATATAAGAAACAACAAAGATCAGAGCAGAACTAAATGAAATAGAGACCAACAATTACAAAAGATCAACAAAAGAAATGGTTGTTTTTTTGAAAAGATAAACAAAATTAAAATACTACCAGCTACAATAACAAAGAATAGAGAAAATCCAAATAAACACAATTAGAAATGCAAAAGGAGGTATTAGAACTGATGCCACAAAAATACAAAAGATCATCAGAGACTATTCTGTATGTGCTCACAAACTAGAAAACCTGGAGGAATGAATAAACTCCTGGAAGCACACAAA
Organism: Homo sapiens; assembly: GCF_000001405.40. Taxonomy (NCBI): domain Eukaryota; kingdom Metazoa; phylum Chordata; class Mammalia; order Primates; family Hominidae; genus Homo; species Homo sapiens. Next base: position 115,016,212 of record NC_000008.11, on the reverse strand, counting down.
CTTCTGAGACTAACCAGGAAGAAGTAGAATTCCTAATCATGAGTAGCAAGATTGAAGCAGTTCTAATAAATCTCCCAAGAAATAAAAGGTCAGGACCAGATGAAGTCACTGCCAAATTCTATCAAGCATACAAAGCAAAACTAATACCAATCCTCTTATAACTATTGCAAAAAATTAAGGAGGATGATTAAAATTCTCCAAAACTCATTCAACAAGGCCAGCATTACCCTCATATCAAAACCAGGCAAGGACACAATAAAAAAAGAAAACTACAGACTGATATCCCTGATGAACATAGATGCAAATATCCTCTGTAAAATACTAGCAAATTGAATCCAACAGCATATTAAATACATAACACATCATGGTCAGGTGTGATTTATCCCAGGGATGCAAGGATATTTCAACATACACTAATTAATTTGATACATCATATATACAAAATTAAGTATAAAAACTACATGATTATCTCAATAGATGCGGAAAAAGCATTCAGTAAAATTCAGCATCCCTTCATGATAAAAGTCTTCAACAAAATAGACATAGAAAGAATGTACATCAACATATTAAAGGCCATGTATGACAAAACAATGGCCAACATCGCACTTAATGGGGAAAAGTTGAAAGCATTTTCTCTAAAACCTGGAACAAAAAAAGAATGCCCACTTTCACCATTTCTACTTAACATAGTCCTGAAAGTCCTAATTAGAACAATTCAGGCAAGAGAAAAAAGCAAAACGTATTTAAATTAGAAAAGATGAAGTCAGATTATCCTTGTTTGCTGTTAATGTGGTCTTATCTCTAGAAAACCCTAAACACTTTGCAAAAATACTCCTAGATTTGACAAAGTCCATACAGTTTCAGGATACAAAATTAACATACAGAAATCAGCAGTGTTTCTGTACACCAATAACAATCTAGCTGAGGACCTAATCAAGAAGGCAATCCCATCCCATTTACAATAGCTATGAAATAAGTTGAAGGACCTAGGAATATATTTAACCAAGGGTGTGAAAAGTCTCCATAAGGAGAACTACAAAATAATGATAGAAGAAATGGTAGATAACCACAAACAAATGTAAAACCACCTCTTGCTCATAGACAGGAAGAGTCAATATTGTTAAAATGCTATACTGCCCAAATTATTCTACAGATTCAATACAATACCTTTTAAATTACCTGCGTCATTTTTTTACAGAATTAAAAAAATCTAAAATTAATATGGAATGCAAAAAGAGCTCAAATAGCCCAAGAAATCCTATATGAAAAGAACAAAGCTGGAGGCATCACATTACCTGACTTCCAATTATACTACCAGGTTATAGTAACCAAAACAGTGTTGTACTAGTAAAAAAATATAAAAATAGACACAAAGATCAATAGGACGGACTAGAGAACCCAGAAATATAGCCACATACCTTCAACCAACTGATCTTCACTAGGGCCAAAAACATACACTGAGGAAATAACACCCTTTCAATAAATGGTGCTGAAAACATTGGATAGCCATATGCACAAGAATGAAACTCTCACCAAATAAAACAGTTAATCAAGATGGATAAAAGACCTAAACCTAAGACAAGAAATTATAACGATGTTAAAAGAAAACCTAGGAAAAACTCTTCTGGACATTGATCTAGACAAAGAATTTATGACCCAGTCTGCAAAAGCTAACGCAACAAAACAGTAATAGATAAATGGAAATTAAACTAAAAAGCTTCTGCACAGCTAAAGTAATAATCAGTAAACAGATACCTTACAGAATAGAAAAAAATAATTGCAAGATATGCACAGGACAAGGGGCTCATATTCAGAATTTACAAAGAACAATTCAACAAGAAAAAATCAAATAACCCCATTAAAAAGTGAATAAGAACATGAATAGATGTTTTTCAAAAGAAGATATACAAGCAGCCAACAAACATATGAAAAAATACTCAACATCACCAGTCATCAGAGAAATGCAAATTAAAACCACAACAAGGTAACATCTCACATCAGTCAGAATGACTATTATTAAAAAGTAAATAAGCAACAGATGTTGGTGAGGATATGGAGAAACGGGAACAATTATATACTCTTGGTTGGAATGTAAATTTATAAAACCTTTATGGAAAACAGTATAAAGATTTATCAAATAATTAAAAATAGAACTACCATTTGATTTAGAAATTCCACTACCGGGTGTATAGTCAAAGGGAAAAAAATCAGTACATCAAAAAATATCTGCACTCATATGTTTACCACAGCACTATTCACAATAGCAAATATACAAAATCAACCTAAGTGTTGACTGAACCTAAGTGATTGTAAAAGGAAAATATGGAATATATATATATACCATGGAATACCACCCAGCTGTAAAAAAAGAATGAAATAACGTCTTTTGCAGCAACATGGATTAAAGTGGAGGCCATTGTCTTAAGTGAAATAACTCAGAAACAGAAAATCAAAAACCACATCTTAACACTTACAAGAGGGGGTAAATAATGGGTACCCATGGATATACAGGGTAGAATAGTAGACATTGGAGACTCCAAGAGATGGGAGAGGGGGAGGGGACTGAGAGCTGAAAGCTACCTATTGCATACATTGTTCACTATTTGGGTGATTGATGTACTAGACTTCACCATGGTGCAATATATGCATGCAAGAAATCTGCACGTGTACCCTTAAATATATAAAATTAACAAATGTTAATCATAAAAGGAAGATAAAATAATAACATCTCAAGGAAATGTGCTTTGAAATACAATAATTTGATATTAAAAATAAAAAAAACTTTTGTCAATAAAGATTCTGAGGATACTTCTAGACTCAGAATGACTAAAATTGTGATTGTATCTGCCAAGTTCCTACCTAGGTAAGGAAAAGGAAAAGTAGCACAGATATGTTAGCTAGGTCATTTAGCTTCACTTAATATAGATGACACAAAAATTGTATATACTATTGTGTAACAGATTTCATATTTTAAATGATATTAAGATTAATTCTGTGATTTGACATATATATTTCAGGCAATGTCAAATATTACAAAATACTTTTAAAAGCTCTGAAAATTTTATAGAAAGATTTTCCACCATAGAATAAAAGAGCAAAACTCTATAACCATTTTGCTTTTAAAATTAAACTTTTTTTGAAAAGTATACAATTTCTGTTTTATATTTATTTTCTTTTGTTTATTTCTATTGTGGTAATAATACTTAACATGAGATCTGCTGTCTTCGATTTTTAAGTGCATGATGAAGTATTGTTAACTATAGGCATAATGTTATACAGCAAATCTCTAGAACTTAACACATAGTGCACAAGTAAAATTTTATCTCTTGATTAACAGCTTCCCATTCCTCCATTCCCCCAGCCGCAGCAACCTCAATTTCATTCTTTGTTTCTTTGTGTTTGACTATTTTAGATACCTCATATATGTAGAATCACACAATTTAATTTTTGTGACTGACTCTTTTGAATCAACGTAATATCTTCATGGTTCATTTACATTGTCACAAATTTAGGATTTCTTTCTTTTTTAAAAGTGAACAATTTCTTTTATATTATATACCACTTAAAAAACCATTCATTGATAGAGATTTGGGTTGTTTCCATATCTTGGCTTTTATAAATAGTGCTGAAATGAACATGGAAGTGATAATATCTTTTTGAAACTCTGATTACAATTATTCCAAATAAATATTCTAAAATTCAAATGCTGGATTATAATTTAATTTTTTAGAAACATTTATACAATTTTTCATAGTGGCTGTACCAATTTACATTCTAGTCAACTGTATAGAGATGTTATAATGTATTTCCTCACCAACACTTACCTTTTTTTTGGATAATAGCCATGCTAACATGTATGGGGTGATATCTCATTGTGGTTTTAATTTACATTTCCTGGATAACCAGTGATATGGTTTTGCTCTGTGTCTCCACTCAAATCCCATATCGAATTGTAATCTCCACTGTTGGGGGAGGGATCTGATGGGAGGTGATTGGATCATGGGGGCAGATTTCCCCCTTGCTGTTGTCATGAAAATGAGTGTTATCATCAGATCTGGTTCTTTGAAAGTGAGTAGCACTTTCCCCTTCACCCTCTCTCTTTCCTGCTCTGCCATGTAAATATGTGACTGCTCCCTCTTTGCCTTCCATCATGATTGTAAGTTTCCTGAGGCCTCCTATATTAGTCTGTCTTCACACTGCTGTACAGAACTTCCCTGAGACTGGGTAATTTATAAAGGTAAGAGGTTTAGTTGGCCCGCAGTTCCACAGGGCTAGCGAGGCCTCAGGAAAATTAGAATCATGGCAGAACAGGAAGCAGACACTTTCTTCACAAGGAGGCATTAGAGGCAGAGATGAAGAAGGAACTTCCAAACACTTATAAAATCATCAGATCTCATGAGGACTCACTCACTATCATCAGAACAGTATGAGGGAAACCACCCTCAAGTTCCAATTACCTCCCTCCCTTGAATGTGGGGATTACAGGTTCCCCCCTTGACACGGGAATTAAAATTCAAGATGAGACTTGGGTAGAGACACAGAGACAAACCATATAACCTCCCCAGCCGCACTTCCTGTGTAGCCTATAGAACTGTGAGTCAGTTAAACCTCTTCTTTATAAATTACCTAGTCTCAGGTAGTTCCTTATATCAATGATTGAATGAACTAATACAGAAAATTGGCACTGGGAGTGGGACATTGCTATAAAGATACCTGAAAATGTGGAAGCAACTTTGCAACTGGGTAATGGGCAGAGGTTGGAATAGTTTGCAGGACTCAGAAGAAGACAAGAAGACAATGGAAAGTTTGAAACTTCCTAGAGAGACTTGTTAAATTGCTGTGGCCAAAATGAAGGTAGTAATATGGACAATGAAGTCTAGGCTGAGGGGATTTCAGATGGAGATGAGGAATTTATTGGGAACTGGAGTAAAGGTCACTCTTGCTATGTTTTAGCAAAGACAGTGGTGACATTGTGCTCATGCTCTACAGATCTGTTGAACTTAAGAGATGATTTAGGGTATCTGGCGAAAACAATTTCTTTTTTTTTTTTAGACAGAGTCTCGCTTTTTCACCCAGGCCGGACTGCAGTGGTGCTATCTTGGCTCATTGCAAGCTCTGCCTCCCAGGTTCATGCCATTCTCCTGCCTCAGCCTCCCGAGTAGCTGGGACTACAGGTGCCCGCCACCATGCCAGGCTAATTTTTTGTATTTTTAGTAGAGACAGGGTTTCACCGTGTTAGCCAAGATGGTGTCGATCTCTTGACCTCGTGATCCACCCACCTCGGCCTCCCAAAGTGCTGGGATTACAGGAGTGAGCCACTGCGCCCGGCCACGAGAAACAATTTCTAAGCAGCAAAGCATTCAAGAAGTGACCTGGCTGCTTCTAAATGCCTAGTTCACCTGCATAAGCAAAGCAACGGACTGAAACTGTAACTTATATTGAAAAGGGAAGCAGAGCATGAAAGTTTGGAAAATTTGCAGCCTGGCCACGTAGCAGAAAAGAAAAACCCATTTTCTGGGAGGAATTCAAGCCAGCTGCAGAAATTTGCAAAAGTAAAGAGGAGCCGAATGTTAATAGACAAGACAATGTGGAAAATGCCTCCAGGGCATTTCAGAGACCTTCATGGCAGGCCCTCCCATCACAGGCCTAGAGGCCTAGGAGAGAAAAATGGTTTTATGAAACAGGCCCAGGGCCCTACCACTCTGTGCAGCCTCAGGACATTGGGCCTCATGTCCCAGGTGCTCCAGCTTCAGTTGTGAGTAAAAGGGCCCCAGATATGGGTCTCAGGCCACTGCTCCAGAGGGTGTAAGCTGGAAGCCACCAAGGCTTTCCTGTGGTGTTAAGCCTACAGGTATAAAGAGGGGAAGAGTTGAGGCTTGGGAGCTTCCACCTAGATTTCAGAGGATTTATGGAAATTCCTGGATGTTCAGCCAGAAGCCTGCTGTAGGGGTGGAGCCCTTATGGATAACCTCTAATAGGGCACTGTGGAGGGAAAGTGTGGAGTTGGAGACCCCCCCACAGAGTTCTTACTGGGGCTTTGAAAAGTGGAGCTGTGCCTAGTGGAGCTATGAGAAGGGGATCACCATCCTCCAAACCCCAGAATGGGAGATTCACTGACAGCTTGTACTGTGGGCCTGGAAAAGCTGCAGGCACTCAATGCCAGCACATGAAAACAGCCATGGGGTCTGTACCCTGCAGAGCCACAGGGGCAGAGCTTCCTAAGGCCTTGGGAGCCAACCCCTAGCATCAGCATGACCTGGATGTGAGACAAGGAGTCAAAGGAGATTATTTTGGAGCTCTAAGACTTGATGACTGCCCTGCTATATTTTGGACTTGCATGAGGCCTGTGGCCCCTTTGTTTTGGCTGACTTCTCCCTTTTGGAAAGGGAGTATTTAACCAATGCCTGTACCCACATTGTACCTTGAAAATTACTAACTTATTTTTGATTTTACAGGCTTATAGGTGGAAAGGACTTGTCTTGCTTCAGATGAGACTTTGGACTTAGACTTTTGAGTTAATGCTGGAATGAGTTAATAATTTGGGGGACTGTTGGGAAGGCACAATTGTGTTTTTAAACTTGAGAAAGACATGAGATTTGTGAGGGACCACAGGTGGAATGATAAGCTTTGGCTCTGTGTTCCCACCCAAATCTCATGTCGAATTGTAATCACCAGCACTATGGGAGGGACCTGGTGAGAGGTGATTGGATCATGGGAGCAGATTTCCCCCTTGCTGTTCTCATGATAGTGAGTGAGTTCTCATGATATCTGGTTGTTTAAATGTTTGTAGCACTTTTCCTTTCACTCTCTCTTTCTCTTGTTCTGCCACATGAAGATGTGTCTGCTTCCCCTTCACCTTCCATCATTAAGTTTCCCGAGGCCTCCCTAGCCATGGTTCCTGTACAGCTTATGGAACTGTGAGTCAATTAAACCTCTTTTCTTTATATTATAAATTATCCAGTCTCGGGTAGTTCCTTATAGCAATGTGAGAATGGACTCACACAGCTAGAGATGTTAAGCAGTTTTTAATATACTTTTTCTGCATTTGTATGTCTTCTTTGGAGAATGTCTCTTGAAGTCCTTAGCCCATTTTAAATTGTCATTTGTTAATTGCTATTGAGGTGTAAGAGTTCTTTATATTGTGAATATTAACTGCCTATGACATACATAGTTAGCAAATATTTTCTCCTAGTCAGAGTGTTGTCTTTCACTCTGTTGATTGTTTTCTTTGCTATGCAGGAATTTTTAAATTTGATATACACTGATTTATCTATTTTTTACTTTTGTTGCTTGTATCTTTGATGTCATAGCCATAAAATCATTGCCAAGAGCAGTGTTAAGAAGCTTTCCCCTGTGTTTTCTTCTAGGAGTTGTACAAAATGTTCTTTCATAATAAGAATTCTCAACAAACTAAGAGGGAAAATACCTCAACATAATAAAGGCAATTTATGAAAAGCTTACAGCTAACATTGCCCTAGCACTACGATCATAACAAGAATACCAACTGTGACTGCTTTTATTCAGTATAATATTGTAAGTCCAAACAAGAGGAATTGGGCAAGAAAAACAATGAAAACATTTAAATTAGAAGGTAAAAGTTAAATTGTCTCTCTGAAGATTATAATCTTATATGTAGAAAATCCTGAAGATGCTATTGAAAACTATTGGAACTAGTAAAACACATTAAGTAAAGAATAAGAAATAAAAAACAAAAATCAGTTGCATTTTTGTATATTAATTTTAAAAACTATCCAAAAAGCAAATTTGTAAAACAAACTCATTTATAATAGCATCAAAAAGAATAAAACATTCAAACTTAACTAAGGAAGCAAAAAGCTTGTACAGTGAACAGTACGAAATATTGATGAAATAAATTAAAGATTCAAAGAAATAGAAAGATATCTTGTATTGATAGATTGAAAAACTCAATATTTTTAAAATGTCCACACTACCCAAAGAGTTGTATAGGGCTTGTGAAAGGAAAATAAATCTTGGGGCCCTGAAATCACTAATCTAAAGGGAAAAATCAACCTGGGAACTGCTTAAGGCAAACCTGCCTCCGATTCTATTCAAAGTCATCTCTCTGCTTACTGAGATAAATGCATATCTGATTGCCTCCTTTGGACAGGCCAATCAGAAACTCAAAAGAATGCAACCATTTGTAAGTGGAAGCTCCCTCTCTGCTCCTTCAAGTTGTCCTGCATTTGCTTTGACTTGTCCCGCCTTTTCTGGATAGAACCAACATTCAGCTTACATATGTTGATTGACGTCTCATGTCTCCCTAAAAATGGATAAAAACAAGCTGTGCTCTGACCACCTTGGGGACATGTCATCAGGACCTCCTGAGGCTGTGTCATGGGTGTGCATCCATACAACTTTGGCAAAATACACTTCCTAAATCGACTGAGACCTGTCTCAGATTTTTGGGGTTCACAGGCTCAATGTAATTCCTATTAAAATATCAAGAGCATTTTTAATAAAAATGAAAAAAATCTAAAATTTATATGGAAACACAAAAGATCCAGAATAGATAAAACAATTAAGAAGAAAAAATTATCTCTATTTCAGATGTGATCTTATATGTAAAAAACCCCAAAGATTCTACAAAACGACTCTTAGACCTAATACATAAGTTGAGTAAATTCACAGTTTACAAAACCAAGATACAAAAATTCATAAGATTTTTCTGTAAAAATGGCCTAAATAAAAAAGAAATGAAGAACCCAATTTCATTTTTGATGCAATCATAAAAGTAAAAACCTAGGAATAAACTTAACCAAGAAGGTAAAAAATTTGTACATTGAGAACTATAAAATATTGATGAAATAAATTGAAGAAGACACAAATAAATAAAAAGATATTCCATGTTCATGGAATAGAATAATAAATATTGTTAAAATTTTACTACCCAAAGCGATATACAGATTCAATGCAATCCCAATCAAAATCCCAATGGCATTTTTAATAGAAATAGAAAGAAATATTAAAAATTGATGAGTACAGTAAAAGCTCAGACTTCACCACGATGCAATATATCCCTGTAACACAACTGCATTTATACTTCTAAATTTGCAAGAAAAAATACAAATAAAAACTTATACGGAGCAATACAAACTTCAAGTAGCCAAAACACATCTGAAAATAGACAAAAAGTCAGAAGCCTCATCATAGCTTCTGATGGATAATTATATTACAATGTTAAAATAATTGAAACAGTACAGGACTGGCATAAAAACAGACACATAGACCATTGGAGCAAAATAGAGAGCCCAGAAATAAATTCAAACATAAATAGTTAACAAATTTTTGACAAGAACACAAAGACATAATAGGGGAAAGGATAATCTCTTCATCAAATGGTCCTGAGAAAACTTGATTTCAACATGCAAAAAAAGAGAAAAAGATAAAATGAAATTGGAACCTTGTCTCATCCCATACACAAAAATCAACTGAAAATGGATACAAAAAACTAAATATGAGACCATAAACCATAAAACTCCTAGAAAAGAACAAAGGAGAAAAGCTTCCAGACATTAGTCTTGGCATTGATGTTTGTTTTGGATATCACACCAAAAGCTCAGGCCACAAAAAGAAAAATAAATACACAGGATTACATAAATTAAAACATGTCTTCACAGCAAAGGAACCAATCAACAAAATATTTGCAAATTACATATCTGTTAAATAGCCAATGTTCAAAATTTATAAATAATTCATACAACTCAATAGTGAAAAAGTAAACAACCCAATTAAAAAGTGAGAAAAAGGCTGGGCACAGTGGCTCACGCCTGTAATCCCAGCACTTTGGGAGGCCAAGGTGGGCGGATCATGAGGTCAGGAGATCGAGACCATCCTGGCTAACACGGTGAAACCCCGTCTCTACTACAAATACAAAAAATTAGTCGGGCGTGGTGGCGGGTGCCTGTAGTCCGCAGCTACTCGGAGGCTGAGGCAGGAGAATGGCGTGAACCCGGGAGGTGGAGCTTGCAGTGAGCCGAGATCGCTCCACTGCACTCCAGCCCGGGCAACAGATTGAGACTCTGTCTTAAAAAAAAAAAAAAAAAGAAAAAGAAAAGAAGTGAGAAAAATACTTGAATAGACATTTCTCCAAATAAAACATAAAAATGGCCAACAGGTTTATAAAATAAAATGGTGCTCAGTATCATTAGTCATCAGGGAAACGCAAATCAAAACCACAATAAGATATCACCTAACATCTGTTAGGATGGCCATTATCAAGAAGTCAAAAGATAACAAATATTGGTAAGGATATGAAGATAAAAGAAATTTTGTATGCTTTTAGTGGAATATAGATTGGTACAGTTATTATGGAAATCAGTATGAGGATTTCTAAAGAAATTAAAAATAAAACTACCATATGACCCAGCAGTCTCTCCTCTGGGCATGTGCCCAAAAGAAAAAATCACCACCTCATAAAGGAATCTGCACTCCCATGTTTATTGCATTATTATTCATAATAGCCAAGAGAAAACAACTTAATTGTCCAATGATGGGTGAATGGGTAAAGTAACTGATACATAAATACAATGGAACATTATTTAGCCCTAAATTAAAAATGAGATATTGCTATTTGCCACAAAATGGATGAGACTGGAACATGTTATGCTAAGTGAAATAAACCAGGAATGAAAAGAACAATATTGCCTGATCTCACTTATTTATGTGGAGTCAAAAAAAATTTCAAATAGAGAGAGATGGAGAGAGGAGAGAATAAGACAGTAATTACTAGGGGTGGGAAAAGAAAAGGGGGGGAAAATGGGGAGATGTGTGTCAAAGGATACAAAGCAGCACATATGTAGGTTGAACAAGTTTAGATATTTAATATACCACATGAGGACTATAGGGGATTAAATTTTACTGTATATCTAATTCATGCTAAATAATTAGATTTAAGCTTCTCTTGCCATAAAACAAAAAATATGGGTAACTATGAGAAAAGATGAATGGAGGTGTTAATTTGCTTCACTTTAGTAGCTTGTTAGTACTTACATGTATCTTTTATCATCAGGTTGTGTGCCTTAAACATACACAATCAACATTTATATTTTTAAAGTCTTGAAAAAGAAGAACAAAGGTGGAGGCATCACATTTCCTGATTTCAAAATATACCACAAAGCTACAATAATTAAAACATTATGAGATTGGCATAAAGACAGACATGTAGACAACGAGAACAGAATAGAGAGGACAGAAATAAATCCAGGTCAAGTGATCTTCATCAAGTGTGCCAAGAATTAGAAAGGATAATATCTTAGTTCATTCAGGCTACTATAACAAAATACCTTAAATTGAAAAATTTCTAAACAATATAAATTTATTTCTCATAGTTTTTGAGGCTGGGAAATCCAAGATTATGGTGCCAGCAGATCCTGTCTGATGAAGGCCTGTTTCATAGGTGCTATTTTCTTGTGGCATCTTCAGATGGTGACAGAAGCAGGGGGAACAAAAAAGCAAGCACTAGGGTCCTTCCTTCAACCTCTTTTATAACAGCCCTAATCCATTAATGATGGTGAAACCCTCAGTACTTCATCATTTCCCCAAATGCCTCACCTGTTAATAGCACCACCTTGGGTTTAAGTTCCAACATATGAATTTTGGAGGGACACGTGCATTCAAATCATACCCAATAGTCTCTTCAACAAATAATGCATTGCACATGCAAAAGAATAAACTTGGATCCTTACCTTATACTTAAAAATGAACTCAGTATGGATTAAAAACTTAAATGAAAATTATACATTTCAAGTATAACGTAAATATATCCCAGTAAGAATAATTAACTAGTATTATTAAATTTCTTTTATTCACTACATTTGAATACAGGGTAAATAAGGCAATGCAGTTATTCTGGTGGATATAATTTGATGACTCTTTGTCACCTATAGTACAGATACAGGATGCTAACAAACCACAGCAAATACAAAATACATGTGACACAGGAGGAAATAAAGGCCTGTATGCCTAGAGAAAAAGATACCTTTCTATGTGTGTATTAGGTACATATAAAATGGATTATTATAGGGATTTTTACCTTCTCTGATTGTGGGAGATGATTAAACAATACTTTCACAGCTGTTGCCTTTGCATTTGAATCTGGAGGGCTTGGAGCTAACAGGGCGAGGAGTTTAAAATTTCTTTTTGTGTCCTACCCTAACTGTAAACACATATGGAGGGAAATAATGGAAAAAGTTGCTCCACCCGGCCGAGTTGACACAATACCATGATACCACAATGTGGATTCTTTTTTTGTTTATGATGGGCAAAAATGTGGATATAGATATATGAGGAGTAACTACCAAGACATTATGGTTAATACAAAGAAATGTTTGATTTTGTTGGGAGAAAATTAACTGATAGTTTTTCCTCACCGTGTTGACTTCTGTTCACTTATTCTATTGAATTAACTCATCCTTTGTACTCAAAATCCCAAATCAAAGGCATCATTTATTTGGAATTATGTTAGCCATTTGACTAAATTTTGAAAATATGCCAGTAAAAACACAAAGCTTCAAATTTTACCTGCTCAAAAATTCTTGTCAAACAATTGGATAAAAAAAGGTACATTTCCTTGTAGGCATCTATGTACTGCTTTATGATTGATCCAGAAATGAGAATGTTTATCATTCTCATCAATTTTAGCATACACCCAAACTTTACTTCCGCCCCCACAAATAAAGCAAATTTTGGTTATATTAAAATGAGTTACAAAATTCGAGATTCAGACCGTTATTATCTCTACAGCATCACTGGCATCAGTCTGTAATGAATGGTGTAAAACTGCAGAATCTGTCAGATTATGGACATCGATCTGTGAAACTTGAACAGTTCAGCTCCTGACACCCTACATGCCATCATTCATGTGCATATGTAAAATAAATAGTTGTTGATCATATCTAATACTATTTAGATAATAGCTCAGGGTAATAGAGATGAATAATTTTAAATATTACTTGTATGCAACCTCACATTAGAGAGATGTATGAAGATTCTTTTCCGGAAATAAATACCTATTCTAAAAGCAACGAGAAGGTCTGATCTCCCATTCATCATTTCCTTGTCCCTATTTTGTTGTCTTTTTATATTTAGATTTAAATAATATATTTCTATTCATTATTTTTTATATGGAAATGAATAAAATAGGGAGAACATATGCAGTAATGCTTAAGGGTCATAATCTCCAAAGATAATCCTTCTCACTCCCTTGGAAAACTAATAATTATTGATTGCTCCCTTTGTGACAGAAACTGTGCTGGACATTTACAGGCATTACACAATATTCTGCATGATTATCCCATAAAGTACAATTTTGTTACTCCCATTGCACAGAAGAGGAAACAAGTAAAGTAGGGCAGTGGACCATTTTAGCTTACCTTCGCTTTAAAATACGTTGAAAAAGCATTTACTCAAGTTTAATTTTGTTTAATTCAGTATTCAAAATTACATTATTAGATGTTTGCATAGCTTTCCAGTATATTGCAAGTACTTGCATTGTTTCAAAGAAATATTACATTATTTAAAAAAGTATATAATTTAAATATGACATTTGAATATCTTTCATTATTCATTACAAAAAGTATTGTCCTCTAACTGTGGGAAATTTTTACTGTTCCTTTTCTCTCTGATATTGTCTTTACATTTAATTTTACCCACAGAATTTTATACTAATGAGGTTTTTTTTGCTTGATTTTATCTTATTAATCCCACCATCATACGTTTCTGTAACCAAAAATATAAACATATATTGAAATTTTGTTTTTAAAAATTGTAGTTGACCATAAGACTCTAGGTATTTAAACATTTGTCTAGAATTATCATATATATTATCTTTACAAAATATTAAAACAATACCAACATTTGCATACTGATAATTATTCAAAAAATTATATTTTTGAAAATATATATTAAGATAAATTATTTGCTAATTAATTAATGTATTTGTGGATGAATAATATTCTTCACTAGAATGCAAAAATTATTTTCCCAGAAAAATATGAAAAATTTTAATACATCTCAGCTACTAATATATTTTTGGATAAAACAATTTTAATTTCAAAAAATATGTTGATGTGCTTCCTAATGACAACTGTCATATACCAGAATACTAATTTGGAGGAAAGGTCTCTTTCACACACGGACACACACAGACACACACATACATACACACTATTCATGCATGGCATACCAATGTTTTGGTCAATGGTGAACTGCATATACAATGTTGGTCTCAGAAAATTATAATAGCCGTGAAATACCTATTCTCTAGTGATGTCATAGCTGTCATAATGTCATAATTAAAGGCATTATTTACATATTTGTGATGATGCTTGTGTGTAAACTGAACTACTGTGCTGCCAGTCATAAAAATGTATAGCACATACAATTATGTACAATACCTAATTCTTCATAATGAAAGTAGATGACTATGTTGCTGGCTTATGTATTTACTACACTCTATATTATTTTAGCACTTACTCTTTCTACTTATAAAAATAGTTAACTATAAAACATCTTCAGGCGGGTCCTTCAGGAGGCATTCAGGAGAAGGCATTGATATCATAGGAGATGACAGCTCCATGTGTGTTATTAAAAACTTTGTAGTGGGACAAGATGTGGAGATGGAAGACAGTGATATTGATCATTCTGACCCTGTTTAAGTCTATGCTAATGTGTGTGTTTGTGCCTTAGTTTTTAACAAAAAAAGTTTTAAAAGTGAAAAAAACGAGAAAACAAAAAGAGAACCGTAAAAATACAGAAAAGCTTATAGATAAGGATATATAGAAAAAATATTTTTATACAGCTGTATTATGTGCTTATGTTCTCAGTTAAGGGTTATTACAAAAGGGTCAAAAGGTTAACAAAATTAAAAAGCTTATAAAGTAAAAAAGTTGCACTAAGCTAAGGTTAATTTATTATTGAAGAAAGAAACACTTTAAAAATAAATGTAGTGTAGCCTAAGTGTACAGTGTTTATAAAATCAACAATAGTGTACCGTAATAATTCTGGGCCTTCACATGCACTCACCACTCACTCACTGACTTTAGAATCCTCAAACTCCGTTAATGGTAAGTGCCATATCCAGGCATACCAATTTTAATCTTTTTTTTTTTTTTCTTTTTTCTTTTTTGAGACTGAGTCTCGCTCTGTTGCCCAGGCCGGAGTGCAGTGGAGCCATCTCGGCTCCCTGCAAGCTCCGCCTCCCAGGTTCATGCCATTCTCCTGCCTCAGCCTCTGGAGTAGCTGGGACAACAGGCGCCTGCCACCACGCCCGGCTAATTTTTTTTTTTTTTTTTTTTTTTTTTTTAGTAGAGACGGGGTTTCACCGTGTTAGCCAGGATGGTCTCCCTGTCCTGACCTCGTGATCCGCCCGCCTCGGCCTCCCAAAGTGCTGGGATTACAGGCGTTAGCCACCACCGTGCCCAGTGTATCTTTTCCATGTTTAAATACACAAATACCGTTGTGTTACAATTGTCTGCAGTATTCAGCACGGTGACATGCTGTATAGGTTTTTAGCCCAGTACGATTATGTTACACCATATAGCCTAGATATGTAGTAGGCTATACCATCTAGGCCTGCGTATATGCGCTCTATGATGTTCACACAACAAATTGCCTAATGCTGTGTTCTCAGAAAGTATCCTCATCATTAAGCATGACACTGTGTGTGTGTGTGTGTGTAGAGAGAAAGAGAGAGAAAGGCTTCACTTCATTATTTCTTACTGATGCTGTCTTTGTTTTGTTCTGATAGAGTTCTCCCTCAGAAACAATACATTTTTTTTGGCAATAATCAGAGCATGGAAGAGGAAAGATAGTGAAATAATAATTATTTTTTATTTTTTGTCCCCACCTTTCTATCCTATATCTGATTTCAGAATTTCCAACAAAACCCCAAATATTTCATTTCTAATGGTATATTTGCACTTAGTAAAAATGTAAAAAGACCCTGAAACCTAGAAGGGGTTTATGGAACCCTATTTAAAGGGGCTTCACCAACACAAATAATTTGAATTGGCCATTTCTTTGGCACTCCAGAAATTTTAAAACCCCGGGAAAATTTGCCAGGAAAACATTTGAGTTAGATGTGATTTTTTCCTTAATTTGTCAAACAGAAGAAAGGTAATTATGATACAGAATGTGGGAAAGGAAATCTTGTGTGACACCTTGACTGCGAGCACATTCCTAGGCAGGTTGATTTTGGAAAATAGCACATATTTGAGGTTCTGGAAACTGACTTTCTGAAATCACCCATGAATGTCCTTGGAAACTCTCTCTGTACATTCAGGAATCCATGTTTGAAGCCCACTAGTTTAGAGAAGTTAAATAATTTGCAAAAGACCACAGGGACAACAAACTTGTATTTAAGTTAAAACATTCTTACTTCAGAAACAAAGTTCTTAACCACTGCACTACAGTCCTTTCATTTATACTAGTACCTTTATTAAAGATAAATTCTACTTAGAAAGAAATGCCCACTACTCTTTAGCATTTGCAAGTTTTATAATGTCTTATTCATATTTTTTATTGTACAATGATGCTATTTTAATTGCCTTGATCTGCAATATTGCATTTGTATAATGGAACTGGTATGTTTTTTCTTTCATATAGTTCTAATTTTTGGAAATTGAATTTAGGCCTCAGAAAATTGTATATCAATTTAAATTCTCGAATAAAGTTTCTACATTTTAATTTAGAACATTTTATAGTAGTAAGGTAATGACATTTAAAAAGCAATTTTTTGGTGCTCAGACTTTTGGTTTGGCTATTCTATGCATCTGTAATTTTCTTATTCCACTTTATATTAATACAATACCACAACATTATTATAAGATAAACATTTCCATTTCATTCCTTAGGAAAAACTCACAATTTTGTTTTAAAAACATTAATCATAGTAATTACCACCCTAAATTAATACCATATATTCAGAATAATCTGTTTCCCTCTGCCAGCTGGAAATCTATTTGTCACTAGCACACAACTGCTATCGAGAGATCAAGATAATGCTTCCTTCCCAGAATATTTTTACTGTTTGACATGGCTAACATGAAGGTTATAATATTTTCCTTGTATTTTCTCAAAGTGTTACGATTTATTATCAGTAAATTGTTTGAGGTATTCAATATTGTACTTACCACTGAAATCCAGAAAAAGAGAGGTAGAGTGAAGAAGGAAGAAGGAGAGGAAGGGAGGAAGATAGGGAGGGGAGGGAGAAAGGAAGGAAGAAAAAGAAGGAAGGAAGGGAAGAGGGAGAGAGGGAGGGAGAGAAGGAAGGAAGGAAAGGAGGGATGAAGGGAGGAAGAGAGGAAGGAAGGAAATCATTAGAACTGCCCAGCTTTTTTGGAACCACGTTTACAGGACTTGAGTGTTAAACCCTGATTAATGTCTGCATGTAGCCTTTCTTGGTCCTAACCCTGAGCCCCGGGGTAGCAGGAAAGCATGGCCAGCCTCTTGCACTGCTTTGTCTCCAAAATAAACTACTGAAAAAACAAACAAGCAACAACAACAATAAAAAAAAAAGGAGGAAGGAACAAGGAAGAAAGGGAGAATGAAGGAAAGGAGAAAGTAAGTAAAAAAAGAAGGAAAGAGAAGAAAACAAGTCATACGAAACAGGTATTGAGGAAAGAAATGTAGACCTAGAAGGGAGCTTATATATCATCCAGATCAATTATTTTATTTTCTAGACTGGCATATCATCACTCAGTGCAAATTTGGAACTGAAACCCATATATTCTGTTGAAATATTAGAGAAATAACAAATCAGTCTTCTCACCATATTCTTTCCTTGTAGTGGAGTAGTCTCTTTTTCACAATAAAGTTTTTATGTCTGCCTGGTTTTTGGATATTGCTTCTTAAATCTCCCACACAGTTATTACTAATAATTCTACAGAAGTTGTAAAATAGACAATGAAAATCTGTGAGCTGCTTGAGCTGCAATAGAAATTGTAGATGTTTAATAATGCTTCACAGGAAAAACTGCAGTGTCCTGGTTTTAGCTCAAGAGGGTAACCCAGTTTAGCTCAGATCCTAACCCATAAATTATTTTCTCTATCCCAAAGTAAGTACTATAAAAATGCCCAATCTACCAATGCAGACTTTGAAACACTGATGCAGGAGGCTAAAATAGAGACATTTGTAGTACCAGTCAAGTGTAAAAAGGAATCTTTCCTATTAAAAAATAGCTCACGATAAGTATTTTGTAGAGTTTGTTAGAGGCGAAGAATTCTCCCTTGCAATAACATGACTGAGACTGAAAGCTGATTAGAGGCAGAATTTCTGTGCATATAATGTCCAGTCTCATGTTTGTTTACAGAGTGTCTTTAAGTCCTCCAACTTTCTTGATTTACCCCCTCCTCTCTTTCTCCCTCCTCCTTTTCTAGAAAAACTATAGGTTCATCTCCAATTCCATACTTTTAGACTGTATTTTGTCTATCAGTCAAGAATTTTGTGAATAATCAGATTAAAGTGTATATTCTCCAGATTCAGGAAATATGTTCACCCTTCTACCCACAATGTCAGACCTCCTTCTATAAAGATCATCCATGCTAAACACTGTCCCACTTGTTCTGTCTTCCAAAGAACCACTTAAAAGGGCAGTTGTAGGTAGTAGCAGTTATTGTGATTTTTTTGAGAAGGTAGCCCACTACAGGGCAGCACACAAACCATTTCCAAGTAAATGTTACACATTTTTGTTCAGGTTTTATGATGACTGGAAATTTCTCACTAGTTTGCTTTCTTCTCAGCGTCAAAGAAAAAATTGCTCTGTATTGGGGGAACCCACCCCCAATATTTTGACATAGGTTCTTTCTATTTTCCATAAGTGTCAGTTGGCTGAGAAATAAACAGAAAGAGTACAAAGAGAGGAATTTTACAGCTGGGCCACCAGGGGTGACATCACATATCGGTAGGACCATGATGCCTGCCTGAGCCTCAAAAGCAGCAAGTTTTATTAAGGGTTTCAAAAGGGGAGGGAGTGTAAGAACAGGGAGTAAGCACAAAGAACACATGCTTTTGTAAACACAAAGAACACATGCTTCAAAAGGCAAAAAGCAGAACTAAAAATGGTCTAACAAAGATCACATGCTTCTGAGGGAACAAGACAAAGGGCAAAAGCAGAACTACTGATAAGAGTCCAACAAAGATCACAAGGCAAAGGGCAAAAGCAGAACTACTGATAAGGGTCTATGTTCAGCGGTGCACATATTATCTTGATAAACATCTTAAATCACAGAAAACAGGGTTCGAGAGCAGAGAACTGGTCTGACCACAAATTTACCAGGGTGGAGTTCTTCCCCACCCTAGTAAGCCTGAGGGTACCGCAGGAGACCAGGGCATATCTCAGTCCTTATCTCAACCGCATAAGACAGACATTGCCAGAGTGGCCATTTATAGACCTCCCCACAGGAATGCATTCCTTTCCCAGGGTATTAATATTAACATTCCTTGCTAGGAAAAGAATTTAGCGATATCTTCCCTACTTGCAAGTCCATTTATAGGCTCTCTGCAAGAAGAAAAATATGGCTCTTTTTGCCCAACCCTGCAGCCAGTCAGACCTTATGGTTGTCTTCCCTTGTTCCCTAAAAATTGCTGTTATTCTGTTCTTTTTGAAGGTGCACTGATTTCATATTGTTCAAGCACATGTTTTACAATCAATTTGTACAGTTAACACAATTATCACAGTGGTCCTGAGGTGACGTACATCCTCAGCTTACCAAGATAACAGGATTAAGAGATTAAAGACAGGCGTAAGAAATTATAAAAGTATTATTTGGGAACAGGTAAATGTCCATATTAAAATGAAATCTTCACAATTTATGTTCCTCTGCCGCAGCTCCAGCTGGTCCCTCCATTCGCAGTCCGTGACTTCCCGCAACAGCTCTGGGTGGAACAAAATAGGCAAGATTATTTCAATAGGGGAGCTGAACTCAACATCATGGAAACAGAAGGCAGGAGAGTTTTGTGTGTGTGTGTGTGTGTGTGTGTGTGTGTGTGTGTGTTTAACAAATTTATTGAGGTATAATTAATATACTAAAATAATCTGCACATGTTTAATGTATATAATTTAGTTTGCACATATGCACACACCATCACCAAAAAGTAACAAACATATTCATCACATCTTTGTGTTCCTTTATATGTGTGTCTTTTTAAAAAAAAAAAAGGTGAAAATACTTAACAGGAGATCTAACCTCGTAGCAAAATTTTGTGTACAATACATATTATTAACCCTTGGCACTTGATATAGTTTGGCTGTGTCCCCATCCAAATCTCATCTTAAATAGTACTAATCCCCACGTGTCAAGGATGGTGCCAGTTGGAGATAGTTGAATTATGGGGGTAGTTTCCCCCACACTGTTCTCATGGTAGTGAATAAGTCTCATGTGAGATGATGGTTTTATAAATGGGAGTTTCCCTGCATAAGCTCTCTTGCCTGCCACCATGTAAGATGTGACTTTGCTCCTAATTTAATGCCTTCTGTCATGATTGTGTGGCCTCCCCAGCCATGTGGAACTGTGAGTCCATTAAACCTCTTTCCTTTATAAATTACCCAGTCTCGAGTACATCTTTATTAGTAGCACGACAACAAACTAATACAGCATTATATTTTACAGTAAATCTCTAGAACTTATTCATCTTAAATAACTGAAACTTTGTCCACATCGAGCAACAAATTCCCATTTCTGCCTCCCCAAGATCCTGAATAGCTAAAGCGATCTTGAGAAGGAAGAAACCCGAAGTCATCACACTCCCTGACTTCTGGATTTATTACAAAGCTACAGTCATTAAAACATCTGATATTAGCATAATGACAGACATATAGACCAATGAAACAGAATAGAGAGCCTGGGAATAAACCCACACATGTTTAGTCAATTCATCTTCAACAAAACTGCCAAGAATACCTAATAAGGAAAAGACAATCTCTTCAACTAATGGTATTGGGAAAGCTGAATATCCACGTGCAAAAGAATGAAATTTTGCCCTTATTTTACACCATACTCAAAAATCAACTCAAAATCATATTGACCAACCTCCCTCCTAAAGTCCTCCAGTGTTTTTCCCCTAGCTAACCCTAGCTTCTAAAAACTCTTCCACCTTCAGTCACTGGAAACCAGCATTCTGCTCTCTAAGCAAAAAGAACAAAGCTGGAGGTGTCAGAGGCGTGTGAACCAGAGCAACTCTAACTTAAATAGGAGCTAGGTAAAATGAGGCTGAGACCTACTGGGCTGCATTCCCAGATGGTTGAGGTATTCTAAGTCGAAAGATGAGATAGGAGGTCGGCACAAGATACAGGTCATAAAGACTTTGCTGATAAAACAGGTTGCAGAAAAGAAGCCAGCAGTGGCTCACGCCTGTAAGCCCAGCACTTTGTGAGGCACAGGCAGGTGGATCACGAAGTCAAGAGATCGAGACCATCCTGACCAACATGGTGAAACCCCGTTTCCACTAAAAATAGAAAAATCAGCCAGGCGTGGTGGCGGGCACCTGCAGTCCCAACTACTCAGGAGGGGCTGAGGCAGGAGAATCGCTTGAACCTGGGAAGTGGAGATTGCAGTGAGCCGAGATCGCTCCACTGCACTCCAGCCCAGGCGACAGAGTGAGACTGCCAAAAAGAAAGAAGCAGGCTAAATCCTACCAAAACCAAGAAGGTGATGAGAGCGACCTCTGGTTGTCCTCACTGCTACACTCCAACCAGCGTCATGACAGTTAACAAATGCCATGGCAACGTAAGGAAGTTACCCTATATGACCTAAAAAGGGGAAGCATAAATAATCCACCCCTTGTTTAGCGTATCATCAAGAAATAACCGTAAAAATGGGCAACCAGCAGCCCTCGGGGCTTCTCTGAGTATGGAGTAGTCATTCTTTTATTCTTTTACATTCTTAATAAACTTGCTTTCACTTTACGGACTTGCAGTGAATTCCTTCTTGCGCGAGATCCAAGAAACCTTTCTTAGGGTCTGGATCGGGACCCCTTTTCTGCAACAGAGGCATCACACTACCTGACTTCAAACTCTTCTGTAAGGCTACAGTAACCAAAACAGCATGGCACTGGTATAAAAACAGACACACAGACCAATGTGATTGGGCCATCTGTGTTTTCTAATTGGCTAATTTGTGTTTATAGAAGTTAAACTACCTCCCATAGAGATGGAGTAAGAGGCACTGTCTTTCTTTGTGATTACATTTTAAAGAGATGGCTCCCAGGTTCGTGGGAAAGACATTCCTAGTTGTAATACTGGCAATAGGCAAGGACAAGATTTATGTTTCACAGAAACTTATAACAAATTTACAATGGCAAGTTTTCTGAAGTAAATGCTCTAGGATAATAGAGGTCAGGGGTCTATAGTCAGGAAGAAGCCTGTCTAAAGTTTAGTCGAACTGCGCGGAACCTTAACGTCATCTTGGTGATTAACATCCTAACATCCTAGATGCATGCTTCTTGCTAAACCATTCTCTTTTTCACAACTTTTACAAGTCCCCTCTTTTTTAAATGCACACATTATTCTTGAGTAAGTGCAGAAACTGCAAATTCCACTTCATGTAGTGTGCAGAAAGATCAGTTTTCTGTATTTTTTTTTTTTTAATCTTTCAGAAAACATATTAGGGATGAGGACTGTGAAGAAACCCTCATGTTTTGCAGCTAAAGGGCCCTTTTCCCAAGCAAGGTGTCTTCACACTGGTGTGAATTGAGCCACTTTGTATCTGAAACTTGCTGCAGTAAAATTATTTATTTGAACAATATATTTTCTTTCATCACAAGAAAATAGAGGTCAAGGTTCCGATGCAACTATCGTGAAATGTAAAAAACAAAACAAAACACAGTTCACATATGCCCCAAACATGCCACAGGGCAAAGGGCTGCGGTTAATCTGTGTCTGTGCCTTTAATGAATGCAAAGGAGCCTCAGGAAGAGGTAAATTACTCACCTATCTTTGCTTCTTGGGAAGTTTCTTGTGTTCATGTAATGAGTTTTACACTAATCTCTCTGGGCTATATGAATTTGTGTGCAGTTCTTTTAGTTACTAAGCCTTCATTAAGCTGATTGCCAAATGGATACATTTTAGTTTTTAAAGCCTGAGACTTTTTATTCCTTTTCCAACTCTGCATTACTATTTATATGAAGCCACGAAAGCACACCCCTCTCAAAGGAGAGTTAATGGACTAGTTTTGCCTGTTTTCTAGTTCAGAAGGGTATTTCCCATGGGGAAAATCATAGTTTCACTAACCATTGCTGGAGCACTTTCCTGCTTTAAAATGCTGCCTTGGGGCTTTTAGTGGGTGTCTGTGAAGAAAAGTGACAGATTGGATACAATAGGACTAACCTTCACTTCATGGATAAAGCTGCTGCTCGTTACAGAAAATCTTTGTGCGCTCAGCTGAGGAATTTCCTCCCTTCCCTGAGGACTCTCAAGTAGGGGTAATAAAGGGTCTTGATTCTTTACCTCTTTTATTAAACCAGCAGATTGATATCTGGAAGGAGACTTTGACGATCTAAGGAACGATGTTATAATTATGCTGGAACCGCCGGTTCCCATGTTACTTTTTCATCAGTCACCCTATTACCCATAGAAATTATCAAGGTTGAGAGGCAGAGGATATGGAACAGACAGACTCCACGTTTCTATTAGGCAATAACTATGCCAGCAGCTGAAAGAATGCATTTGAAATGACACTTTTTTCCCCTTTAGGGAGAAGATCCATGCATCTACCCATGTATGAAAGCCACATATTTAGTTCTCAATACTATGTTCTGAATCTTTAGATTCATCATCTAAGCATTTTGCTTTAGTTCTTTTCTCTGTCAAGCTTCTATTTATGCTTGTCTATTTAGGATTAGTTCTTCTTAGTCAAGCAAAATTATGTAAAACATACTTTTGAAAATACCAAATTAGTTTTTACTGATTTGATATTAAACATCTTAACATTTTCAAGAGCCAAATCACTTATCTATGTATTGCCAAACTGCTAGTATTTTCATATATGCATCAGTTGGTTAAAGTGAATCAATGTACTTTTAATGTTTTCACTTACGCACATGTCTCTTACGTCAATAAATATTCACAATTTGTACTTGTCATGGACAGTGACAACAATTACTAGAAAGGCTATCATATATATGTACCTTACATTAATATAGAAGTTTAATGCAACCTTAGAAAATCCCTAAGCTGTTTTTATAAATTTGTTATAATCACTCCAAAGTAGTACATCAAAATGAAATGATTGAAAAAATCATAGTAGCGATTTTGAATAAAGAATAATGATGAAAGAGACATAAGCTTTCAGATACTAAATAATTATCATAAAGCACAATCATTAATTCACCATATTACCAGGACAAAAAAAAATCATTGGAATAAATAAATATAGAAGCAAACCCTGCACATAACGATTTAGAGCATAATATTCATAGTTAAGGAGTCAATAGGACTATTGATAAACTGTGTAATAAAATGAATCAAGCTAGAATACACCTTATATTTTTCAGTAAAATAAATTCCAGAAGATAAATCAAGTTGAATTAAGTAAAATTATACCTGAAAAACTAGAAAAATACTGAAATATTTCTAAACATAGGGGAGGAATTTCTAATAATAAATATCACAAAAGGATTAACAAAGAATTTGTGTGATATATTGGTAACCATCTATACAACGAATCCCAACTGACATTAAAATACCTGTGATATATAAAGACAAATATCTGCCATAATTAAATTGAAGGCTTAACGTATGTAATATATAAAGTAGTTACTAAATAGATTTAAATAAAACTCAAATTTACAGATCAAAGAATGGGTGATATCTATGGAAGAGAACGTAGAAAAAAATCACAAAAGGCTAATATATGTGCAAAAACTTCACATTAATAATCAAAGAAACAATATTTCTAATAGTGAGATTTTTAAAAATGATATGGTTTGGAAAATATTTTAAAATTATATGAATATTCTCTTTGGCAAGATCATAGTATAACAATTCCCAAACCTGTTAGCCTAAATCGTTTTTATAATAAATATCTGTAATACCCCTTGACAATTCTAAGATGAAATTCATAAAAACAAACTACTAACTGAATTAAGTTAGAGACAAAAATAAAATACAATGTCTAATTGGAATATAAAAAATAAAAAGTGAGGCCGGGCGCTTTGGCTCACGCCTGTGATCCCAGCACTTTGGGAGGCCGGGGCGGGTGGATCACGAGGTCAGCAGATCGAGACCATCCTGGCTAACATGATGAAACCCGGTCTCTACTAAAAATACAAAAAATTAGCCGGGCGTGGTGGCGGGCGCCTGTAGTCCCAGCTACTCGGGAGGCTGAGGCAGGAGAATGGCGTGAACCCGGGAGGCGGAGCTTGCGGTGAGCCGAGATCGCGCCACTGCACTCCAGCCTGGGCGACAGAGCGAGTCTCCATCTTAGAAAAAGAAAAAAAAGGTGATTACTCAAATTTACTAATAATACCGATGACAAAGAAACTGATGTATGTGGTCTGTTAGTAAGATTCTTGGTGATGATTTTTGATGAAGAATACTGTGAACTGATGAATTGATAAAACATCTGATACACCTTCTGAACTGTTGCTGTATGTTCATTTTTGCTGAACAACTATTCCTATTGTTAATGTTTCATTTGTTATACAGCAATGACATTGCAAAATTTTTTTCAACAAAATTATTGTTAGGGGGTTAAATACAGGCAGACTTTTGTATCTATTTTCAGTAATTTTATGCAAACAGGAATGCATTATGATTACCTAGGATGTTTCTCTCATTTGAATTTAAAATTTGCTTGCCTACCATTCATTGTTACATAGCTAATTTTCAAATATTCCCCTTATCAACTTTCCTCAAAACAGTATCACTTCTGAATGTAATAGAAGAAATTATTTTATTTGAATTTCTTTTCATCAATGGACAGCTGCTATGATTAATTATTTTTGTAAGATTGCATGGTCTTTCATGTTTTGTGATATTGGTACTGTTCTGAAAGTAATTAAAACTCTATTCTATTATTTAGTTTTTTTTAAATAAAACATTTCTGTGACAATTATGGTTTTTAAACTTCCCTTTAAATCTTAGGTCTGTGCCTGTTTTATGAGCTATTGCTTTACAAGATTTTCCATTAATCATTATGATTCCATTATTTATTAGAGAGAAATGTGCTGGTAGAATAGGCATACTGGTAAATCATTAGTGAGTAAATTGATAAGCACAATTTGTAAATATTCAGCTTGAAGATGATAGATCCTTATGCTTTATATTAAGCATTTTTTTATTTTTTATAATTTATTGAGGAATAATTTATAAAAATTATAGATATTGCCATTGTAATATATACAATTTTTATATTTGATATATTAATGGAAGGCTAATTTACCATGAATGTGGCTGCAAACAAATATAGATTAATATGCATAATATGTGTTGTAATTAAACCATTATGAGCAATATCACTGTGAACGATGTGATTTTCTGATACGGTGAATTAATCTTATAAGTTTTAAACAAAACAAAGTTTTATAGTAATCATAATAACTTACAATAACTTACCAGGATGCTTAATATGCTAGGTACTGCTCTAAGGGATTGATATATTTTCACCCATTTAATGCCCAGTGACTACCCTAAGTGATAGATACTCTTGTAATTCCTATTTTATAGGTGAAGAATCTGATTCAGGGAGAGGCAAATACTTCGCATAAGATCAGAGATATTTGCAGAAGATAGAACAACTGGTTTCTGAACCCAAGATCATAAGCCCTAACCACTGAAGTCTAAATGTACGTGATGAGTTTAGTGTGAAATACATTATAAATTGAACTAGTTTAGTATTTTGTTGAGGATCTTTATATATATTTATGTTCATGGAAGATGTTTTTCTTTAGTTATTATTTTTTTTCTTTTAAAATCGATGTCCACTTTTGCTATCAGGTTAACTGGAAAGTATATCTTATTCCATGTTTGAAACACATTGTGTAGAATTAGTGTTACTTCTTCTATACATATTTGGTACAATTAATCAGTAAATTAATTTATTCCTAGAGATTTCATTTTCATAACATTTCTAACTACAAATTAAATTATATTAAAAGTTAAATGACATTTCAGGTTACCTATTTCTTCTTACATGAATATTGACAATTTGTTGCTTTGGAGGAATTGTTCTATTTTATGTAAGTTGTCAAATTTATGTGCTTAGACCTGTCTATAATATTTAATTGTTATACTTTTAATAGTCATATAGACTACAGTGATAACCCCTCCTTCAACCCTCATATGGGTAATTGGTTTCTCCTCTATCTTTATTAGTTAATCTGGCTAGAAGTTTATTAATTTTATTAACACTTTCAAAAGAATCACCTTTGGTTTTATTAATTTTGTTCAACTTTTTTCCTATTTTTCAATTTAATTGATTTCTGATCTTTATTATCCTCTTCTTTTTTACTTTATGTATACTTTATATTTATTTTCCTGGTAGTTTAAGGTAGAAACTTAGATTGCTGGTTTGAGACTTTTCTAATAGAAGTATGTGATATGCTTAATGCTATAATTTTCTCACTAAGCACTGCTTTAACTGCATCCCACAAATTTTTAGTTGTTCTATTTCCTTTTTATCTCAGTTCAAAATAAATTTCCAGTGGGACCTTTTTTATTGACTCACAGTTTATTTAAAAGTATGTTTAATTCCCAAATTCCAGCTATCTTTCTGTTTTTGACTTGTGCTTTAATACCTTTGTGGTGTATTTTTTATTTAAGTTTATTAAAATTTGTTTTATGATCTAGGATATGGTCTATCTTGCTGTATGTTGCATAAGCACTTGAAAAAAATGTGGTTGGAGTGTTTAAAAATGCCATTTGATCCAATCCATCGATGGCATTGTTTAGTTCAGTTATTCTATCATTTGCAGTTTTCTTTCTACTTGTTTTGTTGATTACTAAGATATGGGTTTTGAAGTCTCCAGCTTTAATTGTGATTTTTTTTCATATCTGTTTTCAGTTGTATCTATTTTGCTTCATATATTTTGAAGCTGTGTTAAGTGTATGCATATTTACATTGTTATGTATTCTTGGAGAAATGACTGTTGTATTAATACATAATATTTCCCCTTACCAGTTGCCATTTTCTTTTCTCTGAATTCTACTTTGATAGCAATGGAGCCATTCCAGCATTCTTTAAATTAATGTTTGCAGATATATTGCTTTCTACGTTTTTACTTTATACCTATATCACAATGAAATGTATATATGAATGAAATATATATATATATTTGAATGAATGAAAAAAATATATATATTTATTTAGACAGAGTCTCTCTCCGTCACCCAGGCTGGAGTGCAGTGGCGCCATCTTGGCTCATTGTAATCTCCACCTCCTGGGTTCAAGGGATTCTGCTGCCTCAGCCTCCCGAGCAGCTGGGATTACAGGCATGCGCCACCACACCTGGAGAATTTTTGTATTTTTAGTAGAGATGGGCTTTCTCCATGTTGGCCAGGCTGGTCTCAAACTCCTGACCTCAGGTGATCCACCCTCCTCAGCCTCCCAAAGTGCTGAGATTGCAGGCGTGAGCCACCACAACTGACCAAATTATTTTAGACAGTATATAACTGAAGTTTTTTATTAATCCAATCAAATGCTTTCTACCTTTTAATTGGCATATTTAGACCACTTACACTTATAGTAATTTTCGATGTGTTTTATTTACTCCCCAAATTTTATTATTTATAATTTTTTGATTTGCTACACTTTCCTTGGTTTTTAGTTTTTCTATTTTTCCTTTCCAACCTTTGTTGCATCATTTAAACATTTTTTAGTGTTCTATTTTAGTTTGTGTTTCCTTGCTCTGTCACGCACTTCCTTCTTTGCGGGGAGGGGGCGGTTCCTGTAGCGCAAGGACAGGGTAAGAACAAAAAAAAGCAACAGGAATTTGCCTTATGCTCTTTTTTGTTTTCTTTTGTTTTGCGACAGAGTCTCACTCTGTCTCCCAGGCTGGAGTCCAGTGGCAGGATCACAGCTCACTGCAGCCTTGACCTTTCTGGGCTCAATCAATCCTCCCACCTCAGCCTCCTGCGTGTCTGAGACTACAGGCATGCACCACCACTTTCGGCTAATTTTTTTGGAGACAAGTTTTCCCATGTTGCCCAGGCTGGTCTTGAGCTTCTGGGCTCAAGGTATCTGCCCGCCTTGGCCTCCCAAAGTGCTTGGTAAACTATAATTCCTCCAGTCAACAAGAATGGTCCACTCCTCTTCAGAGTTTTAGGTAACTACCTGTTTTTATGGTCATGACTTTGATATCACTGCTACCATGGTATTGCCCAGGTGTTAAGGTAGAAGGAAAGAGGAAGAAAAATGCAACAGGAGATTTCCTACATGTTCCCTGACTCACAGAGAAAGTCTTTCCTGCTGCTTTGACCATAAATAGAGAAATTCTCTGGCAGTTCTTTATACCTGTACTCACTGTAAACTTTTAGGTTTTCACCTGCCATTGGTGTGGGGGGAAGGGGAGGTAAAACTCACTTCCCTTTCAGGGTAACATAAAATTCTTATTTCCATCTCCCTTCCTGCTGCCACTGCAGTTCTCTGCAAAAAAAAAAAAAAAAAAAAAAGAATGGTCACACTCTTCCAGGTAAGCCCACATCTGGTCATTGAGGCAGAAGTATAAATGGCCAGCTATTCTGATCCAATGCAAGGCAAATCTGATGGGCCATTTTCAATCCTGAGCTCCTTGTGGAGTTGCCACTGAAGTTAGGCTTCTCTCTGTCC
This sequence comes from Homo sapiens, assembly GCF_000001405.40. Lineage (NCBI taxonomy): Eukaryota > Metazoa > Chordata > Mammalia > Primates > Hominidae > Homo > Homo sapiens. The sequence continues at coordinate 114,986,432 of NC_000008.11, read as the reverse complement.
AATCCTCTGATCTCATCTTCTCTTCCACTGGTATTGATCCCAACAATACTTCTTAGTAAACACCCTGCATTAACTGCATGCAAACTCATTCTTATTTCTGGAGAACCCAACCCGTGATGGGATATGCAGAACGGGATGCTGCTGGCAGCTTAGCACTTGACTCCCAGACAGAAAACAGCAAGACTTTTCCCTAGATAAACCGAACCAAGTATTTGGGAAGAACGAGTACTCTTGGAAGTTGGATACTGCTGGCTGCATAGCCCTCTCCATTCTGGAATTTGGAGACTGAGTATCTTAATGTCCAGAAGCTATCTTATAATCTAAAAATAATATGTTTAGGTTAACATACTTATAAGCCAGGTAACATCATAGACGACATAGCCAGTCTTCTATTTCTAGGAAAGAACTAACAAAAAACAAACATTAAATACTTTATGTCTCTAATCCATCTTGAATTAATTTTTGTATGAAGTGTAAGGAAGGGATCCAGTTTCAGCTTTCTACATATGGCTAGCCAGTTTTCCCAGCACCATTTATTAAACAGGGAATCCTTTCCCCATTGCTTGTTTGTGACAGGTTTGTCAAAGATCAGATAGTTGTAGATATGTGGCATTATTTCTGAGGGCTCTGTTCTGTTCCATTGGTCTATATCTCTGTTTCGGTACTAGTACCATGCTGTTTTGGTTACTGTAGGCTTGTAGTATAGTTTGAAGTCAGGTAGCATGATGCCTCATTAGACCTAAAACCATAAAAACCCTAGAAGAAAACCTAGGCAATACCTTTCAGGACGTAGACATGGGCAAGGACTTCATGTCTAAAACACCAAAAGCAATGGCAACAAAAGCCAAAATTGACAAATGGGATCTAATTAAACTAAAGAGCTTCTGCACAGCAAAAGAAACTACCATCAGAGTGAACAGGCAACCTACAGAATGAGAGAAAATTTTTGCAATCTACTAATCTGACAAAGGGCTAATATCCAGAGTCTACAATGAACTCAAACAAATTTACAAGAAAAAAACAAACAACTGCATAAACAAGTGGGCGAAGGATATGAACAGACACTTCTCAAAAGAGACATTTATGCAGCCAAAAGACACATGAAAAAATGCTCATCATCACTGGCCATCAGAAAAATGCAAATCCAAACCACAATGAGATACCATCTCACACCAGTTAGAATGGTGATCATTAAAAAGTCAGGAAACAACAGGTGCTGGAGATGATGTGGAGAAACAGGAACACTTTTACACTGTTGATAGGACTGTAAACTAGTTCAACCATTGTGGAAGTCAGTGTGGCAATTCCTCAGGGATCCAGAACTAGAAATACCATTTGACCCAGCCATCCCATTCATTACTGGGTATATACCCAAAGGATTATAAAACATGCTGCTATAAAGACACATGCACACGTATGTTTATTGCGGCACTATTCACAATAGCAAAGACTTGGAACCAACCAAAATGTCAAACAATGATAGACTGGATTAAGAAAATGTGGCACATATGCACCATGGAATACTATGCAGCCATAAAAAATGATGAGTTCATGTCCTTTGCAGGGACATGGATGAAGCTGGAAACCATCATTCTCAGCAAACCATCGCAAGGACAAAAAACCAAACACCACATGTTCTCACTCATAGGTGGGAGTTGAACAATGGGAACACATGGACGCAGGAAGGGGAACATCACACTCCAGGGACTGTTGTGGGGTGGGGGGAGGGGGGAGGGATAGCCTTAGGAGGTATACCTAATGTTAAATGAGGAGTTAATAGGTGCAGCACACCAACATGGCACATGTATACATATGTAACAATCCTGCACGTTGTGCACATGTACCCTAAAACTTAAAGTATAATAAAAAAATACTTTATGTCTCATTTAAGGAAATAAAAATCAGAGTTACCAGGACAAAATTAGTTACTGCAGTATTAGCATAAAATGTAGATAACCAAGCGCCTAGTTTCTAAAGTAGTTATCCCAGGTAAAACTATATGTTCAATGTCTAGAATTAGTGTCAAACACTGTAGCAAAAATTCTCATGTATGGAAAGGGAGAGGACTTTTGGAAGAATATTCAATTTATCATCACCAAGATGCCCTTCAATGTGGGCCAGTACTTCAGGTTCCATGACCTTGACCTTACATCGTGATGTATCTCCAAATGAGAGGTTAACATTGACCCTGTGGATTTCCTGTATCTGGAGATAAAACCTCCAGATACAGGAATGGGTAAGATGCCATTTTATTAGAGTCAATTGAGAATTTGCTGCCTTCTTGCAAAGCTTACAAATTTGCAAAGGTGAAAAACTTTTAGGATTTTCCTTTCTTTCTTTTTATTTCCTAGAGTTCTATCAAACCTCTAATTTTTCATTTATACTGTAAGCCTCGAATTTTCTCACACTGTAGTGCTGTATTTGCCATGGGAGTCAACTAGTAACAATTTCTCATGAGCAAATGTCTTCAGTACACAATGTTGTTTCCACTGCCTCTTGCTGTGTAATTTCTTAGGTCAATAAACGCTGCCTCCTAGGGAAGGATTTCCCTTCACATTTCCCCCCCAATCAGGAGAATCACTCTTAACAAAATCTTCACCTGAAGCTATATTTATTGCTTTTGGAAGCCTAGTTAAGATGAAAACTTCTGCCAAAAATTCTGTATCTCATCATTTATTTTTCATAAACATTTAATTGGAGTAAGTTGAGATTTACAGAAGGGTTGGAAACACAGTATTGAAACTTCCCATGTACTCCTCACCTGATTTACTCTTGTTATCATTTTACATTACTGTGGTACACTTGTCAAAGCTGAGAAACCCACAATGGAACATTTAGTCAGTCTCATAACTAAACCCCAGACTTTGAGTTTCACTACTTTTTCCATTAAGTCATCTTTTCCTTCCAGGATCTCATTCAGAGAACCACATTGCTTTTCGTTGTCATGTCTCTCTATTTTCCTCTGGTCTGTGAAAGTTTATCCATCTTTCCTTGTTTTTCCTGAGTTTGGCAGTTTTGAGAAGTTTTGTCAGGTATTTTATAGAAAGTCTCTCAATCTGAGATTGTTTGATGTTTTTATTCATAATGATGCTGGACATGTTAACTGTGATTACTTAGTTAGAGCAGTCCTTATCAACTTATTCCACTGTGAAGTTAACTTCCATTCTTTTAGAAATGAAGTTCTATGCACAGTCGACAACAAGAGGTGGAGTGTGTATGCACGCATGCACAAACACAACACACACCCACACACACCCACACACACAAAGCTAATCATGCGTTCATACTAATGTTTCTGACTCCAATTCAGTTACCACAGGGGCCTTTCTAGCCTTCTTTCTTGTTTATCTTTAAATTCCCTCTCTGACAGTGAGTAATGCAGTTTCCACTATCCAATATCTATTTTCTCATTTGATCAACCCTATTATACATGTAAATCAGTTTCAGAACTATTAATCTGGACCTAAGAGAAGCAAATTTATGAAGTATAGCATTGATGTATGTTTCCTTTTGTCTCTAGTCTTACAGCTTCCAGTAAAAAAAACACATTGCTTTCCAAATAAACTAAGGTCAGCTTCTTTTTGCTCCTCACTTCCTTCAGCACAGTTTTGCCTCATATTCATGATATAAATAAGTTTATTTGCCATAGCCTGCATTCCATCCTGAAATCCCCAAGATCCTGGCTGATTTGTTAAAGGTTTACATACATTAAAGTTTACTCTTTGTGATGTACAGTTTGATGGGTTTTGACAAATAGGTTAAATCATGAGTTCACTACCACAGTACTGTTACTTCACCCTAGAAGTTCCTCTGTGTGTCCCCTCTCTCCTTATCCACTCTTTCTTCACTCAACTACTGGCAACCTTCCTTTAAATGTTCAAGACCATCAGAATCTTTCTATGCATATAGATATGACAATTTTATTCTCTGAAATATAAACCCCCAGTTCTTACATGTATGGAGCTGTTTTAAAGCTGTATGTGCACGTGCATGCATATGTGTCTGTGTGTGTGTGCACACGTGTGTGCATGTGTGTAGCGGAACTCTAAAGATCTGGCAAATAAGTTACGTAAATTTATAGTGAACCTCTCCACCCTTTCCTTTCTTGTTCTGAAGTTCCTTGAGGGCAATTCCAAACAACATACAAAAGGAACAAAATTTGGGCAGATGACTGAATATTGCTTGTCTATATTCACCACAAATTATTATCTGAAGCTAGCATCTCACCAGGGCTCTGTATCATATCCTTTGCCACTTAAGTCCTAAAGTCCTATGCAGATCTAACAGAGGAAAACAATAGAAGAAAAAACTTTACCTCTTTGTGCCGAGACCAGCTCGGTCGTGGAGACCCTAACCCAGCAGTGCTAGAGGAATTAAAGACACACACACAGAAATATAGAGTGTGGAGTGGGAAATCATGGGTCTCATAGCTTTCAGAGCCTTGAACAGAGATTTACGCACATATTTATTGACAGCAAGCCAGTGATAAGCATTGTTTCTATAGATTATAGATTTACTAAAATTATTCCTTTATGGGAAATAAAGGGATGGGCTGAAATAAAGGAATGGGTTGGGCTAGTTATCTGCAGCAGGAACATATCCTTAAGGCACATATTGCTCATGCTATTGTTTGTGGTTTCAGAATGCCTTAAGCAGTTTTCCGCCCTTGGTGGGCCAGGTGTTCCTTGCCCTCATTCTGGTAAACCAGCAACCTTCCAGCGTGGGTGTCAAGGTCATCACCAACATGCCACAGTGCTGCAGAGATTTTGTTTATTGCCAGTTTTGGGGCCAGTTTATGGCCAGATTTTGGGGCCTGTTCCCAACATTTTTGGGGCTTGCAGATTTTAATATAAAAATTGTTTCCCCTAAATGAAATCTTCGTCTGCTTACTAAGTTTTGTGTCACTCTTACAAGCTGAATTTGCTAAGGCTGGAGGCTGCAGCCCTCCCAGTTTAAAACATCTACTGACTTGCTGCCAAAACCTCTATAAACTGCAGGGGTTCACCAAGATAGAGATACTTCATAGCTTGTTAGCCAAACTTAAAGTCTAAAGCTACCTATTTGGACTGTCTCTATTAAAAACCAACCACACAATTACAAAAACCAGCCAAAGATCACACCCTAAACCCCTGGAAATGATCAAAAACAAAAACTCTCATGGTCCCCACTAACTGCAGACAACACATCTATGTAAGTGTGTTGTTTACTCCCCCAAATCCACATATACACTATTTATCAAGGCTACCACAAAGTATAGCAGAGGTTTGTTCAGTAAGAGGAATCGTACCAGCCACAAGGATGACCTGCCTTCTGTTTTTTCTTATTGATCTTGATATAATGTTTGATATCACTAATAAATTATACAAATTTTAAAATCAGTAAAAAATATTGTGTTAGGAGTCATGTAGATGAAATTAAAGGGTTATCTCATATTGATAAAGCTCATGTTGAGAATGTGACTTAGTTCTGATACACAAGAGGGTTTGCTATTGCTGCACCTCAAAATTAAATAGTTACAGCCCATGCTGGATACCTACCTAGCTTCTCTCCAGTTCTATCCTGCTAAACTTAGCACAGATGTGCATTCTCAGGGGCATAGGTGAGGCCCAAAGAGAAAAATAATAAATGCGTTTACTACATTAGTTTTTCCTCTCAGATTTGCCTATTAAATAAGTCCTTTCTTATTTGGTGAGAAGTTAGGGAGGGGAAAGAGAGAAGTCGGTGTTTTAGGGAAGGTCTCTCCAAATAAAACAGCACTGGAATACATATAATTACAGAATAGAATGCAAATATTATCTATAGATTATGGCAATTTAAAAGTAAAGGTGTGGCTAAAAATATGACAGAATAAAGTAAATGATATATGTTAAAGGAGAGATGTGTTATGATTTTCAAAATTGAATGTAGAGATTAATCAAAGAGATTAGGTAGAGATGATGAAGTAAGAACTGGAAGTAAAAATACTAATTTAGGGAAGGGAAAGAGGATTGTGTGAATTAAATATTTTCTTTAAAAACAAATTTTAAAATTATAAAATTATAACTAAAGTGTATGTGGTTATGAAAGTTAAGGAGTTAACTACCAAAAGAAACTCCAAACCAAGAGTTGAAAGTAGTTTCTACAGAGAAGGAGGTCTTGTGTTTGAGAGATATAGGGCACATTATAAACTCTTCTGTACAATTTTATTTCTACCATATTCATTTATTGCTTGGATAAAAATTGGAAATAGAAAAAGAATATGTTTCAATTTTTATGATAAATGTAATTCCAGTATTGTAAAAATTTCCTATCTCTAATTTTATGACCATGCATCGAAAGGAAATTTTTAGTAAAAATATCACAAAATAATTGGCAGAATGGAATTGTAACATTTCATGATCAATTATAAATTACTGAACATCTTAAAAAGAGCATTTGTTAAGTAGTAAAATGTTTGTCTTTAATAAGAATCTCAAAATTTTCTTACAAAATTTCCTTGATTTTTGAATAGAAATTTAACATTTTATTTTAACAAATCTACTTATTTATTTTCTTCCAGAATGCAAATATTGAAAAATATAAATTTTGTTTAAATCTAATGTTATGTGTGGCTATTTTTTTAATAAATAATTAAAACTTTTTCTGAAGTATTTCAGAGAGTTTAAACTAACAAATATTTTCAGCTTTGGCCTCATTATAAACGAGAGCTTCAAATTAGAGTTTTATTAGAAAAGGTCTCAGGTTTCCTGGAAATCCTCTTCACTTTGGTATTTCTGTGATTCAGAAGAACAAAAAGTACTTTAATTGCTTCTTATTTTATTAGGCTAATTGTTAGAGTACGCTGACTGCCTGGACCTAGCTTCTCTTTTGGAAAACAGTACCCTTGACAAAATGACAATATTCTCGGTCTAAAGCAAACTATTATTATTTCCTGTTTTAGGAGGTGTGATTTTTGTCTCTAGCAGCACTGACCCTTTCAAGTGAAATGGATAACATTCCAGTAAAACTGTCTCAGCATCAGTTATTGCAGGCTGGGCACTGACACATAACTTCTGACTCTGTTTTTGTTATTGTGGCTTTGTTTGTTTTAAAGCACAATATTTGTCTAACTGATTAGCTGCTGTAAATCTAAGGTTTCAAATACTTGAGCATGAGAATCAAGGAGTTAAGGTAGTTTACTTAGGGCCTTCTAAGTTATTATACACGTGGAAATTCTATAATTTAAAATAGATATGTGTGTCTGTGTGACCTACCGTAACCACCCTAAGGATAAGGATTTTCCAAGAACCCTGGAATGTAAGTGATGCATATCTAATTTATCACAGATTTATGGGCTTGGGGCCCCAAAGCCACCATTACCTTATAGTGAGTTTTAGCCCCCAAAATAAAGTTTTAACAGTAAAAATGGAATTTATCATAGCTGGCATTTTCTGGAAAATTTTTATGATGTCACTTTAGTTGGATATTCTGATATTGCATAGGTTTTATATATTAACTGTATTTATATGTTCTTTGTCATGTATATTTTACATAGGGTAATCATTCTGGCCAAGTGGTGAATTTTTAAGGGCTATTCTGACCTAAAAGGAAAATCCAATTCAAATTTTAAAATATTTTGTCTTATTAGAGACTTGAATGAAAAGAATGATTTCAGCAGTGCAAAATTTCACATTATGAAATGCACCAGCAGATATTTATTATTGGAAATAAAACCAATCATTTTTCTAAACACCAATTCCCCTTAAATTTCTGACTAACAGAAATTCTACTAGGGGAAATTTCTTTTGACATTGGTTAATGAATCCAAAATGCTTTATTACCTTAACTCAAAAAAAAATTCAAGATAGAAGGAAATCACATGTAACTATAAACATTAGTGACAGTTACACATTCACCTCTTTAAAGTTTAATACAGCATTACTTTATCTAATGAATATATCAAAGTGTGTCAGATTAGTTTTCAGCAGCAAAATTGATTTATTTATGCCATATTAGTATGTCAAAAAATAGTCACTCTTCAACCAATATGATTTCTGTGCTTTTATTTAAAAGAACATCAAAATATAGATTTTTCTCTTTTATTTGGACATCACATACTCAAACGGAGTCCACGCTGATTGTATTAGATATGTATTCTACAAGCTTGGGCTCTAGTTTTTGGGAAGGTGGAGGTACAAATTCTAAAAGGATTTTTTTTCAGTTAAATGTTAGGGGCTGGGTGTGGTGGTTCACACCTGTAATCCTAACACTTTGGGAGGCTCAGGTAGGAGGATCACTTGAGGCCAGGAGTTACAGACAAGCCTGGGCAATATAGTGAGACCCTCATTTCTGAAAAAATCATAATAAAATAACTAGGCACAGTTGCAAAAAAAGTTTAGACTGCCTTACATAGGACACACTAAATCCTCCTCTTTTTCCTCCTTCCCTGCTCACTGGCTTCTACACTACTAAAAATCAAAAATAATTGCCATCTATCCCTCTTTAAATTAATGACATTTTACCCCAACTCTAATTTCATAGTTGTTATTATTTCGCTATGACTCTCATTCTCATACATTTAGTGTCTAAGTAAGGATATCAGTTACTTTAAGTCACTCAAACATTTTTGAATAGCCTGTTTACATTTAATTTTTGAATACTCTGTTTACAATGTAACTGCATGTTACATCATGAGAACATTCAGTTTCTCAGAATGCCTTCAAACTAACAAAGAAAAAACAAATAAACAAACCAATCTTTTATTCCCAGTTTCCCTTTCCACTAGGGAGCTGGTATGTTATCATGTGATTTAGATTATACCACTCAAATACACCCAGAGATACTGGTTGCTAACAAAATTATGTCACAGAAAAGGTGGGCATGTGGCTTTTTCCCACTGTCCCTGGGAATAGCAGGAGCACTGCCCTTTTTGGCTCAGTACTGGTGGAAGCTGTTTTCTGACTGTTACTGAAGTATTGGGGTTCTAGGCTTCCCTCCAGCACCTCCACCAAAGTTCTTCTTGGAAGCTCAGTCCTGAGTCACTTTTTCTAGCCTTTCCAAGATTCTGTACTCTACCGAATGCTATATAATAAATCCCTCCCTGCTTGAATTAGCTAAGTGAAATTCACTCTCTGATCTCAAGGTTGGAGTAAGAAGGTCAGTTATGAACATATTGGTTCCTTTTCAAGGTGTCCCAATAATTTCACTTCATCCGCTTTTCAGAGTCTTGATATTATCTAGACTACTTTAATTTTATAATGAACTGCCAAATTGTATTCCAAAGTGGCTGAAGTCTTTTGCATTCCAACCAGCAATGGCTGAAATGATTGAGAGTGGGTACCTGTTGTTTGCATCCTCACCAGCCATTGCCACTGTCCATTTTGGTTTTTAAAATTTTTAACATTCTACAAGTATACAATGGTATTACATTGTTTTTTAAATTTTCATTCCTCTAGTGACAAAGTATGTTGAATATCAATTGTTTTGTTTATTTATGTTTATATCTTCTTTAGTGAGATGTGGGTTCAGATATTCTGTACTACTTTAATGAGGGTTATTTGCTTTCTTAATTTTGAGTTTTAAATATTCTTATATTTTGGATACAAGTTTTTTCAGATATATATTTTTCAATTCCCTTCCACACCCAGGCTGTGGCTTGATGCTTTTCTTAACAAGGTCATTAGAACAGAAGATATTTTTAATTTTAATAAAGTCTAGCTGATCAGTTTTTTCCTTAGTGTATTATGCTTTTGGTGCTGTATTTAAAATTTATCATCAAACCTAAGCTTATGTACATTTTCTCTTATGCTTCCTTTTAGAAGTTCTATAATTTTGTGTTTTACATCTTGGTCTATTATCTATTTTGAATCAATTTTTAGGTAAAGCATAAGGTCAGTTTCTAGCTTTTGTGTTTGTTTATTTTTCTGGTTGCACATAGATATCCCATTGATTTCAGAGGTTAGACTGAGTTTTACAATTCATGGCAAGTGGAGTCCTTCAGATGTTGAGTTGCATCTGTCTATTTCACTATACCAGTCATCCTCCTCCCGACCACCTGCCATCTATGTTTCATTTAGTCATCCATTTACTCATACATTCGTTTGTTTAAAAAATGCAAAGGACTTAGGGTGTTGAGAAATTTTGCTAGATTATTTTGCTAGAATTGCTTATCTCAGAAAGTTCATTTACATTTATCCCTCCAATTCAATCCTCATACTGTCTCCTCTCAGGAATTAAGTCTTTAGCTTAGGTCAGTTGTTATCGTCTCTGCAGAAACTTGCAGATCTACTTCATTGCCTCAGCAAAATTAATTATTTTCCCTACTGTCACTGTGCTTCAGTAACATTTTATTCAGGTCACCACTATATCAACTGATATGGTTTGGATCTGTGCCCCTACCAAACATCATGTCAAATTGTAATCTGTAATATTGGAGGTTGGGCCTGCTAGGAGGTAACCGGATCATGGGGGCAGTTTCTCTTGAATGACTGAACATCATCCATCTTGTACTGTCCTTGTAATAGTGAGTGAGTTCTCACAAGATCTGGTTATTTAAAACTATGTAACACTTCCCCCCTTCTGTCTCTCTCTTGCTCCTGACATGCCTACTACCCTTTCACTTTCCACCATGACTGTAAGTTTCCTGAGGCTTCCCCAGAAGCCAGCCTCATGCTTCTTGTACAGCCTGTGAAAGCATGGGCCAATTTAACATCTTCTCTTTTTAGTTACCCAGTCAGGTATTTCTTTATAGCAATGTGAGAATGGACTAAAACATCAACATAACAAGTTTGTCACATTCCATGATACCTAGCTTTATACTTGGCTCTCACCCTTCAACACACAGTGCATTAGAAGTCTTTGTGGGCACTGGCTATGTCTGTCTCATCTTCTTTCCATAACATCTAACATAGTGTTAGGTCCATATTAGTCACTCATTTATTACTTGCTAAATCAGTATATATAAAAATAAATAAATACATATATTTTGAAAAATAACTTTATCTCATAAACACCTCTCATGTTATTCTTCAATTCACATTAAACACATCCCACATACATATTGCCAATAGAATTAATTCTGCAATATTTCAGTATAAGTTGATGCTGTTAATGTTTTTTCATGGTATATATATATTTATATGACTCTCCTGCCTCAGCCTCCCATGTAGCTGGGACTACAGGCTCGCGTCACCATGCCCAGCTAATTTTTGTATTTTTGATAGAGATGGGGTTTCACCATATTGGCCATGATGGTCTTGATCGCTTGACCTAGTGATCCACCCGTCCTGGCCTCCCAAAGTGCTGGGATTACAGGTGTGAGCCACTGCACCCAGCCTCATGGTTCATATTTAAGGAATGATTAAAAATCAGAAAACATAACCCTTAGTATAGAACGAGAAAAAGGAATCATGCCAATGAGTGCACATGCGTGTATCTACAACAAGCTTCTCATATTTCACTTTCTCATGCACTCTTATCACATCTGATGTCACAAGCAGAACTAGGCACTGGTCTTATTATGCATATTTTCTGTTGGTGACATCTAACCTGCCACTCAGCCTCCCGTCAGGCCACATCATCTCAGTCCAGCTAGAGTGTGGATTATTTTCACTTGTTTCCTCCTAAATTCAGATTTTGAACTTTTGTCACATACATCTTCCTTGTAGAAAGAAATATATTTAGGTATTGAATATAGAGTCAACAACAGTTTTTCGGGAAAATGTTGACAAATAATTAGGGGTTAGAAAGAAAGGGCAGAACAAAAGGGGGTCCATGAAACATGTGAGAAAGAATTTCAGCAAGGATGCTCATGCAGTAGGGTCTCTGAGGAGCCAAAGATGGAGTTCTTGCTTGAGATAGGAAGAGATTTTTAGTAGTCAGCTTAAATGAAGTAAAATGAGCAATTGTCAGTGATATGTAAAGCTCCCAAGTGAATATTTTCTGAAAAGATGTCCTATCAAGAGCTAACTAGTATAAAAACTAGTATAATACTTATTTTGAGGAATAATGTTCTAAACTCAAATAATTTGAAAATCACTCCATCTGTGCACTTATGGTGAAAGATAATACCTGTCTGCATATTGAAGGTTATCAGAAGTTTCCTACACTGAGGCAATTTGCGCTCCTTCTTTTTTCCAGAATTTTGCAATTTTATTTATTTATTTATTTTGCCAACGGCATAGTTCTAGTCCATGTAATGAGTGTTGGAAAATGCTGTATTTCCTCATTTTGTCTCATTCTGATCATTTGTCTTTTCCATTTGCCAGCACACACTTGGACTGGAATGTCCTTTAATTTGTTTCTCTGTTAAGTGTCCCAAAAGGCACACAGAATTTATCTTTTATTTCCTCTCTTGGAAAGTAGTGTTACAACATTTATTGTAGTAATACTTAATCAAAATAGTGCCAAAAGCTGTGTTAAACACGTGCAAAGAAACAGTCCCATGTTATTCTTAACAGTGTGCCAAATTTGGGTAAATTACATGATTCCATATATATATATATATATATATATATATATATATATATATATATAGTTATCTAAGATTAAACTTCCAATAATTATTTCTTGTTATAAAGGGAATATGCAGTTATACAAAAATGCAAAAATTCAGGCAATTTATCATCCTGTATTTTAGTGCTTAGATTTTGAATTATATTAAAAGAAAAAAGCTAAATAGTACGATTAATATTTCTTAAATTACATGTTTCTGCTCCAAGGAGACACCTTTGCTTTATGTTCATTGAATTGTCTCCTTTAGGTATAGCCTCAGGTTTCTTCAGCAATATTAGTTTCAACTCGACATAAAATGAGAATTTGAAGAGGATGACGACAATGCATGTTGGGAAAGGCTTTCATTTTTAATTTTGGTCTTTTTCCAAATGGCAATTAGATCATGTCTTATAGGCTAATGATTATTCTCAATATCTGTTTTCCCTTCCTCCATTACCGGAATTTTTGTTGGAAATACAATGACAATAGAATGAAGATTTCATTTGCTAGCATTTCTTGCATCTAGATGTGGTCATATGACTGAATTTAGGAAAGAAAAGGACATTAGAAGAGGCTTTATATATTAGCTGCTGGACAGCTTCCTTTGCTTTCATCTCTCTTTCTTTCTCTGAACTAATGCCTACAGCGTGGAACCATTTTGAACTGTGAGAAATGCCATCCCTAGTGGTCATAGAAGTTGCCTGGGTTCTTGACAGGATCCATATGGAGCATGATACTTCACTACATGACCTTCTCAGTCTGTGTCATGCAAATTAGAGAAAAAAAAACTTCTATTTTGTATAGACCACTAATTTATTTACTTATTTACTAGTTTAACTGGCAGCCAAATGAAATACTATAACGTACAGGTGGGGGTTGATTCGAAAAGTGGAGCAGAGGATAGCCTTATAAGTATAGCTTATCACTATACCATAGGAGAAAGCAAATATCTTAGAAGAATACAATAGTGCATGCTGTACCATGTCATTTATTTGCCTTTTAATAATTTAAAGGCATTATTTAAATATCAATATTTTAAAATAAATACATAAATAAGATTCAATTAATCTCATGGATAAAAACATAAGCTACTATGTTTAAGACCAACAAGATTAAAATCCAGTTTTGCTGCTTACTGATGTGTTATTATAGCTTCTTGGAACTTCAGTGCCCTTTACATACAATGAAACTAAAATAGGAGATTTGAGAAGCAAATAAGATGGTGCATTTAAAGCATATTAAAAAGTGCCTGTGCAGGAACAGAAAACCAAATACTGTGTGTCCTCACTTATAAGTGGGAGCCAAATGATGAGAACACACGCACATATGGTGGAGAGGGGACAGCACACACTGGGGCTTGTTGGAGGGTTGGGGATAGAAGGAGGGAGGGCTTCAGGAAGAATAGCTAATAGATGCTGGGATGATCTGTGCAGCAAACTGTCATGGCACATGTTAACCTACATAACAAACCTGTGTATCCTGCACATGTATCCCGGAACTTAAAATAAAAGTTGGAAGTAAAAATTTTTAAAGGTGCCTGCACAAGGTAGACCCTTAATCATTATTGGGTCTCACTGCTCTCTCTGTTGCATGCAAGTTTTGTTACATATTGAAATTTGTTCAAAATAACAGCAACAGCAGCAGCAGCAGCAACAACAACAATAACAACAACAACACGAAAGCATCATTTCTGCTTTCAAGAAAATCCATATCATGTTTAAGGGGAGAAAGACTATAATTCGTCACTACCTTTTATAAAAACCATCAACACTCGAAGCACAGTCTTTATTTGTTTAAAGCATCTTTTGCCTCATAGAGCTTGCTCCCTAATCACCCCTAAGGTAACTTACAGAGTTGCCCTAAATATGGAAACAAATATTTTCCTTAATCCTAGGTCAGATCAGGTTATTCTTTCTAAACAGTTCATCACTGAAGCCTCAGGGATAACCTAGTAGAGATAAATACTAAGTTGCAATTTTAGTGTCTCATTCCAGGCGGCTGCTTTCTGGAACATATTGCCTCATCCTTACTTGTGGTTCTCAAATCACATCAAAATCATGTGTAGTACATGTTGTAAAGCTAGATGCTAGTGTTACCAAATTTGAATCTCCTAAGTGTAGGAAATTCCTCTTATATTAAGGTACCAGGAGATTTTGAATTTTTTATCTAGGTTAGGGAACCAGTGTCTAGCTTGGTGATTAGATTTTGGCCTGCCTGGGTGAGGCGCATAGGGGCCAGTTTTCCCCGTATCTTCGTATTCTGCCAATTAGGACTGGTATTCTTAGAGCCTTTTGTCTTTTTGTGACCTACTGTGCTAGTTTCCTTTTCTATTCCAGAATTGGCACTTTCCTGTGATATTTCACTTTGGAAGATCCCCTCCTTCAATGGAAGAACTTTTTCTTCCTGCAAGGGTATAAGCTATCACTTTAATCATAACAGAATATTAACCTAAGACTATAAAGACACCAAAAATGCACACTGATATGTATATGTGTGTATTATATAGGTAAGAAAGGATAAGTTCCTTATATTCTCTAATACAGTGGTTCTTACACTTTGTCATGCATCAGAATCATCTGGAGGTACTCACTTTGCTGGGCAAACCCCCAGAGTTTCCAAGTAATGAGGTCAGGGTGAGATCTAAAATTTTATATTTCCAATCAGTACCTAGGTGATGTGGATATTGTGTATTCAAGTGCTATACTTTAAGAATCACTGATAAATAAAACTAATAAACACATGAGCATATGTGACACATGCATATAGATTGTGCAAAGATGGGAGAGATTATAGTTGTTCTGGTGATAAAGAGGCGATTCTCATATGAGGAGAAGTTTCAGATGTCTTTTTTATTGGCATTGAGAGGACACAAGAGATGGAAACATTCCAAAGGATAAAGAGTGTGAGTGGAAGTCATGTGTATTTCAGTATGTGTCAAAGGTTCCTGGAAAAAGTATAATGTTTGCAAAAGGAAGAACTACGATATATATAATAAACTAAACTGGTGCAATAATTAGCAATAACTATGAAGAGTATCAATATAAGCATAGAGGACAGAAAAGTTGGTGGACTTTGATGTCAGATTAGCAAAATCCCAGTTATGTCTATTTATAATTGTCTGATCGTGGACAAATTGCTTAATTTTTATGAGTCTTAATATCTTCTGAAGAGACTAATGTTTTTTCTACAACTCTTGGGAAGATTAAATTAAGAAAAAAGACATATATAGCACCTGACACAATGCCTAGCTGATGTACTCAGTAAATGATAGCTATATTTATTGCTGTATTTTTGCTATCCTGATAACATAGTTTGTCACCCCTGGCCTCTGCTTGTGTGGTCAAGGTCCATTTGTGAGCCAGACAGTCTGGTATTTAAGGTTTCATATTATTGTTGTCTACCGGCCAGGCAGTAAGTCACTGTGAGTTACTGCTTATTTTCTTTTTAAAAGAAAAAGTAAAAGTAAGTAAACTTATTTTACTTTTTAAAAATGCATAATTCACAAACTTTTTTGTTGAATAGGTTTCATGATTGTAATATTTTTAAATTCTTTAGGTGAAAATATATAATAGTTTATTCTGATGGAAAGTCTTCAAATAGATAATGTAATGCATGCATTTGTTTAATACGTACCTTAATAAAAAATACATTATTTTAATTGTGGAAGTTACCCAGCAAATGAAAAGAAAAACATTGCTTTCATTACATTTGAACTACTGAATGTACACATAGAACTCATCAATTGCCCGGAGAAAGGCTTTTCTTTAAATAAAAAATTGTCTTTATGGTCATTTGAATACATTGAATTTGACTGATTTTTTAAATCCTACTCATTTCATATACACGTGACTAATGTTATGTATTTCTTGAGATAATACAAATCATTAGGAAAAAAGTGATTTATCCAATTTTCTTTATCCTGCCAAGTGCAGGATGTTTATTTCTTTGGATGTAAGTAAACTCTTGATATGTTAAAAAAAAATTTCTTTAGAAAACTATCAGCCCAATTTTTTAGAGGCTTAATTAGGACTTATATTTTGGACAATGTAGCAGAAGACTTAACATGAAGATTACAAAACGCCTAGTTGTTCTAGACATAAACTGTGGCATCCTGGAGTCAGCTCATACTGACTTAGAGTTGGTTGTTGAATTTTTAGATGTTTTGAAAGCAAGTTGTAAAAGTAGCCATTATATTAATGATTTTAAATTATATTAACCTATCCTTAAGTAAGTTATCACAGAAACAGGTAAAAATACTAAAAAAAATCACCAATTCCTCTATTTTACTATAATTTTATTATTATCTATATTTTTGAATCCATTTATGTCTATTGTAAATCTATGGTGGCAACACTGTGTGATGGTGTATACTATACAAGTTATCTCAATGCAGCATTCACTGATGTCATGTTTGACTGGTTAGATTACCCACAGAGGACTATGTTTATCTTCTTTGTAGAGGATAAAACTGCCAGTGCTTCAGGATACTAATAAAGGAAGGGATTTAGAGGCCTCCATGTTCAGTAGGCAACCTACGTAGTTATGTTGTTTTCAGTTTAATTTTCCAACTTCTGAAGCACAGAGAACTTTGGTTTTATCATCTCCAGAGCCCGCTCTTCTGGTTTTACATCATGGTAGAAAACTAGCAGTCAATACCTATGCAGAGTTGGTAAGGAAATCCTGATGTTCAATTGCCTTATACACATTTTTTTTTTTTTTTTTGAGACAGTCTCACTCTTGTCGCCCAGGCTGGAGTGCTGTGGTGCAATTTCGGCTCACTGCAACCTCTGCCTCCTAGGTTCAAGCAATGAGTAGCTGGGATTACAGGTGCCCACCACACCCGGCTAATTTGTGTACTTTTAGTAGAGATGGGGTTTTACCATGTTGGTCAGGCTGGTCTCGAACACCTGATCACAGGTGATCTGCCCGCCTCAGCCTCCCAAAGTGCTGGGATTACAGGCATGAGCCACTGCAACCCGCCTATAAACACATTTTCAACCAATCCACCTGTTTGTTTTGTTTTGTTTTCCCTTCACTATCATTTCATTCATGGGACTTGGTGCCACTGATTTCTGAGCCTTTAGAGGACTCTGTGTTAATCTGTTTTCATGCTGCTAATAAAGAGATACCCAAGACTGGGCAATTTACAAAAGAAAGAGGTTTATTGGACTTATAGTTTCACATGGCTGGGGAAGCCTCACAATCATGACAGAAGGCAAGGAGGAGCAAGTCACACCTTACCTGGATGGTAGCAGACAAAAGAGAGCGCTTATGCAGGGAAATTCCCATTTTTAAAACCATCATATCTCATGAGACTTTTTCACTATCAGAAGAACAGCATGGGGAAGACCTGCTCCCATGATTCAATTACATCCCACCAGGTTCCTCCCATGACATGTGGGAATAGTGGGAGTTAAAATTCAAAATGAGATTTGGGTTGAGACATAGCCAAACCATATCTTTACACCCCCGGCCCTCCCAAATCTCATGTCCTTGCATTTTAAAATCAATCATACCTTCCCAACAGCCCCCACAAAGTCTTGACTTATTTTAACATTAACTCAAAGTCCACAATCCAAAGTCTCATCTGAGACAAGGCAAGTCCCTTCCACCTGTTTTTCCATCCTGTAAAATTGAAAGCAAGTTAGTTACTTCCTAGATACAATGGGGGTACAGGCATTGGGTAAATACAGTCATTTCAAATGTGAGAAATTCACCAAAACAAAGGAGCTACAGGCCCATGCAAGTCCAAAATCCAGTGGGGCAGTCAAATCTTAAATCTCCCAAATGATCTGCTTTGACTCCATGTCTCACATTCAGGTCATGCTGATGCGAGAGGTGTGTTCTAAATGGTCTTGGGCAGTTCCACCCCTGTGGCTTTGCAGGGTACAGCCTCCCTCTGGCTATTTTCATGGGCTGGCATTGAGTGTCTGCAACTTTTCCAAGCCCACGTTGCAAGCTGTTGGTGAACTGCCATTCTGGGGTCTGGATGACAGTGACCCTCTTCTCATAGTTCCACTAGGCGGTGCCCCAGTAGGGACTCTGTGTGGGGGCTCTGACCCCACTTTTCCCTCCTGCACTGCCCAAGCAGGCAGAGGTTCTTCTTAAGGGCCCTTCCCCTGCAGCAAACCTCTGCCTGGGCATGCAGGCATTTCCATACATCCTCTGAAATCTATGCAGAGATTCCCAAACCTCAATTCTTGACATCTGTGCATCTGCAGGCTCAACACCACGTGGAAGCTGCCAAGGCTTTGGGCTTCCACCCTCTGAAGCAACAGCCTGAGCTATACTTTGGCCCCTTTTAGTCACAGCTGGAGCAGCTAGGACATAGGTCACCAAGTCCCTAGACTGCTCACAGCAGAGGGACCCTGGGACTAGCCCAGGAAACCATTTTTCCTCCTAAACCTCCAGAACTGTGATGGGAGTGGCTTCTGCAAATGTCTCTGACATGCCCTGGAGACATTTTCCCCATTGTCTTGGAGTTTAACATTTGGTTCCTCATTACTTAAGCAAACTTCTGTACACCACTTGAACTTCTTATCAGAAAATGGGATTTTCATTTCTATTGCATTGTCAGGCTGAAAATTTTCCAAACTTTTATGCTCTGTTTCCCTTTTAAAACTGAATGCCCTTAATAGCACCCAAGTCACCTCTTGAATGCTTTGCTGCTTAGAAATTTCTTCTGCCAGATACCGTAATTCATCACTCTCAAGTTCAATGTTCCACAAATAGAGCAGGGGCAAAATGCTTGTATTCTCTTTGCTAAAACATAACAAGTGTCACATTTGCTCCAGTTCCCAACAAGTTTCTCATCTTCATCTGAGACCACCTCAGCCTGGATTGTATTGTCCATATCATTATGAACATTTTGGGCAAAGCCATTCAACAAGTCTCTAGGAAGTTCCAAACTTTCCCACATCTTCCTATCTTCTTATGAGGCCTCCAAACTGTTCCAATCTCTGCCTGTTACCCAGTTCCAAAGTCGCTTCCACATTTTCAGATATCTTTTTAGCAGTGCTCCAATCTACTGGTACCAATTTATTGTATTAGTCCGTTTCACACTGCTGATAAAGATATACTTGAGACTGGGCAATTTACAAACGAAAGAGGTTTATTGGACTTACAGTTCCACATGGCTTGGGAGGCCTCACAATCATGGCACAAGGCAAGGAGGAGCAAGTCACATCTTACATGCATAGCAGCAGACAAAAGAGAGAGTGTGTGCAGGGAAACTCCCGATTTTAAAACCACCAGATCTCGTGAGACTTATTCACTATCGTGAGAACAGCATGGGAAAGATCCACCCCCATGATTCAATTAGCTCCCACCAGGTTCCTCCCAGGACATGTGGGAATTGTGGGAGTTACAATTCAAGATGAGATTTGGGTGGGGACACAACCAAACCATATCAAACCAAAAATTACCTAATTACATCTAAAAGTTACTACTGATCCATCTACTGTTTAGCCTTCAAATTTTTGATGTTACTGTCTCCTTTTCTCTATGTTTTGTCCTTGATGGTTTATGCTTTTGTAATCAATTTATTGCTACTTTAGCCAGAATTTTTAGCCTAACTGAGGCTTAATGCATATTTTTAAAGTGAAAACATAAAGTAGATATTCAAAGGCAAATTGGAAAATCTTGAGGTCTCTAGAATCTGTTACCTTAGAGAAACTTTGAGGGAAGTTTCTGAGGGATGCTTTTTAAATATATCTTTGGTTTTAGCTTTGTCCTAAATTGCCAAGATCCAGGGAATGTGAAAGCCTGAGGTAAACAGTGTTTTTAATCTGTGAGGAAAGTGCCATACCCAGAGAAGGAGGTAATCTGCTGATCCCTGGCATGGTGAAGAAACCCATAGCAAAACCAGAAATAACAATCATGTTTATTGCCATTTGTCCAGCTATGTATTTGTTACAGTAACTGTTCTGAGCATTTGATACACGTTATCTTAAAGAGTTGTTATATCTCTGACATAGCCATGCTTATCTTCATTCTATTTATGAGAAAATTGTTAGTGGGAAGATGTGAGTTAACTGACCTGGAATTTCCGAACTGCCATTAGGAAAGCAAAGAATTGAACATTCTCATTTAGTTTATTCAAAATTTCTGTTTTTAATCATTGCATTATAAAGAATGGTAGAGCATAGGCTGGGCATGGTGGCTCATTCTTGTAATCCCAGCACTTTGGGAGGCTGAGGCGGGCGGATCATGAGGTCAGGAGATCGAGACCATCCTGGCTAACACTGTGAAACTCCGTCTCTACTAAAAATACAAAAAAAAAAATTAGCCAGGTGTGGTGGTGGGCACCTGTAGTCCCAGCTTCTCAGGAGGCTGAGGCAAGAGAATGGTGTGAACCCGGGAGGCGGAGCTTGCAGTGAGCCAAGATCACGCCACTGTACTCCAGCCTGGGTGAAAGAGCAGGACTCTGTCTTAAAAAAAAAAAAAAAAAAAAAAGGAATGGTGAGCATTGATCAAACCTTTTTTTAGTGATGACCACTTTTCAGATTGATGTAAGAGTTAAAGAAAAATGTGTTATTAAAAAAGCCTATTCTTTCATTAAAGGCATGGCTTAAAAATTGTGTTCCGTTCACTTATGATTTGAAATATGTGTGTATGTGTATTTGACTTACCATCATTATTATTACCTAACATTTTTGATAATTTCTCTCTTGGGAAATGATTATACTTAGATGCAAAGATAGAGAAAACAAGTCTGGTTTCTACTTAATTAGTAGAAAGTATGATCTGTGTGAGGGCTTGCACAGACAGTTATATTTAGGGTATTGAACTTAATATGTACTGGGCTCCTTATATTCTCAGTTGTCTTTTTCTTACTAGAAAACCAAGCAGGGATTTGAAAGCTGTCAGAATACAACATAATGAGAACCTTGTATTTCTATTTTCTATGCAGAAATTCACAAATGACAGAATATAATTTAACGTTGGTCTTCAAACTAAATCTGACTGTCAATACTACTTGAACATATGCTCCTAACATCTCTATCTCAAGAGTCATTGGGTACATATAAGATTATATCTTTACTAGGTGATTCATCCTACAATTCTTGATTGATCAGCAATGTCAATTTTTCACAACTCTCGAGATTTGGCAACCTATCACAGATAATGCAAAACTGATAGTGAGCAACAGTGGGGAACCATTACTACTTCTAGGCCTGAAGAGGCAAGAATAAATAGTTATCAAACCCCAGAAACAATAGTTATATAAAAACAGATGAAATATTTTTGGCAGAGAGGAACCCAGAATTAAAAATAGCTTGACCTCACTCTCTTCCTGCCTCCTACTCTCCTCTGGTCTCTCCCACTGTTCAAACTCAAGCCAGAGGACAAGGGAGCTTGTAGATGCAGTTCATAAATATTCACCTCTTGGGGCAATGGCAGAATGCAAAGAGGTAATAAGTGAATTTGGAATGGGAAAGTTAAATATCTGTCATTGTAGGTTATGTAGTTAGTCAACATTTAGTAATCATTTATTATAATCACAATGTCTTTGGAAACCAAAATAAATATCAGGCCTCCACTTCTCATAGAAACAATCAATATATTAAAGTAGACCTGAAAGAAGTGAGGGTATTATCACATAAAAACAATTAAGCATTTAAAAAATAGATGCTAGAAAAGTGTTGAGAGCAATATTTTCCAAATATGTTGTGGGAGAAGGAAAAACTCAAAAATATCAACAAATACCTATGCAAATAATTGCTTCAAGTTAATGACGTTTTTATTTTAAGTTTTTGTTTTGCTGTTACATTATATATTTACAAAATCTTTTATAAATGATGTATATTGGTCATTTAGGAATAGTATTAATATTTTTTAATAAACATATATAAGTGCATTTTTATTTTTAGCATTTAATCTTTTGTAATGAGTCTTTAAAAACGTACAGTAACTGATTTAAATATATAGGTCTGTTTTATCCAGCAGGTTAAAGTGGTAGGACAGACTTAATCATGAATACTATTTTAGTCCTAAAATTATTTGCAGAAGAAAATCTCTACTGAATTGTTTTTCAAATCAGTTTAGTTATTATATTTTCAGGCTCCATCAGTAATTTCAATTGAATGTTGACCTGTAGCATACAAAAACTAACCATTTGTGTATTTGTTAAGTTTGTTTTCATGGTACAAAAAAAACTGAATGGAAAGTTGATTATTTTCTCTGAGTACAAAGATGTAAAAATTCTCTTTTTATTTCCTCAAAAAATATTTCTAATGCATACTCAAAACTTTCAGCCTTCAAACAGTCTGAATTTGTTATCCTGGTGAGCCTGGTTCTTTTAACATGCTTCCTGTATAAATAGACTAAGTGTTTGGCTCTGAATTCTCTGGTTTAAATGTATTTTCTCATTACTCTTTGTTCAGTTCAAGTCTTAAACTATTTGGAACTGGGTCTAAGGGAGAACTTCAAGCATGGTCTCTGTGACAAGTTGTTGTCACCTTGTAGAGTTGAAATGTCATTTCAATACACTATACAGAACCTCATGATTACATTGCCATAGCGATTGTTTTCTTACTACTGCAGTGGATTTTACACTAGAATTTACATTTCAATTTATTGTGACCTGGAGACACAATAGAATATATAGGCTTTTAAATTATTATTTTTAAAGTGAAAATAAAGTACTTATTAAGCCCAAGGTTAAAACAATGTATTTTAGATTAAAGGCCATATAGTAGTTAGTGGTTCACAAGGTGTGTTTTATTGCAAATATTTCACACACACACACACACACACACACAGACACACACACACAAACACACCCCCCTAAACACTTTTCATTGAATGGTAAATCTGATTTGATCTCTTCAATGTCTCACTCTCTTCACCACAAGGCCAGCCAAACATCATCTAACATGGTGCAGCTAACCCAAGAATTTCCTTGCTGCCTGAACTCCAGCTTACTTTAGTCTCTTACTCAAAAATGAGAATTGATTATATTATACACTGAAACTCACCATTAGTCATTTTGATTATCAGAGCTTAATTTTGGCAGAAACAATATGACTGATTCAAGCAGAAAATTGCTTTGCATTATAGATTCATGTCTACCTCATCGTGGAAGGATCCAAGCTGTCCTCAACCTTGGAATAATCCTGGTCTGGTCATTTGATGACCAGGAAATGGTTACAGAAGAGAGAGTTCATGGGAAGATACTAATAGTACAGTGATGGTCTTGATAATAAACAGCACAGTTTCTTGACTTCAGTAGTATTGACACTTCTGAGTGGAAAATTCTTTGTTGTGGAGAGCTATAGTGTACCTTGTAAGATGTTTAGCAACATTTTTGGCTTCTACTCAGTGGCTGGTAGCAACATCCATCTCCCAAGTTATCAGAGTCAAAAACATCTCCAGACATTGCCGAACTTCCCTTGGGTGGCAAAACTGCCCCCAGTTGAGAACTATTGTTCTTATCTTTGGCTAGTGTGTATGGTATTTCTGATACAGCATTGTGTATTTTGGCTTTTATTTTTGAGAAATGTAATACATTCCCTCTGGTTTAAGAAACATGTTTGCCATTGTTGCTTTTTCTTGTAGCGCACTCACAAAGGGAATTTTATTTTTTTACATTGACTGGAGAGAGAAAAAAATGTAACACCCTTTCATTCAATATCCACATGACAAGCAAAATGTTATTTTAAAATTAAGTATTTTATACCATTAATTCATAATTAGTACCAAAGACTTCTCCTATTATTTGGAAGTTTTAAAATGTGGTTCATTAACATGTCTCTAAAGAACTGTGTAATTTGCCTCATGCTTCTAAATTTAAATTCTGTTCACATGACTCCCCTACTTGTTCAACTGAAAAAATCTAATTTCAGTTTCTGTAATGTACTAGTACCTCTTTTGCCTATCAGAAAATTTGTATAAGCCTTTTCTTCCCATATGAATAAATTCACCTCAACCCTTGTGCCCTTCTTTTAGCCAATAATTACCACTAGCTAATTCTTATTGAATTAAGTATGTTTAAGGTAATTAAGGTCTTTAAGATACTAACTTAATTACCATTTCCTCAGAAATTTTAACATAAAGTTAGTAATATTATTATTATTTAGACAGGATCATTTTTCTTTTTGTGACATTTAAATAATTTTAAATAATATTCTTGAGTATATTTAAACTATATATATGTCTCCCTCAGTAGACATTATATGAGTAGGGACTATGTTCAGAAAACTAGTAATTCTTAGCGTCCAGAGAAATGCGTTAGAGAACTGTCTCAGGGCTGATCAGCGATCCTCAGAATCTATTTTCCCCTCAAATTTAGTGTCCCCAAACTTATGATTCTTAAACTTGTAGTTCAAGAGGTATGTAAAAGTATTTTGGCATGTATGAATTTTTAAAGGTGAAGATAAAATCAGAACATTATTTGTATAAGTCAGAGGCTACACATGAAATAATTTCTCTGTAAAAGTTCTAAGATAATAACAAATGTTGAACATCGATAAAATACTAAGTAAAATTTGGTGTGAAATAGTACATAAGGAATATTAATTTACTATACTAACTTAGAGCCATCTGTTGTTTTAGGAGGTTCAGAGTACACAGAGGAGGATTAAAATGACCGTGTTGAAGATGGAAAGGTCAAGGCCTCCATCATATAGAAAGGTCCAGAGGTGGTGCTGATAATCTAGATTTGACTCTATCACTTCTCATGTCACAACAATACAAACTTCGGTATGTAAAATATTTTGGCAAGCCATTGGAAAACATAGCATTACCATGGCTGCTTCTGTCTCATAATTTGGCTCTTCTATGAACCCAGAAAAGTACCAGTACTTCTTTTATTATGCACAGGGTGGGAGATTTTTTGTTTGTTTGTTTTCACACTAAGTAAACTAGCAGAGATTATTTCCATCTTTCTTCTAAGAATACATCAACATGGGTAGAGAGACACCACCTAATCATTTGCTATAAACTGAATGTTTGTGTCCCTGCAAAAATCATATGTTGAAATTCTAACCCCCAATGAGATGGTATTAGGAGGTGAGTATTTCATGGGGATAGATCCTTCTAAGTGGGATTAATGCTGTTACAAAAGAGACCCCAGAGAGCTTTCTTTTGTCTTCAGCCATGTAAAGACATAGAAAAAAGATCATCTATGACCCAGGAAGCAGGTTCTTCCCAGACACTGAATCTGTTTACACCTTGATCATGGACTTCCTAGCTTTCAGAAGTGCAAGAAATAAATGTTTGTTGTATAAGCCATCTAGTCAATGGTATTTTTGTTATAGCAGCCTGAATGAACTAAGACATTATTGTGCTTGGTTTGTTCTTAAATTTCCTTGGATAAAACTGTTAGCTACAGAGGAAAATTAAGTTACAATCAGCATTATATAGAGACATATACACTGACATATTGGCAAACAGTACACGTTCTGGAATGAAACAAAAGAAAAAAAGGAAGAAAGGAAGAAAAAAGGGAAAAGAGTCAGGAGGGAGAAATAACTTTTTTTTTTCTCCTGAATAGGGGTACTTTGACAACCCTAATGAACATCCACAGATTGCTTCTGTTCTAGAAAGAGTGTTAGACTTGGTGTAAATGTATGATGTATAGATGAAATCAGTAAAATAGAAAAAAATATATATATGTATTTATATCTGATTTCCTTTGATTGAAAGTAAAAATTGGTACAATCTTATTAAATTTGGTAAATTTCAAAGGGAGATAAATATAACAAAATAATGTCCATCGTCCTCACTGTGGATTATTGAATCATTAAAGCCAGTTTTATTTGTTTGGATGTAAAGGGGGGATGAATAGCTGTTCTTATGGGTCTTTCAACTTACTGCTTATTCATTTATTCATTTCAGCCTTATTTCCATTCCTCTCTGTTACTTTCTTGAGCTCTCATTGAGAACTAGCTACTCAATTTTAGCTCTGTAGTCTCCCCTCCCACCAATTCTCTCCCTAAATGTGAGGATTTGAAATATTGCCTTACTTTTCCTTTCCTAGGGATCATTCTATTATTTTCTCATTCAAATTCCCTTATATTTTTGTAAGTTATTTCAATTAGAGACATAGAAGAGAGCTTTTATTGTTGTTGTTGGGGGCAGAGTGGAAAGGATAACTGCTTTCATGGTAGCAGCTGTGAGAAGGAAGTAAGAACTCAAAAAACACATTATCTCAAGTTTACTTACAGGAATGGTTTTAGAACATGCTGCATGATAAGAAAGCATTTGTTTTCCAAAATTATTTATTATAGGAATCAATCAGATCGCTAGGGCACTGTTACTATGGGCCATCTGCGGGAGATGGATACAGTTTTGTCACACATAACCCTTATTCATATCTCATTCCTGTTAGGGAATTTTAACTGTAATTGTTTCTCAACAGGGGATTCTTAGGTCATCAGTAGGTTAGTTGTTGTCTAGAGAATACAAGCGGGAGGAAGAACATTCAAATACAATTATTACCCAAAATGTAGCCCTTTTTTCCCTAAGCTAAATGGGCTAAATTTAACTACAGATGGGATTTAACCATTCACATTTTTATATTTTAGCTACCACCAAGGTACTAGAGATTAGAATTCACAGAGCCTGAAGTTTCTAGCTCATTGCTTAACCTGCTGAGTCATATTTTTTTAAATTGTTCTATACACAAGAAAAATGGTACACGATGATGTTGTACTAATGTGTACCCTGTGTCTGCAGGTAGGCATTAAAGTTAGTCTCACAGAAATTAACATACAATAGAAATCTGGCAAGCCTCAGTTTGCGTTGCAATAAAAATAATTATTTCTCGTTTTAAAAATTACCATGATTGATGCATTTTGTTGACTCAACTAATTTCAAGAAAGCACTAAGGACATTCCTGAAATAACAACTTCGGCATAAAATGAAGTATCTTTGTTTCTGGAGAAGCATGGTGAAAAGAGGCCAGTATTTGTCAAAAGACCTGATTTAATACTTATCCTGTTACTTTTGTTTTGTGACCTTAAAGAGTTCATTTAATCTTTTTGTTTTACATTTCTTCATCTCTAAAATGAGAATATAGATACCTGCCTTATCTGTCTAATAAATGTATTATAATGATAAGGTATATTATAGACACTTTAAAAATGAAACAGTGTTATATTACAGTAAGTTGAAATTCACTTATGTGTTGAGGCAACTTTGTTTCATAGCTATGCTCTACATTTTCCCCTAATACATAAAATCTCTGGAAGCATTGAGCTGAAAATTAGATACAGTAGTGATAATAACCATTACTAGTGTTCATCATCAGAAACATTGAAGAGTATTGAATTATGTGCTAGTAAAAGAGCTTAAAAGATAGAATACATAATACATATTATGGTCTAATCAAGAATAATATTTATCCCACAAATAACCACAAAGTAACATTCTTAAATCATGGTTTTGAATATATTTTCTAATATTATGTCTAACATATTAAAATATTTTAACAACATGGTTTTAAGCCAAAAAAATCAAGTCCATTTTTCCTTTATATAACTTGGCAAAATTCAGCAGATTGTTACACTCCATTGTGGAGAATTTGAAAATGACTTTATGCTGTGAAATTTTGAAGATGTTATTTTTGGCATATGGAATGGATTTTGGTGGTTGAACAAACAGTTGAAATACCAAATGTAGTCATAGGGATTCCCTTTATACTAAAATGCATGAACATAACTGCTTTTAACTTTCAGCACAATTTTTCTAAAATTTGGTTAAGTGGTGAAGGATGAGAAAATTAATTATAATTCACAATACTTTAATAAGATCCAAAATATCCGTATGATAACAACTCTAAAATGTAACATTATCTATTTCAGTTGTGATTCTAAAGTGTTTCAATATTTTTGTCATCTATGTCCTTGTTAACGGACATTTGCCTTGCAATTGAAATATGTTGACAGTGATGTTCTGTTAACATTTTTTGTTTGTGAATGAAAAACATTTTATGTTACCAGATGACCATATTGCATATGCAGTAGTTATAAGATTGAAGAGAAATCAAATCTTAGTGGGGCGTATCATATATGGCAAAGTAGTTCTGATCCACATTCACGTATGTGTATAAATTATTTTGGTGCTAACTGATAAAGAGCCATAACTGTAAGCATAAGTGAGGGGCCTAAAGATCCATTCATCCATTACACACATTGTTTTCCGGGAGCTTTCCCCTACCTAACTACCATGTTAGTAATGGTGTGATATCTACCCTACCCCTACTTCAAGATAGGCAGGCTTTTGATTCCCATTCTAATTAGTTGAGTACATGTCAGTTTTAAATTTAAAATAATGTGTTTTAATATGCATAATAATCTCTTTATGGCTCAGCTTTGTTTCCCCACAAATATTTGGAATAATTAAAGATTACACATAGAACTCTGTATATAGTTAACCTTTAAAAATGTCAATTTTGTACCATAACTTTCTTTCTTGCAGTTGTACAATTCATAGTTGTATTTTATATTCAAATTTATGCCTTTTTTTTCCTGTTTTTTGTTTTGTTTTGTTTTGTTTTTTTCCGAGATGAAGTTTATCTCTTGTTGCCCAGGCTGAAGTGCAGTGGTATGATCTCGGCTCACTGCACCCTCTGCCTCCTGGATTCAAGTGATTCTCCTGCCTCCACCTCCCGAGTAGCTGGGATTACAGGTGTGCACCACCATGTCAGCTAATTTTTTGTATTTTTAGTAGAGACAGAGTTTCACCATATTGGCCAGGCTGGTCTTGAACTCCTGACTTCAGGTGATCCACCTGCCTCTGCCTCCCAAAGAGCTGGGATTACAGGCATGAGCCAACCTGCCCGGCCTATTTTTTACTGTTTTTTAATCATACTGGGAAATATTATTAAGCACTTTCTATGTGTACTTTACAAAATCTAATGAATCTGGTGAGCCCTGTATGAATCAACAATATAAATGGGAAAGAAGGCAAATAGAAGAATAAGCATTTTTAGGGAATAGAGGTGAATCTGTCATTACAATACTTTTCTATTATGATTACCAACAGAATTTGTAGTATTAATATAAAAAATCCTCTCATCCTGTCATCTAATATATATTCACAGATCCTTCTCTTAACTTTCTGTAAATGAGGACAATTGCAGTTCTATGACTGTTATTAATACTTTCCTGACAACCTTTGAAATCTCTACATTTCTACTATAAAGCCTGTCCGTTGGCTTTCTGCACACCTCTGTCTGTCTCTCTCTCTCTTTTTTCTGTGTCACTTTCTCCTCTTTCTCTCTCTGTTCCTTTCCCTTGGATTTCTCATTCACTCCTAATTTTAATTATTACATATCTGTTGGTAGGTCCTACAAGTAAATCTCCTGCCCTTAGCAGCAGCTCCAAGTTTGTCTTATATTTTTCTGCTGAAAATTTACATGACAAACTTAAATGTATGAATTAAACATACTCTCACTCCTCTTGATTGAGGCCTTTCCCCGCTTTTTACTTTTTCTGTTATTTCTTCTCCCGTCCTCACATCAAAGTTAGAAGACTGCACTTGTGTTCTCCCACTTACCACTCCCATGTCCTTCTCAACATCATAGCACTGAAACTGCTCCTTTCAACATCAACAATAGGAATGCTTCTTAATACATAATAAATATTAAACCATATCTGTCACATAATTGATAATTTGACCTATTTACATAATGAAACACCACAACTAAATATTTATCTTTCAGCTTAAAAAAACACTTTATTGAGGTATGATTGCTATGTAAAAAGCTATACATATTTAAAATGTCCACAATTTGATGCATTTGGTGATTAGTATATGTCCATAAACCATCACCACCATGAAGGCCATAAACATATCTATCACCTCCCAACTTCCCGAAGTTTCCTCCCATTCTTATCATAATTTTTTTCTTTTGTTGCAAGCATGCTAAAGATCTATCTTCCTAGAAAATTTTATGTATACAATACAGTATTTCTAGCTATAGACACTATGCCGTATAGTAGAGTTCCAGAACTGATTTACCTTGCGTAATTAAAACTTCACAACCTTTGACCAAAACCTCCACATTTCCCTTTCCCCAAGCCTCTAGCAACCACCATTTTGCTCTCTGATTTTATGAGTTGGACTATTTAAGATTCATGTATACATGGAAACATATAATGTTTGTTTTTTTCTGTCTGTCTTATGTCACTTAGCATAATGATTTCCAGGTTTGTCCATGTTGTCACAAATCAAAAATGGCAGTATTTCCTTGTTGAATTGAACCCTTTATCATTATGTAATGCTCTTCTCTTTTGATTATTGCTGATTTAAAGTCTGTTTTTGTCTGAAATAAGAATACCAGCCCCTGCTCTTTATTGCTTACTGTTTGTTTGACAGATTTTTCCTTATTTCTTTACTTTGAACTTATGGGTGTCATTGCATGTGAGATGGGTCTTTTGAAGACAGCATATAGTTGGGTCTTGCCACTCTATGACTGTTAAGTGGGGTGTCTAGCCCATTTATATTTAAGGTTAATATTGATATGTGTGGGTTTTGTACTGTCGCTGTGTTGTCAGCTGGTTGTTATGTAGACTTGATCGTATAGTTGCTTATAGTGTCAATGGTGTATGTATGTAGATAGATTTTTGTGGTGGCCAGGAATAGTCTTTTGTTTTCCTGTTTAGCTCGCCCCTAAGGACCTTTTGTAAGGCAGGTCTGGTGGTACCAAATACCCTTAGCATTTGTTTGTCTGAAAATATTCTATTTCTCCTTCATTTACGCAGCTTGTTTAGAGTGGCTATGACATTTTTGGTTGAAATTTCTTTTATTTAAGGATGATGCATATAGGCCCTCATTCTCTTCTGGCTTGCACAGATTCTTCAGAAAGGTTTTCTGTTAGATTTATGGGGTTCTCTTTGTACATGGCCTGCCTCTTATCTCTAGTTTTTTGATATTTTTCTTTGGGATTGACTTTGAAGACTCTGATAACTGTGTGTCTTGGGACTGGTTGTCTTACATAGTATCTCACAGGGGTTCTCTGAATTTCTTGAATTTGAATGTTGACCTCTCTCGCAAGGTTGGGAAAATGTTTGTGGACAATATTCTCAAATATGTTTTCCAATTTGCTCTCTGTCTTCCTCTCCTTCAGGGATACCAATGAGTCCTAGGTTTGGTCTTTTTACATTATCCCATATTTCTTGGAGCTTTCATCATTATTTTTATTCTTTTTTTTCTTTTATACTTTTGTCTGATTTGATTTGAATAACTGGTCTTTGAGCTTTGAGATTATTTTCTCAGCTTGGTCTATTCTTGTGTTAATATTTTTGATTGTATTGTGAAATTTTTGTAGTGAGCTTTCCAGCTCTAGCAGTTCAGTTTTGTTCCTTCTTAAACTGGCTATTTTGTCTTTTCAACTCTTCTATCACTTTACTGGATTCATTAGATTCCTTGGATTCGGTTCAACTTTCTCCTAAATCTCAATAATCTTTGTTGCCATCCAGATTCCGAATTCTATATCTGTTGTTCCAGCCATTTCAGTCTAGTTAAGAACCATTGCTGGTGAGCTAGTGCAGTTGTTTGAAGGTAAGAAGACACTCTGTCATCTAGAATTGTGATCCCTATAATCCCCACATTTCACAGGAGGGACACGGTGGGAGGTGATTGGATCATGGGGGCAGTTTCTCCATGCTTTTCTCATGATAGTATGTGAGTTCTCATGAGATCTGATGGTCTTACAAGTGTTGAACAGTTTCTCCTTCCCAAGCTCTCTCTCTCTCTCATTGCCTTGTGAAGAAAGTGCCTGCTTCCACCATGATTGTAAGTTTCCTGAGGCCTCCCCAGCCATGTGGTAATGTATGTCAATTAAAACCTCTTCCTTTATAAACTACCAAGTCTCAGGCATTTCTTCATAGCAGTGTGAAAACGGCCTAATACACTCTTGCTTTTTTAGTTGCCAGAGTTCTTATGCTTGTTATTTCTCAACTTTGATGTCTTTGAGGGCTTTATCATGGTATAATTTGGGTTCAGTTGACTGGCTTCCTTTTTGTGTCATTTCAGGAGGCCAAGGCTCATCTCACCACTCCCGGACTGTGTGCTCTAACCCTGGGGGTCAGGGACCAGGCCTATGGCATTTGTTCTATGGCCCCTCAATGTTGAGCACCTCCTGAGCTGGAAGAATTGAGGTGTTCCTGGTCGGCTAGCAGGAACACTTAGATTTGTGGTTCTGGCAAAAGCACTTCGTTGGGGTGGTGGCATTGGGGTCTGTGCTCACGCACATGTGCTGGTGGCAGCAGGGTGGTAGTGTGGTGGTATTCAGCACATGTGGCAGAGGCAGCAGGGAGGCAGCACTGTGGGGTCCACACATGCGCATGCACCTGCAGTCGCAGGCAGTGTCACAGTGGGGTTTACGTATTCCAGCAGGGATGGGGCAGTCAGTGTTAGATCCATCTGTTCACATGCAGAGGTAAAGCAGTCAGAGGAAGCTGAATGATTGCACATCAGCAAAGTATTGGTAGTAGGCTGCAGTTGAATGAGCACCATCAAAGTATTAGGGGGAGGATGCAGGTGGTTTTGTGCTGGTGGGGGACCATCAGCAGAAGCTCTCTGATGGTTAGGTAGGGGTCTGCCAGTGAAGTAGTTGTGGCAGTGGCTGCTGTGAAATGCCTCAGTTGAGCATCCGAGGCTGTACTGCAAGCAGATATGGCCAGGTAGGGGCCCTGGCAAAGGCTGGTAGAGAGTGGGGCATTAAGGTCAGAATGACTCCATCCCACAGGCAAGGCAGCCCTGTGCTGTCAAGGTTCAACAGTCAACAAAGACCAAAGCCACCTAGAGGATCATGGTGAGATGGGGGTATAGGCATACTTGGCCATGCTCCACTGTAGCCATTCCCATGGCAAAACCTCTGGGCTCTGGACAGGCTAGAGTCCTGTTCCTGCCAACTCTCCAAGCAGCTCTCCCTACCAGCTCAAATGTCCAGGTGTGCAATTGAGTATCCTGCAGCCAGGATTCTGGAGGTCCCTGGCAAGAGTAGGCCACTCCACATCTATTTAACTGATCCATTCCCTAGTAATTGCTCAAGGTCAGGAATGAGTCTTGGTGGTTGGCCATGCCATGCAGGGTCCCCAGCTTCCTCTCCCTCAGCCCTTCAGCCCAGGGTGTACATCCTCTCGCTGTCCCCTCTCAGTGTATCCCTTCTGAAGGTCTGCCAGGGTATGCCAGTCTTCTTGATGGCCTGGTCTCTCAGTGGGATAAGCTCCTCTAGGTGCTTTTAGTTGGCCATCTTGGGTCTTCTGGTCAATACTTTTTTTAAAAAATAGTCATCTTGAAAGACATAAGGTGTTGTCTCATTGTGGTTTTGATTTGCATTTTCCTACTGCTTAGTAATGTTGAGCAACTTTTCAAATACCTCTTGGCCATTTGTAAGGTCCCCCAGTTTTCCCACTTTCCTTCTGAATCCTAAGTGAACACACAGAGTGCCCTGACTGCCCTGTGACCCGGCCAGCTGCAGATTTTTCCCAGCAGGCTTGAATGCAAAACTAGTCTTTGAACATTCCTAGGAACTGATACAAATATCTAGGTTGCTGCCCAAAGCACTGAAACAATCAACCCCTGGCCCTTAGCCATTAAACCGTCATACAAACTCCATACTCTGATTCTCCCACTGTAGACATACCTACTGGATTATTGCTTTCTTTCTCTGTCTTTCATGAGGATATGCTGCAGCACCATACAAGTAAGTTCTCCTAATACATGCTTTGGACAGATCACCCTAGATCACCCTGCTGTTTAGTGCTTCTTTCTTTGGAATCCCAACTGGCCCCATTTCCAGAGGGTTTGGGGCACTCCCTTATGGGAACTCCCCTAATGCTGCTTTTGAGACAATTCCAGTCATAAGTTTGTCAGAAAGAAACAGAATTTGTCCGTCTTCTGTGGAGAAAGTACTTCTTAAATATCAGTGACTCCTTTGGCTTTTGTAATGTTAGTTTTTCCTTTTCAGTTTTGTATCTCACTCTTTATTATTTTTTCTGTATTTCACTCATGGATTTTCCTCCTCTCCTTAAAAGAAAATGTTCCTCCAGAGTCTCCTATTGGGCTCTCGCTTTTCTTTTCTACATGCACATTTAAGAGAGCTTACCCACTTGCATGGCATTAGCAAACATTTTCTCAGAAGACTTACATAACGATCATGAAGATTTGAATATTTTTTTGTGACCAGATATCTTATCTAGCCTCCTGATGGACATATCTGCTTCAAAAGTAACTCGAACTTGGAAGTTAGACTGCTTTAGTTTAAATCCTGATCTGCCACCTATAAGTCCCTGGACCTTAAGATACCTGTATTAAGTTTTCTAGGGCTGCCATAACAAAATACCACCAACTGGGTGGCTCAAACCACAGAAATGTATTTTCCTACATTTCTGGAGGCTAGAAGTCCAAGACTAAGGTGTCAGCAGAATTGATTTTGAGAGGTGAAGCCAACTGGGCTTCTGGGTCGGGTGGGGACTTGGAGAACTTTTCTGTCTAGCTAAAGGATTGTAAACACACCAATCAGTGCTCTGTGTCTAGCTAAAGGTTTGTAAACACACCAATCAGCACTCTGTAAAAACGGACCAATCAGCGCTCTCTGTCTAGCTAAAGGTTTATAAAAGCACCAATCAGCACTCTGTAAAAATGCACCAATCAGCACTCTGTGTCTAGCTAAAGGTTTGTAAATGCACCAATCAGCACTCTGTAAAAATGCACCAGTCAGCACTCTGTGTCTAGCTTAAGGTTTGTAAATGCACCAATCAGCACTCTGTAAAAAATGGACCAATCAGCACTCTGTAAAATGGCCCAATCAGCAGGACGTGGGTGGGGCCAAATAAGGGAATAAAAGCTGGCCACGCGAGCAAGCAGCGGCAACTTGCTCCTGTCTCTTTCCATGCTGTGGAAACTTTCTTCTTTCACTCATCACGGTATTGCTGCTACTCACTATCTGGGTCCACACTACCTTTATGAGCTGTAACACTCATTGCGAGGGTCTGCAGCTTCATTCCTGAAGTCAGTGAGACCACAAACCCACTGGGAGGAACAAACAATTCCAGAGACACCACCTTTAAGAGCTGTAACACTCACTGCAAAGGTCTGTGGCTTCACTCCTGAAGTCAGTGAGACCATGAACCCACCACAAGGAAGAAACTCCAGACACATCTGAACATCTGAAGGAACAAACTCTGGACACACCATCTTTAAGAACTGTAACACTCACCACGAGGGTCTGCGGCTTCATTCTTGAAGTCAGCAAGACCAAGAAGGAACCAATTCCGGGCACAGTTTTATTCTGAGGCCTCGCTCGCTGGTTTTCAGATGGCTGCTTTCCTGCTGTATCTTCACAGGGTTGTTCCTGGTCAGTGTGTTGTCTGGGTCCTAATCTCCTCTTCTTATAAGGACAACAGTCATACTTTATTATTGCTTACCCATATTATCTCACTTTACTTTACCTCTTTAAAGATCTTGTCTACAAATACAGTCACATTCTGAAGTATGGGAAGTTAATACTTCAATGTATAAATTTTGATGGAACACAATTTGGCCTATAACAATGTCCTTGGTTCCTTAATCTGTAAAGTAGAGCTACAAATATGATAACTAACAGAGTTGCTTCCAGATTAAGTGAGATAATACATATAGAGGTTGAAAAGTGATTAATAAATGTTAGCTACTATTATTACTAAAAGGTAAAGCCTTACCCTCATCACATTTAACCTCAACTAAAACAATAAATTATCAACACCTAGACGCCATTCTTTCTACCTTTATATTTATCTTCCACACTGCTTGTATGATTATTTCATTTTGTTTAAAAGCTTTCAATGATTCCTGTTTGTATCATTCAGACACCTTAGAAAGATGTCCAAAACTCTCTAAACCGACAATTACACTTTTTCAACTGAATCTTTTACCAGTCCCTGATTAACATTTCGCTTTGCAGTATAAATTTTCTGTTTATAGTTACTTATAAAATATGACATTTAATGCTTCTGAATTTTTATAAAGATTGCTCCCTCTATTTGAAACATAAAGACTATCTTTCTTCACTGATTTTTGCTTTTACTCATCCATCAAGTGTCAGTTCTGTAAACAAATCATTCAAAAAATATTTTTTCAAACTCTTAAATTGGGCTATTTGTCCAAATTTCATTCCATCTGTGCCATATCAGTAATATATTTGCTAGATTTTCTTGCAATTGTCTACCTGTGTGCCAAACATTTCTATTAGAATGCAAACTCCTTATACGCAGAGCTATATCTGATTCATTGGACAGTAATTATATTGGTTTCCATATGCTACTACATAGATTGGAATGTCTGAATAATAGAGTTAATCAGTTTGTAGAAGCTAAGTACTGAACATTGCATTGGGATACATTCTATAACTCTCAGTTCAAAAGTCTTTCAATGTAAATGGATATCTTGCATTCTGAAAAGTTTTAGTGTTAACACCTTTCCTCCTTTATGAAATAATGGTTATGATAGATAATAGTTTTGCTTGTATATAATTGTTAATATTGTTATTTGGCAAAATAAAATGGATCACCTGTTATATGTTTTCTATTCCACCCCCCAATTTTATTTTGAATTTTTACAAGGACGTGGAATTTAAAGGTCTATTCGATTGTAGCATACTCACCAAAAAAAAAAAAAAAAAAGGCTTTGGGGTCAGGGTACTTGTATCCTGGTTGTTTCTAGATTATGGCCTTTGGAAAAATGCCAGACTTAGTCTCAGCTTTTTCATTGCACAAAAAAGATGTATGCTCTTGCTGTATAGGGTTGTTGTGAGGATTAGATTTTGTGCTGAGCACTCAAAATGCTTAGCACAGTGCATCAAAACTTGATAAATAGTGATATTATTTCTGTCGCACTGAGTAATACCATTGATGTTAGTGATCTTTGAACTCAAGGTACTTAGTGCCTGGTTATCAATAAATGATGATTAAACTTAACTGTTTAGCATATCTTGTCAAATCAATCTCCTGAACACCACTACTATAGTTTATAGATCCTCATTGTTGACCACTTTGCACACTGCAAAGGCTGGTCCCTGGTTTTTATCATATACTACTGCCAAGTTCCCGTAATAAACTACCTTTTCTTATCTGCCACTGACTTTTCTTAGATGCCTTTTGTTTCCATTTTAAGAAATTATGATTCTTTCTCTCTTTCATCTGTCTTCATCATC
Organism: Homo sapiens; assembly: GCF_000001405.40. Taxonomy (NCBI): domain Eukaryota; kingdom Metazoa; phylum Chordata; class Mammalia; order Primates; family Hominidae; genus Homo; species Homo sapiens. The sequence continues at coordinate 114,948,838 of NC_000008.11, read as the reverse complement.
ATTATCTATTATATATTTCTATTTGTCTGTCTATATCTATCCAATTGAATTGATATTATTTTCTTTTGACCTATCTAGGATATATACTATTTATTTGACAGCGAGAAATGTCTTTAAGACAGAACTGAAATGTCATGTTTGCTATTATCTTTTGCTGACCACTCCCTACATCATACCTAGGAATAGTAACTGTTGTCTGTGTGTTTTGCAAGTTTGTACCAAGCTTCATTTAAGCACTTATATCTTTAAAAGTTAGCATTAATCTTTATCATCTTTGTTTACATATTGAGCTCTTCTAAGGTAATGGCTATAGGTTATTCATTGAAACATCTTCCAGCAACCAGGAAAAGGTCTAATACATAGTCAATGATTACTTAAAAAATGTCGAATAGAATATTTTAATCTTCTAGGCTTACGATTTTGGAACTTAATCTAGCTCACTTTCTAGCCCGTTATTTCTAATTATAGCAACTTCCGGTCTCTTCACTTTTAATTTTAAGAATTTATACCTGAAAATTAAAAATCTGCTAAACTGATATGATAACCTCTAAGGAAAAGTGCTGAGAAGGCATAATATCATCTATGTAGCATTGTTGCCAGCAGGGTGTAACTTTAATGATGAAGAAACAATTAAACAAATGAAAGTTACAGGATATTTTGCAAAGCCACTAAGATTTTTTTTTTTTAAATCAATACTATGAAGAACTACAACAATTATAAAATGAGGGTTGGGAGACTCTTGTGGTTTAAAGAAACACGTCAATTCAGTTTTGTAATCCTTGTTTGATTCTTGTTTCCAAAACCAGAAAAACAATTATAAAATAAATACGGGATACCTTGTGCTATTTGAATATGAAATTTATACTAGATAATTGAATTTTATAATATCAAATTTATTGAGAAGGTAATATATTTTTGCTATGTAGAGACTTTCCTCATTACTGAGATACACAAATTAAAATATTGAACAATAGTTTCAAGGTGTGTGCAGGCGAACCTAATGGTAGGACAAATATATACATATACACACGTATGCATATGTATACACACATATATATCTTTCTCTATATTTTTATATATATATACACACTATATATATATGGTAAAAAAGATAAAGCAATTGTACAAACATTTATCATGGCTGAAAATTAAATACGGATGTTTGTTATAATTTTTCAACTTTTTATATAATTGAAATTATTCAATATAAAAAGTTGCTGTTGCAGTGTCGGTTCTCCTGGAAGGAGACAGCATGACAGAGTTAGATTTACTAGGGAGCCATCAGACTGCAATGCAAGTCTGGAAAAGTCTCTCTGTCAGTTCCATAAGGAGCTCCACGGCAAAGAGCCAGTTAGAGAAGTCCAGCATTGGGTGTAAATGTTCCTTGTGCCACTGCTTTTCTCAGGCATTCATTAGTTATGGCCCTGCAGAGAAAAGCTTGACTAGACTCAAAAGTAGAACAAGACCTTATGTAATACAACAGCGCTCAACTAATCACAAAGACTCTCAACTATCAGACTCTCAACTAATCACAAAATTTACAGCTGTGCAGATCGCCTTTAAGAAATATCTGTGTGGTGGCTGGGTGCAGTGGGTCACGCCTTTAATCCCAGCACTTTGGGAGGCCGATGTGGGAGGATCACGAGATCAGGAGTTCAAGACCAGACTAGCTAATATGGAGAAACCTCGTCTCTACTAAAAATACAAAAAGTAGCCAGGAGTTGTGGTGTGTGATTGTAATCCCAGTTACTTGGGAAGCTGAGACAGCAGAATTGCTTGTACCAAGGAGGCAGAGGTTGCAGTGAGCCGAGATCACACCACTGCACTCCAGCCTGGATGACAGAGCAAGACTCTGTCTCAGAAAAAACAAAACAAAACAAAACAAACAAAAAAAGAATATCTGTGTGGTTCATCTTGTCTGCCACAATCAAGTTAGTAATAATAATATATTTGCATTCTTTTGCATAACAATTTGTAGTATAGTTCCTAAATTTAATTCTACATTTAAGTAAGTTGACTATTCACAGTTTTCTTATTCATGTGTTCCTTATGTCGATTTATTTCTTGGTTGACTGATATATGTTTATATTCATAGTTTTGAAAGATTACACATTTCCTGGCATCTTTAATTGTCCCGATATTGCTGTCACATGTGGAGACCACTTGACTGGTTGGATAATTCTTTGGTCACAGTAAATTTTTCCAAAAACAGTGTGCTCAATCTTCCTCAAACTTTTAAACAATTCCCTTTATAAGTTATCATTTCGTCTTTTGCCTATCTCCAACACTCTAAACAAGTGTTATTTATATAATAAAAAACATATAAAAGACTTACTGATTGAGAGATATTCCATGTTCATGGATAGGAATGCTTAGTAATATCAAAATGTCAGTAATTTCCAAAAATTGTTCTGTAGATTCAGTGCAATCCCAGTAAAAATCACAGCAAGTTATTTTGTGGAAATCAGCAAACTAACTCTAAAGTTTACATAAGAAAAGATAAAGGAAAAAAGAGAGAAAACCAAATTTCATGTTTGCATTAGTGCCTCTTTAATGCTATAGCTAGTTTCTAAATAAGAGTTTATCAATCTATTCAGTTTTAACTAGTTTGACCATAAGGTAAGATTTTCATAAACTTTTTAGAACCCTTTACAATTTTCTGTTAACAGCAGATCAATTTTCTAAGAAAACTCCATTATTCTGACACATGGGCCCAGATTCTGGCCCTGCATTAATGTGCTTTTATTTTAATGTTCAACATATGGAAAAAAATTAAATAATCCCCTTCAAGTCTTAGCCAACTTACTCATACCCACAGAACTTTCTTCATAAGACCAACCCTTCACAAACCCTTTTCAACTTCCTTAAACCTTCAGTTTTGTCCCAATATTCTTTTAGGTTAAGACAATCTTTAAATCCCTCTAAACTAGACAAAATTATATTCTGCTTAACAGAAGCCACATTTCCATGCCGACTTATAATCTTTTACCAAAAACACATACTACTATCCTTACATACTTTGGATGTAAAACCATTTCTCCAGTAGTCTCAGTCACATGTTGCAATGTTAACCCTTAGCAACTTTTATTTTTGGTGAAAAGCCCGACAAGTAAGAGATTTTAATTACGTACTATGTGTGGGGCCTAGGAAGCCAAATGGAAGTGAAGATAAGATCTGACTCTTTCTAGTATAGCTAGGAGGCATGGCTAACTTCACATGTCCCCAGCCCTTATCTAGAATCTAATGCTCCAAAGTAAGTAAATTGAACAATTTTCAAAAGTCAAGGAAGCAGTTTACAACCTTAAAGCATTTAGCAAATCTAATATCTGACCTTTAGACCAAATGTCTACATTTTGAAGACATTTTTATTTTACCAATAATCTTTAAAACTGTCTTTATTTCCAAAAGATTACTAAAGTCACGTGAATAAAAAAGCATTAAAGTTTCTATTTTTCTAACAACAACAACAAAAAAGAATGATACAATGAACTTTGGGGACTTGGGGGAAAGTGTGGGAGGCGGGTGAGGGATGAAATACCACAAATGATGTACAGTGGATACTGCTCAGGTGATAGGTGAACTAAAATTCTCACCAATTACCATTAACGAACTTATTCATGTAACCAAACACCACCTGTTCTCCAAAATCTTAGGGAAATTAAAAAAAAAGTTACTCTAAAAAGCATAGTTTACATAGAGAGGCAAGATACAACATAGCCAACACAATATTGAAGAATAGCAGTTAGAGGATTGATGCTACCTGATTTCAACAATTATTATAGAGCTCCAGTAATTAAGACAATGTAACATTGGCAAAAGAATAAACGAATGATGAACAGGATAGAATAGAAAGCCTAGAAATAAACATACATACATAAAATCAACTGATATTTGACAAAAGCTAAAGGCAATAATATACAGCGAAAATAGTTTTTTAGACAAAAGTTGAGTCTAGTTGCTAGAACAACTTGATATCCACAAATAAAAACAGTCAGTCTGGACCTTGACCTCATACCCTTCACAAAAATTAACTAAAAATGAATCACAGACCTAAATTTAAAATGCAAAACTACAAAAGTTTTAGATGATAACAGGAGAAAAACTAAATGACCCTAGGTATGTCAATGACTTTTTAGACAACAACAAAGACACAATCCATGATAGAAAGAATTGATTAGCAAGGCTTCATAAAAATCAAAAATGTTTGCTATGTCTGTGCAAGATTGTAAAGAAAATGAGAGGAAGAAAAAATATGGATTGGAAGAAAATCTTCACAAAATACCTATATGATAAAGGACTGTTATTTTAAATATACAAATGACTTTCAAAACTCAAAACACTATTTAAAAATTGGCAAAAGAACTTAGCAGATACCTCAACAAAGAAGATATATGATGGGTAGTAAACATATGAAAAGATGCTCTACATCATATTTTATTAGGGGAATTCCAAGTAACAATGAAATACTTCATGTCTGTTAAAATGTCCAAAATCCAGAACTCTGAGATCATAAATTCTTAGCAACAAGAATTCTTAGTCATTACTGGTGAGATTGCAAAATGGCGCAGTCAGTTTGGAAGACAATTTGGTGGTTTCTTACAAAACTAAACTCAGTCTTACCATATGCTCCAGCAGTCATGCTCTTTGGTATTTAGTCTGATGAGTTGCTAACTTATGTCCACACAAAAACCCGCACATGGATGTCTATGTAGCCTTTTCATAATTGCCAAAATGGGAAGTAACCAAGATGTCCTTCAGCAGGTGAATGAATAAATATATCCATTCAGACAATGGAATATCATTCAGCACTATGAAAATGGGTTATGAAGCCATGAAAAGACACGAAAATAACTTAAATGCATATTACTAAGAAGGAAGTGTGGACAGGCTACATACTGGATGATTCCAAGTACTTGGTATCCTGAAAAAGACAGAACTATGGAGACAGTAAAAAGATCAGTAGTTACCAGAAATTTATAGGGAGAGAGGGATGAATATATGGAGCACAGAGGATTTCAGGGCAATGAAACTATTCTATATGACACTATTATGGTGAGTACTGGTCAGTACGCATTTGTTAAAACCCATAGAGTATACAACGCTAAGACTAAACCCTAACGTGTACAATGGATTTGGGTAGTAACATGTTTATGTATGTCCATCAGTTGCAATAAATGTACCGCTCTGGTGCAGAATATTCATAGGAGAGGAGGCCATGGGGAGCAGGTGAGGGGGTATGTGGGAATTTTCTGTGCTTTCTATTCTGTTTTCCTGTGAACCTGAAACTTGCCTTAAAAATAAAAGCTATTTAAAGGAGAAAAAAAAAATCTAAACCACTTGTGTTTTATTTTTTTCCTTGCTTTGTGTGATTTTATTATTTATTTATTTATCCAACTTTATTTTTGGTTCAGGGGGTGCTTGCGCAAGTTTGTTACGTGGGAAACTTGCTCATTGTGGGAGTTTGGTGTATAGATTATTTTGTTACCCAGGTAATGAGAATAGAACTCAATAGGAATTTTTTTTTTTTTGTACCCTTGCAGTCCTCCCACCCCCACGCCTCAAGGAGCCTCAAGTGTCTATTTTTTCCTTCTTTGTGTCCAAATTTACTCAGTGTTTAGCTCCCACTTATAAGAGCGAACACGCAGTATTTGGTTTTCCATTTCAGTGTTAATTTGTTTAGGATAATGGCCTCCAGCGAAACTATTTTTTATAACATCATTGGATATTAAAAGTTATTTTTAGGCCGGGCGCGGTGGCTCATGCCTGTAATCCCAGAACTTTGGGAGGCCGAGGCGGGCGGATCACGAGGTCAGGAGATCGAGACCATCCTGGCTAACAAGGTGAAACTCCGTCTCTAATAAAAAATACAGAAAATTAGCGGGGCATGGTGGTGGGCGCCTGTAGTCCCAGCTACTCGGGAGGCTGAGGCAGGAGAATGGCGTGACCCCTGGAGGCGGAGCTTGCAGTGAGAAGAGATCGCACCACTGCACTCCAGCCTGGGCGACAGACTGACACTCCGTCTCAAAATAAAATAAAATAAAATAAAATAAAATTATTTTTAATCTTTGCTAATCTGACAAGTGAATCCTATTTTACCTACACTTTAAGATTTTAACAAATAGATTTGTCATTTGGATTTCTTCACTTGTTAACTTCCTATATATTTCTATTCTTTTTTTCTAATAATCTATAAAGACTCTTTATATAATAAAGATAGATTCCTTTGTTATGTGCAATATTAATCTTGTTTATTATCTTTTAACTGTGCTCATGGTATATTTTGTCAGAAGTTTTAATACATTGTCAAGTCTATCTTTTAGTTTCATATCAAGATTATACAAATATTCTCTTGTATCTGTTTTCAACATTTTTGTAGTTTCAATCTATTTGGAATTTCATGTTTTTCTTTCATGTGATATAGGTGTTTCATGTTGTGTATCTAGTTTTATATTTTTTCTAAATAGATGTGGTATTTATTGAATAAACTTTTCCATAAACTTAAAATATCTTGTCAAATTGTTTATAAAGTGACCTTTTTTGAATTAAAAAGTAGACATATTAAATATTTCTCAGACCTAAAGTGCCCTTCCGAATACATTTCTATTATATGGTTCTTTTATTTTATTATTTTATTATTATTTTTTTCTCCCATAATGCTTGTGAAATTCTTCAACATTAAAAATTTTAATGTAAAATAGACAAATGTTTACTACTTTTTAAACGTTGTCTGTATTGAGAAATACAATATAGTGGTAACATACATTAATGCAGTAAGAAATGATATTAACAGATATATTATATATATTAAACATATAACACAACTAAAAAATACTAACATATCTAGAAAAGGACAGAATTCAGTAGCAGAGAAATGATTTTTCAAAAAATTATTTAAATGATTAATTAAAAATTACACATCTTTACTTTTGAAAATCAGAACCAAAATTTACAGGATATTGCATTTGGACCAGAATTTAAATCTAAGTCCTAATTGACTTCATTGAGTACCCTAGCTTTTCTGAGAGTGTTTTCTTATCTATAGAATGGTAAAGTTAACATCACCCCATTACAATGTTTGGAAATAAAACAAGTAATGCTTCAAGAATTTTTAAGCTGTAAAATTTGTAAACATATACCACAGTATAGCATAACTACTATTATTTTGATGTAAAAATGATTATCTTTAGTTGTCAGAGCTTAGAATTATGATTATTTGCCTAGCTATTTCAATTTCTCAGTGTTGCAAGACTAAGAATATGCTATGTCATATTTCTGTAGTAGGAGCTGTGGCCAGCATTTTTCTCTTGAAATGTGTGCAAACCAATAATACATGCCTCTCTCAAAGCTTGGGAGGATTAGGGACTGCTGTTCCAGATATGCAAATGCTCAAGGGCACGTTTCTGAATAGATACTGTACTGCCTTAAAGATAAACAAAAAGAAATGTGAATGTAGGAGCTTGGATTTTATTCAATGTGTCCCGCCATTTCAGCAGCATGGGGTGTACACTGAACTTGATGTGGTGGCAGTTAGCGGTAGCAACTCATGAATGTAGACAGATTTATGCAGGGTGACCTTCATGACTCAATGTGCTTGGGAGCTTTGTGATTTCCACAGGGGTTACTAATGGGACATTCCATTGACAAGCACAATGAGTGTTCTACCTCCCTGGCATTTTTAGAGCACTTCTTTATGCATCAGAAAATCCCAGACTTTCAAGGGCTGCTTTCTAAAGAGACACGCTACTCTATGAATTTTGCAGAAGATAAAGTTCATCTGCATACTTGTCAGTTAGCTAGCCACTATCTCAGAGTCTCTTTTATTTTTAAGCATTTTTGCTACTTCACAGCCATGATGAAAATCCAAATTTAAATTTCTGTTTTAAAAATAATTAAATCCATTTTAGGATTAAAATGAATAGGGCCTCATATGTTAACTGTTTGTAGGAGGTTTTAAAAAAAATTGATCCCAGAATCAAAGGGCATTGAGGCAATGCAGATATGACAAACCATATCCAAATGACTTCATTTTCCTATGGAAAGTGTTGCTATTTAAGTAGATCAGTGAAGTGCAAGGGCAGTAGGCTGCTGTATCTAGATTTCAACCAGACATTTTTTAAACCCAGTATTAATTCCACTTTAGAAAACTTGGAATGATTCTGGTGTCCTAAAAGCAAGCTATTATTGAATGGATTTTAGTTGCAAAGCAAGTTTCCAAAGATGTGCACCAATATCCACTCTGTTCTTTTCATACTTCTGTTGGTTTATTGAATGGTATTACAAAAAGATCTTTAGCAAACTTATGGAAGGGGAAAATATGTTCAATTACAAACATGGTCAAAAAGACTTTTATATGCTAAAACAGTGAACTAAAGCTAAAATGATAATGTGTAGCATGGAGAAATAGTTCTGATTTCTGGTGAAACTGGAAATATTTAGCTTGGGAAACAGAATAATTCAGAAGTAAATGAGATGAGAGCTAATTACAAAATAGTCAACGGTCTGTACTGTAGAAGAAAGAAGTATCAGAGACACCAGACATATAAGTGGAATCAATGATGTAGTGTGTATAGACACTAATTTGGACTGTATGTAAACATTGAAATATAACTTTCCAAAAAAAAAAAAAAAAAAGGAGGTTTCTTCAAGAAGTGTGAGAATGTGCCTATTATTGGTGATATCCTAAGAGATGCGGAAGACATTTGAATTATCTGTGTCTAAGAAATTAGAATGAAAGGCCTTTGAGCTATGCCCTAGGTCTGAAAGTCAATGTTTTTTTAACAATTGAGATCGGCTAATTTTGAAATAGTTAAAAGAGGGTCGCATTCTACTTTAATGCCTTTCTTCTCCTTTTTTTTAAATTAATTATTGTTATTATTATTTTGAGACGGAGTCGCCGGTCTATCACCCAGGCTGGAGTGCAGTGGCGTGATCTCGGCTCTCTGCAACCTCCGCCTCCCGGGTTCACGCTTCTCCTGCCTCAGCCTCCCGAGTAGCTGGGACTACAGGCACCCGCCATCACGCCCGGCTAATTTTTTTTTTTTTTTTTTGTATTTTTAGTAGAGACGGGGTTTCACTGTGTTAGCCAGGATGGTCTCGATCTCCTGACCTTGTGATCCACCCGCCCCGGCCTCCCAAAGTGCTGGGATTACGGGCGTGAGCCACCACGCCCAACCTCTTTTCCTTTTAAAGTCCAATATTAGTACGTCAAAATGTATTTTACTTTAAAAATAATATAGAATCATTGTGCTATTAATTCTTCTCACCAAAGCACTGGAAATAGTATCCTAAGATATCACATTCAAGATTTTACTGCTTAAAAAATCAAGAACACAATTTATTATTTTCATACAATCAACACTTCTTCCTTCACCATTGAACGTAAAGTAAAATAAAAAACAGACAATTACCAAAAGAGGAACTAAGCTTATTTTCAATATATTTTTCCTGATTCCAATTGCAGTAATCATGTTTTTCAAACAAGCCTTAGTGCTACATGTTTCTATAGCATACCAATCTTTACTATTCATAGCACTCCACCTTGAAATTTTGACCAATGTCTGTCTTCTTTTCTACATAGTAAGTGGCAGAGGAAAATGCATATATCCATATTAAAAAATATTCCTCAGCATCTGGCAAGGTATCCTTCCATTTTTTTGCTACATAAATAAATAGATAAATAAACACATTCTTTTATACGTGAATTTTGTTGTTCACATCTCTTCTCATCCTACAATTTGTACAGAATTCCACTACGTCTTACTGAATTGAATAAATGCTATATTTGTCTGTACGTTTAAAATATTCACAAAATTCTCTGAAGGTGTGACTTTAAATCATAAGAGTTCCTTTAATCCTTCAAATTACCTTTTAATGGCATGGAATGTGTTTGCTTCCATTAATTCTTCATATTCATGAATTCTTTTAAATAGTTTTTAACTTTTAAAAGTATGTTTATTTTTCTTTGATCTGAACTCTCTGCACTTGGTATAACATTCTTCTTGCTCTTAACATGTGATAATATACACTTTTGCAAGCTTTTCACATAAATCACTTTATTGATCTGATATATGAATTCATATTCATCTCAATTTAATTTCTCTTATGATACTGTTATGTTTTAAGTCTATAGAGGAACTGAACTAATTTTTTTACCCTTCAAAATAAGAAATACCTTTGACTCAATATTTTTAATGATTTCCATGGAAAATTATGTGTATTGCAAAATACTTTCTACAAACTTATGACAATTGAATGCATTATTTTTTACATAGTGGATTTGAGATAACCATGTAATAGCAGAATCCTAGGATGGACCACAAGATTTACTGACTCATTGTAAACACGCTCTGCATAATTCTCAAGATTTTTGAATATAGTGAATTTCAATCCCATGATTAGAATATTTTGTAGATCAAAAGGGATTTTGCAGACATAACTGAGGTCTTGAATTAGTTGACCTAATGATAGAGAGCAATTATTTAAGTGGGTCTGACCTAATCACATAAGTTTTATAAAAGCACTATTTTCTGCAGGCAGGTAGCAGAAGACAGTCATAAATATGCTGCAGGTTGCCTGGGAGAAAGCAATCACTCATGTTGTGAATTGTCTATGGTTGCTACATGGTAAAGAACTGCAGGCAGCATCTAGGAGCTGAGAGCTGATCCCAGCCAACGGCTAGAAAGATAATGGGGACTTCAGTCCTGGAGTTGCAAGAAAAGAAATTCCGCCCCAAACAAGTAAACCTGGAAGAGAATCCTGAGCCAAGATGAGAACCACAGCTCCAGCCAATGTCTTGCTTTCAGTACATTGAAACCCTGAGTAAAGAATCCAGCCATAACATGCCCCTATTTATGACCTATAGAACTTGTGAGATAATAAACTTGTGTTGGTTTAAGCTACTTCATTTGGGGTACTTTGTTACAGAGCAATAAAAAACTTATATGCTCACTCAGCAAATTTGTCATTTGAAGTTTTCATTAGAATTGAGAGTCAAAGAAAATCTTTCCAAAGGTTCTCCTGGAGGAAATGCCAAGGAATGTGCAAGTTTCAGGCTCAGCGGAAATCATGCAATACAATCTAGTTTATGAAGCTGACAGTCAGACAAATTAAATGTTTTTCCCTAAATCATTTGTAGGCATAATCAGGACTGGAACCAAGGTCCCATGGGTCCAAATCAATGCTCTTTCCACAGTAAACAGCCAATATATTTATTAATGATTGGAAAAGAAAAAAGTGATGCTAGTGGAAATTTTGTGTATATTATTTTTAATCGTTAATATATTTATAAAATAATTTATAGCTGCCTTCCCTCCCTTTCCTCCCTTCCCTCCTTCCCTCCTTCCTTTCTTCCTTCCTTTCTTCCTTTCTTCCTTCCTTCCTTTTTGTTATTTAGGATCTAGTCAAGGTTTACACATTGCATTTGACTGTGATATTTCTTTATTACCTTTTAATTTTTAACAGGACTTTTACTTCTTTAATTTCTTTCTATTACATTGACATTTTGAAGACTCTGGGAGTGTTGTCTTATATCTTATGCTCTGGATATAATTATTTATATTTCCTTTACATTTTCTTCTGTTGTCCGAATATTTTTTTATGAATATAAGTAAGTATATAGGTTGTATTAGATTTAGCTAAACATTGGCAAGAACACTTTACATGATGTATGAACTTCACAGAGCATTGGACCAGGGGACCCACGCTGTGAAGACATCCCCCATTAAAGAAACTAACTTTAATTAAGGTGATAAATGCCACTCTTCCCCCATTGTAAAGACACCTTTTTCTTCTGTAATTAGTGAATGATCTGTGGGTTGACACTCTGGCCTCATTTGGCTGCCCTATTACACATCACCAGTTTACCCAAAGCTTCTAGCTAGCATCCACTGATGAGCTTTCTGAGTCAATTATTTTGAAGGGCTTGTATTAGTTGTCTACCACTGCTATTTAAAACTCCCACATATCTAGCAGCCTAAAACAACACAACTTTATTACCTTACAGTTAGAATTCTGAAGGTCAGAATTCTGATGCAGGTCTCACTAGGTTACAATCTACTGGCTAGCAGGGCTTCATTCATTTCTAAAGGCACTATGGGAAAATCTGTATTTTTGTCTCTTTCCAATTTCTAAAGGCTACTCACAAGAATTGGCTGGTGACCCCTTGCTCCATCTTCAAGGGCAGTGACATCAGGTTAAGTCCTTTTCATCTTGTGTCTTTTTAACTCTCCTCCCATAGTCACATCTTCCTCTGACTGCAGCTGGTAAAGGCTCTCTGCTTTTAAAGATCAATATGAATAGATTGGACCTACCTACACAATCCAGTAAAATCTCCCCATCTCAGGGTCACATTTTAATTATATCTACAAAGTCTCTTTTGTCATGTAAAGTGACACATTCATAGGCTCCTGAGTTTAGGACTTAGGTATCTTTGGAAGACAATTATTTTGCTCTCCACAGGAATTACAAAATGCCAATTTAAAAAAATCTGTCATTTCTTCTTTGTGTATTATCTGGCATTTTCTGCACAGAAACACCACCCTCTCATTTTCTGTCTATGGATTCAAACATTATTTATAACCAAATAATCTTTGGGGTTTTTTTTTAGTTTTCAATTCTTTAGTTTTCCGTTTTGATTCTCAAATTGTCTTAAATTAGGGAATTTTGTTCGGTGAATTTAGATAATGTTATGGAATTATTGTAATTTTCTTAGATGTGATCATAGCATTGTGTTTATGCGGTGATGCGTGCTAAATTGTTTAGGGTAACGCCATGATAACTGCAACTTGCTGAGAACAAGCAAATCATGGCAGATTTTTACACTGTTTATTCTAAATGGAAGATATATCTCACTTTATTATTCTTTCAAACATTATGTATGCTTGAAAATTTTCAAACAAATGAGGAAATTACTATATCAAAGATATATTGTTATAATGTCAAAAAACTCATATTATAAAAAAGCTTAATTTTTTTCTCCTTATTTTATTTCCAGATAACTCACATCTTGAAGAAAATACAACCTCTTGTCTGGCTCACCATATTGAAAGAAAGGAGAAAGTCCGATTCTCCCACCAAGAGCTCTTCTTTCTGCTCATATCTCATTTTAGAACCTACGATGTCAGAATTCTCCAAAACACTGGAATAGCTTTCAGTGTCAGAAACTGAACTTCTGCACTTGGTTATATTGAAAACATAAGATTCTTAAGATTAAAAAAGAGAATAGGGTCACATGAGAGATGTATCATAGCATGCAAATGTTAAGTATGCCAAAAAGTCAACTTAATTGAAGGGCGTTGCTGGATGGAAGCAAATACCATAGCGAATCTTGCAAAAGAAGCATTATGTTTATGGTAGAGCTATGATTTATGTCCTATGAATATCCTCAAAGCCCCAGAATGAGACAAGAATTCTTCATTTGTTGCTTTATAATTTTCAAAGTTATGCCAATGATCTGACATTCACAATCCTGAGAAGTAGGTAAGAACAGTTACTTATTCCTTTAATAAATATTTGCTGAACTCTTGTACAATGTGCCAGGTATAGTGCTAGTTAAAAATTTCATATGTGCATTTAGCACTTAGTATATTCTGGCTATTAAACATTTGTGAGTATGAACTCACTCAGCACTCATAATTACCAAATGCGGTGAATTGTTCACATTTTGCAGAATGAGGGTCCAAACACACTAAATCAGATGTTGGAAGTCACACTACCATCTACTAGTGCCAAGGGTTCTTAATCAGGGGTCCATAGAGCCCTATCATTGGGTTTCAAATTTCCCAGGAGAAAAAGCCCATAGTTTATATCAGTGTGTCAAAAGTAACATATAACTTTAAAAAGTTCCACTGTTGTGTTAGGATTAGGGATTCATTGCTGATCAGGATCTGTAAGAGTAGTCCCAGCTCTCCTGACCCTCAGAGTTTATCAGCCAGAATAACTAGGCAGGCTCTTCTGTGCCTAATGAAAGGCTTTTCTCATCATACCCTTTTATCTGTTCAATAAATATAGATGTGCTGCATGATTTTTAAAAAATGTTTACATACCATTTGATTATATATGTTATTTATATCATTAACTGAAAATATGAAACATATTGTTAGTCTCTAGTGTGGATATTTAGTTGTTTTCTTCCTAATTTTTGCTACCTGCATGAAATAATTTTTGAATTTCTCATATATGACTTTTGCTAAAAATTTCCATTTGTGTATCATTTTATTGATTATAACAATTTTAAAAATATTTCTCTATAGTTTATTTCTGTTTATCTCTGAACTTTGCTTATAATACATATATTTTAATTTATAAGGCATTGTTTTCTGTCTCTATTTTTATAATTATATTTAGTTTTATTATAATGAAGTAAATATATTTTGTACTATATGTCATTTTTTGGAATTAATTTTTTTCTATCTTTATAGAATGTGTGTATGTATGTGCCTGAAATATACATATATGCCATAGACATTTATAGATATTTATATGTATATACCATACATATACATACACTAACACACATACGTATTTCTTATTTTAAAATATACATTTTTTTCAACTTGCTTAGTTAGAAATTTTAGTCTACAAATTCTGCTCATATTCCTTATATTGCTAGGATTTTTTCTCCATACATTTCAATGCCATGTTTATTAGGAAAAGTTACATATTTGTTGTGCATAGAATCTTTTATTACACTAAAGTCTTTTTCTTGGTTTGAGTTATTGCAAAATGCTTGGATTTTAACTCCTTCATATAAATATTATGACCCTTGTTTCTTTCGGTTTGTTTTTATTTGGTAAATTGTTGTGTATCCTTTTACACTTATTTTTCAGAGTCCGTTTCTTTCAGGCAAGATTGTCTTGTAGATGGCACATTGTTGTTTTTTATTTCTAGTTGTATTATCACAGTGTCTAAAATTTTTCTTTCGGAGCTTATCAAATCTTCATTTATTATTGTAAGAGATAAACTTGGTCTTTTGTCTTCTTATATCATGCTTATTTTGCTATTTCCTTTGCTTTTGTATTTTTGTAATATGGTGTGTGGTTTTTTGCCTACCCTCCACCTGAGAAAACTCATGTGTATTGTGATTTTTAGTGCCTTACCAAACCTAAAAACTGAAAATTGCATGTTTAAACCTGTGTTTATTAGTTTATCAAATTTAGCATTATTGACTCTAGTCATGAAAAATGGGGAACATAGCACACTTACACCTTACCAATCAAATGTTTTTGTTCTTGAGCTTCTTTATGGCATATTTTTAGTGGCCATTTTCTTAGTTTACCACCTTCTCATTTGTATATATTATTTAATGTCTTTTCAACTTTTGCTAATTGTAATACACTTTATATTAAAACATTCTGCTGTGAATTAATTAGATATTATTTCCAATTAATTTTGGATTTAAATGTATTGAAACTTCACCCACAAGCCATTTTATGGCATGATTTTCCCATTTGGGGAATATTTATTCCTCATTTCCTTGTCGTTAATTGGATATAATGTATGCATATTTTAAAGATATAAACCAAACACTATGAATTTTTCCTTCTTGCATACTTTAGGATATGATTCTATTTTCTTCAAATTTAAAAGGCAATCTGGTTACATGTTTATTTTCTATCAGAACTCTAGATGTGCGTCATCACCTCAAGACTTACAATACTGATGTTAAAAAAGCCTACGATCATTCTATGAGCATGTGTGTGTATTTTCTTTAAGTTATTTGTTTCTTCTTCCTGAATACACTTGTTAAATTCTTTCTTTATTGTTGAGTTTCATTACATTTATTATAATATTGTCCTATGCTCAACATTCACTATTAGTTTTTTGTTTTTTGTTTTTTTTCTGAAGCAAGTTGATTCCTTTTTTCTACAGACCTAGTTTTTCTTACATTTCAGGGAAGTTTATTTCTTTAGAAATTTTAATCTAATTTCAGTCTTTTTTAACTTCTTAAAAAAAGTTATTATCCAGATATTGGAACTCACTTCTCTGTTATGGTTTCATGATCCTATCACCTCTCTTCTTATCTAGTAGAGTGTATATGTAAGGATCATTAGCGTAAAAACCAAAATACTGCTGCATAAATTTGGGAAACCACCCATCAAAATGCAAGATTTCTGATAAACAGTTGGTGGTGAATACAGTATTGAAGCTGGCCTAAGTCTTCCTAGCCCTCGTTCTTAAATTGGAAAGAACAAGTTAACACAAAGAAGGTTTTACTGTAAAGAGAACAGCAGGTGTGCCTTGCATGCACTTCCTACACACAGAAGGAAAACAGGGAGCAACATGGAACATGCTGAGGTTGTGTCCAGGAAGCAAAAGAAAAACTAGCAAGATGGCTGTCTTTGGAAAAGGTACTCCAACTCATTAATAAAACAGAGATTATTGTGCATAATCTGTTCACTAACAAGATCAGCCACACTTAACTTACGGTGGCACAATTAAGGAGCTACAAACAGGTGCCATAACATCGCCTGTGACACTACAACTAGAAAGCAAGAATGAAATTTACTCTTTGTAAATGTTGAAACAGAAAGAGGAGGGGAAGAGGAGCAAACACCATCATACTCACGTAATATTTATATGACAAATAAATTGAAAAATATTAAAATGTAATTTTCTATGCCTTTACTTTGAATTATGTGTAATTTTCTGAAAATATTGCCTATGTCTTGTTCCAACTTTGTATTAGGTAATTGGTACTTCATGCTGATTTTAGAGAAGTTGAAATTTGATACTGCTTTTTCACCTAAAATTATTTTTAAATTAACATGGATCAGATTTTATGTCATTCTATATTTTTTATTTTATATTATTAATTAATATTCAAAATTTGAAATTATAATAAAATTTACTGTGTCAACTATTATATATTTTCTTTTACAGTGACTGTGACTGTGTTTGTCATATACATGATTTTCTTTTACTTTCTTTCCATTATTTTCTCTACCAGTATTAATTTTTGCATTGGTATCATGCTGGTTTATCTTCTTTTTTTTTTTTTTCTTGAGACCGAGTCTCACTCTGTGGTCCAGGCTTGAGTGCAGTGGCGCAATCTCGGCTCACTGCAACCTCTGACTGATGGGTTCAAAAGATTCTCCTACCTCAGCCTCCCGAGTAGCTGGGACTACAGGCGCCCGCCACCACGCCCGCCTAATTTTTTGTATTTTCAGCAGAGATGGGGTTTCACTGTGTTAGCCAGGATGGTCTCGATCTCCTGACCTCGTGATCCACCTGCCTTAGCTTCCCAAAGTGCTGGGATTACAGGCATGAGCCACCATGCACGGCCTTTTTTTTTTTTTTTTAAGTGATAGAATTCCAAACAGAACTCACTCTCTGTATAAGATGATGTTAGTAATGTGAGCTGTTTTTTAAAAAACTATTATTTCTGTTTCCCAATTCCTCTTCTTTGTCTCCCTCTCTCAGAAGTGTCCTTTAGTCTTAACGGAATTAAATTTTAAGTATGATAATTGGTGGGTTGTATACATTGTTTAGCCATTTATTTGATTGAGGAGTACAGAAAAGAAGCTGAGACTGTTAGTGAATTTTATCATCAAGCAATTTCTCTTTACATTTATTGAATACTGTAACCAAATGGGCTTCTACCACTTTTCTCACTCCTGTGACTGGCAGAGAGTTGAACACCCAAATGAAAGTTCAGATCTCTACAGATATGTAAACATTTCTCTTTGCTGATGTTATTTTGGTCAGAAGTTACAGTGTACAGTTTCTTTTATACCAGGGTTTTCCTTGAGGGGAGAAAATCCACTGAAAAAATAATATTACTTGTCTAGGAAGTTTATATATTAAATATATCTTCCTTCAACTTGCTATTTTATTGTCATAGAATTAATTGTACAAGATGTTTTCCTTTTTTCTCCTGTAACTGGTTCAATCCACAGTCTCATCTCTCCAGCTAGGAGTTCTTAGTAGACCGCTTTATAACTCCCTTTCTTAACTACTATACCATTCATTCTTTCCAAATGAAGATATGTCTACCAATATCCAGAGTCTTTCAATTTGGTCCAAATTTTTTGTAGCTGACTGATACACTTCTGAGTTGACTCTATGAGGTTATGGCAGTTCTTAAGCATAGAGGTAGATTTTGTCTCTATTTTTATTCACTTCAGTAGGTTTTAGGCAGGAAAGCTAAGAAAATGTGAATTTATTTTGCCATCTTTCACTGAATTCTCTGTATTAAATTTTTATTTTTGTAAAGCATTAGAGAAATGTGCATGAACTGAACAAGTTGAATGTGACAGCAAAGTGCTCTTGATCTTGGCTAGATGCCAGAATGTCAGGCGCATTCATGTCTTCTCTAGCTGAAGGGAATGGCACCATGGGCCTGCACCTGTAAATTCTACACTACCACCTGCCTTGCAGCACAGTCACTTTTACCCTCTCTTGTTGAATGTAGTTAATTTAAGAAAGCCATTCCTTAAAGTGTGTTTTGTAATTTTAAAATGTCGTTCTTCATAGTTGAAAGGAAGTGTTTGGACTTAAAGTGCACAGGCTCTCAGAAATCAGAGGTTCAAATCTAGATGGGGTTAACTCATAAAGTAGATACAGTATCTTACATGCAGCTTATTTTGCAGGATTCTTAGCAACTAAAGTCAAGTCTTTACTTTGTTGACCTTTAAGATCCAAGATCAATTTTCCTAATAAAAGGTAGACCTTTGCTTTTCTAAAAAGTCACTGAAAACCTACACCAACCTGAGACACTGGATTATATGTCCTGGTCACCCTCAGAAGAATAAAGTTTATTTGTTGACATAAAAACACCAACGGCAATATTGCCTTCATTTCCCAGTGATAACAACCTTTAGAAATGGTAAGGTCATTACTGTTGCCCACCTTTTTGAGAATTTGAAATGTTTAAAGTCCTCACTGCACATATCACCACACTCAGGAAACTTAAAACAGCGTGATGTATGGAAGTAAATAGTAACAGTAATAGTAATCAACTAATGTGCATTTAATACTTACTTTGTGCCAGACATTGTATTTTAAATTGGGTTATATTATTTTGATTATAAAATAAACTTTAAAAATAGACATAATTATTATCTCCTTATTTCAGAGGGAGTAACTTGGACTTAGGAAAATAAATACCTTTGTTTAGATAGATTCATCTAATGTATAATATTAAGATTATAAATTAGTATATTATATTCAGGAATTTTGCTAAATGAGTAGATTATAGCTTATCTTGCCACGGGGGGAAAATTGATAACTATGTGAGATGATGGATATGTTAATTTGTTTTACCATAGTATTCATATTATTTTATATATATACACACACACACATACTATGTGTCTTATAACATTATGTTGTATACCTAAAATGTATACAATAAAATTTATTTTAAAAATTAATCGCATTTTAGGGACCTGTAGGAAAAAAACCCAAAAGATCAACATTCATATTATAGGTGTATTACAAGGAGAGGAGAAAGAAGATGGTGTTGAAATTAATAATATAAAAAATAATGGCTAAAACCTTTCCAAATTTAATGAAAGATACAAGATACGAATACATCTAATTAAGAAAACCACCAGCAGATAAACCCAAAGAAATTCAGGACAAGACATATTATTATACTGCTGAATACTAAAGACAAAGAAAAAAATCTTCAAAACATCCAGAAAGAAATGTCATATTGCCATTAGCAAGAAAATAATTCAAAAGACAGTGAATTTCTTATCAGAAACTATGGAGAGCAAAAGAAAATGTCAATATCTTTTTTAATACTGAAAGAAAAGAATTATCAATTACAAATTCTGTTCGATGAAGCTATCCTTAAAGAATGCATGAGAAATAAAGACACCCTTGTCAATAGCGTATCTACGTATGGGCTAAAGGAAGCTCTTTAAAGAAAAAGGAAATGACAAAAGAAATAATATTGAAGTGTCAGAAAGAAAGAAGGAATGATGAAAAGAGCAGTAATATAAGAGCATGAAATAGACAATCCTTTTCAAACGTCTTTTGTAAGTCATATTTGATAATAGAAACAAAACTTGCAATACCACCTAATATGGTGATTGTATTTAAAAGCAAAATGTTGAAAAGAGCTAAATGGAAGTAACTTTCTACACTTGACTCAAAGTAGTAAAATTTTAATACAACTGGACTGATAAATCACACATTTATATCAGAATACCAGGAGCAATGACTGTAAAAACAAGAGTATACAAAGGTACACATTCAGAAACACAATAAAAAAATCAAGATGGAATCCTCAAAATATGCTCATGTAACTTGTATGAAAGTAAGAAAATAAAAACAAAAATGAGAACCTGAGGAAGCAGAGAAAAGTTCAAAATAAAAAAGGTAGGCTTAAAGCACTAACATATCAATAATTACTTTCCATATAAATTACATTAATACATCAACCAAAAGACAGATGTTGACAGAGTATAAAACAAAACACATGACCCAATCATATGCTGTTTACAACAAAGTCACTTTAAATTCAATTAGTTTGGTAAGTTGAAAAAACATATCTAGCAAATATTAATAAAAAACACAGGAGGGGCTATGTTACCATCTGATAAAGTAGAATTCAGAGCAGAGAAAAGTGCTGAAGACAACAAATAACGTTTTATAATGAAAAAAAATCTACCCTGAAGACATAATGATTCTAAATGTTTATACATTGAACATCAGAGTCTCAAAATGCATAAAATGAAAGTAAATAGAAAGGAAAGGAGAAACTGGCAAATCTATAATTGTAGTTGATGATTCCAACAACTTCCTTTAAGCAACTGGTGGAGCTAACAGACAGAAAATCAGCAAGAATATAGAAAGCTGGACAACAACATGAATCAATTTCATGATATACATAATCACCCAATAACAAAATACAGGAGAATCCCTGAACATGCGGGGATTTATGATACATTTAAAAAAGAGGAAGTCTGAAGGGAAATTAAAAATTATATATATTTTAAATAGCAAGGACTAAATCACAAGTTAAGTTGGAATTTTTTTTTTTTTTTGCTGAAAGAGTATGAAAATACCATCTATCAAGATTTGTGGATGCAGCTGAAACAATGTAGGAAGAAAATTGTTGTGCTAGATGCTCATATAAGAAAAAAAGAACATCTCAAAACAATGACTTCAGCATTTATTTTAAGAAATTTGAAAAAGAGAGCAAATCAAATTCAAAGTAAGTTAAAAGAAAGATATAATGAGTGGAAATCAAAATAAAACAAGGATTCAAAATAATGAAAATTTGTAAAACAAAAAGTTGTTTTTTTAAAGAAGATAAGTTAATATAGGTCTAACTAGCTGATCAAAAAAGTAAGAGATAAGATAAAATTAGCAGTATCACAAATGAAATAAGAGATCATACCAGAGAAAACACCAAAAGCAATTTCAACAAAAGTCAAAATTGACAAATGGGATCTAATTAAACTAAAGAGCTTCCGCACAGCAAAAGAAACTAGCATCAGAGTGAACAGGCAACCTACAGAATGGGATAAATTTTTTGTAATCTACGCATTTGACAAGGTCTGATATCCAGAATCAACTAGGAACTTAAACAAATGTACAAGAAAAAACAAACAACCTATAATGAGAGCAAGACAATCTTTAAAAGGGAAACATTAAAGAATTTACATTATCTGTTTTCAAGAATTACTATAAAGTACATCAATATAAGGTTCTCAAATATTTTAGTCTCAGGACTCCTTTGCACTTTTAAATACTTATGGAAATCCTAAACAGATTATTTTCTGCTGTTTATGTAGTGATACCATATGGAAAATTAAAGCTGGTAAATTAAAAGTTATATTTATTAATCTATTTAAAAATCAAATTAATCCATATGTTAAATAAAATTTGTTTTTTAAAATAACTATAATTTTTCAAACAAAATATAGTGAAAAGAGTAGCATTGATTTACATTTTTGAAAAACCCTTTAATGTCTAGCTTAACAGGAGAACCATATCTGTTCTGTCTTCAAGCTATTGAAATATATTTTGATTGAATTATGTGAAAAACATCAAACCCCACACAGCTATTTAGTGGGTAGAATAGGTAGTATTTTAAGTCTTTTAATATGATGGTAGATATTATTTGTAATATATCACCAAATCTAGACAAGTGTAAGCTTCTGAAAGATTAATTACAATGTATACACTAAAGCCATATATCAAAGAATACTTTATACACTGACAATGAATAAATTGTTATTGATTCAGTGAAATGGACTACTAGGCAGTAACAGAATGGAGGAGCCCATCATTAATATATGCAACAACATGCATGAGCCTCAAAAACATACTGAATGAAATACATTAGACATTTATATAACATTTTACAATCAGCAAACTGAACAATAGTGATGCAGATCAGAGTTTGTATTGATCAAAAAGTGAGAATGAGATTTATTGAAAGGGAAATGGAGAAATTTGAGTTGATTGAAATGTTTTAAACTTTGATTGTTGAACATTTGCTGCACCTTTTGATCTACATACTGTAAATGGATAAATTTTATTATATATAAATTTTACCTCAACAAAGTTGATTACATCTTAAAAATGGACATAATTATTGAATGACTTACTATATGTTTCCCAATCATACAAACACATTAATTGATTTCATTTTTATATGTAATCTTCTGGTTTATTTTTATTAGAGCACATAATTTTCATACAGTTGTAGTTATGAGGTACATTTAACTTAGCAATTTAGATTTTAAATTTTATAATCTGTTAAAAATAACTGCATGCCTCAACTGAAGGTACACATTTTCATAAACTGTAAATGTATCAATAAATGTGTAAGTGTATAAATAAATTGGATATTCAGCAAACAGTATACTTAATACAATTGAAAAGAA
Source organism: Homo sapiens (assembly GCF_000001405.40). Lineage (NCBI taxonomy): Eukaryota > Metazoa > Chordata > Mammalia > Primates > Hominidae > Homo > Homo sapiens. Next base: position 114,925,994 of record NC_000008.11, on the reverse strand, counting down.
CAAACCTGCTGTATTCAAACAAAATATGAATGAAACCTACAGATGTAATATTGACTGAAATAATTAATATATAAACTGTACATTTATAAGAAGTTAGAGAACAAAGAAAACTGATCTTTGGTGATGATAATAAGAACAATGGCTAATTCTGAGGATGGGTTACTGACTGGTAAAGTGAATGAGGGGGACTTTGGCTTGCTGGAATTTTTTTTTTAATCTTAATGACTGGTAGCTACATGAGTATGCATATATGCGAGAAGTTATCAAGCTGTATACTTAAGATCTGTGCATTTTCATGTATGTTTTTATACTTCAATATAGAAGTAAAAGCAACAACATAACCCAAAACACTATGAAAGTAGCTCCCCTCGGCTGGGGGTCGTGGCTCACACTTTGGGATGCCAATGCAGGTGGATCACCTAAGGTCAGGAGTTCGAGACCAGCCTGGCCAATATGGTGAAACCCCATCTCTACTAAAAATACAGAAAAATTAGCTGGGCGTAGTGGTGGGCGCCTGTAATCCCAGCTACACGGGAGGCTGAGGCAGGAGAATCGCTTAAACCCGGGAGGTGGAGGTTACAGTGAGCTGAGATCGTATCATTGCACCCCAGCCTGGGCAACAAGAATAAAACTCTGTCTCAAAAAAAACAAAACAAAACAAAACAACAACAACAAAAAAGAAAATAGCTCCCCTCACTTCAATTATTATTCATAAATTTTGTTTTCAGTTTTTTCAATTTTCCTAGGATGCATCTCCAGGATAAATATTTTCCTTGTGTTTACATTTCCCTACACGTTTTTTTTTTTTTTGCTTTGTTTGCTTGTTTGCAATTTTAAATTAGAAGGAAGTTTAACTAGAAGAAACTACTTTAAACTAGAAGAAACCAGTTTCTTCTAGTTTAAAATAACAAGTACCAGTTTTTATATACTGTAACCTAAAGTACCAGTTTGTTTTTATATATCCTAACCATCACTGGGCACAAATATTAAATGGTTTTCTCCTAATCTAAAGGTTATATATTCTTTTTTTTGTAGTAAGTGGGCTCAATTTGGCATGCAGGATTTATGTTTATTGTCATTTTTTTCCAGTCATGATAAAATTCCTAAGAAGAAATACTTCTTCAGTGTTGTTGGGAACAATGTTCAATTCACCCATATTCTGATATCGTTTAAAGCTGATAAAAGTGACATCTAGATAAACCCTCCCTTTTACTGGTGGGAGAGAAGCTAAGTGACTTTTTACAGTTTTCTCTTTAGAGAAAGAACAATTGAGTGACTTTGATAGAGTTCTTGAGAGATGTGCTGATTGCCTTGAGCTTTGAGCATCAAACATGAATATTGTTCATGAAAAGAACAATTTTCGCCAACACAGTCAAGTGCTGTGGACTGTACTGAGTCCTTTGTTCAAGTTTTGAGTAGGTCACCCAAACTTTGACATTAAAGCTAGTAAAAGAGAAAGTAATTTATAAATAATTTTGTACCAATCATATGCAATAAAAGCTCATGTTGAAATGAGAAAAGTGGTCCCATCTTCTAACCATATATTAATGTATACTTATTATTCCTATTAATAGTTTCATATTATGTACCTAAAGTCCCATAATGCATGTATGATAGCTGAAAAGACTTTGAGAAATTGTGCTAAAACCATGTAATTAACTACCACTGTATCTGGGAGCTGGGATTTGTGATTTCTTTAATAGAGAACGATTGATGTTCTAAATTGTCTATTCTTATGATATTTGCTATTTACTATGAAAGCCACTTCCCCATATTTTTCACTACCTATGTTTGTGAGGGCATGTAAAAACGAACTGTAGTAAGAACGAAATCGATAGAATAGGTTATTGCATTTTAATTAGCCTCGATTTCCTGAGGGAAATCGTTGAAATGTATTAACAAAAATTGAGAATAACTAGATTTCATAAAGACAACATTAGAGACTATTTAAAAATGACTATCATGCATTCGTAAAGATTTATTAACACAAAAATATCTTTAAAAAGTATGTTCTATACGCACATATAGGTTAATATATATCTTAAGTAAACTTGAGAAGAGGTTTGCAGGCTTTTTCTTCTCTCTCACTTTGTTCCTCTTTTCTTTGATTAGAGTCTGATAAGAAAATAATCTCAGTGTTACTATGATTAAGAAAGTGGATACAAGTATGCATTACAAGAAAGTTAACTGGTTTCACATTATTTTCAATTTACTGTGTATTTTATCTGAAATGAGATTTAAAAGTAGAGAGATGAGAAACTTTTCTCCACTCTAAAGCATTTAGATATACTGTTCTCTCTGCCTAACACATTTTTCCCCAACTCTTTCCTAAATACCCCTAGACCAGTCAGAGGCTCTCGTAGTATTTTGTGTATGTGTATCTTTCTTCTCAGAGCTACTCCCTGTCCTTCTCATGTTCAATTGCATATTTCATGGCCTCAATATTGAAGTTATGTTTTCCATATTTCTTTTTCAAAAGTCTACCAGTTGGGTTTGGTCGGTAGGGGCTTTAGAGGAAATTTGGAGGATGGGAAGAAGGGTTTACTCTTCCTCTTTCTCTCTGTCCTGACAAATATTTTTGCCAGTGAACATGTCTTGTGCAAGAATACAATTCCCACCAGGCGGCCCTTCCAATGGGATCCTATAATTCCCCTTGCTCTATTAGTCAGTCTCTCCAATATGAAGAGTAATAGCAGTTTCCTGCTGTGGCTCATCTTAGGCTTATTCACAGTTCCATTTCTGCCTTTCCTATACTTTCCTACTACGTTTGTGACCAATTCCCCATATAAAATCTCCTCTTTTGAATTAGTTGGAACGAATGTTGTTTTGCTGATTGAAATCTGACAGATATTTGTTTTGCACTTTCCTTATATGTAACACCAATCTCATTTTTGCATACTTTTAAAATCTTTCCTCTAAATTAAACTAAATTGTAGAAAAATATAATGATGTAGGTCTTTTTCCTTTTTATATTTCCATTCCCTAGCAAAGGTCTCCACTCATAGAAATTAATGTTTGCTGGAGAAAGAAAGGAAAAATGAAACAATGAAAAAATAAGGGAGAAGGAGAAAAGAAAGTAACTTCTGTTTTTATATTTACAAAATAAAAGAGGTTTTAAATCTCTGTAATTAAGGACAGCATACTTTTCTCTTAATCACATAACTAAAATTAGGTGTATGTGTGGGGATAACAGAGGAAAATGATAAGTGTGAGTTTGTGATTGAAGAGGCAAAGTGGAAAATACAAGTATCTGTCTGCATTAATTAAAAGATAGCACAAATATTCCTTCTTGGAATATGTAAAAAAATAATTAGCCTGTTTGTAAAACTATCTTTATCTTTTAAAAAAGTTGTACAATTGGCAATTGTTTTTTTGCTGTTCAAGCAAACTCAAATCAAAACAAGGTATACTCAGATCACACAGTGTCTACTACATTCTGCTTCCCAGGTGCCTTGCCTGTAGAGCAGAGGTTGGAAAACTTTCTGCTGCATCTACATTTCTCAGAGCCTTGTGAGAAATCTGAATGAGGAACTCATTTCAGTGGGAAAAGAGGTGGCAGATCTAACATATTTTGCAGGTGCAGAGTGCCTGTGAGCCAAGGAAGTGGGGGGACATCTGATCTTCAGGGCCTGGTTAAGTTGGTGTAACTTTGGAACAAGCGTATGGATTAGTAACTTCCTGGCTGTGGCAAACACAGCTGTTTTCTACCTGAGCCTCTTCTGAGATAAGATCTGTTAAAAGGAAAACTTTAGACAAATTAAATTGAACAGAGTTTATCTGATCCAAGAACAATGACTTATGATTCCAGCAGTGCTCAAAACAAGAAAATGTTCAGAGAGCTCCACTCAGCAGCAAGAGTAACAAGCTTTAAAGGTTGAAAATGGAAGCAAAGTAGAGGAAGCACCTGACTGGCTACACTGAGGCATCTGCCTTATTTGGGCATGGTCTGATCAGTTGGCTTCTGGTGATTGGCTGAAGCTTGGCTCTTTGTGATTGAAATGCAGCCATTTGTTATGAAACATATACTCCTAGTTCAGTTTTGGTTTGTTTACATACTAAGTTAGGTAGCTGTCTGTTATGTGGAAACTCAAAGTACAGAGCCAGCCTCAGGCTAATGGCCTCCTGCTTATTTAATTTAACAGATATGAAATTTGACTCTGAGACCTGCTGCTCCAATCCTACCAACAATTTGTAAACACCAGATTCCCAGAACCAAATTTGTTTGTGCTTAAAATAGCTAAAGTGTTTCTTGTTACCCAGAGCCAAACCCTGTCTATATAGGATCAGTTTGCATTATTATACCAATATCATAACAAAAGTAAATTAAAATTTATGTACACATTTAATAGAGAATGATGGCATTTTTGGAAGGAAATCGAAACATAAGCTTCAAGTTGTAGATCTCTTGCTAGTTTTTTGTTCTTTTTTTTAATAAATCTGACAAGTATTGGTGGAAAAGACATTTATTCAACACAAATTTGAGAACTGGACACTCACTGGGCCATATATTAAGAAAATAATGGTAAGGAAAAAGCAGAATGGTTCCTGTTATTGCATACTATTGTCATACTATGTACACTATTGTCATACTATTGTGTAAAGATGAATATACAGGAAGAGATAGATAATAGACACACACAGAAAGATATAATATATATATCTTAGAATATATATATATCCCTTAGAAAATGTATATATGTATGTTATAGCATATGTATACATGGTCAATCTTAGAGAAGCTTAGATTCTTAGAATCTTTGAGAATCATACAATTAAGTGTCAAATTGCAATTGAATATTATGAGCGAAAGTTACAATTTGCTGTGAGAATGGTTAACAGAATGATGTGACTACTTATAGGTCAAAATATTACATTCAGAAAAAAATATTAAGCTGAAGTTTAAGAACAATTTGGAGTTAACTGGAATATGTGAAGTGAGGAACAGAAGAATGCCAGGCAGAGGTAATATGTTCAAAGTTCCTAAGTCAAAAAGGATATATGGTATACTTTAGGAGATAAAACTAAACCGTCATTGTCAGAGCACAGAAACAAGGGAACTGGGATGAGGTTGAGGCTACAGAGATGAAGCTAGGTAAAGTTCAGTTGATGCAGAGTCATGCTGGCCTTGTAACTTGTTCTGGTTCTTATTTTAAGAGCAATGGAAGACATAAACATTAAGACAGCCATTTCCTTGCTTCTGCATTTTATAATAAGAAGGAGGAACAATAGCAATTTATTTGAAACACACTTGGGACTAAATGAGGAACAGGTTTTTCTTTTACTTATAGTCATTATTTGTTCTGCCTCTGCCTTAATCACCTTTTTCATTAATTTTTTCTGGTGTTATTTTGTTTTAATATATTTTTACTTATTGGCTTTTCCTCCTCCCAGCTTCACCTCTTTATCATTAAATTTTGAATCCTCACCCACTTCATTTATTTTTGTTTCACAAGTACATGTGCAGGTTTGATCTATGGATAAATTGCACATATGTGAGTTTGCTGTACATATTGTTTTGTCACCTAGGTAATAAGCATAGTACCCTAGTACCGTAAGCAGTTTTTGGATCCTCACCCTCCTCCTACACTCTACCTCAAGTAGGCCTCAGTATCTACTATTCCCTTCTCTGTGTCCATGTGTACTCAATGTTTAGCTCCCACTTATAAGTGAGAACATGCCTTATTTATTTTCTTTTTTTTTTGGTTTCTGTGTTAATTCACTTAGGATAAGGGCTTCTCGCACCATCCATGTCATGACATGGATCTTGTTTTTTTTATGGCTGTGTAGTATTCTATGATGTATACGTACCACATTTCCTTTATCCAGTATATTATTGATGGACATCCAGGTTGGTTACATGTTTTTGCTATTGTGAATAGTGCTGCAATGAACATACCCATGCCTGTGTCTTTATGGTGGAATATGTTTTTTTCCTTGAATATATACCCAACAATGGGATTGCTGGGTCAAATGGTTATTCTGTTTTAAGTTCTTTGAAAAATTTCCAAACTGCTTTCCACAGTGGCAGAACTAATTTTCTTTCCCACCAGTGGTGTGCAAGTGTTCCCCTTTCTCCATGGCCTTGCCAGCATCTGTTATTTTTCTACTTTTTAATAATAGCTATTTTTACTGATGTGAGATGTTATCTAATTATAGTTTTGATTTGTATTTCTCTAATGATTAGTGATGTTGAGTGGTTTTTCATATCCTTCTGGTCTGCATATACATCTTCTTTTGAAGTGTGTCTGTTCAAGTCCTTTGCCTTCTTTTAATATTTTATTTTTTTATCAAACTTATTTTAATTTCCAGGGTACCTGTGCAGGACGTGCAGGTTTGTTACATGGGTAAATGTGTACCATGGTGATTTGCTGCACAGATCAACCCATCACCTAGGTATTAAACCCAGGATCCATTAGCTATTCTTCCTGATGCTCTCCCATCCCCTGCCCCAATGACAGGCCCCAGTGGGTGTTGTTCCCCACCCATATGTCCAAGTGTTCTCATAATTCAGCTCCCATTTATAAGTGAGAACATGTGTTGTTTGGTTTTATGCTCCTGTGTTCATTTGCTGAGGAAAACAGCTTCTAGCTCCATATATGTCCCTGTAAAGGACATGATCTCATTCCTTTTTATGGCTGCATAGTACGCCATGGTGTATATGTACCACATCTTCTTTATCCAGTCTGTCATTGATGAGCATCTCGGTTGATTCCATGTCTTTTCTGTTGTGAATAGTGCTGCCATGAACATATTCATGCAAATATCTTTATAAGGGAATTATTTATATTCCTTTGGGTATATACCCAGTAATGGGATTGCTAGGTCAAATGGTATTTCTGCTCCTAGAACTTTGAGGAATTGCCACACTGTCTTCCACAATGGTTGAACTAATTTACACTCCCACTAACAGTGTAAAAGTGCTGCTTTTTCTCCACAACCTTGCCAGCATCTGTTGTTTCTTGACTCTTTAATAATTGCCATTCCGCCTGGTGTGAGATGGTATCTCATTGTGGTTTTGATTTGCATTTCTCTGTCAGTTTTGTTGAGTTTTTTTTTTTTTTTCATTTGTTTGTTGGCTGCACGAGTGTCTTCTTTTGAGAAGTGTCCATTAATGTCCTTTACCCACTTCTTAACGTTTTTTTTTTTTTTTTTTTTTTGAGACAGAGTTTCACTCTTGTTGCCCAGGCTGGAGTGCAATAGTGTGATCTCGGCTCACTGCAACCTCCACCTCCCACGTTCAAGTGATTCTCCTTCCTCAGCCTCTTGAGTAGCTAGGATTACAGGCACGTGCCACCACACCCAGCTAATTTTTAGTATTTTTAGTAGAGATGGGGTTTCATTATGTTATTAAGAACAGTCAAACAGGTTGTTAATGCCTGTGAAGTCTGTCTTAAAAATAATCCCCTGAACAGATAGCTCCTTACTTCTCAAACCCAAAAGATAAGAAGCTATCTTTGGGAGGACTGGCAGATCAACTTCACCCACATACCAAAGAAGAAGTGTATCCAATACCTGCTGATAAGGGTAGACACTTTCACTAACTGGGTAGAAGCATTTCCTTGCCATATAGAAAGAATCTCTACAGTAATAAAAGTGTTAATTGATGAAAAATTTCCCCATTTTGGTCTACCTAAGTACCTCCAAAATTACAACAGCCCCTCATTTAAGGCAGTTGTCACAAGGTGGTGTCAAATGCACTAGGCATACAGTATCCACTGCACTTAGAGATTCTAGTCATCAGGAAAAGTAGAGAAGACAAATAAGACATGTCAGAAAGCTGTCCCAAAATACTTATCTTTCTTGGTCACTCTTCTTCCCATGGCTTTATTTCAAGTAAAAATACACTCCTTTAAAGTTAGGTATGAGCCCTTTCAAGATGCTGTTGGGGTGGCCTTTCCTTACCAGTGATTTCTTATGAGACCAGAGGACATCTGAATTGGTAAAGCATGTTCCCTCTCTGGCTCACATTCAACAGGAATTAACCAAACTAGCTGAAGCACAACCCCAAGAAATAGAACCACCTTTATTTAACCCAGATTTAGTATTGGTAAAAGCTCTCCCTTCTCTCCCTCCCTGAGCCCAAGCTAGGAAGAGTCCTGAACTGGCCTTCTTTCGACCCCCTCAGTGGTAAAAATTACAGGTATCAATTCCTGGATACATCACATTTGAGTCAAAACCTGGAAAGCTGAGAGAGCAATCCCTAACAGCCCAGAGGAACATGTTAAATATCAGTGTGAAGAAATAGACCTTAAGCTGAAAATCATAAAAGATAATTAAATGAGTAATGGTTAGTCATCTTACTCAGTCCTACTTTTACCTTACCAGATACTTTCAGTCATTTCTATTTTTCCTATTGAGATTTGCCATCAGATATTAGAACGTCTTTTTGAGGCATACCTGCAGGGAGATTTTAATTATTCATGGGATTGCATTTGTAACTTCATAGATTTAATTATTCATGGAGTTGCATTTGTAACTTCATAGACCCCTAAAGGCAAATGTTATGTCCTAGAGAGTAAAATTTTTGGTGGAAATTATCTGCTACAACACACTTGTGGGAATTGTTATACTCACTCTACTATTTGCATTAGTGCTATACATGGTAGCGCCTTCTAACTGGAATACCAGACAGAAAGTTTCCATTGCTGTAGTATTTTGCTTAATTATTTTTTTATAGCAGGAATAAAAATTACCAACAGGAAGTAAGCATGAAACTTTTATAATCACTGAGTCTGCTAGGAATTTTTATTTGGTTTCATAATATGTTACACCCTACCAATGCAAAGAAAGTTAAAAAGAAGAGATTTTATATAAGAAAGGATCTCATATAGTAAATTTGGGTCCTAAAGAGAATAACTGATTGATTGAAAAGAGGAAGGTTTATGACAAGTCAGAAAGTTAAAGCATGTTGTAGATGGTCTGTGGAAGTTGTGAAAGAACTCATAACTGCAGGAAAGATTTAGCCACGGTTAACACTAAAGTTACTCTAGCCACCCAATAACGTATTTCTCCCAAACATATAACAAGTTATTAAAGATGACCTAGACCTAAAATTACCACCTAATGGCAAGTCAAGGGGAAAATATGTGTTTTTCTCAAAGAAAAACATTGCTTTCATATCAATGTTTCTGGTAAAATACGACTACATCTGGTGGAGGCAAACTGGTATTATAACCCATCAGAATGGCCGATAGGTATCAAACTCTACTGTCATGGTTGTAGCCTATAGTACCCCCACTACTAGTGGTAATCTTAATACTCATAGCATTCAAAGTAAAATTTATCTCCTTGCCTAGAAACAATAAATCTCCAAATGATGCTGCAGATAGAATCAGGCATGGACATGCCTTTCTTCTGAGGACCCTTAGATCAACCCCAGGGGGAGCCCTAGCTTCTATTCCCTATATGATGCCCTTTTTTAGTGGAAGTAGCCAGAAAGGGTCATCATCTAACACCCCCTAACAGCAGTTAAGGTTACCACTCCTGAGGGAGGATTTATATATGAGCTAAAAAGAAATTATGTAGGCAGTTAGTGAAGGTACGGAAGTCCTCAGCAAGGTTTTCCTTTTGATAAAAAGCAGCCCCACTCAGCTTCTGGGTAGGCTGAGGCAGGAGAATGGCGTGAACCCAGGAGGCAGAGTTTGCAGTGAGCTGAGATCACACCACTGCACTCTAGCCTGGGCGATAGAGTGAGACCCCGTCTCAAAAAAAAAAAAAATAAAGCAGCCCCCAAATTATTTTCTTTTCTAACAAAGAGTAGCCTGTAAAATCCAGCTGCAGTCATACAAAGGAGAGCTATAAGCTTGCATGGATGAATGCTGTCAGCTATGCCAATACGAAAGGGGCTACATGGGGACTAGGAATGTCTACCATGGTGGCTTCATATTCTCTTCTTGCAAACCACGTGTGCAGTAGGGAGCAGACAACATGGTGCTGGCCAAGTAAAGACCCATTTGCATAATAAAAAGATTAGGGTTGGGTTGCCAGCTTCCTCATGCACTATGTAAAAGTCACACCTCGAGCAACCAATCTGTGGGCTCTATGTAAATCAGACACTACTTCCTCAAGCCTGTCTATAAAAGCCTGTGCACTCCACTGTGGGCCGGAAGTCCCATTTGGGCACCCCTCTTTCTCACAGGAAAGAGAGCTATTCTCCTTTCTCTTTCTTTTGCCTATGAAACCTCCACTGCTAAACTCACATTTTGTGTGTCAGTGTACTCGATTTCCTTGGTGTGAGACAATGAACCTTGGCTATTTACCCCAAACAATGACACTGCTTCATTTGTAGGTGTGTGGTCTTATTTCTGAGTTCTTTATTTTGTTCCATTGGTCTATGTGTCTGTTTCTGTACCAGTACCATGCTGTTGTGGTTACTGTAGCCTAGTTTGTAGTACAGTTTGAAGCTGGGTAGTGTGATGCCTCAAGCTTTGTTTCTTTAGCTTAGGATTCTCTTGGTTATACAGGCTTTTTGGATCCATATGAGTTTTAAAATTGTTTGTCCTAATTCTGTGAAGAATAGCAATGAGTAGTTTAATGGAAATAGCAGACAGGTTTACAGCTGAATTCTATCAGTGGTAAAAAAGTACCATTTCTATTGAACCTGTTCCAAACAATTTCAAAAGAAGGGACTCCTCTCTAACTCATTTTATGCGACCAGGATTATCCTGATGCCAAAACCTGGCAGATAAACAGCAAGAAAAGAAAACTTCAGGTAAAAATTTCTGATGATCATTGATGCAAAAATCATCAATGAAATCCTGGCAAACCAAATCCAGCAGCACATCAAAAGGCTTATCCACCACAATCAAGATGGCTTTATCACCTAAATTCAAGGTTGGTTCACCATAGGCACATCAATAAATGTAATTCATCACATAAATAGAACTAAAGAAAAAAACAACACCATTATCTCAATAAATACAGAAAAGTCTTTCAATAAAATTAAATATTTCTTTGTATTAAAAACTCTCAATAAACTCAGTATTGAAGGAACATACCTCAAAATAATAAAAGCCATGTATGACAAACCCACAGCCAATATACTGAAGGGGCAAAAGCTGGAAACATTCCCTTTGAAAACCAGAACAAGACAAGGATTCCCTATCTCACCACTCCTACTCACCTTAGTATTGGAAGTTTTGTCCAGGCAAGAGGAATAAATTTCGTATTCAAATAGGAATAGAGGAAACCAGAGAAAACACAAACAAATGGAAAAAGATTCCATGCTTATAGGTAGGAATAATCAATATTGTGAGAATGGCCATACTGTCCTTTGACCACTTTTTAATTAGTTTTTTTTTTTGCTTGTTAATTTGTTTAAATTCCTTATAGATTCTGGATGTTAGACCTCTATCAGATGCACAGTTTGCAAGTATATTCTCCCATTCTGTAAATTTTTTATTTACTCTGTTGATAGTTTTTTCTTTTATTTCTGTAGAGAAGCTCCATAGTTTAATCACATTTGTCAATTTTTGTTTTTGTTGCAATTGCTTTCAGCATCCTTATTATAAAATCTTTGCCAGGGCCTATGTCCAGAGTAATATTTCCTTCGTTTTCTCCAAGGATTTTTATAGTTTTGGTTTTATATTTAAGCCTTTAATCCATCTTGAGTTGATATTTGTACATGGTATAAGGAAGGGGTCCAGTTTCTATCTTCTGTATAATGGCTAGCCAGTTGTCCCAGCACCAGTTATTGAATGGGGAGTACTTTGCCATTGCTTTCTTTTGTCCACTTGTTTAAAATCAGATGATTGTAGGTGTGTGACTTTATTTCTGGGCTCTCTATTATGTTCCAACAATTTGTGTGTCTGTTTTTGTACCAGCACCAAGCTGTTTTGATTACTGTGGCCATGCAGTATAGTTTGAAGTCAGGTAATGCAATGCCTCCAGCTTTGTTATTTTTGCTCAGTATTGCTTTGGCTATTTGGGCTCTTTTCTGGTTCCATATGGATTTTAGAATAGTTTTTTGTAATTCTGTGAAAACTATCATTGGTAGTTTGATAGGAATAATATTGAAAATTTGTTTGGACAGTATGGTCAGTTTTACTATATTGATACTTCCTATCCATGAGCATGTAATGTTTTTTGTTTATGTGAACTGTTATTTCTTTCAGCAATGATTTGTAATTCCCATTGTAGAGATCTTTCACATCTTGGGTTAACTGTATTCCTAGGTATTTTATTTTTGTGTCGTTATTGTGAATGGAACTACGTTGTTGATTTGGAACTTATCTTGATCATAATTGCTGTATAGAAATGTTACTGATCTTTGTACATTGATTTTGCATCCCAAAACTTTGCTGAAGTTGTTTATCAGATCCAGGAGCTTTGGGACAGAGACTAACAGATTTTCAAGGTATAAAATGATATCTCTGCAAACAGACGTAGTTTGAGTGCCTCTCTTCTTATTCAGAGGTTTTCATTTCTTTCTCTTGCCTGATTGCTCTGGTTAAGACTTTCAGGACCATATTGAATAGGAGTGGTAAGAGTGGGCATCCTTGCCTTGTTCCAGTTCTGAATTAGAATACTTCCAACATTTACTCATTCAGAATGATGTTAACTGTGGGTTTGTCATAGATGGCTCTTATTATTGTGAGGTATGTTTCTTCAATTCCTAGTTTGTTGAGGGTTTATAACAGAAAGGCATGCTAAATTTTATCAAAAGCTTTCCTGTCTCTATTAAAATGAGCATAAGGTTTTTGTCTTTAGTTCTGTTTATGTGATTAATCATATTTATTGATTTCTGTATATTGAAGCAACCTTGCATCTCAGGGATAAACCCTACTGGATTGTGGTGAATTACTTTTTTGATGTGCTGCTGGATTCAGTTTGTTAGGACTTTGTTGAGGATTTTTGTATCTTATGATCATCATTTATATCGGCCCGAAGTTTCCTTTTATTGTTGTATCTTTGCCAGATCTGGGTTTCGAAATGATGTTGGCCTTACAGAATGAGTTAAGGAGGAGTCTTACCTCTTCAATTTTTGTGGAATACTTTCAGTAGAAATGGTATCAACTCTTTTTATATGCCTGATAGGATTCAGCTGTGAATCTGAAAACCTGGGCCTGGTCATTTTCTGGTTAGTAGATTTTCTTACTGATTCAATTTCAGAAGTTGTTATTGGTCTGTTCAAGGTTTCAATTTTGTCCTGGTTCAGTCTTGGGAGGTTGCACCTTTCCAGGAATTTATCCATTTCTTCCAGGTTTTGCAGTTTGTGTGTATAGAGGTGTTCATAACAGTTTCTGATTGTTGTATTTCTGTGGGTTCAGTGGTAATATCCCTTTTCTCATTTCTGATTGCATTTATTTGGATATTTTCTCTCTCTTTTTAAATGAGTCTAGCTACCAATATATCTATCTTCCTTATTTTTTAAAGAAAAAATTCATGGCATCACTAGTCTTTCCTATGGCTTTTTGCATGTCAATTTCATTCAGTTCAGCTCTGATTTTCTTTACTTCTTATCTAATCTTAGCTTTGTGGTTGGTTTGCTTTTGATTTTCTAGATCTTCAAGGTTTGATGTTAGATTGTTGATTTGAGATTTTTCTAACTTTTTGATGTGGGTTTTAGTGCTACAAACTGTTTACTCAGAAGTCATTCAGGAGTGTTTGTTTAATTTCCTTGTAATTTTATGATTTTGAGTGATCTTCTTGGTATTGGTTTCAATTTTTATTGCTCAGTGGTGTGACAGTGTGGTTGGTATTATTTCGTATTTTTTTCTCAATTTCCTGAAGATTGTTTTATGGCTAATTGTGTGGTCAATTTAGAGCATCTGCAATATACAAATGAGAAGAATGTATATTCTTTTGTTTTTGGCTGAAGAGTTCTATAGATATCTGTTAGGTCCATTTGGTTGAATGTTGAGTTGAGGTCCTGAGTATCTTGGTTAGTTTTCTGTCTCAATGATCTCTCTAACACTATCTCTAATGCTTCAATTCTAGTAACGTGTTGAATTCTACCACTATTATTGTATGGTTATTGAAATCTATTTTTAAGTCTCTAATAACTTGTTTTATAAATCTGGCTGCTCCTGTGTTGTATGCACATATAGTTAGGAAAGTTAAGCCCTCTTGCTGAATTGAAATCTTTACCATTATACAAGGTTTTTTTTCCCCATCACTTCTGGTTTAAATCCTCTTTTGTGAGGAATTAGAATAGCAATCGCTGCTCTATATTTTTATGTTTGCTTGGTAGCTTTTTTTTTTAATCCCTTTACTTTGAGCCTAGAGGTGTCGTTGTATGTGAGGTTGGTCTCTTAGAGACAGCATAAAGTTGGGTCTTACTTTTTTCATTCAACTTGCCACTCTGTGACATTTACATGGGGTGTTTAGCCCATTTATGCTTAAGGTTAATATTGATATATGTATATTTGATTCCATAATCATTTTGTAACATGGTTGTTATGCAGACTTGATTGTGTAGTTGCTTTATAGTGTCTATGGTTTATGTACTTAAGTGTGTTTTTGAGATGGCTAGCAACAATTATTCATTTCCTTGTTTAGTACTCCCTTAATATTAATACCTATTGTAAGATATGTCTGTTGGCAACAAATTCCCTTCACATTTGCTTTTCTGGAAAGGATCTTATTTCTCCTTTGCTTATAAAAGTTAGTTTGGCTGGATATGAAATTCTTGGTGGGATTAGGCTGAATATAGGCCCCCAATCTCTTCTGACTTGTAAGGTTTCTGCTGAACATTCCTTCATTAACTTGATGGGGTTCCCTTTGTATGTGACCTGCATCTTCTCTCTAGCTCTTTTTAATATTTTTTCTTTCATGTTAACCTTGGAGAATCTGATATCTATATTTCTTAGGGATGGTTGTCCTGTATAGTAGCTTGCATGGGTTCTCCAGACTTCCTGAATTTGAATGTTGCCCTCTCTAGCAAGGTTGGGGATATTTTAATGAATAATATTTGTAAATATGTTTCCCATGTTGCTTGTTTTTTCTCCTTTTGTTTTAAGAACATCATCAGTAAGTCATAGATTTGGTCTCTTTACATAATCCATGTTTCTTAGTGGTTTTTTTTATTCTTTTTTCTTCATTTTTGTCTGACTGAGTTAGTTTGAAGAATGTCTTCAAGGTCTGAGGCTCTTTCCTCAGCTTGGTCTATTCTGTTTTTATACTTCCAATTATATTTTGAAATTCTTTTTTTTTTTTTTTTTTTTTTTTGAGATGGAGTCTTGCTCTGTTGCCCAGGCTGGAGTGCAATGGCACAATCTTGGCTCACTGAAACCTTTGCCATCTGGGTTTGAGGGATTCTCCTGCCTCAGCCTCCTGAGTAGCTGGGACTATAGGTGCACACCACCATGCCCAGGTAATTTTTGTATTTTTAGTAGAAATGGTGTTTCACCATATTGGCCAGGCTGGTCTCAGACTCTTGACCTCGTGATCCGCCCACCTCAGCCTAGCAAAGTATATTTATTGTTGAAGTTTGGGCTGTGATCTAGTAGATGGTGCCTAAGTGTAATGGCCATTTAGTAGGCTCTTGCTCAGCCATGTGGCTCCTCTATATTTCCTAGCATTCGTAGCTGTGCTCCCTTTCAGTGCTGTGAGAGTGTAGGCTTATTTCTTGCTGGCTGCAGATCTCAGGTTGGCATTCCCCAGCTGCATACTTCAGTCCTGGGGTGAGGTCAGGCCTTATGTTCCCTGCCCAGGCTTGGGACAGCAAGGTAAAGGACCTTGGCAATAGCAATGGTAGGACTTTGATTTGTCTCTTGGGACTCCACCTCAGAGAAACATAGAGCCACTACCAACTGCAGCAATAAGTCTAACTGGAGGCAGCTGTAATATGGGCCCAAGCCAGGGGGCCCTGCCTGGTGATAAGCACGGTAGGCAGTAGGCTCTTGGGGAAAACAAAATGGCCTCTTCTCTTCAGGGCAGATGCAGCATGCTGGAGGTGTAAGTAAAGAACCCAGGATCTTTGTTCCTATGACAGTCCATGGGGTAAGGGCAGTATTACAGCACTGGCAGTGGCAGAAGGGCTTTTAGTTGCCTCTGGGAGCTCCATCCAAGAGAAACACAGAGCCACTACCAGTGGGAATGTTCAGCCAGGGGCTGGAGCAGTTGTACTTTGGACTCAAGCTGGGGGCCCTGCTTTGTGAAGGGCAGGGGTTTGGTGCCTACAGGGAGAGAGATTGGGCTTCTTTCCATATGGCAACCATGGCATGCTGGAGGCACAAATAAAGGCCTCAGACCCTTTGTTCCTTCCTCATTCCAAGGGCAGTAAGGGCAGAACTGCCGCACTGGCAGCAGCAGTGGCTGTCAGTTGCCTCTGGAAGCTCCTCCCCCAAGAAACACTGCTGGAAATACTCAGTGAGGAGTAGGGCAGCTGCTCTGTAGTCTGAGCTGGAGGCCTTGCCTGGTGAAGAGTAGGGGTTTGGAGCTCACAGAGAAGAGAGACTCGGCTCATCTCCATATGGTGGCTGCAGCACGTTGGAGGTGCCAGTAATGCAACCAGGCCCTGTATTCCTTCCCGAGCTCAAAAGCAGTAAGGGCTGTACCACCACAGTTGCCATGGAAGAGGGGCTGTGGATTGTCTCTGGGATTTCCTTCCCAGAAAATCGCAGAGCTGCCACTGGCAAAAGTGTATGGGGGGGGAAGGGTGGTTGTGTTGGCCCAAGTCAAGAGACTCTGCCCAGTGAGGAGTAACAGGGGCAGGGATTCATGTGGAAAACATTCTGGCTGCTCTTCCATAAGGCAGCTGCACTGTGCTTGGGGCCCATGTTCGTTCTTAATATCTTTGCTCCCTCCTGAGTCTGAGGGCAGCAGGGGCTGAGGCTGTGGAGCAGCAAAAATGGTGGTCCTCCCTCCTACCTCTGGGAGCTCCATCTCAGGAAGTACAGAGCTTCTTCCGGCCCAAGTGATCAGGTGAGGGTGGGGTGGCTGGGATCCCAGGTCGATAGACTGTAGCCAGGGAGGAGTTGCAGGAGCAGGAACCTTCTTGGAAAACAGTCTGGCTCCTTTTCCATAAGGCACTTGTGCTGTGCTGGGGGCCTGTGTTAGTCTTTAATCACTTCGCTCCCTCTTGAGCCTGAGGGCAACAGGAACGAGAACTGTGAGCCTGCTGGCTACCTCTAGGAAATTCATCCCTTGGAAATGCAGGGCTGCTACCTGCCAGAGAGCTCAGGCAGGGCTAGGGTAGCTGCACTTCTGTCACTGGCTGGTGAACCTCGTCTGGAAAGGTGTAATGGAGGCAAGGCTTAAAGTCTGTCTCCTCCTCAGTCCCATGGATTTAGACCTTATTATGGGAGCATGGCCTCCTCTGTTGTTGGAGCTGCAGCCGCTTGTGCTGGGGTGTTCAGGAGTCTAAGGCCCCTGGGAATCCACCTGTTTCTGAGTGGCAGCTCTGCCCAGTTTCCACATAGCTCTTCGTGTGAGTCTGGAAGTCCTGGTGTGGGGAGTCATGCGGGATCTCCTAAGCCAAGGGTTGCAAAGGTCCATGGCAGAAATGTGGGTCCCCAGGGACTCTTACACAGTCACCATTTCCTCATGTTGGGGAGCTCCCCCGGCTCTGTGCCAGTCCTGAGTGGGTGGCTGTCCTGTTTGCCCTTCTCTGTTTTCTGTGGGTCATGTTTCTTCCTTGATGACTCCCAATATAGCCAACTAGGCAATCTAGTCAAAGAGCTAGTGTTTACTTACCATTCTTTATCCTCTCTGTGAGAGTGGAATGCATTAGCTGCTTCTAGTCAGTCATCTTCTCATCCACTTTTGTACTAGGTGTATATATTTTGGGGTACATGAGATGTTTTGATACAGGTATGCAATGTGAAATAAACACATCACAGAGAATGAGGTATCCATCCCTCAAATATTTATCCTTTGAGTTACAAACAATCCAATTACATTATTTTAAAATATACAATTAAGTTATTATTGACTATAATCACCCTATTGCACTATCAAATAATCAGTTTTATTCTTTCTTTCTATTTATTTGTACCTACTAAGCATTCCCACCTCCCCCACCACCCCCACTACACTTCCCAGCCTTGGCAATCACCTTACTCTTTATGGCCATTAGTTCAATTGTTTTAATTTTGAGATCCTACAAATAAGTGAGAACATGTAATGTTTGTCTTTCTGTTCCTGGCTTATTTTACTTAACACGGTGATCTCCAGCACCCACTTTTGAATCAAACATTTATTTGACATCGAATCATCTGATCCCCTGCACTTCTTATTTCCATATTTTATATTTTAATTTTATCCTTAATAGTATTTCTAATTGATTTTACTCTCATTACTGTGTTAGCCACAGTTAAAAAATGTAGATGCTTTTGGGAATGCAGATCAGTTGATGGGAAAGGTTTTTAGAGCTTAAAAATAGATCTGAAATTTAATATGTGCTGGAATATTTTGGAACATAAATAATCCTTGGAAACAGACACAACACTGATTTGATGTTTTAGATGTTTTGATTAGTGACTATGATTTCATGTCATATTCTGTCATGCTTGTTATACATTCCCTAAAACCTTTTCAACAGATTTCGGATATGTGCTAATCATTTCAGTCATTGGTCAATACAAAAGAATACCAGTGCCATGAAAGACATAATTAAATTCAATGACTCATAAATGAGGCTTTCTGCATTATTACTTCAAAAGCCAATGTAGTCATTTCCATAGATAGCTTAATCCAAAATAAGTGGGAACTTGGTATATTCTGGTTAATTTATTATTTTGTTATTAATTAATTTGTTAATTTGTTTATTAACAAACAAGCTAATCAAGTAGCTATGAGGTCACATTTTTTTCCTGCTCTTATTTAAACAGCTGCAACATCCAACATTCTGAAGCTTATAAAAAATTTACCCATTTTAAATGAAGGGAGAGTTCTATTATTTCTTGAAACAATTGAACATCAATGACAATGGTAGGTTGAAGGGAAAATGTGAGGAGAAAAGGTTAACTTTACACAATGGATGCTAATTTTTTTTCTTTAATAAAAGTGCTATAGAATTGTTCATTGTTAACTAAAATAATGATAAAAAGATAGAAATACAAAATGTCTGAGAGAAATACAAAGTGTAAAATAATTGATAGTCAAAATTGTACACTTCATAAAATCAGCTAGTTAGGTAACCTGACAGCTGTGTGTTGCTAAAATCCAAATATATCTTTCTACACAAAAGACTCCAATTTATTCCTTTTCCTGAAGCAAAAGCTTGTTTCCACAGAAATCTCTCTTATTTCCTTATAGGCTTAAGATTTCCTTAAGGACTTCAAACCTATTATATTCCTAGTTTAAGAAAAAAAAAATACAAGTAATCTTTTCATGCGTTACCAGTGTCATTTTTTACTTTTAAGCAAACTAATGAATATATCACATATAAGCACACTGGGCATCATATTACAGGATTTTTTAAATTCTAACGTTTAATTTAGATTGATTTTTAAATGCACATAATTATTGAAAACAAAGAACTTCAAATAGAGTGACATTTGGGACCTAATTTTGGAGTATCTAAAATATGAGCAATCAGAATGTTCTAATACCCTATTTCTTTAATCTATAATAAAAGAGAGAACAATATTAATTTAAGATAGATGATACACATAATGGTATAGCATGTTTATTTGAATAATTTATCTATTAATGTAAATGTATTGACAATATTAATAGTTTTTCATTTTAAAATATAAATTTATAACATACAAATATATTAAGAATAAAATAACATAAAAGCCTGTGCACTCAAGCCAAGATTCTCTGCACGGATATGTTTTAAATATTATTTTTCAAAAATATGAATTCTGAAAGCACACGCTCATTATCCCTCTGTGCTCAAATGAGTGAACAGAAATTGTGCCTGCTTGGTAAAGATATGCCAAGGAACTTATTTTTGGTTTTGTTTTCTTGTCCAGCTCATATCTATATTAAAAAAGTAATTTTGAAATCATTACTTTGTTACACAATAACTTTTGTGAGTTGGGTTGACAGTTAAAAACCAAAGATCTGGTGCTTTTTAGGTGTTACTTTTCATAAAATGCAATGTGATAGATTGTGCTTCTGGGTGGGTGGATGTGTGCTGTAGTTACTTGTGATGTTTCTACATCGTAATTGATTTATAAATGGCAATATAATTAGAGTGATTTTAATTTCTCAGAGTTGTTACCCTCTTGATTATCTTTTTTCTTCACTGTTTTATTTTGAAACATTTTAGTACTTTAGAAAAGTTATAGAAAACAGTACAGTGAACCACCTATACTCTTCGTGTATACCCATCATTTTAAAATCTTTCCTTTGCCCTTTCACTGTGTGTGTGTGCGTATGTGCATGTGTGTCTGAACTATTTGAGAATTAGTTGTAGACCTTAATATTTTTCATCTTTTAATAGTTTGGCATTTATTTCCTTAAAAAACATAACTACAATATATTCATTATATTCAGGAAATTTAACACTGAGTCCCATTATCTTATACAGAATCCATATTCCAATTTCCACATTTGCCTCCCTCAATAATGCCCTTCATACTTGTGTTAATTTACTATATTTTTAATGATCCAAAAATCTCATCAGAATTGTGCCTTCTTTCAGTTGTAGTTTCATTGGTCTCTTGATCTAAAATATTTCCCCAGGCTTTTTTCATTGTTGTTCTGAATATTTCATGAAATTAACATTTTAAGAGCCCAGAATAGTTAGACTGAATAAAATATTTAGGACAAATATTTCGCTAAACATCCTTCCATTGGATTTGTCTGATTGTTTCTTCATAATTGAGTTCAAGTTAAACATTTTAATAGAAATGCTACATAAGTGACATTGTGTCTTAAACCATCACATCAGGTCAGGAGACCCCCACTGTGATTTTGCACCTTTATTGATGAAGTTAGATTTGGAACAATAGTTAAGGAAGTTTCTACCTCTGACTCTGTCTCCTTTTTACATTTTGTTCTAACAAAGCAGTCACTTGGAATTTAATCTTTAATCTTGGTCAGTCACTCAACCCCAGTGTCTAATTAGTCGCCTTCCTTTCTATCTCCAAATTTTGAAGCCCAAGTATATTCTAAATTACAGTCTTTCCCTGTTGTGATTCTCCAAGCTTGCTCAGTTAAGAAACCCAATTAACAGGTATATACTAAATAATTTGAAGAAAATGGTTTTTGTTGATGAGATCATTTCAGTACAAACTAAAATTGTTTTAAAGAGTGAATGAAGGTATCCTTAATAATATCATCAGAGCAGATCTTAATACAAATTATTATATCTGTTAGAAAATCAAATCCATTACACCCAAGATAAGCAGGAAGGACTTTTTTATTTTTTAACAAATGAGAAAAAGTCATATAGAACCATTGGATTGGCTGGAGAAGCACAGTCTTGAGTTCTGTTTTAGGGGCACTACTCAAAGCTCTATAGCAGCATGAGGGAACTCTACTTCTTCATGACCAGGAAGCTATCACCACTTCTGTGAGATCAGTACCACATTGCTTCTTTGACAGTCCACACTTGCCAAAGAGATGCTTTGTGCTTTGCCTCCGGACATCTATAGAACTACTAAGTGCTAGACTATTGGATTTTTTAAACACTGCTAAAAAAAATTTGAAAAGCTCATATAAACTTACTTGCCAACAGAAACAACAAAAAGAAAATAAAAGAAGAAGCATTAACAGCAGATTCATTATGCTTCCACTGTCAGAAATTCTGAAATAAAATTTACTCTCTAGCATTCCCCTGTGGGATCATCTTGAAGCTACTCCTGGGAACTTTTCCAGCATCACACACTTTCTTGGCTTCTTCTCTTTCCTCCTTTTCTGACTCACAACAGCCTTCTCCTGGGAACACTTCCGCAATCAGATACTTGCCATCCCCCTCAGGGGTGCTTCTGGAATATCTTGTCTAAAATATAATCTGGTTAAAGAGCACTTCCACAAGCCCCCATATTACATCTGCCCACTTATCTGCAAAGATGTTCATGTGTTCAGCTGTTATTATTGTTATTTTATCCATGTGCTTCTGCTGTTATAATGATGAATTATTTATCATTATAATTCCCTACTAAAGACATCACTTCAGCTTTTTCCTCTGTCTTTTCCATTCTCTTTCTTCTCATTATTAGAATGTCACCATCAGTATATAAATACGATGTTGCTTTCCCCAGCTATTGCTAGAGCTCATTTATCTTCATTCGTACATAGTAAATCCCCTTAACAGTGTTATACATATAACTTTCTTCTTAATATTTCCACATGAATATCTTCTAGAAATTTAAAGTTCACCTGTCTCACCATAAGCTCCTCATCTTTCTCTGACTATCCTTCCCAAACATGCACAGGTTTCCACATCTTGTTAAAGACATGCTCATTATTTTACCTGTTTAATCAAAATTCTTGGAACAACTCTCACATCCCTTATGTCATCGGATGACTTTGAGTGAAAGAGTGACAAATTCTTTTGAATCCACCTTCAAAACATATCCAAAATTTGATCACTGCTTGTCTGTCCTGTTATTCCTCATTCAAGCCACCATCTCTTGCCCCAATGAATGAGATCTTCTGCTGATCTGATAGCAGCTTTGATACTCTAGAAATAATTCTGAATAAGCACCCTAATTAATACTCATATAATAATTTGAAACCATGTCACTTACTTGCTCAGAACCAATAAGTTTCCATCTTATATAGAATAAAAGCCAAAATATTGACAGTAAACTGTAGCATCTTACAAGTTCTCTCTGCAAGACTTGTCACCTCTTCTTCTTTAAGTCTTTTGCTCTAATATTGTCTAATATTATCTTCTTCAGGAAAAAATAACATAGATTACTTTTCTTTCTCACTAAAGTTAAGTGAAGCTCTCCTGAATTCAAAAGTCAATTAGAAGAGAAATAGTTGCATTCTGCCACACATTTCATATAGAAGCTGAAGGACTTTTTTATATATAATGTACCTAGTGCGAACAGAATGAGTTTGTCACTGCTGACTCCTCCTGTTACAGGCGGAGGGCATCCAGGATCTTGGCATCTTGAACAAAGAATTGGACAAAACACACAAACAAAGCAAGGAAGAAATGAAGGGATTTACTGAAAATGAAAATACAGTCCACAGTATGGGAGCAGACCTGAGCATAGGGGCTCAAGGGCCCCATTACAGATTTTTGGGATGTTTAAATAATCTCTAGAGGTTTCCATTGGTTACTTGGTGTATGCCTTATGTATTATATGGAGAAGATGAAGTAAAGTTACAAAGTCATTTACTCAGCATACCCCCTATAGAGAGGATATTTCCTGTTATTGCTGAAATGTGAATTGGCCTTATATTCCCTGCTTCCAGACCCTATTTTCCTGCCTCATTTCCCTGCTGAGAGATGTGATTCTTGTAAATCTTTATGGGAGGTGAAGGGACCGATGGTCTTTCTTATGTAACTGCTTCATGCTGGCTTGGGGAGTAGTCCCTACCTATTAGAGATCACAGAACTCTTGCCCTCCTCTGTCTAGAGGAGGCAGGGTAGCTTCTTGATGGCCAGTGGTGGTGTCTTCACCTGGAACTTGCTTGAAGCTTTGTTGTATAATCATCTGAAGCTTGAAGGTCTCTAGGCAAGAGGAAGTGTATTTGGTTAAAAGATTTGAAGGGGACTTCAGAGGATGGATACCTATGCTGTCAGGAATGTTTGTTATAGAGATTTGTAGGAGAAAAAAATAAAACCTGGTGTGTTCTAGAATCAATGTGTTTCCTTAAAGTCTTAGCACAAATGACTCCATTTTGGCTTGGTTTGGTCTGTTGAGGTCTAGTGCCTGAGCTTATTCCAAAACAATGGCCTCTCATCATTTCGTTTAAAAACTTCCCTCTTTTTGGTCAGGTTCTCACTTAGGTAAGAGTGTGACCAAAACTTAGGGTCTTAGCGCCACTCTTAGTTACCATCATTTTGGATTTCTGGACTCAGCATATCATTCATAGGTTACAGTGTCCTCATGGTTACACATTTCTTTCAGCTCTTGTCATTTTAGTTGAAGAGAGAACATATGGCAGCCTAGAGATGGTTGCATCCAAGCATTTAAAACCTTTGAGAGAATACAGCCTATTAGGGAGACTATTATTATGACTATTGGAAGGATAATAGCAAGAGTTTGGAGTATGCTTCTTATCCCAGGTCACCATAAGCCAAACCTCCTAACATCAAATAGATCAAAGAATTACCTAGATAAAGAGTCTATTCACTTTACTAAGCAATCTCTTTGTTAATCCCCTGCCACTGAATTTCTGTAATCTTCATTTGATGTATTTCTCTATAGGTCACAAGTGCCAGCATCTGCACAGATACTTCTTTGTTCAGCCTATTCTGTCATAACTTTCACAAGAGAATTTGAAGTCTGTTGTGTAACTGTAGCCCTTTACGGTAGAATTTGCTATAGAGCCTATCTGGAGAATACATTTCTAATCATTGTCTCTTTTACTTTAAACCACAGAAGAGGACCTAAAAAATGATACCCTTCTAGAAGAGTGAAGGCCTCCTGGCAATGATCTCTTTAACCCATGATGTGGCTTAAGAGGAGTGAACCCATGTTTTGTTTCTGAATGATGATAAGGCAACATATGTACTATTAAGGTTTCTTACCTATGTTGGGCCTTTATCTTTTATCTATTAAAGTATAAGTTTGGCCGGGTGTGGTGGCTCATGCTCATAATCCCAGCACTTTGGGAGGCTGAGGCGGGTGGATCACCTGATGTCAGGAGTTTGAGACCAGCAAGGCCAACATGGTGAAACCTCATCTCTACTAAAAATACAAAAATTATCTGGGCAAGGAGGCAGGTGCCTGTAATCGCAGCTACTTGGGAGGCTGAGGAAGGAGAACCACTTGAATCCAGGAGGTAGAGGTTGCAGTGAGCTGAGATCATGCCACTGCACTCTAGCCTGGTTGACAACAGTGAGACTCTGACTCAAAAAAAAAAAAAAAAAAAAAAGAAAGAAAGTATAAGGTTATCCAGGTATAAGGCTGGATACAAATTCTTTCACAAATAAAAGTATATCCTGTAAGTGCACACTACTGATCCCGTTTCTACTTCTATTGTTCGTCGAGGCATAAGCAAGGGTAAGATAAGAGTTTCATGATAGTAGAAGTCTTAATCTGTGAACTTGGGAAAAGCTGTTGACATAGAGGATGCCATCTTCTTCTTGGGAGAAATTTCTCTGGTTAGTTTTACCTTAAGGGTTCCAATGGATGTACACTTCCAAGAGTGTGAAGGGACACTTCTCAGTTGTCAGATTGTGAATCCAAAGTTTAAGGTCCTGAAGTTTTGTTGTAGTGTAGATGGTAAGGACAGTTTTTGATGTTCTCAGAAGGTCCAGGCCATAAAAGGCTTTTATACATGGTGAAAATACACTGTAGCATAATAATCTACTGTTATAATATCAGCCCTCTTGCATGGGAAAGCTTTTGTGCAACCAGAAAACATGCATTGAAAATAACAATCGAATGGAATCCCTTTGTAAAATGTTTAAGTGACCCACCAGGTGACCAAATATACCTGAAACTGTAATTGTTTTCCCAGGAACGTGGGACCAAACATTGGTTATAAACTATTTTAGTAATTTGTAAGTTACCACACCAATGTATTCAATTTGGATTATTTTATCTTTTCTATGATGAGTCATAGAATGCAGAGCTTTTAATAAAAGCTGTAAGGACCCAGTAAGGGCAAAGTGGCCATGCTGGTTCTCCATGAGTCCATGCTTAATTAACATTAGACATATCCTCTTGAATACTGGTTGTTTATCCAAATTATGTGCATAGCACTGGTAACTGATGGGTTATCATAGGTAATTTGACTTAGACCATGGAGTTAATACTAATTGCATATTTAAACAATTTTAGTATGGCTTAACATAAAAATTTGACAAAGTATATTTTCTTGGTATTTAATTAATTTTTTGTTCTACTTGGGTCAGTAGCTATTTACATGGAAATTTGGTTATTTCTGTGGTTTACAGTAACTTAAGAGAATAACCATAATTATAATTGGCAGCATATACTTACACATCGGAATTTTAGAAATCTGGTACAATTTTGGAACATATATTAGTATTAATTCAAAAAAATACAACCTACAGAAATTGAACATCATTTTGATAATCCCATGTACCTAAACATTCCACATAATCCTGTATACCTCTTTTCTGGATGTTTTCAAGGGTCCTCTGATCTATCCAAAAAACCAGGCATTAGGAAAGACAATTGTGAAACTAAAGTTTGATTTTGGAATTCCAGATTACCATAAATTATTTATTTTGTCAAAATAATGACAAATTTTAAAGAAGCAAAACCTTTTACAAAAAAGAAAAGAAAGCCCACGTTCTACTATTCTTACACACCTTGCATGTAAAAACTGTTTCTAATAGTCTCAGTTGTATGCTATAATGGCAACTCTTAGGAATTTTGATTTTAATGTAAAACCTGGTAAGTTAATGTTAATTATGTGCTAAGTGCTGATAAGGTCTGATTATTTCCAGCATACCTGGGACACGGTCAACTCCATGTGTTCCCAGGCCTTACCTAGTTGTAAAGCAGGTAAGTTAAACAATTTTTCAAAAGCCAAAGAAGCAGTTTATGAACTACAACCATTTAGCAATCTATTATTTAAACATAATTTAGACCACATGTTTACATTTTGAAGACGTTTATAATTTACCAATAATCTTTAAAAGCATGTTTATTTCCCAGAGATTACTAAAGTCACATGAACTAAATAAAAGGCATTATGTTTTTCACTTTTCTGACAAAATATTTGATTTAAGCCCTTATTATTCTTCAACCAATTAATTCAATCCCTTTTGTATTAATTAAAACTTTACAGAGGAGATAAACAGTGACTTTTAATATTTATGTAACAAGTTTGTGGAGAGAGAAAGAGGCCAGAGACTGGCTGGTAAGAAACTCTTGCCCTTTTGCTGACATGCCAGGTTTCTGGGTTCTCTCTCTTTGAGTGGTCCTGGAGACCCTCCTTAACTGTATGCAAAAAAACACATTGCCATGAATTAAGAATATTCACAAATAATTTACAAATTTTGGAAAAATTAGGCAGAGAGAGAAATGTGAATCAAATTCTATTTATAAAAGTACACTCAACACACTTAAAGTATCAGGAAGCCTAAAATTAAAAAAGCTAGTTTAAGGTTAAAAGGCTGGTGTGCTCCATTAATTCCTGTGGGCTTGACAAAGGTAGCTTAGGAATCCAAAATAAATGGAGAGTAAACAGCCAACAAATGAAAACTAGAAGCAAAAACAAATAAACAGAAAACTAACCCTATTTTTTTTTTCTATTTAATCTACCCTGGAGGCTACAGTGTTACCCAGAGCCCCCTAAAAATCCACAGATTGAATATTTTATTCCTGATACAAAATTTAATACCCTTAAGTTCTCCAATATTATTATACATTCTATGCAATCAAGAAATTCACTATAGGCACATGACCAATTAATACTCTAGCACTATCCATGCAAAATGGTAAATATAGTGTGAAGCAATGCAAGCATGTATGTGAAATTTGGCTCCACAGTAAATCCAGCTTCATGCTTAACTATATTAAAAAAAGAATTGCCAAACTGCTTATGCATTTCTCTACAATACTTCTTATTTTACTTTAATCAAGGATAAGAACTTAACTATGAAAAATGTTAGTTAGCCAAATGTCTCCAATTCTTTATCAGGTTTTAAAGAATATTTTATTATATAACCTTTTCCACATCTTTCTCCCCTACTTAATGATTCCTTACTACATTGTTTCATAAATAACCTTTTCAAATCTGTAATTTTAACTAAATTTAAATAACCTCTGAATTAGACAAAATTATTCTTTTGTTCACTAATAACATAACCCTTTCTGGCACATTTTGTATACAGAATTATGTTAACTATAATTTTTATCTTTAGTAACCTAAAACTTTAGTGAAACCCTAAAAAGCAAGAAATCCTGAACTATCAGATATGGGCATTTATGGATAAGAACAACTCCACAATTTTGGAAACATATTTCCCCATATCAAAATTATTTCTTAATTGGAAATGACCCAGATATTAAATGAGCATCAAAAATAACTTCAATATTTTAATTCACACAAAAAGTTTACCTAAAACATTCATCCTCTTCATTGTACTCAATTCTTTCACTTTTAACAAGAGAGACAGAAGACATCAATCAACATATGTAAAATGAACATTGGTTTCCTCTGGAAAGGCAGGACACCCCAAAGCGGGGAGGGAGGTTGTGGCTTCCAGGTCACGGGTAAGCGTGAGATGAACAGTTGCCTTCTTTCAAGTTTCTGATTAGCCTTTCCAAAGGATGCAATTAAACATGCATTTTTCTCAGTAAGACTTTGAATAGAATGGGAGGGAGGCTCGCCCTAACTGTCTCCAGCTTGAATTAACACTAATATTTAAAAATATCTAGCAAATACAAACATGAAATTCAGATAAAGTGTATGCTGACAATTCTGAAGGCATTTCTATTTTTACTCCACTAATAATTTTAAAGCTAGCTTGTTTAGTAAAGTTATACTTAAGTCACATAAACTTGAAAATTGCTTAGACTTATTTACTTTATTTATGAGCACTCCTTTACTTACAAGCAAATTTGGTAGATACACCATATAACAATAAGTGTACGTACAAATGAACACATCTAGACATGTATACACACACATAAATGAAGATCCAATGTCTTGGAACCTTAGCCATGAGATAGCAATACAAGCTTGCTGGTTTTACTTTGCCCCAATAGATAATCCAATGAAGGCTGTGAACCAAAATTTCCAGTAAAACAGTCTCCATAGCAGTTTGATTTTTAAAAGCCAAACCTCCCCAGGCTCCAAAGAGCACTGGGGCCAAACAATATCAAAGGAGGGCATCACATGTTAAGCAGACCCTCTGCTTAGAATAGCAACACAAAAGCCTGGACACATGCAGTGCCATCCCACTTTCCCATTAAACAGTAAACTTCAGTTCAGATTCTAAACAATTTTGGGGCCATGCAGCATTGCAACTGTGAGAGAAAATTCTAAGGAAGGCTTATTTCTAGACCTCAGAACCTCTCCCAAGAGCATCCCCTTTGTGAGGGTTGAGGTCGGCAGGATCTCCCAGAGCATCTTCCTGTGGGGAAACATGTTAGAGTGTTAGATGTCTCTGACGTTAGGTGGGCACCAGTGCCACTTTGTATGCTTTCCTCCAGAGCCTACTGTGAACTTTTCTTTGGTACCTGGGTGTAATCCCTGACTTTTAGCATCTTTATAATTTGATGAGGCCATGCTTTCCCATGCATCCCATTCCACAAACTTTAATGACAGAAACCGGAGGCTGGGTAGATTTGTTTTGCCCTTATCCAGTTGAATAGACGAAGGGAAGAATTTAGCATAAGGAAAGAAGGTTTAAGTAGCCTAAAACATGTGTGAACTTGCTCTGAGCTGTGCCACTTGTAGGGATCAGGGACGACACCCGGAAAATATATAAAAAAAGAACCTGTCCTTCTTTTGGGCAGGCAAATTATTCCCATTCATTCCTAGGCCTTCAGGAAATACTGGGAGTGACCCCAGCCAATTGCCTTCAATTTCCAACGAACTACTAGGAAACAGCTGCTGAAAGACTGAAAAAGAAAGAGAGAAAAAACAAAAAAAACCCCTCTGGTCCTTTAAGTAAACTGGGTGGTGGTGATTTGGTGCCTCCAAATGGAAACCTCTTATTTTCACTGGCTATGGCCAGAAACCTGCAGTTGCTTCTGTGTTTAGGCACTGTCTACCAAGGGTCCAGAGTTGGAAAGAGACACAGAGAGAGAGAGGAGAGAGAGAGAGCAATTCCCCTGTATGGGGCAGAAAGGAAAAGGAGAAAGAAGAAAACTAATTCCCAAACTTTGGGCTGACCTTCTCCTGGAATTTATCCTGGCTGGCTCACCAAAGTGTGTTACCAGTGGAGGGTCTCAAGGTTCTTGGCATCTTGAACAAAGAACTGGACAAAATGCAATAACAAAGCAAGGAAGGAATGAAATAATTTATTGAAAATTTAAGTACACCCCACAGTGTGGGAGCAGGCCTGAGCACAGGGGCTCAAGGGCCCCATTAGAAAATTTTTGGGAGTTTAAATACCCTCTAGGGGTTTCCATTGGTTACTTGGTGTACACCCTATGTAGATGGAGAGGATGAAGTAAAGTTACAAAGTAATTTACTCAGCATATGCCCTATGGAGAGGATATTTCCTGTCATAGCTGAAGTGTGAATTGGCCTTATATTCCCTGCCTCCAGACCCTATTTTCCTGCCTCACTCTTCTTAGGTTTAGAGCAGGTTTGTAATTCATAGTCTTAACACTCAAATATGCAACAATGTAACTATGTATTTCTCTATTAGAATTATTCACTTAGCTCTTGAACCCCAATTTCTGCCCCACAGCAAAATTAAATTGCTTATTAAAATAATTTGGTTACTTTCATGTTAACTCAGTCTCTTTGTAATAAATAATATTTTACATTTTCTTTCCCTAATTCTTCCCTTCTTTTTTTTTTCCCCCTTGGTGAAAACTGTGTTCAGTGAAAGCTTGTATATCATCCGGGTAAGTGGGTAATGCCATCTGGTTCCACATGCTCTTGTTTGTTCGCTTTACAGCTAGTGTAGTGGGGACCCTCTGCCTAGATTTGCCTCTGTTCCCACTGCATCCACTACAGTTGTGACTCATTATTATACTTCTCAGCAAAGCAATGTGCGGTGCTTGTCCCTGGAAGGTTGGCCATTTCTGCTTGCATCTCTCTCACCTGACTAGGCTTCTGCCATGACACACAGAAGTGACACAGGCCCATGAAGTGTGACTTAACAGCCAACCTATCTCCAGTTCTAGAAGGTCTAGATTTTTAGTTAAATAATATCCCGGCCCACCTCCACCACCCTCATTATACTCATCTAGGGGCACTATCAGCTATTTTTTAAATCTTCCATTAGGACATGTGGGACCTCTTGGACCCCTTCACACAATATAGAACTCAGGGAAATCTTCAGAGTAAAGAGGGTTGGATGCAATGTCAAATATGCTCTTTAAGGAAAAGATAAAGGCCTTTATCTTTTATCTATTAAAGTATAAGGTGTGGTGGCTCATGCCCATAATCCCAGCACTTTGGAAGGCTGAGGTGGGTGGATCACCTGAAGTAAGAAGTTTGAGACCAGCATGGCCAACATGGTGAAATCCTGTCTCTACTAAAAACACAAAAATTAGCAGGGCGTGGTAGCAGCTGCCTGTAATCCCAGCTACTTGGGAGGCTGAGGAAGAACTGCTTGAATCCAGGAGGTGGAGGTTGCAGTGAGCTGGGATCACGCTACAGCATTCCAGCCTGGGTGACAAAAGTGAGGCTCTGACGCAAAAAAAAAAAAAAAAAAAAAAGTATAAGGTTATCCATGTATAAGGCTGGCTGGTAGTGATTCTGGGTTTTCCTGGGGAGAGGCTCGCAGAGGCAACTGACAGCCCCTCTGCCACTGCCACAGCAGCAGTTCTGTCCCTGCTGCCTTCAGACTGGGGAAGAAACAAAGAGCCTGAGGGCTACACCTGAACTTACAGAACATCACAGTCACCACACAGAGAGGAGCCAGTCTTTCCTCCCTGTGGGTCCTTGTCCCCTATTCCCCAACAAGTGGAGTCTCTGGCCCAGGCCAGCAGTACAGCCACCCCACCCCCAGGCTGAACACTCCCAGTGGCAGGGGCTCCATGTTTCTCAGAAGTGGAACTCCCAGTGGCAACTGAAAGCCCCTCTGACACTGCTGTGCAGTGACACTGACCCTGCTGTCTGCAGACCAGGGAAGAAACGAAGACTCTAAGTTCCTTATCCTCACCTCCTGCAAGTTGCAGTCACCCTAAGGAGAGGAGGACAGCCTGTCTCCCACACGTCTCACTCGCATTTTCTGCTTGTCATCAGGCCCCATCCCTCCCCTGCCCCCCAGCTTGGACCCCCAGCACATCTGCTCCATTTCGGAACAATCAGACTCTTTGATGACACCTCCACATCTTCTGGTGTGAAGCCCAAGAAGAAAAGTGGAAAGAACCTCAGCCACAACTACTGTTAATTTCCCTTCCTCTGCTACCTCCAACTTCAGGAGGTAACAAAAACCCTGAGATCACCCCAGAGCTGCAGTGTGCAGCATGGGAGTGCCAAGCCATGATCTGTAGCCAGCATCTAGAGGGTTATGAACCCACACTATCAGAACATTGAAAGGGAGCACAGCTTCAACTGTGAGGAAATATAGACAAGCCATGTGACTGAGCAAGAGCCTACCTACTGACTATAATGCTTAAGTTCCACTGACTTGATTACACCCCAAAAATTCAACGCAAAAATATTTTCTTAACATAACCTCCTGTGAAACCAAAGACAAAAAGTGAGCTACAAATAAATATCCTACACAAAGCCTCAGCCCTCTGGAAACATCCAGTAAAGAATTCTACTGATTATACTCAATCTACACCACAGCGAAAGGAATGCCCACACACAGAGATGAGAAGGAGCCAGTGCAATAATTCTAGCAACTCAAATGGCCAGAAGGTATCCTGTCCTCTAAACAACTGCACTAGTTCTCCAGCAATGGTTCTTAACTGGGCTGAGGTGGTTCAAATGGCAGAAATAGAATTCTGAATGCAGATAGAAATGAAGATAATTAAGATTCAGGAGAACATTGAAACCCAATATAAGGAATCTAAGAATCACAATAAAATTATACAAGAACTTACAGATAAAATAGCCATGAAAAGAAACTAACTGGCATGATAGAGCTTGAAAAACACACTACAAAAATGTCATAATGCAATTGCGAGTATTAACATCAGAATAGACCAAACAGAGAAAAGCATCTGATAGCTTGAAGAGTGACTCTCTGAAATAATATAGTCAGATGAGGATAAAGAAAAGATAATAAAAATAAATTTTTAAAACTTCCAAGAAATATGGGATTATGTAAAGAGGCCAAATCTATGAATCACTGAGATCCCTGAAAGAGATGGGGGAGAAAGCAAGTAACTTGGAAAATATATTTCAGAATACCATCCATTAAAATTTCCTCATGGATGAGGATTTCTTTGCTGGAGAGTCCAACATTCAATTCAGGAATTACAGAGAACTCCTGCAAGATACTACACAAGAAAATTATCCTCAAAATACATAATCATCAGATTTCCCATGGTCAAAAAGAAGTTTAAACATGTTAAAGAAAAGGACAGGTTACCTACAAAGGGAACTCAATGTGGTTAACAGTGGTAACAGTGGACCTTTCAGCAGAAACTCTATAAGCCAGAAGAGATTATGGACCTATATTCAACATTCTCAAATCAAAAAATACTGTAGCCAATGATTTTATATCCAGTCAAACTAAGCTTTATAAGTAAAAGAGAGATGAGATTCTTTTTAGACAAACAATGCTGAAGGAATTCATTACCACCAGGCCTACATTAAAAGAGTCCCTGAAAGGAGTGGTAAATGTGCAAAGGAAGGACTGTTACCAGCCAATAGAAAAGCAAACTCAAGCACAAAGACCAGTGACACTCTAAAGTAGTCATGAGAACATGTCTGTGTAATAACCAACAACACAATGACAGGATCAAATGCACACATATCAATACTAACCTTGAATGTAAATGGGCTTAATGCCTCTAATTAAAAGGCACAGAGTGGAAAGCTGGATAAAGAATCAAAACCCAATGGTATGCTGTCTTCAAGAGAGCCATCTCACAGGCAATGATACTTATAGGCTCAAAATAACGGGATGGAGAAAAATCTGCCTAGCAAATGGGAATCAGAAATGAAAGGGGTTGCAATCCTAATTTCACCAAAAAAAGCACTTTAAACCAACAAAAACCAAAACAGATAAAGAGGGACATTAAATTAGGATAAAGGAATCAATTCAACTGGAACACCTAACTATCCTAAATATATACACACCCAACACAGGAGGACCCAATTTTATAAAGCAAGTTCTTAGAGACCTATGAAGAGACTTAGACTCCCACACAATAATAGTGAAAGACTTCAACACCCCATTGACAATATTAGACAGATCCTTGAAGTGGAAAATCAACAAAGATATTTAGGAACTGAAGTCAACAATTGACTGTATAAACCTAATAGACATCTACAGAACTCTTCACCCAAAACCAGAAGAAAGTATATTCTTCTCCTCACCACATGGTACATACTCTAAAATTGACCACACAATTGGGTATAAAACAATCCTTAGCAAAGCAAAGAACAAAACTCATACCAATCACACACTCAGACCACAGCACAATTGAATTAAAAATTGAGACTAAGAATATCACTCAAAATCTTAGAATTACACAGAAATTAACCAACCTGCTCCCGAATGACTTTTGGGTAAATAGTAAAATTAAAGCAGAAATCAAAAAGTTCTCTGAAACTAATAACACCAAAGATACACTATACCAGAATCTCTGGGACACAGCTCAGACAATGTTAAGTGGAAAATTTATAACACTAAATGCCCACATGAAAAAGCTAGAAAGATTTCAAATTAACAACCTAGCATCACAACTAGAAGAAATAGACAAGGAAGAGGTAACCAACCCCAAAGCTACCAGAAGACAAGAAATAACCAAAATTGGAGCTGAACTAAAGGAGATAGAGACAGAAAAAAACCATTCAAAAGATTAACAAATACAGGAGTTGGTTATTGGAAAAATTAATAAGATAGATGGACTGCTGGCTAGACTAATAAAGAAGAGAGAATATTAAAATAAACACAATAAGAAATGACAATACAGATGTTACCACTAACCCCAGAGAAATACAAATAACCATTAGAGACTGCTGTAAACCCCTATATGGACAAAAGCCAGAAAATCTAGAGGAGATGGATGATAAATTTCTGGACATATACACCCTCCCAAGACTGAACCAGGAAGAAATCGAATCCCTGAATAGACCGATAATGAGTTCTGACATTGAATTAGTGCTTACAAAAGACAAAAACCCGAGGACCAGATGGTTTCACAGCTGAATTCTACCAGGTGTACAAAGAAGAGCTGGTGTCATTCCTACTGAAACTTTCCCAAAAATTGAGGAGGAGGGACTCCTTCTCAACTCATTGTATGAGTCCAGAATCGTCCTAATAACAAAACCTGGCAGAGACACACACACAAAAATAAAACTCCAGATGAATATCCTTGATGATCATTGACGCAAAAATACTCAAAAATATACCAGCAAACCAAATCCAGCAGTACTTCAAAAAGTGAAACTACCTCATCAAGTAGGCTTTATCCCTGAGCCTCAAGGTTGGTTCAACATATACAAATCAAATAAATGTGATTCATCACCTAAACATAACTAAAGACAAAAACCACACGAGTATCTCAATAGATGCAGAAAAGGATTTCAATAAAATATAACATCCTTTCATATTAAGAACATTCAAAAAATTAGTTAATGAAGAAACATACTTCAAAATAATAAGATCCTTTTATGACAAACCCACAGCCAACATCATACTGAATGGACAAAAGCTGGCAACATTTCCCTTGAAAACCAACAAAAATCAAGTATGCCCTCCCTCTCTTACCACTCCTATTCAACATAGTATTGGTAGTCCCGGCCAGAGCAGTTGGCCAAGAGAAATAAATAAATGGCATACAAATAGGAAGAGAGACAGTCAAACTATCCCAGTTTGCAGATGACTTAATTCTATATCTAGAAAACCCCATAGCCTCTGACCAAAAGCCCTTTCAGTTAATAAAGAACATCAGCAAAGTTTCAGGATATAAAATCAATGTACAAAAATTAGTAGTATTCCTATACACCAACAACATTCATGCTGAGAGCCAAATCAGTAACATAATCTCATTCACAATGGCCATAAAAAGAATGAAATATGTAGGAATACAGCTAACCAGGGAGGTGAAAGACCTCTAAAATGAGAATTACAAAATGCTGCTCAAAGATTTCAGAAATGACATAACCAAATGGAAAAATATTTAATGCTCATGGATAGGAAATACAATATAGTTAAATTGGCCACAATGCCCAAAGCAATTTGTATTTTTATTGCCATTCCTATTAAACTATCAATGACATTTTTCAGAGAACCAGAAAAACTATTTTAAAATTCATATGGAACAAAAAAAAGAGTCTGAATAGCCAAGGCAATACTAAGTAAAAAGAACAAAGCTGGAGGCATCACATTACCTGAATTCAAACTATACTACAGGACTACAGTAACAAAAACAACATGGTATTGGTACAAAAATAGATGCATATCCCAATGGAAGAGAATAGACAGCCCAGAAATAATGCAACACACTTACAGCCATCTGATATTCAACAAAGCTGACAAAAACAAGCAACAGGAAAGGATAAATTGAAACCGGATTCCTTACACCAAATACAAAAATTAACTCAAGATGGGTTAAAGACTAAAGTGTAAAATGCAAAAGTATAAAATTCCTGGAAGATAAGCTAGGAAATACCATTTTGGACTTAGGAGTTGGCAAAGATTACATGACAAAGTCTACAAAAGTGATTGCAAGAAAAGCAAAAATTGGCAAATGGCACCTAATTAAACTAAAGAGCTTCTGCAAAACAAAAGGAACTACCAACTGAGTAAAAGGACAACTTACAGAATGGGATAAAATATTTGCAAACTATGCATTTAACAAAGGTCTGGTATTGAGAATCTATAAGACACTTAAACAAATTAACAAGCAAAAACCAAACAACCCCATTAAAAAGTGGGCAAAGGACATGAACAGAATTTTCCAAAAGAAGATACAGATGCGGCTAACAAGCATATGACAAAATGCTCAACATCACTAATTATTAGAGAAATGCAAGTCAAGAGCATAATGAGATTATCATCTCACACCAGTCAGAATGGCTACCATTAAAAAGTAAAAAAGTAACAGATACTGGCTAGATTGCAGTGAAAAGGGAATGCTTATACACTGCTAGTGGGAGTGTGCATTAGTTCAGTCATTACGGAAAGCAGTGTTCTGGAAGGCGATTTCTCAGAGCGAAAAGCAGAACTACATGCCACCCAGCAATCCTATTACTGGGTATATATCCAAAGGAATATAAATTGTTCTGCCATAAAGACACATGCATGCATATGTTCATTGCAGCACTGTTCACAATAGCAAAGACACATGGAATTAATGTAAATGCCCATCAAAAGTAGACTGGAAAAAGAAATGTAGTAAATACACACCATGGAATACTATGCAGCCATAAAAAGGATAAATAAATAAAATTAAAGCAGAAATCAAAAAGTTCGCTGAAACTAATAACACCAAAGATACATTATACCAGAATCTCTGGGACACAGCTCAGACAATGTTAAGAGGAAAATTTATAACACTAAATGCCCACATGAAAAAGCTAGAAAGATTTCAAATTAACAACCTAGCATCACAACTAGAAGAAATAGACAAGCAAGAGTTAACCAACCCCAAAGCTACCAGAAGACAAGAAATAACCAGAATCAGAGCTGAACTAAAGGAGATAGAGAAAGGAACAAGATCATGTCCTTTTGCAGGAACATGGGTGAAGCTGGAGGCTATTATCCTTAACAAACTAACTCAGGAATAGAAAACCAACTATATATCTGCATTATATTGAAAGGAAGAAAGGGAAGGAGGAAGGAAGGAAAGAAGAAACAAAGGAAGGAAGGAAGGGGAAAGGAGAGCAAGGGAAGGAAAGAGGAAGAAATGGAAACAGGAAGGAAGGAAGGAAGGAGAAAGGGGAGGAAGGGAAGGAAAGAGAAAGAAAAGGAAAGAGGGAGGGAAAAATAAAATAAACTGTTGATAAAGTAAGTGAATCAGATGAAATACACAGTGTAAATGAAAGATAAGATAAAGTGTTGAGGAAAATATTAAAGAGGAAAATTATGGACTGAATTAAATTATTAAAGTCATAATGGAAACATTTAAAATATAGAAATTAAATTAGCATAGTAAAAGCAGACTTGAAAAAGTCACCAGAAATAAAGACAAACACAACAAATATTTTAAAACAAGGAAATGATATGTATTGATGGAAAAAAGACAGGCAAACCAAATAAGAGGCTCTATAAGAAGGAATCAGATTAGATTTTTTTAAAGTGCATTAGAAGTCATATCATTGGGAGAAAGGACATTAATATTTTCAGGTTATTAACCGAACTATTTACAAGAAACTTGAAGCAATTTATTTCTTACCAACAACAGGATATATATTTACTTCTTATCTTTGGACTGTTTTTCATCTTTATTTAAGTATAATTGACAAATATGAATTATATATATTTAAGATATATAACTTGATGTTATAATCTATTTTTATATATCAATTATGAAATAATCACTAAAATCAAGCCACAATAATTAACATGCTACCTTATATATATTTTCTCTCTTAATTTTTTTATTTCTATACCTAAACTACTTTGACAAGGAACATGGCATATTATATTCATGCTTTTACTAATATGATGAACATTTATACTGATTTATAATTATAACAAGAGCAATGGTGATACTATCAATAACAGCTGAATACTTAAAATATGCCAAGCACTACATTACCTTA
The DNA here is from genome assembly GCF_000001405.40 of Homo sapiens. Taxonomy (NCBI): domain Eukaryota; kingdom Metazoa; phylum Chordata; class Mammalia; order Primates; family Hominidae; genus Homo; species Homo sapiens. Next base: position 114,887,468 of record NC_000008.11, on the reverse strand, counting down.
TTTGATCTTTCTAACAAACCTAACAAGCTGATACTATAATTATTTCTACATTATATATAAGCCATTAATATTTAAAGAGTTCAAGTAACTTGCGTATGGTTAAATGGCTAATATGCAGTGAAGCTGAGATTCAAACTTGTCTCTTCTTAAATCAGAGCTCTGAAATTTTAATCTATGATGCTTCTTGCATAAACTCTTTGAATATTAAAGACATTATCATTTCTCATTCATGAATATAAACAGCTATTCTTCAGGTTATGGTTTGGAATTTTTATGTTTTCAACTATAGCAAAAATTTTTTACAATGTCTTACATTGTATTTGTGACAAATATTTCTTGTCAACTGATAGGTTAATATATAAATAATGTTTTAAAAAAATTTTAAGACTTTAAGCTCTAAACTTATCTATTTAAGAAACTTCACTTATTATTTATTTAAGTGTATGCTGTGAAGTTGAGATATAAATTATTAATAATGAGTTAATTTTTTAGTGCAATTTATCTTATCACACATTCATTCCCTATTGATAAGTAATTCCTGCAAATAATGTTAAATTATTTCAAACACTAGAATTCTGTCCTTGCGATAATATATCATTGATCAAAATATTTGTTTATGTTGTTCAATGACTATATTTTTTAATATTTGAAAGATCAGGTACCCTGTTATGCTCTTTTCAAAATATAAGCTTTACTGATCTGGTTAATTTTTTTCAAAATAAAGCTACCTTAAATCATGGAATAGATCCTAACTACAGAATCAATACTTTTTTTGTAATTTTTTTTTTTGAGACGGAGTCTCGCTCTGTCGCCCAGGCTGGAGTGCAGCGGCGCGATTTCGGCTCACTGCAACCTCCGCCTCCCGGGTTCACGCCATTCTCCTGCCTCAGCATCCCTAGTAGCTGGGGCTACAGGCGCCCGCTACCAAGCCCGGCTATTTTTTTTTTTTTTTCTATTTTTAGTAGAGACGGGGTTTCACCGTATTAGCCAGGATGGCCTCGATCTCCTGACCTCGTGATCAGCCCGCCTCGCCTCCCAAAGTGCTGGGATTGCAGGCGTGAGCCACAGTGCCCGGCTGTTATTTTTATTTAAGGTTCTGGGGCACATGTACAGGTTCGTTATATAGGTAATCTCATGTCATAGTGGTTTGGTGTACAGGTTATTTAGTCACACAGATACTAAGCATGGTAGTTGATAGTTGTCAGGTACTCTTATTCTCTATCTACTCCATCCTTCTCCCTCGAGTAGGCTCCAGCATCTGTTGTTTCCCTCTTGTGTTTATTTGTTCTTATTTAGCTCTCACTTATGAGTAAGAACATGTATATCCCTTAAAATACTCATTCTTTCTTCATATTTTATATTTTAGTTTAAATATTACCACTCAGGAAGGTAGCCAAAATTGTTTAGAATAGAAGAGACTCCCATTTGATTATTTCATTATTCATCTAATATTTCCTATACATGTATTTACTGTCACTTATTACAATGTGCCATTATATATTTATTTTAAACGTTTTATAATTTTTAAACTTTTACATTTGTCTCATCAGCTATCTCCATGGGGTGAGCTTAGAGAAGTCAGGACTTACCACCGAACGCCCAGCAAAAGACCAGGCAAACAGTCAGTTTTCAATAAATACTTCTAAAATAAAATGAATTAACTTAAAGAAATTGATAACATGAAGTTATACAAATCTTGAAAAACATTCATGTTGATAGGGATTTGAGTTTGATCTTGATATGTAGCAGCTGTATAAATATACATATCTTTCCATAATAGTTTGAGTCTTCTTGAAGCCAAAACAATCTTCTTTGATAGGCAAATACATCAAGGCAATCAGACAGTGATCTGTAATGTGTGCCTTCTGCTTCAAGAAGAATGCTTAAAGAATGCTTGATCCCAGGGATTCTGACCTGATTAGACACTTTAACAGACAAAATAATTTTCTTCTTAAAATTAAGTTTCTATTTTAAGTTAAGACATCATAGGAGGGACTCATTATATTGGTTTTCAAGGACTGATTTGTGTTAATTAGCTAAGGCCCTTGAGTTCCATTCAAATTTGAATGTGCTTCCACTCCTATGTATAAAACCTAGAGGTGGTGCTGATTTCTCAGTCTTACTCTACTCATATTTCGAGTGATTAACAAATATTGAGATTTAATCACCATCTTTGTATATGTAATAATTCATGGACAAAAATATACAGCCATAAAAATATTAAACTTGTCATCCATAGGTTTTAATAACCATGCATACATTTGTATATTCAGTAACTTTTAGAAAACATTTTCTTGTTTTACTTTAACCTGTCAGTAACACCAAATCTCAGAAAACCTCCATGCCCCACTTATAAATAGATGTTACTAAGGTTTAAATAAATTAAAACGATTTTATTTTTTGTAAAAAACAAAAGCATGACTACAGTATATGGACTAAAGGACTGAAATTAATGTTCAAATTTGAATGGGAAGTTTGACATTTGGGTTAATAAACTAATTTCAAGTAACATAAAATCGATGCTAATAATAAGGAAATGTGGTATTACTGTGTGATGTTTTAATTGGTGTTTAACTATGATGCAAGTAAAAAATATGTTTCATTTGAATATGTCAGGTCTAAATTCAAAAGCAGAATAATAATATGTGGGTGAAATTATTCAAAATAAGAAAAAACCCAGAAATATTCTACAGTAATATGTAAATTATATTTGTTAAAACATGAGGAACTATTTTACTGACCTAGCTCTTTCCAAATCAAGCATATAAACTCTATTCCTATGTCTCCCTTTCTATTAATAGTATGTCCTATGAAGGTTAGCTTCCACATATTTTATTTTCCTACCACTTCAACACTGCTTCAATATTAGTCTCCCATGCTATTGCAATACTCTTTTGGAAATTCTTTTTTTTCTTTCTTTTTTCTTTCTTTCTTTTTTCTTTTTCTTTTTTTTTTTTTTTGAGACAGAGTCTCACTCTGTCGCCCAGGCCGGAGTGCAGTGGCGCGATCTTGGCTCACTGCAAGCTCTGCCTTCCAGGTTCACGCCATTCTCCTGCCTCAGCCTCCCGAGTAGCTGGAACTACAGGCATCCGCCACCACGCCCGGCTAATTTTTTGTATTTTTAGTAGAGAGGGCGGTTTCACCATGTTAGCCAGGATGGTCTCGATCTCCTGACCTCATGATCCGCCCGCCTCGGCCTCCCAAAGTGCTGGGATTACTGGCGTGAGCCACCGAGCCTGGCCTCTTTTAGACATTCTTTGACATTTTGGCATTATTTCACACAGCGTGCTCTACTGATTACTTGAGATAGATGGCCAATAAACAAATCTAATGGCTAACAATTGTGTAAAATGCTGCATGCATTATCTCTATGTTTGAACTAAGTGATCCACAAAAATCTCAGAGATGCGTGATTGAAATCTCTGAGAACTTTTTAGCAAGCCCCAAACCTCTTGTTTTTATTTTGGTTTACTCCAAAAGCAACTAATAAACAAGGAAAAGGTAAATAGAAGGAAAAGGTGTCAGAGAAGTAATAGATCTCTGTTGATTTCCTGATTTCTTCAGTTGGCACATCTAGGTCAGTGGTATTGGAAGCTAACATGAATTAAAGTATTTGTCAGGTGAGAGAAGCCAGGAGAGCAAACAAACTGCCTGTTATATCCTCTGCTCCTGTAAGTATCCAGAAACAATTCATACCACTCTTTAAGGGAATGCTACTGCTTTTCAGCAAGCCACATCTCAATGCCCTCATGGCTTGATTCTTCACCTTTAAATTCTTGTTATGTCAGCAAAAGAGGCATATCCTGTTATCTATTTCTTCAAAATAAGACCAGGAAGTTTCCATTTATATTCCCTTAGGGACTTTTATTACATATTGCCTACTGGCAGTCTCTGGTGAAGCAATCTGTTTAATTTTGCTTAGCCCAATGCTCCCAAACAGATCTGATCAAATAACTTTTTCCAACTTCCAGTTAGTGTTGGGTACAAATATGCTGTAGAGAATGCAGACCTACATGATCTCTCCCTATATTTGTATTTCTACACGAATCCTATTAGAATAATATATTAAAAGAACTGAGACATAATTTCTGTGATCTCAGTGAGCTAAAGTTACAAAATTGCAACTGAATACTTTGTATGGAGCATATTTTTAATGAGAGTATACAACAGCGTAACATACATACTAATGTAAAGTTAAATGTATAGGGCAGAGTATGGTTTCTTGTATCAGCCTCCAACTCCTCTTGTCTAAGAAACTTGTAACAACCTTTACCCAGTGGGTCTAAGGAGAGAGTTCCAAAGTAATTCCAGGTCTTCATCTGTAGACTTCATTCAGTTTCTGTTGGGATATCCGTTTCTTGCTATGGATCAACTTTTGCTGAATTTTGTTTTTAATTTTATTTACTTATGTATTTTTTGAGATGGAGTTTCACTCTTGTTGCCCAGGCTGGAGTGCAGTGCAGGATCTTGGTTCACTGCAACCTCTATCTCCTGGGTTCAAGCAATTCCCCTGCCTCAGCCTCCCAAGTAGCTGGGATTACAAGCACCCGCCACCATGCCCGGTTAATTTTTGTGTTTTTGTAGAGACAGAGTTTCCATGTTAGCCAGGCCAATCTTGAACTCCTGACCTCATGTGATTCACCCATCTCAGCCTCCCAAAGTGCTGGGATTACAGGGGTGAGCCAGTATGCCCAACCTGAATTTTTTTTATTTAAATGACTTTCAGTTATTTCTGAAAGTGCTAAGAACACTTACTCCTGCGCTGCCTAATTTCCTTTTTTCCCTTATTACTTCATGAATTGATTTTAGTAAGTCGGTATGTATTCTCCCAAACCTTCTCTATACTTATGTAATCATATCTTTAGCTATACAAATATGTGCCCTGTATTTTTTAAAACAACATATTATATATTATATATGGTCTGGATATTTCTTAACCTCATATCACTGAAATCCAGTATATATAATTGGGCATGGTATGCATGTTATATAGTATTTTGGAATATCACGTAGGTGGTGAGAATATAGGGAAAGGTATGATTGTATATTGCAGTAGAAAATGTGAATTAATATAGCTGTTTTTGGAGGGAAATCTGTTGATATCTATTACAATGATAAATTCAACAATGCTTTTATCTTTAAGAATTAAATCAGTACAATATACCTTTATATATGTGAGTTTTATATGATGGTACAATTTATGGCAACACAAAAATGGTAAATACATTAAATACATTTCAGTAAGGTTATATTTTTTTAAAAAATGGTGGTGTAATAGTTTTTTAACCTAATGTTCTCCTGTTGTCACCCTATTTCTATCTAATCAATCCTCAACTTTACTGAAAAAAAATTCTGACTTAAGATGGTGCTAAAGAAACATGTATTTCCTCTTCGAGTACCCATTAAAATTAGTAAAAAGGCTATAGGTAGTTGGATATATAAGTCAATAACTCAGAAGGAAGTATAGGGCTGAATATTCAAAATTAGAAGGACACTACACTGGTCCTGGTAGCATTCTGTTCCTTGACTTGGGTACTGGCTATCTAAATGTGTTTATTATGGAATTTTTTTTGAGCTGCGTATTTATGGTTTGTGTATTTTTCCTTATGTATCTTAATGTCAATAAAAATTGCATTAACAAAAGATATACCTTCTTATAAAGTATGACTTTCCACATTATGCTGGGTTTTAATAATCTGAAAAGAATGTGCATTATTCCTCCCTTCTCCTCTGATCTTCATAGTACAAACATGCTTCTAATTAGCAGCCATTTTAGAAGGGAAATGGGAAAATTTAAGTATAAATCTGGGTTTCTCAACCTTGGCACTATTGACATATTTTTGCTGGAATAATTTTTATTGTGAGAGGCTGTCCTGTTTATTGTAGGATACTTAACAGCATCCCTGTCCTCCATCCACTAGACGTCAATAACACCCTGCCAGTTGTAGCAATGAAAATTATATCCAGACACTGCCAAATATCCCTTGGAAAGGAAAATTGTCCTTTGTTGAGAATACCTGGTCTATATAAACTAGACGTGACAAAGAAGAAATGTGGGGCAGAGTCTAGAGAAATAGAACTAGATCATTACCCAGATTAAAAATCCAGATGGAAAACATGCTGAGAACCTGTCAATAAAGGGAATCAGGTAAATTTCATGAAGAACGAGCAAAATTATGAAAGCAAAATCTATACCAGAGGGATTGTAATACCAATACTATGTATCCTTGTCTTCAGTCATAAAACCAAATTTTAAAATTCAAGAGAAAACCAAGTTGTCATGCAGAACGGCTTTGACAAAAGGAAGACCCATAAATCTACCATTATAATCACTGATTATATGTATTTCTGATAGTCAGCCATACATATTCTTTCATCTCAGTCAGTAAGAATGCTATTTATTATTCTAACTTCATTTATATTTGATCAGTTTTAGCATATTTGATATTGTGAAGAATACCAATGATTTTAAGGAACAAAGGTTTATGTCCAAAAGAAATGTATCTCAAAAGAATGCTTTTGATTATGTGAGTTCTTAGAGGTGAGCAGTTCTTAGTCAGCTTGTACTAACATTTTATATGAGCTGCTATGGTGAATGGGGTATACCTTAAATACTTCTTACTTTCGGTAACATCTTTAATGGGAAGTGCCATCCATCAGCTACTGTGTAATATTTTTATCTAAGTGGTTGTGTTAACCCAGGTGACCCTAGAAAGTAAGGAAACGAATACATCAATGAGGACGTAACTGCTGGCAGATTGTGAAGATTTTTATAGCTTATATAGTTAAAATTCCCCATATTATTAAGTGCTATTGTACTTTAAAGGATAAAATATTTTCATGGGAAATGGCTTCTGTTTGTGTGGAATGCCTTCAGGGGGCAAACTATGCATAATGCAAAACCCTATGAATGAGGTATTCACTATTACAGATGATTTACAGAATAACTGCAGAGTAATGCACCCACAGATGCAGAGAGGATTACATTTATCCTGCTCCTTCCGAGGTGAGGGCTATATTTAATACATTTCACATGTAATAAGTCTTGAATTAATAAATGCTTTTTATCAATCTACCTCTCATAGGAGCTAAGAGGACATATAATCCCTAAGACGTTTGGGTACAGACAAATAATGTTTAAATAAATGCACTGTCAATAAAATATTATAAAGTATTTACTAAATATTATGTTTTATCTCAGTTACAACTTTCATCTTATGTGTATTAAAAAGCTTACAGAGTTATTTTTGAAATTGTGTAAGGATTTATCGTACTGAAAACATGGTTTTGGAAAATAAATGATGCCAGAGCGTAACATTCCCCATTCTCTATTTTTCTTGTGCCATAATCAATATTAATTTTAGAACTACATTGAAGATGTTTTGCCCAGATATTAATATTTTTGAGTTTTCTGCATCTGTACTGCTATATAAATGGTAGAAAAGATTGTGTAGGGAAATCCCAGCTGATAAAACATTTTACTCAGTCCTGTGTAGATTTACTACTCTGCATTAAGGGACCTTTCCTATCCCAACTCGCTGGACTTATATATACACACATAGGGTTTTTAGCATTCCAAAGGATTCTGAGAGATCTGGCATGCTGTGTGATTGGATGAGCATCCATGTGTGAAATGCCGTACATGATTAGAGCAAGGAGGAAATATTTCTGCGTCTCAGTCAGGTGCCAAGAGCAGTTCCATGTCTTGAATAAATTTTTCCTGTGTAAACAGACTGTTCAAGGAAAATTCAATCCCATCTCTGTGGTTTGAAATCTCTTTGGCTACAAGTGGAGATAGAGCATTTTAGGGTTATGTGTATTTTGGGGGACAGTCTATTGATATTTACAAATTTTTAATAAGATTTGCTAGTCTTTTGTGATCACAGATTCTTTGCTGTGGTAAAGGGTACAGCTCTAAACCATTGTTGGCCCTTGCATCTTTAGGTTTCTGAAATGCAATACTAAATTGAGTTTATTTTTTGAAAAATCATGTGCAGCTGACTCTGCTCCCTGCCTGGGTTAAGCATATGTGTGATAATGGAAGCTCTGGCTGGGATTTGGAATTAGTAGTAGTTTTAGGCTAGGAGCCCTGATAAGGAGTAGGCTTGTTTTTGGGAGAAACAGAAGGGGAAGATATGACAGAAGATTCTGTAACATGTGTTCCTAGTGTTTACAAGCAGCTAATATTTTGTGGCATTTGATGATGTTATTTTTACCATAAAGACCTGTTTTCTAATCCTGGATCTTTTCTTACTGGTATTTTATCCTTTGCTAATTTTCCTAACCTCTTTAATACTCACTTCTCTAATTTATAATGGGAAATAGTAGAGCTTGACATGATTATTTTCATAAAGAAGGTAAGTACCAAGTAACTTTAAGGCAACTAGGTGATTGGCAGGAAATTTGAGTTGAGTTTTGAGGTAATTCTCCTCTCGATTGTCCAGTATGACACACTGGACAATGGATTCACAATATGGATGTAATTTATTAGATTGCAAGATTCAGGGGTCATGGACTATATCTAAATTCACTTTACATAACAACATTCATTGCAGTATGTAGTATAAATCGTTCCAATGTGTGTTGAATGAACTGATTGATGATGGAGTAGATTCATTTCTGGAGGAGAAAGGAAAATCTGGCACTGTACTGTTATACCTAGTTGTGTGCTGCAGAATGCAGTAGATGAGACTGGAATCTGGTTCTAGAATTTTCTCTTCATCATGGATGCAAAATATTAACTTACTGACCAAAGTATTAATGTCATGTATAAGAATTATTTTCTTGTCATTTTTTAGTCTACAAACAATCAATATAATTTCTTTGATAATTTTAGGAAATAAGCTTCATTATACATAAATACTAGATAATTTATTATCATGATGCTACTCTAATATTAAGGAAATCCTGTCCAAGATGTAATTTAGTGCATATATTTTACACACATATGGAAGAGATTCCTTTATTCTCCTCACAAAAATGGAATATTATATTAAACTTGGAGTTAGTATATGAAAAGTGTACTTTAAAAAGGTAACATTTTAATGGGTAATTCATAACATTTGTTTCTGCTTTCTTTTTGTATCACCTCTTTATGTACATATTATTTATTTAAAATTGGGCTTCAAGGTAGTTTTTATATTATCAACTTCATATATTTTTGATGTATTAGCAAAGTACTCTAATATTGGCCTATCACTTACAAAGGAATTTATTTATTAGAGAAAATAACCATTTTAGTTATTTGGTAATTAAGAAGAACTGTATACAGTTTCTAATATCTTAATGTTTAGGTCCTTTAAAAACTTTAAAAATTCTTCCTGCTTAGATTTTGACAATAACACAGCATAACTCTAACACTGATTTATTTCTAAAGAAGATGTTTAATTCTATAGTTAGTATGCAAAATGTAAACCCAATTTATTTGTACTATTTAGGCCCATATGAAAAAAAAATAGATGTAGATATAGATAAAGAGATAGATTTAATTTGCTTTAAGACTGGCTAAGTCTCCCTTTGGGGGCCACTTATCCCAGGTATTACACCAATTTCTGGTTTATCTGAGATCTTTTCAAGATTAAAAAGCTTGAAAGGCTTCTGTTAAACAAAACCAAAAATAAAAACAAAAAACCCTGAGAAAGAGGAATAATATTTGTATTGAAGAGTTTTACTGGTCAACTAAACACACAAGGAAGACAAGGAAAAGGACCCCAGTTTCTTATTTAATAAAAGTAAATTCCTTAAGGTTGAAATGGCAGGATCCTTTCAGAAATGGTAAGAAAGAGGCAAAGAAACTGGGAGAGCACATTCCCTATAAAGGAAGAAAAGAAAGGCTGTGCAGGGGAAAACACTGATTTTCAATACTCTTAAGTATTTCGGAGGTTTGTTATCCATAAAAATAAGAACTTATCTAAAGTTTTGCAGCTATGGAGAAAACATTATGCCAGATAGCCCTAAATGAATGAATTTGTTGTGATCATTTACATGACATCTGTGAGTGGCTTATAAATGGGAAATTCCCCTACCAGTGTGATTCTATTGTGTCAGATTATATGGACTCAACCTTGCTTCATCCACTTTCAGAGATTTCCCAGAAATTTGGACCTTCTTGGGAATCTCTTCTTCTCAATTATTTAACTATTTCAGCACCCAGTAAAAAATATTTTATTCTATGTCCCAGAGAAGAAAAGCAAAGCTATTATTCCCTATTTACCACTATAAAACTGTAAAATTACTAAAACCTTACCTATAATCACTTGTCTCACTTTTATCTATTCACTAAGTTTTTTTCTCCTGAAGGAATATAATTTATCTACTGTGCTATAGACATATCTCCTTCAGATTCCTGGGGAGATTTTTACTCTATGCACTCTTGGGTGAATCTTTTTCACAAATATGTTAAATGTGCTCAAATTTCTCCAAGCTCTCAAAATCCTTATTGATTCCATATCCTTTTCTTGCTCACATATACTAGCTGATTTTTCTCTTAACAGCCAAACTTAAAAAAAAAAATCCTCTTCATATTTTTTTTTCTTATTTCACTTGCATTGCTTTCTAATCTATTGAAGACTGGTTCTTCTGCTACTCCTAAAATAGCTTTCTTAAATCCAAAGGACAGCCTTCAGTCTAACAGTCTAACAATTCTGAATAGTATTTAGTACTTCAGTCTTTCATGGGCCTCCATTCTACTGCACTTTTGTGGTAGTTTTGTTCCTACTTGTGTGGTCATTCCTTGACAGTCACACGTGGTACTTCATTTTTTTCTAACTGGTAATGAAATATTAAAAACAAAAGTTTTTCAAAACTCTTAGATCATACTCTCTCCCTAGTGACACTTATCCAACCCCCTTTGTCCAGTCATAATCTACATTTCAATGATTCTCAGCTTTAAAAAGCTGAGATTAAAAAACCGGGTTAAAATCCAGTTCAGGTCTCTGATCTGAGCCTTAATATGCCTCCTTATTCCACATTTTTACATGATACTTCCCTGACTCTCCCTTCACTCTCTACTTACAAGTCATAACCAAATGTTGCACATTATTTCTCTTAAATATCTTTAAAATATGACATCTCCCTATTATTATCATTATGATGCAAGTACGAACTAATGCAATTTATTATTTAAAATTGTGTAATATGATATCTCATTGATTTCACTGCATTCATTCTAATCTCCTTATATTCTGTCATTCATTTTGTCACTAAAGGGATCTCTAAAAATCTCAGGATTAATTTTGACCCCTATATTACACATTTTCAACCTTGGAGAGATTGCCATTGATTCTTGCATAAAGAATAAAATCTTAAATGTGTCTGTGCCTCAAGCATATACTCCATGCATTTCCTGGTCACGGTGTATTGCTCTGATATGAAATTATTCTCATTTCATATCAACCTCCAACTTTTCCTCTGAAGTTGAGACAGACTGACCTTATGGTTCCTCAGATCACAGTCCAGAGATTTTGAATGAGTTGTAGTCTTTGTCCAGAAAATTATTTTCCCAATCTTCTCTCTCTACCTAGTTTAGTTTGAGCCTCGCTTCCTTACATAAACTTTCCCCTTTGGGAGGCCGAGACGGGCGGATCACGAGGTCAGGAGATCGAGACCATCCTGGCTAACACGGTGAAACCCCGTCTCTACTAAAAATACAAAAATTAGCCGGGCATTGGTGGCGCGCGCCTGTAGTCCCAGCTACACGGGAGGCTGAGGCAGGAGAATGGCGTGAACCCGGGAGGCGGAGCTTGCAGTGAGCCAAGATCGCGCCACTGCACTCCAGCCTGGGCGACAGAGCGAAACTCCGTCTCAAAAAAAAAAAAAAAAAAAAAAAAAAACTTTCCTAAACCACCAGATTTGTTTGTGTTTCCTTTTCATGTTCTTTCTTAAAATTACGTTCTTTTTCTCCAATTTATCTCACTTGTAAGTATACTTTTTCTCATATGTGTGATAATTTTTATGCCGGCACCATCACATCTCCACTAACTTTTAAGCTCCATGAGAGATGAATCTTGTTTGTTCATGCTTACTACTAAACTTCGGGTCTGACACTGGGCATGTCACATAGCACGTATTGATATGGTTTGGCTATTTGCTCACCCAAATCTTATCTTGAATTTTTATCTGAATCGTAATCCTCACCAGTCCAGGGAGGGACATGGTGAGAAGTGATTGGATCATGGGACCAATTTACCTGATGCTGTTCTCATCATAGTGAGTGCGTTCTCACGAGATCTGACTTTTTTTTTTTTCTTTTTTTTTTTGAGACGGAGTCTCTCTGTGTCCCCCAGGCTGGAGTGCAGTGGCGTGATCTCTGCTCACTGCAACCTCTGCCTCCCGGGTTCTCGCCATTCTCCTGCCTCAGCCTCCTGAGTAGCTGGGACCACAGGCGCCCGCCACCACTCCCGGCTAATTTTTTGTATTTTTAGTAGAGAGGGCGGTTTCACCGTGTTAGCCAGGATGGTCTGGATCTCCTGACCTCGTGATCCGCCCACCTCAGCCTCCCAAAGTGCTGGGACTACAGGTGCCCGCCACCGCGCCCGGCTAATTTTTTTATATTTTTAGTAGAGACGGGGTTTCGCCATGTTAGCCAGGATGGTCTCGACCTCCTGACCTCGTAATCCGCCCGCCTTGGCCTCCCAAAGTGCTGGGATTACTGGCGTGAGCCACCGCACCCGGCCTATCGATGGTTTTATAAGGGGCTCTTTCCTCTTCATTCTGTCATGATTGTGAGTTTCCTGAGGTCTCCCAGCTATGTGGAGCTGTGAGTCAATTAAACCTCCTGTCTTTATAAATTACCCAGTCTCAGTATGTCTTTATAGCAGTGTGAAAATGAACTAATACACATATTCAGGACTATTTACCAGACCAATAACTAAATTAGTTGCACTGGCTAAGGAAAGCAGTGATTCAGTTTCAAGCTGGAAGTTTGAGTTCCCGTGATTTCTTTTCATTCCTTTAACTTATTGGCAATTATTTATTGATACTTGTTGAGCACAGGGCTCTGTGATGGGAACAGAGGAAACTATAGAGATTGCCAGTGTCCACAGAGCTATATGAATATAGCTATATGAATGACATAATGTGGATAAGAAGAATGGTAGTTACTTAGTCTGACTTGTACTTTTTGAATACCTAGGAAAAGATCTTCAATAAACTGTCCTATTTTGTTAGGACTTCTTTTATTAGAGATCTTGCATAGGAGCCCAAACACCTCTCCATTATTACTCTTATCATGTTTTATAAAATATCATAACAATAAGATCCTTCAGGCATAAAATATGGACAATTCAATTTTTCCATTTTCAAAAAATTATTTGGGCCTCAATAGTTTACTCAATAAATCATTGTAAATCCATTGCTACTAATAGATTTTAATTGTCCAACATAATTGGATCAGTATATAAGTAGGTATGAAGAACTAAAGAGCCCAAAGATATGGTCTCTTTTTCTAGTTAGAGAGATAGAATTAGAAGTTGATGAAGAGGATGTCAAGAAAAATGATGAAAAAATAAAAACATCCCTCTAGGTTCAGGGACAAGATAAGGGTGCCTACTTCTGTCATATCTTTTAAATAGTATATTAGAAAATATACTCCATGTAATTTTTCAGGAAAAGTAAGTTAATAGCAACCAAATCAAAAAGGAATAAGCAAAACTATTTGCAGTTGACATGATTTCATAGTCATGAAGAATCCACAGAAACAAAAAGCCAGTAGAGCCCAATAATTCAGCAAAGTTTCAGGATACAAGATTAGCAAGCAAAACTAATTGTATTTATATATACTGGCAATGAACACTTGAAAGGAAATTAATAAAATATTAGGTTGGTGCAAAAGTAATTGCTAGTCTTGCCATTACTTTTAATGTGTCCAGGGAGGGACCTGGTGAGATGTGATTGGATTGCCATTACTTTTAATGGCAAAAACAGCAATTATTTGCACCAACCTAAGAATTATTTTTACACAGCATCAAAAATAACAAAATACCTAGAAGGAAGTTTGTCCCAGGAGGGACAAGACTTATTCACTGAAAACTAGAAAACATTGCTAAAAGAAATTAAAGACCTAAATAAATGGAAAGATATCCTATATCCATGGATTGGAAAGCTTAATATTTTAAATGTTCTCCAAAGACATTTACAGATTTGATGCATTCATTATTAATACACTATGTTTTATTAGAAAGGTGGATAGTGATCCTAACATTCTTGTAAAATTTCAAGGAGGCCTTAACAGCCAAAATAATCTTGAAAAAGAAGAACATAGTGGGAGAACTCATACTTCCTGATTACAAAACTTAATACAAGTCTTTGGTAATAGAAAGTGTAATACCAGCATAAAAATAGAGATACAGCTTAGTCAAATCAAATAAAAATCTATAAATAAATTCATATATCTATGTTAAATTGATTTTTGTCCAGGGTACCAAGACCATTCAACTGTGAAAAATAGTCTCATAAACAAATGATACTGGGATGACTGGATAGCCACATGCAAAGGAATAAAGCTGGACCCTCATCACATACCATATACAAAACTAAATGAATATAAACTTAATAAACTATATAAACCTAATAGATTTTTAAATCTTGAAGAAAATATGAACATAAATCTCCACATCTTGTGGATCATATGGTTTGATAGAAGAAACAGATATGAATCAAGTTTCTTCATGGTTTGCCAATCAATTCTTAGATATGGTACAAAACCATAACTAAATGAAGAAAAAATAGAGAAATTTAACTTCATCAAAATTAAAACTTATATGCCACAAAGGACACTATAAATATAGTAAAAAGACAACACATGGAATGAGAGAATATATTTGAAAATCATAAATCTGATGAGACTCATTTCTAGATTATACAGATAACTCTTACATCTAGAATAAAAAAGAATACTTAATTCAAAAATGGGCAAAGAATTTGAATAGACATTTCTCTAAAGAAGATATACAAATATCCAACAAATGTGTAAAATGATGCTCAAAGTTATTCGTCATTAGGGAAAAGCAAACCAAATCCACAATGGAATACCACTTTGTAACCCCTAGGCTGGCTATAACTTAAAAAAGGAGAATAAATGTTGGCAAGAATGTGAAGAAATTGCAAGTCTTGTACATTACTGATGGGAACAAAATATTGTGCCACCACTGTTGAAAATGATTGGGTGATTTCTTAATATATTAAACATTGAATTACCATATGACTCAGGAATTTTCCTTCTGGTTGTATACCCAACAGAATTGAAAGCAAGGGTTCAGACTAGACCTTGTACAGGAATGTCTGTCACAACTGTATTCACAATAATTTAAATATGGAAAAAATGAAATGTCCATCAACTAATGAGTGTGTAAATAACATTTGTATTCTTGCAATGGAATATTATTCAGCACTTAAATGAAATATAAATAAATGTTGCAAAATGAATGAGCATTATAAATGTCATGATGAATGAAGGAGCCAGAATAGGTAAATTCATGGAAATAGTATGCAAATTAGTGGTCGTCAGAGGCTTGGAGGAAGAAGGAATTGGGAATTAATGAGATTGGAGTTTCCTTTTCATGTGATGAAAATGCTGTGGATCCAGATAATGTTGACACTTTCACAACACTGTAAATGTATTAAATGCCACTGAATTGTAGAGTTTCAAATGATAAAATTTTTATATATTTCACCACAACAAATGTTTTCAAAGATTGTGTAGGGTAAGGAGGGGCATTAATTCTAGGTTAAGATTTATTTGAACTTGAAGCCCAAATTCATAATTTATTAACTGTCGTTTCATCGGCAAGCTACTTAAATTTTTGAATTATAAATTAATTAACTATATTATGGAAGACCATTCAATCACCAGATATTTCATGGAGTCAGAGACTGTGGTATAATAGGGAACAAAACCAATATTGATTCTTCATCCTGTGGAGCTTACAGTTCAGTAGAGGGACTAGATACGCAACAAGCTTCTACAGAATGAAAAATATAATAATAACATTCTTAATGTTTGTCACTGTTACTTGAATTAGACATATGCACTGCCCAGTGAAATAATAAATACAAGGTTGTGTTATTGTTATTAAGCTTTTAAGTTTCACACGAAAACTTATTCTATTCCAGAGTGAATATCTCATTTCAACCATCTTGAAAATGTGTTCAGTGAGTCATGAGCAGTTGACATATTGATATTTATGGCTAACTCAGTGAAAATCATTAGCACCTCTGAGGTTTTAAATACACACTCAAGCAGGTATGAAAGCACAGTTACACATGTACAACACACATCCACACACACACATGTTCACACACACAAATATTACTGAAAATATACAGAACACCTTTTTGTTACATCAGAAAATAGCATAGCTCTTAGCTACTGAATATTTCTAATCAACTCATAACTCTACTTTTCCTGTGTTTATTTTCTGTGTTCGATACAAGGGAGATTCGTGAAGCCATAATGAACTTCTTTATGAACTTTATAGCAAGCTGAAATCTATATGTTCTTTTCAAACAATATTAAACCACATGTACTTGGTGTATGCTGTGAAACCACAATTCCATTTACAATATTTGTATTAAATCTCTTGGTGGTATATGGCTACTTCAGATTCTAACCATATGTAGTCCCTTGATGATAAGCCTTTGATCTTGGAACCACAAAGAGAATAAAATTCAACCAATCTTATATTTAAACACACTGTTGCATATTTAAACACACTACTATATAATAGACACTACATAGTTGCAATAAATATTCAAATTCTAAATTTAGAATGATATATTTTTGGCAAATAGCAGAGCTTCATGAGCCCATATATTATTCTTAGTGTTGTATCTTATTTTGGCATAGTACAAATATACTCACACTGCTGGCAAAGCAAGAGCTCCTGAATCATTCCAATCAGCTAACTATAAATTCTGACAACTGAAGAATCATCAATTTCCTTCCTCCTTTGTGCTATGCTGACATATTTAAATATTTGGACAGACATTTTTTTGTTAACTAATCTTGCTCCATGGATTCAGGCTTTCCAAGACACTGTAGTGGTAGCCCATTATATGCTCATTTGGGTAATGTTTTCCTTTGCATAGACACTTATTTAGACTTTAGTGTTTTCAGGTGGTTCCAATATAAAGATGCTAATAAAGTCAAGATTTTGCAATCATTGGTATTATCAATATGACAAATAAACCAGTACTATCTGATATTAAGCTTTAAAAACTTGAAAATAGCACAATATAGTATGTGATTTGTTTTAGACCATGGTTATATGAGACCTCAGGACATCCATGGTGTCATATTATAAATATAATATATCTAATGTTTTTCTCATTATAGTAATGTGTTTTCTTTAACTTGTAGTTTTTCCAATTTGGGGACATGAAAACCCTCTCAACTTGGAGAGCTACTCCTCTCTCATTTCCAATGTAGTTCTCATAGGGCCAGAAAATCATGCTCATCCTGAGCATAGCTCATTGATAGAGTTTCTGAGTACATTATACTTTTATCCAGATAACATTCTTATGGTATCGGTAGTCTTTTTGCAACAGAATTTAAAATTCTTTCGTTAAAAAAGAATGAATGTTGAAAGAAAGACTACTGACACCATTAAAGATTTGTTCTGGTTGCTCCTGAAGCCACCTGTATTTCCTGTGGTTTGGCTGGTCACGAAGTTTTCCTTTTCCCTAGGCAATCAAAACAGATTTTCTAATCTATTCATCTACAACAATGTTTTAAAAATGGCAGGCATGCTTGCTGGCTTACTGAAAAAGAGCTAAAGGTGTTTTCAGGTGAAGTTAGAGGTCGTAGGAACAGGGGCAGATGTTGCAGGGCCTTATAGATCATTGTACAGACTTTGGTTTATACTCAGAGTGAATTTGGAAGCCATTTCCAGATTTTGAGAAGAGAAGTGGCATGATCTGACTTATGTTTTTAAAGAATCACTTAAAGTGTTAAGAATCAGAATTAAAGGAACAAAGAAAAGAAACTGAATTGGAACTTCTTCAGTAAATCAGGTGAAAGGTATTATGGCAAGTTACTCTGTAACCAGGTAGTTACGGTGGTGACAGTGAAATGTTAAGGTAGAAACAATAGAATTTCTTGATGGCGTACAAGAAGGGTATGAGAGAAAGAACAA
The DNA here is from genome assembly GCF_000001405.40 of Homo sapiens. Classification (NCBI taxonomy): domain Eukaryota; kingdom Metazoa; phylum Chordata; class Mammalia; order Primates; family Hominidae; genus Homo; species Homo sapiens. Next base: position 114,869,337 of record NC_000008.11, on the reverse strand, counting down.
TCTGCGATGATCCTAAGAATTTCAGTCTGAGTATCTATCAAATGAAATGGAGATTATATGAGTAGGTTTTCGGAGGTCAGGATTTCAAAAACAAATGAATAGAAGGAGTGGTCAATAGTATCAAATAACTACATAGTTATCATGTATTGCAAAGGCTGAAGAAGTATCAGATTTGGTAACTAAAGGTAAATTTGTGAGAGACAATTTAGTGCATTGGTAAAAAAGATATGAGACTGGAAAGCTGGAAATAAGAAATAATAGGTGAGGATATGAAAATGGTAATGAAAGTCATCTTTTCAAGAGTTTAGCTCTGAAGATGTGAAGAAACAATTGTGGTTAGAGGAGGACATAGGATTGGCGAGAATATTTAAACATAATTTAATAGAAATAGAAATAGTTTCCTACATTTTTGAAATACATTTTATTACATAATATTTACATTTCTTACATGTGTCCAATGCATATGGCTATAACTTACCTCTGGGAAGTGTAAAATATTTTCCTGCTTTTAAGAATATTTATCTCAGGATGAGCTAAATCATGAGCAATTTTCAGTGAACACGACTTTCACTTTAACAAATTATAAAGAAAACATACTTTCTTGGGCACCATCCAGTATGATTAAGATAATGAAATGTAATATCTGTTAGTACATTTACTTTCTTCTAACTTTACTTGGTGTTTCCTGAAACTTTGGCTCTCCTCAAAAGTGTTTGCAATCAGCTGGTGACAGAATATTTTTAGAAAAATTAGGAACAATTTATTCATGACATATTCCTTTGTCTTAGTTATATGTTATCTTACCTCACTTTCACAGTGGTAAATTTTTTCCTAAATGATGTAAGAATCATTCATACTAACTCTTCCTTAAAGTTCTTTATGGTGAATGTGACATTTTAAAACTCACCGTTGTTATTTTTAAAGCTGGTATAAAAAACTTGTTAAAATTTACTCTGTGTGAAAGAGATTGATGGGTAAACTCAATAGCTGTCCCTCTTTCTTCCAGAGTAAAGAACTCTTTCTTGGCTTTTAGAAGAGTACATCACGGTAGAAAGTAAATCTTTTATTTCCTAACCTTCTTTATTTCAAGTGATTAACATGTGATAAATTTCAGACTAATGGCATGAATAAATACAGCCTTGTGGAACTTTCCTTAAATTACATTTGTTTCATGCACTTTTTCCTTTCTTTTTATTCTTTCCTGAGTTCTCCTGCCTGAAACAAGGTATTATTGTTATTATAGTTTTTTAGCCATTGTCATATGCAATGAGAACAAGACGCATACATCAGGAATTGGAAGTAATCACCTGGAATGAGGTGTATCCTTGGGGACTTTGGGCAGCAAAGCTAACATGCCAGCCTGAATTTTTTTTTAATAATAAAAATGTATATATTTAGGCTGGGCGCAGTGGCTCACGCCTGTAATCCCAGCACTTTGGGAGGCCGAGGCGGGCGGATCACAAGGTCAGGAGATTGAGGCCATCTTGGCTAACACGGTGAAACCCCATCTCTACTAAAAAAAAAAAAAATACAAAAAATTAGCCAGGCGTGGTGGCGGGCGCCTGTAGTCCCAGCTAGCTGGGAGGCTGAGGCAGGAGAATGGCGTGAAGCCGGGAGACTGAGCTTGCAGTGATCCGAGATCACGCCACTGCACTCCAGCCTGGGCGACAGAGCAAGACTCCGTCTCAAAAAAAAAAAAAAGTATATATTATATATTTAAATTATGCAGTATGATGTTTTATATCCCTGATCTTCTTACCTGTAATTTCTTGTTCAAGATGGAAATACATTTTTAACTTATTTAAGTCACTATTTGTGGTCTCTGTAATTTATGCCCCTTAAATGATACATCATGGTTATCATTACTAAATTTTAGAACACTAAAATTCAGAACAAGAAAGCATATTCAATATTTAATGAAGTATATTTAATATGCCTTTCAAATGGAATAACTGACAATTACTATTCTATTTCTATGATCCATTTCACAGCCATATTTTAATGCCTTTAAAAATACATCTTTAAAGTATTATATACACAGAGAAAAATGTAGAGTTCCTTAAGGGAATCCAGTTGTGTAATCTGTGCTGAGATACAGAAATAAAACATTTATAGCACACCAGAACATATCCACACATAAACTGTAGGCTTTTGCCATTTGAAGGTAAACACTACGTTTACTTCCAACACGGTTGATGCCTGTTTTTGAAATGCATATATTTAGAATTATTCAACGTATAGTCATTTTTGAGGGGGTGATGAGTGACTTCTTTCACTAAATGGTATGCTTATGAGGTATCATGTAGCAACTGTTTGTTCATTATTCTATTATAGCGTCCCATTGAGTGAAAAATATGTAGTTGATTTGGAGATGTGCCACCTACATCTCCCCTCTACAGTGAGTTTGTTGTCCACTGCAGGGAGTGTGGTATCAGATGGTTTCCAGTTCTAAGCACCTTAGGATCTACCTGAGTTGCAAAGGACCACTTTCTTCCTTTCTTTTTAATTATTGACTTTAGTTTCTTAGAGCCACTTCAAGTTTACAACAAAATTTCTCAGAAGGTACAGAGATATCCCACATCTTATCTGCCTTCACATGTACGTAGGAAAATTGTACAGAAGATACAGAAAGTTCCCACACACCCACTGCCCCTCAATCTATGACCTCCTCTCCTATGAACATTCTGCACCAGAGTAGTACATTTGTTGCAACTGACAAACCTACATAGATACATTATTACGCCAATCCATAGTACACATTAGGATTTAGCTTAGTGTTTTATAGTCTATGGGTTTTAACAAATGCCTTTTCCACATTATCATATAGTTGGAATCATAGAGTATGTAATCTATCCACACTGCCTTCTGGCACTAAGTTAAGTAATATGCATTTAAGTTATTTCCATGTCTCTTCATGACTTTATAGCTCATTTCTTTATAGCCCTGAATAATATTCAATTGCCTGGATGTACCAGTGTGTATTTATCCATTAAGCTACTGAAGAACATCTTGGTTCTCTCCAAGTTTGGGCAATTATAAATAAAGCTGCTATAAACATCAATGTGCAGATTTTTTGTGTGGACATGAGTTTACAACTCATTTGGCTAAATACCAAGGAGCACGCTTGCTACATCATATGGTAAAAGCATGTTTAGTTTTATAAGAAACTGACAAACTGTCTTTCAAAGTAGTTGTATCGTTTTGCATTACCACCAACAATGAACAAGAGTTCCTGTTGCTCCACACCTTTGGCAAAATCTGGTGTAGTAGATGTTCTGAATTTTGATCCTTTTAATAGATGTGCTGTGATACCTTATTGTTGTTTTAATTTTCATTTCTCTGATGACATATGATGTGGGACATCTTTTCATAAGCTTATTTGCTGTCTGTATATCTTTTTGGTGAGGTGTCTGTTGATGTCTTTGGCCCATTTTTAATTCATATGATATTTTATTTAATATAGAAAGCTCTTAGGTAATATTGGCAATTTTACTCCATATATATTTACTTGTAGTTTTAATTTGTAATTGTAAATTGACAAATAATAGTTGTATATATTTATAGGGTATAAAGAGATGTTATGATTTATGCATATAATGCGGAATAATTAAAACAAGTGAATTAACATATCAATAATCTCAAATACAGTAATTTTTTTGTGGTGAGAAGATTTGAAATTTACTCAGTGATTTCAAAATATACAACGCATTATTATATACTATATTCACCACACTCTACAATATATCTTAAAATATACCTATTCTGCTTGTCTAATTGAACCTTTGCACCCTTTCAACATCATCTCCTCATTCTTCCACCTTCTTTGCCCAGTCTCTAATAGCCACCATTCTATACTCTACTTCTTTGAATTTGATTGTTTTAGATTTAGCCAATTTTCTAGTCAGTTTTTTTCCTTATTGTTGAGTTTCAAGAGTGCTTTTTGGATGATAGTCCTTTACAGATACAGCTTTGTAATATTTTTTCCCTCTGTGGCCTGTTTTTTAATTCTCTTGACTGTCTTTCAGACAGCAAAAAATTTAATTTTAATGAAGTACAGCTTATTGATTATTTTTTTCATGTTTTGTGCCTTTTGCACTGTATGGAAAAAGTCATAATCATATCCAAGGTTATCTAGATTTTCTCCTGTTATCCTCTAGGAACTTTATAGTTTTACATTTTACTTTTATATCTGTTATCAATTTTGAGTTCATTTTTGTGAAGTGTGTAATATCTTTGTCTAGATTTTTATTTGGCATATGAATGTCTATTTGTTCCAGCACCATTTGTTAAAAACACTATACTTTTTTGCATTGCGTTTGCTCCTTTGTCAAGGATCAGTTGACTATATTTAAGTGTATCAATTTCTAGCCTCTTTATTCTGTTCCATTGCTTATGTTTGTCTATTCTTTTACCAATATTACACTGTCTTGAATGCTGTAGCTCTACAGTAACTCTTGGTTTAGGGTGGTTTCATTCCTCTGAGTTTATTCTTCTTTTTCAATATTGTGTTGGCATTGTGGTTCTTTTTACTCTCCATATAAACTCTAGAAATAGTTTGTCAATATTTACAAAATAACTCACTGAGAATTTGATTGAGATTGCATTGAATCTATAGATCAAGTTGGGAAGAACTGACATCTTGACAATATTGAGTATTCTCATCAACGAACATGGACTATCTCTCCAGGTATTTAGTTCTTTGATTTATTTCAACAAAGTTTTACAGTTTTTCTCATACAGATCTTGTTAGATTTATAACTAAGTATTTTATTTTGGGAAGCGTAGAATTTGGGGATTCTACTTTTTCATTTCTGACATATAGAAAATGATTGACTTTTATATGTTAACTTTGTATTCTGCAACCTTAGTATAATCACTTACTAATTCCAGGAGATGTTTTAATGAATTCTTTTGGATTTCCCACAAAGATGATCATATCATCTACAACGTTTTATTTTTTCCTTCTTAATCAATATGCTTTCAACTTCCTTGCCTTTTCTTATTGCATTATCTAGGGCTTCCAGTATGATGTTGAAAAGGATAGGTAAGAAGGGACAATACTTCCTCGTTCCTGACTTTAGTGAGAAAGCTTATAGTTTCTCATCATTAAGTGTAATGTTAGCTATAGTTGTTTTTTTTTGTAGAAATTCTTCATCAATTTGTTGAAGTTTCCCTCATTCTTGGTTTACTGAGAATTTTTACCATGAATGGGTATTAAATTTTGTCAAATGCTTTTTCTGCATCTTCCCATATACAGTTTTTTTTAATAGCATGTTTATTCTATGGGTTACATTAAATGATTTTTGAATGTTGATTTAACCTTGCATATCTAAGATAAATTGCATTTTATCATGATGTATAACTTTTTTAATACATTTTTGGACTTAACTTGCTGATAATTTGTTAAAGATTTTTGCATCTATGATCATGAGAGAAATTGGTCTGTAGTTTCCTTTCCTTTTGATTTTTTTTTTTTTTTTTGAGACAGGATCTCTCACTCCTGTCACCCAGGCTGAAGTGCACTGGCACAATCACAGCTCATTGCAGTATTGACTTCCTGGGCTCAGTTGATTTTCCTACCTCAGCTTCCCCAGTAGCTGGGATTACAGGCAAGTGTCACCATGCTCGGCTAATTTGTTGTCTTTTTAGTAGAGACAGGGTTTCGCCATGTTGCCTTAGCTGGTCTAGGACTCCTGGGCTCAAGTATTCTGTCTACCTTTGCTTCCCAAAGTGCTGGGATTACAGGCATGAGCCGTTCTGCCAGGATATAGTTTTTTTTTCTTTTAATATCTTTGTCTAGGGTATTAGGGTGATGCTGGCCTCATAGAATAAATTAGAAAGTATTTCTTTTGCTTCTATCTTCTGAAAGAGATTATGGAGAGTATACCACTATACCAAATTATGGGTATAATTTTTTTCCTTAAATGATTGATATAATTCATCAGTGAGTTTATCTGGGCTTGGTGCTTTCTGTTTTGGGAGGTTATTCATTTAATTTCTTTAATAACTATATGCATATTCAGATAATGTATTTCTTGTGCTACTTTTGGCAGACCATGTTTTTCAAGGATTTGTCCATTTAATCTTAATCTATAAATCTATAATTACTTTTATAAATCTATAACCAAATTTATACACATTAAGTTCCTTATATTATTTTATTATCATTTTAATGTCCATGGGATCTGTAGTGATGTCTTCTCTTTCATTTCTAGAATTATTAATTTGTGTTCTCTGATTTCTTAGTTATCCTAACTAGAGACTTATCAATTTTATTGCTCTTTGCAAAAAAAACACACACAAAAAAAACCAGCATTGGATTTTATTTTTCTTAGTAATTTCCTGTTTTCAATTTCTTGAATTTCATTGATTTTCAGTTATCTTTCTATTAATGGTTTCTATTTTAATAGACCTTTAATGATATGTATTCTTTAAAATTTGTTAAAGTGTGTTTTATGGCCTAGAATGTGATCTATCTTTACAAGCATTCTATGTGAGCTTGAGAAGAATGTGTACTCTGTTGTCATTAGATAAAGTAGTCTATGAATATCCAGTTGGATGATGGTGATGTTGAGTTTAACTACAACAAGAAGTTAGGTCTTTACTGGTTTTCTGCATTCTGGGCCTGTCCATTTCTCATAGAAAGGAATTGAAGTCCAGCTATAATTGTGGATTCATTTATTTTTCCTTGGAGGTCTGTTAGTTTTGTATTTTGATGCTGTGTTGTTAGGTGAATACAGATTAAACATTGTTATGTCTCTTTGGAGAATTGACTCTTTTATCATCATGTATTGCCCCTCATTATCCCTAATAAGTGTCCTTACTTCGAACAGAGATGCCCTTTTTATAGACCTTGCACCTTTCTCCAGGGCAGCTTGTATCTACTGTAGAAGGTCAAGGGCATAAAGGCCTGTATACTTTGTCCCAGTAAAGGACACTCTGATAAGCAATACTCACTCCAGATTAAACCTCTTTCTCAGCATTTGCTGAGGTTATGTCATGCCTTCATTACAGTTCAGTTCTTCTGCTCAATCATGCTTTAACTTCTCCTTTCCCTAAAAGACACTGATTCCCTAATAAACACCTTGTCTTCATGTCTGCTTCCAGATATTCCATGCAGTGATATTTGAAACCAAAAAAGTATTTAATAAAATGGGGTTTTAGAACTAGAACACTACTATCTGATTGGCTATGAAGACAACATTACCAGTGGTATGTGGAACACAACAACCCCATGCACCAGCTCATGAACCAGTTATTGAAACATTCACCAGTAGTTAATTTGAAGAATGTCATCCATGGAAGAGAATGTACTAGCTGGCAAGATATATCATGTGTTAAATATGCATGAAGAAAAGAGTAACAATAAGGTAAAGAGATACAAGGGCTAATTGCCATTGCTGCTGCAGGACAGCAATGGCAAATAGGGACAAATAGGGATAAATTTACTACTCACCGTACCCCAAACCCAGGAAATATTACGCAATGCGTGAAGACAATCTTAGTTGTCATGATGAGGGAGGGGTGCTACTGGATTATATGGGGTAGAGAATATTCTATAATTCACAAGACAGGACCCATAACAAAGAATTACTTAGTATAAAACGTAAATTGCACTACTGTTGTAAAACCTTGTTCTATTCAAAGAGACTGAAGAGGAAAATTTATGTATTAATAACAGGCAATTGAAACTAACTGTAAAAGCTAGAGGGTATCTTTTGTTGTATTGAAAATCTCTTTTTCTCTCTAGAGACTGAGTGGGCACATATGGAAGCAAGGTAATAAATGGAGTAGTCCTGACCAATGTATGTACACTGAGTCAAAAGACCCACACAATGATTATTTCCCCTGTCTCCTAAATTATAATTTGGATCGACATAGTTGGCAGTTGAAGAAACTCCACGTTGGATTCTTTTGTCTCCAGGGTAAATAATATGACAGTGAAAAAGCCAAATAGAAGCCTCTGAAACTACTCTCCATCCCAGCCAGGATAGTAAATCAATGAAGCAGACACAAAAACAAACAAACTTATTTTACCCTGGGAAGGGGATGGTGGTATTTAGTACTACCTTTAAGGACCTAAAAGATACAATGGTGACAGATCCTATATAATTATACTTAATTCAATATGCTGGATCCTGCAGAAATTAAATATAACCAAGAAAGCAATTAAACTTCTGCAGGTTTAACCAAATATTGGGTCCTATCTTAGCTACTGTGCCAGATATACCTTTGATAGAGCAGATTAATATGATCGCAGTGATATGTTATACTGCCACTGGTTTAGTGAATAGATTCTTTTTATCTCTGTCAGAAAAGAATATCACAAATACTTTTTAACCACACAGAATAATAATATATGTAGAAAGATTCTCCTCAATGCTATGTTAGTTCTCTTGTCTGTGTCACAATATAAAACACAGAGATCTTGATCATCTGAGTATGTCATAGAGTATCACATTGATTCATCACATCAATGATATTAGACTGAACCGGAAAGATAAGCAACATATTACTGGTATAGTTAATGTAATTGTAAGACTTATGCAAGTATTCAGGGCCTGAAACATTTATAGAAGTTTCAGGGTTCCCATTGTCAGGGGCATGGCAGGAAATTTGTTTGAAATAAAAGAGACATAATTATATCTTGCACCTCCTGTGATGAAAAGGAAAGCACGAAGCCTCATAAACTTCAGCTTCTGAAGTCAGTCTTCTAAGGAAACTAGGAATATTGCTGTGGCCTATATATAAGGCGACACAAAATCGTACCAGCAACAAATAGTTCTAAAGCAGTTGCAGGATTGCAAGCAAAGCCATGTTACTAAGGCCAAAGCACCATGCTTTATAATGTTGGAGATACCAATGATGAAAAAAGATGCTGGGAGCAGTTTGTAGTAAGTCCCATGGGATAATTATAACACAGAATTCTGGAGTTTTGGAGCAAGGTTATGTTCAGCAGAAAATTATACACCTTTTGAGAAACAGTTCTTAATGCTACTTGGCCCTGATTGGAGGCAAAACAATGACTGTGAGATACAAAGGGTCATATATCTGGAACTAGAAAGAAGGTTGGTTTGAAAATGGATAGTAATTGCAGTACAGCCTTACTCAGGGGTGGCCATACAAGACATTAGTAAGGAATAATCATCTCACTCAGCAGAACTTCCAGAACTTCAGGTGGCACACTTTGCCATCCAGTGTGTACAGAATAAGAAGTGTTCCAATGTTGTACTACATATAGATTTATGGGTCATGACAAATGAGCTTCTGGGCTGGTCAGGAGTTTGAGAGAGAGAGAGAGAGAGAGAGAGACTACACCACTTTGTTACTTTTGTTATAAATAATACATATAAATACATGTTGAAATCCTACTTTTTCCATTGTTTTATTGCTCAATCCTTGTGTCAGTACATACTGTATTGATTCTTACAGCTTTGTTAACTAGATAACTAAGAGTATGAGACCTCCAGCATCTTCAAGTTTATCTTTACTATTTTACTCTTTTGGGTCCTTTGCATTTAACTATAAATTATAAATTGAGTTTTTTAATTTCTACACAGAAAGCAAAACCTAATGGGAATTTTATTTTGATTATGTTGAATACATAACTTTGTATAGATATCAAAAGATAGATACATAGATATAGACGTTGGGTCATTTAAATATTAAATTTGTTTTAATTATAAAATAAAAGGTACAGTTTAAAAAATATCCAGTTCAAGTCTCCTCCTAGGCATTAAAGCATATGTCAATCTGTCTTCCTAAATAAATGTTCCAAAGGATATCAAGATCAATATACCCGAATGAGATTTGTAATCTAAACTCCCCATAAGTTTTCTCATGTGTTTCCTATTTCAGTTAATAATAGTTGTTAAACCATTTATAGAAATATTAACATAATCATGAAAAATCATTCTTCCTCTTTCTCAAAAATCCAGCCATCTAATGATTCCTTTACTAATTTGTTGCTAATACCACATATGTGTACACGCACACACACAGACACAGACATACACACACATACACACACACAGGATTTGAACAACACTCCAGAGTTCCATGCCTCCAGACTTGAACATGTTGATATTGAAGACAGTGCTGACTGGGACAGTCTACCTCAAACCGGAATCTAAAACTTAGGAATTCTACATTTGAATGCAATGTAGTAAAATAACTTAAAATGGATACCTAACTTCAAACAAAAGAATGATAAATTATCAAATATCAGTAATAAAAAGTGAACTCAAAAATAATATTGAAAAATGTTTGAAGTTGAGTGGATAACATGATTGGGAAAGTTATTATAGGCATTTATTAGGTATTTAAAATGCTTGCAGAAAGAAGTTGAAGACTCAAGTCTGTATGATGCAGAGAGCTGCAACTGAGGTTCAGTAATATAAATAACAGCCAAAGTAATGTTCTATTTATGAAATAGAAATTTAAAAATATGAGCCTGTATCCTACAAAGAAGCCTGATGTTTGTTGATATCTGTGGTAGAAAAATAGTCACATAAATATTTTGCAATGTCAAATTTGGATTATTCATGAAAATAGGAATAAAATGCATATAATCCAAGACATTGACATGAAAATAAATCTAGGACCATGAAACCCAGTAGTCTCCCAGGAAAGATAATCAGGTGGACTGGACAGCACTGCGTTTCAGTGCAAAGCCACCAAATTACTTTGTTCTCTCTCCCCGGAGCAAACAGATTCTCTCCATGTCATGCATCACTGCCAGGAAATAGGTAGGGGTGATGCAAGGAATGTAAGACTGTCTTTCCAGCCCCCTTTAATGCCTTTTTTCTTGATATGATGTCAAATCCAGGTATGTGGGTCACTTAGCTTATTTTTTTATTTTTGTGAAGGTGGCTTCTTGTGTGGATAGTTTTTCAATTTAGTGCTCCTATTGGAGAGGACAGTTGCTGGACTGTTCTATTTGGCCATTTTGCTCCACTTCCTTCTCCTCTTTTTCTTTCTTTCTTTTTATTTTTAATTTTACTTTAAGTTCTGGGATATATATGCAGCACATGCAGGTTTGTTACATAGGTATACATGTGCCATGGTGGTTTGTTGCACCTATCAATTCGTCATCTAGGTTTTAAGCCCCACATGCATTAGGTATTTGTCCTAATGCTCTCCCTCCCTTAACCCCCACCCCCCCAACAGGCCCAGGTGTGTGATGTTCCCCTTCCTGTGTCCATGTATTGTCATTGTTCAACTCCTACTTATGAGTGAGAACATGCAGTGTTTGGTTTTCTGTTCCTATGTTAGTTTGCTGAGAATGATGGCTTACAGCTTTTTCCATGTCCCTGCAAAAGACATGAACTCATTCTTTTTTATGGCTGCATAGTATTCCATGGTGTATATGCACCACATGTTCTTTATCCAGTCTATTATTGATGGACATTTGGGTTGTTCCAAGTCTTTGCTATTATAAATAGTGCTGCAATAAACATACGTGTGCATGTGTCTTTGTAGTAGAATATATATATTTTTTAAGTGTAGCGTTGTTGGCATAGTGGTGAGCATGGCTGCCTCCCTCTTTTTCATAATATCTTCTGTTCAAAATAATATTTTATTGTGAGTACTGATATAATCTCTATACTTTCTATCAGGCGTTGTGTTTTCTACATACTTGAGTCAGCAGTTCTTTCTGTGAATAACTTTTGTGTAATTTGATGTGTGCATAATTAGTAATGTCATTATTTTATCTTGACTCTTGAAATATAGATTTGCACTGGAGACTCAGAAGGGTGAGAGGGTGGTTAGAGATGACAAATTACTTAATGGGCACAATGCACATTATTCTGCTGATGGTTACACTAAATATCCAGGTGTCACCCATATGCAATATATCCATGTAACAAAACTGCATTTGTACCCCTTAAATTAATATTTAAAAGCCTGTTTATATTGAGAGTTACCATTCATGACCACTGGAGATACTCTCCCATAGTCTTCTGTGGTGTGTTGTTGCTCAGGAGAAGTCAGCTGTAAATCTATTTATTAATATTTAAATAATCAATGTTTTTGTACTTTTAAGATTTTGTCGGTACTTTTTATTTTGCAGCATAACTGTAAAATGTCTACATATAGATTTTTTTAAACTTTCTTATTCAGGATCACATATGCTCCTTCAAAATTTGAATACATATATTTCTTTAATTATAACATCATTTGACCATCAGCACCTGGAATGTTGTCTTTCTCCCATTCTTTACCTTGTTTGCTTTTATAACCTAAAAATTCTCTTTTTAATTTTCTATCACTTTATTATTTTGTAATTATTTCTGGATAATATCCTCAAGCTTATTTTGCAATTAATGAAATACCTTCCTTTATTTAGACTACTCTTTAACACATCCGTTGAGTACAGTTATTGCAAGAACTATGCTTTTTATTCCAAGGATTTCTATTTGGTTTTGTTATATAACTAACTATCTGTTCATATTCAGTTCTGTTCTCATCTCATTCTTTATCTTCCTTCATCATTTTCTTTTTTTGAGATGGAGTTTCTCTCTTGTCCAGGCTGGAGTCCAATGGCACAATCTCGGCTCACAGCAACCACCCTCTCCCAGGTACCAGTGATTCTCCTGCCTCAGCATCCCAAGTAGCTGGGATTATAGGCATGCGCTACCATGCCTGGCTAATTTTTGTATTTTCAGTAGAGACAGGGTTTCACCATGCTGGTCAGGCTGATCTAGAACTCCTGACCTCAGGTGATCTGCCCTTCTCAGCCTCCCAAGGTTCTGGGATTATAGGTGTGAGCCACCGTGTCCAGCCTCTTCATCAATTTTTAATCTTAATTGTAATATTTGTAAACACATTTAGATTATTATTTATTGATGTGGAATATAAATTATTCTTTAATATTCTGAATTTCCCAACATTGTTCAATTTTTCACACTATACATTTTTTTAAATTTGTGGTGTGCTTATCTGGAGTGTGTGATTATGCATTGGTGGGCGTAGGGGCTGCAGTATTTTGAAGAAGTCCTATATGTATGTGTTGTAAGTGGATCTTATTAAACACCACCAAGGCAATACTTCTAATAGTCTGCAAGCTTTACAGCATTATTGGGTTTGGGGTGCTCCCTAATGCAGATATGGCTGCAGAGACCAAATACTTAGATCACAATATTCAATTCCCTTTGAACGCTTGGAAATCTTTCTCAAGATAGACAAGTGCAAACAAGCCCAGTATGCAAAGATTACAATAAATAACCTAACTCTTCAATGCCCAACATCAAAAAACCATCCACAAGCATTAATACTATACATAAGAATATGACCTCACCAAATGTACTAAATAAGGAACCAGTGACTAATCCCAGAGTGACAGATATGTGAGCTTTCAGACAGAGAATTCAAAACAGCTGTTTTGAGGAGGTTCAGACAAATTCAAGATAACATAGAGAAGGAATTTAGAATCCTATCAGATTCTTACAATGGGTTATAAGATATTATTTATGATAACCACATGTAGCCTCATGGTAACCACAAATCAAAATGCCTGCAACAGATACACAAAAAATGAAAAGCAAGAAAATAAAACATAACACCAGAAAAATCTACTTTCACAGAAACAAAGGAAGAAAGAGAAGACCACAAAACAGCTAAAAAACAGTTTAGAAAATGGTAGTAGTAAGTCCTTATTATGAACAATAACATTGAATGTGAATGGGCTAAACTCTTCAATCAAAAGACAGGTTTGTTGAATGGATGAAAACAAGACCCAACTATCTATTGCCTGCTAGAAACAGTCTATGTGTATAAAAATACACATAGACTGAAAATAAAGGGATGGAAAAATATATTGCATGCAAACAGAATTAAAAACAAGGAGGAGTAGCTACGCATATCAGAAAAAAATAGATATCTAGACAAAAACTATTAAAAGAGACAAACAAGGTCATTATATAATGATAAAGGGGTCAATTCAGCACGAGGGTATAACAATTGTAAATATATTATACTTTAAGAAAAAAATAGATGTTTGCAAAAAAAAATTGTAAATATATATGCACCCAATGCTAGAGCACTCAGATATATAAAGCAAATATTACAACTCAGGAGACAGAGAGATAGACCCCAATGCAAAATAGCTGGAGACTTCAACACCCCACTTTCAGGATTGGACATATCATCCAATCAGAAAACCAACAAAGAAACATCAGACTTAATCTGTACTATAGACCAAATAGCCCTAATAGATATTTCCAGAACATTTCATCTGATGGCTGCAGGATACACATGTCTTCTCTTAGCACATTGACCATTCTCAAGGATATATATTAGGCCACAAAACAAGTCTTAAATTTATTTTTTTAAATTTGAAACTATATCAAGTATCTTCTCTGACAACAATGGAATATAACTGGAAATCAATAATAAAAGGTAATTTGGAAACTATACAAACACATGAAAATTAAACAATATGTTATTGAATGACCCGTGGGTCACTGAAAAAATTAAGAAGAAAATTAAAAAGTTTAGTGAAAGAAAAAAAAAAAAAACTGAAACAAGGTGATTTCAGAATATGACCAGAGGATGATAGCATTTTTCTGAAGATTTTACAACTACAAAGTAATGCTAAGTATTATTAGTGGAACTTACATATAAACAAATTTATAAACATGTATGTGCATCAATAAAACTATTTCCTCTGGAGAGAGGGAAAGGCCTAGGAATGTGTTGGGAAAGAGAACAAATAAGATTGAGTTGTATCTGTACTGGTTTATTAAAAGCAATATGAAGGCAAGATAAGGTCCTAAAAATAAAAAAGAAGCCAAAACATGCACAGTCCACATTATGTATTAATGAGCTCACAACTTAAAGTCAAACTAACAAATAAGAGTAAAACCTTTTTAAAGTGAAAATGCAATTAATCTTGTTAAAAATTTTAAATGGTTTTACTTTGCCTCTGTAAGAGTCCAGACTCTCTAGTTTAGGTTAAAAATGCCTTTATATGTGCCACATTTTCTTAATCCAGTTTATCATTGATGGACATTTAGGTTGGCACATATACATCATGGAATACTATGCAGCCATAAAAAGGATGAGTTCATGTCCTTTGTAGGGACATGGATGAAGCTGGAAACCATCATTCTGAGCAAACTATCCCAAGGACAGAAAACCAAACACCGCATGTTCTCACTCATAGGTGGGAACTGAACAATGAGAACACTTGGACACAGGGTGGGGAACATCACACACTAGGGCCTGTCGTGGTGGGGGGAGGGGGGAGGGATAGCATTAGGAGATATACCTCATGTAAATGACGAGTTAGTGGGTGCAGCACACCAACATGGCACATTTATACATATGTAACAAACCTGCACGTTGTGCACCTGTACCCTAGGACTTAAAGTATAATAAAAAATAAATAAATAAATAAATAAATAAAAATGCCTTTATGAACTAGAGTCTGCCTATTTCCCTAGCCAGCCTTTCCTAATCTTTGCCAGCTGTTTTTCTTACAATGCACTTACGTGGAATGTATTTCAGATTCAAAAGAACCTGTTAGATTTGCCAAATCTCCTATCTAGACTCTAACTCATACTGTGCTTTGTTTGTTTCACAACTTCAGCTTGGTAATTCTTAAATATTCCTCAGGTTTCAGCAGTTTCTTCTTTGTAAGCCCTCCTTGACCACTTCAGAATTTTTCATGTTATCTGCATTTTCCAGATTCTATGGTTACATGCTTTGTTATGGTTCTAATTTATTGCTCCCCTTACCAGTTCTAACACTGTCTTAAGGAAGAACTTGCGCCTGTCATAGTCACTATTTATCCAAGTGCCTCACATAGTAAATGGCATATAATAAATGCTTAATTTACTTGAGATTAAATGACCTTTAGATACATAGATCACAAAATAATTAAAAATACTTATCTTCAAAGATTCTTTTGTATTCAAATTCATTATTTTATAAAATCCAGGTATTAATTTCTGATTAACCTATGAAAAGATACAAGACTAAAAATATTCTCGAAGGTTTGTTTTATTTCTGAGGTCAATAATTAAAAGAGATTCATAGGCTTGGAACTTAGTACAGAAACTGGTAGGTCCCATTTCTTTCTCTCTTCACTTTAAATTTCAGTGACAATATATAATATTCTTTTCCCCCCTAGCCTATGAATTAGACAATAGAAAGAAAACATGTGTATCCTGCACATGTTATAACATCCTGCAGCCATCAGGATGTTATAAAAATACACATAGACTGAAAATAAAGGGATGGAAAAATATATTGGATGCAAACAGAATTAAAAACAAGGAGGAGTAGCTACGCATATCAGAAAAAAATAGATATCTAGACAAAAACTATTAAAAGAGACAAACAAGGTCATTATATAATGATAAAGGGGTCAATTCAGCAAGAGGGTATAACAATTGTAAATATATTATACTTTAAGAAAAAAATAAATGTTTGCAAAAAAAAATTGTAAATATATATGCACCCAATGCTAGAGCACTCAGATATATAAAGCAAATATTATTACAACTCAGGAGACAGAGAGATAGACCCCAATGCAAAATAGCTGGAGACTTCAACACCCCACTTTCAGGATTGGACATATCATCCAATCAGAAAACCAACAAAGAAACATCAGACTTAATCTGTACTATAGACCAAATAGCCCTAATAGATATTTCCAGAACATCTTTGTTCCTTTTACATGATTGGGCACACTGTGGTTTACTTGCATCTCATGATAGAAGTAAGATGACTTAGCTATATAGATAGTAGTAACTACAGCAAAATTGCTGATAAAGTTTATGCATAATGACTGTAGCTCCTCATATCTAACACTCTGGGAGGCTAAACTTTTGTATAATACAGTAAAACCATGAGTTCCTATTAAATAGCACACAGATAATAGTAAACATTTATTTGAGCAAACATTTTTGGCTGTTTTAATTATTTTGTTCAAGCCAATGTGTTTTCTCAAACATTTTTATTCCCTGGACTTCTTAAAGAAGTTCGGGAAAAGGATTGGTATCTTTAAAATAATAATACTACTAATAATATCCATGTGAAACTGGTTTCTGATTTGGGGCAGTAGGCAAAGCCAGAAATTCAATGATTTACTTTTAAGTGTGTCAATAAAAACAAGTGCTTTGTATGAGTTTCATGAAGTAGTGGATGGCAGGAGCTGTTGAAGGATTAGATGTATTGGATGCAGTTAACCCAGAATTGTGGTGTAAGAAGTAATTCTGAGGTTTCAGTCAGGGGCCTCATCAAGTCCTCACGCTCTCTAAAGTTAGTAAGGAGGTTGAGAGAGTTCAGAAAGTAGTGAAGAAGTATTTTTCTGTTTCCATATCACGTTCTGCACTTGATCAAGTTCAAGCAGCTGTTTCAAAACATTCTACTGTCTTGAAATTGCCTAATGCCTTCTATTTTGGAATATGACTGCAAAGATATTTTACTGTTGAGTCTAAGTCCATTGCACTTGAACTCATTATATCTTTTTCTTCCTCCTCTTTACAAGTTTCCTCAGGCTCATGATCCATTCCTGATTCCTCTACTTCTTTCACACCTCACATCAAAACGTTCAGCCAATCCTGTGAGCTTTAGAATGAAAATATATCCTGAATCTTACCACTTTGGACCATTCCCCTTGCTACCATCTGAATGTAAACCACACTCTTCTATCACCAGTAGTATTGTAAGACTCCAAATTGGTCTCCCCGCCTTCTTTGCTCTCTTAAAATCTCTTCTCAACACAGCAGATGAAATAATCATTTTCATGTAACTAATCTATTCAAATCTTTCCATCAGCTGCCCATTTAACTCAGGGTAAAATCTAAAAATCTTAAAATAACCAACCGTACCCTCCATGAACTAAACCCTCATAGCCACCCTGCCCTCATGCTCTGTTACTCTCTTCCTTGCTCATTCTGGGACCTCTCTCTGCTTTTACTCTAACACCTTAGCTATGATCCTACCTTAGGGCCTTTGTACTAACCCTTTCCCTTTCTGAAATTCTTTTCTCTCAGATGTTTACATAGCTAACCTTTGTCTTCATTCAGGTCTTGGTTTAAATTTGTCAGTAAAGCCCTTCCTGACTAATTTACTTAAAACTGGACTCCCATTCCCTTTATTATTGTCTATAACATTTATCATTTTGTCTTTTCTCCCCCTTCCTCCTTTCCTCTTTTACTTCCTTCCTTCCTCCTTTCATCCTTCCTCCTTTCCTTCCCTCCTTCCTTCCCCCTCTGACTCCCTCCCTCCTCTTTTCTCCATCTTTCTCTCTCTCTCTCTCTGTCATTCTTTTATTTTTTTTTTTTTTGAGACAGAGTCTGGCTCTGTCTCCCAGCCTGGAGGGCAGTGGCGCGATCTCGGCTCACTGCAAGCTCTGCCTCCTGGGTTCACGCCATTCTCCTGCCTCAGCCTCCCAAGTAGCTGGGACTACAGGTGCCCGCCACCACGCCCGGCTAATTTTTTGTATTTTTAGTAGAGACGGGGTTTCGCTGTGTTAGCCAGGATGGTCTCAACCTCCTGACCTCGTGATCTGCCCGCCTTGGCCTCCCAAAGTGCTGGGATTACAGGCGTGAGCCACCGCGCCCTGCCTCTCTGTCTCTCTCTTTTAAAATCATGTAGTTGATTGAAAAATTACTCTGAATGATTAAATAACTGCTTTTGCCAACTAAAATGTAAGTCTCAAGGTCAAGGAGTTTTGCTTGTTTTGATCACTGCTATCCTCCAAAAGTGTAGACAGAACTATGACAATAGGCAGACACTAAATAAATTTTTATTAAATAAATGAATTAATTATTTCTTTCCTTCCTTCACCATTGGATAGTGGAATAATGCCTTTCCAGTGTGAACTACATTTTGTCTGTGTTATTGATCCTTTAAAATACGTGCTCATTAATTACTCCTGTACCTTTTTCCTTTAATATTTATCATCACTTATCTTATGAATATATTCAAATTTCCCTTAGCCTTGAGAAAACCTGCAGCGCTTCAACTGCTTATCACATGGACGTGTTGTTTTGGCACAGAAATTTACATTCAGCACTTTTTACCATGGCTCTTCCCTTCACATTTCATTCTTTACAACCTTGTTTCTGTTTTTTTAATGCTTCTAAAGTTTCCTAAATTGTTGTCAGTTTTGGCCTATTGTTATCATTAATCCATCAGCTTATTTCAGTCCCTAGGTGGTTTGATCTCTGGATAATATTTCGAGGTGGAGGTCATTCTATTTTGGAGAAATTTATCTCATGATTAGTGAAATAGAAAGGAATTAGATGACTGATTCACTCTTACTTCCATTTCTTTGACTTTCAAAACAGAGTTACTGGGAAATTTTCCTAATAAAATATTTCTGCAGCTTTCAACGAAAAAGACACTTTAGCTAACAACCTTAGTTTAAAGCAAATATCAATGATGCTCTTTAACATAATCATCTAGCTAATACATATTTGTTGAAAATAAAACATGAACATGGAAAGAAATATTTACTTAGTTCAAGAAAAGGAAAGCAGACTTTCTATTGTTAAATTAGTATCCTATTTATTATAGCCTTTTTCTATAATATCAAGGATAATATAAAGGAGTGGAAATAATTTGTAACTACATGACACAGATGTAGAAAATATGTTTCCAAAAATAAACCTATGAAAGATTTGTTGCAATAAAACTACAAGTTCCATGATCAGTTGAAAATGTGAGTGATAAAAAATGTGCTTATAGGAAACATGTAGTTCATAAAGAGTTTTGATAACATTTGGATTTTAAAATAAGTATTTTATATATTCATGGTATCATCGTTCCGAGGAAGCTTAACTTTAGAAAATTTATGGGTTTCACAAAAATTATACAGATTATGGACCTTAATTTTAGTCCAGAACTCAAGCTTTTGACATAGTACTGTTGTACGTGTTTAGAGAAGTTTGCATTTCCCTGCTTTCCAGTTTCTATGTGGAGGGATTTCCACTAATGTATTCGTTCTCAAAGTTCAGTTCAAAGACCCCTGGAGATATGGAGCCCTTTTCACAGGGTCCATAACGTCAAAATTATTTTTGAAATATTAAGTTGTTATTTGACTTTTTCTTTTTTTTTTAATTATACTTTAAGTTCTAGGGTACATGTGCACGACGTGCAGGTTTGTTACATATGTATACGTGTGCCATGTTGGTGTGCTGCACCCATTAACTCATCATTTACATGAGGTATATCTCCTAATGCTATCCCTCCCCCCTCTCCTCATCCCACGACAGGTCCAGGTGTGTGATGTTCCCCACCCTGTGTCCAAGTGTTTCATTGTTCAATTCCCACCTATGAGTGAGAACATGCGGTGTTTGGTGTTCTGTCCTTGCAATAGTTTGCTCAGAATGATGGTTTCCAGCTTCATCCATGTCCCTACAAAGGACATGAACTCATCCCTTTTTATGGCTGCATAGTATTCCATGGTGTATATGTGCCACATTTTCTTAATCCAGTGTATCATTGATGGACATTTGGGTTGATTCCAAGTCTTTGCTATTGTGAATAGTGCCGCAATAAACTCCCTTTCTCTCACAAAAATACAGTAGCGATTTCAAGAGGCTAGCTGGCATGTGGTAGGGTAACAGATTGAGTGCTGAAGCAGATTTGAGCATCTAGCTGTCTTCTATTAAGCAAAGCATTATAGAGATTTGGGAAAATATAGAACAATGACACTTCTAACACTTATATTTTTTAAAATGCCATTTTTATAAAAATATATTCTTTATTTTAACATGTTATATGTTTATTATTTTAGATTAATTAATCAATAACTATGTTAAATATTTCTCAGCTTTAAATTTCCAGCACAATGTCAATGAATTTCATCCATAAATAAAAGTTTTTTAAGGTATCTGATAATTTTAAGCATCTAAAAGAGTTCTGAGACCAAACGTTTAAGACCCAGTACCCTAGAGTAATGATGCTAGTAACACTTCTTGTCTCATTATCACTTCCCCGTGGAAGAAGGATAGGTCATTAGATCAGTGGGTTAAATCCATTGTACCATATTTTGACTGCCACTTGTCATTATCTGTGTCTGATTTCTTAATTGTTTGAACTTGAGAAAAGGGAGAAAGGGAGATTGTCTATTGCCGTCTCATGAAACACATGCTATGAAGAGAACAAAGGATTTAAACTTATTTCATTCTAGACTTTGGTTACTAGAATGATTACTCTTCTTGGGGCATACACTTGTAAAATAAAAATGTTGTGATGAATTAAGGTCTCACTTGTACTATCCTTTATTTTAAATAAAACCCATTTGTATAAATGATTATATTATACCAAAATATGGTACCTCCCATCCTCCTTCATCTTAGGTTCTATTTCTTATGAGTATACTTAGGAGATAAATATTAACCTACTCCTAACAATTGTACATCTAAATATAAATTCTCAAACATCGAGAATTTTCCATTTGAAATATAGTTTGTCAAATGTTTACAGAGGTTAATAGTAGCTTTGTTTCTGAATTAGTGATTTCTTTCCAGAAGAGTATTTGGTTAATGACAGAGAATCACAGTAATGTTAATATCTTTGATCAACACTTGAGATTTGAAGAAAATCACTAATGAATTAAGTTGGCATAAGAATCACTTATATGATGCAATTTTGATGTGCTGTGCAAAATTTGTTGAAAGTTATGGAAAAATAATCTCAGAGTATTAAACATATTTTCCTAGGTTTCCCTCAGGCTTTGAAAAATATTTACACTGGATAATTTCAAAGGAAATTTCTAAAACTTGTCTGCCTAGATTGGAATATTTGCAAATCAACATACACAAAGGTAAAAATATACATAAACATAACCTGAGAATTAAATTCTAGATATATTACATGATTTTTTGTATGCTATTAGGAATGAGGGTAAGCTGTCCTGCACTTAATCTCATGTAAATATTTAAAAATTAGTGAAATATTATATTAACTGTTTATTCAGAAAGTTATATTAGTGTTTTAAATTCTTAGCCAACATTTGTGATTTGAAAGTTTTAAGATGATTATGTTATGTTATAATACACCTTCTGTTGAATACATGATATGTACTGGGTAGTATGGTAGGTAGCTGGAATAATAGTACTTTGAAACCTCTTAAAAGCATAAAATTCCTAGGCAGCTTCTGGGTGATTTTAGAAGCATAGATAAAAGCTATTAATGATTTGTTAAAATAGAAACACTTATGGATAATATACTAAGAGAATGCAAGGAAGAAAGTAAATAATATTTCTCAGAGGAACTGGGAAGGGGTATAGGAACGGTTATATTTAAGACAAGCTTTTTAGAATATGCATTCTCCAAGTAGAGGAAGAAAATAATTTAATAATAAAGACTACAGTTTCAGCAGGGGCATGAAAGATTAAAATGCTTAGTATATCTGACAAATTAGATAATATAATAGAATTAAATATGTTCAAATAGAAGTAGCATTAAGAAAAGATAAGTAGAGTACCATGGTGTAGCAGACACTGTTGTGGCCTGGCCATGTCTCCTTGGGTTGTATCCTCTACTGCATCCTGACCTATTTTCAACTGTCTGAGGGCTCTCTCTGGTGGCTGAAGCCTGCTCTGGACGTATTCTGCTCTGGAGAATAATGGTCCCCTGGAGCTACCTTTTGCTAATGAATACAGGTTAGTTGGTGTATTAATACTCCAGCTCCCTCACCTTTTGGCTGGACAACTCTAAGGTACATGTTCTTCACTAATTCCTTGAATTCCCCAGAAGGATAAGGCTCCAATCACACCATGATAATGGTTTTAATACTGCATTATTTATTGGCTGACTTGTTTTTCCTGTCTCACTTTCTTCTCTGTTGGTGTAGCCTGGAATTAAATATAAATAAATTAAACAGATTCAACTGACTGTCATACTCTCTGCTGCTTGTGGAATGTAAACTAAGACACATATATTTAATGGATATGTAATATTATTGGAGAACAATTATGCCTTCTCATATTCTGTGTCATGGATCTGTACCAATATCGCTTTCTACTCTCTCAAGCTCACTAGACAACGTATACGACAAGTAATATAAACATATAATTTGGTGTAATGTGATTGTGAAAGATGAACATTTCAGTGTTTGGCTAAACCCTAACCCTAATCCTAACCATAATCTAAGAAATATGACCTTTGTTTCAATGCCTGTAATGCTTTCTTACTTAAAACAGGCCATGAGCTCGCTGCTTAAAAGCAAAGAATTGAGAGTCAGATCAATTTGACGGTTAGTATTCTACTTCTGCCATTTTCTTATTGTGCGACCTTTGACAATAATTAATATCTCTGTTTTTAATATGAAAAAGGACAATTATAAATGTAAAATAAAATATTCAAACTCTTCACAGAGTTCCTATTATGCACAAGAATACTCATGAATTGTGACTTACTATTTTTTGTTGATTTTATTGTTAGGCTAGGTGTTAAGATACTCAATATGCAGCAAAATGTAAATTGAGATTTTTAGCTTTAAAATTAAACTATATATTCACCTTCCAGATTATTTTATCACATTGGTTATTTAGAATAATAACCTTTATAATTCAGGAAACTTTACTATGTATGTGCCAGACTCTGTTAAGTCATCTTCCAATACTTCCTCATTTATGTCCTAATCTAATAAAAATCTTATGAGGATATTCTATTTTTCCAGTGATTAAATTAAGGCAACCAACTGTCCATCCTGTTTTGCCTGTCTGTAAAGAGTTTCCTGTGACATGGGATATTCAAGGTGAAATCCAGGAAACTCCCAGGAAAACCAGGATGATTGGTCAGATGAGAACAGAGTATCAGTGAAGATAACAACTTCAATATCACAGAGCTTGTAAGTGAAAAAGTTTTGAGTTTAAACCTTACTCGTATTGATTAAGAAAACCATGTATCCTTGCCTCTTTATAATAGATTTCTTCACATTGTCTATTCCTCTAAGAGAAATTTCCATGTTATGTTGTCATAAACCTCAGGAGGGAGCTGAAGACCCGTTGGAGCTGTGTTTTCATTATGGGAGGTACTAATCCTCTTTGAAAAGCATTTTGAAATATGGAAGAGCATTTTTGTCGCTACGATTATACTATGAGCACCTCTGGAATTAGTGGAATGGTCTCACACAATAAAAAATTTTCTCGATTTTAACATGATTTTTGAATGTTGTGTTAGTCATTCATATAGTTATCCATTGAATCCCATTTGTATATAAATCACAATTTTAATAGATTTAAAGAAATAACCATTAAATAAGAAACATAAAGGATATAAACAATAGTTGATAAAAACATTTTATTGTTATTGAAAATTATAACAATGATTAAAAAGATATCTTTTGAGCATTACATATTAAAATGTTATTTATCTGAGGGTGTCTATTTATTTCAGTCTTCTGGTAATGTCTCCACATTTCACTTATTTTTTGAGACAAGAGTCTCGCTCTGTCACCCAGGCTGGAGTGCAGTAGTGCAGTCTTGGCTCACTGCCCCAGGTTCAGGTGATTCTCCTGCATCAGCCTCCCAAGTAGCTGGGAATTCAGGGGCACGCCATGACACCAGAAAAATTTTTGTATTTTTAGTAGAGAGGGGGTTTTACCATGTTGGCCAAGCTAGTCTTGAATGCCTGACCTCAGGTGATCCACCGACCTTGGCCTCCCAAAGTGCTGGGATTACAGGCATGAGCCACAATGCCCAAGCCACATTTCATTTTCTGTATAGCTCATCTTACTTTTTCTCTCCAATTTGTCTTATATTACATTTAACTGAGTAAAATATATTTCCTTTTGGATTTTTTTTAAGTTTTAGAGTCTGAATGTATGTCTTGTCAGGTGGTGGTAATTCAATATAGAAGATTTATTTTCTGTAGCACTTGCATGCTATACCATAAAGAAAGAATTATGTGGACACTGTCCTATTAATAAGGCCATTTGTGACAACGTGATATTTTTTAGTTCCTCGTTTTTGGAAGTCCTTAACTTGCTGTAATATTTTGTTTCTGCTTCAATTAAAACTATATAATATATACTTTTTCTCTTCTCATATAACAAGAAAGTCTGGTCTATTACTACTAACTTAGTGAAATACCAGTAGTTATTCTGATATCAAAGTTTTTACTAAAATGTCTTCTAATATTACTTCTTATAAAGCACAGATATGCATAAACATGTGGCCACTTTATTTTGTCTTCCATTGTGGTGATGTCTGAGTATTTATATATTAAAATTTACATAACAATTATAACTCATGTCCCATTTTACTCCATTATACTACTCTGGACATTATTATTGTTTTTAAAATTTTGTGTTTGGCAAGCTATATTATGTATTAATTTAATTTTTAAATAGTAGAGTCAGAATTACAGTATACACTTTCAAAAAGAGGTATCTAGTAGGGAAGGGTTGAGAACACATACGTTCTATGAGGTTATCTTCAGCAATAGAAACAGATTATTTACAAATAATAGTAATAGTTTTAAGAAGTAGATTCACTTGATAAAGTCACCTTTCTCCAATAATGACCGAGTTTAATTTAAGTCTTGGGAATTCTATTTATATATGAGAATACACTATTGAGCAGGAATTACTAATACCTAGGATATAATGCACGGGATGTTTTATATATTTTGAGATGCAGCAGTGCCTGACATCTGAACATACCATGGCAAAGCACTTTTGGAGAAAATTGGCAAGGATTGTGTGAAAGGAAATGTGATAAGTTGCAACTACAGTGGTTCATAGAATCTTATTAAAGGAGGAGGGATGAACAAGAGAAGTAAGAGAACAAATAACCATTATCCTGGGGATGAAGCCTCCAAGGGAAACTGGAAATAATGAGGCATATATGTGTGTAAAATAATACTACGGAAAAGATTAAGATGCAGAAAGCCCCTAAAAGTCAGAATTCACATTTTTAAGAAACTGAGTTGTGATTAATTGAGTATTCATTGAAACAGTTTTTGTTTGGTAATAAGGAAGGTTGTAATCTGGGGATACAATAAAGACCATTTGCCTAACAACATACTTGCGCAATATTACTTTTTGGTATTCCTTCAATAGAAAAAAATTTACCCTCCCACTATGATTTAGCTACATTCCAGGAAACAGGAAATAAATTGACTAAGAAATCTTGAAGGGTTTTTCTACTTTCTAGCATGAACAACAAATATTATCTGAGAGTACTTATCTCATGCTATACATACTGGCCAGGAATTTTACATGCGATGTTGTTTATTCTTTTCAATGACCTCATGTGCAATATTATTTTACCCACTTTATAGATGACAAAGCTGAGCCTAACCAAGTAATTTAAACAATTTCAGAGAAATTATATACGATGGAGGTAGAATTCAAAAACTGGCATAAATTTATTGTTTATTTAAGTATTCATTTACTTATAAGTTCTACATATTCATGCTTAGAATAGGCTGGGTCTAAAAAATAGATTTAAATACTATGATAGATTTGCTGACCTGAAGCAAAATTCAGGATGCTATTTATAAATTAGGGCTTACTGTTTTAAAACTTGATCAAAAGGGTCTAAAAGAATCTGAACTCTATTTTTCCACTGTCTCTTCCTCTTTTCTTCTATTTTTGTGCCATATAAATTAATACAGATCCTTCTACTTGACCTTCCATAACTAATGATACTACCGTCTACTAAGTTTGATTGTGTTGGTGTTTACTCTCTTAGTCTTATCTATTTTTCTTTTTAAAATTATTTTTCATTTCAAATTTTATGAACACACAATAGCTGTACATATACATAGGGTACATGTGATATTTCAACACAAGTCTGCAATGTGTACTGATCAAATCTGGGAAATTTGGATATCCATCACCTCAAACATTTACCATTTCTTTGTGTTGGAAACATTCCAGATCTACTCTTTTTTGCTATTTTGAAATACACAATAAATTATTCTTAACTGTAGTCACCCTGTTGTGCTACTGAACACTAGATCTTATTTCTTCTAACTGTATTTTTGTACATTTTATCTTTTACTAAAATAGCTTATTCAACAAATATTTACAGATTGCATTATATCTTCCAGATTTATTGATGTAATGTGCTATTTGAATCTCTCTCTCTTAAGTTCTCTGGAATCTGACTTTTCTCCAACCATTGACTTATTACACATTTATCAGAATACCATGCTTGAAGTATTGCATTGATGCTCTATCTATCTGGACTATCATTTTTTTCAGCATTGTCTTAGAATGTACAGCTTTAAATTAGAAGAGGCATTGTGGTGACAAAAGAAAAGCAAAGACATTATATTATCTAAGATAATTATCTTCATTTCATCTAAAAATTTATCTCAGTACATTTCTAAATACATTTTCTCAGTTTTCCAAGAAGCTGAGCCAGCATCAAGGATGAGGTGCATTGTTGCAACACCAGTGATCTTAGTTTTCCCAGGACTGATGGTTTTCTCAGGTTGTGAGACTTTCAGAATCAAAAATGGGAAAATCCCAGAAAAATCAGGATGACTGGTCATCTGAGGAGGTATATATCATGTAATAAGTGAGTGGGAGGGAGGGACTAAGTGAGGAGAGAATGTAAAGGCAAGGAGAGGAGCTATACTAAGCAAGCATGGCCAACTGCCTGATCAATAGAGAAATTAATTACAGTAAAATTTAAAAAAATAAAATAAAATCATTATATGATCTTTTTTTAAAAAAAGAAAATATTTCTCTGGAGAATTGGGCAGCTGTGAGACCTTTGCAGCCAACACTCAAGGAGGTCAAGGATAAATGCTTTTTCCATCTCTTCCATCAGCAGCAACATTCTATATTGCAAATTTAGTT
Organism: Homo sapiens; assembly: GCF_000001405.40. Taxonomy (NCBI): domain Eukaryota; kingdom Metazoa; phylum Chordata; class Mammalia; order Primates; family Hominidae; genus Homo; species Homo sapiens. The sequence goes on along the minus strand of NC_000008.11, from coordinate 114,841,553 downwards.
ATGGGTTTGTGTGTGAGGACTAGCACTGCCCACTCTTAAGTATTTTCTTAAATAAAACCAGCATTTTATTATTCTAATTGGGAGTATGATAGTGCATTACCTTCTATATCTTTAAAACTTGGGACCTAGAAAGAGTCACATCAAAACCAGTATGTGTCCTTTGGCAAAATAAATCTTCAATTTCCAGAAATAACTATATCTCCTTAATATGTCACTATGAAAACTTACTGCTTATGGGGGAATCAGAGCCTTTTTTAAATTATTATACTTTAAGTTCTAGGGTACATGTGCACAACGTGCAGGTTTGTTACATATGTATACATGTGCCATGTTGGTGTGCTGCACCCATTAACTAGTCATTTATATTAGGTATTTCTCTTAATGCTATCCCCCCTCCCCCAATCCCACTGGCAAGCCGAATCCAGCAGCACTTTAAAAAGCTTATCCACCACGATCAAGTTGGCTTCATCCCTGAGATGCAAAGCCTTTTAATCCTATGGGATGAAGTAGCCAACATGCGCTACAGGAATGAAGCTCTGCTACAATAAAAGACCAAGTTTATTCCAACTGTTTTTACCTTTAGCTCATGAATTTAAATACTCTCCAAATTTTTGGAATATTTGGCTAGTGAGTGTGATTTCTAAACGAAATTATCTTTTCTAACAATAGTGCACCGCTTGCATTATGACACTCAGAGTTGTCAGGTGTGAAGCAGAACACTCACATGTTATAGATTTAAGGAATTAATAATTCAACCCTGGAAAGATTGTATATTTGTCTGTTTTATAAAATAAATATGTTTATAAAATAATGTGCCAATTCCTTGGTTTGTTATCTGTTTAGTGTCTAAAATAGGGATAACTCTTGTCAAAGTCGGGGGAGGTGGTAGAAAGAGAGCTGAAAAACAGTGGTCAGTGCTAGGTAGACAGTAGTGAGATTCCAAAACCCTTCATATAATAAATATGAAACTGAAAGGCAAGATAAAATAGGGTAATAAGGAGTAAAGCAGCAGCAAGCAAGCAGTTACACAATAGGATTTGGTAATCCAAGAGAAAATAACCTAAAGAAAAACAAGTATCATTTGAAGGTATCAAAATTCACCAGTAACTCTCACATGAAGTTATTTTTGTAAAGGAAATGTCTACTCACTTGTTCCCATTTATATGAAATACAAAGTTTTGTGTGTTTCTTATTAGTCTGTATTTCCCATTTGACCTTTTTAATTGAATTTTCAGCCTACTTTATCAGCCTCAACTTGTCTCATGCACCCTACGGTCTAATCACCTTGAATCATTCAGTATTTCTCAACCACATCAATACTTCATTCCTCTTTGTCTTTACTCATGTTGTTTTCATAGCCTGGGGATGTTTCTTCCTTATTTTCACCTATAAAAAAATCATGCCTATTTTAAGGTTAAGTTCAAAAGTTTCTACTGCTATGAGAACTATCCAGCCTCCACACCCAGAATTAACTACTGTCTCTTCTGCACTGCCAATGCATCTTATTAATATCTACTATCACATATCTCGCTTCATTATGTTATCTTAGTTACCTCTTTAGGAAAAGTACCTTGATTTATTCAGTGTAATTCCACATGGGATACTTGGCTGTAATGCCCACTCTGGGAGTTCAATAATATCAAGTTACTACCCATTAAGAATGGCATAGTTTGAAGGTACCCCCAAGGACTTGAGGGAGAAATGGGAAACCAAAAAATTTATCATTACCAATATTAAAAAGCCAGTCCTCCACATCAAATGCAATGAACATATTTGAAGCTGGTACTGGGTAGGGTCACTCGGTTAATTTTTTTTTTCTAGAGTCTCTCTAGAGAGGTTGTTCTAATATCCTTCCAGAACATTCTGTTCCTTGCTTCAAGAGGCAGATTGATTTAGAAGAAAGTGGCAACATTATGTGGGATCATAGGAGGCAGAGGTAAAAAAATGGCCAAGGAAGTAGTTACAATGACAAGCAATTATGGAGACAAATGTAGAAATAGGAAGCACCAATGTTAGTACTAATTTTTTTTTCATTCATTTATTAAATATTTATTGGGTATTCATTATGTGGCAGGAAATGTTCAAGGAAATAAAATTAAAGCAGTGAACAAAAATAAAAGTAAAAAGGGACATTGAAATTATATTCTATTGGGGATGGGGCAAATATGAGGCAAATAAATATATACAGATATAGATGTCAGGTGGTGATATGTATTATGAGCCTGAAACAAAACAAAATAAAAATCAGAATATGGAGGAAAGAGAGGGCTTGGACAAGAATTGAAATTTTGGAATGTGCTACTTTATTTAGGGTGACCAAGGATAGTCTCACTGGTCAGCTGGCTTTTGAGCAAAGACCTGGAGGAAAATGAAAATATGGAGAAGAGCATCTACAAAGAGAGAGAACCCTGATGAAGGAGAATGCTTAACGTATTTGAGTGACTCCATGAAGTCCAGTGGAAGCTGGGGGACAGTAGTAATAGATGAAGTTAGGAAAGTATTTGAGAGACAGAAAGCATGGACTCTTGTAATCCAAATAAAGATGTTTCCTATATTCTTTGAGTGAAAGACATGGGGAACCATTAAAAGATGGTGAACAGGAGAAGGTTATTATTTATGTCTTTAAAAATGTTGCTGTTTTCTTTCTTGTTAATAGACTGTTACAGGACAAGGGGAATGCACTGAGGCCATTTCAAAAGCTCATTGCAGAGGAAAGAGCCAGGGTAATTGGTGTAGTAGTAGTGGGAAGAGGTAGTTATAGGATATATTTTGAAGGTAGACCTAACAGGGTATACTAATATTGAATGTGGAGATAAGAAAAGGAGAGGAATTAAGAATGAATCTGAGGTTGCAGGACTGAAATCTAGGAGTTGTTTAGGACATATTACATTTGAAATGCTTATATCTAAATAGTGATGTTGAAAAGGCAACTGACTAATAAAAGCTAGAAGCTCATGTGAGATGTCTGAGCCGGAAATGTAAATTTATAGATTATAATTTTAGATATTGTTTAACGCTGTGATACTTAATGAAATCATCCAGGAAGAAAAGATATCTGAAGTATGTGCTCCACATATAGAAAATATGGGGATGAGAAGGATCTAGCAAAAACAATACAAAACGAAAAACAAATATATATATATGGACTCTTGTTTTATATATCTCTCTATATATTTGCACTGAAAAGGAGACCCTCATAGAAGAATAATCAAGAGGGAATAGTGTCATGGAAGTCACATGACAGCAATGTCACAAGTTGCTTCTAGGGTTCATAAGATGAAAGCTAATTATAGGGACATAACAACATGTTAGCATCTTTGCAACATTCACAGAGATCTTCCAATAGATTGATAAAGCTGAATGCCTGATTCGAGTGAGAGAATGGAAAGAATGAAATCGATGATACCAGATATAAGCAATTATTTGTTATAAAGCGACTAAGGATGGCAACCGCAAAAGCAGCAGATAACCAAATGAGAGTAATGTCTTTAACTTTTAATTTAATTTTAAGGATCCCGTGTCATCAGGCAGTACTGATGGGAGATCCACAGCCAAAAAGAAATTATATTTATCATTGATATTCTGGATATTCCCACAGTTGGTATTTCAAGGGAAAATAACTGTAATATTTGTATTTCTTGTTACCTATCATGGTGACTTATTTAGAGTAAGTACTTCATAAATGTATATTGACTTGCTGTGTGGATAATGGATAGATATGCAGGTGAACAAAAAGTGAACCTTATGCATATGGTCATATGAAGTTAATTTCTCTACTGCCACACAAAACTTTGAAGTTTGGCTGAGAACTAGAGAAACGATATTAGTTAAATAAACAAAATATTGGGCTTCAGGAAAATAGAGAAAACACTTTTGCAGACCAGTTCTTTCAGTGGCTTTGGATCGACTCAGTTCTCTCCTTTTTCTTCCTTGGAGTTCTCAAGAATATGTATAAATGTGCTGGGAATTATCTATCCTAAGATAGGAAGGAATTGCCTAAAACAGCCTGAGACCTTTTGCTCTCCCTCCTACAGAATATAATATCACAAGTTTGGGACAAACTGCCCAGGACCGCCTGGGGTTTGTTCTTCCTACCCCTAGAAGCAGGATATCCTTGAAAGCTTTGCCCAGTAATTCACATTGTGCTTGAGATCTGTAACGCAGGGCAGGTTGCCTTTTGCGGTCCCTCAGCTGTGCTACAAATAGGACAGCCACAGTCAAGCCTCCATTTGCCCAGGGCAGCTTTCTTGAGCCCTGGGGGACTGGCTCACCATAGATCCTAGGCTTCTTTTGTCCTTTGCTGCCTTTATATAAGTAATAAACCCATTTCATATAATTTTTGCATGGGAGTGTTTTCTGCCTCACTGGACTCAGGCATTGGTAACATTGCATCCCGGCATGCAGTGAGCAGAAGTTTGCACTCGTATTCCTGGTGGTTGGCATGGTGATGATCTCTTGATGTCCTCTATGCAGTGGAGGGATTGGTTGTTAGTAAACTTACTTCAGAAATTTTTCTTTAAACAGTTAAAAAATGAACAATGTAAAAATCTGATTACTGAAGAGATTTCCAGGATCGTACAAAACTGTAAATTTAGAAAAATGATTATCGGAGCCTCCATCTTGGCACTGTCATTTTATTCTTTGTCATCATTCTGTAGTTATGAAAAATGTTATCTCTATTTTCTTACTAACTACTGAGATATGTGCCCTTCTTTTGTGTGTTCCGTTCATATGTTTTTTTTTTAATTTTTGGTAATACTTGAAGATAATAAGTCATGTTCTTGCTGTGACCTACCACTAGTATTTGGAAAACATCCTTGCTTTGTTTGGCATCAGAAACTTGTTACGGGATGTTTGCCACCACTCCACATGAGTATCCGACTCAGCCTGCTCCAGCATGTGCCTGCTTAGAGTTGCCCACTCCTGTAGAGATCTTCCTCACCCTGCTCGCGCTTTGAAAACTCATGCTGAGTTACTGGTCACTCTCCCAGCCTCAGCCTAGACACATAGCCTCATGCCATACGTGATTTAATCTAGTATCTCTGCTCTGAATTTTTCAGGAAGAAAGGCAAAATGACCAGAAAAAATAGAGCACAAGAAGAGAGAAAAGCAAGAAGAGTCAGAAGGAATGACAAATTGAAAGAATAAGGCCCCTGAAGTGTTCTTATGCTTAATTCTTGCATGGTGCATATGTTTCCATCCTTTTACTTTCAATACTTCTGTGTTTTTACATATAAAGTTTGTATTTTCAAGAAAGTATTGGGTCTAACAGTCATATTGAATCTGCCAAGACTTGTGTTTTTGCATTATTACATTAATGATTATTATGATAAAGTTATCTTTAATTTTTCACAGTTTATTTAGAGTTAAAATTGAATGACTTTATATAAAATGTTACAACTTTGAAACAATACTATTTTATTTGCATTCATATTTTGTACTATTGTTGTCCCACATATTATATCTACATTCATAATAAATTTCACATTATTGCACAAAAAGTTTTGCTTTGAACAAAATTAAGAAACTATATATATATAATATTTACATTTTCCCCAGATTTATCCTTTCTGACATTTCTCCTTGTATTCTGTAGATATAAATTTTATTCTAATATCATTTATCTTTATCCAGAATGGCTTTCTTCAGCATTTTTGAAGTTCAAGTTTCCTGACAACAAATTCTTTCATTTTGTAATATTAAATTTTTAACCTTTATTTTTGAAATATATTTTGTTATGTACAATTTTGGGTTCACATGAATTTTTCAGAGATTCAAAACTTAATGCTATTCCATTGTCTTCCAGTCTCCATTTTTAATTAAAAAAATTTTTTTAGAGACAGGGTCTCGCTTTGTCATCCATGCTGGACTGCAGTGGCAAAATCATAGCTCACTGCATCCTCAAACTCCTGGGCCCAAGCAATCCTTTGCCCCCAGCCTCTCAAATAGCTAGGACTACAGGCACACCACCATGCCTAGCTAATTTTTAATTTTTTTCATGGAGATGGGATCTTACTATGTTGCCCAGGCTGGTCTCGAACTCTTGGCCTCAAGTGACCTTCCTGCCTTGGCCTCCCAAAACATTGGAATTACAAGGGTGATTCATGGAGCCCAGCTCTTCATTATTTTTAATGGGAAGTTAGCTACAGAAATATAGATGTTTCCCTTTATGTGATGTGTCATTTTCTCTGGCAGCTTTCAAGATTTTCATTTTATCCTTGGTTATCAGCTGTATGACTGTTGTACTTAGGTGTCATTATCTTTCTATTATTTGTATACTTGGATCTGTAATTTTATAATTTTCCTCAAATATCAGAAGTGTTTGTCATTACTTATTAAGGAATGGCTTTTCCCCACTCTAGTTCTCATTTCTTTCTGGGATGCTAATCAGATAAATGTTAGACTGCTTCAGATTGTTTCATAAATCACTGGATTTGTGTGTTTACTATCATTCTTTTCTGTGTTCTTCAGACTGAGAAATCTGGTTGGTTGGCAGGTGCTGAAATCTCTACTGCTGCTCTTTCAGCCTTCCAGCTGTTGCTTATCACTGGGTCCCTTGCAAATACCAAATGAAGAGAAAAACAAAGATTTGAGTGAAGTTTGTATGTAGATTTAGGGCTCACTCTCTATATCTGGGTTATCTTTCTGTTTCCTCTCAATCTTATAAATGCAAACTTTATTCTTTAACTATTCAAGCCAAAAAGGTTGCAAATTTTTGTTTAAATCCTAGCTATCTTATATTTAGTGAACTGGAATTTGTGCTGATTGAAAATACAGATCTCTCTCCATTCTCTTCTTTCAAGGATCTAGTACTCTTTAGTTTCTGGTCTTTGTTTTCTTTCCATTGTCAATTTTTATTGTATGTTAGGCTTATAGTTCATATTTTACCTATAAGAGAGTTTGTTTAATAAAATCTACTATGCTATTATTGGAAGCAGGACCTCCTTTGTTTTGTTATTTTTAAATATTAAATATGGGCTATATACATTTACTTGTATGTATGCTATATTTACCAAGAATAACATTAAAAATTTTAACAATGTGATTCATCATATTTACTAACAAAACAATTTTATTATACCTCAAAAAATCTGCAAGTATTCATTATCTACTTGTTTCTAGAAAATGAGAACTAGAAATCACAAGCAAACTTTTCTATGTAATGAACTAGCTATGAAAAATTTACAGTAAATATTATACTTAATGAAGGAAGTTCACATGTGTTTCCTTATTTGGGTGAAGGAAAAAAAACAATAAAATACAATATATTTACTTTTGGTATGTAACATTATTGTGGATATTATAGTTAAAATAACATACCAAAAAAGATGCCTAAGAATTAGAGAGGAAGAAATACAACTATTTAACTTAGATGATATAATTATTAATATGGAATGCCAAAGAGAATGAAACATAATCTATTTATACTAATAGTAGATTTAGCAAATTTTGCTGGAGAGATACACTTGCAAAATAGATAACAATTTTTTTTCTGTATCATAAATGCACAGCTAGAAAATAAAATATAAAATAAGGTATCCTTTAAAAAGACAGCAAAATATCAATTCTGATCATCTATATAAAAACATTTAAAGAAGATATGACAAAATTGAGAGATAAATATTATGACAGATGGGGCAACAGTTTTTAATATAATTTTAGTGGAATCCCAATCTGAATTCCTACAATTTATTTTGTAAAATGAAATAAATAGGTTCTAAAACTTTTGTGGAAATGGATTCCTACTGGTAACTAAGTTGAGGTCTAGGAATAAAGAAGTGAGGGGGAAAATTACCCAATCAAATTCTAATGTAGAGTAGTTTTGAAAACAGCATTAAGATAGATTTATAAGATTTGAAACACAGATCTATGAAAGAGACTGTAGAGGTTAGCAACACATTTTATTATAAATGGTAAGTGCGGTATAATAATTCAATGGGAAGGACTGTTCATTATATGTTGCAGTTAATATTGGTTCATTGCCTATATCCCTGTACAAACAGCTCATTAAAATATATAAAGCTATGTTTTTACTTTGCACCATAAAATTGAATAGCATTTATTAGAGGAGATTGTCTAAATTAGATATTTGAAATTATAAGACTAACAGAAGAAAGTGTAGGAGGAGAAAATATCTATGATCTAGAATTTGCAACAGAATCCCAAAAGATTTCAAAAGCATATAAAAGAAAATGAAACCCGGGTTTTATTACCTTGAAATTAAGTATTTTTTGTTAACAAAGATACAAAATGTCAATTAAATGACAAATGATACACTTTAGAAAAAAAACTTTCAGTAACTAAAACCATTAAGTAAAACTATGTTTTATCAGCTTTAACATGAATTTGACCTTTTAGAAGTATCATTGTTTTATGTAACATCAAAAAATTTAAAAATGTATATTAAATGAATTATGGTACAACATTTTTATTATCCTTTAGAATGTTTAATTTACAAATATTGAAAGCATCAATTTAATATTACTTAGATATAAAAGTGATATCTGTAAGAACATCTATGGCCAATTGTATGCATGTAAAATACATATGCATTTTAGAGATGTTTTAATACATAAAGTTTATTTTATATAGTGCATATGCTGATATCTAGAATTTATAAGAATTTCTGCAAATCAGCAAGAAATATATTGATATCTAATTGGGAAATACAAAAAGGACTTGGATATTCAATTCACGGAAAGAAAAGCATAACTGAGATGGGTTTAATTGCTAGTACTAGATAATTGCAAATTTTAAAAATTTAAACTCTTTTTTTAGGACCATCAAATTGGTAACAATTAGAAAATTATATAATACAATAATATGCTAGTACATATATATACTCAATATTCATATATATTGTAATCTCTATATTCCATATATACATATATATATAAAGATAAAGGTATTATCTTTAGTATTAGGTAGTTGTATTTGACATAATTGAACTGTCAAGAGAATTAACACATAGAAGTAGAACAAATCTCACTGAAGAAATTTAAATAGGAAAACTTGTTTCAAATTGTTTTAGAGAAAGTGCATACTAGGTATGCCAATGGGAAAAGGGTAGATAAAATATATAGTATATATATATATATATATATATATATATATATATATATATATATACCAACTCACATTAGTCCAAAAGCTTGTATGGGAATATTCTTTCCAACATATACTAACGAAGAGCTGAAAGCAACCTATGTGTTCATCATTAGGGAAATGAACAAATGAAATGTGATATATACACACTATTGAACACAACACAAATAACTAGTTTGTGTATAGCAACATAGACAGAATTTAATACAATGTTAGGTAAAATGGGAGTGAATGAGTTAATAGCAAATACACTTACATGAATCATACATGTGAAATAAAACCATGTGTTTTACAAAGATACATACATATCTGAGAACATATAACAAATAAATTAGTGAAGCACAGGTAAAGTAGGAAATAAAAACAAAACCTAGTAAAGTGTTTTATGGACAAAAGTTGAAAGTATCACGTGAAATGAGGAGCACAGCTATTCCAGGCTGTGCTTCGATTATTCCTAAACAGAACTGTTTTTCTCCTAACATTTCTTCACTCTCTTATTACCGCTGTAAATATTTTTCTCCGTTGGGGGTGCAAATAGTTGACAGGATAGGTTCCTTAATTTGGAAATGTTACTATTTGTTATACATGTGTCTTGACTAATCCAAACAACTGAGCTTTCTAACTTAAATTTTCACTAGCCTCATTTTGTATGGGTACCATTAGATTTTAAAAATGTGATTTGCTTTCTGTTGTCAATTACACAATTAAAACCTATTTTTTATTATCCTCAGATTTTTAAAGCATTTCACAGGCAATGATATGACTCATTCCCTAAAGGGGCTATCATAAGGAATATATATATCATAAGGGCGTGAAAGAGCTTGAGATTTTAGCATACGTACCATGCCACAAGACTAAGGTATTATCTTTAGTATTAGATAGTTGTATTTGACATAATTGAACTGTCAAGAGAATTAACACATAGAAGTAGAACAAATCTCGCTGAAGAAATTTAAATAGGAAAACTTGTTTCAAATTATTTTAGAGAAAGTGCATACTAGGTATGCCAATGGGAAAAGGGTAGATAAAATATATAGTAAAACTATTTCTTTTAAGAGTGCAGAGTGTACATAATTTGGAAATTAAATGAGAATAGACAGTAACACATCGTTTTGAAACATTTCTCCAGTTCCCACATTCTGTTCCTCTAAGGGTTTTGTTTTCTTTTTGGAGATGTTTCATGCGTATACCCACATGTTTGAGAACATATGTATTTTAGTATACGACATGGTGTTTAAAATACGTGACTGATTACTTGATATTTTATTTCATCAAAAGTAATTCTTTGTAAAATAAAACAAAATCAAAAAAATTTGAATGGTCATTGAAATCCTTTACCCGTTACTGAAAACAGATATGATAAGACCATCATGTATTGGTAAACTGGTTTAGTATCTAGTCGCAAAGACAATCATAAGCTACCGAATCTGCCAAACCATTTTCTATATTTGGGTCACTCATACAGGAGCTCATTAGGCTCAGAGCTATTTAACTTTCAACTTTCACTCTAAGGGTTAAAATCCATATTATTTATTTGAAAAGCTAATGTCCTTGTTGGAACAAAAACCCTTTAAATTTAAACAATCCATTTAGGGACCAATTTCCTTTCACGCCTCAGGAAGTATAAATCTAGCGCCTGTGCAGTACTAAGAGCTTTTCATGCATATTAAAATTATTTGCTATTGACTTACTGTAAAGCTGAAATTAAATGTTTCTAATTTGTAACCAGAAATCTTGTTCCAAGTTCATTCCTATAATCTCCCTATATTGCAAAGTAGTGAAAAGTAGAAAGTTGTTCCCTATAATCAAATTTGATTATTAAATGTAGGTATCTGAAAGTAATGTTATGTTCAATATATACATGTTTGTATATTACATATATATGATATACATTTGCATGCATGATAAAAACTGCCTTTAGCATGATGATAGTATTAGAGTTTATAGAAGGCATGAAATACTATAGGAGAAAATAATAAATTACTATTGTAGTGTTATACAACAACTGTTTACTGAATGCACAATGTATTTTCAAAGATTTTTAAATATCTGCTTTATTTAATATTATTGACATACTACTTATCTTCCAAGGTGGTCATTCTCTCTAATTTGCTTTTAGTGGTACCACAATTTTGTAATTATCACCTATGTTCTCAGGAACTTTAAAATAAAATAAACGCAGAAATATGTCAAATTGGCCGTAAACTTATAACCCAAAATAACAATGTCCCTAAAAAGACATAAGCTATGAATCTTTTAAAATCTAAATAAATAACTGATGTAATTTTTTTCAAATAGTTTTAATAGGAAAGAATCCCTCTTGAATATACTTGAATATACTCATCATCAGAAAAGTGTTTCACCTTAATAAAATTTGATTATATGGTGGAGAACATTTCTTTTGACATTTAAGCTTCTGGTAAAATGAAAAATGTGGAGCAATAAGTGATTCCAACCCAGCCCTTGAAAGCTCACTGCATCATTTGTTAATGTATGCATCCAGAGAAGAGACACAAATGTGGAACAGCTCAAACCTCTACAAAAGCCCTTGAAGCAGTCATATAGAATCTGCCATATGCTGATAACTGCATTCAGAAAGCTCACTCATAAGAAAGGATGATGAATAGTTATGCTGAGTCAGTGGTTACAAGTTGCCAATAAACTTGAAAATGGAGATCATTTGTTAGACTGTATAGTACAAAGTTCTGCCTTGAAACTCAAAATATTTTGTTGATAAACTAGAATTGAATTGAAAGTTGTTATAGAAAACTGCTCCTGGGGCTGCATTCTGCCAAGTGATATACAGAGAGCAAGGAGATGAAAAAAGGGTAAAAACAGTCCTATATGGCTATGTAGTAAATATTATGTCAATAATGTGATCTCAAATTTCAGAAATAAACCAGATACCCATAACACAAATTGTATCCTCTTTTCTGGAGTTTACTCAGAGATATGAATGCCACAATTTTGAATCCCGACATTAGTTTATTGATATTGCCATGTTCTAAATCACATTAATCTGATTAAATTCAGCAAGTATATATTGAACAACCATACACAGAAAGTCTATGCTAGAGATTACAGAGTAAAGGATGTGATTTTTGCTCTTAACAAAGAAGATGTTTACTTCCTCCCATAGCTCTCTCTAGGTACTGATTGAAAATACTACTGATATTTAATTCCCTACTCCTTCTCCCTCATTTGATTATAATATAATATAGATCAGTAATCCATTGGTATTCACTTCTGTTTTCTCAACTTCTAAAACAGGACCTGATTATAAAATAAGTATGTTTTACTCTGGAGATGATTGATCCAAAATAACCATTTCCTATTTTTTTGGTGATTATATTTACTGGTGGGAACATGGAATGTTATGATTCCATATAACACAAGTTGATCACTAAGCTCCAACTATGTAGTTATGTTTTTGTTGAAAGAGTAATGACTCATTAATGGCTTCCTTCCTCTTCCTTCAGTCTCTCAAAAATTCTCTTCTTCCTTTATTTCCAGGCCTTTCTTTACTTCATATTTACTTCCCTTCCCTTTTTTTAAAAAAAATGTTCACACTGAAGTAATTTTCTCTGATAATCAAGCTGGCTTCAAAAATTCAACAGCTACTTCTAGGTAAGTGAATTTCATAATACAAATTTTAAACTTTCAGTGTGTTCCTTAGTTTGGAAAATTTCTTGTTACTGATGGGCATCTTTGCTTGGATTTTAAAATTACATCAGTTATTCTATGTGTTCACTGAATTAGTAATTTCCTCTTTCTGGCTGTATTACCCAAATGAGCTTTACAAACTATTTTTAATTGGCATATTTATTTAACAAGTTTGAAAATAGAACAAGTTTTTGAACTATAAAGTATATTGCAAACGCAATACTATTCAACACCGTATCTTACTGTCTCTCACAAATTCTGTCTTTGTACCATATCGTGTGTGGTAGTGATTGTATTTAAGGGTCCAGGTTTTGTGATGAGACGGACATGGATTCCTATCCCAGGACTTTTTTTTTTTTTTTTGACACATTAAAGCCAAGCCTACTACATCTATATGCCTACCATATGCCTATTTCTATACCTTCTTGAGTGTTCTTCTGCATTTCAATTTTCAACATTTTACTGCTCATCAATAGCATCAATCCAAAATGAACTACATTAATATCCAAAGTCATACCACTGTTAAAAAGGTCTTTAATGCTTCTTTTGCTCATGGAGAAAATTAGTCCTAAATCTCACAGTCTTTGCATGGTGCTCAATGTTTTCCATTATCCAGTTTTGTATCAGTTTTTCAAGTTAGTTTTTCACCATATAGATACCATGTTAAAGAAAAGGTCTGCAAAAAAATCTGTCATTTTTTCAAAATATATAACATTCCAACTACTGAGATACCATCTATATATTTGACTCTTAAATTTAGTCTCCTAAATTGTTTGGGCTTGAATTGCAGTTTCAACATTTATTAGTTATTTGATCTTCAGAATTAACTACTCTAAAAATTGTAAGAATGCTAATATTAATAACAATACCAGCTAAAACTTATTACGTATTCACTACACACTAGTAAGTGTTATAAGCACTTTGCGTATTATCATGTTTAATTATCATAATGACTGTATATGATTTACAGTATATTATTGTTATTCTCATATACAAATTTTAAAAACTGAGTTACTGAAGTAAGTAACGCATGTCCAATATTACTCGGCTATGAAATAGAAAAGCAATCAGAGTTACTGGAGTGGTTAACCACTAATATGTACTTCATCAGGAATGGATTAAATTGAATTAATAGTGTAATTGATCTCACATCATCATTATAAGAACATAATCAGTAAAAAGCTTGGAGTATACTACATGCTCAATAAACATAGCTTTTATTGTTTTCTAGCTCTTCCACTTCTTGGGCAAATTATTTAACTTTTCTTGTCTCACTTTTCTCATCTATAAAGTAGGAAAAGTTATAGTACCTATATTTTAGGGTTATTGTTAGGATTTAATTATTTAATACCTATGAAGACTGCCTAAAATGGATATATTGAGACAGATTTTTTAAAACCAGAGTAAGCAAGTAATTTATTGAAGAAATGCACGCAATAGAAACCTATAAGGAAGTGAGGGAAGCAAGATAGGACAGGAAAAGAAGCTAACCAAAGAAATAGTCTCAGATGGGGTAAAGCTGCAGTCTGATTTCAAGAAAAACAATGGAGCATGAATTGCAACATAGGATAAGTCTCACTTTGAGGCAATGGAGACAGCCATTTCACCCATGATCTACACATATTATCCGGTTTTATAGTTACTTTTAAACTGTTAACTCCTTAAAGGGCAGGATGCTGCATGATATATTCCTGTATTATACACAGTTCTTACAAAAATCACATTTTCATTACAAAGTTTCTAAAAGATTGAACAGTTCTCAGATATTGGAGTTATAAATGCCTTATGCTTAGTAGGTACTCAACTGGCAGAATTAATTAGATAAATGAATGTATCAATAAAAAACTAAAATAGATATCATTACATAAAACTTCTAGAAGTATGAGATGTGACTTTGTAATATTCCCATAAATATGTTATCAGTTCTTTCCCCTTGTATATATTCATTCATATGCAAAAATGTGTTGACAACATTTTCCTAAGAATCAAATACATAAGAAAAACTTCTTTCAATTACCTTGAAGTTAATGTACTTGAAATTACTTAGAACACATTAGTTTATCTTCAATTCAGGGGACATATTATCAGTATTAATTGATTTTTAAAAAATTACCAAAGAAATCAGTACTTCATAGGGTAAGCTAAGAACTAGAGAAATTCCATTAATAAAAGTTGTATTATAAATACACAATTACAGGCAAGACAGTGAGTATAGTGCTTAATCTATTTATACTCTTCATCAGTAAGGGTGAAGCTTTCCAACTTAAAAGGAAGAAAAAAATTACATGGGAGATAAGATCAAATGCCTCATAGCAGCCTCAAATAGATGTTTATCATTTTGCTTTAATATCAAAATTAGCAAACTAATTTCTAACATGTAGAAGTGAAGCAAATATGTGGCTGTAATAAGTTAAATGTTATAAGCAATTATATTTTATTAAAATTTAAGAAGACTTAGTCAATAATTTGTGCTTGACACTATTTAAATACAAATAAATAGCACAAAAATTATTATACAAAGAGAACATATACCTTATGAAGGTAGAAATAAAACAATACTTGCCAAAGAGAAATATATTAATTTCCATAGGCATGGCATCAGGATTTACAATATAATACATTTTTATTTAAATATGAGTTTCTAGGATGGATGCAGTGGCTTACAACTGTAATCAGAATCTCTGGAGGCCAGGAGTTCCAGACCAGCCTGGGCAACATAGCGAGACCCCGTTGCTACAGAAAATTTTGTTTAACAATTAGCCAGATGTGGTGGGGGATGCCTGTATTCCTAGCTACTCAGGAGGCTGAAGCAGGGGGATCTCTTGAGCCTAGGAGTTTGATACTGCAGTGAGCACTGATTGCACTACTGCAGTGTAGCCTGAGACAGAGTGAGATCCTGTCTGTATAAGAAATAAAAATAAGTAGAATAAAAAGAGCTTATATGACATGCTCCAGAGGAAATTATCTGTGGGTTTCAAAAACTTATGTGATTGCCTGGGCGTGGTGGCTCACGCCTGTAATCCCAGCACTTTGGGAGGCCAAGGCAGGCGGATCACGAGGTCAGGATAATGAGACCGTCCTGGCTAACACGGTGAAACCTCGTCTCTACTAAAAATACAAAAAATTAGCCGGGCGTGGTGGTGGGCGCCTGTAGTCCCAGCTACTAGGGAGGCTGAGGCAGGAGAACGGCATCAACCCAGGAGGCGGAGCTTGCAGTGAGCCGAGATCGCGCCACTGCACTCCAGCCTGGGCAACAGAGCAAGACTCCGTCTCAAAAGAAAAAGAAAAAAAAACTTATGTAATTAATTTCTTTGAAAATGAGTGAGGAGTATATATATATATATGTATACATTTATCTATATGTACATATACATTAACTCATTAAACACATTTAAAAATTTTAAAACTTTCATTGTAATGAAAGCATTATTTAGAAAGGAGAGGGTGGAGATATTAGTAAAATGTCCCTTTGTATCCAAATTTCAGATATCCGTGAAAAAGAAAGTTTATACCAGTACAAAGAAGATATTAGTGAATGTGTCCAGTGTATATAGATTCATGCCATGAGAAATTTGGAAGGATTCTCTCTTAAGAAATATTTCTGAATTAGGGAAAAGATTTCGTAGCAATGCGGCAGAGATAGCTTATATTACCCATTTCCTACTATTTGTTATGGAGCTCATTTGGAGATAACCACGAATTAGTTACTGTATTGTTCAGCAAAACATTATTAGTATACGTAAAATTGCCTGTAATTGTGAAAACAGGACAGGTCTAATTTCCTTTTAATTATCACAGTCCCCAAAACAGGCCATACTATTGTAAAGGGGTTTTGATATTGATAAAAACAATGCAGTACATTTATTTGTATTCTATGCATTAACAAGGCTTTTTCATGTACATTTTAGATATGTTTTATTAATGTATTCTAACCGAGGAATAGTTAAAAACAAGTGATATCAATTGATCCTTTCTCGATGTACAAAAATGTGTCAAATATTTTAAAGCATTTTGCTAATATGCTAAAAACAGAAAAAAAAAACTAAATGATAAAACATATTTATGATAGTCTTTTGAAATAAATTTCTCTATCCCCAAGTAATAACCATATTTTTAAAGTCTTTAATCTTTTTAAATGAATTAAAATAAAAATGGATTATTTTTGTTCCAGATATTAGTTTTTACAGGCAAGTTAAGAATATTCTGTTAACTTTGGCACTGCATTAATTTAATATTGCATGTTTGTTTTAATGATTCATAATATAATGTGATGAATTCTTAATGCATTGAAGCAAATTTATGTTTTTGCATCCATTTTTAATTAACTGGGCATGCAATATGGTAGCATTTCCTTTGGGCTTTAAAAACAGAACTGAGAAAAATGTATTCAAAGATAGGCATTTCCCATGCAGTGTTGTGTGAGTGACTTACTGAATTACTGCCATTCATTTATTCTCATTGATTTTGCATCTATGCTTATCAGACTGTAATAGGCATTGAGCAAAATGTAAGGAGAAAAGGATATGGCCAGTGATCTTTGTGAACTTATACCCTAGAGGTTTTCTGGTATTTTAACATGTTATTAAATAAACTATTGAAAGTTTGGAGAAAAAATATCTATTTCTCAATGTTTTAGCCTTATCTATTGCATGTTTCATGCTTTCAAACCTATATTCCAGTATAACCAATTTTTACTGTATATTTATTAATTTATTCAAATAACCATGTATTGTGTATCATCAATCATGCATTGTGTTAAATAATGCACTAAAGTTTTCCTAGTTTGAAGGAATTAAATAATAATAAAAATATTCTTCAATTACAGGAGTTTATAGTCTAGTAAACAATACTATCATTCTATATATATTGTATCAATTATTGGACACAGATGAAGGTAGATAAAATCATTTCTATAAGCAATATCAGATAAATACAAAAATTATATGTACTAGGCTATATACTGAAGGTTAGGGACACAAAGAGTCACAGCAACAACAAAATCAATACAAACATTTATGGCAATAATAATTGCTGACAATTATTAAATGCATGTACTCTGCTAGTCAATAAGTTAAGCACTTTGCGTGCATTATTTATTTTAAATATTTTTCCCTTTTAGTATGCACCTGTATTTGGTTTGATAATATATTTTTGAGAAAATTTGCATCCATATTCAAAAGGGATAAGGTCAGTAATTTTATTGCATTATCTTTGGTTTTGGTATCCGGATAATACTGGACTCAGAAAATGAAGCAGGTTGTTCTCCAATTTTTTGGGAAGAGTTTAAAAGGGACTACTGTTGATTCTTTAAATGTTTAGCAGAATTCATCAGTGAAGCCACTGATCCAGGACTTTTCTTTGTCAGGAGATTTTCTTATTACTGATGCAATCTCCAATTACAAAAGTTTTATGGAGATTTCCTATTTCTTTTTTAGTCAATTTTGGTAATTTGTGTGTTTTAGGAAATTTGTCAATTCTATCTATGTTATCTAATTTGGTGTACAATTGTTTATGGAATTCTCTTACAATTTTTATATTTTTAGGTTGGCATTAATGTGGCCACTTCATTTCTTATTTTAGTTAATGAGTCTTTTCTCTGTTTTTCTTTGTTCATCTAGCTCATAGGTTCTCAGTTTTGCTGATCTTTTTAAGGAACCAAGTTTTCTTTTGGTAATACTCTCTATTAATTTTCTTTTCTATATTTCATTCATACTCACTGTAATCTTTATTGTTTCCTTCTTTCTGCTAGTCTTGGGTTTACCTTTGTTTTATTTTTCTATTTCCTTAAGGCATATAGGTAGGTTATTATTTTAAGGTGTTTCTTCTTTTCGATGTAGGCATTTTTAGCTATAAATTTCCCCCAGAGATCTATGTTCACTATATCCCACACTTTTTTGTATATTGTGTTTTCCTTTTTATATATTTCAATGTATTTTCAATTTCTCTTTTGATTTCTTCTTTGACCCATGTTTAAAAGAGTGTGTTTTAAATTATATGTAACTGAAATAGTTTGGATGTGTATTCCTGCCAAAATCTCATATTGAAATGCAATCCCCAGTGTTAAAAGTGGGGCATGGTGGGAGGTAACTGGATCATGGGGTTGGATATTTCTTGAATGGTTTAGCACGATACTCCTTGGTACTGTCCTCATGATAATAAATGAGTTATTATGAAATCTGATTGTTTAACAGTGTGTAGCACTCCCCCCCTACTCTCTTGCTATTGCTTTTGCCATGTGACATGCCTGCTCCCCCTTCACTGTCCATTGTGATTGTGAGCTTCCTTTGACCTCCCAGAAGCCAAGCAGATGTCAGCGCCATGCTGTAAAGCATGCAGGACTATGAGCTAATCAAACCTCTTTTTTTGTAAATTACTCAGTCTCAAGTAGTTATCTATAGCAATGCAAGAACAAACTAACACAGAAAACTGATATTAGGAGTCGGGTATTGATATAAGGATAGCTAAAAATGTGAAAGTAGCTTTGGAATTAGGTAACGAGCAGAGGCTGGAAGAGTATGGAGGGATCGGAGAATACAGGAAGGTGAGGAAATGTTTGAAACATTTTAGAGACTAGTTAAATGGTTGTGACCAAAATCCTGATATGGACAATAATGTTCAGGTTGAGGAGGTCACAGATGGAAATAAGAAAATTATTTGGAACCAAGGTATACATCATTTTTGCTATGCAAAGAACTTTTGCTTAGCAAAGAACTTGGTGGCATTGTGCCCCTGCCCTAGGAATCTGTGGAACTTTAATCTTGAGAGTGTTAATTTAGGATATCTGATGGAAAAAATCTCTAAGTAGCAAAGTTTTCAAGATTTGGTGGTTGCTTCTACCAGGCTTTCTCACATGTGTGAATAAAGAAATGACTCAAAGCTGGAACTTATATTTAAAATCAAAGCAGAGCATATAAGTTTGGAAAATTTGCAGCCTGGCCATGTGATGGAAAATAAAATCCTATTTTCAGGGGAGAAATTCAAACAGTATGCAGAAATTTGCATAACTAAAAAAGAGGCAAATGCCGATAGCCAAGCCAGTGGGAAGAAGGCCTCAAAGGCATTTCAAGAGATCTAAGAGGCAGCTTCTTCCATCACAGGCCCAGAGGCCTAGGAGGACAGAATGGTTTCATGGGCCAGGCCCAAGGCCCCACTGCCCTGTAGAGCCCCAGGACACTGTTCCCTGCAACCTGGCTGCTGTAGCTGAAGCCATGGCTCAAGGGTGCCCAGATACAGCTTGAGCTGCAGCTCCAGACGGTGCAAGCCATAAACCTTGACAGCTTCCATGTGGTGTTAAGCCTGCAGGTACACAGTGCAGGAATTGAGGCTTGAGAGCCTCCACCTAGGTTTCAGAGGATGTATGAAAAAGCCTGGGTGTCCAGGGAGAAGCCTGCTTCAGTGGCAAAGCCCTCACAGAGAACCTCAACTAGAGCAGTGCAGAGGGGAAATATGCAGTTGAAGCCCCCACACAGAGTCCATACTGGGCACTGCCTACTAGCTGTGAGAAAAGGGATACCATCCTCCAGACACCAGAATAGTAGATTCATGAACAGCTTCCATCCTGTACCTGAAAAAGCTGCAAGCACTCAACAACCTGTGAGAGTGACCTCCAAAGCCAACAGTGCAAAGCCACAGGGATGGAGCTGCCCAAGGCCTTCGGAGTTTACTCCACACAGTATTGTGCCCTGGATGTAGAAAGTAGAATCAAAAGGGATACTTTTGGGGCTTTAAGTTTTAATGGCTGCCCTCTTAGGTTTTGGACTTGCATGGGTCTGTGGCCCATTTCTTTTGGCCAATTTCTCCCTTTAGGAGTAGGAATGTTTACCCAATGCTTCTACCTTTATAGTATTCCTCTGCCCAAATTTCATATTAAAATGTAACCCCAATGTTGGAAGTGGGTCCTGGTGTGAGGTGATTCGATCATGGAAGTAGATATCTCATGAATGGTTTAGCACCATTCCACTTGGTACTGCCTTCAGGATAGTGAGAAAGTTATCACGAGATCTGATTGTTTAAAAGTGTGTAGCACCTCCTCTCTCACTCTTTTGCTCTTACTTTCATCATTGAGGTACCCATTCCTCTTGACTTTCCACCACGATTGTAAGCTTCCTGAGGCCTCACAAGAAGCAGATGCTGCTATGCTTCCTATACAGCCCTCAGAATCATGAGCCAAATAAACTTGTTTTCTTTATAAATTACCCAGTTTCAGGTGTTACTTTATAGCAATGCAAGAATTGACTAATACAGTATTTGTGTTATTTCTAATTTTTGTTTTTCTGTTATCGATGTTCACATTCATTGTAGGATAGTTGGATGAGATGCTTTGAAGATCTCAATATTTCTAAATTTATTAAAATTTGTTTTAGGTATTCACATATGCTCAATCCTGATGAATGTTCTAAGGGCACTTGACAAAAATTTGTAATATGCTGTTATTAGGTGAATATTAGATGGAATGTTCTATCAATGTATGTTAGGTCTAGTACATTTATAACATTATAAATAATCCATTTACCTGTCTTCTGTCTGCATTTTTGGTCCATTATTGAAGGTACAGATTCTAACTATTTTTTTTAATTTTCTATTTTTCTCTTCAATTCTGTCAATGTTTGCTTTGTGTATTTTGGTGCTTTGTTAACTGATAACTATATATTCAAATTGTTATATATTCTTGATTAATTAATCTTTTATCAATATATAATTTACCATATTGTCTCTTGAAAAAGTTTTTATTTAAAGTGTATTTTGTCTGGTATGAATACAGACTTCAGTTCTTCTTTGGTTACTCTTTTAATCAGATATATATATATTTTTCTTTTTTCCTTTTCAACCTATTTGTGTCTTTGAATCTCAAGTGAGTATATAGCATATAATTGAATCATTTAAAAAATATCCCTTTTGTCAATCTTTCTTTTTATTGATCCTTTTACATTTGAAGTAATTGCTATTAAGGAAAGCCATACTTCTGCCATTGTGCTGTTATCTCCTGTATGTCCTATACATTTTTTCTCTCATTTCCTCCATCAATAGCTTCTTTTCCAATTAACAGGTTTTTATGTGTTGTTTCATTTTAATTCTCTTTCCATTTCCTTATAGGTATAGTTTTGGTATTTTCTTTTGGTTTCCATGATAATTACTATTAAAATTCTCAATTTATAATAATCTATTTTGAATTGGTAGCAACTTAGTTTTTATAGCACACAAATATCTGATTTTACATATGTTGTTACTGTCACAGATTACAACTTTATGTATTGTCTACCATTAACATGGATTCATGATTACAGTTGCATGAATTCACCTTCTAAATCTTTAGGAACCAAAAAAAGTTACAACTGAAAATTCGGTAATAGAGGCTTATATCTTTACCAACTGATATAGTTTGTATATTTGTTCCTGCCCGAATCTCATGTTGAATTGTAATCCCTAATGTTGGAGGTGGAGCCTGGTGGGAGGTGATTGGATCATGCAGTGGATTTCTCACAGATGATTTACCCCACTACCCACTTGCTGCTGTTTGCATGATAGTGAGTGAGTTCTCATGAGCTCTGATCATTTAAAAGAGTGTGGTGCCTCCAACCCCACTCTCTATTGCTCTTGCTTTCACAATATGTCGTGCCTACTTCCTCTTCCACCATATTGTAGACTTCCTGAGGCATCCCTAGAAGCTGAGCAGGTGCCAGCACCATGCTTTCTGTAAAGCCAGCATAACTAAAAAGTAATATTAAACCTCTTGCCTTTATAAATTACTAAGTCTTGGGTATTTCATTATAGCAATGCAAGAACAGTCTAATATACTAATGTAGTTACTTTTGCCAGCATTTTAAAATTCTTCCTATGACTTTGAATTATTCTCAAGTGGCATTTCATTTCATCCTGAGTGATACCCTACAGCATTTCTTGCAGGTAAGGTCTCCTAGCAGCAGACTACCTCAGGTTTTATTTACCTGGGAATATCTTAATTTATTTTTCATTTTAAAGGATAGTTCTGCCAGAAATATAATTATTGGTGGGTCTTCAAAAAATCTTATTGAAGAGCTTGTGTAGGTGATGAGTCACTTCTATCTTGCTACTTTCAAGATTATTTATTTGCCCTTAGTTTTTGACAATTTGATTATAATGTGTCTCAGCGTGGATCTCTTTATGATTATACTTCTTGGAGTTTACTGTAATTCTTGAATGTGTAGATTCATGTCTTTTATTAAATTTGAGAATAATTCAGACACTATGTGAAAATTGTTCCTGATCCTTTTTCCGTAAATTCTGTTTTTGATATCACCATTCCTTATATATTAGTATGATTGATGATGTACCACAGTTTTCTAGTTTTCTAAAATTCTTCTTCTTCTTTTTTTTTTTTTTTTTGAGATGGAGCCTCTCTCTGTCACCCAGGCTGGAGTGCAGTGGCACTAACTTGGCTCACTACAAGCTCTGCCTCCCGGGTTCATGCCATTCTCCTGCTTCAGCTGCAGGAGTAGCTAGGACTACAGGCGCCTGCCACCACGCCTGGCTAATTTTTTGTATTTTTAGTAGAGACGGGGTTTCACCATGTCAACCAGGATGGTCTCGATCTCCTGACCTCATGATCCACCCGCCTCAGCCTCCCAAAGTGCTGGGATTACAGGCGTGAGCCACCGCGCCTGGCCCATTTAAAGTCTTTCTCTAGAAAATCTAATGCTTTCATTAAGGGAAGTTTTATTTATTTCTGCTTAATAGGTCAGTTTCTATTTTCTTTCCATGCTCCATTTATTTTTGTTAAAAACTAGATGTTTTGAATATTATAACTCTGAACATCAGACTCTTCTCTTTTCTTCTATTTTTCCCCTTGTTGTAGGCTACTGCCTTCATTTGTTTAATGACTTTACTAATGTTTTTGAGAAGTTTATGTTTTTTTTTTATGTTTGGCCTCTGAAGTCTCTGTTCTTCTTAGCTTGCATTCAGCTAATACTGAGAGAATTATTTAACTATAAGATAACTGGATCTATCTATCTATCTATATCTATCTATCTATCTATCTATCTATCTATCTATCTATCTATCTACCTATCCATCACCTCTCTCTATAGAGACAGAAATAGAGTTTGTGAGAGAGAGAGGTGAAAAATCCTCTGCAAGGCTGCTGAAAAATTTTTGCTGGGGTGCTCCTTCAATCTGTATTTAGGACATTTACAACACCATCTTACTCATTATTACCTGCTCATATTTTATTTCAGTATTTTTCTATCTAGAATAATGAATTACTATATTTACTACACATGAGAATTGTCAAGTAAAATTGCAAATATATGTTCTTATAAGCACTTAGAATAAATATTTTGTTAATATAAAAGTTACATAATTTTAATCTTATTTTTCGCTTTTATAAAAAATGTGTACAGGTCATTCAAGTAACATTAATCAGTATTTTTTTAAATGAAACTTTCTATATTTTCCAACTCTTGGTTTTAATATCAATATTTGAAATAGGTCTAATAGATATAGCAATAAATGTGAATTGGTACTCAGTTTTTTATCTATAGTTCTGCTTATTTTTACCTTCAGAGAAAGAGGAAAGAGGGAACTATTAGTAGGCAAATGACTTAACAAAAATATTGTTTTTAAGTAGCCTAAGTACCAGGCAACAGTAATTTCTGCTCATAACCAAGTGAAAGAAAAACTACTGTGTACTCTCTCATCTTTTATAATGATAGAAATTACATCATTGTCACGTTAATATTTATGATACTTTATTGTTGAAAAGTTCTGCATTGTGAGCATCATTACTGTGATTTTTTTGAAATATAATCAATTTTTATTCCAGTAAAATTACAACTGAGAAGGAAAAAAATTAAGTCTGGGTCTTATTGAAATGATCTCAGCAGATCATGCTAAGATTATAGCAGTGAGTGTATAACGGCACCCTTCTCAGAATACCATCATACTCCAAAGACAGACTTGGTTAGCCAGAGTAACAGAGTCAATGATAAGTTTCATAAATAAAAATAATGTATACCCCTACACAGTTCTCATTTTTATGGTAAAATTAATACTTCTCATAATTTTCTTCAACTTATAATATAGTAAGCTTATTTTATTAACAAAATGCACACAAAGTTTTGCTTAATTTTTTTAAATATAGAGAAATGCTAAGCGGACACATTTCTGGTGCAGACTTGCATTTTTTAGATTAAAGGGGTACATGTGCTTATTTATTACACGGATATTACAAATGCAATGGTGGAGGTTGGGCTTCTAGTGTACCTATCACCCAACATTGTACCTAATAAGTAATTTTTCAACCCTCACCCTCATCCAAATCAATCCCTTTTTGGAGTCCCCATAGTCTATTCTCTCTGTCTTTATATCCTGTGTATCAGTTATTTAGCACCCACATGTTAGTGAGAACATGCAATATTTGATTTTGTGCTTCAGAGTTTACTCAGGATAATGACCTCCAGCTTCATCCATGTTTCTGCAAAGGACATGACTTCATTCTTTTTATGGCTAGGTAGTATTTCATGGTGTTTATATACCACATTTTCTTCATCCAATCAACTACTGGTAGACAATTAAGTTGGTTCCATGACTTTGCTGTTAAAAGTAGTGCTGTGATAAATGTACAAGTGCAGATATCTTTTTTATATAATTATTCCTTTTCCTTTGGATATATAGTCTGTAATGAGATTACTGGTTCTAATGGCTGTTCTATTTTTAGTTTTTTGAGATGATACTGTCTCATTATACTGTTTTTCCTAGAGGATGAACTTATTTCCACTCCCACCAACAGTATATGAGTTTATCTTTTTCTCCGTATCCACACCAACATCTGCTACTTTTTGACATTTTAATAAAAGCTACTCTGACTAGTATAATGTAGTATCTTAGTGTGGTTTTAATTTGCCTTTCTGTGGTGATTAGTGATGCTGAGAATTTTTTCATGTTTTTTGGCCTTTTGTATTTTTATTCTTTTGACAAACGTCTGTGCATGTTCTTTGCCCAGTTTTTAATTGGGTTGTTTTTTTTCTTGTTGAGTTGAGTTCCTTGTAGATTCCAGATATTAGTTGTTTGTCATAGGCATAATTTGTGAATATATTGTCCCATTCTGTAGGTTGCCTGTTTATTATGTTGACTATTTCTTTTGCTAGTCACAAACTTTTTAGTTTAATTAAGTCGCATTTATTTATTTTTATTTTTGTTGCATTTGCTTTTGTGGTCTTTGTCATAAATTTTTGGTTAGGCTGATGTCTTGAAGAGTTTTTCCTAGGTTTTCTTCCAGAATTTTTATAATTTCTGATCTTACGTTTAAATATTTAATCCATGTTGAGTTAATTTTTGTATGGAATGAGAAATAAGATTCCACTTTAATTATTCTGCATATGGCTAGCCAGTTTTCCCAGCACTACTTATTGAAAAGGGTATCTCCTTTCTTCCTTGTTTATTTTTTTCAACTTCATCAAAGATCAGTTGGGTGTAGCATGTGGCTTTGTTTCTGGGTTATCTGTTCTATTTTATTTATCTATGTGTCTATTTTTCTACCAGTAACATGCTGTTTTAGTTGTTATAGATATGTAGTATAACTTGAAGTCATGTAAGATGATGCCTCCGAATTTGTTCTTTTTACTTAGAAGTGCTTTGACTATTCAGGCTGTTTTTGGTTCCATAAGAACTTTAGAATTGCTTTTTCTAATTCTATGGAAAATGACATTGGTAATTTGGTAAGAGTTACATTCAATCTGTAGATGGTTTTGGGCAGTGTAGATATTTTAATAATGTTGGTTCTTCCAATCCATGATCATGTGATTTTTTTTCATTTGTTCGTGTCATCTACAATATCACCCATAATTTTTTACGGTTATTTTTATAGAGATTTTTTTTCCCTCCTTTGTTAAATATATTCCTAGATATGTATTCTTTTGTAGCCATTATAAATCAAATTGAACTCTCAATTTGGTTCTCAGCTTGAACGTTATTGATGTATAGAAATGGTACTGATTTTTGTACATTGATTTAGTATCCTGAGACTGTACTAAAATTGCTTATCAAGTCTAGGAGTCTTTCGGGTTTCTAGGTATACAATAATGTCACCTGCAAAGGAAGATAATTTGACTTTTTCGTTTCCAACTTGGATGTATTTTATTTCTTTCTCTTGCCAGATTTCTCTGGCTAGGACCTCCAGTACTTTGCTGAATAGGAGTGGTGACAGTGGGCATCCTTACCTTCTTCCAGTTTTTAGAGAAAATGCTTTCTACTTTTCTGCATTCAGTATGAAGTTGACTGTGGGTTTGTCATACATGGCTCTTATTATTTTAAGGTATGTTCCATCTGTACCTAGTGTGATGAGGGTTTCTTTAATGAAGGAATGTTGGATTTTTTTAAAATCCAAAATTTTACTGCATCTATTGATATGATTATATGGTTTGTGCTCTTAGTTCTGTTTTTGCGGTGGACCAGGTTATTAAATTTCATATGTTTAACAATCCTTGAATCCCTGGAATGAAGCCCACTGAATCATGGTAAATTATCTTTTTGATGTGCTGTTAGATTAGATTTTCTAGTATTTTGTTGAAGATTTTTGCATCTATGTTCTTCAGGAATATTGGCTTGCAGTTTTTTGTTATGTTCTCAGCTGATTTTGTATCTGGGTGATACTGGACTTGTAGAATGAGTTAGGGAGGAATCTTTCCTCCTCAATTTTTTGGAGTAGTTTTAAGAAGATTGGTACCAGCTACTTTTTGCATATCTGCCAAATTTCAGCTGTGAATCCATCTAGTTATGGACCTTATTTTCCTTGGGATATTTTTTATTACTGATTAGATTTTATTGCTCATTATTAGTCTGCTTAGGGTTCTATTTCTTTTTCTTTTTTTTTTTTTTTTTGACAGAGTCTTGCTCGGTCACCCAGGCTGGTATGCAGTGGCGCGATCTCGGCTCACTGCAAGCTCTGCCTCCCGGGTTCACACCATTCTCCTTCTCAGCCTCCCGAGTAGCTGGGACTACAGGCACCCACCAGTGCGCCTGGCTAATTGTTTGTATTTTTAGTAGAGACGGGGTTTCACCACATTGGCCAGGATGGTCTTGATCCCCTGACCTCATGATCTGCCCTTCTCAGCCTCCCAAAGTTCTGGGATTACAGGCGTGAGCCACCGCACCTGGCCCAGTTCTATTTCTTACTAGTTCAATCTTGAGAGGTTTCATAAACTATAATTGTTTCATAAATGCAGTATAAGTTTTGTTTCACTATTTTCATAGAAAGAGTCAGTTCTAGTAATTTGTCTATTTTTCCTCTTTCTTTGCCTCTGCTTTTGAGGTCATATCCCAAAAATTGTGGCCCAGGCCAATGTTGAGGTGCTTTTCCATTATTTTTTCTTCTAGTAGTTTTACAGTTTTTAAGTCTTATGTTGAATTCTTTAATCCAGTTTGATTTGACTTTAGTATCTGATGTCAGATAAGAAGGCAATTTCATTCCTCTGCAGGTAGATGTCCAGTTTTCCCAATACCATTGATTGAAGAGATTGTTCTTTCCCTATTGTGTTTTAGGTAGTTTATTTGAAAATCAACTGACCATAAATGCTTGGATTTATTCTGGGCTTTCTATCCTGTTCCGTTGTTTGATGTGTACAGTTTCATGGCAGTACCGTGATATTTTGATTTTAATTGCTTTGTAACATATTTTGAAATCAAGTAGTGTGATGACTGCAGCTTTGTTCTTTTTGCTCAAGACTGTTTTGGCTATTAGGGGTCTTTTGTGGTTCCATATGAATTTAAACTTTTATTTCCATTTCTGTGAAAAATTACATGAGAATTTTCTTAAAGATTGCAATGAAGCTGTGGATCATTTAGGGTATTATGGACGTTTTAACAATATTAACTCTTCTAATCCATGAACATAGGATATCTTTCCATGTATTTGTGTTTTCTTCCATTTCTTTTATCAGTGTTTTATAGCTTTCAGTATAAACGTCTTTCACCTCCTTGGTTAAAATTATACATAAGTATTTTATTTGTTGCCATTGTAAATGGGATTGTTTTCTTAATTTTTTGTGAACAGTATGTCATTCATGTATAGAAATGCTATTTATTCTTGTATACGTCAATTTTGTGTCATACAACTTTACTGAATTTAGTGTCAGTTCTAACACTTTCTTGGTGAAGTCTTTCGGGCTTTTAAGATATAAGATCATCTTGTTAGCAAATAGAGACAATTTCATTTTTCCCTTTAAATTTAGATGCCTTTTGTTTCTTTCTCTTGCCTGATTGCTCTGGTTAGGAGTTCCAGCACTATGTTGAAAAGAGATGGGCCTTGTCTTGTCATTAATCTTAAAGAAAAACCTTTTATATTTCTACTGTTGGGTAAAATATTACCTATGGATTTGTCATATGTAGCCTTTGTTGTTTTGAGGTACACTCCCTCTCTACCTGATCCATTGAGAATTTTATCATGAAAAGGTATTAAATTTTGTCAGATGCCTTTTCTGCATCTATTGAGATTACCATATAATTTTATCATTAATTTAGATAATGTGGTGTATCACATATAATGATTTGCATATGTTCCAGTATCCTTGTATCCTAGGGATACATCCCACTTGATTGAGGTGAATTATTCTTTTATTGCTTTGCTAAATTTGGTTTCCTAGTATTTTCTTGAGGATGTTGTGTATATGTCCACATGGAATATTGGCTAGTAATTTTCTTGTAGTGTCCTTGTGTGGCTTTGGTATCAAGGTACTACTGTAAATATTAACTGAGTTTGGAAAGAAATCATTCTGTCTACTTTGATTTTTTGCAGAAGTTTGAGAAACATTAGTAATAGTTTTTAAATGTTTGGTAGAAATCAGCAGTGAAGGCTTCAGGTCCTGGGCTTTTCTTTGATGGGAGATTTTGTATAACTAATTCAATTTCTGTGCTCATGTTTCTGTTCAGAATTTATATTTTTTTATGATTCACTCTTGGTAAGTTATATGTGTCTAGGAATTTATCAATTTCTTCTAGATTGCTTTTTGTTGTCATATAATTATTTACAGTAGTTCCTTATAAGCCTTAGTATTTCTGTGGTATCAGTTGTAATGTCTCTCCTTTAATTTCTGATTTTATTTATTTGAATTTTCTGTACTTTTTTTCTAGTTTGTCTAGATAAAGATTTGTTGGTATTGTTTATCTTTTTAAAAAACCCAAATCTTAGTTTCATTGTTTTCTTCTATTGTTTTTTATAGTCTCTTATTTATTTATTCTACGATCTTTGTCATTTCCTAAGTTCTGCTAACTTTGGGCTTAGTGTGTTTCTTTCTTTCTAGTTCCTGAGGTGTAACATTGGGTTATTTATTTGAGATCTTTCTTGTTTTTGATATAAGTATTTATTGCTATAACTTTTCCTCATAGCACTGTTTTGCTGCATCCCATAAGTTTTGGTATGTTGTACTTTCATTTTCAATTGCCTTAGATATTTTCTGATTTTTATAAATGTATTTTGTTACCCTTGGTTGTTTAGGAGCATGTTGTTGAACTTCCAATATTTGTGTATTTTCCAAGATGCCTTCTGTTTTTGATTTCTATTTCATACTGTCTTAAAAGATACTTGATATAATTTTAATTCTTTTAACTTTGGGCCAAGTGTTGTGGCTCATGCCTGTAATCCTAGCATTTTGCGTGGCCGAGGCAGGAGGCTCACTTGAGCTCAGGAGTTTGAGACAAGCCTGGGCAACATAGGCAGAACTTGTTTCTACAGAAAGTTTGAAAAAATAGCCAAGTGTGGTGGCACACACCTGCAGTCCCAGCTTCTTGGGTGGCTGAAATGGGAGGATCACTTGAACCCAGGAGTTTGAGGTTGCAGTGACCTGTGATCACACCACTACACTCCAGCCTGGGCAACAGAGCGAGAGCTGGTCTTGAAAAATAAAATCTTAACTTTGTTAAATTTCTGCACAACAAAGGAAATAATTAGCAAAGTAAAGAAAAACCCATAGAACAGGAAAAAATACTTGCAAACCATATATCTGATAAGGGTATAATACCAAAGATATATAAGAGCAAAAAACTCAATAGCAAGGAAACAAGTACATCAATTAAAAATGGGCCAATAACTTAAATAGACATTTCTCAAAAGATAATATAAAGAATGCTAATAAGTACTAGAAAAAATGCTCAGCAACACTCATTACTAAGGAAATGCAAATTAAGATTACAATGAGATATCACCTCCACCTATTTGAATGACTTATATCAAAAACAGGAAAAATAATAAGCACTGTTGGAGATATGGAGAAAAAAGGAATTATTATACATTGTTGGTATGTGAATTAGTATAGCCATCATGGAAAATAGTTTGGAAAGTCCACCAAAAAAATAAAAACTTAACATAAAAAAATAAAAACTTAACTATCATTTGATCCACCAATCCCTCCTCTTGGTGTATGTACCTAAAAGATTTAAAACCAATATGTTGAAGAGGTAGCTGCACTTCCATGTTCACCACAACATTATTCACAATAGTCAGGATATGGAATCAATCTAAGCATCCATCAGTGAATGAATGAATAAAGACATTACCATATACATACACAATGGAAAATATTCAGCATTTTACAAGAAGAAAACTGTCATTTGTGATAATGTAGATGAACCTGGAAGACATTATGCCAAGTGAAATAAGCCAAGGTACAAAAAGATAAATACTACATAATCTCACTTCTATATGGCAGCTAAAAATAGTTGAACTCATAGAAGTGGAGAGCAGAATGATGGTTACCAGAGGCTGTCCTGAGTTAAGGGTTGGGGAGGGAGGAAATGGGGAGTTATCAGTCAATGGAAACAATGTTTTGATAGAAAGGAGCAATAAGTTTTGAGATCTATTTCAAAGTAAGACAGTACATTTCAAATGCCTCATTATATAAATAACAGGTATATGAGATGATGGGCATGTTAATTAGCTTTATTTATTCCACAATTATATCTATGTCAAAATATCACATTGTACCTCACAAGTGTATACAATTATGATTTGTCAATTAAAACAGTTGTAATTTTTAAGAAGAAAAAATGTTCTAACATAATATTTCTCATTCATAGGCTAGTGAACCAATGTGAGGATTCTGTCATTTGCTGAGTATGTTTATTTCAATGACAAATCCTAGAATTCAGAAAAAAACTGTGGAATATGTTCATAGATGCACTGGGTTCTCCATGGTCCTACTCAAATTTCAGTTTGGCAGGTATTCAGTCACACCTGAAAAGTTTGGTAATTTCTCTTCCTGAGTGACAGACCTGGTAAATGTGCAGCCAAATTACATTGCCTTAACCATATGCAGCTTTACTTTTCTCACATAAGCAAAGTCCAGGATGGTGTACCTACTAAAAGATATGATCAAGGAATCCCTCCATCTTTTCAGTTTTATTTTCATTAATGCATGTTTTTGGTTCAGCCTATGATGGGAAGGCTTTTCTTTTGGTCTGGTTATCCTCACAGAGAGAATTGGGTCAACAATCTTATTTTCTGTTGAAATTTTTGTTTGGTATGCATATATTATGCATAAATCTATTTGGGGACAATTAAGAAAGTGAATTAGGGTATAACATATAGTAATGAAGCAGATTCTTTTTCAGGGGGACTGGCTTTCTCTTTATTCAAGAAAATCTGGATGTTTGAACAGGGTCAAGTCAAACTTGGTTAAAGGACTAGGGATCTCCAGTGTAATTATTTAATTTTGACTTTATTTATTTTTACAAAACTCAGAATTTTATCTTTTTTACAAGTTAAGTCTTCACTAGGCTGCCCATCTATTTCAGTGCAAGGTACAATATAATCAATTAGCCAACATCAAAGATCTCTGATTAAAACATTTAAATTTAAAAGATTAAAAATGGTGATGACTAGTTTATTTTATTTTATTTCATTTTGCCCAGCAGAGTAACAACGTCCACTACATCTCTAGTGATTAAGTGCTACCTTTGGCCACCCCAGGATCCAATCAGACTAATTGAATCCAGGGAAACCAGAATTATGGCAGCCATTCTTATGGTCATCCCTGGCCTGCAGAAGATATTTAACACAAAGCTCTTCAACGGTGTTGAAACTCTCCTCACCAATAGACTTCTCAAAACCTTGGTGAAGCAAATATTCATAGAAACATTCCAGGAAAAATAAGGAGAAGATGTGTGAATAAGTACTTCATAGAAAATCCATTCTAGCCCTCCAGTTTCCCTAGGCATTTTAATACAGTCCTCTATGGTACACCAATGAAATTGTGGCATTTCACTTAATACACTATAGAGTACTTTGGTGTCCAGGTTTCAGTTAACCAACTAAGCAATGTTTTAGAGCCATTCATAGCTGCTTGAGCTAGCAAATTGAATCCAGTACATCTGCCAAACCCATTTATGAAGAGCTGGGACATAATCCAAAATTATATTCACTTTCTTCTTATCCAAACTTCAAAGGATCAATTCCTATGCATATTCCCCAGGTTTCAGTTAATATAAATTGGTAAACTCTTGCAATATTGAAATGCTTTCAGTGTATATACTAACAATTTTCTATAATCTTTATACCAAATTCATTTCTGATACCAATAGGGAACCAAATCCCTAGGTGTATTGTAGAAAAGGAATTTATTATAAGAATTAAACCTTACACAATTATGTGAGAAGATATGGAAATAAATATTTGCAAGGAAGAATTGAGTCATCCAAGGCAGGTCATTCATCAACCCTGGTATGGAAGAATGAGCCTGATCTTACATGGTAATCTGGAAGCTATGGATGTGCAGCTGCTGCAATAGGACTGTGCAAAGTCTATGAAACATTGTTGGCTTTTTAGGTCTTGCCTCTTTAAATGTTCATCGTAGGGCTAGGTTTGCTGTTGCTTGGCTGGGTTAGCAATTGGAAATAAAATATAGACACTGAGCTGGAAGAACAAGAACAAAATGGCATCACTTTGCCTGCCTCCCACCACTTCTAACCAATGGTCACCTTCAGAACTTTATGACTAACATTTTGCTTTCACCTTCCAAATAATACACAACCCAAACAATATGATTGCAATGTGGAATCATATAAACAAGGGGATTCTGGAAAACCCAGTTGATGATACAACAATCCAACTTAATATATTCATCCCAAACAAAAATCTCAACAGGAAATCAGATTGTTGACCCAATTCTCTCCATGAGGACAACCAGACCAAAAGAAAAGCCTTCCCACCATAAGCTAGATAAAAAAAACATACATTAATGAAAATAAAACTGAAAGATGGAGGGATTTCTTGATCATATTCTTTAGTAGCTGCATCATCCTGGACTTTGTTTATGTGAGAAAAGTAAAGCTGCATATGGTTAAGTCAATGTAATTTGGCTGTCTAATACATGCAGCCAAATATAATCATAGTGGATAAATAATTTGGTACTGGAAGTATGATACCAAAAAGGGGAGAAATTTCACCAGCGATTTAGACCCTAGCTCCAAGATCATGCTGTCCCAAAAGATAAGCAAAGGATATCGGACAGTATGTGAAGCAAATGCTTCCTGAGAGCTATCAGCATATCAAAGCCATAGCTCCAGGAAGATCTAAATGGAACAAGACATTATAAAATAAACAGAAGCAATAATCAGGAATTTAAATTAGGGTAGAAGAGATAAATTTCTTTATTGTAAGCCACATAAATATCCAGAAACCCAATGTCAACTCTGTATTCCGAAATCTTGGATGACTAATACTGAAGATTGTATTTGATAATATAGGAATATATGATGTAAGAGCTGACAATTTGCCAGCAGAGATAAAATATAAAAACAAAAGTAGGAATGTGAAATGTGCAAATCTAATTAATGAAGGAACCTTATGTACATCATCAGTCTCAAGGATGAAAATTGGAGTGTTGATTTGAAAAAGTGTGTGCGTTTAGTGTTATGAAATCTGCAGTTCCAAACATGCCTCCTCAGGTACTTGCCCTAAGTTGTGAATAAGAGATTAAAATAATCAGGCTAGCTCAATTATGGCTCCATTGTTTCAGTGTAGAATAATGGGTTTATTCTACAGAATTAAAGAATTGCTTCCCACTTCAGAAGTCACATATCTGTCTATGAGTCACTGAGATGGCTGATGAATGGAAATAAGATGGAATAAAATGATAACGTATAGGAATATTATTTAATTCTTAATTCCTAAATGATAGAAACAAAAGCTATATTTAAAAGAACAGAATGGAAATGTGTTTATTAAGCTTCCTATGCCTATTCAAATCAATATAAATCAAATGATTTGAGTTTTTATGAAATCCAGTCCTTAATGACTTGCTACTCTAGTAGATACTAGATCAGTTATACACACTCAAGTATAACTGATTATAGCTGCAAGGCAGAATAATATGGTAATAAATGCCTAGACCTGCATTTGGTTCTTAGGTCTACCATACATTGGCTATACAATCTTGGGGAAATTTTTAACCTTTTTGAGTCTCAGTTTCCTATGCTATAAAATTGAACAGTAATGTATATTAGCAAGTTTTTATGTGGACTTTATGTGTTACTTAATGTAACATAATAGGTTGTTTTTAAAAGTAGCTATAGAGAGTTTGTTTCCATATTTTTTCTTGGAAATCTCAGTGTTTTATGAAACATCCTGGTGAAGACATCTGGAGACCGGAGGGATGTCACAGGAATATAGGTCTGCTACAGCTAGCTCTGCTTTTTTCTGTTTTTAATCTTGAGATTTCAAGTAAGATTTTGTTTAAAATTTGGCTAGTGATAGAACTGTAATACACTTCTGGATTTGATCTTTACAGTTAAGAATATTCAATCCCCATGTTTCCTTTTTAGTTCTCGTAATTTTTTGAAAGAGGTGTTTCAACTCTACATTACAGAAAAAATAAAAGAAAGCTTTGAGTTTTAAGAGCTATGACTAAAATCTGTATCTTTGAACCCTAATATCAGGGCTTTTGATTCTTTAAATTTCTCAATACCTTTATGAGACAGAAAAGACAGTACCAGTATATGATGAAAAATCTCAGAAGATGGGGTGTGAATTGAATGTGTTGAGGGCTAGAACAGAGCACTTTCCATACTGCTCCAGAACTGTCTTTTGCTCAGCCTTCTAAGAGTCAAATTTATACCATGCTGTGTTATTAGATGGTTAAGGTATTAAATAACTTTTTATCTCAGACATCTACCTTCTTGTATTATCTGAGCCTCAACATTTTAGGTGGTAGTTAAGAGTCATTGTGCTTCTGATTTGAAAATAAATATATTCCCAATCCCCAATTATCTGTTTCTTAGTAATATTAAATTTCATTTGGTTTTTAGAATTTGAGAAGTGTTTTATAAAATATCTCCCAATTTTTCCTTTGGTGAATTTTGAGTCCTGATATTTGAATCAGTCATATTTTTGACAGAAAAATAATACTTCATAGTCAAAGCACTCTAATATATTTATATTATTGAAAGTTTTCTTCTGAATCATTGACATATATATTAAAAAATCTGTTAAGTTTATATTTAGAAAACAAAATAAGTTTCTATGTATCATGCTTGTATATGTGTTATCATATATACTGTGTATGTAATATATTATGTTTTATCTGTGTATCTGTGTGGTGTGTGTCTGTGTGTGCACATAGGATAAAATTTATTATTTTTATGTTAAGTTTTAAGTTAATGTACTCAGGATGAAATGATTATTTATACATGATTTTAAGCCAAACACTTGGTTATTCTTCCTGTATTCAAATGCAAAGCCAAGAATAAGATTATCTAAAATCTTCCACACCTACTAGAATACAGATTAAACTAATTAGTTAGAAAAAGGGACATTCCTACCCTTCTCCAACAAACAGAATATAAATATTTTGAATTTTTTCCTACTTATGACTTTGTTCTCTATCTAATTTTACCACGTTAGGTTTTCTCTTTCTTGAGCTGTAGTGGCTGGGCCCCTAAATTTTCATGCTATTTGAAACTTTGCCCCTTGAATGCCTAGCATCACTATCATACATTTAGTAAATTTTCATTATTTTCAAATGCATGTTCTAGAAGAACCAGTTCTTAGAAGTGAATATCTTCAATATCAACAAGTATTTTGTAAGAAAGTTTGTTTGGGAAATAATGGGAACAATTATATTAAATTTATTTATTTACATCTTAGAGTGTTAATATTTTTCACAGAATACATCCAACTAATAATGTTTCATGGGACAAAGTTTGAGAAATTCTGATCTGCTTTATGATATGTTGTCCTGTTTATATACTTGAAAGAATGTGCTTAACGAATAAGGAAACTGGAATGAACAATGCAGATTTTGAAATTTTATTTATGATCCTATTTCATACTGTGAGAAAATAGCTTTTCTTCTCAAGAAATAGTAATTTGGTCAGAATCCTTGTAAAGGATGATTCAGAGAAAGAGGACACTATCCTTTCTCTTTAATATATACTCATCCAAAGCAATTATAATGCATCTTAGTTCTTAAATAAGAATTTAATTGAGAGTAGAAATACAAAGGATATTCAAATAGTATCCGTTACAGAGTTCTGGATAGGTCCTCCTCCTCTTCAGCGGTCTTCATTTCCTTTGTATTCTTTCTTCTTTAAACATCTGACTCTTACAATGTCCTTTAGTTCAGTTAGCACACAAAACTTTTTATTCTTCTTGCATGGACACTACCTGTCACTCAGAACACAGCAGAATTTCTTCCAGGGCTTTGTACTTTTATAGCTGCTTTCATCCAGGGATGTCATAAAACCTGGCAAACATGATCTCATTATTCCTCAGGTTATTCCTGTGAAGTTGGTGGGTGGTCAGTATTATTATTCCAATTTTGTAGGGTGTTTTGTCCAGTTTGCATAAAGTCTTACTGTTTATATTATGCAGCTTTTATGAGTGAGAAATCTGACCAAGGACATAGAGAATACAATGTAGACCTATAAAAAAGAACTTGTGCTAACAAGAGCAACCCAGGACCTCATTCCTTTAGACATTGCTTCTCTTCTGTGTTGTAACAGGCTGTTGCTCAATTCTGACACATCATTGTTACCATTTTAAAAAATGGCTATAGTCCTTATGAGGATTATGTTATTCTGCAGTTATTTTTTCCTCTCAGTCCTAAAGATGAATAGTCTCTATAAAATACAATCTAGTGTATTAGGTGTATGTTGAACAGTATTATAAACCCACTAAATTATCTTTAAATAGCTTCATTTATATTAATTATTCATTAGGAATCACTAAACTCATTAGCCCTATTAATTCAGAACACCTATCAAGTAAGAAATATTCTTTAAGCTCTCATAATTTATTTGGCAAAAATTTGACAAAATTTGTTTGAGTGCTGAATTGGTTTTATATATTTACTACATGTTCCAGTGAAGATATATGAAATATATAGATCCTTCTCTCAATGATTTTAGAATACATTTGGGAAAAATAATAAATGTAATACTATTATACATTGTAATAAATTATATAGAAGAGGTATGTGTATCTTGATATAGAACACCAAGAAGAGTTTTTTAACTCACAGTGTTTTTAGGGTAAGTTAACTTGAACTAAATCTTGAAGGCAAGAAGAAGATAGGTGAAATGAGAAAATAAAAGCTGCCAAATGGAGATGTATAAATCATTAGTTATATTTCAAGTAAAACCATATGCATATGAGTCTAGGGATTGTTGATATAATAATTAAATATAGAACCCAAGACAAACATGGTTATAGATCTGCTTTCACTTTATAATCATGTTTATAACAAAAGAAGTTGCCTCTTTTTTTGGTGCAGAAGACATAGACTTAGATAAATTTAAAAAAAAGGATTTGGATGGAGAAGTCTTGGGAGAGGATATAAATCTTATAAAAGACTGATATATTCATGACAGATGGGGAGGTTACTTTTTCTGTCAGGCCCTGGAAAGGGGTTGAAGTGTCCTGTTTGAAACTGAGTAATTTACACTGGCTTTAAAAAATATTCAATATTTATAGGTCAGTGATTTTGTAGTTTGTAAAATACAGATAACATATTTTAAGATTTTTAAGTATACAGAAGTAGCTGTCAAGCAAAAAGATTGTTAGATATAGACGAATCACGAGGTGTGTTATATTAAAAAAAAATGTAGTAAATAAGACATGTGCATGTTAAATATAAAAAGACTGAAAAAACAAAGTATACTTAAAATTCATTAGGCACACGAGTACTAGATATTAATAATAAGGCAACTATATATGAGATTATATGCACAATCGGTACTAAATATTCAGAATACACTAAATACAGAGAAACACTTAGTATTCATGAGATCTTATTTAGGGACACGTTGGTAACATCCATTCTGCTCCTATTTCTTCTCTATCTCCCAAACACAAAAGAAATCCATGGCTGTTTATCAGGCATGTTCCTGTACCTCTCATAGACCAGGAATGTTTCACTAGCTGAAGGCACATTTCATCTGAGATCCCCTTGCTGCAACCTCACTTCTCATACTCATAACCTCACCAGTAATGAAAGTACAGTTGCAGGAGACAGAGAGAGAGACACAGAGAGAGATTGAGAATGAATGTGAACATTGTAAACCTCAGGATTCAGGTATCATGGTTCTGTATTCCTATTGTACATGTGTTAATTGTTCATAATTTTCCCCTTCACTTCTTGATATGTGTGTTTTAATCAATCTTAATAATCATGTGATTCAAGCATTTGAATTTGACTGTGAGTATCTATGTTTTACCACCTCTGGGATGGCTTGACATACTTACAGGCTACCATTGCATCAAGGAAAGTTCTTAAACAATGATATTCTTTGCTCGATACCTTTTCCCACTTATTTGTGAATATATACAGTAATCTGTAACTAAATGATACATACTAAAACACATTGTTGTGAGTTTTCAGGTTGGAGAAGCATGGGGTACAAAGGACGTAGGAGGGA
Source organism: Homo sapiens (assembly GCF_000001405.40). Classification (NCBI taxonomy): domain Eukaryota; kingdom Metazoa; phylum Chordata; class Mammalia; order Primates; family Hominidae; genus Homo; species Homo sapiens. The sequence continues at coordinate 114,801,908 of NC_000008.11, read as the reverse complement.
CATATAGACAACTATGAGGATGTCAAGTACGTATCAGGGTCAGTTTTCAGCCCATACTTGGGCTCAAATATGAACAGTGACTAGGGATTACTTAGAAGACATGTGTTTCAGAATTCTCTAGCAGAGAAAATAAGTTATACAAAAGCTTGAGATAAAAGGGAGAAGGGTTTGTGCTGAAAAAGAGAGCTAAAACTGACCAGAGAGTGTATTGAGATGGAGAGCCTGGAAATGATACCTGTATTGAGATAAAGAGTGGAAAGTCCACTAAGAACAAAGGGAACCTTAAAGGGTTTGCTGTCTTAAAAGTACACTCTGGCTACAATAATGGAATGGATGAGAGAGAGAAAGAGATAAAGAGAGAGAGATACTACTGAATAGAGATTACTTAGGAAGCAGTAATTCAAACAAGGGTTGGTGATCATCTAAATCCACAACAGCTTAACGGTAAAAGTGGAGCAGAAAATAAAAAGATTTGGATGACATTTAGAAGAATATATTATAACAATTGCTGATTGATTAATTACCTAGGGATTAGAGAGAGGGCATCTGGGATGATTCCTGCCGAGACCAGCTCGGTCGGGGAGACCCTAGCCCAGCGGCACTAGAGGAATTAAAGACACACGGAAATATAGAGGTGTGAAGTGGGAAATCAGGGGTCTCACAGCCTTCAGAGCTGAGAGCCCCGAACAGAGATTTACCCACATATTTATTAACAGCAAACCAGTCATTAGCATTGTTTCTATAGATATTAAATTAACTAAAAGTATCCCTTAAGGGAAACAAAGGGATGGGCCAAATTAAAATAATAGGTTGGGCTAGTTAACTGCAGCAGGAACATGTCCTTAAGGCATAAATCACTCATGCTAGTGTTTGTGGCTTAAGAATGCCTTTAAGCGGTTTTCTGCCCTGGGCAGGCCAGGTGTTCCTTGCCCTCATTCTCATAAACCCACAACCTTCCAGCTTGGACGTTATGGCCATCATGAACATGTCACAATGCTGCAGAAATTTTGTTTATGGCCAGTATTGGGGCCAGTTTATGGCCAGATTTTGGGGAGCTTGCTCTCAACAGATTCCCATATACCTGGCTTCAAAAGTTAAGCCATGACTTTAATTTCTGGTAGTCTGGTAAACAAAATACCCTGAAAAGTTTTCTGATATAAAAGACTTATACATTCTCAATAAAAAAATTTAAGCATCTTTAACAATACAGAGTTAGGTGTGCAAGAAATTAGGCTGACTTTCCATGGGCAGCAACAAGGAGGGGAGGTGAAAATCAGCACTGCAAGTTGACAGCAACACTATGAGAGCCTGGGAGTATTTCAGATGTCTATATGATAATCGAGAATGTAGAGATTTAACCATCAATCACTGGATGAAAAACAATCAAAAAACCCCAACATGCTGTGCTTTTGAATTGAGAAGCCTTGACTACAAATGGGACAATATAAGAAATACCAATTACAGAATGGTAGGCTATAAACCATCTACTTTACTATGCCAATAAATTCACAGCAGTTTCTTTTTAATAGTTCTTCAGGTTGTTTGTTTTTTGAAACAGGGTCTCCCTCTGTCACCCAGGCGGAAGTGCAGTGGCATGATTTGGGCTCACTGCAACCTCCACATCCCAAGTTCAAAAGATTCTCCTGCCTCAGCCTTCAGAGTAGCTGGGAATACAGGTGTCTTCCACCATGCCTGGCTAATTTTTGTATTTTTAGTAGAGACAGGGTTTCACCATGTTAGCCAGGCTAGTCTCGAACTCCTGACTACAAGTGATCCAACTGTTTCGTCCTCCCAAAGTGCAGGGATTACAGGCGTGAACCACTGTGCCAGGCCCTTCAGGTTGTTTAGAAGACAAAAAAAAAAAATCAAATGATTATTCAAGGAAAAAGCCCTTCTTCCAGACTTCCCCAATTTCTCCTCAAAAATCCTCACCAATCATGAGCTAAGAAATTTGAAATGTGACATTACTAAACATGCAACCAATAAGCCACCATAAATAAAAGCCAGCAAAAACAACCAATAAGAACGTTAGGCCCTGAATAAATTCAGATAATGAGGTATATTGCAATATAGGCTGGGCCCGGCCGCTCATGCCTAAAATCCCAGTACTTTGGGAGGCTGAGGCCGGCAGTTTGCTTGAGCCAAGGAATTTGAGACCAGCCTGAGCAATACAGTGAAACCCTGTCTCTACAAAAGAAAAAATATATACAAAAATTAGACGCTCACCTATAGTCCTAGTTGCTCAGCAGGTTGAGGTGAGAGGATTGCTTGAGTCTGGGAAGCCAAGGATGCAGTGAGCAGTGATTGTGCCACTGCACTCCAGCCTAGGCAACAAAGTGAGACTCTGTCTCAAAAATAAATAAGTAAATAAATATAAAAATATATTGCCTTATAGATCATGGAACAGAAATATTTTTGCTTTGTAATCCACAAGGTCTCCATCATAGAAACTCAAATCTGCCATTGTAATACAAAGCCAGCCACACATACTACACAGGCAAATGGGCATAGCTGTTTTCAAATAAAACTTTATTTATAAAAGTGGAAGCTAGGACAACTTTGGTTCACAGGCTACAGTTTTCCAACCTCTGTTTTATGCCAGAAATTGTGTTTAAAATGCTTTAAGAAAATATAAAATTATAAACATAAGACACATATATAACTTTTTTTAAAAGTTGAGGCAGATTTGAAAAAGAATCAAATAGAACTTCTATAATATTTAGAACATAAGGGAGCCCATGAATTCTCAATATAATAAAGCAAACAAACTTTTATAGTACAAGAAAAAGGCAGAAACACACTAGAAAAACAGAGGTAAAATATGAATAGATAACTAACAAAAAAGGAACACAAAGGGTCATTTATATGAAAGATGTTTGAGATCATTATCAATGAGAAATGTACAAAGTAAAACTTTAAGGAGATAATACTTTGCACATGTTTGACTACATAGATCAAGCAATACCAAATGATGGCAAGGGTAGAGAATACTCCGCACAAACTCTTCCACTTTTGATAAGAGTAAAGGTTGATATACATAATTCTAAGATGAACTTGGCAAGACCTAAAGACAGTGGAATATTTTATTGACCAACAATTTTACTCCTAGATTTATGCCCTAGGTAAATTTCCACAGTGTGCGGAAGCAAATGTGTATGAAATTTTCATAGCAGCTGCATTTGTAAGAAAAAAAGCTGAAATTCACCTAAATAGCAACAGAAGGATGGATTAGCTTCTCTCAAATATGAGATATTTATTTTATTGCTTTGAAAAACTGTAAACTAGTTAAAAGTACTACCAGATATAAATCTTAAAACATTAGTATTGAATCAAAGTAGTGATTAATAGAACAGACGTGATACAAATACTTTAAATGATTTTTAATGCACAAATAATATTTTATATAGCTTAGGAATGTATATCCATTGACTGAAATACCAAGACATTCATAACAAGCATAAGTATGAATTTTTGGATAATGATTATTTCTGACTAGGAAGGGTAATACGATACAGGAAGGAGTATTCAGAAGGCACAGTTTACAATACTTATTATTTAAACTGAGTCTGGGTATAAGACACATTTTATGTTATTTCTTGTTGCTTCTCTGGTATATCTAATATTTCATGATAATTATAAAGCAAGATTTATGATGTTGCCAAGCATTAAGATAGATTGTTCAGATAAGGAATCAGATTTGGTGATGGGGTGCTTGAAGAGTTGAAATAATTTGTAGATGTATTATGTTGCAGCATCTGTTTTACACAGGAGGTGCTAAATAGCAAGTGGAGACTTGATGCCCATAAGAGAGAACTGAAATGGAGGTCTTGATTTGGAAGACATGTCATATCCATGCACTGAAGCTAAGGGAATGAATAAGATCTTCCTGTGATTTCATCGTGTAGACGAATGAGAAGAGGGAAGTACCTAAGATTTAGTGGTGAGATAAAGCAACTTCAATGAAACGATCAGAGGAAAAAGATCCAAGTAATAAAAATATCACGAGTATTCAGCTCAGAGTGCAACAAAGTGCCCCAGGCCCTGCCCCTCCTCCTCTTTTAGGGGTACAATTGTTATCTGTAGCATTAAGTATTCTGGGATATTGTTGGTAGACATTCTTCAACCATTCTGCAAAAAGTTTAGTTGTGATGGGAAGAGAGAGAGAGAGAAGAAATTGATTGATGAATAAAGGGATTGTGGAGGTGTTTATTTATTTTTAAACAGATGGGGAAATATGAGTGTGTACAAGTAGCAAGTCATAAAAATGGGAACTTGATGACATAAGAATACAATAGCTAGTCTGCTATTAACACTTTGTTATGCAGCAATAGATAATGAAATTAATTAAAATCCCTTAGAAATAAAAGATCAAAGTCATGTAGAAGAGGTCCAGTTCCATAATTAATAACATAATAAAATTATAGCTTATACTTTCAGGACTAATACACATCAGTCAATGTTCTAAACAGGTTACAAATGTTAAGTCATTTGCATCTCACAATTCTATGAAATTGTACCATTATCCTTCCAATTATCACGTTATAAAGTGTTGGGAACAGGCCCCAAAATCTGGCCGTAAACTGGCCCCAAAACTGGCCATAAACAAAATTTCTGCAGCACTGTGACATGTTCGTGATGGCCATGATGGCCACGCTGAAAGTTGTGGGTTTACCGGAATGAAGGCAAGGAACATCTGGCCCACCCAGGGCGGAAAACCGCTTAAAGACGTTCCTAAACCACAAACAATAGCATGAGCGACCTGTGCCTTAAGGACATGCTCCTGCTGCAGATAACTAGCCAGACCCATCCCTTTATTTCGGCCTATCCCTTTGTTTCCCGTAAGGAATACTTTTAGTTAATCTATAACCTATAGAAACAATGCTTATCACTGGCTTGCTGTCAATAAATATGTGGGAAAATCTCTGTTCAAGGCTATCAGCTCTGAAAGCCGTAAGACCACTGATTTCCCACTCCACATGCTGTATTTCTCTGTGTGTGTCTTTAATTCCTCTCGTGCCACTGTGTTAGGGTCTCCACGACCAAGCTGGTCTTGGCAAGAAAGTGAGACACAAAAAAGTTAAGAAACCTTTTTGAGATTTGAATCTCGGATATGGGCTTTCAAGTTCTAACCTATTCATTATTATGCTATGCTGTTGTTCTAGGTTTATGCCTTCAAGACAGAAAAAGGAGAGGAGAAAGACATACAAAGGATCATGTGTTCACTGAGCAGTGAAACTGGAATCCCAAAGTGATGATTAAATCTTAGGCTTTTTGAGGAGTGGTGATGAAGACAAGGAGCAAAAATATGTCGATCTAGTTATACCATATATGTATTCTGCGTTTGTCCTCTTGGAAATATCTTCTAGAATTGCTAAATTATAAGGTAAAATATTCTTCCAATGAAATTATAAGAAAATTGGTTCATTGAGATAAACAGACATATATCAATAAAAACTATGATTACCTCACAAGCAATCCACCAAAGAAAATACCTAGGTTTTTTTATTACAGTGGGTTTTAGCATACTTCAGAAATGTACCATGTTTAAATAGTTTTGGAAATAATGTTCTAAAATTAGGTAATATTTGTGAATTAAAATGTCTTTTCACTTGTCTATATAACATTCACTATTGAGTTTTGGCGGTCATATGAGTTTATAGACAAGGACATTTTTGAATTAGAATAAAAGTGAAGAGGAAAAATAGGTGCTTTTATCTTAAATGAGACTGCTTTTCCTGATCTGAACATAGAGAATAAATGAGAGCTGTAGGTACAGATTGAAAATGATAAATGACCAAGCAAATGCACTGGGAAAATAAATATACATGGTTGTGACAGAGTTTTCAGTTCAAACTGAATGAGGCAACCAAACTAATCTTTGACTTTAACATCCAAAGAGCGTTTTGGGTTCTCATGTCTTTGCTAAGATAAAAGTGCATTATACTGATAGAAAAAAGGACTCTAGTCTGTCATTCCATGCATATTATCTGCATATGGAAGCAATGTTGAGATTAAGTTAGTTTTCTGTTCTACTTTTTTGCTGAATATAACTTCCTTTTACAAATGAAATAATAACAATGAAGCATAACTAAAAGTTATGAAATTTAAAATGCTTTAAGAAACATTTTAAAAAGAATGTTTGAAATAGAGCTTCCTTTGCTTTTTGAATGAATTCTTTCCAAATTCAAAATTCTAATTGAAATTCCATATTGTCTACTCAGTTATTAGATATTTATGAGATTTTCTAGTTTTTCCTTCTTGATTTTTGTTCCCTTATTAGCTAATATAGGTTACAAATTAGCTTAAGAATAAAGTGATATTTTAATATTTATACTCAGTGTATAATGAATGTACACAATTTTAAAAACAAAAATTTAAATTACCTGTATCTTATAATCACTACACTCAGAGATAAGCATTACAAATATTTTTATATATAGCTTTTCCGTTTATTTCTACAAAATGTGTTGTTTTAAAGGAATGATTATACTGCACATACTTAAAAACCACTTATTTTGAAATCCTTTCAAGCTTATACAAATGTATTAAAAAGAAAAACAGTACAGAGAACACACATCTCCCCCGTACTTAGATTTAACTATTGTTAACATCTTGTGCCATCTGCTTAAGTACATATTATTTTAATTCTCTTATCATTTACTATGTTCTGGACAATGTAAATATCAGTAAATATTATTGCATAACTTAATGGGTGAAATATTTAATCGCATGTTTACAAGATAATAAAACCCTAATTTAAGTGCTTTACATGTCTTATGTCATGAAACTTTACAATAATTTTGTTTTATGCATACTTATTCATATTTTATGTATTAATCTACTTAATCATATTTTACAGATCAAGAAATTGAAAGTAAAAGAATTGCTAAGTAATATACCTAAGGACATCCAGCCAGGAAGAGAAAGAATGATAATGTAAAGTCAAGTGCATCTGTTTTTTGTTGTTGTGTAACAAATTCCTATAAAACGCTGACTGGAAAGAGCAAATACTTATTATCTCTCAGTTTCTGTGGCTAAAGAATCTAGCAGTGGCTTTGGTGGGTGGCTCTAGCTTAGGATATCTCAAAAGACTGCAATCAAGTTGTCAGCCAGGACTGCCATAATCTCAAGCTGCATGAGGATCTGCTTCCAAGCTCATCCACACGGTGTTGTCAGGCTACAGAAGATCTGTTCCCAGGCTCAGGGATAGAGCAGCTGGCCTTCTTTGGAATGAGCAATCCAAGAGGAAGTGAGAGCACACCCAAGAGAATAGCGACTGTCTTTAAATAACCAAGCTTGAAAGTGACATCCCAACACTTCTGCCATATTCTCTCAATGAAAAGCAAGAATATTTTTCCAGCCCACCATGGAGGAGATTACACAATCTCATGAACATCAGAATATAAGGGCCATTGTGGGCCGTCTTGAAGGCTGCTTTTAACACCAGGTTTTTCTGACTTCAGAGCCCCTACTTCTAATAGTTAGACCTAATGCTTTCTTACTGCACAAGATATTACTCCCTTGTGAGAATACACCATATTTTTTGAACAAATTCACAAGTTTTGATTATTGAGATTGCTTTAGATTTTCATTTGCTATTATGCACCCTGCTGTGAGAAATAATGCTCATCCATTACCATTTTCTTAGTAACTTGTACAGTAATATCTACCTATCTATCTAATGTCAGAGGGAAGTAGTTTTTCAAAAACCACTGAATTTAGAGCAAGAATGTCTGGTTGTACAATAAATGAAAATCTATTTTACTTCTTAAACCCAACTTATTTACCTGTAGACGTACTTCTTGAAAGGCAAAAAATGCCACTTATTTGTGGATCCCCAGATCTTATCACAATGGCTGAATTTTCATAGACACAAACTATAGCTTCTATGTCATTTATGTGAGATATTGAATGGGAAATTATTTGACAAATTACAGAAAGCTATAAAAATTTAAAAAATCTTAAAAAGTATTTAAGAACTGGTTTTATTTAATTGTTAGAAGAAGTATAATGACTATTTTTGAAGTACTTTTGATTTCTTAAATTCTACTTTAAGCTGGGTGCGGGGCTTATGCCTGTAATCCCAGCACTTTGGGAGGCTGAGGCGGGTGGATCACCTGAGGTCAAGAGTTGGAGACCAGCCTGCCAACATTGCAAAACCCCATCTCTACTAAAAATAGAAAAATTAGCAGGGCGTGGTGGTGCCCACCTGTCGTCCCAACTACTCCGGAGGCTGAGGCAGGAGAACTGCTTGAATCCAGGAAGGGGAGGTTGCAGTGAGCCAAGATCATGCCACTGCACTCCAGCCAGAGTGACAGAGCAAGACTCCATCTCAATAAATAAACAAATAAACAAACAAACAAATAAATTCTACTTTAATGTAAATTCTAATTTCGTACAGTCCTATTGCTTCTAGTATTTATTTATTTAATTAATTTATTTATTTTGTAACTGCCACACAGTTCTCATGGGCTGTTCTGCATTCGATACAACAACTACAGTATTTTTTTAATTGTTTATGTATTTTTATTACTTGGTCACATGATAATCAGATCACCTCTGTTTTACCTATTCAATACTGTATGGTATTTTGGTAATTCAAATGTCAGAAACACCTTTCTCCCTTCAAGTTTACTATGCATCCTTTTCTTTTCAGAATTTATTTTTGAATTATTAATTCCTGAAAGTTTTTCTTGATTTACTGGACTTCAGGCTCACAAAGCCACACCTTTATGGCTTCAGTGAGTTTATACACTAGTATGTATATTGGTATTAATTTTATTTATTTCAACAGTTAGTTTTAAAATATGTTCATTGCAGTAGCCATCTCTCAAGTCTGCATCCAAGTATTTCCTTTTTTTGACAAATATCTATCTTTGAAAAAGCTATTTTGGTCACACAAGGCAATGTTAGAGTTCTAAATTAATGACATAAATTTATATTAATTATCTCACTAAAATGTATTGAATTTCAGATATTCTTTTCAACGCAACAAATATTTATGGAGTTTTCATCATGTGCCAGGGACTGTCCTTGGGACTAAGGCTACAATAGTGAGCAGAGCAAAGGCCATGTTTTCCTAAGGCAACATTCCAATTTCCAGAGGTAGATGATAAATAAATCTATAGTTTTTATTTTGCTGGTAAGTATCACTAATCAAAATTAAGTTACCTTTCCATTAGCTTTTCTAGGAACTGGATATGTGGGAATTAAACACGTCTTCTTATTAAAAAAAGTTTAATCTTGTAAGTTATTAGATTTACAAATATAAGTAAATTCACTTTTTTTACTATTTAGAAGAGTTTATTGTTATTATTTATTTATTTATTTTTGAAGCATAATCTCTCTATATTCCCCAGGCTGAACTCAAACTCCTGGGCTAAAGGGATTCTCCAGCCCTAGCCTCCCTCGTAGCTGGGACTGTAGGTGTACACCAGAACACCCAGCTATTGATAGACTTATTAACTAGTCTCAGAGGTGATGATGACATGAACCTACATGAACACAGTTCTTGATTTTGGACCCAAAGACAACTGTAAACATGATCTGAGTGTCAGGGTGTCGTTACTACTGGGCAGAGAGAGACACATCAGCCCACCAGTGGCTTAATTTAAAAAGTCAATCCCATGTCTCTTTCCCTGAAGCTTCAGATTTGAACCATCTGCACATACTCATTGTGGAACTTTTCCTGTGCTTCTTCAGCTTCTTGGCTTTTCCTTTGCTCAATTCTTTGTCTTCCATGTCATCAAGCTTGGCACATTTGTCACTTTCTGTCAAGAGCATCTCAGTGGGAAGAATCTTCATCTTAGCCACCTTTGTGGCTTCTTATTCTTGTTCCTGGCTGCCTTCTCTTCCTTCTGCATTTTCAACCTTTTTCTTTCTTCTCTCTTTTTTTTAATAAGATTTCCTGATCTACAATTTTGATCATATTTGGAGTTTTTGGTCTGTCATTCCAACTGCTGCATAGTGACCTCAAAGAGGCCCAAAGAAAAGGCCCAACCTGGCTCTGCTGTAGAACATGGCTCTGTACCTCATTCAAATGTGGAAGATCTTTGAGGCCATAGAAGAAGAAGACTCCTTGGGTTTCACAGTCAAAGGACCAGCAATGATTCTAAATCTCCAGTCCACAATCATGTGTTACCTTCAAGTGTTGTAATTCAGAGGAGTGAGAAAGGTTCTCAGAAGGAAAAACACCCATGAGGCTCCATCACCGCAGCTCAGTGACGCTTTGCTGCCACGGCCCTGCCTGAGTTTGAGGTATGGTTTGAAGATCAAATTCACTTTTTAACGTATACCCATCTCTAAATAGAGTAATTCTTAGACATTCTAATTATATAACACTTATAAATAACAGAGAGACAAAACAATAAACATGGATTTTTCATTTTAGTTCAGAAACCTTAGTTTTGGGTTCATCAATTCAGATAGTTAAGCATGCAGTGCTTAATCACTAAATTGTTTGAAATAATGTCCTATTTTACATATCCAATTTACCAGTGGTCCAAATAGTTGCCAAGATCAAAATAACAGTTGAACCATATTCTTTTTAGAATTCATCCAGTGCCCAATAAATAACAAAAGGGTCATTTTGTCTTTTCTATCAAGGTCATGCATAGCCACAGATTTCATATGTAAGTGAAGATCATTTTAGTAGGCAAAACTCTCAGATTAACAGTATTAAAAATTACATTCAACACAGACAAAACAGTGGGCACTAATGTTGGACTCTCTTTGACAACTACATGATGAACCATGTTTTGACAAGAAACTGTCCCTCTATATCACTGAATGCTTGATTTTTGAAAGATAATACTTCCTACACGGATTTACTGCTTGTCAAAACATTTGTTGGCCATTACGGAAACATAAGTGAAGTGCTCTTTGATTAGGCATGGTAAAAACTAATGATCTAAATTAAACAGTAAGCATTTTGACATTTTCATATTTTGAGTTTTTGTGAAACTTTTTATTAGACGCATACTGCTACTTATACACTGTAAATTTGGCAGACAGGACATCTAGCATCTTGTCTGGCAGTAAAAGCAGATCATTATTTTATTTTAATTCATTTTTAATCTGCAAAAGGAAAAGAAGCCACACATCGATAAATTAAACATAAAAACATAGACCCAAAGGCTAGTAAGCGACAAGAGATGGCACTTTTCAATGTTATATTTGGAATGAATAAATAAAAAATACAGGCAGGCAAGCATGTTTGAACTTGAGACAAATTAAATTTTTTCTTTCAACTAAGCAAATCATTGTAACTCATGGCTTACAAAGTTATGGTAGGTATTTTATGTTTCTCAATATTACGGTTACTGAATAAAATGTAATAAAATGTTATTTCTAGAGGAATTTGAGGTCACTTGCATTTGTCCAATAAACCTTAATAAGAAAAAATTTCTGTTATATATGTTTACATACATAACGAATTTAAGAGGTTTGCTAAGCCATCTGGCAAAGTCAACAACAGCATCATTACCAAGGTAAACTAGGGGGGATGCCATTATTAATGAGGCTATAATTTGCATTTTAAATGTTAGTATTCACTCACAAAATTATTTGTTCAGTTAGGTGTCCACACTCAGAGAACCTTAGCATAACATTAAAAGGCTTGATTAAAGTCTCTCTCTCTGCTATTTTTGGCACTTGGCCAAGTCACTGGCTAGTTATAATTTTCTTATTAATAAAATGTAATTTTGAGACAATTTAATTTGTGAGAAAACATTTTGAAAAATGTAAATCTATATAAAATTATAAACAATTGTGAATATTTGTTTGCAAATTACGAACATATTTCAAATATATTTTAAGTATATATAAGTTATAAATAAATATATTTAGTTAAAGTACATTTAGTTATTTTAAGTTATTAATAAATAATGGTGTTAGAAATAAAATCATAAACTGATATTTTTACACCTGTGAGTCTGGAGGATAACCAGAAACTCTGTCCATATATCTTCTGAAAGAAAGAGAAATAAATAGAGATAAATGAAGCAGGAGAGAGAGAGAGAGAGAGAAAGAGAAGAGAGAGAGAGTGACTGGGAGACAAACATACATAACCTTCTTTTTAACATGGCTGCAGGCAGAGAATATTACAAACACCAAACTACAACAGAGCTCTTACCAAGCAAGATTCACACCTATCAAAAGAAAGGGAGCTTAAGAGGAGAGGGAGGTGGATGATATAGATAGAATATAAACAAAATTGCTACTACGAACAGCAAGTCAACACTTAGAGTTCAACTGTCACAGACATAGTTCTAGGAATTGATATTTCACAACACTCAACACAAGATGCGCGTTTCAGAGTATGTAGGAAAACGGTGAGTCTCAAGGAGATATTGCCACTAGGGAAAGCCATTTAAAGAGGGAAGTGGTAATACCCCATTCATATGTGGCAATGAAGAGGAAGAACAAGGTAACGGAAAATTAAAACGCTTACGGAGATGAAACAAACAAGATATAGATATCCCACATCACTCACAAATCAATCAAATGATTATATTTTATTATGTACTTCACTATACTGTCAGAAGAGGGTGCACTTGAACTACAACCAGTGTCTACAAACGTCTAGAAGTAGGAAAAAAAATTAAAATCATTCAAATTTATTGAATAAGACAGTCTGTAAAATTCAAATAAAAATCTTTTAGCTTATGAAGCTTCCCTCCACCCACACACACACAAAAACAAGAATCAAAAGAAAACTGAGTTTCACTAAACACTCAAAAGTGAATGAAATATATTCAGACAAACATTTGGAGATATAAAAATAAGATAATAAATTCAAACACATAGGGGAAAAAGACAAAAAAAAAATCAGGAAGAATCTCAACCAAACAGAGAAAAGAAACTTAAAATACCAAACCATATAAGAAATAAAGAATAAATTATAAACTTCCGAAGGCAGAATAGAATAACAAACTTAAATGAACATCTAGTAGCAAGCATTAAAGAATTGTAAGAAAATAATATATAAAATAAAACTGAAATAAAGATAAAAGTAAAAAAAAAGGCAAGGTGGTGGGAAAGCCAGACAGAAAAAGAAGTTTACTATAATAATTGAAGAAGTAAAATAAACAACAATGTGCATAACTAACAAATAAATGTTATTCCAAGAGAATAGGCCAGAAATAAGAAATTATATGAATAATCTTTTATATAATTGTGTGTATACATATATACATGTGTATATATATGTATAAAGATGATTATATATATAAATATTATGTATTCCAGGGAAATACGTATATATATGTATGTATGTGTATATATACACATACATATAAAACATACATGTATATATAGAAATGTGTGTATATATATTATATATGTGTGTGTGTGTGTATATATATATTTCCCTGGAATACTGGTCTAAAAGTTCAACTTCAAGACATGTCACAACAAAGCCGTTAAAGTATAAGAAAAAGAAAAATTTAACATGGCTTCACAAAAACATTATAATATTACATATAAAAGTGAGAAAATTAGGTTAGTCTTAGATTTTTTTCAAGAGCAACATACAGAGGAAGACAAAAGTAGAACAGCATGTTCAGGAAAGTCAAGTGAAAAAATGCAGGGGAAAAAAAAAAAACAACAAAAAAAAAACTGTACATCCAACCAAGCTGGCCTTCAAGTATCATACCTATAGGAAAACAGTTTTTAATATATAAAATTTTAGAAAAAACTATAACGTGAACCCCCCAAGGAATCTACTAGAGGTTGAGCTTCATATAAATAGCACATAACCTTAGAAATTTTGGGCAAAAGACTTCTGATAAGTGTTTATTATGGTTAATTGTATACATAAAGTCAAAATAAGAATTAATACCTGATGGAAAAGTAACTGGAGATGTTACATGTTCTGACAAAGTACAATAGACGAAACAAAAACTGGAAGAAAACGAAGATATGAGGAAAGTAAAATCAGTCAATTGTCTATAGTAGAAATAACTGGTAGCAGAGTCAAAGTTTAGCACTTAAAACTGACAAACCAGAGAGTAAATATTTAAATGAGCTCCATAAAGAGCATGAATGAAAAGGTAATATTAGAACAAAAAATACAAATCTTTCTAAACTCCAAAAGAAGTTAACAATAAGCAAAACATACCAAATAGAGAAACCTAGTAAACACAGCATAACACACATAGTAATTATAAAAGAGCATTAAAATGTTGAGAAGAAGCCTACTCGTGATATCAGTATACATGAATAGAATTAACTATTACACTTTTTAAAATCACAAATTGGCTGAATAATATCCAACTTTATGTTACATACAAGGAGCAACTAAGGCAGGAATTTAACACAAAATAAATGGTTTGACAAAGTTATATCAGGCAAATAGAAAATAATAAGAAAACATAGCTGTGATACTGATAATAGATAGAATTTGGGCCAATATACATCACCTAATACAAATAAAATTATATAATGCTTAATAATTTAAAATAAAATATAATAGATTGTAATATCTATGTTGCAAATAACAGAGCAGTCACATATACAAAGCAAGATAAAGAAGATGCAAGAAGTAAACACGCTTAAAAATAGTAGATATTTACAAGTCAGTACCATACAGTACGAATGCTCAGTCTACCAGTAAAAAATGAATGAGGTGTACAAAACTACAAAACATTATGTAAGATCTAAGCAGCATAAAGAATCATGCAATTCTTATAGTCTTTAATTGAACACTATATCCCAATAATATAAAATATAACTTTTATCAAGGACTAACGGAACATTCATTAAAAGTGATTATATATGAGGACACAAAGAAAATATCATTAAGTTATCTAAGGTAGAAAGTTTACAGCAAAAAATTATGACAGCAAAACAAAAAAATTATACATCAAAAAATTTTAAACATAATTACCATCTGGAAATGAAGAGAAAAAACAAAAATTGTATTATACATTACTTTGCTTAATGGAAGAACACACAGAAATTGGAGTTTTTTTTAAATTATGAATATATGAACACTGCATATAAGAATCTATGAGATACATTTAACAATGTGGACAGAGAAAAAAAAACCCATTACCTTAAACTCCTATGTGATAAGAATAACAAAGTCGGACACGGTGGCTCATGCTTGCAGTCCCAGCACTTTGGGAGGCTAAGACGAGTGGGTCACCTGAGATCAGGAGTTCAAGATCATCCTGGCCAACATGGCAAAACCCTGTCTCTACTACAAATACAAAAATAAGCCAGGCATGTTGGCATGCGCCTATAATCCCAGCTATTCAGGAGGCTGAGGCAGGAGACGTGCTTGAACCCGGGAAGCGGAGGTTGCAGCAAGCCAAAATCCTACCACTGCACTCCAGCCTGGGCCACAGAGCGAGACTTTGTCTCAAAAAAAAAAAAAAAAAAAAAGGCTAATAAATAAGTCATATTAATATAAATTTTCAACCCAAAAATGTAGAAAATTATCAACAAACTGAAGCGCAAGGAAGAAGATAATAAAGCAAAAGACAGTGAGAAAAAGATTAGACAGGAAATCAATAGAAAAAAATCAATAAATCAATAACATGGTTCTTAAAAAGTTTAAGAAAGTGGACAAGCTTTAGTTATTGGAATCAGAAAAAAAAATGAGAAAACACAAGTATACAAATATAAGAAAAAGGGTAATAACCAGTGACAAACAATGTTTAAAATCACACTAGTTTGAACTTTTCTATGCAAATAAATTAGAAAAGTAGATGAAATAGATAAAGCTCCTAAAAATGGAATTTATTAAAACTAAGCTCAATAGAAACAGAAAGCTTAGCTTAAATACATCCAATTTTCATGGAATATGTACAGAAAATTATTTAAACTCTCTCCAAAAAGAACCAAGTCCAAAGAGTTTCACAGGGAGTTCTATTAAATCTTAGAAAGTACAGGCCGGGCCCAGTGGCTCAAGCCTGTAATCCCAGCACTTTGGGAGGCCAAGGCAGGCGGATCATGAGGTCAGGAGATCAAGACAGGCCTGGCTAACAGGGTGAAACCCAGTCTCTACTAAAAATACAAAAATTAGGCGGGCTTGGTGGAGGGCACCTGTAGTCCCAGTTACTCAGGAGGCTGAGGCAGGAGAATGGCTTGAACCCGCGAGGCGGAGCTTGCAGTGAGCCGAGATCGCGCCACTGCACTCCAGCCTGGGTGACAGAGCCAGACTCTGTCTCAAAAAAAAAAAAAAAGAAAAAAAAAAAAGAAAGTACATTATCCCCATAATCCCCATGTGACATAAATTGTTTTAGGCTATTCCTGAGGAATGAAATGATTGTTTTGTAACTAATTGGATATGTTGTATGATAGCACAAAAAGGTATTACAAACTAATATGACTTATTAATATTAAAGCATATATTTTGAATAAAGCATTAATAAACAGACTTAAATGCTAGTTAAAAAATAATATACTAAGACTAAGTGGGTTCATACCAATAATGCAAGAATGACTCAAGTCTTGGAAATCAATTAATGTAAATCACCATTTCAATAGGAGCAAGGAGAAATATCACATGATTATCTCAATAGACGCAGAAGAAAACTTTGATCAAGATGAATACAATTCATTGATTAAATAGGAATAAATGGATACTTCCTTAGGATGATCATGTGTGTGTGTGTGTGTGTGTGTGTGTGTGTGTATGTTTGTGTGTGTCTATTTCCTAAAGTCAGCATCATACTTAATAGGAATACATTGAAAGCTTTTACACTCCGATAATGAATAAAGCAAAGATGCTCGCTGTCTTCACTGATATTTAACATTGCATTTTAGGTGTTAGTAACAATTAGATAAAAGAGTAATACAGACTGAACATAAACAATAAAACTATCTCTCTTTGCAGATGATATGATAGCATATACTTTTAGAAACCAGAAAGGGTCTCAGATTTTACCACTACTTGCAAACTAACAAGTGAGCTTGCCACAGTTTTATGGAAACTGATAGGAAACACGAGACTCCTGGGTTAGAGACAAAGAACTTTATTAACTCGTGACACAGCAAGCATCATGATTGTCAGACTATTTGCACCAATCTTTCTTGTCCACAAAACCCACAGCAGTGATGCAACTGAGCCCAGATGAAAGTCTGCATACACAGAAAGCTGTTTTACAGAGAGGATCCTTGAGCTTGGAGAGCCAAATATTTCCTAAGAAGCAGTAACTACGTCTGTTTTATGCTGCAGATACAGCTCAGAAAAAAAAAAAAAAAAAGACAATGCCTTGCTTTGCAGGATATGCAAAAATGCAACAGATCCACGGAGAATTGTCTCCCAGCCTAGAAAATTGTAGAAACTGTGATACACGGAATCCTAAAATGCCCCCTGTATTCATTTCCTAAGACTGCTATTACAAATTACCATAAACCTGGTGGTCTAAAACCAAATAAATATATTCCCTCAAAGTTCTGGAGGCTAGAAGTACAAGCTTAAGGTGTTTGTAGGTAACATCGTCAGGCCCTGAAGCAGCACTGGGTCCATGACTCATTCCTGGCTTCTGGTGGATGAAGATATTTATTCCAAATAAGGTCCCATTCTGAAATTGCAGAACATATATTTTGGGGGCCATTATCCAATCCACTACAGCCACCAAGATTCCTGACCTCTGCTGTACACACAACTTCTCCCAGTTATTCAATTAAACACCAAGTACTGCTGGAAAGGATTATGCAGATTTAATTAAGGTACCAAATCAGTTGACCTTAAAGTAAGAAGATTATCTGAATGGGATTGGTCTAATCATATGAGGCCTCTAACTCTGTGTCTGGAGATTAGAAGCAAAGAAAGTCAGAGATCTGAAGCATGAGGGAGATTTGACATGTGAGAATTCCTCGCCTGGAGACAGCCACATGAGAATTTCTCACCTGGAGACAGCCACGTGAGAATGCACATGAGTATCCTGTAAATGATGAAAGAAGCACCTAGTTAAAAGCTAGCCAGTAGAAGGAGATCTCGGTTGTACAACCACAAGGGACTGGGTTCTGCCAACAACCTGAATAATCAAGGATGAAGAAACTGAACCTCAGATCAGAGTAGCTCTTTTAGCATCTTGATTTCAGCTGCTGAGACCCTGAATAGGGAGGCTAGCCATGCCTAAATATCTGACATCTGACATTACAGAACTGTGGACAAAGAAATGTACATTTTTTAAAGCTACAATGCTTGTGGTAATTTTTTTATAGCAGGAATTTAAAATAAAACAATAATCATTGAAAAAAAGATTCGGGTATTAAAAGTATTCAACCACTTATTGGGATACAAATTTACAGGCAAAATTCAGGAACCTTCATATATATAAATATAGATTATTAGAAGAATTAATGGCAGATCAAATCTCATTCATAATACTAAAAAAGAAAACATCTTGGATTAAATTTAAGAAATACTTAAAACTGAGAAAAATTATGACACTTATAAAATATATACAAATATACTTGGACCAAAAGTAAAATATGCCCTTGTTATTATTAGACTGCCACTACATCAAGATGTTAGTTTTCTTGTGTTAATTTGTAAATTTAATATTCCCTCGTTTAACTCTCAGGTTTTTCTGGAGCTAGAAAATATGATACTAGAGTTAATATGGCAAAATATACAAACAATAATACCCAGGAAAATACTGAACAAGATCTGAAGGTGTACAAATTCAGAAATATTTGCAACATATATTACATACAAAGGGCTAACCTCCTTTGTTTATTATTTATACATAAATGGTTATTTAATTAAAAGAAAAAAATGAAAACCTCTGGAAAAACGAACAGAAGATGACTCATAAATGAAAATGCAAAATAACTTCTCCATATGAAAATATATTAAGCTACACTCTTAATTACAAAAGAAAAGTAGTTAAGTTTTTATCACTAAACTTAACAAAAATTCTACGCTCAACAAATCCATTTTGTAGGTGAGAATGTGGGGACGAAGTGATCCCTGGGTATTGCTGGTGGGAATTAAAAAAAAATTCATTCCAACATGGTGGGGAATTTGGTAATATCTAACAGAAGTACTTATGTATTTGCATTTACGCTTTAACTTCAGAATCACATGTCCAGGATTTCACCCTGAAAGTATCCCGTACGTGAAGAAAAAATGAGAAAACAACGAAATTTGTTCTCCTTAGGACTGTTGAGGATAAGGAAATGAAAGGAATAATAAAGAAAGTGATAACAAACTTTCTTGAAATGAATGCCTTTTTTTTTTTTTTTTTGAGGCAGAGTCTCGCTGTCACCCAGGCTGGAGTGCAGTGGCACGATCTCGGCTCACTGCAAGCTCCGCCTCCCGGGTTCACGCCATTCTCCTGCCTCAGCCTCCCGAGTAGCTGGGACTACAGGCGCCCGCCATCACGCCTGGCTAATTTTTTGTGTTTTTAATAGAGACGTGGTTTCACTGTGTTAGCCAGGAGGTCTTGATCTCCTGACCTCATGATCTGCCTGCCTCGGCCTCCCAAAGTGCTGGGATTACAGGCGTGAGCCACCGTGCCCAGCCTGAATGTCACCTACTTAAACTGGTTAGTTTCTCTGAATCACATAGTTTTCCTGATTATGGCTTGTCCTAGTTCTAAAATAAAGCAAAACAAACACAAACTTTAATAGCTCCTTATTATGGGAAGGGTAAAGTTCAGACTGCCAAATCTGCCATCCAAATTTCTTACGAAGCAGATGACAACACACTGCACAACCCTATTTCCCATCTTCTCTCTTTCCCCCAAAAAGTATCTAAGACCAACTACAGAAAATTATGTGTTCATTCTAATCTTTTCTTTCTCAGTACTCCCCTTCTTGTTGTTTCTTCTCATCTGATCACCTAAATCTTCATTCTCCTGTCTTTCACTCGCTTTTCAGAATTCAAGTATAATCTTCAAGGGGTGAGATTGTTTGTATCAAAATTTCAGAATTTTATTTTCCACACCCAGGATATTCACAAATACAAATTGCAAAGCAAATGTCTAGTGTGTTCTAAGTAAACTTCTTAACAGTCAATTTGAATTTTCTCAGAATTTAATTTTGATATTCTATACTAGTAGCAATCTAAATGAAAAACATTCAAGTTAAAAAATGATATTTAAATATTTACAGAAAATTGTAATTGTATCCTATTTTACCATATGCACAGTCAGTTATAAGTATTTATTTCATATTTTAATGTGATTAGGACAATGAGAGAACTACAAAATATTTTTTTCTTCTGAACTCTGAAGATACTATATTAGGATGTGGGGCATTAGTACTCAGGACAGCAAATATGCTCCTTGTCACATTATGCTATTGTTCCCAGACCAGTTCAAGTACTACCTGCTGTATAAACTCTTCACAGTTCTGTTCAGGGAAAACTAGTTCCTTCCTATTTGTTTCTTCACATTTGCTTTAAAACTATACTCTATATAGAACTAAACACTTTATTTTTGCCATTATTTATGCAGATTTCACCTATTAATAAAAAGTGCTTTAAAGTAGGATTATTTTTGACAGATTTTTTTCAAATTCCCTACAGTGCTCAGATAATGTCTTGCACATAAATACTTATATAATTCATCCATTAGTTCATCTGATTTATTTATTCACAAGGCTTAGCTTGCTCAATTAATAAGAGCTCCCCCTTTGTATTGTAACTCTTTCCAAATAAATAAATACAGGCATACCTCAGAGATATTTCAAGTTTGCTTCCAGACTGCAATAAAGTGAATATAATATAAAGTGAGTCACACAATTTTGTTACCCAGTACGTATAAAAGTTATGTTTATACTATACCATAGCATATTGTGTACAATTGCATTATGTCTAAAACATGTACATACTTAAATTTAAAAATAGTTTATTGATGAAAATGCTATTATCTGATCCTCTAGCAGGTCTTCATCCTTTTGCTGGTGAAGGGTCTTGTCTCAGTGTTGATGGATGCTGACTTATCACTGTAGTCATGCTGAATGCTGGGGTGGCTGCGGCAATTTCTTAAAACAAAACAACAATACAGTTTGCTGCATCTATGAACATTTCCTTTTATGAAAGATTTCTATAGTATGTGATACTGTGATAGTATTTTCCCAAAAGAACTTCTTTCAAAATTGGAGTCAATCTACTAAAACCTTGCTGCTGTTTTTTATGAACTAAGACAATGTAATAGTCTAATTTTTTGTTGTTATTTCAACAATGTTCACGGCATCTTCCCCAGGAAGTAAATTCCATCTCAAGAATCCACTTTCTCTGTTCATCAATACAAAGCAATTTTTCGCCCGTTAAAGTTTTATCATGAAATTGCAGTAACTCAATCATATCTTTAGGCTCCACTTCTAAATCTAATTCTCTTGCTCTTTCTACCAAATCTGCAGTTCCCTCCCGCACTGAAGTCTTGAATTCATGAGGATTGGAATCAACACCTTCTTTTAATGCTGATATTTTGACATTCCCCCATGAATCGCAGAATGTTCTTAATGGAATCTGGAATTATGAATACTTACCAAAAGGTTTTCAACCTATTTTGCCCAGATTAATCAGAGGAATCACTATCTATAGCAGCTTTAGCCTTACAAAATGTATTTTTCAAATACCAAGATTTAAAAGTTGAAATTAATTCTTGCTCCAAGGACTGAGGAATAGATGTTGTGTTAGAAGGCATAAAAATCTTTAACCCCCTTGTACCTCTATCAGAGCTCTTGGGTGACCAGGTGCATTGTCAACCTTTTTAAAGGAATCTTTTTGTTGTTGTTTTTTGAGCAGTAAGTCACAACAGTGGGCTTCAAATATTGAATACATCATGCTATAAACAGATGTCCTGTCATCCACGTTCTGTTATTCCTTTCATAGAGCTAAGACAGAATAGATTTACCTTAACTCTTAAGGGTCGCGGAATTTTCAGAATGATAAATGAACATTGGCTTCAACTTAAGGTCACCAGCTACATCAGCTCCTAACATGAAAGTCAGCTTGTCCTTTGAAGCTTTGAAGCCTGGCATTTACCTCTCTTCTCTAGCTACATGAAAGTCTTGGATGGCATCTTCTTCCAATATAAGGATATTTTATATATATTAAAAATCTGTTGTTTAGTGTAGCCACCATCATCAATGATTTTGGCTAGAAATTCTTGATAACTTGCTGCAACTTCTCCATCAACACTTGCTGCTTCACCTTGCACTTTTGTTACGAAGACGAGATTTCCTTAAATCTCATGAATCACCCTTCGCTAGCTTCAAAATTTTCTTTTTTTTTTTTTTTTAACACAATGGTATTTGTGTATTTAAAGATATGTAGGCCAGGTGGGATAGCTCATGCCTGTAATCCCAGCACTTTGGGAGACCAAGAGGAGAGGATCACTTGAGCCCAGGAGTTCGAGACCAGCCTGGGCAAAACAGTGAGACCCTGCCTCTATATTTAAAATACAAATAATAATCAAAATTTTCTTCTGTAGATTTCTTAGCTCTCTCAGCCATCATAGAATTGAAGAGTTAGGGCTTTGCTCTGAGTTAGGCTTTGGCTTAAGGCTGGTTTTATCTTCCATCCAGATCACTGCAACTTTCCCCACATCAGCTATAAGGCTGTTTCACTTTATTAAAATCTGTATATTCACTGGAATAACACTTGTAATTTTTTTTTCAAGGTCTTTTCCTTTGCATTCATAAATGGCTGTTTGGCACAAGAGGCCTAACTTTAAACCTGTCTTGGCAATTGATACATCTTCCTTACTAAGCTTAATCATTTCTAGGTTTTGATTTTAAAGTGAGAGACATGCGACTCCACTTTTTACTTGAAGACTTAGAAGTCATTGTATGGTTATTAACTGGCCTAATTTTAATACTGTTTTGTCTCAGGGAATAGGAAGGCCAAGGAAAAGGAATGAGACAAGGGCACAGTTGATCTGTGGAGATGTCCAAATACAGACAACATTCGTGGATTAAGTTGCCCATCTTTTATGAGTACAGTTTGAGGTGCCCTCAAATAATTACAATAATAACATCACAGATCACTGATCATAAATCACCATAAGAAATATATTAGTAATAATAATTAAAAGTTTAACATATTGCAAGAATGGCCAAAATATGACATGAAGTGAGAAGAAGCTGTTGGAGAAAGGGTACTGACAGACTTGCTTGAGGCAGGGTTGCCACAAACCTTCAACTGGAAAATAACATAATATTTGCAAAGTGTCATAAAGCAAAGTGCACAAAAACAAGGTACTCCTATTGATAGAGTGTCTTACTTTTATTCTCTCATTAAGTAATAAAGTAAATGATAAAGAGAGGTTAATTGTCCCCTGCCCTCATCTTGTCATTAATCCACCAAATTCTATTAATACTTTTCTCTTTTCAAACACTCCCAGAGTTCTACTACTTTTTCTTCTCCCACCCAAATTCTCCTTGTTATTTGATTTTTTTTTCTTTTTCAACTTTTATTTTAGAATTAAGTGATACACGTGCAGGTTTGCTACAAAGGTATATTGTGTAATGCTGAAGTTTGGGGTGTGACTGAACCTGTCACCCAGGTAGTGAGCATACTATCCAATAGTTAGCTTTTCAGCCTTTGCCCCCATCCTTCCTTCTCCCCTCTAGTAGCCTCTAGTGTCTATTGTTGCCATTTTTTGTTCATGTTTACCCAGTGTTTATGTCCCACTTGTAAGCGAGAACATGTTGTATTCAATTTTCTATTACTGTGTTAGTTTGCTTAAGATAATGGTCTCCAGCGGCATTCATGTTGCTGTAAAAGACAGGATTTAATTCTTTTTATAGCTTCATAGTATTCCACGATGTATAAGTATCACATTTTTTTTAAATTCAATCCATTGTTGAAGGGCACCTGAGTTGATTCCACGTTTTCGCTATTTAAATAGTGCTGCGATGAACATACAGGTGCATGTGTTCTTTTGGAAGAAAGATTTGTACTTCTTTGGGTATATACCCAGTAATGGGATGGTTGGGTTGAATGGTAGTTCTGTTTTAAGTTCTTTGAGAAATTTCCAATCTGCTTTCCACAGTGGCTAGACTAATTTACATTCCCACTAACAGTGTTTAAGCATCTGCTTTTCTCCACAGCCTCACCAACATCTGTTAAGTTTTGACTTTTTAACTAAAGCCATTCTGACTGGTGTGATTTGGTATCTTATTGTGGTTTTGATTTGCATTTCTCCGATGATTAGTGATGTTGAGCATTTTTTCACGTGTTTGTTGGCTGCTTTCATGTCTTCTTTTGAGAAGTGTCTGTTCATGTTTTTTGTCCATTATTTAAAGGAGTTGATTTTTTGCTTATAAATTTAAGTTTCTTGTAGATTCTGGATTGTAGACCTTTGTCAGATGCATAGTCTGCCAATATTTTATCCCATTCTGTAGGTTGCCTATTTGCTTAACTGATAGTCTCTCTTGCAGTACAGAAGCTCTTTAGTTTAATTAGGTTCCACTTATCAATTTTTGTTTTTGTTGCAATTCCTTTTGAGGACTTAACTATAAATTCTTTGTCAAGGCTGATATCGAGAAGAATGTTTCCTAGGATTTTTTTATAGGTTGTGGCCTTACATTTAAGTCTTCAATCCATCTTGAGTTAATTTTTGTATGTGGTAATATGTAGGGGTTTAGTTTTATTAATCTGCATTTGGATAGACAGTTAACACAGCACCATTTATTGAATAGGGAGTCCTTTCCCCATTCCTTATTTTTGTCAACTTTGTTAAAAATCAGATGACTGTAAATGTATGGCTTTATTTCTGTGATCTCTATTCTGTTCCATTGGTATATACGTCTGTTTTTGTACCAGTGCCATGTTGTTTTGGTTACTGTAGCCTTGTAGAAGGAATATACAACTCTTGTGAGATAGTTTGTAAGATAAACATCCCCAAGGCATATAGTCATCAAATTCACTAAAGTCAATGTGGAAAAAAGTCTTAAAGGTAGCTAGAAAGAAGGATCAAGTCAATTACAAAGGGAATTTTATCAGGCTAACAGCAGACCTTTCAGCAGAAACCTTCCAAGCCAGAATAATTTGGGGGCCTATTTTCAGCATCCTTCAATAAAGAAATTCCAACCAAGAATTTCATATTCCACTAAACTAAGCTTCAAAATTAAAATAGAAATAAAATACTTTTCAGACAAGCAACACTGAAGGAATCATTACCACTAGACCAACCTTAGAAGAGATTCTTAAGGAAGCGCTAAACTTGGAAACAAAAGATACCTGCTACCACAAAAATACACTTATGTATATAACCCACAAACACTATAAAGCAATTACACAATCATGTCTACAAAACAACCAGCTAACAACACCATGACAGCATCAAAATATCACATATCAATAGTAACCTTTAATGCTATTTGAACTTTTAACACAATAGTCTTTCAATATTTGTAGTTTCCTTGTTTATTAAATGACAATTTACAAATCATGAAATGGGCTTATTTTAATTGTGCAGATTGATATCTTCTGACATATGATACATGCATATAACCATCAGCACAATTTAAATATATCAAACATGTCTATTATCACAATTGATTCTCTTGGGGTCCATTCAAGTAATCCCCTCATATTTCACTGCAGCCACAAGGCAATGATTGATTTTTAAAATTATTAACAAAAAAATTGCTCATAATAGTTTATCATTATATTTAAATATCTGTAAAATACTTCCATCTAATCTTTCATTTTTTTATATTGGTCACTTTGTATAGAGTTATTATCAATGTAATTATCCTTTAAAAAATTCACTTTCAATGTTATAGATTATTTTAATCACTTATATTTTTTATCATTTCGATGTTATTTCTTTCCTTCTATCGACTATGGATTTAATTTCCTCCTTCTGATTTCTAGTTATTAAGGTGAAAGCTTAGATCAGTGGTTTTAGATCTTTCTTCTTTTCTAATGTAGTATATAAAGCAATAGTTTTCCCTCTAAGTACTGCTTTAGTTTCATCCCACAAATTTTACATGTAGAGCTTCCATTGTCATTCAGTTCAAAGTGTCGTATAATTTACTTCATAATGTATTCTGTGGTGCATAGCTCAGTTAGTCATGTGGTATTTAATTTAAAAGTATTTGTGTCTCTTAAAATATATATATGTATATATATGTGTATATATACACTGGAAAGAGATATTGGTTTCTAATTCACTCCTATTGTGCTCAGAAAATACACTGTGTAAGTTAATCTATTTTTGAGTTTGTTCAGATTTGTTCAAGGCTTGGCACATAATCTGCCCTGGTAAACACCCCAAGTGTACTTGAAAAAAATATGTATTCTACTGAGGTTTATAAATTATGAGTGAAGAGTGTTGCAATTTCCAATAGTAATGACAAATTTGTCTACTTTTTCTTGGTTTTGTCAGTTTTTCTGTCATGTATTTTGAAGTACTTTACCGGGTATAAACACACTTAGGATTGTTATACTATTTGCCTTGTTGCATTGAATACTTAATCTTTGTACAATATACTTTTCACTATCATTAGCAATATTTCTTTTTATAGTTTACACTGATAATTACACAGCCACTTAAACTTTATCATTAGTGTTTGCATGGTCTCTTTTTTCCTCATTCCTTTACTTTTAACCCATCTGCATATTTGTATTTTAAATTGATTTCTTACAGACAGCACGTATTTGGGTTTTATTGTTTTATTCTATGAGAAAACTCTGTAGCTTAATTGCAGTGTTTAGACTGTTAGATATAATATTGTTATCAGCATGTTTGGGTTTAAATCTATCAATTTATGTGATTTTTATAGGCTCCATCTGTTCATTGTTTCTCTTTTCTGCTCTCCTGCCTTATTTTGAATAAATTATTTATTTTATAAAATTTCAAATTATTTTCACTGTTTTTAGTATACATCATGATTGATTGATTGATTAGTGATTGACCTAAGAAAGGCACATTTTATCTTTTACTTACTGCATTCTACATTCAAATACTTTCATACCACTTCAAATACAATATAAGAACTTTACACTTGGACCCTGCCATTTCCCCTTGCTTTTTTGTGCTATTATTTCTATATAGTATATATATGTGTGTGTATATATATATATATACACACACAAACAGGTGCTTTGAATTCTATAACACATTGTTAATATGTTGGCTTTAAATAATTACACATTTTTGGAAAAATATTTACTTCCAGAACACTATATCTACGTTTCCATCTGGTATTTTGTCTTCTTAAAAACTTCTTTTAAACATTTCCTGTGCTGGTGATATGCTGGCAAGAAATTCTTTGATATTTTTATAAGAAAATATTTTTAAGGTGATAGGTACACTAAAAGCCCAGGATTCACCACTACACAATGTATACATGTTAAAAGTCTGCACTTGTATTCCCAAAATCTAAACAACAACTTTTATTTGCCATTATTTATGAAAGGTATTGGTTTTGGTATAGAGCTGTAGGTTTCTGATGAGAAGTCTGTGAATGAATGTGCTCTTTTTTTATTTTATGTGTCATTTATCTCCAGCTATTTTAAACTTTTTCTCTTTACTTCTGTTTTTTAGGATTTTTAACTACAATGTGCATTGGTATGGTTTTGTTATTTATTACTCTTATTAGAATTTATAACTTTGAATGCATGGGCTTATAGTTTCTTTAAATTTAGAAATTTTCAACAAAGATTTCTTTCAAATATGTTTTTGGTTTACCCTCCACCACTACCCTCCACTGTTTTCTGGAGTTCAGATACATGTATATTAGACCACTAGATACTAGGTGTTTATAAGTCAATGACATGGTTTGACTGTGTCCAACCCAAATCTCATCTTGAATTCCCACATGTTGTGGGAGGGACCCAGTAGGAGGTAACTGAATCATGTGGCAGGTCTTTCCCATTCTGTTCTCATGATAGTCAATCAGTCTTACAAGATCTGATGGTTCTATACGGGGGTGTTTTCCTGCACAAGCTCTCTCTTTGCCTGCTGCCATCCATGTAAGACGTGACTTTCTCCTTGCCTTCTGCCATGATTGTGAGGCCTCCTCAGCCATGTGAAACTGTAAACCCATTAAATCATTTTTACTGTGTAAATTACCCAGTCTCAGGTATGCCTTTATTAGCAGCATGAAAATGGACTAATACAGTCACTAAGACGCTATTTTCCCCAGTGCTTTCCTCTTTGTGTCTTCCCTCAGTTAATTTCTTCTGCTGTGTTCAAGTTTACTGATCTGTTATTTTATATAAGTAATAGATAAAATATATTTCTGTTTAGCTAATTTTGCCTTTTAGATGTTGTATTTCTCATCTGTAGAAGTTCTTTCAGGCTCTATTTTATATTTCCATTTCTCTGCAAATTACATTCATTTAAAAAAATAATGGTGCATGTTATAAAAGCTGTTTAATACCTCTGGCTGTTATTTCTGATTGTCTTCTTTCTGTTGACTGATTGTCTTCTGTATATGCATTATACTTTATTGCTTTCTGGATCTTGGATATTTTAAATTTTATATTTTTGTGTCTGGGTTTTGTTATCTTCTTTTAAAGAGAACTGAAGCTTGTTTTGGCAAGCAGTTAATTTATTTTGGTTCAATTTTATCCTTGGAGACTTACTTTTAAGCTCTGTTAAGGTGTCTTTTAATGTAAGTATAGTTGAGCCAAATATTAAGTGTGGCCTTTCTGAGGTTTCTGTTGAATACCCCAAGTAATCATTGAGTACTCTCTACCCTAAATGATTGAAATTCAAACAGTTCCCAGCCCTACTATTGCACTGGGATAAATTCAGCTCCCACCTCTCTGATTCCTCCTGTTCAGACTCATAGAGTTTCACCCTGTGGATATACTTCTTAGTAATTAACAAAGCTTTAAGGGGTCTCCTAGAGTTCTTTTATTGCATACTGCCTCCCTTCTAACACAGTCACATAATTTCTATCTGCCTTAGTCTACTTGATTCATCATGAACACTATGCCTTATTTGGTTATCCCCTCTCTTCTCACATATTCAAGAAATTGAATTCAGGGAGAAAGCTAGAGCAATTGTATGGCTCATTTTATTCATTTCTCTTTTCTCAGAGATCACAATTCTGTGATATCTTTTATTCAATGTTTGAAAAATGTTGTTTTGTATCTCTGCCCAGGTTTTCAGTTTTTTTATGGTGAGAGAGAACATCTAGCCCTTGATATCTTATCATCCTCAGTATCAGAATGATCTCTACCTATTAACCTATTTATCAATCTACCTATCAATTTTGCTTTTATACACAAGCATTTCACAGACATGGTCATTAGCATTAATTAAATGTTGTTTTTTCCCCTTGCTATTTAGGTAAACTGAACACAAATATAGGCCTTCAATGTAATCCTAGAGCCTTTACCTTTTCTGAGCTGTTTTCCTTATTTGCCACTTAATTTAAGATATTTGTTGTCAAAAAATTTTCTAGCTCTGTTTTAGGGGCTAAATTTTTGAGCCCTGATTTTGGGAAAAAATGATTTCTTTATCCTGATTATTTTTCTCTCATTTCCAGATTTAGCATTCTACATATAGACTATGTTAATACAGTGTTGTATAAAATTATTTTTAAATATTTCTACCAGTAAAACTTTTTGGTAAAAAGAGGTTAAGGATATAAACGAGTTGATGGTTCATGACAACAATCACTATGTCAGTGTGACTAAGTGTGAAAGGTTTTCATGTTTAATGTTATTTTGAAAAAAAAGTCATTTTTCTAATGCTTTTGAGAATGAAATAAAAAATTACTGTCTTCTGATAGTTTGCCTACCAATGCATGATAGATAAATCATATTAAGAAAAGATAAAAATAAATTAAGGAGGTTTTTGTTTTTCTCCAGTGAAACACGTATGATTGCCTGGTTTGATTGATAAAGTGAGAATAAATTGCTTTCTCTTGTACTATTCAGAAATTGGTACTCATTGCATGATTAGCTGACAACTTTACACTTGAAATGTGCTGATTAGCTTGTTTTACCTTAATAACTCCATGATAGTGGCCGCCTTATCTTGCCCTTTAATTTTAAAATTAATGAAGTAATCATTTATTGTGGTCTCTTCCACTGTTCTGCCCGATTACTTCAGTGCTGAAAGGTACTTTGCATTCTTGCTGGTCCATTAGTTCCATATCATGCTCTTTCTTAACTTCTCTATTCAACTATAAGATAATTAAATGCCATATTTTACCATCTTATAACCTTGACATATAAATTCTCTTTTCTCAGTGGTTCAAATTAATGGACAAATGACATCTACTAGAAGATGTAGTGAGACATTGCTATTTATAAAATGTTAATGCACATTAAATGCTAAAGAAGAATCAATAATACATGGCTATTACTTCATATTACTTAGTATTAAGTTAATATTAAACTTCTAAACTATCACTTGTTTGTATGTATAAGTATGTATATATTTAAAATAAATTCTTTGCAAGTTATAACTTTATTAATGTTCCTACCTTGTTTCTAAATCACTGTAAGATATATATATATATGCATATATATCAGTACATCCATGAAATACAGTTATATTAAGAAAATATAAAAATATATTAAGGAGGTTGTTTTTCCTTCAGTGAAACATATGATTGCATGGTTTGATCGATAAAGTGAAAATAAATTGCCTTCTCTTGGACTATTTAAGTATATATATGATACATAACACACATATATATGATACATAACACATATATATGCTATGTAGAACACATGAGAAGGACGACCTTATTAATGTTGGAAGAATGAATCAGGATAAGTGTTTTGGAAGAAGCGTTTTGGAAGAAGAATTCAAATACGAATTATGATTTGAATTATTAATAGAAGTTAGTCAAGGCAAAAATAATCAAGGAATGAATAAAAGAACATTTGTGGAAATGTTGAGGTGAGCAATATGTTAGTGCATTTGAGGACAGGAAAGAAAGCCAGTGTAGCTTGAGTAAAGATTATGTAAGATGATGTTGGAGAGCTTGCTGGAAAGATTTTATAAATATAGAATGACAAAAATAAAGGGAATGTGAAATCTTCATGTATTCATTTAATTATTCATGTAACATCTGTAATGTTGTTATTATGCTTTGTATTTGAGACTAAAAAATAAGTGAGGTTTGGCTCATTACTTAAAGGATCATGGGCCTAGTTAGAGAAAAGACATGAACAAGTACTTAAAATGCAATGAGTTAAGTGTGACATGATATAGAAATCATTATCAAACTGATGTGGCTATATATCCCTAGGGATATACAAATTTTCTCCAGGAATATTATTCATTTCTATACAAGCTCCTTCTTATTAATATTGAACCATATGAAACTGTACATATTTAAATATCTTGTATCCAAAAATGGCAATTATATATGATTCAATCTAATACAATTGATTACTGAGATTTTATCTATGGTTGGCATGTCGCGCAGTTCTTCTTTCCAAACTTGTTTATTAAAATCACCCCTCTCTGTCTTTCCAAAAAACAAAAAACAAAACAAAACAAAAATCTTCCTTATACTAATCTAGGATCTTATTATGGCACATCCCTCAGATGGAAAATAATTATTAACTGTAGAAAAATCAAATAAATGCATAATTAGAACATCTTTTGCACCAAAATTCATGACAAAGCTTTTAAACATTTCTGATATGGGCAAATAATAGTGTTAGAAACAAGATATCTTGGCCTCAAATAAGGTAATCTGAATCCATATATGATTATAATTGATTTATTGACATTTTTATTATTATAATCCATTATTCTTTGTCTCTGGTAACAATTTTTGTTAAAGTCTATTTTGCCTGAAATTAATATAGCCATTCCAGCTCTCTTGTGGGTGCTGTTTGCATGGTATATATTTTCCAAACTTTTTGCTTTGAACTTATTTACTACTTTGACTCAAAATTGTTCATGTTTTTACTTTTTATACTACTAATCTCTTTTTTTACCTGCCTCTTGGTACTTTTACATTTATGCATGGACTGATCATATAGAATGTATGCCTGCCATTTTGCCATTTTTACATATATTACGTCTTTTCTGATCCTGTATTCTTTCATTACTGGTTATTTGTATTAAGTATTTTACAGCACAACACTTTAATTTGCTTGTTACGTATTTTGCTATATCATTTGAAATATTTTCTTTAAAGTTGTCTTGGGGATTATAATTACATTTAATTTAAAGCAATAGACTTTGGATTAATGCCAAGTTAATTTAAATAATATACAAAAACCTTGCTAAAATACAGCTTTGCATCTCTTTCCTCCTTGTACTAGAATAGTCAAACAAATTACATAGTTATATGTTATAAGTACATTAAGTCAGTTTTGTAAATATCACTTTACACAGTTATTTTTAAATCAGGAGATGAGTTACAAATAAAACATAGTTTTTAGTAATAATAATCTAATTATTCAATAATAATCTTATTATTTAAGTGTATTCAGATTACACTGTAAGTGTCCCTTCTTTTAAGCCTGAAAGTCTTACTCTATTATTTCTTCTATGGCACATCGGATAGCAATAAATTCTCTCTGTTTCAATTTAACTCAAGGCATCTCAATTGTTCCTTTGTTTGTGAAGGACAGTTTGTTCAAAGACACAATTCTTGGCTACATTCTTTTTCTTTCATCACTTTGAATACAACATCCCACTGCCTTTTAGCCTACATTGTTTCTGATTAAGTTAGTTGTTAAAGATATTGAGGATGCCTTGCTTCTCTAATTTTATTATTTAGTATTGGCAGATAAAATTGCATATATTTATTATCTACAACATGATATTTTGAATTATACATACATTATGGAATGACTAAATGTAGCTAATTAACATGTGCATTACCCCACATAGCTATCATTTTTGTGATGAAAACACTTAACATCTATCTTTTAATTTTTTCAAAAATGCAAAGTATTGTTATTAGCTATAGTCACCATATTATACAATAAATTTCTTGAATTTATTCCTTCTACCTGAAATATTTGTATTATTTGGCTAGCATGACCCAAACCCACTCCCCAACTGCATCAACCCTAGGTAACCACCATTCTATTCTTAGTTTGGTGAAATCAATTCTTTAGAATTGAGAAGAGTGAGAACACGTGGTATCTGACACCTGTCAGGATGGCTATTGTGAAAAAGACAAAAGCTAATAAGCGTTGGAGAGGATGGTACATAAGTGAACCCTTGGAAACTGCTGTCTGGATACTTTTGGTGGGAATGTAAATCAGTACAGCCATTATGGAGAACAGCATGGAAATTCCTCTAAAAATTGAAAATAGAACAAACATATAATCCAGCAATGCTACTACTAGGTATATATTCAAAGGAATTGAAATCAGTATGTCAAAGAGATATCTGTACTCCCATGTTTATTGCAGCATTATTCACAATAGCCAAGATAGGAAATCAATGTAAATGTCCAACAATAGATGAAGGAATAAAGAAAATTTAACATATATACACATAAAATTCTATTCAGCATTTTAAAAGAAGAAAATCCTGTCATTCGTGACACCATGGATAAATTTGGCAGATATTATATTAAATTGCTTCTCTGTTTTTATTGCAATATTTTTCTTTTGTCTTTAGACAGTTTAAGAATAATGTGTCTGGGTGTGATCAGCCACTGTTCAAGGAATGCTGAAAATAAATGTGTCTAGGGCTGAATCTCTTGGTTTTTCTTCTTCAAATGTTTAAGCTTCACGATTGTGCAGGTTAATGTTTTTAACATGACATGTTAGGTTTTGATTTTTATTTATTCAAATATTCCTACTGCCCTTTTCTCTCTCTCCTCTTTTTTCTTAGAAATTATGCCTATGTTGTTATGCTTGGTGGTGTTTATAAGGCTTTGTTTATATATTTTTTTTCCCTTTTGGATTCTCAGACTAGAAAGTTTTAAGTGCCCTGTGTTCAAATTTGTTGTTTATTTTTTCTGCCGTTTGTAATATGTTGTTGAGCCCCTCTAATACATTTTCATTTAAATTATTGTAAATTTTAACTTCAGGATTTCTCTTTAGGTCTTTTAAAACAAAAGATAATTTACATTTTTATTATTATTTGCTGTTTGGTAAAATAATTGCTATCACAGTTTTCTCTGATCCTTTAGACATATTTTCCTTTAGTGTTTGAACATATTTTTAATAGCTAAAGTATTTTTATAGTAATACAAATATCAAGGCTTTCTCAGCTACAATCTCTATTGCTGGCTTTATTTCCTGTGTAGAGCCCATACTTTCCTGTTTCTTACATGTCTCTTAGTGTTTTGATGAAAAATATATTTTAAATAATATATATTAGCTACTATAGAAACCAGAGTTCTTCACACACACCAGGGTTTATTGATGCTGCTGTGTGTTGTTGTTGCTGCTGCTGCTCCTGTTTGTTGTGTAGTGACTTTCTTGGACTAATTCTGTGAAGCCTAAATTGCCTGCCACATATGGCCATGGAATTCTCTGTTTACTCAGCCTAGGCTTCATTTCCTACTTGCACAGAATCTAAAGATCTGAGAGGTCAGAGCTTTGGGCCTTCTCAGGTCTTTCTTGCATTAAAGTGTGTTGTTCTAGGTTTCAAGATTTATTGGGGAGCTTTTCAAAGCCCCCTGTGAATATCACATTCCTCAATTTTTCTCTTAAGGTTTTTGTTGAGCATTTTGTTAAGCCCAATTGATAATACCACCTCAGTTGTGACCTTAAGCAATTGTCACTGATTATTTCTGACAAATCCCCTGTGGCTAAGGCTGTTTTTGTAGAGTAAGCTCTGACTTGGATTAAACAGAGACAGACTCTGCGACTGAAACTTTTAGCAAGCTACCAGGTCAAATAGTAAAAGTTCTCTGGGGATGAGACGTTTGGAGAACTCCAAATCCATCATGCCAGCCTTTTCCAATGGCTACAAGGCTCCTAGTTTCCTGGCTACTGTAGTTGTGAAACTCTTGGCTTTTAAGGCTACCATGGAACTGGGGTAGGGAGTTGTGATCAGCACAAGATAATACGAGACTTGCTCTTCTTACAGAGATTTTGCTATCTTCTTGAATAAATAACTGTAGATTTCTGCAAGCCTTTAGTTAATTTTCAGAGTTCAGAGAAAGTCGGATTTGACAGCATGTGCATGTGTTCTCATCGCTTTTATCAAGGGGCAGATTTTTGAAAGTCCTTATTATACCATTTCAGAAGTTGCCTCTCTGGATACTTTATAATCCAATTTGTGTTTACATTGGTAATGGCTCACAATTATCTCAACTAATGTGACTGATGAAATGATTATGCATAGACTGGCTTTCTTACTCATATTTATGCTGTGAAACTACTCAATAGAGAAATCCTGAATCCAGAAGCCAGAGAACTTGGAGTTCTGATGTCCAAGGACAAGAGAAAAAACGTGCCCCAGCTCCAGGAGAGAGAAAGATAATTCATCTTTCTCTGCCTTTTTGTTGTATTCCACCCCTAGCTAATTGAATGGTGCCTGCCCACACTGAGGGCAGATCTTACTCACACAGTCAATGGACTCATATGCCAGTCTCCTCTTGAAACACCCTTACAGACACTCCAAGAAGTAATGCTTTACCAGTTCTCAAAGCATTCCTTAATGCAGTCTAAGTTGACACCTAACATTAACCATCACAGACCTTTTCAATTATTTATATGGTCAATATTTTTTCCTACATTGAGCTAAATTCAAAGCTACAATACTTTTGCAACATTATACTTGAAACACATCATTGTGACCTGAAAAATGTTGTATATAAAATGTTTTAATTTATAACAATATCAGTTTTACAAACTTTTCTTAAATATCTAAACAAATTGCCTTTAAGTAAAAGAGTACTTGATATAATTGATCATTATTGCTAAGTTTTAACATTCAATATTCGGTTTCCTTTGAGGAAACTGAGCACATGGCTGTAATGACTGGGCAACTGTTTAAAAGAAGATAGGTTCCACCTCTTGGAAACACAACCTCCAACTCCTCACTGCAGGGCAGCTGTATCAGACTTTCTGATTGGCGGGGCCTAGGAATCTGTGTTTTGGTTTTAGGATCAGTGCAAATTCACATGACATAATAATCCAAACATACAGAGAGGCTGGCAACTCTTACCCGCCTCTGACGCCTTAGATGACCACTTTCATCAACTTCTTGTATTTCTGGCTTGTTTTCTTTAGGGAGACCAGCAAATACAATACATGGTCCACTCTTACCTTTCCCCTTTCAGAAAATAAAGATGCCATATCCATGCTTCAAAAAAGAAAAGAAAAAAGAAAAGAAAAGAAAGAGAAGAAAAGAAAAAAAAAGCAGATGGGCTTCAATTCTTTTCTTTCAAGAAAAATTGAAGGAAGGTCCAATCAACTAACCATTTCTGTCTGTCACACCTTGGAAAGAGTCCAAACTTCAGTGATGACGCCACATCAGAACTCTTTATATTCCTTGATATTGATTGATTGATTGATTTACTTATTTTAAGATGGGTGTCTTACTCTGTCACCCAGGCTGGAGTATACATTGGCAAGATCACAGCTCACTGTGGCCTCGACCTCCTGGGCTCAAGCGCCTCTCCAACCTCAGCCTCTCAAGTGGCTAGGCACGTGCCCTCCATGCCCAGCTAATTATTTTTGGATTTTTTTTGTAGAGATGAGGTCTTATTATGCTGCCCAGGCTGGTCTCGAACTCCTAGACTCAAGTGATCCTTCTGCCTTGGCCTCCCAAAGTGCTGGGATTACAGGTGTGAGCCACTGCATCCAGCCTATTACTTTGTATTTTTGTGAAAAAATTTCTTCAACCTTTGCATCTATGAAATGAAAAACTGTAATACAATTAATAATGAACCTTGTCTCCTTGTCGTAATAAATAGTAATAAATAGTACATGGATACATGAATCATGTAGAAAAAATATTGTTTTGTGTTCAATTAATATTTATCAAGTTGTAATAATACTAATATTGTTGTGATCAATTCCATTAATAACTGTAGTGCTCACTTCCACAGTACATATACTAAAATTGGAACCATTGACAACCATAATGACAATTGAATCCAAAAGAAAATTTCTGGCAATTAAATCTTCATTGTAACAGAAAATTTAAAATTAAGTAAATGTCAATTTTCACTGCAAAGAAGTATGATAGGACAACCTATGAAGAACATTTATTATATCATATGCATTCTGTATGAGATTGAAAATGTTAAAGCAATGTATAAGTTGGAACTTAAAGATAATCTTATTCAGATTTCACAAGATAAAAGTGACACATTGTCATAATATTTAGATTTTATTGAACATATTTATATATATTCATTGAACATATTTAAAAGAGTTTTTGAAATATTTTACATATGCTAAAAATTACATTCTTTATATGCTTTTGAATTTCCAATGAGAAAATTTAGATGTTCCCCTAAAAATATGTCAGGTGGTATAACGATTTTTGAAATTCTTACTGGAGCACGAGACATAAAGTATCTGAATATTAACATCTTAGGACACAAGCAAGTAATAATTAATTTTACTTGAGTGGGCAAAAAATAACTGTGTGAAGGATTTTTTAATAAACCATTATTAATTGAAAGTAATATATGAAGAGAGCAAAATGTTAAAATTAAAATATAAATGAAAATAAATTCTTCATCCTACCCCAGATCCAAGTATTAATAGTACTTTCTTCAATATTCTATGTGCAAAAATGTTGATATGTACTTTTTTACAAAAAGCTTATCATAATATTCTCTTTACAGAATAATCTGCAGATCTTCCTGTATAATTATTTACAGATGTAGCTGCTTTTAATTCTTTACAACCACATAATACGTTATTGTAATGTTCAGAAACTAATTAGATTGTTTTCAGTATTTGACTAAGAAAACTAGATTTAAGATTAGTTTTAAGCTGCGTATGGTAGCTCACACCTGTAATCTGAGTACCTTGAGAGGTCAAGGCTGGAGGAGCTTGAGACCAGCCTGGGCAACAAAGTGAAACCCCATCTCTACAAAAAATAAGAAAATTAGCTGGGCATAGTGGTGTGTGCTCCTATAGTTCCAGCTACTTGGGAGGCTGAAGCAAGAGGATAGTTTAATCCCAGGTGTTTGAGGCTGCAGTGAGCTATGAATGGACTTCGGCCTGGGCGACAGAGCAAGACCCTGTCTCTGCAAAAACAAACCAAAAAGAGATTAGTTTGCAAGGCTGAATAATAGTTTTCCATTTAGGCTTGATAGTAGAAGGCATTTAAGATAGAGAGGACTATCATGAGCAAGGTGCAAAAATATGCAACAAGGAAGGAGTGTGGTCTAGGATTGCTGCCGCTGACCATCCACAACCAACACAGCAGAGTACGGGGCTGCATGGCGAGGAGAAGCCCCATGTTAAAACTGTGTATATTACTTTCCTGTTAAAAATAAACACAATAGCAAATAAATGGAGCAACAACAAAAAAGCCAAACCACCAAACTCAAATTCTAAAATATAGCTTGTTTAAATAATGCTTATATTAACGGAGTTGCTTACTTTAGGTACTGTAGTGTCTAAAAAATGTGCAAATTTTAAAATATGGTTTTCTAGAAATAACAGATTTACAGCATATTTTGTACCAGTATTAAATGTATACTAAATAATCATAAATTCATGTATGTAGTACTGGCTGTGATACTACAGCAGATACTATTTCATAATTGTGTAGGTATGTACATGCTATACATATTAGAAATATATCGAGTGTCAATGAGAGGAAACCAAAACTCTGTTGGAAATCTAGGGACTGGAAATGACTCACTAAAGTAGTAAACAAAATTTTATTAAAACAACAAATACATGTCAGTTCAAAAGGACAGTTAGAATTGTGTAATATAAATCATCTTACTGAGTGCTAGGATTTGTCATTGCATATACATATTTTTAGATTTTATTGATCACTTTGAAAAGTCATTTAAATTTCTTCCTACATTAAGTGTTAGACAAGATGTTTGATAAAAGCCCCATAGTAACAACATCCTCAGACAACATTATGGCATGAACTTTATTTTATTTTATTTTATTTTTATTTATTTATTTTTTTAATTATACTTTAAGTTTTAGGGTACATGTAGACTACCAGAAACATCACATTAAAATATATATTATAGCAAACCCTACAACCTCATCTGTATATTAAAGCAGGGTAAGATAATTTCTTCTTTTGCCTACATATTTGAAATGATTGGCAGGAAGCTTCTCCTTGTTTGTTCATAAAACTTTATTTTTTGCATATTCGAGAGACTACAGCATCATGGAAACTTAAAACTCAGAAGAATCTGAAAAATAAAACCCTAATTTTATAGATAAAGAATTGATTCTCAGGAATATTAAGCAACTCACCTAAGGTCATATAATGTGTTGGCATCAAAACTGAGATTAAAATCGAAGTCTTTTGTTAAATGTTCAGACCTTTAAAAAGCTGTAGCATAATTTCATTGTGTGAATTTACCAGTATATTGGCAAAGTGCCTTTAAAAATGCTGGTATGTAAGTTTATATTTTAACAAAATGCTGACAATGATTTATTTGTCTCATTCTCACCAATCTCTCTGTGCTCCTCTGATCCCTCCTTCACTCAGAATTATATCAAGTCTGAGTCAGGACTTGAAGATTGAAGTATACTATCGAGATTTAACCCAAGACACTGTTTACTTTGAATGTGATGGAAAGAATCTCTTTCAAGCAAAAGGAGGTTGCCAGGAAAATTGCACCTACTTTTTAGAAGATGAATATGCATTTGAAATTGAGATCAGAGTTTAAATCAACTGCATGTGTTACTATTATCGTTCAAATAATAAAAACAATGGCTTTAAGTCACAGGTTTGACCCTTAAATATTCTGTCGCTAGAATGTTTAGGGAAGCAGGGGAACTAGAAGGGTCGTTAAACTAACACTTATTCTAGAAAGACAAATTCTAGGTAAATACATGCAAAGAGGGTATTAACTCTCTAAAGTAATAGGCGATAAGGACTCCCACATATGCGGATAGTAGAAAGCAGGTAAAATCATCTTTTGAAGATATATAGTCATATGTAAGAGGCCATGCATACTGGTGTTCTCAAAATACTAAGTTGTTTAAGACGCCTAACTACAGGCCTGCTTCAGACCCAGCGGATACGTCTAATGAGAATGGACCAGGTACTCCCTATTTGTAAGGGAGCAGGATAGAGGCCTGGATGGAAATATTATCTACCAGTGTCTCTAGTGGATCTTCCTCACCCAATTAAAACATCACTGAGGAGATAACCCTGCATGTGTCTGAGGAAGAGAGAGTCAAAGGAGAGTGGGAGGGACTTGGTATGCTTTCCTGATAATCATTGTATCACAGTGGAGACTATATTTCCAAAATGATTGATTTTGCCCAAGTGCAAGTCTGAATACACAAGTTTGCAATTGTTTTTATTCCATAATGTTCTAGCATAACATATACAGTTGTGCATTGCATAACAAGGAAATTGTGCATACAATTTAAGAAGAAAATTTAACTTGAAATAATACCAGTTTTTAAAGGCATGAAACAGATCTCTACTTCTTTTTGACCTAGAAACTTGTCATATCATCTAAATCAGATGCAAGCATGATTATTCCTAGGTTATCTATGTTTTATAAAGCATTTACACATCACTCACTGGCAACTTTCATAGAAAGGTGTAAAAAAAACTGTTCTTGATTGTCATGGGCATGAGTGACACATTTAATTAATATTTTATTTGTTTTTTTCTCCATTTTATAAAAAGTAATGGACTTCTATTTATGACCAGAGCTAGTAGACATGATTAATTTATGTGCTTATAAGAAGCTGTTTATTCTCTTTAAGCTAATAAAACCCAGGATCACCTAATTCCTTGAAATATATATGAATACATGGAGAAATGTATAGGATGCTGAAGCAAGTAGGAAAATGTGCAAAAGGGGTGTAGGCTCTACAAATTCAGATAAGCATTTTAATATGTTACCATAAGGGAAATTGTTGAGATGCTAACTGATCGTTCCGAAAGTCACACATCTATGGCCAAACCAAAAATGTAGGGGTAAACTCAACATGCTTTCACTACTTTCTTATGACTGCAAGATTCTGATCCTTCTCAGCTATCGCCACCCAATATCCCCTTTCTTCTAAAAAAAAAAGTATGTTAGAAAGCCATATCCAATGTGGTATTTTGGTGTCTCTCTTCTGTAGCATCTATTTTGTCTGGTTTTCTAGATTAAGGAAGAGCTGTTAAAGGCTTTAATTAACCCTGTCAGAAGAAATCAATTATAAAATTACTCCACATTTCGAGGGCACTAAGATACCCACAGAGACTTTTCTAAAAGGTCGAAATCTTAGTAAAACCGACGGTTGCAATTTTGCCGGTAAGTTAAATCTCAAGTCTATTATTGTTTCAAAATAAAAATCCACATTCTTAATTTTTAAAAACAAATGTGTTACAA
Source organism: Homo sapiens (assembly GCF_000001405.40). Lineage (NCBI taxonomy): Eukaryota > Metazoa > Chordata > Mammalia > Primates > Hominidae > Homo > Homo sapiens. The sequence goes on along the minus strand of NC_000008.11, from coordinate 114,760,580 downwards.
CTCAAATACATTTCACTTTATGAATACTGTCATGAAATTACTTTTCAAAAACCAATAATGCCAAAAATATATTATAAATATTTAACCTTAAAGATTTTATAAATATTTAATTTTGGTCACATGTTTGGAAAATTTTATAGTGAAATTGTTTAGCCATACCAATTTCTTGATATTAAAGGGACATTTCTTGCTGCATCTGATCAAAAAAATTTTTTTTCAACTTTTAACAACGTTGTGTAATTAGATTTAGTAGCAAATGACATAAGCAGTGATATCAAAGATTGTCTCCAGGGTAAAATCAGTTCCTGGAAAATGGTTTCCAGGAACCCCAAGACCCTTCCCTTGACCTGTTGCTTTGGATTTTTACTCTAGAGTGCCATGCGGTAGCCTCTCATACTTGAGTCCTTTCCATTTGTGTGTGTGTCCATGGCATGGGCAATCCCCTGATGGTGTGCCTAGTTCCTCCAGTTACCTGCTTTCCCACTAGTGATTCTGATGTGTCTCCATATCAGAAACAAAGGCATTGGTCAAAAATCATTCCTCCAACAAGTAGAATTAGAAAGAAACTTTTTGAGGATGTATTTCCTAGAGAATAGTTTTGCATAAAGAAAATGCCATTCAAAGTTGAATATAAGGGTTATTGTGGAATGATTAAAAGTGCCAAACTCATTTTTCAAGGTAATGATTCTTCGAAAGAGGGCGGAAGGAAATGGCATCTTAAACTTATAAAATGAAAGGCTAAACAAAATCACGCTTACTGTTTTAACTAGCTTTAAGTGAGCGGTTTAAAGAAACGCGTGAAGATACTTTTTAAAACTGATTTCTTCTAGATGTACTTTTTCTAAGACATGTTGCATAATTTACAACACAAAGATTGTAAAAGAGAAAAAAGGTTAAAGAATATTAGTTAATTTTTGGAATTTAAGCATTGAAGCTTGTAAATATGTCTTATTTTTAGTTTTTGACTTTATTACACTATGTGAAATTCTGACATTTAATGACAACACAATTTAGGCACTTGGGATTATCCATACTTCATAATGCTATGGATACTACTAACCTTCCAATAGTTATTAGTGTTTTAATTAATTAATGGTGATTATAATTTTTCAATTCTGTATAATGCCTACTGTGTCTTCACCTTGATTGTACATTAAGTTTTCAAATTATTTTATTTATGTATTTTTAAAATATGCTTTTTATGCTGGGTGTGGTATTTCATGCCTGTAATCCTAGCCCTTTGGGAGGCTGAGGCAGGAGGATCACTTGAGACCAGCCTGGGCTACATAGCAAAACTATGTCTCTACAAAAAATACAAAAATTAGCTGGGCATGGTGGTGAGTACCCCGCTACTTAGGAGGCCCAAGTGGAGGATCACTTGAGCCCCAGAGGTGGAGGCTACAGGGAGTCCAGTTCGCACCACTGCACTCTAGCCTGGGTGACAAGGTGAAACTGTGTCTCAAAAGAAAAAAAAATAAAAGCTTTTAAAGCAGATTTTCTATATGGCTCTAGAATGTTGGTTATGTGAATGAATTTTGAAATCAGATTGAAATTTATGTTGTGGCCCAACTACCTACAAGCTTTATGGTTTAACCAAATTAATAACCCTCCTGGTCTTTTGTTTCATCATCTTTCAAATAAAAGTTAGGAGGTGGTGAATTAAGAAGAAGGTGAAAAAAATCACACAGCATTGACACAGATGTTTTTGAAAAACACAAATAATTTTTTTTTTATTTCCAGGAAAGCAAAAACTAAAATGGTTAACTTCAGGTTGATTTTATTACATGAAAACCTAACAAACCTGTAACTAATCCCTTTTACGGCAGTCTAATTTATATTAATAGTAACAATAGATAATATTTATTGAAGGATTATATGTATTAAGTGCTGTGTGGATTTCATCCTTGCATTATTCCTGAAGCTATATTGATTGAATTTAAATCCCAGCTCGGCCACTTTTCACTTACATGACCTTGGACACATTGTATAACCTCTATTAGTTTATTTAGGTGTGAAATGGGAATCTAAATAGTGACTACTTGATTCAGAAGTTGTAAAGACTGAAATAACATTAAGATAGAGAGAGAGAGACCTTCACACTTGATCAATTTTCAGTAAGTTTGGCCATTATTAGTAGCTTTAGTATTATTTATTTGAGTTTACAATTTTGTTTAGGCTAATTTGACACCAATGTTTTTCACTTTGCAATCACAATGCAAGAAAAGATAGACTATGCCTAATAAAACAGTCAGTGACTCCTTCATGAGTTCAGTGAGTATATTTCATTGAATATAGGTGTTTTTATAGAACTGCATCTACTCTTTGATTTGAAATACATTTATGCGGAGGCTATTATGTCCTAGGCATAGTGATAGAATCTTATTGTTACAAAGTCAAATGTTACATGGCTTCACTTCTCTTGTTAAGTGCAACATTTTTTTTTTCTTTTTGAGACAGAGTCCCACTCTGTCACCCAGGGTGGAGTGCAGTGGCGCGATCTCGGCTCACTGCAACCTCCACCTCCTGGGTTCAAGCGATTCTCCTACCTCAGCCTCCTCTGGGACTGCAGATGCATGCCACCACGCCTGGCTAATTTTTGTATTTTTAGTAGAGGCAGGGTTTCATCATGTTTACCAAGCTGGTCTCAAATTATTGACCTCAAATGATCCACCCATCTTGGCCTCCCAAAATGTTGGGATTACAGGCATGAGCCATGGTGCCAGGCCCTGAATGTTTTCAGCATTCTGCCTAGAGGTGAAATATTGGACAGGCATACCTCTTAATGACCTCTCTAACGTGTTCCCCTAAAATCATTGTAACAGAAATTTAATTACCAGAAACTTAAACTAGTAGGAGGAAAATCACAGCTAACCTTTTCTTGGCCACCATGTTTCAGTCTATGGATGACCTTCACCAGTGACAGTTGAAGAGAAAAAGGGACAGCCTCACCTACACATTGCTGGTTCTATTGCACGCATGCTGATGTGCTAAGCGGCTCTCAACATTTCCACTTTATCATGTTCTTATTTTCAGCAACTTCCTATGCCCTTCCTGAACCCAAAGGAGAGCTACATATACCACCTTAAATTTTCAAAAGCTCCATTAAAAAGCAAGCGAAGCAGGTACATTTAAGTTTAATAACACATTTTAATTCAATATAGCCTAAACATTATTTCAATACCTAATCAATATATTTAAAAAATGAAATCTTTCACATTTATTCCTTTTTAAGTCTTCAAAGATGTGTTTGTATTGCAACACATCCCAATTCAGATTAACCACATTTCAAGTGCTTAATAGACATAGGGGGCTAGTGGCTATGTACCCATCATCACAGATCTGCAACACATATTTGTCTATTTAGTTGTCTCAGTAAGATGATTTGAAATCTGGTGGCCACACCTCATAGACTTAAAGAAGGGTATAGAAAAAAAATAACAATGTAAGTCTATACGTGCCACTATTTCATTTCTCTATACACACCATGTTTTGCTCCCTTTCCTTCCATTTTAGGGTAGAAAATAATATCCACTTATCATAGGAATTGCATCCCAAATTTGTTTGTGTATTCCTTTCTGTGATATTTCCTCTATTACTCCATGTTTCCCATTAATGACAACCTGTTTCACCATGACTATAGTCACATCACAACTATAGTTAAATTTTAGTTTATTCACATTGTGATTCCCCAAATGTTGAAGAGTTGGAATTAACATTTACATTCCCCAGATATTCTCAGAAGCAACTGCACATTGCAATTTGATGTGAAGTACAGAAGTTAGGGACAAAAGTGCTCCTGAAAGCAAAATTATTGGGCACTTTTGTCTTGTATTCTTCTTCTGGCTTGAAATTGGATCTTTTTTTGGAACTACAGTAAGTGCTCGCCTGACAATTCACCCTGTGGGCACATTTAATGGATGAAAGGGCTAAAACAAACAGGAAAGATTAATTAGCTTGTCTGAGGTCACATGACAGGACAGTGGCAAAAACACTGGCAGAGATAGAAACCCAGAAGCATGAATTTGTAATAATTCATACAAAGTACTTGGGAATTTCATTTTCTTTGATGAGAAATGTAACTATAGTATAAAGAACAGCAATTCCTGGATGCCGACCCTTTAAATTCATTTAAACAACTCAGTTATATTAGTGTCATGTAATGCTTTTCTATTAATTTTGTATTCATTGCCAATATTTCTCCCATGAAAATTGATCTGTATCTTTGTGTTATAGTAGAGTTGTAAAAACTAAGGGCTGTTATTTGTTATGTAATCTCATGAAAACACATGTTTGTTGTTTAGCTCCCCAAATGAGACTTGCATTTTATTTTCATGAAAATAGTTGACTTTGATATCTTACAAAAAATCAAATAGAAGAGTTCATAAAATCTACCAGTTAGTTACTGGTTAGATAGATATTTTTTTAAAATTTAAACTGTGTATTTCAATACAAACTACTGCAGTTATATATTGTAAATGTGATATTAGTGCAGATTATGTGTCTTATAAATAATTCTTGCATAAGAAGATAAATATATAATATTAAGATTATATTCCACATTATAATACTGCAATTCTCAAAGTTAGGGTTGGGGATAGAAGAAAATAATCTAGGCTAGTGATGGTGGTAGCACTATATATGAAAATATTTAATATTAAATATATAAGAGCTGGGCAAGGTGGCTCATGCCTGTAATCTCAGCAGTTTGGGGTTTGGGAGGAAAAGGTGGGTGGATCACTTAAGGCCAGGAATTCAAGACCAGCCTGGCAAAATAGCAATACCCTATCTCTACAATAATAAAAAATTAGACAGGCATAGTGGCATGCACCTGTATTTCTAGGTACTAGGGAGGCTGAGGTGGGAGGATCACTTGAGCCAAGGAGGTTGAGGGTATAGTGAGCTATGACCACATCATTGCATTGCAGCTTGGTTGACAGAACAAGACCCTGTCTCAAAACAAAACTAAACAAAAGAAACAAAACAAAACAAAAAATATATATGTATATACATGCACATATATAAATATACAAGGACAATTAGGATATATACATAAAATATAGACATATCTGTCAATAGGTATCTGTATACATAATTAAGATGGCCTTAATACTACCCTTGGCTCAATTAAACTTTAGACATGTTTCTTCCAGATTATAGGACCCTGACTTCTCTTTTCTTGCAGCATTTACTTTAGAAAACTTGCCATTGTACCTTAAACCTTTACTTTTTTGAGATGTAAATCTTTTCCCAGACTCTTGCCAGTTTTACAACCCAGGAATGTCTTTCTTAAGGATTTGAAAGCCATGTCTTAGAAATGTAAGCAGGAAAGGAGATAGCGACCCCATATTCAAGCCTTTGAGGAGGGGAAGTAATCTAACTTAGATAAGTGCTAATTAACAAGCAGATGGTCGAATCACATTGACCAATTTTCTCCATAATGCACTCCAGTACTTTTCTGTTAGCTTACCCTAGCCCTTAAAAATCCTTCCACCATTTGCATCAGCAGAGTTGAGTTCAGCTTCTTTCTCCTATTGCAACAGTCTTGAACCCTATTACAATAGTCTTGAATAATGTCATCCCTGTCTGTTTAACTGTGTTGACTGTCATTTTTCTTTGAATATATATATATACATATAAAATTTAAATATATAAACATACATATATATTCTTTGAAATTTATATATATATTCTTTGAATATATATATGTGTGTGTGTGTGTGTATAAAACTATATACAGTAAGCCCTCACTATCATCAGTAGGTTCCTGGAAACTATATAGTTTCTTGGTATAGGTTCTTGGTAACTTTAAGCAAAATACCACATAGCAGGTTCTCAAATAGTGTTGTTTCCTTCAAAGTCTTTTTGTTATAATGTTGATGAGAAAGAGAAAATCGGTTTTTATTATGTCATTCACTTAAAATCACAATTTCCAAGAACCTATAGACAATGTTAAGTGAATACTTACTGTATATATTATGTACACATAGAATGTTACATATTATATATATGGTTTTAGGTGTATATATATGTATAAGAATGCATTAAAAATAATAATCATATATTTATGAATAAAGATGTTTTAAACATAGAACATTGGTTGGAATAATAAAACATTAATAACAATTTAAAATTTCAATAATAAGGGGCTATAATTTGGAATATTATACAAATTTAAATTCATGCTTTGAGACTTCTTTAAAATATGGAAATACTCAAGCTGTGTTTGCAGTTTAAAGAGTTATAAAATAGTACATATATCATTGGTTCCCTTTTAATTTGAATGCATTTGTATAAAATAAAGATATAATTTTGAATATATTTGTACAGAATAAAATCCCAAATTCAAGATAGGAATTGTTGGGTTTGGTAGATATTCAGCAACTTTATTTTCTTAAAACTTACTGTATCATGCAACTTCTGGGCAATGAAAAAAAAATATTGTATAATCAAGAAATTTTGATATTTTCTTTAAATTAAAAAAAGCATTCAAATTTCCTTTTGTGAATTTATGACTTTTTATAAATTCAGGCCAAAATTTCCTAAATATCTGGTGGCAAGCAAAATTGACTTCTGCATGTTTCATTATCCACACAGCTGTCTTAATTACTAGTAAATCTGAAACAGTAAAATTTTTTTTCTGCCATATACCCTTCAGCTTTTTTTAACTTCATGTTTCATGCCTTATGATCAATTGAAATTAAAATAAAGTTGTTTTAATTTAAAGCAAAAGTTAATTGTTCAGCCCATTCTAAGACCAATTAGTCTGGTCTTAAGTCTGTAAGTAACTTGCCTGGAGCAATACCATTGCAGTTACTCAAAATGCATACCATTTGAAGGATATATGTGTTTTAAGACTCTTTTAGCAAGGCTAGCCACAGAGTTTCCTTCTGTTGTCAGTGTGTAATGATAATTTTACTGAGCTAAGTATTATATTGAGTAGAGCTAGTCTTCCATAGCCTGTAGCAAAGCAGATTAAAAAAAAAAAACAAACTAAAACCCTCGCCTTCCTTTTTATGAGATATGTTACTATAAGACACTATACTGTATAGACTCCACCATCTGGAGAAGAGAAGAAGAAATAATGGGGTGGGAGGAGCACTGTGTTTGTGTGTGTTGTATACTGTATATATATATACACATTGTGAACTATAGCCTAAATGGAATTGTAAACAGACAATATATCTATACATATATATGTATAGATATATCATTTCAATACCTAATCAATATATTAAAAAAATGAAATCTTTTACATTTATTCCTTTTTAAGTCTTCAAAGATGTGTTTAAGTTTTCAAAGATGTGTATTATATATATATATATCGTCTGTTTACTATATCTTTCTATCTATCTATCTATCTATCTATTTATCTATCTATCTGTCTTCTATCTGTCTATCTATGGCATCTACTTTATGAAGGCAGATTGGAAAAGAAGATACTTCTTCAATATTCTGGTATGCAAAACAATTGCCATGCCATCATTCAGAATTGACTTGCAAGGTTTGGAGTACGACTAAAACAAAAATCAATTTTGGGCTAATTTTTTTCTCACTTATTCAAGCCAACTAAATTTTATTTAACCTTGGATAAAATACTTATAATTTTTATATTCTTCAGACTTCATAATCTCTGCTGTAAAATGCTTCTTTCTTTTCGTGCATTTTTTGGGGCCTCATTCTTTCACTTTTATTTTTTTAGAGCCAGAGTCTCATTTGGTCATCCAGGCTAGAGTGCAATGGTGCAATCATAGCTCACTATAGCCTCAAACTTTTGGACTCAAGTGATCGTCCTGCCTCAGCCCACTGAGTAGCTGGAACTACAGATGTGCGTCACCATGCCTGGCTTGGGATCCCATTCTTATATTTACAAGTAAGCTCACAGTGCCCTACACATTTCCCTTCCCTTTTGTCACTGTCACACATATGTGCCTGACTTCAAACTGTCTAGGGGATTTCTCTGGAGGAAAGAGCTATGATTTTGCTCAAGACAGGGCACTAGAGCCAGATAATTTATTACCCCAAAAGCACTCAACCAATGACAGACACATGTTGCTGTATTAATACTTGGGGTTCCACAGCCCTCATATGGGATGACTTTGACTCTAGAACATTGAATTTAGTGTCACAGACTCTCAGAGACAACAGTATGCTATATTTGTACTTATCTGGACCTGGAATCTGCATTCATATTACCTTGGCACATTGATCCTAGTCCTGGTCTCTTGATACAAAAGAAGATTTTTAACTATTTGATGGCATATTCCACTGTTACACCATTCAAATTTTCTTATTTCTGTGTTAAAAATGAGTCAGTCTCCTGAAACATCCCTTATAGAAGAGATACAATTTTATATAGACAAGGAGTAAATACTTATTTTTTAAAGTCAAGGTAGTTATACCTGTTAAATCAAGTTTAGCCTAAAGCTAACTCCTTCCATATTTCTTTTTTTGTATTTTGCTTTAAGTTCTGGGATACATGTGCATATGCAAGGTTATTACATAGGTATACATGTGCCATAGTAGTTTGCTACACCTATCAACCTGTCATCAACATTGTCATCAACCTGTCAATGTGGAGGTTTTAATCTCCGCTGCATTAGGTATTTGTCCTAATGGTCTCCTTCCCCTTGACCCCCACCCCCTAACAGGCCCCCAGTGTGTGATGTTCCCCTCCTGGTGTCCATGTGTTCTCATTGTTTAACTCCCACTTATGAGTTAGAACATTGGGTGTTTGGTTTTCTGTTCCTGTGCTAATTTGCTGAGAATGATGGTTTCCAGCTTTATCCATGTCCCTGCAAAAGACATGAACTCATTCTTTTTTGTGTCTGTATAGTATTCCATGGTGTATATGTGCCACATTTTCTTTATCCAGTCTATCATTGATGGGCGTTTGGGTTGGTTCCAAGTCTTTGCTATTGTAAATAGTGCTGCAATAAAAATACATGTGCATGTGTCTTTATATTAGAATGATTTATAACCCTTTGGGTATATATTTAGTAATGTGATTGCTGGGTCAAATGGTATTTCTGGTTCTAGATCCTTGAGGAATCTCCACACTGTCTCTCACAATGGTTGAACTAAATACACTCCCACCTTATTTATTTCAAATTCAGCCTAAGTGTTTCTCTATACATCGTGAACTATACCCTAAATCGAATTGTAAACAGACAGCAGTCTACTCTTGTGCCAATCACTGGGTTCTGGCCAATCAAATGTGGCCAACTGTTGAAGCTGTGTTCAAATAAGACAGATGCCAAGCTATAAACAATTGAGCTCTTTCTGTATCTGACTTTCATTTTTTTATACATCACTTTCCTTTTTTGTGTCCATAAAAGCTCTTCCACAATGCCGCTGCACTAGAGTCTCTGAGCCTCTAGCTCAGGAGTTTGCCCAATTTGCGATAGTTCTTTGCTCAGTTAAACTCTTTGAAATTTAATTTGGCTTAACTTTTTCTTTTAACACACTTCAATGAGCAAATTTTTCAATAAATAAAAAATTCTAAAACAAACTTATAGCACTGGAAAAAACCCTCCACACATTTAAATTAGCTTTCCAGTTTTAAGTAGTTTAGTTTTTCTCCCCAAAATATTTTACGTCCTTTGCATATGGGAAGGGTTTTTTCCTCCTGTTCTCAATATTTTATTCCATGTGGAGAGATCTCAACTCACCTATAATGTGGTCCCTCTCCATGTCTTCACATCACTCCTGTTCAGTAAAGGAGGTGTAATTTTTCTTCAACTGTATGAGCTTTAAAGGAGCCATTCACATATGAAAAAAGGAATCAACTGCCATTGTACAGCACTGCCTATCAGCAGCAGATGTGAATTAAATGCTTCATTATTAGCTTGTGTATCTTAAGTTGTTCCAAACTTTGGTGAAGAAAATCAGTGATGTTTAATTGATCTCCTTAAGCTCCAACAAACATTTCAGTCCTGGTAATAATAATGTCCTCCTACCTAAGACAAGATCATTCTCTGGTCTAGAGAAATGCTATACAAACTGGTACCGAGCATTTATTTATTTACACATTTTTGAATTCTGAAAAAGTCTACTGGAATGGAATTGTCAATACTTTTCTTTACACAGTCACAAGTGGTGACTATTTTAACAAAATGTCCCTATTAACTTTCTCAGATCTTGGATATATTTCAAATAAATAAACATTCTAAAAAATTATATATCAATCTGAAGTATTTTTTAATTTGAATTAATATTTTACTTTAACAAAGTTATAATAAACAACAATAAAGTTTTAATGAATTTTTATAACATATTTTTTGTAAACCAAAAAGTGACTGAAGCAGGTCTCAATTGATTAAAGCTGGCCCAACCCGTAGCCCAGGGGTCACGTGTGTCTCAAGATGGCTATGAATGTGGCCCAACATAAATTCGTAATCTTTCTTAAAATATTATGAGATTTTTTTTTTGCGTTTTTTTTTTTTTTTTTCTCATCAGCTAGCGTTAGTGGTAGTGTATCTTATGTGTGGCCCAAGACAATTCTTCTTCTTCCAGTGTGGCCCCGGGAAGCCAACAGATTGGACACCCCTGAATCAGAGGTCTATTTTACCAAGGTTGACTACACGCCCAGGAAAAATAAACACAAGTCACAATAGGATCTGTGACCTGTGCTTTTTCCAAAGATGGTTTTGGGAACTTCAATATTTAAAGGGAAAAGTGTAAGCAGGAGGGGAAGAAAAAAAAATAGGAGGAGGGTGGGTGGGTAGGCAATGAGGCAAATGGTTACACTCTTGTAAGGCTCTACATTTTACATGTGAAAAGAAGGGTATAGAGGAAAAGGTCAATTATGCATTTGTTTCATGTTCTGTAACTCTACATTTTATATAACATAAAGTAAGCATGTGAAGTTATGGCTATCTGTTTGGGAACAAAAGGAAGGCCATTTTTTTGTGTGACTCAGTTCCCAGGCTTAACTTTCCTCTGGCATAGTGAATCTGGGGTTCTGAGATTCTATTTTTCTCTCACATTTTATAATGAAACAGACTGCCTAGTGAGAAGTCTTAAATAAAATAGCACCATGGTTCAGAACTGTAAGCTCAGAGGAATTGTCAGGAAAGACTTCTTTCACATGTGCCCCTCAAACAAAATTTCTGCTTTGCTGTGATTTAGAGTTCAGGAATCAGGCCCAACTCAGTTCTTTCCTCCCCTTAAGGATTGCTGTAAGACACAACTTTGTTTTGGAAACCAAACAAATAGGTGTTAGAAGACAGGTCATATCCAGGGGTTGGCCTTGCTAAGACTCAGTCACAATATTTCTTCTGTGCTATAAGGAATTCGTTAAGTGTGTGTTTTAATTCAACCAACCTGAAGAGAAAATTGTTTGATATTATTTGACTAACAGACAACATTTTCTCCAGGTAGGCTTAGATAACTAAATTTATTAATATCATAAAGTTTCATCATTTCACCAAGTGTTGAATCTCTGGTGGATGTTCTAGGCAAATTACTCTAGGTGATGATAATGCAGTGTGAATAAGTCATTATGGTCCTTACTTTCACTTAGCCATGGGCTGTTTATAAGATTATAAAAAATTATAATCTTATATAATTATAAGATTATAAGAAATCAAATGAAAGTTTGCTAGCTTCACACTAAACTAAGAGACTTCTGTTAGCTCATACTCTAAGAACTGAAGATTATTTTTGCTGTTCTTTAGAGGTTATAAAGTTTATTAAAAATCATTTTACCTTATATATATTAAAATTTCTGGTAAATGCAATCATTTGTATGATACTTGAATGCATATTTGTAGGATCTAGTTAGTATTAGATCAACTAACATATGGTCATTGTATTTCCTTGGATATTACATTGGAAGGTTGATCATCAACTGTCATCCACATGAACTGATTTGATGATGAAGATGGTCATATATTAAAGCTTGGTTGTTTCCATCATTTAGAAAACTAAACTGTTCTAGCAACCAGTAAAATGAATAAAATTTTTGTAGATCACATAGATAAATATTAATTTCAATAAGATACCAATTTTTATGATAAGTACAAATGAATCATCTTCTTTATTGATGTCATGATGTTTGTGCTATATTCTTATTTCTATGAATCTATGTATCTCCCTTTCTATGTATCTACACATCATATATCTACCTACCTACCTATGCATTTATCTATATCACTTAGAATTCTACTTTCTTCAGAGAAAGTAACATAAGATTGAAATTAAAATCAATTAAATAATAAAAGGACTTTATTGGCTCACAAGCTGAAAATTTTACAGCTAATGGGTACTTTGCTAGATCCAGAGATTCACAATGCCCTCAAGGCACATATGCATTTGTTTCTGATTCTTTAACAGTATCTTCCTTGTTGTGTTGTTTCCACCTTAGCCTGTCAGTTCTCTTGGTGGCTAAATGGCTGTCTGCAGTTTCTTGATCTACTTTTTTTTTTATAACTTCTAGGAAAAGAGCATTGCATTAAGCCTGAAATTATCTAAGAGAAATGGTGAGAATCTCTCAAACTGGATTTCCATGGCTTCCCAGAACCTATCACTGGGGGATAGGAGAATATCATCTGTTAATCTGGCTGACTTTTAGATCATTGCTTACCTTGGAAAAATCACCTTGACAAACACCAAGAGCAACAGCAATAACAGAATTACAATGATTAGCTTAACCCAATCGGGGCCTTCCTTTGGTGCTTCAGAGGATCAAAATCCAAATAGCTGTCTGAAACAGAGAGTGTGTGGCTTGTTTCTCCAAAGTAAATTCAAGGTACTGTTGTAAACACAATGTTTTGGGATATGGATATGCATCAACAAGTGTGTGTATATATATACATATACATATACATATACATATGTATATGTATATGTATATATATACTCACATATGTTTATCCTTTATTCACTCATTCATAAATCCAATTTATCCATCTATCCATAATCTCTGTCAATGTGCCTCTCCCTTTGTCTGTGTACACATGCAGCATGCTTTCCATGTAAGTAGTGTAAACATAGAAAAACAAGAAATTTAGAAAATCACAAGCAAAGCAAATGACTTAAAATTTTGCAACCTATTAAGGACTACGTTATTACTATGTTATTACCAAATTCTATGTTATTACTATGTTATTACCCAAGTCTAATAAAATAATAAAATCTGATATGGGAAATACTTAAATATACGTACATTTTATTCATTTGTTTATTGATGTTTTTGCTTATATTTCCCATTATTGATACATAAAAAATAAAGATAGGAAAAACTCATTATGTTTAATAAATTAGAATACCAAAATGATGAATAATGTTTAAATTATAATTGCTCCATAGGCATGTATTGAGATTATAGTATTACTATTATATATTCTTGTTGGACAAGAAAAGCTGTTGATATAGAGGCTCTACTGAAACATAAATGAGACATTAAATTATTTTATTAATTCTTGAAAACAATTTTTAAAAGATTATCCAAGGTTTTAAAAGATAATAATTTTTAAATTATTTACACTGTATGAAATTTTACATATGGAGGATAAGAAAATCAATGTCCTCCTCTAGAGTTAAAAAAGGTCAGAGATTGCAGTAAAGCCATTTAATTATTGTTAAATTTCATTATTTGTTTACTATCTTTGACAACTAGAAAAAAAAACTTACCTAGTTGGTGAGAGAACCAAGTACATAGTGGGTATTTCAGATATGGAGAAGGTGCACATATAGTTTGCTTTCACAATATAGAGGGTAAGAGAGAGGTTTAGTGGTAAAAGATGCAAAGTTTGAGAATGCATGGTTTGCTTGTTATTTAAGTGGAGAAATGTGTGTGTGTGTGTGTGTGCGTGTGTCTGTCTGTCTGTCTGTCTGTAGATCAGAGAACAGACACTAGAAAATTAAAGATGGAAAATAGAATAATTAGTTGAACTGGGAAGTTGAGGGGGAAAATTGTTGATTCTATTGATCAGGTGAAGGAGTTATCTTTTCAAAGCAAAGGAATGTGTCTTTGGCACAATAGGCAGTTTCTAGTGTAGAGAAGAGTGAAAAAAAAAAAAACCTGAGGAAACCCAGTGGAATCACTACAGTACTTAGGATGCAGAATTATCTGCCAATTGTATTAATGTTAAAGAGCGATCGAGGGCTACATGTAGTGGAGAAATACTGGAAAGGCTGTTTTTGATAATGTGATAAGGGATCAATTAATTATAAAACTGATACCAACCAGGTCCAAGTTACATGGAGCAGTCAATATGGCAGAAGAATGCTGATAATCTGGGGGGGTTGGAAAGATTCAAAGAGCTGATAAAGGCATTCACAGACATAATTTGTTGTAAAATCAGAGGCATTTGATTCCAAACTCAACACTTTTAAATAGTATGTTTACTATTTAACATCAAAAAAGGGGAGGAGGGGAAGAGAAAGAAAAGAAAAAGACTCTGTTAGTCCTCAAAGAGAGTAGAGCCTCTTGCAAACTACATAATAAAACACAATTCTCTTCTGTTTAAGCAAAATACATATTTTCAGATAATTATATGTCTGACCCTTGAATAATCGGTAAGTAAACTATTGACTGCACAAAATTGACTTTTTCCTTAAGTGGATTCAATGCTACATTAAAAGTACATTACATCTCTTCCTGTTCCCTCCCTCCCTTCTTTCCTTTTTACCTCCTTTCCTTTCCCTCCCTCCCTCCTTCCTTCCTTCCTCTGTTTTTCTATGCACAAATATTTTGAATGCCAAATATATGCCAGTTATTGGAATAGACACTACAAATTTATAATCATCTTTTGACTAGTACGAAAAAACCTGACACAGATGTTTCCATTACAGAGTCATAGGATATGATAGAGCCAAGCAGGCAGTGTTACTGTGTTAAACCTTAAAGAATGACATATAGGATAGATTGCAATATTGTTCACAAATATCCCTTGTCTCCCCTACTGGCCATTTTCAGAGACCCCTCCTAAACCCAATAACCTTGGCTATGTGACTTGCTTTTGCAATGAAATGTGGGTGAAAGTGACAAGCAAAAATTATATAAGCCACTGTGTAATTTCATTTTTCCTGTCTGGTATGGAACCCACAATATTCTAGAGAAAAGCTACTTTTCTGTCTAGATCTCGGACTGCAGTGGGTATGGAGCAGAACATCCACCTGCTCACAATGAACTGCATATAAACGAGAAATAAACATTTGCAAACTACTAAGATCCAGTTGTTAATAAGAGCATAGCATATTTTGGAGTTAAAAGTATCAGAGTTTAATCAGGTTCAACACAAAGGTGGAAGTGGAAGAGAAGGTGAAAATAGGTGAGTGTGTACTTATGTGTGTGTTTGTGGTAGGGGAAACTGGTGGTGTTTTGGTGAATAGATTTAAGGAGAAATGAGACTGGAAACTCTGAAACTAAGAGGGTATTCAATAATGTTTTTCTGTAAGAGTTTTCCAGGTAGAGTCTCTTTGACCACCCCTCTACAGGCAGCTATCAGCAATAAGGAAATTCAGTTTGTGTTGCTGTTGCCTGAGTGATCCACAGAATCTGGAAGCTACTCATGGTCATGTGGACCCGGGCTTCTTGATCTTGCTTTGATTATAACCTGCGTGAAGGTAGAGAACACGTGCCTCATGTCACCTTTCTAAGAACTTGTATATTAAAGTATTTCCTTATAAAAGAGCAAGCAGAGGGAAATAAATGGAGATTTATCTTACCTATATTGGCTCAAATGTCAAAGATCTCCCAGAAGAGTGTTTCTTAAAATGTTTATGATAAAAGACTCATCAATCCATCATGGACTAATACTTTTGTAAAATACACAAAATAAATTGCTAAAAAATAATAACACATATAAAATACAAGTTTATTTTTGTAGCTTCAACAGACATAATTAGTCTGTCAAATTTCTATGATCATTTCTAAATATTTAATTTTAAGTTTTGTGCTAATATTGTTATAAATTTTAAAAAAATGTGCAGAACAAATCTGCTTTGGGGCTGGTTTTGAATAGCACTATTCAAGAAGACTCATTATTTTATATATTTTCTAACATACAAAACACACAGACAAAAATATCAAATAAAGAGGTAAATTGTAAAGTTCACTGTTTGTAGAAAGTGGTCTTGATAGCTTTATTATTTCCTATTAGAATAAAACTCTCCACCTTGAAGCCTCTATGCCAAATGGACATGTAATTTAAAATGAACAATTGCTCATATTTTATCAAAATAATATTGTGAAAACAATTCTTCAAATTAATTATCTTCAATTGCTGAAAGTCACTTTCTTATTTTTTATAAATTTTATTTATATAGAGAAAACATAACAAAATGAACAAACACTAAAATGGTTAAAATAAGACAAAAATTCCCATCTATGATATAGAATCAGTAAACCACACTCTCTCACTTTCTCTATTATGATGTTTTTGAATGTGCCAGAGTTCCTAAAATCAAAATGCTAATAACTAACTAGCTTAGTCACAGAAATCAGGTTGATTTGTCAACACTTAAGCTCTTGGCAAAATCTTGATATTGAGTCTCTTTGGACTGGCCATTGTGCTTGAGGTATGACCTTGGATTTTTAGAAAAAATGTTGTGTCAGGTGTTGCTCTTGCTTATTTGTAAAGAAAATCCAGAACTCATGGTAATTATTGGCATTTCAATTAATAGCACATAAAGTGCATTTTGACCTTTACTAATTTTAACACCTTAATAATAATAATAATTTCCAAATGTTATGTTTATTTTCCTCCAGTATGCCGGCAGCATCACTAGCAGCAGCAGTTGAGTCATTGATATAATTAATTTCTCCACTGACAAAACTTCAATGTATGTACCCCAAACATTTCACATGAATGATAATAATGTATTTCAACATGTTATTTCTCCTACTTTATAATTTCTCATAAAGTTTAATAACAGATAAGTTTATAAATAACATCTGGTAAATATACTTTCAAGATATAAATAGGGTTATGAAGCTGATGGCTTACAAAAAGTCTTGAGAATGTTAACATACACTTCAATATCTTAGTTTAAAAAAGATGTACTTTGTATGGTCATAGAATATGAATAAGATAAGTAGTGGCTCTCCATGTTGTGCTAGAAAGATAATGTACAAACTTTTATTTAGTAATAAACAGCATCATGGCAAGAGAGCATTTGATATTTAGGACTGCAGAAAGCTTTTCTCTTCAATACGAGAATGACTACTGAGCAAGGCGACCCTCAGTCCTCTCCATTTTATCATAAGAAAATAAATTAAAAATATATGAGAAAATAACAGCAACATGAACAAGAGAAAACCCATGGAGTGAAAATTTGTTAACTCCCTGGGCGGAATTCAATAACAGGCAAGTGAGTCCTTTTGTTAAAAGGCTGCTTCACACTGGGCCTTCAGGGGCCATTTGTTCATGTGCCAGAGCACCTGCTATTAATTTCTTACATCCCATTTCAGGAGGAACAACTCCTCTTTATGTCTTTCTCACCTCTTACATCACGTTCTTTTAGGAACATCTAAAAATAAACCAAGACAGATAGCTAAGGGACTTGGGATTTTGAACAAACTTTCTGCATTATTAGCCCCCAAATATTTTATTTGAAGGGAATTAAATATAAGTTAGTTAAGTAATGTCAAACCCTAATTTTCATTATTGGAAAAAGATTAAAATATCTGCAGGAAATTAAGTATATCTGGAGAAAGCGGACTTTTTGTAATACATATATCAGATCTTCTTAATTTTAGTGCACACTATCTCAGTTTCATTGTAGATATAGTGGCTGCTCACCAAAATGGTTTTAACTAATGCTTTTAAAATTTCTTCTCCAGTTATTAGATTTAGTAAAATTAGTATCAATTTAAAATGGTCATCTTGAAAGACTACAGGGATTTTCTTTTCCATATTGGACTCTGTCTACACTAGCCAAAGACTTGGAAAAGCAAATTACTTGGATGACTAGGAAGGGGTTGTTACTCATGGAGACGTCATTCTAGTATACCCTAAATGAAACTCCTAGTACCATTACTGAATCCACATTTTTATGTTTTTATAGTTGTTCACTCCAAATATTTATAAATAAAATATAATATACAAATAAAATGAATTTAACTGGGCATAGTTAATAAAAACCTATACATATCTTGTGCATTCAAATAATTCTACAAATCCTGCTATTTTGTTTTGTTTTACCAAATCAGAGCTTGAAAATCTTGTTGAAAAAACAATTACATTTTAAGACATACCTTTAATTGCAACTTATTTCTACTAGTTCTGGGCAGTGTGTGAATGGATTTGTCATATATTCATTTTCAAACAAAATCCACCTCCAGGTACAGACAACTCCCCCATGGAGAACATGTTTTTGTCGGTTCTGGTGGTTATGCTGATAAGAACCTTGAAGAAAGCACTAAACTCTTTTCAAAGCACTAGGTAGTTGGAAGCCATCATGGAGTCAGGACTTGTGTTTTGCTACTGTTTTGTGTTTACCTGTTATAGCAGGTATTATGATCCACTACAGAAGAACACAGGTAAGTCCCAAGAAAAAGTGATGAAGGTGATAATGTGAGGTTTTCTAACTCACATCCTTAAATTGAGCACTGGCACAGTGAACATGACCTATAATAATGTTGTTCAATTAAACTTTCTGTAATGGATATGTGTGTGTGTGTGTGTGGTGTATATGTAATGTATATGTGTATGTATATGTGTGTGTGCTTGTGTGTGTGTGTGTGTGTGTGTGTGTATATATATATATATATATTTTGTATATATATATATATATATATTATATATATATATATATGTTGGAGTCTTGCTCTGTCACCCAGGCCCGAGTGTAGTGGCGCAATCTCGGCTCGCTGCGACCTCTGCCTCCCAGGTTCAAGCAATTCTCCTGCCTCAGCCTCCAGAGTAGCTAGGATTACAAGTGTGCGCCACCACACCCAGCTAATTTTTGTATTTTATTTATTTATTTATTTATTTTTGAGATGGAGTTTCGCTCTGTCGCCCAGGCTGGAGTGCAGTGGTGCGATCAGGGTTCGCTACAGCCTCCGCCTCCCGGATTCAAGCAGTTCTCCTGCCTCAGCCTCCTGAGTAGCTGGGACTACAGGCGCACACTGCCATGGCTGGCTAATTTTTGTATTTTTTGGTGGAGATGGGGTTTCACCATGTTGGCCAGTATGGTCTTGATCTCCTGACCTCATTATACACCCACCTTGGCCTCCCAAAGTGCTGGGATTACAGGTTGAGCCACTGCTCCCAGCCGATGGATATATTTAATATATGCACTATCAAATTTGATAGCCACAGCCATATGTATCATGTTCTCATGTTTCTATATTTGTTTGCATCTTGTTCTAACTTTTGTCTGTTTATCCTATAGTATTATTTTCTGGTGCATTCTTTTAAGTTATTTATTTTTGTAATTAAGTCACATGTCTAAAATACCAGGCTAGAATATTTAGTCTCCCGTTATTTTTCTTCTCATTTATATTTCCTCTTCACATCTAATAATTTTCTTAAAAATTCAATCATGTGATCTCTCTGCTATGTAAATTTCCATACTTCCTTATTACCTACCAGAGAGCTTCCAAAATTTTTGGTCTTACATTCAAAGTCTTTTCTGTTCTCGTTCTAGCTGACCTTCCAAATATTCATACATTGTATTATTTTTCTAAATTGATCAATTATTCCATTTAAAGCATGTTTCTTTGTCTTTTTTGTAAACCATCTTGAATTATTTCTTTTTCCTATTCCCACATACCAATCTCTGACTGTAGTCAGTTGACTGGTGGCCACCAAGAATACATATATTCGCTTTCCACCTCATTGAGCCTAGAAATTCGGCCGTATTTGGAAAAAGGGGACTTTGCAGATCTAATTAGTTGAGAATCTTGGGGTTGGATCACCCTTGGTGGATGCTGTATTCAATGACAAATGTCCTTATAAAGGACAGAAGAGAAGACACAGATAGAGGAAGAGATCATATGAAGATAGAGGCAGAGATTAGATTTTTGGAAGCACAAGCCAAGAAACATCTGGAACCATCAGAAGTTAGAAGAGACAAAGAATGACTTTCCCATACAAAAAAATTAGCCCGGCATGGTGGCGGGCACCTGTAGTCCCAGCTACTCGGGAGGCTGAGGCAGGAGAATGGTGTGAACCCGGGAAGCGGAGCTTGCAATGAGCCAAGATCGTGCCACTGCACTCCAGCCTGGGTGACAGAGCAAGACTCCGTCTCAAAAAAAAAAAAAAAAAAAGAAAGAAAAAAAAAAAAGAATGATTTTCCCTTAGGGCTTTCAGAGGCAGTACAGCCCAGCCAACTTAACTTTGAACTTGTTTCCAGAGCCATAAGATAATACATTTCTGTTATTTTAAGTATCAAATTTGTGTAATTTGTTACAGTAGACCTATAATACTAATATACTGAACAAATTACCAAATTCCATTTATCCTTTGGCATCCTGCCAGTGAAACATTCTCACCTTCAGAAAGTAACCTGATCCCCATCCATTGTTTTTTTACACATTTCTTTTGACGTTTCTTACTGTTATCTGTATGCAAATATATGGTAATCTTCTTTACTTACTAAACTGTGTGTGCTTGGAGGAAAGTTACCATGCTTTATACATATCTATGGTCCCATTACCTACCACAGTGTCTCATACATGATACTAAAGTGCTAATAAATATTGTGCAAATGAATATTTTGCAGACCATTAAAAATTTTGCTTTGAAAAATTATTTGATTCTTCTAAATCCTCAGTGATTCAATAGAAAGTTCTGTCCTGCTATTATTCTAAGCATATCTTCAAAATGCAGCTTCAATGTATATATAAATAATTAGTCTCAAAATATAGTACTTGAAACATTCATTCGATTGTTTCCTTTTTAATGGAGTACTCCAACAGTAAGAAAAACAACTGTAAAAATCTCGTTATTTATAGTAATGAGCCCAAGCGCAGTAAGGGCTTGAAATTAAAACATTGTATTTTGAAATATAATTATAATTTTTATAGACATTCTATCTGAAGTATGATTTGTTGAAACAATTCTTTGTTTTAAGAAAATGAACTATAATTTAGGTGAAGTATCTTTTGTAAGATTGTTTAAAGGAAAGATGTAGGCTGTGTGTTTTCTTTTAATAATATGCTATTACCTTTTTGCAAAGCTGCATAAATTAGACTTCTGTTATAAAATGTGTTTGTGGGAAAAATAATTGTCAAAAGGATATTGGTGACAATATAATCATATACTATATCAGACAACCTCTTAACAAATAGTTACGTACATAATGGCTGATTTTTGAAATAAGAAGACGACACAAAATGAAAATAAAAGTGATTCTCATCTCATTTTAAAAGTAAATGTCAGTGGAGTTGAATGTAGTTTCTTTAACTTCAGATTATGTAATTTAACATGGCATCATTACAGAAAGTGGGAACTACTATTCTCCATTAATATAGTTCGATATTTTTTCTCCCCCCAAAAAGGTCATGATCTCACTCTCAAAGTAAATGCACCTTCCCATGAAATTCTGCAGAATCCCTCCACTTCAGAAAATGACATGTTATTCAAGAGAAAAATGGTATTACAATGAGAAAGAATATAGAAATCAAATGATAATTATTTTATCTCTATTACATTAATATATTTTATTATTTGTCATATATTTGGTTTCTTTTTGAAATTTTTACTTTATTTTTTGATTTTATTTTTTAACATTTATTTTAAGTTCTGGGGTATATGTGCAGGTTTGTTACATAGGTGAAGTTGTTTCATGGGGGTTTGCTGTACAGATTATTTTGTCACCCAGGTATTAAGTCTAGTACCCATTAGTTATTTTTCCTGATTCTCTCCCTCCTCCAATCCTCCATCCTCTGATAGGCCCCAATGTGTGTTGTTCCCCTCTACGTGTCCAAATGTTCTGATTTAGCTCTCACTTATAAGTGAGAATATGTGGTATTTGGTTTTCTGTCCTCTTGTTCATTTGCTAAGGATAATGGCCTCCAGCTTCCAGCTCCATTCATGTCCTTGCAAAGGATGTAATCTCGCTCCTTTTTATGGCTGTATAGCATTCCATGGTGTACATGTACCACATTTTCTTTATTCAGTCTATCATTGATGAGCATTTAGGTTGATGCATGTCTTTGCTATTGGGGATAGTGCTGCAATGAACATAGGCCTGCATGTGTTTTTGTAATAGAACAATTTATATTCCTTTGAGTATATACCCAGTAATTGGATTGCTGGCTCAAATGCTATTTATGTGTTACTTGAGGAAATAGCCACACTTTGAGGAACTGCCAAGGTGTCTTCCACAATGGTTGAACTAATTTACATTTCCAACAGTGTACAAGTGTTCTTTTTTCTTCAAAACTCTCCAGCGTCTTTTTTTTAATTTTTAGTAGTAGCCATTCTGACTATTGTGAGATGGTACCTCACTGTGGTTTTGATTTGCATTTCTCTAATGATGAGTGATGTTGAGCTTTTTATTTCATATGCTTGCTGGACACATATATGTCTTCCTCTGAAAAATGTCTGTTCACTTCCTTTTCTCACTTTTTAACAGTGTTGCTTGTTTTTTTGGTAAATTTGTTTAAGTTCTTTATAGATGCTGGATATTAGACTTTTGTCAGATGCATTGTTTGCAAACATTTTCTCTCATTCTATGGGTTGTCTGTTTGCTCTATTGATAGTTTCTTTTGCTGTGCAGAAGCTCTTTAGTTTGATTATATCCCACTTGTCAATTTTTTCTTTTGTTGCAATTGCTTTTGGTATCTTCATCACGAAATCTTTGCCTGTGCTTATGTCCTGAATGGTGTTGCCTAAGTTGTCTCTCAGGATTTTTACGGTTTTGGGTTTTACAATTAAGTTTTTATTCCATCTTGATTTAATTTTTTTATATATGGTGTAAGGGAGGGGTCCAGTTTTAGTCTTCTGCATATGGCTAGCCAGTTATCCCAGCACTGTTTACTGAATAAGGAGTCCTTTCCCCATTGTTTCTTTGTTTTCAAGTCTGTTGAAGATCAGATATTTGTAGATGTGCATCTTATTTCTAGGTTCTCTATTCTGTTTTATTGGTCTATGTTTCTGTTTCTGTACCAGTACCATGCTGTTTTGGTACAAGAACAAAACAGAAATACTACTATAAGTACTATACTACTGTAGCCCTGCAGTATAGTTTGAACTCAGGTAGTGTGATGCCTCTAGTTTTGTCCTTTTCACGTAGGATTGCCTTGTCTACTGGGGTTCATTTTTGGTTCCATATGAATTTTATTTTGTTTTTTGTTTCCCAGTGCATATAAAAGATGTTAACATTAGACAGCAATCTATTAAGTTTTCAATAGCACTATGTCTCAAAAAAAGTACATACCTTAATTAAAACTTATGTTATTGCCCCAAGGCCCATCAATCAATGAGTGAATAAAGAAATAGTGGTATATATATACAATGGAATACTACTCAGCCATTAAAAAAGAACAAATTAATGGTATTCATAGAAACCTGGATGGAACTGGAGACTATTATTCTAAGTGAAGTAACTCAGGAATGGAAAACCAAACATTCTGTCTTCTCACTCATAAGTGGGAGCTAAGCTACCGGGATGCAAAGGCATAAGAATGATACACTAGTTTTTGGAGACTCAGGAGAAAGGGCGGGAGGCAGGTGAGGAGTAAAGGACTACAAACTGGGTTGAGTGTATACTGTTGGGGTGATGAGTGTATACTGTTGGGGTGATGAGTGCACCAAAATCTCACAAATCACCACTAAGGAATTACTCATGTAATCAAATACCAACTGTTCCCCACAAACATGTGGAAATAAAAATTAAAATATAAAATAAAATAAAAATAAAAATTACACTATTGCAAAAAAAAAAACTGCTGATGATCATCTCAGACTTCAGCAACTCATAATCTTTTGGCTGTTGTATAATCTTGCCTTGATGTTGCTAGCTGCTGATTGACAAAAAAGGTGGTTGTTGAAAGTTGCTTTAGCTTTGGCAATGACTTAAAAGAAGGCAATGAGGAAGTGTTGCTGCATTCATTGACTCTTCCATGAAAGATTTCTCTGTAATGTGTGATGCTATTTGATAGCGTATTTTAAATTTTATTTTAATAGTTTTGTGGGAACAGGTGGTGTTTGGTTACATGGAAAAGTTCTTCAGTGGTAATTTCTGAGATTTTGGTGCACATGTCACCCAAGTAGGGTACACTGTACTCAATGTGCAGTCTTTTATCCCTCACCTGCTTCACCTTTCCTGTCAAGTCCCCAAAGTCCACTATATCATTCTTATGCCTTTGTATCCTGATAGCTTAGCTCCTGTTTATAAGTGAGAACATACGATGTTTGGTTTTTCATTCCTGAGTTACTTCACATAGAATAATGGAATTTTAATTTTTTTTTCTAGTTCTGTGAAGAATCTCAATGGTAGTTTAATAGAAATAGCATTGATCTATAAATTGCTTTCGGCAGTATAGTCATTTTAACAATATTGATTCTTCCTATCCATGAGCATGGAATATTTTTCCATTTGTTTGTGTCATCTCTGATTTCATTGAATACTGGTTTATAGTTCTCCTTGTAGAGATCTTTCACCTCTCTGGTTAGCTGTATTCCTAAGTATTTTCTTCTTTTGTGGCAATTGTGAATGGAAGTGTGCTCCTGATTTGGCTCTCAGCTTAACTGTTGCTGATGTATAAGAATGCTAGTGATTTTTGCACATTGATTTTTTATTCTGAAATTTTGCTGAAGTTGTTTATCAGCTTAAGATGCTTTTGGTCTGAGACTATGTGGTTTTCTAGTTACAGGATCATGTCTTTCTGCAAACATGGATTGTTTGATTTCCTTTCTTCCTACTCGTATACCCTTTATTTCTTACTCTTACCTGATTGCCTTGGCCAGGATGTCCAATACTATGTTGAGTAGGAGTCCTGAGAGGGCATCCTTGTCTTGTGCCAGTTTTCAATGGGGAATGCTCCCAGCTTTTTACCATTCATTGTGATGTTGGCTGTGGGTTTTTCATATATGGTTCTTATTATTTTAAGGTATGCCCCTTTAATATGTTGTTCATTAGGAATTTTTAACATAAATGGATGTTGAATTTTATCAAAAGTCTTTTCTGAATTTATTGAGGTAATCATGTGGTTTCTGCCTTCAGGTTTGTTTATGTAATGAATCATTTATTGATTTGCATATGTTGAACCAAAATTGCAGCTCAGAGATAAAGCCAACTTGATCATGGTGGATAAGCTTTTTGATGTGCTGCTTCATTCAGTTTGCCAGTATTTTGTTGAGGAGTTTTGCATTGATGTTCATCCAGGATATTGGACTGAAGTTTTCTTTTCTTACTGTATCTCTGCCAGGTTTTGCTATCAGTATGATTCTGGCCTTATAGTGTGGGTGAAGGATGAGTCCCTCCTCCTTAAATGTTTGGAACAATTTCAGTACAAATAGTACCACCAGCTCTTCTTTGTACATGTGATAGCATTCAGCTATGAATTTGTTTGGTCCTGGGTTTTTTTTTTTTTTTTGTAGGCTATTTATTATTTTCCCAATTTCAGAGCTTATTATTGGTCTGTTCAGGGATTTAAATTCTTTCTGATTAAGTCCTGGGAGGGTGTATGTGTCTAGGATTTATCTGTTTTTTTCTATATTTTCTAGTTTATGTGCATAGATATGTTCATATTTTCTGATGGTTGTTTGTATTTCTGTGGGGTGAGTGGTAATATCCCCCTTCTTGTTTCTAACTGTGTTTATTTGAATGGTTTTTCATGTCTCAATCTCCTTCAGTTCTGCTCTGATTTTGGTTATTTCTTGTCTTCTGCTAGCTTTGAGATTTATTTTCTCTTGGTTCTCTAGTTCTTTTCATTATGATGTTATATTGTTAACTTGAGAGTTTCCTAACTTTATGGTATAGGCATTTAGTGCTATAAATTTCCCTCTTAACACTGCTTTAGCTGTCTCCCAGAGATTCTGGTATTATGCTGTATCTTTGTTCTCATTAATTTCAAATAACTTATTGATTTCTGCTTTAATTTTATTATTTACCCCAAAGTCATTCAGGAGCAGGTGATTCAATTTCTATTTAATTGTATGTTTTTGAGTGAATTTCTTAGTCTTGATTTCTAATTTGACTGTGCTGTGGTCCAAGAAGATGTTTGTTATGATTTCAGTTTTTGTGCATTTGCTGAGAAGTGTTTTACTTCTCATTAGGTAATCAATTTTAGAGAATGTACCATGTGGCAATGGGAAGAATGTATATTCTGTTATTTTTGAGTGGAGAGTTCTATAGATATCTATCTGTAGATATTTGATACAGTACTGAGTTCAGGTCCTGAATATTCTTGTTAATTTTCTGTCTTGATGATCTAATATTGTCAGTGATGTATTAAAGCCTTCTACTATTATTGTGTGGGAATCTAAGTCTCTTTGAAGGTCTTTAAGAACTTGCTTTATGAATCTGAGGTCTCCTGTGTTGGGTGCATACATGTCAGAATAGTTAGATGTTCTTGTTGAATTTAACCCTTTACTATTATTTAATGCCCTTCTTTGGCTTTTTTGATCTTTGTTGGTTTAAAGTCTGTTCTGTCAGAAACTAGGATTGTAACCCCTTCTTTTTTCTGTTTTCTGTTTGCTTCCTGGATTTTTCTCCATCCCTTTATTTTGAGCCTATGTGTGTTATTGCATGTGACATGGGTCTCTTGAAGACAGTTTAAAAATGGGGCTTGGTTCTTTATGTCACTGGCCACTCTGTGTCATTTAATTGGGGCATTTAGCCCATTTACATTTAAGGTTAGTATTGAAACATGTGGTTTGATTCTGTCATCATGATGTTAGCTGGTTATTTTTCAGACTTGTTTATGTGGTTGCTTTATAGTGTCATTAGTCTGTGTACTTCAGTGTTTTTGTAGTGGCTATTTAGGGTTCTTCATAAATGCTTATTGAACAAATCAATCTTGCATGTGGTAGATTCTTTTTTTACAATTGATTTTAAAATTAGAAGAGAGAGCTCAATCTGTCTCTGTTTTTTAAATAACTCTAAGGAGTTTTTATGAAGTAAATTTGCAAGTATGTTACTCTTGTAACAACTACCTTCTATACAATGTCTGAGATACTGACGATTTTTAGCATACACTTAACTAGCACAAATATATTATTAACTATATGCATTGATATTTCATTTCTCTCCTTGTGTCACAAAGGAAGAGCTACCTTATTTCCTTGTTTCTTGGTTTTCTCTTCTCATACTTGAAGAATATCACTTCATCTTTGAATACCAACTCACCTGCATTCTTAGCTGTTCTCTATTTAAAATGAAATTGCTTTGCCTTTATACAGGTTGGAGTCTATTTTATATTCATAAACTTCCATTGATTCAACATTGTATTCTGGTTACCACCTTTTGTCACAGTCTACTGCATTTTAGAGAACATTTTTATTATTTGCATGGTTTCTAGGACAAAAGCCTGTAGGTTCTGGAACAGCTGGATTGTAATTCATTATTCTGAAGATTCATATACAGTATCAGCTGTGTGAATTACCATCCCACTGCTACAGGTAGCTGAGACCTGTAGTTTCAGTTTTTCCTAGGTGGATTATTTTCAAGTCATCATCTTGAAAGGTTGTCAAGGTTTCTGTTTCTTGCTCATGATGGTGGGTAAATCTCAACTAGCTGTCTTTTAATATAACACAACCTCTCAGGACTTCTGGTTTTCTTCAGGAAGACCAACTCCATCTCTCTCCACACAAGCAGTCAACTTGCTCAACAATTCTTGATTGACAATCAGAACCCCAGGTCTCCAAGCTCTGGCCTGAGCTGGTTGCTCTGCCACTGTTTTTAATTTGCTAACTTTGGATCTTCATTCTCTATCTTGGGTTATACTTTCACTTATGTCTTGTGGGTCTTCTGTTGCTGGCTCTTCTATCTTGGGTTACGATTATTTTAGTGAAGCACTAATAAGGTTTAAGGAAGGGGTCCAGTTTCAGTTTTCTGAATATGGCTAGCCAGTTTTCCCAATATCATTTATTAAATAGGGAATCCTTTCCCCATTGCTTGTTTTTCTCAGGTTTGTCAAAGATCAGATGGTTGTAGATATGTGGCATTATTTCTGAGGCCCCTGTTCTGTGCCATTGGTCTATATATCTGTTTTGGTACCAGTACCATGCTGTTTTGGTTACTGTAGCCTTATAGTATAGTTTGAAGTCAGGTAGAGTAATGTAGCGCTTTATTCTTATTGCTTAGGATTCTCTTGGCTATACAGGAATTTTTTTTTGTTCCATATGAAATTTAAAGTAGTTTTTTTCTATTTCTGCGAAGAAAGTCAATGGTAGCTTGAGGGGATAGCATTCAATCTGTAAATTACTTTGGGCAGTATGGCCATTTTCATGATATTGATTCTTCCTGTCCATGAGCATGGAATGTTTTTCCATTTGTTTGTGTCCTCTCTTATTTCCTTAAGCCGTGTTTTGTACTTCTTGAAGACGTCCTTCACATCCCTTGTAAGTTGTATTCCTAGGTATTTTATTCTCTTTGTAGCAATTGTAGATGGGAGAAAATCTAGAAGAAGTGGATAAATGTCCTTCACGTCCCTTGTAAGTTGTATTCCTAGGTATTTTATTCTCTTTGTAGCAATTGTGGATGGGAGAAAATCTAGAAAAAGTGGATAAATTTCTGGACACATACACCCTTCTGAGACTAAACCAGGAAGAAGTCAAATCCCTGAATAGAACAATAACAAGTTCTGAAATTGAGGCAGTAATTAATAGCCTACCAACCAATAAAAGCCCAGGACCAGACAGATTCACAGCCAAATTCTACCGGAGGTACAAAGAGGAGTGGGTACCACTCCTTATGAAACTATTCCAATCAACAGAAAAAGAGGGACTCTTCCGTAACTCATTTTATAAGGCCAGCATCATCCTGATACCAAAACCTGGCATAGACACAACAAAAAAAGAGAATTTCAGGCCAATATACCTGATGAATATCGATGCGAAAATCCTCAATCAAATATTGGCAAACCGAATCCAGCAGCACATCAAAAAGCTTATACACCACGATCAAGTTGGCTTCATGCCTGGAATGCAAGGCTGGTTCAACACATGCAAATCAATAAACATAATCCATCACATAAACAGAACCAATGACAAAAACTACATGATTATCTCAATAGATGCAGAAAAGGCCTTCAATAAAATTCAACACCCCTTTATGCTAAAAACTCTGAATAAACTAAGTGTTGATGGAACGTATCTCAAAATAATAAGAGCTATTGATGACAAACCGACAGCCAATATCTTACTGAATAGGCCAAACCTGGAAGCATTCCCTTTGAAAACTGGCACAAGACAAGGAAGCCCTCTCTCACCACTCCAATTCAACATAGCATTGGAAGTTCTGGCCAGAGCAATCAGGCAAGAGAAAGAAATAAAGCATTTTCAAATAGGAAGAGAGGAAGTCAAATTGTCTCTGTTTGCAGGTGACATGATTGTATATTTAGAAAACCCCATCATCTCAGCCCGAAATCTCCTTAAGCTGATAAGCAACTTTAGCAAAGACTCAGGATACAAAATCAATGTGAAAAAATCACAAGCATTCCTATACACCAATAATAGACAAATAGAGAGATAAGTTACTTTAAAGTACATTTTAAAGACAATTAGGAAATGATCGATAACATAGGAAAAATAGAATGGGGTAAGAGAAACTTGGAAGTCTATGTCAGAGAGGCACATTGCAATTTTCAATAAGGTAGTTAGCTGTACTGCTCTGAGAAAGGGAAATTTAATAAAAAGCAGGTATGATAGAAGTTAGAAAGGTAGTTATTTGATTATCTATGGGAAGAGATGTTTAGGCAGAGGGAAGCATCACTGCAAAGCCTCCAGGTAGGAACATGCTGCATTGTTCAAGGGAGCAAAGATGGCATGAGCAATTATCAAGAGGGAAATTAAAGATAAGTGAGCAAGTGGGCGCAAAGAAGGAGGTGAAGTTTGAGGCATAATAAGAGAAGGAAAGTCAACTTTTATAGGGCTTTAAGGGTAGAGTAACAGCCTCATTAATTGTATTAACTAGAACCCTTTCAAGAATAAAAATGGTCACTCATTATAATTATTCAAAGAAAATAGGCAACCTGAAATTTTCCAGGGTAAACCAGGACAGATATTCACCTTGGTTGTATATAATGTTAATAAATTTTGTATTCCTTTGAGTGAATTGACAAGATATTACTTTTCTAAAAAGTAGATAAGTGATGTTATTAGAATTAATTTTTAAGGAGATGACCATTGTCACTATGTTGAGCCCACATGATAGAGAAGCAAGGGTGAGAATGGACAAGTGGCAAGTCTACTGCCATCATCTAGGTGGGAAAAGATGGTGGCTTTGACCAGGGTGATGGCAGTGCAGATGCTGAAAAGTAGTTGGATTTTAAATATGCTTTAAAGGTATAAGTATAGATTATCCTGATATAGGCAAAGGCAATGATTAGGCAGTTAACTGGGATCCTACTTTTTTTCATATGAGCACAAAATTAACAAAGAGTTAAGGGTGTATTTAATGAAAATATTATACCTATTTCCTTTTGATTTGGATAAGGACAGAAAAAAGGCATCAAAAGGGTAAGAAACATTGAAAAATGAAAGCAAGGTTTTGTAAGATGCTGAAGGGTGTATGGATTACTGGAGTTGTGCTAACAACTGGAGGGCGTGAGCTAGAAAATGAGGGATTCTTTTTAGAAAATGAGAAGGAAAAGTTGAAGAGTTGCTGTTATTAGTAATGACAAGATCAAGGAGGGTATGGCACTGGGAGTTAGTGGCTGCAAGAGAGTTACAAAAGGGAAGCTAAGGGACTGACAGACTAGGATTATAGCACTATAATCTCTGCCTATGTTGAAATAACCAATATTTAAGAAAGAATAGTGTTGGAGAAAATGACAAACAGCATGATGCTAAACTACTTTGGAAGTAAAAAAGAATGGCCTGACAGCCAGTAAATGACTAAAAAAGTGAGTTGTTAGTAAGATATTTGATCACATAAGAGGCGTCAATGCTGGACTTTTTTAGGGAAAAGGGAATACAAATGATTTAGAATCAACCATGATGTCAGGTTTTCAGAAGAGTGTGACACTAAAACCAGCCAATACTGAATAGGGCATCAGAGATATTGTGCCTTCAAAGAAGAGACAGGTTTCTGTAGAGTGGACATGTAAAGGGAGCATTCACAAAAGAGGTTGCAGGCATAAAGATTCTTGCTAATAATGTCTGCACTATGGACAACACTGTGGAATGGCTTCAAGAGTTACTGAAAAGTTAGACAAATGGAGAGCAGGAATATACAGAGCTTCATTGGAATTAGGATGCAAAAAATGAGAGGTGACCTGGAAATTAGTCATCTGGTGATAACTAATATGAGTAAAGTTTAAGGACAGAAAGGAAACTGACTTGATGGATAAGGATACCAAGGGTGGTCACATATGAGTCTTGGGGTAAGAGTGGAGTGGGTTCTGGGGCTCTCCTGTGACCCCTCTTTATGTAGATATTAAGTATGGTCTGGAGATAGCTCTTAGTCCCAGTGATTAGTGACACTCTTTGCCTCTATTAGGGTAGGAAAAAGTTACTTCAAGTATGCAAGACTTCCCTCTGACTATCACTGACTGTTGTGTGAAAGGTGTGTATTACTTCCAGTATGGAATACTCTTTTAACCCATGCCAATAGCACTTGAAGGGACTTAGAGTGACATGTTCTTAGTCCCAGTGCCCTAGGTTTAACTCTTGGCCCTTTTTATGGAAGGGATGGTCTTTGTGCCAGTATATAGGTTCCCCTTGGCCCCTGGAGGACCACATCTAGTGATACTATCTTCACATGGAAAGAAGTTGGAAAAGAAAAAATGCAGCTCAGCCTCTGATGGCAGAGAAGCTGTTTTGACATATCTTAACCTCTGCACTTTTATGAGCTGGACTACACACAAGTAGGCCTTAGTTTTTTCCTATTAAATATAATCTCAAAAGACACCAATATCAGAAAAGGCCACCCTGAGACCATGAAGAAGTGAAAAAAAAACCCCACTCCATAAACTTATCTAAGCATAGTTCAAACAAACCACAAAAGCCCTAAACATTTCTCTATCCTGGCCTATATCCTGTTACTTCCTATTAAATATAATCTCAAAAGACACCAATATCAGAAAAGGCCACCCTGAGACAATGAAGAAGTGAAAAAAAAAAAACCCACTCCATAAACTTATCTAAGCATAGTTCAAACAAACCACAAAAAACCGTAAACATTTCTCTATCCTGGCCTATATCCTGTTACTTCCTTATCAGTTTCAGCTTTAGCCTTTCTCTACTCTTCCCTTCTCAATAATATTTATTGAGATGCTCAATCAAAGATATACCCCTGCCTCCTGACAGCATCCAATCAACAGCAAAGCCCCATTTTATTGAACTTCCCCCAAATCACCTACCACAAGACCAAATAAATTCTTTCTATCATTTTTTTTTTACTGGGATATCCATAGTTCACCATGGATTGGTGTCCCTCTTTGCAAAAAGTAATAGAACAATCTTGTTAAATTATGAATGCATTTATGATTATCTTAGGCTAGAGGATACTGACAAAGTGAAAGATGAAAAATCCACTCCCAGAAAAATAGGGAATGCATTCAGAAAAATAATAATTGTTTATTATACCAGTCCATTCTCTACTAAGATTTTAGTATTAAAAAGTCACACTAGGGTATCACAATTCTGAAGCACTTGAATATTTCATATATTGTTAAGTCATAATAAACATTTCATATTGACATCAAGGAGTTTCATCTGGTTATATCCTCTAAGTTTACCTGTTGGTCTATTTAAATCGATATTTTCATTTATCTCCAATTTTAGAAAAATATTAAAAGATAATTTCAAATGTCAAGCTTTATCATCTTTTCCTTGTTAGAATGCATATCATCCCTGCACTCCTAAATGTACTAAATGGGAAACACCTAGAAGATACCAAGTACTGTTCACATGATATCCCTTCAAGGAGATTTCAGATCCACTAGAAATAACTGAGAGCAGATATGGAAGTTTAGAACTGGTTATCCATAGCATGGCATCTGCCAAAAGACCTAGAAGCTGCTTTGCATCATTTAAGAGTGGACACCTGAAAAATCTTAATGTTACATTTAACAATTCTACTCTCTGCTGAACGGAAACAAAATAAGTCAGATAGAATCAATAAGAATAATGTCTGACTATCAATATGGGGAAAACCTATTTTATGTAACAATTAATTAGATAGAAAAAAGTATATTCTTAAGAGAGGATAATATGAATGACATTTAAAAAGGATCATTATGAAACAAGGGATAAAATAATTAAATGCTTTAAAGGTATTAAGATATTAAGATGTCATTTATTAAGACTAGGTGGCACTATGGACATATGCACATGATCTACTTACTACATAAAACAATGGTAGAGAATAACAGTAATAAAGAATAATATACTAAAATAATGTTATAAAAACATGTTATCTGTACTATAATTACCACTCTTTAAAATTTGTGTGTATCTTAATACAGTGTGATAATGAACACTGGGGAGTGACAAAATTTACTATTTTAAGATTGTAGTGGACTATCCTAAGTGACATGATTCACAAATTAAACAGCTTAAAAATGAAACTGAATCAAAACATATCTTGCAATATCTGAATTCAAGTTTTATTTGCCCAGCAGTAGTGTGCAAATCTACATATCCTAAGTAAATGGCCCAGAGTTATTGAATGAATATCTGCTGGATCAAACCTATGCATAATTTAGTTATGCGTCACTGCTTTTTCTACCCATTTCACAAATAATATTTACAAATTTGGGCAGAGTTAACATTACGCAGGGAAGAATAACCCTTAAGAAAACAGAAGTAAAATAATTAAAAATAAGTTAGTTTTGCATATTTTCATCTTTCCAACTACATATATTTTTATATATATATCCACACACATATATTTTGTATATATGGGATTTTTAATATCAAAAACATGTGTTCAATTATAAGTAGAATAACTTTTTGATTGTACAAATATACACTTCTGCTTCCTCAGAAAGGGCCCAATTCTGATTAGGTCTTGGAAAAACAAAAACATTGTGTAGTACAATTAATCCAAAAACAAACTAAAAAGAGCTTACAGAATATATCTCCATCCTCAAATATTTCAAGCACTCTTTCAAGCAGTGAATCTATAGCCATCGTAATCTGACATAGATGGTAATTTCACTATAAACCATGTATTGTGCTAATGAATATACAGGAAATATCTTCTATGGTCTGAATATTTCTGCCCCCTCAGAATTCATATACTGAAATCTATAATCTCCAATGCAATATTATTAAGAGGTTTGGCCCTTAGGAGGTGATTAGCCCCCATGAGTAGGATTCGTTCCCTTATTTAAAAGGCCCAGTGGAGCTTGGGGATGCAGCAGGAAGTTGCTGTCTACGAGGGAGAGAGAAAGCCTTCACTAGACACCAAATCTGCTGATGTCTTGACCTAGGACTTCTGAGCCTCTAAGGCTGTGAGCAATAAATTTCTACTACTTATAAATTTCTCAGTCTAAGGTATCTTGTTAAAGCATCCCAAATGGACTATACAGTATTTATAAAAGTGCATATTTTATAAAAGAGAAAACCTAGCTCAGACGCAAAAAGTGGCAGAGCTGAGAATCAAATCCAATTTTTTAGACACTGAAGTTTTATTTCCTTCCAACATTTTATGCTGCTTTAATCAACGGAAATTTTTAAATGCTTTTTAAGTTTATACTATAGTTATATATAGTTGGACTCAGAATAGAGATTATACTACTACTGTTCTATCAGATAACTCTCTGTCCCTTGTCAACATTTTAAACCTTTTGCTTGGGATATAATGAAAATATAAGAATTTATTTTCTTTTTACAATTATATAACTTCTTGAGTTTAAGGAAAAGAACTCCTTTCTTGAATATGTACTCAGAGATGGTGTTCTACAAAAGGATATAATGTATATATTATTCATGGCAGTCCTATTAATTTTTTTAAGAGAAGAAGACTAGGATTGAGTGCAGATACATAGTTTACTCATTTTAAACTTCAAGGTTTAAATTCCATTGAAGTTTTTAAATTTCATTGAAGTTTTCTTGATATTTGTTTCAAAGTAGAGGAATTTTCAAATTTTTTTAACTTTTATTTTAGGTCTAGGGATACATATGAAGGTTTGTTAGTTACGTAAACTCATATCATGGAGGTTTGTTGTACAAGTTATTTCATCAACCAGCTATTAAGCCCAGTACCCAATAGTTAGCTTTTCTGCTCCTCTCCCTCCTCCCTCAAGTAGGCCAGTGTCTATTTCCTTCCTTCTGTACATGTGTTCTCATGTTCTCTCCCACTTATAAGTGAGAACATGCATTATTTGACTTTCTGTTCCTGCATTAGTTTGCTAAGGATAATAGCCTCTAGCTCCATTCATGCTCCCTCAAAAGACACGATCTTGTTCTTTTTCATGGCTGCATGGAAATGGGATTGCTGGATCAAATGGTAGTTCTGCTTTTAGCTCTTTGAGAAATTGCCATACGGCTTTCCACGATGGTTGAACTAATTTACACTCCCACCAACAGTGTAGAAGTGTTCCCCTTTCTCCATAACCTCTCCAGCAGCTGCTATTTTTGGACTTTTTAATAACAGCCATTCTGACTGGTGTGAAATGGTATCTCATTGTGGTTTTAATTTGCATTTCTCAAATGATCAGTGATATTGAGCTTTTTTTCATATGCTTGTTGGCCACATATTATGTCTTCTTTCGAAAAGTGTCTGTTCATGTCCTTTGCCCACTTTTTAATCTTGTTGTTTGTTTTTCTCTTGTAAATTTAAGTTACTTATAGATGCTGGATATTAGATCTTTGACAGACGCATAGTTTGCAAAGGTTTTCTCATTCTGTAGATTGTCCATTAACTCTGTTGATAGTGTCTTTTGCTGTGCAGAAACTCTTAAGCTTAGTTAGATCCCACTTGTCCATTTTCTAAATTTTATGAGATTAATATCTATTCATAATTGGTGATGCTTATATAGAACCTTTATAGAAATAACTTCTAAGTAGTTTTTTAAAACTTGGCAAATCAAATAATTCTATGTGATAGAGAAAATGCCATGTTGTCCATTCTTTTAAATTTATAGCTGAATTAAAATAAGCTGAATACATTTACACTATCTTCCCTCTTCCCTGAATCTTAGAAACATAACTTCTTCAGTAGGCTGATAAAATATGAGGCATGGAGAAATTTTTTTTGAGTGCTTGTGCAGAGTTGGGACTTTATGAATACATTTTGCTGAAAACTAGGAGCGGGGCTAAGAGCTTACATTGAAAAGTTAATTTACAACTGTACAGATAGTTGTACAGTTGAAGTTGAGTGAACTCCAAAGGGATTTACATAATATAAAGGTATGCGTTTACATTTGAAAGGAATATAAGGCCTGTGATCTTGGAGACATCCCTAGGCTTTAGAAATCAGAGACACTTGGGTTTATCTGGCCTTTGACAGGATGTATTTGCTCTCCGCTAAGTTAGTAGGAAAACCCAGGACCCTTCCATCTCCTTTCCAGAGAGAAAAGGTTTTCCGTCTTTATTGAAGAGAGGAGCAGATGTAACTAACTTTTTCTGTTATACATAAGAAAAAATACATTTTCTTCTTTTTTTCAACCTTGAAGTATCTAGACATATTAGATTTTTTCATCTAGCTTTCATCATGTTGCTCAAGTGGTAAAAACTGGGACAAAGAGAAGCAGACAAGTTATTGCTATTCAAATATCTATCTGTAAAGATAGCTAAATTATGTTACTAATAACTAATTAACCTCTAATTCAGAATACCTCATGTGTTTATTCAGAATAAATTTACTAAATATGGCTATTACAAACCGAAGAAATGTTTTTGTTACTATAAATTTGCAATGGTAATAAGAGTGAATTTACTTTGTAGCATAATACTGCTTAAAGGACTAACTTCCACTTCCAGTTATAAGAAACCAGACTAACCGTACATAAATACCAATTCCACAGATTTGATAGTGAACTCTCTCTTTTGAACACATTGTAAATCTAGAACCTGTATTTATGCTCCTGTTTTAGGAAAAAAAAAAACACATTAATTTGTAAAATATTATTCCTTGAGCTTATAGGGAAGTAAGAAATTTTGAGGCCAAAATCTAAATAAAAGGTGAGAGGAAATGGAGAAAATGAGAAATGAAGCAAATAATTCAGCTTTTGCTCTGAGGAAATTAGCCAAACTCAGTGAATGTAGGTATCACTGATGATGGCCTTGTGGAGCTTGGGAAACCAAAGACAAAGGAGGGACAGACTCTTGGAGGGGAATCTAATAGGTGGACCTACATAAGGCTGGGTGCAATGGTATTGTTCTGAAAGAATAAAGGTGAGCTAGAAATAAACCCATATATCCATCACCATCCCTATATGCACCCTGTTCCGCTCCAACGTCACTCTTGCTGAACACAACAGAAAAATATCTCTCCTAACAATTGGTAAGCTTCTCAAACAGATTTGCAGACAAAATTTATAAACACTTATATGATTTTTAAAAATCTAAACTAAAATTTTGTTACAGCATCTCCCGCATGATAGTAAAGTTAGGCATTTCACCAAAGCAAAACTAAAATTCTTTCTGAAGGGATTCAATTTTACTCCAGGTCCCAATTTTCTATAAAAGAAATTCATGGAAACTTTGCCAATGAAAAATCCACATTCACTGAAGCCACAGGAAAACAAACTGACATGATTGAAAGCCAAAAATGACAATAAAGCTTCATATATTGAAGAAAGAAAATTAAAAATCATTACTATGATTCAAGTAGTAATAGAGATATTTGAATGAATAACTGAATGAAAACCACTTAAACTGACATTAAAGAAAAATCCAGGCCTGGTATAATGGCTCACACCTGTAATCCCAACACTTTGGGAGGCTGAGGTGGGGGATTGTTTGAAGCCAGGAGTTGAAGATCAGCCTGAGCAATACAGCAAGAGCCTCATCTCCATAAAATATAAAAATAATAAAAAAATTATAAAACAATGATTTTGTAAAGTCATATTTTGTAACTTAAAAAGAATGAATTATCTGGAAGAGAGCATAGAAGTAGAGAAAAGGGCCTGTATGATTAAGACACAGAAAAGATAATGAGCAAATCAATCTCGTCTCCTTTAATGCTTCTATTTTGTTTTCAGTATATGACTTTATTCTATAATTTCTGTAATAATTTTGTCTCATAAAATTCAATCTTATATTAATATAGATTATTTGTTCTGTAACTTATAGGGTACCCTTTTGTGAAAAATAAATGACTGAATGAATTTCTTACCAAAATAGGAAATATAAGCCCATGTAACACACCACAGATGCTTCTCAAATTACAATTGGGTTACATCCTAATAAAACCATATTAAGTTGAAAATATTGCTGAGTAAAAAATGCATTTAATATATCTAACACACTGAACATCATAGCTTAGCCTATCCTACCTTACACGTGCTCAGAACACTTCCATGAACCTACTATTGGGCAAAATTGTCTGGCACACCGTACACTGTAGAGTACCAGATGTTTATTCTGGTGATCATGTGGCTGACTGGTAGTGTGGCTTGCTGTTGCTGCCCCGCATCAGTTATTCCGTGTTTCACTAGCACAGGAAAATATCAAAATTCAAACTCAAAGTAGAGTTTCTACTGAATGCTCATCACTTTCACACCATCATAAGTTGAAAAATCAAGACATCAAACCATTAAATAGTAACTTGGGGACCATTTGTATATTGAAACTTCAGTAGCTTTGGTTTGGAATGTATTATTTCATCTTCCAATAGAGCCTATTTTTAAAAAACAGGTATTTTTAAGACTGTTATTTCTACACAGTGTTATAAGGCTTGCCATTAAGTGTGAAGTAGAGTAAGCTGAAGAGAGTCATGGTGCATTGATGTTTTTAGAGTCATTAGAAATTAGTATAATACGATAGCCTATTAATGAGAAATTTAGTGCAGAATAAGAAAGCAGAGTTATGTAATTTTGTATTGCTAATAACTTAGTTGTAGATAATAGCATTTAGGTTCAATATTCTTAATCACAGTAAAAAGCAGGATTTTGAATTAAAACTATATCAGTTCCATTTCCAACATATTTTTTTCCATTGGCTTTGTGACCTCATCCAAGTTGATTGACATCTCTGAACATAATTTTCTTCATGTGAAAAATGAAAATACTACCAGCTAATATGTTTTTTTAAGTAGGATAAAATAAGGTAATATGTGTGAATGCTTTATTCTAAGGTATTAAATATTATTTTTATCATTAGTATTATTAATAACAAGTAAAATTAAAGCAAGATATTATTACTTTATAGGCAATCTATGCAATGAGTTTACTTAAAACATTGAATCGCTGTGTGAATTGGGAAATGAATGTCAGCATTTTCTTTTTAATTTTGTTCTGAGAAGTCTATCTTTGAAACACACAGTTATGAAGTCCAGGAGTTAATTTTCCAAAGTCAGCATAGACACAAATAAGTACACGATATAATTGAAAAGGAAAGCACCATGCTGCTATATCAGAAGTAGAATATGGAAAAAAGTGAGAATGTCATCTCATAATGGGAAGCAGGAGGAAGCAACTGAAAAAAAAAATAAGAAAAAAATAAAGACACGTTAAATAGCCTTCATTGCAGCCTACTCAGCCTACGATGTCAGAAAAGTTTTAAAAACATTTATGTTATTGCTGAACCAGCAGAGAGAAAAAGTTATCACAAAGTATCTGCAGGCTGTGGTGACAGTATTTTCCACAGTTCACACTTGAAAAATGTACATTTTCTAATTTTTAGAATTTAAATTTATTTGTGCAATAATTAATTGGAAAAGAAATAACTGGAGTTCTTTTTATGACATTTATCTAAGATGTTTACTTCTACCTTTGTAAGCTGGAGGATCAGTAATAAATACCCAAACAAATGGCATTTATATTGTTTTATGTGCTAATGTAGATAAATACATAAATGCATTTGTGAGCTTTCGCTGCATAACAAATTATCTCCAAATGTAGTGGTTTAAAACAATCTATTCACTCACAGTTTCTGTTGCTCAGGAATCTGGCCACATCTAGTTCAGTGTCCCTTACAAAACTATAGTCAAGATAGCGGTCAAGGCTACAGTTCATCTGAAGTCTCAACAAGCTTGAGAAGCTTGGAAGCAGGGAAACAAAGATCCGCTTCCAAACTCACTCATGTAGTTGTTGGCAGGATTCATTTCCTGGGGGTTGTTAAATTCAGTTTCACATTGGGTGTTGGTCAAATGCCTTCCTCAGTTCCTTGCCACATGGGCTTCTCAGTAGGTTAGGGCACAATATGGAAGTTGCCCTCCATTCAAGCAAGCAAGTGAGAGAGAGCACAAGAAGGTGAGCAAGAGAGAAGTCGAAGTTTTTTTGTTGCCTAATCTTTGAAGTGACAGATCATTACTTTTACCATAATCTGTTCATTAAAAGTAAGTCACTGGGTCCAGCCCATACTAAGTATAGATTATGTATAATACTAGAACACTAAAAGATGTGGGTTATTGGGAGACATCTTAGAAGCTGACTACCACAATAGACCATACACAGAAACATAGATAAATATGTATGTAAATAAACAAACATGAGAATATATAAACAAATATGTGTTGATGTCAAATATTTAGCAAACTATACATTCATTTCTCTTAAATTAATATTTTTATTGTGTTCATGGCATTCAGAGTATAGCTAACTTCAAACACTGCAAAAGAGTGTTCCGGAAAATGTTCAAGTCCAAATGTCACTTTTAACCAAAAATATTATTCCTAGGATTTGTAGGTCAAATGAAAAGTAATACCTGTTTCAAGAAGAGTGGCTAGATAATGTGCAAATCAATTTTTTTTGGCCACAGATGATCTTATTTTTCATATATTTATTTGTAATTTTTAATGTTGTTCTGAAAAGATTATCTTCATTTTTTGAAATGATTTTGACAAACTTTTTTTTTTTTTTTTTTTTTTTTTGAGACGGAGTCTCGCTCTGTCGCCCAGGCCGGACTGCGGACTGCAGTGGCGCAATCTCGGCTCACTGCAAGCTCCGCTTCCCGGGTTCACGCCATTCTCCTGCCTCAGCCTCCCGAGTAGCTGGGACTACAGGCGCCCGCCACCGTGCCCGGCTAATTTTTTGTATTTTTAGTAGAGACGGGGTTTCACCTTGTTAGCCAGGATGGTCTCGATCTCCTGACCTCATGATCCACCCGCCTCGGCCTCCCAAAGTGCTGGGATTACAGGCGTGAGCCACCGCGCCCGGCCGACAAACTATTTTAAAACATAAAATCTTCATATATTTCCTCAAACATTTCCAAGTTATGAAGCTCTAGTGACAGACAAAGTAACAACTATTGACAACTAATTTCTAAATAAATATGCACAGTACTCCTTTTTTGTATTAATATTATTTAATTAGTAAAATTTCTAGAACTGAAAGTCATCATCACACTAAGTCTAGAATTTTAACAGCCTTATTTCTTTAGCCCTTCATTTACCATCTATGATCAGATCCCTACACATTACCCTGCTACATTGCAAAGACACAGGGGAACTAATATCTCATTCAAAAAGTGTGAAAAAATACAAGAAAATAAATGTATGCTTATAATAATTTATTTAAAAATCTGCTTACTTTCTGTCCTTCACAATCCTTAAAGCCCTAACAGCAGTATAAGGCAAAAGATTTCACCTTATGTCCAGCACCAATGGTTCCACCTCTGTAAATCCCATTGCCTCTGGTCATTCTGTCATATTTCACTCTCCTACTTTTTAATATATTTTTCCCTTCTCTCATTATATTAGGTTTTTACTTTCAACTCAGTTCTGTCCTATTTAAAACAGATATACTAACTAGCTGACTGACTAATTACCCAACCA
Organism: Homo sapiens; assembly: GCF_000001405.40. Lineage (NCBI taxonomy): Eukaryota > Metazoa > Chordata > Mammalia > Primates > Hominidae > Homo > Homo sapiens. The sequence continues at coordinate 114,718,628 of NC_000008.11, read as the reverse complement.
AATTACAATCCTTGGCCTTCCATAACAGCTTCCTCAATATTACCTGTTTTTTCACAGGCAAGGTTTTTGACATGATAATCTATACACATTGTATTTACTATCCTCTCACCTCTCATGTATTTGTTTTACGTACTAAAAGGTAAGTCAATTCCTTCCACCCCTTCACCGGGAATTATCTCCATGCTTCTCACATGGAATTGCTACTCAAGAAGATTACATACTTCACAGAGTAATGTTTTACTCTCTATTCCCCTTTTCCTCTGAATATGTTGATTAGTTACAGGCCTAGTCTCTTGATGACTATAGTGAGAAAGATGGTGATGAGTGTTGCAAAAGTGGGTGAACAAAGCAAATCTCCTCAAGAAACTTCTGTCATGCATTTGGATGGTAAATGTGGTGGCAGCTACTCTGTTTGCAGATTAGAGTGGCTTTATACGTATTACCTAAAAACAGAAATGTGGAGTACTTCTTTCTAACATACTCTCTGTTATGGATTGAATTACGTATCTCAAAAGATGCTGAAGTTCTACTCCCTGATAATCCAGGGCCGGAGAATATGACCTTATTTAGAAATAGAATCTTTCCATATGATCAAGTTAAGATAAAGTTACCAAGGTGGGTCACACTCCGCAATATGACTGTGTCCTTATCAAAAGTGGAAATTTGGACACGCACATATAGAAACAACAGCATGTGAAAATGAAGGCAGATTGGGATGATGCAAATTTTGACCAAAAAAAAAAAATGCCAGAAATGTTCTACAAACAACCAGAAGCTGAGAAATCCTTATGGAAAAGGTTCTCACTCCCAACCCTCAGAGGGAATCAACCCTACTGACAGCTTGATCTCTCTTTTGTGGGGACATTTTTTATCCTACTACATGTGATTATGGCATTCAATAAGTATTATCTGATCAGTAAATTAAATAAATAAATTGAAACTAAGATGTTTACAACTCACTGAAATATATTACTTAAGTGTACTGTATAAGGCAAATTTTATAAATTTTTAACTATGTGAAGATCCACTAGATGCTATGTCTAAACACTACTCTGAAATTCTGTATATCCATTTCATAAACTATAGAGCTTAAAAGTGTCTCCAGAGGTCATTTACAATCTTTCCTTGCTTCTAGACACAGCTACATAAAACTAAAACAGGAAGAGAGGTGTCTATTCTGTTTCTAAAGATCTCCAGCAAAAGAGGATATATAACCTCACTCCAGCAACACATTTTGGCATTTTAAGCAATGAATATTTAAAATCCAACTCTTACAATGCAGAGGCTTGGGAAATAGTAAAACCATTACTACTTACACACTCACTGAGAAGTTCTAACAATTGTTGTATACTGTAAATAGAAAGCAGATAAGAAAAACTGCAACAATTTACAGATTTCATTTTTACATTACCACTGATAATATGAAACTCAAATACAGTCTAGAATAGGAATAAATTTTTGATCTTGCTTTTTTTTTAAGTCTGAGAAGAGAAAAAAAAGTTTCACCTTTAAAAAGCAACTTTAGCCTGAAGTAATTGCAAAATATGTGAAGAAAATTTTTCAAGTTCCTTTCAGTCCCATAAAATTTTCTCTCTATACCAAGTCATGTTGACACAGGAAAGGGAAAAATTCTAGGATAAGAGAAAATAAAGGAAATATGGGAAAAAATTAAGCACTACATAATTTGGTCATCCTAACTCAAATAATTTAGAAAGTTTGACATTTTCATTTGCTAAAGTGTAAATAATAAATGAGATGGATATGTTACAATCTTAGTTATTTTACAAAAGAGATTTAATCCAGATTAAAGTAGTAAAGCATGCTTTGCTTGAAAAATATTTTCTCTTCTTTATATTCTTAGGTAATTTTTACCAACATTATTTCCACGGATACATAGCTCTAACACTTCTCTATGTTGTAATAAGGCAAGGCTATCTTTTGATTCATTGTCCTTGGAAATCAGTAATTTATTTCTTTACCTATATATTTTGAGAAAGGGTCTCACTCTGTTGCCCAGGCTGGAGTGCATGGGTGTGACCACAGCTCACTAAAGCCTGGATCTCCCAGTCTCAAGCAATCTTCCTACCTCACCCTCCAGAGTACCTGAGACTACAGGCGTGCACCACCACACCTTGCTAATTAAAAAAAAGAAATTGTAGAGATGGTGTCTTGCTATGCTACCTGTGCTGGTCTTGAACTCCTGGGCTCAAGTGATCCCCATCCCACAGCCTCCCAAAGTGCTAGGATTATAGCCATGAGCCACCATGCCCTGCATCAGTAATTTTGCAAGTAACTGCTTCGCCACAGCATTCTAGAAATTATGCAGGCTGTGGAATGGGTATTTTACCCTCAGAATAAAATAGAAAAGGAATGGATCTAGGTGGGTCTAGGTCACCAGGTAAGTGTGAAAAGGCAAGAAAACAGGTTTTTTTCCATTTCCGTACTCATGATATTTCAATAGAGCCTAAATAAGATAATACAATCTATTTGTGTGTAAAGCAAGGGCCTAAGTGTTACTTCTTAAAGAGTTTTCTGAGATTTTCTTTTGGGAGATAATTATTTAATCCCAATGGATGTTGACTATTTGTATAAATTGTTTAGTGGTTCTTTTTTTTTAATTTTTTTAACTTTTTTATTATACTTTAAGTCCTAGGGTACATGTGCACAACATGCAGGTTTGCTACATAGGTATACATTTGCCGTGTTGGTTTGCTGCATCCATTAACTCATCATTTACATTAGGTATTTCTCCTAATGCCACCCCTCCGCCTGCCCCACCTCCCGACAGGCCCTGGGGTGTGATGTTCCCGGCCCTGTGTCCAAGTGTTCTCATTGTTCAATTCCCACCTATGAGTGAGAACATGTGGTATTTGGTTTTCTGTCCTTGTGATAGTTTGCTCAGAATGATGGTTTCCAGCTGCATCCATGTCCCTCCAAAGGACATGAACTCATCATTTTTTATGGCTGAATAGTATTCCATGGTGTATATGTGCCACATTTTCTTAATCCAGTCTATCATTGATGGACATTTACATTGGTTCCAAGTCTTTGCTATTGTGAATAGTGCTGCAATAAACATACGTGTGCATGTGTCTTTAGAATAGCATGATTTATAATCCTTTGGGTATATACCCAGTAATGGGATCAGTGGATCAAATGATATTTCTAGTTCTAGACCCTTGAGGAATCGCCACACTGTCTTCCACAATGTTTGAACTAGTTTACACTCCCACCAACAGTGTAAAAGTGTTCATATTTCTCCACATCCTCTCCAACATCTGTTGTTTACTGACTTTTTAATGATCGCCCTTCTAACTGGTGTGAGATGGTATCTCATTATGGTTTTGATTTGCATTTCTCTGATCACCAGTGATGAAGAGCATTTTTTCATGTGTCTGTTGGCTGCATAAATGTCTTCTTTTGAGAAGTGTCTGTTCATATCCTTTGCCCACTTTTTGATGGGCTTGTTTGTTTTTTTTCTTGTAAATTTGCTTAAGTTCTTCGTAGATTCTGGATATTAGCCCGTTGTCAGATGGGTAGATTGCAAAAATTTTCTCCCAGTCTGTAAGTTGTCTGTTCACTTTGATGGCAGTTTCTTTTGCTGTGCAGAAGCTCTTTAGTTTAACTAGATCCCATTTGTTTATTTTGGCATTTGTTGCCATTGCTTTTGGTGTTTTAGACATGAAGTCCTTGCCCATACCTATGTCCTGAATAGTATGGCCTAGGTTTTCTTCTAGAGTTTTTATGATTTTAGGTCTAACATTTAAGTCTTTAATCCATCTTGAATTAATTTTTCTATAAGGTGTAAGGAAGGGATCCAGTTTCAGTTTTCTACATATGGCTAGCCAGTTTTCCCAGCACCATTTATTAAACAGGGAATCTTTTCCCCATTTCTTGTTTTTGTCAGGTTTGTCGAAGATCAGATGGTTGTAGATGTGTGGTGTTATTTTTGAGGCCTCTGTTCTGTTATACACATTCTTCTTAGAATCACTGAATCTAATGCAACACAATTCAGCTTATTTGATTTTTTAAAAAGTGATAGTAGTTTGGCAATGTGCCTGGTTTTTGGTGGTACTGCTTAATCACTGTACTTTAAAGAGTGGTTTAAAAGTAACATGCAGTGCATCCCCCAGGAATTGTTCAGTATCTAATAAATTTAGGATTTAGTCTAAGTATAAAGATTGTTTTTAACAATTTGAAAACTTTCACTGTATTCAGGAAAAAAAGAAAAAGTATTATAGTTTATAAACGTGAATCAAGATGGACAGTACTTGAAGTGTAAAGTTTTTAGGATAATTAGTTACCGCTTGGAAAAAATGATGTCAAACCAAGAAACCGCTGCAATCTCCAGGCTTTAAGAAAAGGCCGACCTGTAGGAAAGGAATCAGAAATGGAGTGACCGTCTTAAAACGTGAGCATTCTGAGGTCACACTGTATTTTGATCTCCTTGAATATATTTCAAGATGCAGAATGATGACTCCAGAGGGTGAAATGGTATGTGATTTTCAGTAAATCGTTTCTTCCCTAATACATAATGGTTAGAAGATGATAACTGTTACTTTCTCCAACTTTGAATTTATAAAAACAACTCACAATTCATTCTTTATGAAAGGTTTTGTCTTTTCTACTTGTTTCTTTGGGAACTTCATGAGCTTGAGTTTACCAGAGAAAAGAATTTTCTTCAAACCAATAATGATGATTAATGTCTTGTAGATTAGTATGAATGTGGAGAGATAAGGAGGGGAGGGTAATAAACTGTAAACAATGAAATAGCTGTTTTTCATGGCAATAATCCTAGGAAAATTGTATATTTCTACACTCATGTTAGATATAAAGTGTTTTGAATTTCAGAAATTAAAAAATGCAGTGAATTATCCAGTTACAATTTTAAAAGTTTTATAAATTGCTAGTTTGGAATAAACTAGCCTTAAAATCATGGAGAATTTTCTAGCAAAATATAAAAATTTAGTTTAAGTGGAGAAGTTTTTATTAGTTACTAAAATCTCTGATTATAGAACACTGTTCAAGACAAATCTCCATTCCATGGTGACATATCTGCCAGTCCATGCAGAGTATGGACATCAGTAGGACTAGTCAAGTAGGTTGTATGTAGGTATCCCACAGGGAGGTGGTCACCAGGAGGCGGTTATGCAAGGTAGACATCTGGATCAATTGCATTGACAAACTAGGAAGAGGTGAAGAACTAGGCACCTCATCAAGGGTAAATAAGCCCTGCTTCTGGTATAAGAAAGTCCAACTTGTATTCAGAATAGATGCCAAGGCAACATAAAATTTTAATTCACTATAAAGAATATCAGAGGAGATGAAACTACAGTGGAATTTAAATGCAGATAATACCAAATAAGCATTTGTCATCATTGGGGAAGACAAGTTGTTCACAGGTTAGAATCATGTAATTAGGAGCCAGGAATAATTTATACAAAGGAGTCCCATAGCAAGTTGAGAAAAAGCCTGATACTACAGGAAGAATGTTTATCAAATACAGCATTTTCGAAAACTAATGAAAATGACTTTACAAATGGTAGAAGTATTAGGATGAAATATTTTTGGGGACAAATTAAGTTTTTTATATTCCTTCTTGGTTCCATCACTTAAATATACAAATTAGTGAACACACACTGATCTCATCTGGACAACTGTCTATCTCATCTGGACAACTCAAGTGTCTCTGTGCAGATTTCAGAATTGTTCTGCTCTGCAGTCATGGTAATACACATGTTAAAATTACTTTCATTTCAGCGTGTTATTTTATTAAGGGCTGTTTTAAGACATAGGATTTATTAGAAGAGGACAGAGGGAGTGTGTGAAATGGCTGTTAGCCAATCTGTCTAATCCCCAGGTTAGAAGTTAGGATTTGGCACATTTTCTTTTCATACAACTACAGAAAAGGAAGTACAAAATTTGTATAAATTACATTAATTGGAAAGCTTAAGATTTCCTTTTAATGATGCTTATACTTGATCATTTTCTGAAGAACTAAGGATCAGTGTTGGGTTAGTAGAACTGTGCCACAAGTCAATACAATTACATTTTTCCAAGTAGAAAATATTTTAAATATGTATGTCATGATTAAGAAAACATAGTGAGTGGAATGTTGGAAGACGCACCCAGGCTTTAGGAAGACACTATTTATTTGAATAGACTTTTCTTTATCTCTTTTGATCACCAAGAATGAAGTGGGGAGTATAAAGAATCTGTGGAAAGATGATCTGCTTTTGAGTCTAGGCGTCATGCCAGATGAGTAAAAGAATTTTCCAGCAGAAATGTGAAATAAATAAGTTCAAGAAGTCTAGGATTTCTGCACTGGAGATGGTGTTCAAAACTAACTAATATAAAGAGAAATGCTGTGTAGCATCACCTCTATCTATTATTCTATTTTTTTCTTTCTTTTTTTTTTTTTTTCTGAGACGGAGTCTCCCTCTGTCGCCCAGGCTGGAGTGCAGTGGCGTGACTGCAAGCTCCGCCTGCCGGGTTCACGCCATTCTCCTGCCTCAGCCTCCTGAGTAGCTGGGACTACAGGTGCCCGCCACCACGTCCGGCTAAGTTTTTGTATTTTTAGTAGAGACGGGGTTTCACCGTGTTAGCCAGGAGGGTCTCGATCTCCTGACCTTGTGATCCGCCCGCCTCGGCCTCCCAAAGTGCTGGGATTACAGGCGTGAACCACCGCGCCCAGCCACCTCTATCCATTATTCTTACTAAGCAACAGGGGAAGTGATTGTATTTGACTGCGTCTCCACCCAAATCTCATCTTGAATTGTAATACCCACGGGTCTAGGGAAAGACCTGTTGTGAGGTTATTGGATCATGGGGGTGGTTCCCCGATGCTGTTCTCATGATAATGAGTTCTCATGAGTTCTGATGGTTTTATAAGGGGATCTTCCCCTTTCACACCTCTCTCTCTCACCTGCCACTATGTAAGATGTGACTTTTTCCCTTCTGCCATTATTGTAAGTTTCCTGAGGCCTCCCCAGCCATGCAGAACTGTGAGTCAATTAGACCTTTTTTCTTTATAAATTACCTAGTCTCAGATATTTCTTTATAGCAGTGTGAAAACAAACTAATATAGACAGTAAATTCTCAAAGAAAGTCTTTTAATAGCCTCATAATTAAAAGATATATGAAAAGAAGAAAGAACTGCTTTGCATGAGATATGAGGGGAATACCTCCAATAGTAGGTTTGAAATAGTGCTAAGTCATGAAGTTCTAGGCAGTTCTACTTAATTGACCTACTGCATTGATCTAAATGCTGATGCGAAGTTTACCTAACAAAGTCAAAATGAATAAAAAGGCAAGTTATCAGACTGATCCTGGTCAGTTTCACTAATTAAAATTAGTTCAAAATTTAAATGTGACTATCAAGCAGATTCATAGTGTTCTGAAATATTTTATCTTCTTCAGGGGAAACAATTCAAAGGTGAGTAGACAGTGTCATTGAGGTAAGAAGGTTGCAAATTATTTTTAAAATGACTTAGAATAATTTCCATTATCATTTCTCCAAAATGATAACCTTTAAAGTTTAAAAAGTTTTCTAGATTTATGATTTTCATGGTTTACCCTGAAGAAAATGTCTGGATATTTCACCTGGACAACTGAGAGACAGATAATATTAATAAGAAAAATATAAGGTTTTCATCATTGAAATAATTTGGAATCTTCTATTCATGCCTAAAATACTTTGCTAGGCTGTTTTTCCTTTAAAAAGTAAGTAAACTAAGTAAGCAGAATAGTAATTTCATGAGTTCTAAGTTGCTTATAAAATTATATTACATGAATTGCTAAAGCTAGACACACAGAACTTTCTTAGCAAGAACCAGAGTGCTCATGCAAATTTTCTATGATTTCAATATGTTTGTTCCCTCCAAAATTCATGTTGAAACTTCATTTCCAAGACAACAGTATTAAGAGGCATATACTTTAGAAGGTATTGAGTGATGAGAGTTCTGCCTCCATGAATGAAATTAGGTACCCTGATAAAAGGGCTTGATAGAGAGTTTGCTCTTTTTTCTCCTCTTTCTTATCCTGTTAACCATGTGAGGACATAGCATTTCTCATCTCTAGAAGATGCAGCAACAAGGGGTCATCTTAGAAGCTGAGACTGAGCCCTCACCAAACACCAAACTCATATGTGCCTTGATGTTGGACTTTCCAGCCTCCATAACGGTGAGTAACAAATTTTTGTTCTTTATAAATTACCCAGTCTCAGTTATTTTGTAACAGCAGCATGAACAGACTAAATCAAACTTAGAACTGAGAAGTCAGAGTTCCTCAGAACAAGCACTAGCCATCTATAGGAAATACGCCAAAAAGAGAATGGGCAAAAATGTAAAAAATGATTATTTCAATTACTAATATAAAATAAAATAAAGACTTCCATATTAAAGTGATAACAATTAGTTCCATACTGGCATTTAGAGGTAATATAATATTTTATGAAAATTGAAAAAAAAGAATGCAAATATTTATAACGTGAGATAAATTTATAAATTTATTTTTAAGTGAAAAATGTCCTTAGAAGAAATATTCCCCAAATTTCGTTGCACTGTAGATTATTTATTATTTTTTAAAAATATCTATTCTAGGGTTGTAACACAGGCCTAATTACTCAGAATTTCCCTGGGTAGGAGTTTGTGATTTTTAAAAGTCTATAATTAAAACTAAACACCTAGCACACAAATAAACCAAACTCTGCCATCTCCAACCCCGGTTTTTTTGTTTTTGTTTTTGTTTTTGAGACGGAGTCCCACTCTGTCGCCCAGGCTGGAGTGCAGTGGCGCGATCTCCACTCACTGCAACCTCTGCCTCCTGGATTCAAGCAATTCCCTGCCTCAGCCTCCCGAGTAGCTGGGATTACAGGTGCCCACCACCACGCCTGGCTAATTTTTGTATTTTTAGTAGAGATGGGGTTTCACCGTCTTGGCCAGGCTGGTCTTGAACTCCTGACCTTGTGATCCACCCGCCTCTGCCTCCCAAAGTGCTGGGATTACAGGCGTGAGCCACCGAGCCCGGCCACCACTGTTTTTAGGCCTCATTTCCTCTGCTGCTTTTTATTTCTCTTGTTCTCCAAGCTTTATATCTGTATCCACAAAGATCACCATTGTTTCCTGCAGTCTTCTGCATCCCTAAATATTTGTTTTCATAGCACCAGAAAAGTAATATTATAACATCTCAGTTCATCAGATGCTATCCAACAAAACAAAACAACCAAAAACCTAACTATAGATGATTTGGTGTTATACACATGTTGTTTCAACTTACTTTTTATATGGGAAAAATAGACTATCAATAGTATAGTTGCCATAGAATATGGTTTATAAGTATCTCAAGTCTTTCAAGGATGTATTGCATCAATTAATTTATTCATTTATTTATTTCAAAAGATCTATTAAGCTCCTGAGTTATGACACGTGCCATGGCATGTGTTGGGTATAGGGTAATCGACAGTTCCTTCTTTCACAAATTTTAGATCATAGCTTAGTGGGTACATATATATTTTGTATGGAAATGAGTTCAGGTTTATTTATAAGTCTTAAAGAATGCTATTGGTGCTGTTTTTTTTTTTTTTTTTCTAATGCTGGGACTTCGATTGAAATATTAGCATGTATCGAGCAGTTTCTGAAATATAAATTAGTTATAAGGTCTGTAATTTGGAAGACAGCAAAAGGAGATCACATTAGTATTTACTGGATGATATGGTTAGGCTATGTCCCCATCCAAATTTCATCTTGAATTGTAGCTCCCATAATCCCCACATGTCATGGGAGGGACCCTGTGCAGGGAGAGTAATTGAATAGTGGGGCACGTTTTCCCATGCTGTTCTCCTGATAGTAAATAAGTCTCATGAGATCTGCTGGTTTTACACAGGGAAGTTCCCCTGCACAAGCTCTCTTTTCTGCCACCATGTAAGATGTGCCTTTGCTCCTTCTTTGCTTTCCACCATGATTGTGAGGTCTCCCCAGCCATGTGGAAGTGTGAGTCCATTAAACCTCTTTTTCTTTATAAATTACCCAATATCAAGTATTTCTTCAGAGCAGTATAAAAACGGACAAATACACTGGTCTTAGAGTCAACACAGTGTTTTTTTTCCAAAGCAGACAGACCACTACCTTCAAGCTAGTATCACCTATAACCAGATATTTTTCCACAGGTAAAACATTATATAACTTTCAATGCATGTACATAAATATATACATTTTAGGTAATATATAGGTAATATCGATTAAATATATAATGTACATATTATATGTATAATATAAAATCTCTTCTGTGCATGGTTTACTTGTACTTATCTCTACCAAACTGTTGCTTTTGACTTTTTTCATGATCATTTCGGTAGACAAAGACTACAATATCAGATTGAAATACCTGTCTATGGTGGTGATGATAGGCAATGGGAGAAGGATACTCAGAAAGATGGCTTGGTCAGATCTGCATTTTGGGAATTAGTTTGCCAACAACATAAAAGATGGATTAGAGGTGCGGGGGATTACAGTTAGGTAGATTATTTAGTCTCTTTTTAATTTTCCAGAAGAACATTGAAAAATCTGCAGAGTTGGAGAGAAGGTTATTTAAGATCTATTTATGAGACACAATTAACAGTATTAGTGAATAAAAGTATGGTGTGGGTAAAGCTTTACAGAGAGGGATTCTTTGATTGTAAGGAGGATGTTGATTGTTTTCCTCAAGTAAATAGGCAGATGGAGAAACAATTCACTGGAAATGTAGATGAGTAGAAAAGAGAGATCATCTGGGGTAGGAAATGGAAAATTCAATTTTGATTTAAGTTTGTGGTATGGCAGCAATTGGATAGGGTTAGCAAGTAACTGATTAAATGAATCTTATTCTCAAAAGAAAGATAAGAGTTGGAAATGTAGATTTGAAAGTTACAAGTAAACAGATAAAATTTAAAGTCTTAGGTGCAGCTGAAGTCAATGGGGAAAATTTTATTTGCTAATGAAAGCCAAGGTGAAAATCTGGGGGAACAAAGGGAAACTTGCAAAATGCAATTGTCAAGGATGGAGGAAGAAAACAAGAAAATTAGAAGAGAAACTTGTGGTCCCATCAAATAATAATTTTTATAGCATGGGCACAAGTAATATGCCCAAGGCACAATTATTATGTATGTATCTTGAAGACACAATCATATCAGAGATTATAATTGATCAGTTTTGAAGTTAATGAGTTAGAATAATTTGCTTTCAAATGGAAGTAGGCTGATCAAAATGTATTGTGACACGGGCAATATCTTAAGATCTAATGTTAAGAATAAGACCAGCAACAAAAGATAAATAGAAGTCTTTTCTTTCCCTTACTCATTCCTACTTTTCTTGCTTTATGTGTATCTGTTTCACGCTTCTGACTCTGACTTCCTTAACTTGTAATTCCCATAGTGATAAATCGCAATTGGCAACTCTAGAGCTAACAACTTCTTCCATTTAAGGGCATCAGACCAATTAAGAACTTTTTGTCCAAAAATAATAGCGGATGGGCTCACTGATTCAGTTGTCATCAGATGCCAGTTACAGATTTCATCAACAATGCCAAAAGGAGTTAATCATTTTGTATAAATACAGATACTAATTCTAAACAAGGTTCTCCATAGAACTGAATCATAAAAAACTATTTATGAAAAACTTGGGTGTTTGGAGAGACAAAACTATAACTGACCATGAATCTTAAAGTGGTGGAAAGATAATAGATAATGCAATCTTTTAAGACGCAAATGTCCTTTCATTACCAAATCTATATATTTTTTAAATTGTAGCTAGCATGGATTTTAAAAGTGATTCTGGAATACAGACTAACTTGTCATATAAATATATTTCATATTTAAGTTTTAGGTAGTGAATAGAAAAAATGCAGATAGCAAGGGATTTATTTGGAAATTTATTCTAATTTCTCAAGGTAGCAGACATTTAGATAGCAAGGGATCCTTATAATATGATTGAAATTAATATGAAAACTGGCACAGATTTATTTCCTTTGAATGAATAATCCATAATGGGATGTTTTCAAACTTGTTAGTCTCAGCATGTCATTACAGTCTAGAATGATTACTTACCAGCTTACCAACTATTGTACTACAGTATGCAGCAGCTTTGCTTTGTATATACTTGTCATTTCATCACATAGCATTTAAAAAATAAATGTACAGAGGAATAAAGTTTTAACAACATTAATATTTAATGCTTGAAAGATATTTTTACTATCTACTGATATTAACCACATTAAAAATTAAAATAAATATGTTCAGTATATTTCTTAATTCATTTAAAAGTGATACAATAAATCTATAATAGGTTAACAAAAATAAAGTTATAATATAACTGTATTTTGGAAAACAAAAATAAACACTGAGAACTCAGGAATTGTTTTGCATTTTTTGAAAAATTTTTAAAGGCTTAGCAGAAGGCAACTGGATTCTTTTGTCTGTTTCCACATTCAATATATCCTGATAGGTTGTGTTACTTGAAGTATATGAAGAAATATGTAGTTAAAATTTTTAATTGTTGATTAGAGATTAAGGAATTACTTTCCTGTAGCTGAAAAAATTAGAATTTTTTGGTTTGTTTTGTGTGAGACAAGGTATTGCTCTGTCGCTCACGCTGCAGTGCGGTGGAACAATCAGAGTTCACTGCAGCCTCAAACTCCTGGACTCAAGCGATCGTCCTGCCTCAGCCTCCTGAGCAGCAGAAACTACAGGCATGTGTCACAATGCCTGGCTAAATTTTCAATTTTCAGTTTCTTTGTAGAAACAGGAGGTCTCGCTCTGTTGCCCAGGCTGGTCTTTAACTCCTGACTTTAGGGATTCTCCTATCTTGGTCTCTCAAACTGTTGACTTTACAGGCATGAGCTACCATATATTGGCAGAGAAGTATTTTAATAGCTTTTTCAAATCATTGTGAATTTTTAAAATTTGATACCATGTCATAGTGGAGTCTCAAATACATCAAGGAACTGTTATGTTAAAATACATCAGTCTATCTTGCACTCTCAATGGATTATTTACCCTTGCATGATTTTTTAACATCATCACTATTCATTTCAAAAATAATGGTTCAAACCTGAGATTATCTAAAAGTAAAAATAAAAGTTAATAGTAATTTTTAAATGAAATATTAAAAGACAATGTTATTCAATTCTATTCTTTATTCTGTCATCTCACTATTATGACTTTCAGTAATGTGAAATATTTCCAAGCTTCTCTGACTTCTCTGTTCTTTTGAATGTTCTGAGCATTCCTTCATGGAGAATTTGTACTGTGTACCATTCATTACTGTCAAAGGTTCACACAAATAAAAATAAAAAGTTTGACATCTTAGCCATAGGCATCTCATTATCCCTTGGATACTATCTTCGGTTAAGCCCTTCTAAGAAATGTCAACTGTTGATCCATTCTCAACTTTATTCCTTATGCTGATCATAATATTAAGCAACACTGAAATATGTTCAGAGAGTTAACAAAGACCAATAACATTAGGTAGAGTCTAAATAGAAAAAGAAACTTGGGTGCATATATGTGCATGTCCAGCATACACATGTGTGCTTATGTATTAAGACTAGTGCAAAAGGTTATCTACTGAAATTATTTATTTTGTTGCAATTAAGAAAAAAAAGAAAGAAGATTTATTAGTGGTATTTTCATATGTCTATTTTTTTGTGGTCAAGATATATAATAATTTGATATTTTAAATAGACACCTTTATTAGTCAGGGTTGTCTACAGAAACAAAACCAATAGAATATATATATATAGAATATATATATATGTGTGTGTGTGTGTATGTGTGTGTGTGTATCTTTTTTTTTTTTTTTGAGGTGGAATATCGCTCTGTCACCCAGGCTAGAGTTTAGTGGTGCGATCTCAGCTCACCGCAACCTCCACCTCCTGGATTCAAGTGATTCTTCTACCTCAGCCTCCTGAGTATCTGGGAATACAGGCGCACACTACCACTCCCAGCTAATTTTTTGTTTTGGTAGAGACAGGGTTTCACCATGTTGCCCAGGCTGGTCTCCAATTCCTGATCTTAGGCAATCCACCCACCTCAGCCTCCCAAAGTGCTAGAATTATAGGCTATATATGATCTTTGAACAACATAGAGGTAAGGAATGCCAACCTTCTACACAGTCAAAAAGCCTTATATAACTTTTGCCTCCCCAAAAATTTAACTAATAGTAACCTACTATTGACTGGAAGCCTTACCTATAACATAAACAGTTGATTAACACATACTTTGTTTTGTATGTTATGTGTATTATATACCATATTCTTACAGTAAACTGTAGAAAAGAAAATATTATTAAGAAAATCATAAGGCAGAGAAAATTAGAAGGTAGATCATTATAAAGGGCTTCATCTTTGTTGTCTTCACATTGAATTGGTGAGGAAGAGAGGAAAGAAGAGGGGTTGTTCTTGCTGTTTCAGGAGTGGTAGAGATGAAAGATTTCATAGATGAGACAGAAGGGGAGGCAGGAGAGGCAGGCATATTAGGTGTAACTTTACAGAAATACATCATAGTTTCTTTTTTTTTCTTTTTCACTTATCTAAAAATGTTTCCATACAGTACCAAGCCTCCTTCCACCATTTACTTTAGTTGCAGCTCCTCTATGTATCACAGAAGGGACCATGTCACTAAAGAAGTCAAAATGAGTCTTAAATAACAGAAACCCTCTTTCAGATTCTCTAATGCCCATGTGTTTTCTGGCACTGCTTCTTATAAGTCTTCTTCTGAATTTTCTGGCACTGGTTAAGAAGCATTCATCTCCATATACTTGTCTTCTGTTTATTCCTCTGGTGTGTGTATTAGCTCTTAAATTTCTCCAAACCCATGTCTAGAAACCCTTTACCGCACCTTTTTGGCCATATCCACAACCTCTTTTATTATTCCTTCATGAACTCTGTCATAAATCCTCTGAAGTCAGGCACATACCTGGATACAGTTTTCTTCAGCAGAAATCTGTTTAGGGCTTGACAGCTGTCACAGCTTTTTCTATAACAATGATTTAATCCTTCTAGGCCTTCATATTGTTCTGTACACCTGTGTTCACTTCCATAGTGTTGGCAATCCTTTCCATAGAGTACCATATGTAATGAGCCTTACAAGTACTTATGACATCTGATCTAGAGGCTGATTTAGAGATGTTTTGTTTGGGGACAAGTACACTAATTTGATACCTTTGGTTTTAAATTCATGGGGTTAAGAGTGGTCAAAGGCATTTTCTCATATCATAAAAGCTTTAAAAGGCAGTCCCTTACTGGCAAGGTACTTTCTGACTTCAGAGACAAGGCGCTGATGGAACCAGTCCAGAAAAAAAAAAAAAAAATTAATCGTCTTGTTTTTCAGGCCTGCTTGTTGTATATCTCAAAGACTGACAGCTAATGTTTGTTTTGTCTTCTCAAGGCTTGGGGATTAGCAGCTTTATAAATGCAGAAAGTGCTGCTCACAAAGCTAATCGTGTTTATACCAAATAGTAGTTAGCCTATCCCTTGCTGCCTTAAACTTTAGTGCTCACATTTTTTTCCTCACTAATAAATGTTCTTTATGTCTTTTTCCCCCAGAATATGTCACATTTATCTGCATTGAAAACCTACTCAGGCAGATATTCTTTCTTCTCAATGATCTTTAAATTGATCTTGAAACTTTTCTACTGCCGCTTGGTCAGCAAACACTATTTCTCCTATTATCTTGACATTTTTGAAGCCAAATATCTTTCTAAAATTATCGAACCATCCTTTGCTGGCATTATTCTCCAGCTTTAGATCTTTCACCTTTCTTTTGTTTTAAGTTGTTATATAATGAATTTGCTTTTTCTGGAATCATATTGGATTCTATATGCTTTTCTTATAGCAATCCTGCATTCACATAAAAGATGCATTTTCTTTTCTTTTTTCTTTTTTCTTTTTTTTTTTAGACAGAGTCTCTCTCTGTCATCAGGCTGGAGTGCAGTGGCATGATCTCACATCACTGCAACCTCTGCCTCCCGGGTTCAAGCGATTCTCCTGCCTCAGCCTCCCGAGAAGCTGGGACTACAGAAGCGTGCCGCCACGCCCAGCTAATTTTTTTGTATTTTCAGTAGAGACAGGGTTTCACCATATTGGCCAGGCTGATCTTGATCTCTTGACCTGGTGATCTGCCTGCCTCGGCCTCCCAAAGTGCTGGGATTACAGGTGTGAGCCACCGCACCCAGCCAAAAGATGCATTTTCAATACAAAATAAAAAAGGTATTTCACAAAATGTGCAAGGTTTCTGGGCCTGTTAGTGTAGCTTCAGATATAGCTTCATGAATTCCCTTTACTTTATTTATTTACTTATTTATTTATTTATTACAATGACTCTTATGCTGAGTTCATTTATCTTGAAATGACAGAAAACCACAGATGTAGACCTCAATCTGCAATACAAATCAAGCAATTTAACTTTTTCTTGTATTCTCATGACTTTCCTCTGCTTTGGGGGAGCACTTCCAACATTACTAGTGGTGCTTCATATAGGTCTCATGATATTTTTCAAGGTTTATGATATTGCAGTGAACATAATGAAAATTTTGCCAGGACTTCAAGAGATCACTTTTTATTGCAGTATTAAATTTACTGGAGAGAGAAACTACTCAGATGGAGACATAGTGCTTTAAGCAGATACTTGCAACATTTTAGCCCACATCAATAGCAACAGGAGGTAACTACAAATTTATTACAGTGGTACAGTACATACTATAGTTAATTTTATGCAGTTCTTCTGTAATACTGCATCATTATGTTTGTTTCCATTTTTCTCAACTGCAAATGGCACCATGTACAGTCTGTGTGTGTGTATGTGCATAAGATTTGATAAATGTTAACTTTTTATAATAGATCTGTGTATATTTTATGGTAGTAAATGATGATAGACTATTATCTGCATATATTTTAGAAATTTGTGACATACCTAACTTTTCTTATTTTTTTAATATTTCTAAGCTATGCAGTCAAACTGCAAGTCTTCTCAACTTGTGACAAATCTCCTAAAATTTTTCCAATATATTTATTGAAAAAAAAACTGTATATAAGTAGAACTTCACAGTTTAAACCCAAGTTGTTCAAGGCCAACTATACACACACACACACACACACACACACACACAGAGAGAGAGAGAGAGAGAGAGAGAGGGAGAGAGATTTTAAATAATTGGCTTACATGATTGTGGAGGCTGGCAGATCTGAAATTTGTAGGGCTCGTCAACAGGCTGGAAACTCAGGCAGTGTTTGATGCTGCTGAGGTCAAATCTCTTATCTGGGAAACCTCAGTTTTTCCTCCTGAGGCCTTTAACTGATTATGAGAGTCCTATCCACATTATGGAGGGCAATCTCCTTTAATTACAGTCAACTGATTGTAGGTGTTAAACAAATACATCTGCAAAACACTTTCATGACAACAACTAGATGATTGTTTAATTAAATAACTGGGTACTAGAGCCCATTCAAGATATTACATAAGACTAAGTATCATATCACCTCATGAATGGAGTCCATATTAGGAGCTTCTTTTCAACTATATTTCTAGTTGTTATCTACACCTTCCAATTTCAGATTTTAATCTGGAACAAGGACTAAACCTAGACTTTGAGATAATCACATCTCAATGGAAATATAATAGAACAAACTCTGGGTCATGGATTGTTTGGCTTTGTTTGGAATATTCTTTGTCCTTAAAAAAAAAAAAAGAAATTCTGTTATTTAGTCCAACATGGATGAACTTGAAGGACTTATGTGAAGTGAAATAAGCTATACACAGAAAGACAAGTATCACATTATCTCACTCATTTATGGAATTTAAAAGCTGATCTCATGGAAGTATAAAAGACAATAGTGGTTGCCAGAGGCTGGGAGGGAAGCAGGGAGAAGAGGATGGAAAGGGACTGATCAAGGGGAACAAAATTATGGAACATAGGAGGAAAAAGTTCTGCTGTCTCTTACACAGTAGGGTGATTATGGTTAACAATACTTTTATTGTATGTTTCAAAATAACTAAAAGAGTATTTTCTATGTCTTCACTACAAATAAATGATAAATTATTGAAGTGATGATAAGCTAAATGCCTTGACGTGATCATTATACAATGTACACATGTAGCAAAATGTTACACTGTACCTCATAAATACGTACAATTATGTGCCGATTAAAAATAAAACTTAAAAATACTTATATTGAAAACAATTTATGTTATCACCAGCAATTTGGACCAGTCTTCCATAGATTCCAGCAAAGTCAATGAATTTAGAATGACAGTTAATAAAGACAGAAATGAACAACAAAAATAAATAAATAAAAACTTCTGAAACCTGTATTTCACATTAGACTATGGAGACCATTCTAAAAATTAAGTCTTAACTTTCTGCCCTCACAATTACTCTGCAGGTGAGACAGAGTTATAATGAATCCCTCAGAGTCAAAATACCTCCATCAAACCATGTTTTATTTTAACAAATAGAGCAATGTAGAAAGATTTCTTGATGGAGAAAGTGAGGAGCTAAGCAAAATTATGCAGGAAAGAAATTTATGTTGTCTGCTAATAATGGTCCATTTATCCTTTTTTTTCTTTTTTGCCCTTGCATAATTTCTCTAGCTAATTTTGTTTTATTCTTAACCCCAGAAACTGTCCATTTCTGCCGGACACATTTTTTTTTTCTTGATCTGAGAAACGAAGTACTTCTTAAGGAACCTGCCTAGAACTCTCATGCATGTTTTCTTTGCTAGCCTTGGCTTTGAATTTTCTACCAAGCCTTCTGCACTGATGCACAAACCTCACAAAAATTACAGCTGCTATGTCTGGAGCCACAAAGGGTTTAGGACGTTGTTTTCATTATTAGAAAGTGAGTTTCCAATATTAAAATATTATTTTTGGTTACTAGGGTAACAGAAAAAACAGCATTAATTGCCCAACACAAATTTTATGTTAATTTGAACAAACCACACAGAAGTCACAAATTAGCACTTGGAACGTAATAATTACAGAAAAGAATGTCTGTATAAAAATACATAAATTTTTTAATTATATAAATTATTAAATCACATATACTAAATTTATTATATTGTAAAAGGTATTAAATTTTAATGTAATACTTGCTAAATTATGTTTTTTTAAAAGTGGTAATTGTGCTTCAAGGCCCGTAGGTACAATAATTTAAACAAATAGCAGTCCAGGCAACTAGGCTACATAACATAAAAAGTAAGAGCATATTAGTCACTCCAAATGTGCAATAACTTGGTGTTTTGAATTTGTAGGTTGAAAACAAATGTCATGATTTCATGTCTTCCAATTAAATGATTTCATTTCTTTAAACTTCCAAAGTTTTCTCAACTCATACTGATAACTTTAGAGATTATTTTACTTAGTATGTTAATAGCCTTAACCTGGCAAGGCAATTCTGTTTTTATCGGTAAAATGCATATAACTCAGCTGTGGCATTTGATACGAACGTTAGCACCGCAGCTCCACACAAGATCTACTAAATCAGGATCTCTGTCTGAACACATGAATTAGTATTTTTATCCATGATGACACATTGAGAAACCCATAATTATCTCATAAAGTTCATTAAGTATAATTTAGTTTGTGGCAACAAATAATAGTTATTGCTTGTTTGATTAAGTAGCCAGATGGTTAGGCTACCATACCTTACCACTGGATTGTTTTAATCACATTATCCAACATCGTTTATGTTTTATTGCATCATATTTTACATTAAAACAATATAAATATTTTGCAAATCAATATATGCATACAAATTTGATTATTTAAAGCAAATTTAAGACAAATACAATCAACTAAAATAAACATTGTGACTACTTTTCTCTGCTGGTTCTTAAGTAAATTTCAGGCATTTTTGCATTCTTGAACATAAGTATATTATACTACACATGAGTCAGATAGGATATCTCTTGCTTTGGAATCTAGAAATTAATACTGAAAATTACAAAAACTTCTTTATAATTTATTTCCCATTTACAAGTTTGAACAGTCTTCAATTACATGGTTAATTACACTTTTAAATTCAGGAGCAGGTTTCACTGTTTTAAAATGTTTTAAAAATCATTTTTGTTCACGTTTACTAATAATATTTGTTATAGTGTTTGTTCAAGAAATATGTTAAGTGCATTGCATAAAGCTTCTCTCTTAATTGTTACACTACAGTTATGAGATCAAAATGACAATGCTCTATAAACTTAAACTTCATTGCGTAAAACACTAAGGAGATTTTAGAGAGTGCTTCAATTTCAGTTCTTTTTTTTCCTGACGTAGTTTGAGTTCCAGAAGTAGATACTGAGATAAGGATTTGTGTGCATAAGATTTATTAAAGAAGTGCTTTCTGGAAGAATCTATAATTGAATGCAGAAGACAGATAAAAGGGAGGGAAAAAGTTGAACAAGAAATTTATTTCAGGCAAAGTTCTAACCTGACACTAATCCCACCAAGGTGCTCCGGAGTAATATTATGCTTCAATGTTATCAAAGGGGAGCCTGGCTTGTATTTTTTTGTATGAGGTATACGCTAAAAATCTAGGATCTTTCTTTTAGTAAAATGCATTCATGACTCATTCAAGTAGGATGAATAAATATTCCTTTTATCGCTGAGTAGTGTAGCATCACACGGATGTACAAAGTTGTTTATGCATTCCCCTGTTTAACATTACCTTGGCTCTTCCCAGTTATTGGCTATAATAAATAGCAGCTATGACCATTTTCATACAGGCTTCTGTGTGAACATAAAAGTTTAATTCATTTGAATAAATACAAGAAACGAGATGGTTGGGTAATATGGCAACTGTATGTTTAATTTTAATTTTATAATAAACTGTCATACTGTTACCAAAGTGGTTTTACCATTTTGCATCTCTTCCATCAAGGAATAATTCCTGTTGCCCTTGATTCTCATCAACCTGATATATCATCACAATTTTTAGAATTTTAAAGATGTTAAAAGGTGTGTAGTTATCACTTTGGAGTCTTAATTAGGATGTATCTAATGACATTTTTCTTAATGTTGACCATACTTTCATATGCTTATTTACCATCTCAATGTACTTTTTGGTAAAGTGTCTTTCAGATCTTTAATATTATATTCTTAAAATGCATTATTAATTTTCTTGAGTTTTATGTGTTATTTTCATTTTCAGGATACATTTCTTTTGTAGAATATATGAATTGCAAATATTTTTCCCAGTCTATACGTTGTCTTTTCATTTTCTCAACAGTACCTTTTGAAGAGCAAAAGTTTTACATTTTTATAATTTAGTAACTTATCATGTTTTGTCTTATTTGGTTCACATTTTTGATGTCCTATAAAAAAAACTCATTGCCAAATTCAAATTCACAGAACAGAGATTGTTTGCCCATGTTTTATTCCAAAAGTTATATAGTTACATTTTATATTTAGGTTTATGGTTCTTAATAAAAATGTTTTATATAAAGTGAGAGGTATATGTCAAAGTACTGGCCTTTCAATGGATATCCAATTTTGCAAGCACAGTTTATAGTAAAGACAACTTTTTCTACATTTAATTGCTTTCACACCTTTGTCAAAAATCAGTCAACTGTGTTTGTGTGAGTCAGTTTGGAGGCTCACTATTCTGTTTTATGGATTCTGTTTTATTGGTCTCTGTCAATCCTTTCACCAGTACTACACTGCCTTCACTACAGTGGCACTTGAGAAGAGTATGTTCTCTCCTATGGGGTGGAATATTCTATAAAAGCAGATGAAGTCAACTTGGATAATGATCTCATTAGGTTACTTATAACTTTACTGATTTTCTGACCTCTTTTTATATCAATTGCCAATATAAGCATGTTGAAGTCTCTGGTTATAATTGTGAATTTTTCCATTTCCCTTTTAAATCTATTTTTTGTCATATATTTGGAATCTCAGGTGTTGGGTACATACACAATTAGTATCGTTATTTATGCTTGGAGACTTGACTCCTTTACAGTGATATAATTTCACTCTTTATTCTTAATAAAATTCTGAGCTTTGAAGTCTACTTTGCCTGGAATTAATAAAATTGCTCCAGCTTTCTTTGGTTAATATTTACACGTTATCTCTGTCGATAATTTTAATTTATCAGAATCATTATGTCTACAGTGGGTTACTTGTAGACTACGTGTAGTTGCAGTTTTATCAATTTTTAACTTGTGTTTTGAAGATTAATATTTAAAATAATTATTGATGTCACCAGACAAAAGGTTAAAATCCTGTTAACTGTTTTCTGTTGCACCATTTGCTCTTTGTTTTTGTGTTTGCTGTTTCCCTGTCTTCTCTCAGTTTAATCGCATTTTTAATGCCATTTTGATCTCCTGTACTGACAAGGGTGTTATTCCTCTTTTTAAAAATATGAGTTGTTACATTGGATTTATAATGTACATTGTAATGTAAGCTGAGATTACCTTCAAATGGTATTACATGTACATACATAATTTAAAAATTATATATTTCCAATTCCTCCCTTTCATCTCTTGTGCCTTTGATGGCATATATTTCACTTTTACATGTGTTAAAAACACACAATACATTTTTTAAATGTTTGGTTTAGCATCATTTATCTTTTGGAGCAATTAAATATTTGTAAATAGATATTTTACCTTTATTTTCAACACTTCATATTTTTATATGTATCCAATTGAGGTTTATCTCATATTCCTTCTGCCCAAGGAACCCCCACTAACATTCATTATAGAGTACATCTACTGGTCATAAATTTTCTCTATTTTTGTTTTCTGAAAAAGTCTTTGTTTCCTTTTCATATTTAAGGTTTTGTGTACTGGACATAGAATTCTTTCTTTTAGCAATCCAAGATGTTTTTCCATCATATTCTTATTTGCATAAATTCAACCAACAAATCTACTGTAGATCTTATCCTTGGATTTCTGCAATGTGCCTTTTTTTCTCTGCTGCTTTCTAGTTCCTCTCTCTCTCTCTCCCTCTCAATCTTTTCTTTGTAGCAGTTTGAATGTGCTAAGCTTGTGTGTGTTTGTGTGTGCACGTGTGTGTGCACATGTGTGTGTGTGCGCGTGCACATGTATGTGTGTTTGGCATATTTCCTGCTTAACTTTGGGGGTCTGTTCTTTCATTTCTATCACTAATTTTGGGAATTCTTAACTATTCTTTTTCCTCATTTTTCTTTTTTCTCTTTCTAAGTTTTTATGTTTGTATATGTTATACCATTTTCTATTGTACCATAGATTTTGCATTTTAGTTCTTTTCCCTTTAGTTTTCTTTTCCTTTTGCATTTTAGTTAAGGTAATTTTGACTGGCTTATCTTTATATTCACTGTTTCTTTTCCAGTCATGTACAGCCCATTAACAATTCCATCAAAGGAATTCTTTATCTCAGTACTTTTATATTTAGTGTTTCTATTTGATTCATTTATATGGTTGCCTTATTTGCTGATATCATACTTCTTATCTTGCTTGTTATCTATTTTCCCATGGGAACCTTTAAGATATTAATCACAGTTGTTTGAAATTACCTGTCTGATGTTAAAACATCTATGCCATATATGAGTTTAGCTTATATAAGTGTTTTGTCTTTTTAGTTCATTTGTTTTTCCTTGATGTTTTGTATTTTTTTTGTAATATCTTAATGAAAACCTAACATATTTTATAGGACAGTAGATACTGGGATTTTATGGGGTTTTTTTACACTTGAAGATGAGCATAACTTTCCTTTAGTTAGACCATCAACATGGAGCTTTCTGTTAATCTAGTCAGAAATTGTACTGGATTTAAAGTTTGACCTCTGCTTGGTTTTGTGTTTTATACTTGGCTTTGTGTCTTTCCCTTGCACTGCTTGCCAGAGTGAATCTGTCTCTTATAGCATTCCCACTGTGTTTCAGTATTATTTTTAGTCAACACTTGTTGGATAGGTAGCAGAGGCAGACGTTCCAATTAAACCTCCTAGGCAGGCATTGTTAGCTTGATTCTTAGTGGTATGGCCTTCACAGATGTTCCTGTTCTTTCTTCCATAATTATGTTGGGCCGAGCAAATGTTCTTGCCCCTTTCTTAGATGTCAAGCTTTTTTTCTCTTGTTCTCTTCACCAAGCTGCAGCAAGTCTCCATCAATGTCCTCAGGTTTGTGCTTTCAGTGTGTTGCCTCTTCCCCCTACAGATTAAGGCTTTTGTTCCATAGAGGAGATGCTGCTTGGTGGATTTCTGCAGCGGCTTGCGATTCCATATTCCAGACAGGCACTTTCTCAGGATTTGCCTCAATTTTTCCTGAGTGTTCTTGACAGAGTTCTTGGTTGAAAAGCCTATTAGAAAGTATAAATCCCTGCCCTCTCCCCGCTCCCCCGGAGATGTTTCCCCCCAGTGCTTTTATACTCTCATGCTAACCCATACTTGAGCATTAACCATTTGGTGAATATTTCTACTTCAATATTCTTAACAACTTAGCAGTGAGCTCAAGTCTATCCCAAATTAGCAAATGTTGCAATTTTGTCTCTATAATTTCTTGCATTAAGACCTTGTGTTAGTTCTTTGCCCGATCACCATAGTTCTCAGGTGGTTTCAAGAAAATGATTTGTTCCAGGTTTTTTCTAATTTTAATGGCAGTAATGATGGAGTTTCCAGTTTCCTATATAACCAATATGAAACCACAAATTGCTATTTGTTCTTAAAAACCCAATTATAATTCTAATTGCAATTTTGGTAAATTATAGATTGAATTGAGATAATAATCTTAATTTAATAATTTAAAATCTTTTAAAATTCTAATTTTTATGAGATATATTATCTGTATTAGTCAGGGCTGTACCAGAGAAACAAAACCAGTAGTAGATAAATATTAAAACATTAACTGCAAGGAATTGGCTTATGTGATAGTGGATACTGACAAGACAAGCCCAAAATCTGTGGGACAGGTCATGGCGGGGGGACAAGTTGGAACTCATGTATGAGCTGAAGCTGCCATCCATATGTGGAATTCCTTCTTAATCAGAAAAGCCTCAGTGTGCAATAAAGGGCATTAAACTGATTGACTTAGGCTCACCTGTTCATCTTCCTTACTTAAAGTAATTGTAGACTTTAATCACATCTACAAAATATCTCACAATGACACTTAGATTAGTGTTTGATTGAATAACTGGGGACTATAGCCTAGCTTAGTTGACTATCACATATTTTTCCCCATTTTGCTTTTTTATTGTTCTTAAGAGGATGGAAATTTATTTATATTTGCTTCATATATATTATATTGCATTTATTAGAAAATACTTAATTTTCAAATGAGTCATTTTGATTTTATATTTTCAATCTGATTACTGTAGGCATTTAATTGGAAATCTATTTATGTTTTCCTAATTATTTTGCAATTTTTTTGTATTTTTGTAAGGTGTTATATTTTCTCACTTGTCAAGCAGTAGCCATTATATTCTATGCCCTGTTCAAACAAGCATTACAAATACAAAAATCGATACTTCTTAAAGTTCACTTAAACTTCTGTGCTCATAACTTACTATTTCATTTTTGTCAATTAATTACCCATTTCTTACCTTAGCCAGACTGTAGAGCTTTTAAAATGGCAGAGGTTTTGTTCTTGTTATTTTTCTTTTAGATAATTTAAAAGTTTATTGATATTTTAGACATATTTTATATTTTTAATCACATAAAATAGGTACAATCATTGCATATAATTATATCAGAACAACGATAAGTCAGCTTTCTTTGAAAATCCATAGACTAAATAATCAGCATAACAGGAATGAAAATGTATAAATATTCTATCAGGACAGGGCAAGTGTACCATGGTTTTTTTTTTCTTTTCTTTTCTTTTTTTTTTTTTTTTGAGACCAAGTCTCCCTCTGTCGCCCAGGCTGGAGTGCAGTGGCGCGATCTCGGCTCACTGCAACCTCCGCCTGCCGGGTTCAAGCAACTCTCCTGCCTCATCCTCCGGAGTAGCTGGGCTTACAGGCACCCGCCATCATGCTCGGCTAATGTTTGTATTTTTAGTAGAGACGGGGTTTCACCATGTTGGTCTGGCTGGTCTCGTACTCTTGACCTCAAGTGATCCGCCCGCCTCTGCCTCCCAAAGTGTTGGGATTACAGGGTTGAGCCACCGTGCCCGACCAGTACCATGTTTTTATCTGAAAATCATGGAATATAGTTGTTTTGAGAAAATGTCTGTCGTGATTAAAAATTCATATGAGTTTGTTGTATTTAGTTCAACAAACATAAAATGGTAAAGAATCATGACTCAAAGTGCATAAAACGTATCTTTCAATATTCACTTCAACGAAAATTTTACTATTTAATTTCTGTAGTCATTAATAATTACTGGGTAATATTTAGAATATATACTGCCTATTACAGAGTGAAATCTGACCAAAATTGCAAATAACATTTTTTATTTTATTCTTTCCCTAGCTTTATGAAGGTACAATTGAAAAATAATTGTATATATTTAAGGTGTTTAATGTGATGGGTTGATAATATGTATATACACACATTATGAAATGATTACCACAATCAAGTTAATTAACACACCCATCATTTCACATAGTTACCTCTTATGTGTGTGTGGGTGGGTGGTGAGAAGGATCTCACTCTCTTAGCAAACTTTAAGTATATAATAAATATTATTATTAATAACAACTCAGAGTCTCACTATTTATTTTCCATATTTTTCTCCTTCATTTTATCCCATAATTCTGTACCAGGTAACTGATAAATGGATAATATTCTCAACTCTTCCACTTCTATCCATC
Source organism: Homo sapiens (assembly GCF_000001405.40). Classification (NCBI taxonomy): domain Eukaryota; kingdom Metazoa; phylum Chordata; class Mammalia; order Primates; family Hominidae; genus Homo; species Homo sapiens. The sequence continues at coordinate 114,691,880 of NC_000008.11, read as the reverse complement.
CTTTCTTTTCTTAATCCCATTCCTTAAGCTCTTTCTACCCTTCAAAATTAACCTACACAAATAGATGTTCCAGGTCTGCTTTTAAGAAAAAAAATTAACCTACACTGTCAATTCCCTTATGGCCTTCATAAAAATGAGGCAAGTTAGACTGATAAATTAATTTGTGCTGAGGTGTCAGTTGTTCATAATATCTCTGATGAATTTATGAGTCTTCAAAGGAATAATTATATCTTGGTAATTGCTCTTCCCTTGACAGTCTCTTTACTCTATGCCTTAAAAAAATCTGCTTTTTCAGTCTTCTCATCTTCCTATTCCATTGTTACATATAATCAAATGTGTTTATATAGTTAAACACTATATTTAAATTACATTCTTTAAGAGACTGGATAGTAAAATGACAAATCAAATTGTCATTTCTTTTAACTTTGGTCAATGGCAATATTTGGAAGAATGTGAAAAAACACTCAATATATATTTATAAGTGAAATTATGTTGTTATGATAAATCTTGATGGAGCTATTGAATATAAAATTATTTATATTTCTCATCAAATATGCATGGTATATATAATTTTCTTTTAATGAACATTAATAAAGGTCATGATAAGGTTGTATTAAGGAGGGTAAACTCATGGTCAGTATTAGAAGAGTGTCTTGCTCATATAAGACTAAATATTTATAAATAATTCATCTTATTACTTCTCCCTCTCCCTTAAAGCACTCTTCCTTGAAGCATAATTAATGAATACCTGAGTAACAGTACATGTTTCTGAATTCACCTCAAGTGCTTGTTATTTTATTTATAGACTAATTGTTAGATTTCAATGTTTCTCAGTTTTCAAGTTTACTAGATTAATGTTAATTGGAACATTAATTGGAAATTACTAAAGGAAGTTTAGTAATTTCATAGAAATTGTTAGACTCAACAACATTTGCATATTTTAATTCTAAGACAGTTTCAAAGAGACTTTAAAATAAAGTGAAGATTATTAAAAATATTTATAATTATGAATAAATATAAAACCTTAATATATCTAGCATTTTTGTTCTCCATCACCCCTCACCAAATACTGTTTGTAAAGTTACTGGTTTTGCTCATTAGAGTAACTCTGCTTTGTGGGACAATATTTCTAGGAGCTATACTGCACACACACACACACACACACACACACACTCCATGTTCAGTATAAAAACTATAAAGTTAAACTAGCAGAAACACCTATCTTTAAAGGGAAATGTCATCAAACATGCAACTTGCATGATTCAATGAATTAAAGTAGGTGAATGAGAAAAATAAAACAAGTACATAGACAGATATAATAAAAATACATAAATACTGCAAGTGATTCTACCTACTGATGTACTTGATTTGCTCCAGAGTAAAGTTGATGTTGGAAATAAAATTTACTTTTTGATAAACTGGTATAAGTCGCCATACACTTTTCCAGAAGGAAGCATCTGGCCATGTTGTAATGTTTAAAGACAGGTGTTTTCAAAGACAACTTGGCTTCTAAATCCAAGCCAAATATTTCACATGGTCCTCTGCCAACAAAATAATAACATGGTCTAGTGCTGAATTCAGACTACATATTATCTTCCATAATGATTTATACTTTTAGCTATGTATTTTGTGGAAGATTTAGAAGACTTTTAAGGGTAATTATGATTATTCATATTTTTGTCCTTTTTTATGAGACAGGGACTCCCTCTCTTGCCCAAGCTGACATGTAGTAGTGCAATCTTGGCTCACCGCAACCTCTGCCTCCCTGGTTCAAGCAATCCTCCCACCTCAGCCTCCCGAATAGCTGGCACTACAGGTGTGCACCACCACACTTGCTAATTTTTGTATTTTTTGTAGAGATGGGGTCTTGCCATGTCATCATGTTACCCATGCTAGTCTTGAACTCCTGAGCTCAAGAGATCCACCTGCCTTGACCTCCCAAAGTACTGTAATTACAGGCATTAGCCATCCTGCCTGGCCATTTTTGCCCTTTAACTAGCTCCTAAAGAAGATGCTTGTTCACATATGAGAAAATATCATTCAAGAAACGGAGCAAAAGCTATTTTCCTAAAGCTCTTTGACTATGAAACACTATCTTATCAAAATATTTGTCAATAACATTTCTCTGAATTAGCGTTTTATATATATAGATATGCTCTGTTAAACCATAATCTCTTTACAGATGAGATTCTGATTTGTCTATTACTATGTCCTTAGAGCCTAGAACAGTTATCTTTAACACATCTCAATATATATTTCTTTATATAATGACTAAAATGCATTGATATACCAGATAATTTTCATCTCCAAGTATAGCAACACAAAAACTTTATATTAATATGCAGATATTTGAAAATTCTTTATTTCAGATTAAGACTATGATTACCTCACATTATTTGGATTTAAATTTAATTGATTGTAGCCTATCATTTGAATTTATTTAACTATTGGAAAACAACTTATGGCTTTGTTTTTTTCTGTTTTTTGGTTTTCTTTCTTTTTTTTTTTTTGAAACAGAGTCTCGCTCTTTTCGCCCAGGCTAGAGTGCAGTGGCGCAATCTCAGCTTACTGCAACCTCCGCCTCCCAGGTTCAAGCTTCTCCTGACTCAGCCTCCTGAGTAGCTGGGATTACAGGTGCCAGCCACCACCCCGAGCTAATTTTTGTACTTTCAGTAGAGACGGGGTTTCGTCATGTTGGCCAGGCTGGTCTCAAACTCCTGACTTCAGGTGATCCACCCATCTCGGCCTCCCAAAGGGCTGGGATTACAGGCGTGAGTCACCGCACTGGGCCTGTTTTTTATTTATAAAGTTTATCTCTGTCTTTGCAGCTTTAATATAGACATCTCTAATTTCATTGCATTGTGGAAATAAAAAATTGTAAACTTTTCTGCACATGACCAGTCTTTCTTCACTTATTGTTTTCAACAGACATACTTATTTTCCCCCATCAAAATAGTAATTTTCTTAAATCTAGGTTTCAAGTTGCAAATAATTGTAATGCATTTCTAGATTTTAATGGTCACCAACACCAAAACATCAGCTTTTTTTTCTTTCCCTTAAATACTTATTAAAATATGTTCATCTTCCTAGATACAATTTTTTCACAATGATAGATTTATCTCTGGCCCATTTAAAGTCTTGCACTGTATTAACATGCCCTGTATTACTTAGGAACAGCAATATTCTGACTATGAGCCTACCATTCTAGAATAACAATGGCTACACACTTATATCCTTTTTTTCACAATGGTTGTTGAGAAAATATTCATCTTCAAAATTCAACAGATTCATACCTTAAGACTTGTTCTTTAGGAAGTGAATATGTATAGATAACAGTAATTAACCTTTGTTTCTGAAAGTTGCCAAAAGAGAAACATTCCCCACTTTATGGCTTTATGATTTATTAGCCAATCTTTTAAATGTTCCTCTTAAGATATATTTTAAATGAACAGATTCTCCCCTTTGAACAGTTATTGAGTAATGAGAAAGACTCTAGTCAACTGTCTTCATACAATTATATAATGATTTTTACTAGACAAATATTTATTTTCAAAAATGCACAGCTTTGTACATCTCCTCCACCTCAAATACTGGAATAACTGACGAGTCCAAGGCTAATGCCAGAAAGAAGGAATTTATGGGCTTTGGGGGAATGATGATATTAATTTATTAATTTGCCGTACCATTTATTTTAATTAGACTCCTGTTCTGAGATCGACTTCCTTCCATCTACATCGGTTCTACTAATTAGGCTCCTCTCTTGTCACCTAATATTCGTATCCATGTAGGTATAAGCCCTCTTTCCTAGGGGCCATTTCTCCCTTATCTGGGACTGGAATAAAGCCTCTTATATGTTCTCAGGGCTGTAGATCTTTTACCTTGAGGCCAGAGAAACCAACTGTTACTAAATTATTTCCCTTGCATTTTCCAATGTTATCTGCTCTTACAGTGATGCTCTGTACTGGCCAGCATACACTAGGGTGATATATCATAATGGTTAAAAGCTTTTAGTCTGAAACAGGATGGCTTGAGTTTAAATCCAGATCCTGCTACTTAATCTTTGGATGATTTAGGAACTTACTCTATTTCTTTTTAACCTTAGTTTCTCCACCTGCACTTCACCATCTTTAGAGTGGTGAGCAAAAGAACAGCTTCCCAATAGACTTGGGTGGATTATTATTATGTTTTGCATATGTGAAGTACTTTAGATGACAACTGGCCCATAGTTAATAAATAATGATAATAATAATATTCTCTTTCAGTAGATTTTTACAAAGCATGTAGGAATAGCGTGGTTACTATGGAAGTAGAAAATCCCTAGTCACTTTTATTATTTTTTCAATTGCAATATTTTTTTGTCTGCCTGGTCATTGTCATAGCACCTGTATTTCTGGTTGTCCCACAAAAGTTGGCAAACTTTATTTAGATTTTTTTAAAACTTTAACTAAGTTTCTTGCTTCATGGATAGAAAATCTGTGGCTGTTTTAAAAATACATATTTAATTGTGTGTGTGTGTGTGTATTTATGTTGAGAATATCTACAGCTTTAATTAATTTTTTGTGAATCAGAAACTTTTAGGACATTGCTATAGAAACCTTGTCTCATTGCACTAAATGAGTCTCATTCCTGATTCCTGCCCTCCCCTACATATCCCTGAGTTGGCTGCATCTCATTTATTTTTGCAAATCCATAACCATATTTCTACTGAGATATGTTAGTGCATGCATACATATTAATAAAAATCAAATACACTATCAGAAAATGTAAAGGGCAACATTTATATCAACAAAATTGCGGAGCAAAAATTAAATAATCAATTACATGCCTGTCACAGCATATTCAATAATGTTATACTCTTCCATAAGGATCTCTTCTTTTTTGATGTTATGTTATTAAAAGCAAGCAGAACGAAAGTTTGAAGAATTGATTTTATTGCATGTGCCTGATTAAGAATTTCATCATAATAGCAAAGAATAAGCTTATATTTTCATCTATTAAATTTGTATCCATTGAACAAATGTACATATTTTGGTTTTCATGAAATAGTGATTAACTTTGTATTTCATTAATGTAAAATTTAAAAATATATTTCTGAGATAAAAGAGAAACATACTAATTGGGGGAAGTTTTTATCTGTCAATAAGTATTATTTTATGGTTGGTGGTGTGTTTTTAGAGATGACTCTTATTTTAGGTCAATTTATTACACATAAATGGTAATTAATATTGCCCTAGTATACAAAAAGTATAGTTCCTCCAACACACTGGCTTAGCCTTATACCAAACCACATGAAGAGTCATTGATTATCTTTTTTTCCTATTTTGGCTGGCCAAGTACAATTGAAAGACATGATTGAACATTTTTAAGGCTAAAGCCACTCTGCAACACAATAAAGTGAGAATATAAAGCATGAATTTAGTCAACCATTCTAAAATACAAATGCAAATCATATACTCTGGTCTATTCACTGTAACCAACTAATAATGACTATTTACTGTTTTAACCCTGGAGTTCTCTGTCCCATTTTCAGTGTTCATTGCCTCCTGACATTGTGATGTGAAAATTTTAATTTCTTTATGCTAAATTGAGATATACAATTTATACCTTGTTCCTTTCGAGAGTAAGTACAGAATATAATTTTGCTGTATAGGCCCTTCTGAGACCTTCAAAACGTAGAAAGATCTTAACTAAATTTACATTAAAATATGAAAATAGTTTAGAGAAATTCAAACACTCATTATTATTTTGAAAGTAAGACTAAGTTTAAAATAAGTAATATAAAGGCATTAATAAATGCAGAAGAGTGTGTAAGAGCAGAGGACCATAGGGAGCCATATTTACATAAAGCCCCTAGGGATCATCATATACAATCCCTTGCTTTACATACAATAAGCCTTATACCTACGAATTCTAATGTTTTGATTCAGGTAAAAGATCTCATCAGAAGTCTATTGGCTTGAGAAGCTAAGACTTTTTCAGGGTTAGAGAGAGAAGCTTAACCTGGCAAGAAAGCATTAATTATTATAATGTATGGATGACTCTGACCTAGGTGAGTTATACTCATATTTCTTTCTTGGTACAGTATCCCATCAGCTCACATCTTACTCTTACGAGAATGGTGAAAAAAGGAAGAGAAGGAATCACAATTTTTAGTATGAAGTTAAAATGATTGTTTCACTGATACTTCTATAGTTCTCACAGAACAGGATACACTGTCTTAGAACTACTTTGAAAGAGAATCTTAAAAACAAAGAAGGAGAATTAGCTGACCACTTTGCCACAGAACACCCTATAATAAGGGTACATCAGGATCACAACAGGATTAGCAGTGGTGCCCAACAAGAGATGGTGATACCATCTGGAAAGCAAAGATAACTGGTTAAGGATGCTTCTTGGTAAAAAAAAAAAAAAAAAAAAAAATCATGAGAGGTGACAGATAAAGGCAGAAGACCAAGGCTCCCTGTAGAAGTACAGTAAAAGTGATCTCAAGGCAGTATATTTCTCAGTGGTGTGATGAGCCTATATTAGTGACAGAACAATAGGAAACCCTGAAGTGGGGAAAAAATAAACTATACCTACTCAGACATTTCTGCAAAGTCATATGAAAATTCCTTAGAAGAGTCTTCAAAATCGGAATTTTGCAAGGAGTTGAGTCCAGCAATAGCAAGTAGAGGTAAAATCCAAAGAAATATGGATTACAAACACGTCATATAATACAGCTCCAAACATTGTCCTAGGGTAAATTTTATATTGCTTGAAACAAAGACCTAAACATAGCCACGTCTCTTGAGTCTTAAATCAGGATTTTTTTCCCAATGGTTACATATATTCAGATAAATAATCTTCTGGTTCTAGTAACGAAGTTAAAATTAATAGGAAAGCTACCTTGTTAGGTTGTCCATCAGCTGTTGACAAGTCTCAATTTTTAAAATAAATGTAAGAATGTTACTGGTGACATACTACAATTACAATGGGAAACTTGGCACTCTCCTCCACAAGCCCTAACTCAATTTGTAAAAATGAGACAGGAAATAAAAATACTAAGCCAAAGCTAAAGATACTATTATATCATAATGCTAGGCTGTGGGAAGGAGAATTGGTTGAAAGCTTGTGTTCAGTCATGTAAGAGAAGTTAAAGATTTTTGCATCCTCTGCCAAAGTCTTGGAATTCTTTAAAGAAGACGTTTTTTAATGTGGTACGCCTTTGTACTTGTCTTAAATCATTTTTGCTGTAAGCAGATAGGTTTCAAACTTGAGAGGACAAGCAAGAGGGGAACTAAGGAGAAAAGGATGCCAGAGGCTGAGGCTCATCATTTTATGCAAAAAGAGCCACTGCAGTTCATTGATGTACTATCTCAGGTAGTCAGAAAAATTTAATCTAGAAGCTTTAATGCAGTTTGTCCACTTTGCATATATCTACCTTGAGGTTTAGAATGGAAAATATATAGCAAAATGGATTTAAAGTTTTTAATCTTGGTTACACTTTTTGTGATTAACAAATGCTGTAACCATTAGATGACAATGTGCTGACTACATTAATGTGTGTACAAAGACTGACTCTGGCTTAGCCTTATACCAAACCACATGAAGAGTCATTGATTATCTTTTTTCCTATTTTGGCTGGCCAAGTACAATTGAAAGACATGATTGAACATTTTCAAGCCTAAAGCCACGCTGCAACACAATGAATTGAGAATATAAAGCATGAATTTAGTCAACCGTTCTATGCAACCAAATACAAATAATATACTCTGGTCTATTAACTGTAACCAACTAATAATGACTATTTACTATTTTAACCCTGGAGTTCTCTGTCCCATTTTCAGTGTTCATTGCCTTGTGATATTGTGATGTGAAAATTTTAATTTCTTTATGCTAAATTGAGATATATAATTTCTATTTTGTTCCTTTCGAGAGAAAGAATAGCATATATTGGGATTCATACTATAAAATTATTCCCAAACTGAGTAGATTAATGTGTGAATTATGCTATTTACCCCTGTTCTCAAGTTCCTGTGATTTAAAACCTCTGAGATTTCACTGGATGTTGAGGCTGCAGTAAGCTATGATTGTGCCACTTCACTTCAGCCTGGGTGACACAGCAGGATCTTGTCTCAAAAAAAGAATAAATTAAAGTCATTATTACAAGACTATGTTGGTTCTAAGAGTGAATTTTGCTTTCTCTTGCTTGCTTTCTCTCTCCACGTGATGCCTTTCACCATGTTATGACCCAGCAAGAAGGCCTTCAGCAAATGAGTCCTCTTGATCTTGGACTTCCTACCCTACCGAATCTTGAGCCAAATAAATTTTTATTATTAATAAATGTCCTAGTCCATGGTATTCTGTTATAGCAACATAAAACAAATTAAGTCATAAAATTGATACTGAGAATTGGAGCTATGGCTGTAACAAATGCCTGAAAATATAGAAGCAGCTTTGGATAGAGGCTGGGGGAATTTGGAAGAGTAGGCTAAAAAAATCCTAGATTGCCTTGAGTGGAGCATTAAGGTTAATTCCAATGATGTCTCATAAGAAGACAAGAAATGTAGAAAAAGTATGAAACTTCTTTACTTCAGTGGTTGTGATCAAAATGGTAGAAATATGGACAGTAGAAGCCATTCTGATGTGGTCTCAGAAGAAACTAAGGAACAAGATATTAGAAATTGGGGTAAAACCTCTATTTGTTATAAACTAGCAAAAACCTTGGCTGAATTGTGTTTATGGCCAAAGACTTTATAGAAGGCAAAATTTAAAAGTGATAAGGTAGGATATCTGACAGAAGAAATTGCTAAGGGAAATATTGAAGAAGCAACACAACTACTTTTTATTGCAAATCATAAGATATGAAAAGAGAAAACTGTTTTAAAGACAGAAGTCACAATTAAAAGAAAAACAACATAAAAATTTGAGAAATGTCCAACCTGACCATGCAGAGTAAAAAAGGCATATTTAAGAGTGCAAAGCAAGAATTCAGTCAAGCAAACATCTGCTAAAGAGATTAGTAAAAATAGAAGGAGCCAGATGCCATTTATCAAGACAATGAGGGACTGACCCTTAAGGCATTTCAGAGATATTTGAGTCAAGCTAGATCCTGGAAGGCAAGGTTTCCAGAGAGGTGACTTGCCCTGTGCTGCCTCAAGTGTTAGCTCCCTGCATTCCAGCACAGCACTCCTTGGCCATCCCAGCCTTGGCTCAAGTGGGCCCACGTGCAGATGGTCCTGCTGTTCTGGAAGGTACAAGCCATCTACCATGGCAGCATTCACATGGTGCTAATTCTGCAGGCATGCCAAATGCAAGAGCTGCAAGGCCATGGTGGCCTTTACCTAGATTTCAAGGGTAGTCATAGACAGCCTGATGGCCCAGGCGGAAACATGCCACTGGGGTGGAGCTTCCACAGAGAGTTTCTGCCCAGATAATGCCTAGAGGAGCCATGGGAATGGGACTGGCACTGAGACCCCAGAACTATAGAGCTACCAGTGTGCAACACCAGGCTGGGAGAGCTGCAATCATGAGACGCCAACAGGAAAGAGCTGAAGTGTGGACTGAGCCCAGCAAAGCCATGGGGGTTTGGCTCTGGAAGGCCTTGGGCACCCAACCCTTGCTGCAGTGTGTCCATGTGGTGGCACATGGAGTGAAAGAGTATTCTGGAATCTTAAGATTCAGTGTTGTTTTTTTTCTGTTGGGTCTTAGACTTACTTGGGAACAGTTACTCCCTTCTTCTTGCCTATTTCTCTTTTTTTGCAATGGAAATGCCTATCCCATCCCTGTCCCACCATTAAATATTTGAAGTAGATAACTTGTTTAACTTTAGGCTCACAGCTAAAAGGAATTTGTCTCAGAGTGTATGTACTGTGCCTTGAATCTCACTCATATCTGATTTACATGAGATCTTGAACTTTGACTTATGAGTTGGAGCTGGAATAAGGTATGACTTTGACTTTGGGGCTATTGGAATGTAATAAATGTATTTTGCATTTTAAGAAATGTTGGGGTTCAAGGGCAGAATACTATGCTTTGGATGTGTCCCCAAAGTTTATGTGTTGCAAACTTAATCTCCAAGGCAACAATGTTGAGAAATGGGGCCTTTAAGGGATGATTAGGCCATAAGGGCTCTGTGCTTATGAATATGTTAATATTATTATCACAAGAGTGGGTTAGTTGTCATGGAATGGGTTTCTTATAAAAATTTGAGTTCAGTCCCCTTTCTCTCTCTCTCTCTCTCTCACCCTTCCACCTTCCACCAAGAGTTAATGCAACACAAAGGCCTTCACCGCATGCTGACACTTTGATATTAGACTTCCAAGACAGTAGAACTGTGAGAAATAAATTTCTTTTCTCTATAAATTATCTAGTCTGTCATATTCTGTTAAGACTAAGTATATAAGGAGGTACACAAAGCAAAAGAAATTTTATGAAAAGATAGTAAGCATATACATCTCTTCCTAATTTCAGTAAATTGCAACTATGTACAAAGTAAATTTTAATTCCACTTAAAAAATTGAACATTCTGCAATCAAAGCTGTTCCCTGGATTTCAATAAACATTCTGGTTGTCTTTGGCTTCCTTCACTTTGAGAATGAAGATCTTTGTTCTTGCTGGTCTGGGAATAGTTTTTATTGGTGATGTTTTCCTTTGGCTGGGAAACCGATTAAGGGCTTCTTTTCCTGGCAGATCCTTCTTTCTATTGGATGTAACCATTGAAATTACTTAAAAGAGCACTTTTATTTATTCTGGATGCTCAAATTCATCTTATAAATGCCTATAAATTTAAAAATTAGAGGAAATAACAGAGTTTTTAAATGTACACCTGCAAATGGGTTATCTTAAATTTACCCTGGAGGGAATAAGAACAAAACACAATTATGATATTTTAACAGTGAGGCCTCACACAAGAGTAACTTACAACTGCAAAAGCTCTATTTTATCAAGGAAATGTGTATGTAAACTTATTTTAGTCATCAGCTTTCTCAGTCTTTCAGTTTGGATTGCTTTCATCTTCAGTAGAAACAAAGACATGTGGTTTACCATAACTGCTTGCTGATTTTCCTTGAATGTGTGGAATATCTTTAAACTAGAGCTATTTAAAATAATGATGAGAAAAAGTGGAGCACAATTTCTTCTAACCGTGAAGTGTATTACATCTTCTTGTTGAGCTGATTAGTTTTTCTGCTCCTGAAAATAAGTGTTTAAACACTGTAAATTCTTTTATTGCAGTGTGTATTTTCTGTTGTCTGGCTGGCAGTGAGTACATTGGAGACTGTCGTACTTAGTAATTCTGACAAGTTGCAAAAGTTTGCCAAATAAAAATGCCCTAGACCGAAGTGTATTTGGAACATTTTTGCACAAGGATTTTCTGGGGTTTCCTTAGACTTGGTGACTGAAAAGACAGGTAGCCTCATGTGTAATCTATAAAAAGGAAAATAGATCCTACCCCACAAAGCTTTTAAGGCAGAATGATAAAAATCTTTTAAAACATAATTCAAATGCTGTAGGGAATCTTTGGAAGTTATCTCTCCCAGTTTTATTTCCCATCTGTGCATTCGTTTGGAAGCATCAATGTTTGTCTCTACACCAAAAAAATGATTTATCAACTATGCATACAATCAATCACTACTAATTAGAGATAAATTCACAAGCACAGTTTCAGTGTTCATTCAATTTTCCACAGAAATGAAAACAACATCATCTTAAGTTTTTCATCAACTTCGGCGGGGAAAGGCCAAGGAAAAGCTTTGTCTCTTTTTTCCTCTATAAATGACATAATGAAAAATTATTGGTAATACAGTAGTTTCTCTTAGTCTTTAAAAAAAGATAATTCATCGAAAGGTTATTAGACCAACATTTGTAGCTTCTATGTTTTGTTTATGTGACAAAAAATTACTTTTGAAATTTTTCTTTTCTTTTTTTATTATAGAATTTTTGTCCAAAGTGACTTCGTATTCTTGTTTAGAAGATTTTTTGTTGATGTTGTTGTCTAGTAACATAAAATGAGTATTTGCCAATTAGGCACATCCAATATTGTAATACTTTCTCCAACCTTATATTATAGTAAGAATTTTAAGCTTCCTTCCTTTATAATATTGGGTTTCTGCCAGGGATTACTCACTTATCCTTGGAAGTCTTTTGTGATGGCATCAATCATCCCCTCTCTTAAGTAGGGAAAAATTAGCAGTAAAATGTCTCACCTCTGGGGAAAAAATAACTAATCACTTAATAAAGTAAACCATGTCTTGTTTCCTGAATTTGTGCACTTTTAATAAGAAACTGTTAGGGGAGGAACTCTGTCTTCTCTAATAGCTTGTATAAAGCCAATTACCCATCATCAGTCCTCAAATAAATAAAAGATAATAATAGTGAAAAATTGAAATATTGAAACCAAACATTTTCACTAATTCAATCTTCATTTCCGTAATATGTGGTATAACTTTAGCTAGGCTATTTATGACTAAAATAGCAAAGTCTTCATATGGGAGAAATTGCTTTTCTGTTTTGCTTGCTCATTGCCCCATTCATCATGCCTTCAGTTTAGTGCCAAAAGTGACTTTCATAATCCTGGCTATAAACAGCTGAATGAGAATATCAAACCCTGCTCTACCCAATAACTTACTAAAGAAAGAACCATATTTTTTAGTATCTTATTACATTTTTAGCCTATGAGGAAGTAAGACAGTTAGAAGCATTAGTTGAAAATGTTGGCAAGCAAGTAGGAGTGTGAGAGAAAGCAAAGGAGATGGAAGAATAATGAGACAGACATACTCTTAGGTTTTGGCATAACTCTGATGCATGTGGGAAAGCTAATGACTCTTCTAGTTCAACATGTTGATATTCATTTGAGGGCTTGAGTTATTCCTGTTAGCTAACTTTGTTTTATGTAGGACCAAGATACTTAACTCCATCTTTGCTAAACATTTGTAGCTTCTTCTCGTTACGTTGCCTTCTAGTGTTTGTGATTCGAACAGAGATACTATCGTGATTCATACTGAATTCTCTTCTAAATTTTAGGGTGATTAATCACAAAGCTCTGATTCAATTGCAATTATAATAACTTTTACTGTTGAGAGTGCTGTTGATAGGACTGAGTTCCATAGTATGTATTAGGAATCTGACCAATGTGGTGTGAGGAAATTGCAAGGAGTGATCAGTTGATTTTATAACTCCAGGAGATAATGCATTTCTTGTGCTAGTTTCCTCACAAATATTCACTTCCTAACCAACCTCCAAACCAAGATGGCTGGAATGCATCTATATATAATTGAACATCACACTTAGTCTTCATGTCCACTTCTCTTCACTATATTTAAAAAAACCTCCCTTTATCACCATCATTTCATTCCTTCTTTAAAAAGAGAATTAGAATTGTTATGCATGCCTGCACTTCCTGTTCTATCATGAATGTAATTTTTCTGATACTCAGGCCTGGAACCTCAGTAGTCATTTGTGTGCTTTGTGACCCTGGCTTTTTCTTAATGTCTGCCTGATTTAAAGGTGGTGATCTCTTGGGAAATCAGAATTTGGGCTGACAATTTTCAAGCTAAACTAAGCAGGGTGTCTGTCACTATTGTAAAGCCTTAAGATATAAACTCTGCAGGTTGTCACGTTTCCAATTAGGCACAGGAAGGTGATCTGAGAGAATTAGTGAGAAAGAAGAGATGAGAGATGGAGAGAGCAAAGTTTTTGAAGTTCCAGTGAGCCATGACAGTCAACTGAACAGTATAGCAGTTATGTGAAATTCCCTAGTTCTACCAATACATTTTCCCTTTTGACTGAACTAATTGGCATTGCATGTTAGTTTGCAATACAAAGTTTTATCTAATGCAATTTCCCTGACTTTAAGTGATAGGGGCACATCTTCCAGTTGTCTAAAAATATTCATTCATGTTTCTCAAAAATTTGTTCTTCTCTTTTGGTAAAATATACAGTCTTCTTTCAAGAGAAGAATATATATTTCTGTATACTTTTCTAAAGTATAGCTATGCATTTAATATTATTTATAGGTGGAGAGAATATGCACAATCAATGTTTGGCTTATACATAGTTAACACTTAATCCCATGGTGATTTATCTTAGCTCTTGGTCAGAAGAAATGCACTATTACTTAAAATGGAGGACTGTTTGTGTGCTCTCTACTACTTCATAAGCACTAAAAGGAGATTTCTTAATATTATAAATATTAAATGATGACAAATATGTTTATATTGAATTTATATATTATGTTTATATTGAAAATACTTAGAAACAGTGAGAAGCATAAGAAACTTTTAGTCTGAAAGCCTAGCTTTGCATGCCAGCTGTGTAACTACCATGTTTATGCTTTGAGAAAGTCACTTAACTTCCTCATTTGTAAGATGAAATTGTGATGTGGCTTCTGCACTAATTAAATGCAGTAATTTAATACATCCATATACGTACAGTTGTTCCTCAGTATTCATGGTGCATTGATTTCAGACCCCCTCAACAGATATCAAATTCTGCAAATGCTCAAGTCCCTCATAAAATGGCACAGAATTTAGATATAACCTCCACACTTCCTGAATATTTTAAATCATCTCTAAATTACTTGTAATACTGAATTCAGTGCCTATACATCATTCCAATATTGTGGATTCAACATAGTATTTGATGCATGGCAAATTCAAGGTTTGCTTTTCAAAACTTTATAGAAATTTATATTCTAGTATTTTAATTTCACCATTAGTTGAATCAACTGATGTGAGACTCACAGATATAAAGAGTCAACTGTGCATGTATTTTTCCATTGGTAGCTTGTTTAAGAATTCTTAGTAGAGATAGCATCATGATTATTGAGGGGTTGTTTCGCTTAGACAATTTCAGGTTCAAATGCAATTATTTGTAGATCAATTGTCTTGCATGAAAAGTGTTTTTTTTTTTTTTTATAAAGAAGAGGAATGTTTTGATACTGGAAATAGAGAAGAGAAAGAGAGCTGGGGTGGAAAAATTGTATGGGTGACAACACCTGTGAAAACTTAAAATGAAAAAAATGATAGAAATAAATTTTGATAGGTAATTTTGGAGACAAAGGGGAAATATAATATTTCTCCTTATAAATATAACCATGATGAATATGAATAAATTTATTATTTACAAAAATATGGGATAGAAATGGCACTAAGTTGTATAATCCCCCATTCTACCACTGTTGGCCTAGGTAAAAATAATCCAAGTCAAGATATTTTTTCTCTGGCATAAATGAGACTTAACTAAATATTATTAATGTTTCATCTTTGCAGGCCACTGTTCTTTCTTTTAGGAGATTCTGTTGTAAGTTTGGGCCTCAAGTTATCAATTGACATGATGTTTCATAAGAGCCAAGGGTTTACCTTCCATTGACTGGCTCATTATTAATAGCTACATAACTTTTATTAGCTCAATTACTGGTTTTTATGGAAAACCTTGTAAATTTTTTAAAAACTAAAACCAGTATATAGTTAACATTTTGAGATTTCCTTTGGTTTATTTTCATGGGAGAATTATAGCAATCAATTTCAGAAGTCTCAATGTTTTACCTGTTTTACACCAACTCCCATCCAAAGAAAACCTTAAGGATGAATGGCTCATATTTGTATGTGTCACAATGCCTGGAAGATTTTTCTAATTTAGAACATTCAAAGGATCAAAAATATTAAATTCATGGAATTCATACTATGTGCACGAAATACATTTTAACTGCTGATTCTACTAGTATGTCTCACATAAAGGTAACATAACCCTAGTTCTTATTAAGATAAGAAAGGTAAATTGTGGGGCCCTTTAAAATTATAGGCTGCGGAAATATTTAAATCAGTATGTGTAAATGCTACTTCATTGTATATTTCTAATGGTTTAGTGTATGTCCCTTGGATCCAGTCTACAATGGCACGAAATCTGGATTTTGTTCAAGTTACCTAAATTCCCTTAAAGTTCTCATCTGTAAAATAGAATGAATAATATTATATATTATGAATGATTGGAGGACTAACAAAATTATATTCTTAAAGCATCTAGAATAGCAACCACTCTATTAACATTGGCAATTACTCCTACAACTACTGCTACTATTTTATGCCAATCATTTTACTATTTAAATATGTGTTATTTCATTAAACTTAAAAATAATGTTTTGTATATTATGTTTCTGAATTAAACAGTTATATTTATTACAAATAAAAGTCATTAATTTACTGACTTTAAATACTATAGCAATTATATTTTGATTTATTGGATTTTTCTTTTCTTTTTTTTTTTGAGATAGAGTCTCGCTCTGTCACCCAGGCTAGCATGCAGTCATGCAGTCACGTAATCTTAGCTCACTGCAACCTCTGCCTCCTGGTTTTAGCGATTCTCCTGCCTCAGCCTCTAGAGTAGCTGGGATTACAGGCACCCACCAACATGTCTGGCTGATTTTTGAATTTTTTCTTTTTAGTAGAGATGGGGTTTCACCTTGTTGCCTAGGCTGGTCTTGAACTCCTGGCCTCAAGTGATCCGCCTACTTAGGCCTCTCAAAGTGCCGGGATTACAGGCATGAGCCATTGTGTCCGGCCCTGCAATTTTAACAATCTATTATCTTAAATGTCTTAAATCCCTGGTTTCAGAGCAGATCTTGAGGTCTGGTGGCTTGCAGTTGAACCATGGACTAATTCATAAATCCAGTCATATAAACTAGGGAAATATTAAAGAAAACAGTGATATTTATTAGATATGTCAATATCTAGTATTCTGTCCTAAATTACTGAAAAATTCTGGATACCATCAATTGATGGATCTAAGCTACACTTAGATTTGCTTAACATTAGCTGAAGAGCAGGATTTTATACTAGATGGGCAGGGATAAGCATAACAGAAACTACTAAAATATATAATTTAATCCAGTTAAATGAATTTTAGCTATTTGCTCTGTAATGAAGGAACTTTGTGTTCTCTAACTCAACAAGAATATCTTCCTTCAAGATGGAAATCAAATCTGATTGCTTCAATGAGCATCTCTATGTAGATAATTACTAAATCACTCTCTTTCTGCTATCTCCCTCTATTTCCAGGTTTACATCAACAACAATCACCCAGTCTTTCTCCCTTACCGATCCAATTGTCATCTCAAATCTTTCTTTCCAACTCAAATATTTTCTTTCCACTATAACGGACTCCCACACTTGAATTCAATGTCACTATCCACTGTTCTATTAGGACTTAAAACATAGATTTACATTTGATTTCTTCCTTGCTTGCATAAAAAAATCAGTTCCTGTTTTATCTCATTTTCTTTTTTTTTTTTTTTTTTTTTTGAGATGGAGTTTCTCTCTGTCACCTAGGCTGGAGTGCAGTGGTGTGATCTCGGCTCACTGAAACCTCTGCCTTCCAGGTTCAAGTGATTATTCTGCCTCAGTCTCCAGAGTAGGTGGGACTACAGGCATGCTCCACCATGTCTGGCTAATTTTTGTATTTTTAGTAGAGACGGGGTTTCACCATGTTGGCCAGGCTGGTCTCGAACTCCTGTCCTCGTGATCCACCCGCCTTGGACTTCCAAAGTGCTGAGATTACAGGCATGAGCCACTGCACCTGGCCTTCTCTCATTTTCTTTCCATCCTTCCCTTCTTCTTTACTGTCTCTATTCTTCTCTTAAGGCAGGTGTCCATCACACTATAAATTTTAGTAATTTTT
Source organism: Homo sapiens (assembly GCF_000001405.40). NCBI lineage: Eukaryota > Metazoa > Chordata > Mammalia > Primates > Hominidae > Homo > Homo sapiens. The sequence continues at coordinate 114,674,228 of NC_000008.11, read as the reverse complement.
TTATTCTGCCTCTGTTTCCTAAGTGCAAATACATAAACAGCTTGCACATTTGTTTATTCACAAAATATATTAAATTTCTGTCATGTTACAAAAGGCCACTTGTACCCAATTTCTATCTTACTTAAACTGCATATCCACTGTCTTGAAACATGCCTTATACATTTGTCTGCTCATAAAAAAAAAAAAATACCCTAGGACTGGATAGCTTAAACAATCAAAATTTATTTTCTCACAGTTCTGGAATATGAAAGTCCAAGATCAAGACGACTGCAGGGTTGGTTTCTGGTGATGCCTCTCCTTCTGGTTTGCAGGTGGCTGCCTTCTCACAGGTGTTTTCACATACCCTTTATTCTATGTGCACAGAATGAGAGAAAGGGAGAGAGAGAGACAAAGAGAGAGAGAGATCCTGTGTCTCTTCTTCTTTTAAGGACACTGGTCCTGTTGAACTAGGGCCCCACTTTTATAACTAGATTTAATGTTAATGACCTTCTTCAATTATAGTCACATTGGAGGTTAAAGATTCAATACACTAATGGGTTGTGGGTGGGGGCATAATTGAGTCAATAACAACATTCTTGTCTTTAAGCATTTCTATGGTCTTATTTGCAGCTAGCTATACCTTTACCAATTTTACATGTCCAAATTCTCTGCATCCATTACAAAGAAGCTCTTTATTTAAAGAAGGCATTTTCTGTTTACTTCTATTTACAGTTGTCTGCTTCCACATAGTTTTAGAATTAACTTTTTGTACCACACAGTTGACACTGATATACTGCCTTCAGTTATTCAGATGCATATGAAACAGAAAAGTCTCCTTACAGACTAGCACTATATGTATTATATGTATGTATATGTGTATGTATTATACATACATATATATATATATACACACAAACATATATATGTATATATACTCAGAGTGGATTTGCAAGTCCCTATGTTTATTAGTTTTTAAGCCTTGATGCAGAATTTTGTGGAGTCACTTCAATACACTAAATGTAATTATCCAAGGAGATGACTACCAATAATTTTTTTTCTAAATGTAAAATCCATTTAAGAATGAACTTTTGGAAAATTAAAAGGCATTATAAAAGCAGTTCTATACATGTTTAATAGAGAACATTAGCACATGTTAGAGGGTATAATTCTACACATAGAAACTTATTGCAACATAAGCACAAGACAGATGGTCCTAATATAAATATTCTTTAAAATTTCTTTGACACCTACAATTTCTTCTTATATCTTCCCACCTTAAAGGATTTCCTACAACTATCCAGTGTCTCTATTTCAAGAAAAGTAATCATTTAGCTAAATTTACTTCACAAAATGTTGGTTACAATGTGTTATCTTTCCCAGGATTATTTGTTTCCCAAAAAGAATGCTTTGGCATTGAAACAATACTCTTCACAATCACTGAAATGCAATGATAGCATTTTAAGTATTAACCGTGAATAGTGAAATAAATATTTTTGCAGTAGGGCCCATTATCTTGTTTCTTCTCAAATTTTATTTTATAGGCACCCACATATTAAACATTTTAGATGACATCTATCAAGGGAAAAAAGATGCAAGGTGTTTCTCAAATAAAAATGTGATGGTTCTGGCCATGCACAGTGGCTCAGGCCTGTAATCCCAGCACTTTGGGAGGTCGAGGTGGGTGAGTCACCTGAGGTCAGGAGTTTGAGAACAGCCTGACCAATATGGTGAAACCCTGTCTCTACTAAAAATACAAAAATTAGCAGGGCGTGAGGCTGAGACAGGAGAATCACTTAAACCTGGGAAGCAGAGGTTGCAGTAAGCTGAGATCACGCCACTACACTCCAGCCTGGGCGACAGAGCAAGACTCTGTCTCAAAAAAAAAAACAAAAAAAAGTGATTGTTCTATTATTCTCAGCAAACTAACACAGGACCAGATAACCAAACACTGCATGTTCTCACACATAAATTGGAGCTGAACAATAAGAACACATGGATACAAGGAGGGGAACCTCACACACCGGGCCCTGTTGGTGGGTGGAGGGAAAGGAGAGGGAGAGCATTAGAACAAATGCATGAGGAGCTTAAAGCATGAGGAGCTTAAAGCCTAGATGACAGGTTGATAAGTGCAGCAAACCACCATGGCACATATATACCTATGTAACAAACCTGCAAGTTCTGCACATGTATCCCAGAACTTAAAGTAAAATTAAAAACAAAATGTGATGGTTCATTTTCTGATTTCTTCTGAATGCTGGAAGATAATTCCCTGTTGTTCAATACTGTTTCTATACATGTTGCAAAGAAGGCACTGACCTCTTAAATTGTAAACTATCTTTTCAAGGATGTTCGTATAGCAGAGAAGGAAGATAGAGATACTGATTTTTCCTCTGATGTAAAGGTCAGGTGAGCTAACATCCTTAGAAGATAGTCTTTTGCTGGAGCAAAGGAGCAGTATGCTTACTGGGCATTAAAAATGATTCAAGTCAGCTTAGCTCAGATTTCTTTTCCTGCCATGTAAATTACTTCATGTCCATGTGTCATCTGGCTTCATTTGTATTGTCCTATGAGAACTAGAGCTCAGAGAACCAGGAGAAAAACGGTGATAATCTGGGTACTGCTGTTGGTGTGACTAATAAACTGTCCTTCATTTCAGACCCAGTCAGAATCACAAGTATTCTACCAGCATCTGCTAAACTGTAACTCAATAACTTGTCAGCCTAAGTGGGCAAGATCTCAGACATTTTAAAAATTTTGACATCTAAATGCTCCTATGTACTGCTCATGTTTTTATTTAGTTTGTCTCTCTGATGACTCTGTCATTATATTATATGTAATCTAGATTTTAAGCTTCCACCTGTGATTACTACTTGCATTAGTCAGCATAGGCTGTCATAACAAACTACCACAGATTGAATGGGTCAAACAAAAGAAATTTATTTTCCCACAGGTCTAGAGGTTGGAATTCCAAGACGAAGGTTGTAGCAGGTTTGATTTTCTCTTCAGCTTCTCTCCTTGTTTTTCAGACAGCTTCATATCATTGTGTTCTCACATGCCTTTTCTCTGTGAGCACATTTCCTTGGTGTTTCTCCCACTTCTTAGAAGAAAACAATCATAATGGTTTAGGGCCCCACTATTCTGACCTCATGTCATCTTAGTAGCTATTTAAAGGCCCTATCTCCAAATATAGTTATATTCGGGGTTAGGGCTCCAACACAGGAATTTTAGGACACAATTTAATCCATAACACCTTTCCTATGTGCTCTAAGACAATTTCCCATGAGTCTCTTCACTACGTTTTTTTTGCTCACCATCTATTCAAGAATGTTTGTGTAGTCGACAGCCTTGGGAGATAGATATAGTCATCCTCTAGAGCAAAGGGCAGGCTTATTTATGCTCCAGCATGATAAAAATTAGTCCTCCCTGTAGGGTAAAAGTCGGGCAGACATGTTTATTGCCATTATCAAAGTTTGCATTTTTTAAAGCTTGGGTCCCTCCTTTGTAATGTAACCCAGAGCAATCTGTGTACCTGGCTCTCCAAGTGTTGTTACCCTGTGAGAATTGGGGTACTTAGAACTGCCCCCAGAAAATAGTAATAATCCAACTACCATTTCCATTCCATTAGGGCAGGGGCTGGGTAGCCTTTCTTCAACTTGCTAACATACAAATTCATAATGTCTCTATCTTAAATATAAAGCCTTCTTTGGAAAGTCTTGTATGGCTTTGTGGGCAGATTTAGGCATGTTTTTAAATCGGAAAGACACTGACACTTTATTAATCTCTTCACATATATAGCGTCTTTTCAGCCCTTAAATTTTAACTCAAGAGCAACCTTTTCAAGAACTATTCCCTGAATATGGTCTCTTCCATTACATATGACTTTATCCCATTTAGTAACTTTAAATGATTTAGAACAATGAGTATTGTTCCAGTTTATTTATTTTTCATTTAATTGTGTTTCCCATTAAATGTTGGTCAGAAACCTAATTTGTCTTATCCACAATTATTGCTTACTTCAGCAGCCATAATTCTCAAAAGGATGTGATGTTGTCAATGTCTGGAGATATTTTCTATGTTACAACTGGGAAGGGGATGCTGCTCGTCTCTAGTAGGTAGAAGTACAAGATGGTGCTACACATTTTCAAGAGCTCAGAACATGCCCCCCAAACAAAGACTCATTCACTGTATAATGCCAATAGTGTCAAGGCTGAGAGTCTCTGATCTGTAGCATCCAATGTAGTACAGGAGAATAAGAAATTTCTGAAGACGTGTTGATGAATTAGAAGATTGTCTTCATTATAGTATTTAGTAAGTTATAATTTCATGACAATATTCTGACTTCCACTGCTAGTTGCTTGAATAATAGCAATATTCCCTAAACTAAAATACTATTAATGTTGATGAAAATGAAAAAAACAAACTTTGTAAAATATTTAAAGAGGTTTATTCTGAGCCGAAAATGAGTAACCAAGGCCAAAGGCACAGTCTCAAGAGATCCTGAGAACATGTGTCCTGAGTGGTTGAGTTACAGCTTGGTTTTATATGTTTTAGGGAGACATAAAACATCAATCAACACATGTGAGGTAAACATTGGTTCAGTCTGGAAAGGAGGGAAGACTTGATGTGGGTGGGTTATAGGTGGATTCAAATATTTTCTGAGTGGCAATTGGTTGAAGGAGTTATTACCTAACGACCTGGAATCAATAGAAAAAGTCAAATTAGAATTTGGTATCTTATTGCTACAAAGAGTTTGTTATATTAGTCTTAAGATCTCTTTTTTCACATTAATTTTGGTCATTGGTGCCTGAATTCCAAAGGGAAGAGAATATAATGAGTTGTGTCCAATGCCATCTTCCCATTATGACCTGAGCTATTTGATTAGTTTTCTTTCAAATTCTTTTGGCCGAGAGAAGGAGTCTGTTCAATTGTTGAGGACGGGGCTTAGAATTTCATTTTTGGCTTACATAAACATATGATATGATACATGATATTTTAACTAAATATGACATATAAGAATATTTTCTGAAGAAGAATAAGACATACTATTGTCTTACTCTAGACATTGCTCTGCAGTTGTCATGTTGCATGAATTAATAGGCAAGTTAATTTCCCATTTTGCTGTGACTTCCATCTTTAAAAAGGCAAAAAAAAAGCAACTCATTGCTACATAGAAAAAGGATGCTGTGAAAATAAATAAGAAAACTAATATAAGGTACATAGAATTACAGGCTTCTTCATATAGCCTATAATTTTTGCTATAATATTATATAGTATTGCACAGATAACCAAAATTATGGTGACAGATATTTCATACACTCTTTCAGGAAATAAATTACTCATATTAAATTATTTAATAATATTAGTTCATTAGATAAGAATTTTAATCAGTGTTAGAATTGTAAACTATATTATCTGGAAACTTTAAAGTATGCCTCAATAAATTAAATGTATTTTTTGTTTGTTTTATTGTTTTTTTTTTTTTCAGAGATAGGGTCTCACTCTGTCACACAGGGTGGAGTGCAGTGGTGCAATCACAGCTCACTCACTGAAGCCTCCAACTACTGGACTCAAGCAATCCTCCCATCCAAGCCTCCCAAGTAGCTGAACTACAGGTGCACACCACAATAGTTGGCTACGTTTTTTAATTTTTTGTAGAGATAGAGTTTCACTATATTTCCCAGGTTTCAAAATGTTGCCCTCAAGCCATCTTCCATCTTTGACCTCTCAAAGTGCTGGGATTACAGAAGTGAGCAATGGAGCCCAGGATTCAATAAATCAAATCTTTGAATGCACTTGTCTACGGTAAACCAAATACTCTTAGACTCTGACTAATTTGCTACAATTTACATTAAGTTGAAACAACATTTTGACTAAAACCTAACAGTTCAAATAATGTAAACTTATTTTATGAGTTTGGTCAGCTCCAATCTAGAATCAATTTTGCTTCTAGTTGGTGCCAATTATTTAAATTCACCTGTTTTGGCAATATAATGATATAGAAATTTTGGCAAAAATAAGTGTTGAACAGGCTAGAAATAACACACAGCTCCTAGTCTAAAGTGGTCAACAGGCCAGGCGTGGTGGCTTACGCCTGTAATCCCAGCACTTTGGGAGGCCAAGGCAGGTGGATCATGAGGTTAGAAGATCGAGACCATCCTGGCCAACATGGTGAAACCCCGTCTCCACTAAAAATACAAAAAATTAGCCGGGCGTGGTGACGAGGGCCTATAGTCCCAGCTACTCGGGAGGCTGAGGCAGGAGAATGGCATGAACCTGGGAGGCGGAGCTTGCAGTGAGCCAAGATCGTGCCACCGCACTCCAGCCTGGGTGACAGAGTGAGACTCCATCTCAAAAACAAATAATAATAATAAATAAATAAAGTGGTCAACAAGTTATGAGACTTAAATAGAACATATTTATTAATATTCTCTATATCCCTGATTGAAATATATTATATAATTGACCTTTTCATAATTCCATATATATATAATCTCATTTAGTCTATTCAACAACTTCAAGAAGATGGTGTTATTATCATGATTTGACTTTTAAAGAAACAGCCAAGTAGGATAAACATACAGTTATCCTTATCTAAACATATCATGGTACAACTATGAAAGACAAACAGAAAATTTCAAAGGACTAGGCTAGTATTCTCTGTCCCATTCCTAGTGAGTACATGAGACTCTAAGCTCATGTTCATCATGTTGTCAAATGTTCCCAGTAGGAAAAGCTGGTCGTAATGCTCTTCTTACCTGCGTAGGTCCCTGTTTTTCCCATTTTTATTGTCTGATAGTTTCTTATATTTCTACCATTCATGTTTTAAAAGTAGACTATATACAGAATCAAGGAGTGTTCATTTTTTTCAACAGAATGGTCAATAAAGGTTACTTAGACTTCAAAATATTAGGTAAGCCTGATAATAATTATTATTTTTTTCCCTTTGGAGATAACAGTTTCACCTTTCTATACTTTAGTAGTTTATATAAAATTTTTCTCCATTTATAGACTTGCTTTTGAGACACATTCTTACTTCTATTTTATATGTGCCTTCCCGTAAAACTTACAGTTTCGTTAATGATTTGGGTCTTCTGTTTTCCCTAAGGGCTGTGTAATCTAAACTTGATCCTAGCTTACCTAAGTTTCACAAACTTCCCTCTTACAGAGTGGCTGCATTGGGCATGTAATCTGTATTGGGCAATAGGTATATTCCATAAACTTGTCTAATATCATTTTCCACAGCTATAGATAGATGTATAATTCTGCCTTTTTCTGTATTATTCATGAATTTGAAAAATCTAGGCACACTATTTTACTCAGTGCCATTCTGTAGTTCCTTGAATTTTCCAGAAATTTTTCTATAACAAAATCTTTGTACATGCAGCTTTCTTTTCATGAAGCCATCTATCTCTATCACAATGCTAGGTAGGTAACCCCTACCCATCCTGTAGCTCTTCTTGGACATATGAATGTGTGTCTATGTCAGTGTTTGTGCTGCGTATCTAGAACACATCTAAATACTAAATACTGTATTTCTGTTCATGTTGATCAATGTGAAAATTCCTCCAAAAATGTTCATTTTCAAATGATATTTTCTCGTATATTTTTATTTGTTTCTTATATTCATGTATGATATGAGTAATACAGCTTCTACATTCAACTAGAATATTATTTCCTAAAATATTTGATTCTATGTATTTCAGAAAAGACTTTTGTAATGGAGAGTAAAAAATGATGTATGTATTCCTGGAAGATATTTTTGCAACAAATTTGATTCCTGTTTATATTGACTAAATTATATGACTAGAATTTTATCCTGAATATTTCCTAGAATTTCATTAAAAATGATTCAACGAAGGGAAAAGAAGATATATGAGAACCAAAGTAAAAATCACTTCTGCTCCGTGCTAAAAATATTTAAAGAAAATACTTTTATGTAGTATGAACTCAATATTTGCCTTTTAAAAATAATGCATTAATCAATAAAATACATTTTTGTTAATTAAAATGTCAGAGAAAATGACAAGAGTCCTGTCTATCCCTTTCTAATCAATAAATGCACCTAACATTTTGAAAATTTTTTTTCATATTTTCTTGATAACCCAATGATTTAATAAATGCTAGCAAGTTTATTTTATAATATCTTCTATTTCTCCTACAGATATGTGACACTTTAATAGCTTGCAACATTAAAAATTTTTTAAAAAGCACTTGAGTTTGCTTTCCTCTTTTCTGACAGGAAGTAAAAAATCATTTTACAATATGTTTTTATACTCCAAAAATGTTTTTGTTTTTTTTTAGGCTGCAATATATTCCATATGTACTTACTTATCTCTTTTTAATGTATTGTTACTTGAAAACATGGTTTTTTTTTCTCATTCTATCACTGAGATTGGCATATACTTAAGGCCCTTGAGAAAATGATATATTTTTACAAGGTGTATTGAATCTCAGAAAGGATGAAAATGTACAAAGAAAGGTTATTATTTAACCTATGCAAGGTTAAGCAATTTAAATCATCTTTATCACTTTCCTAAACTTGCCATTGCAGCTATGCTAATGATTTTAATAAATGCTATAGGTGAACATGAATATATTTTCTCACCATCTACAATTTTAAGCTTCCTTCTGACCATATATTTACTATTATCTGGCAATGCAGGGCAAGAGTTTTTCATTGACTTATCAAGGAAGAATATTGTTTTGCTCCATAATAGACCTATTGGATGATATCACCATATTGGAGCTTTAGCTAAGAAAGGCATTCTATTTTACTATAATTCTTCATAGTTTAGAACGCTATGTCTGTCTTGCTATTGCCCAAGAGGTATCTTAAATTTCTATTAAAATGCTTACATCTACGTAATGATTGTAGTTTTGTTGAGAGCAGATTATCGTTAGACAATGTCAGCTAATTTACCTCATGTGGAAACTTTTGCAACTTTCATCTGACGTATGATTTGTGAATTGTTTTTAATGAATGATTAATAGTTGGTTATTACATATGAATGTGAAATATTTGAAATTTTACTGACATGTTTATTTTGGCAAAATTATTCTTCAGTTAGACAAAGTTATGGTGGACTTGAGAACAAAATTTATTCCACCAGAGCCGGTTCAGTGAGAACTAAATTATTGTTATAATAAAATAGCTACATGAATTGTTTTTGGAAAATGTAACTTACATCCCCACTTTGGGAAAATCTTCTCATTGCACAAACATTTGTTTTTTTTCTGACAATTTTTTTATATGGCAAACATGTAGATGCTCTTAGTCAAGAATTTTGTCTCACGTTTTAAAAGTAGACAGCATTTGTAAAATAGTGCTAACTACTTGCATGAATTTGACATGGCCAGATGCAGCTTCCTCACTGTAAAATAGGAAAATGTACTATGTTTCAATAACTAAACACTCTTCAGCAATCTCTGCCCTCAAAGTCTGCCCATATTACTTGGAATGTTTGAATAGAATGATTAGCTCTTTGTACAAAAATTCTGGTAATTACAAGAGGGATCCTTATCTTCACTTTATAAATGAGGACATCAGGCCTCAATTATGTATGTAATTGGCCTAATATGACATGGGGAAAACTTGTGAAACCAATTAAATTCACATATAAATATATGAAGAAGCAAAGGTACACTTTGCTTCTTCACCTTTATGTGTGTGTGTGTATTCATATATATATATGATACATATATATGATACATATATATATATCTAGAAATGTTCTATCAGCCCTTCTAGACACATCAGTGCTACATTAAAGTTGCATCAATTAAAGGCAACAACCTTTACAAATCTACAATGATTATCTATGATTATGAAATATGCTATGTATTTGCATATATAGTTTCCTTCTAAGGTGAATGTGTATCATATGTTGATTATGTGAAAGGTACACTTTGCTTCTTCACCTTTAATAAAGACGCATTGCTTCTTGGCAGTAATATTGCACTATATCTTTTAGAAGAGGGTACAATTGTATTATGATTTCTGTTGTAATTTTGCCTTCCATAAGCCATGTTACTTCTGCTCCCACCATTGTTGGGTCTAAATGCATTTCTATTTGGTGTTTGAAGCTTGAAATTTAAAGAAAACACGGCAGATGGGGCTTCTGAGATACATGTATCTGCCTCCCTGCTTAGGTAGTTGAATGTGAAGTGGTTCAGTATACTTATGAAGAAATAGACATTCATCACCTTTAGGAAAATCAAACAAGAGCAAAAGAGTGTTTAAAGGCCAAAGTATTATCTACTTGGCCTCTGCAAAAAAAATGGTATATTTGAAAACATATATATATATATATATATAACTTGTATTAAAATATGTGTGTATATAATTTTTATTAAAATATATGTATATACATATTTTTTTCAATAGGGTCGCACAGTTTTTCTTGAGATAGGGTCTTGCTCTGTCATAGGCGGGAGTGCAGTGGTGTAATCACAGTTAACTGCAGCCTCAATCTCCTGAGCTCAGGTGATCCTCTCACCTCAGCCTCCTGTATAACTGGGACTGCAGGAACACACCACCATGCCCAGCTAATTTTTTTTCTTTTTAGATATGGAGTTGCACTATGTTACACAGGCTGGTCTGGAACTCCCTGGCTCAAGCAATTTTCCCATTTTGGCCTCTCAAGGTGCTGAAATTACAGGCATGAGCCACGACATCCAGTCAAGAAGTTTTATTTTTTAAGAGACTTTTGTAGAGGATTAAGGAAACACTCTACAATCATTCTATGTGATGAAAAATTATCACAGACAGAAAACATTTGTTTTAGAAGGTGTTTTAAATGCACCAAGAAAACTGTCATTTAACATACTATACCTTATCTCATATGGGTATAGGAACCACCTTATAGAAAAATAATTATTTGCACTAACATTTCAGTAGTGTTACGTCTTCTCAGAAAACATTTTATACCATGTCTAGAATGCATTAATTTTCTTTTGCGTCATTTAAATTTTATTACAAATAAAATAATAACAGCTAACATTTAGTGACTATTCTGTATGCACTAAAGTAAGACATGTAAGACAGCATGTTTAATGTTTGCATAGCAACTCTGTGAGACAGTGTGCTGGTTAATTTTGGGTATCAGTCTGAGTGGACTAAGGGATACCTAAATAGCTGGTAAAGCATTATTTCTAAGTGTGTCAATGAGGGTGTTTCTAGAGGCCATTGGTGAGTATGTCAGACGGCTGAGTGGGTAGATTAGCCCTTAATGTGGACAGGCACCATCAAATGGTCTGGGGGCCCAGATGGAAGAAAAAGGCAATAGAAGGGTGATTTCTCTCTCTGTCTTTCTCTCCTGAAGCTGGAATGTCCTTCTTCACCTGCCTTGGACATCAGAACTTCAGGTTCTCTGGCCTTTGGACTCCAGAACTTGCACCAGCAAACTTCTGGGCTCTCAAGTCTTTGGCCTTGGACTGAGAGTTAGAGAGTCATATCATTTGCTTCCCTGGTTCTGAGGCTTCCAGACTTGGACTGAGCCACATTACCAGCATCCCTGGGTCTCCAACTTGCAGACAGCCTATTGTAGAACTTGCCTCTATAATTCCCCTAAAACATTTTTCTCTATCTTTTTTTATCTATCTGTCTGTCTGTCTGTCTGTCTGTCTGTCTGTCTATTCTATCTACCATCCTATTGCTTTTGTGTCTCTGGAGAACCTAACACAGACAAGCACAAACTTAACATGCTCATTTATAGACAGGGAAAATGAGATACAATGTGTTTAAGTAATTTGCTTATGACAGAGCTTCAGATTCCCTGCTCTTATCTGTAAGGTTTCATTATTTTCCACAGTAACAATATCAACATCACCTTGCAGTGTTTACAAATAGAAAGCCAAGCAAAAAAATATATTTCTACTCAAAAAGACTAATTTAAGAGAGTTTAATGAAGAAGGTAGTAACAGAAATGTAGACAGAATTAAATAAACTAGAAAAAGAATGTCAAGGCAACTTGGAAGTAACCAAAAGCAGAAAGATATTGCCACTACTAAATCTGAAGGAGCAAAGATAGGAAATTGTTATAAGGAAATGAGTCAGAGCCAGAGCCAGAGGCTTCTTCCTAGAGGGACTCAGTACCTTCAGGAGATATGGTAACACAACAGAAAGGGAGTAGGGACAGATATATTCTTGTTACAGAACTGTTGGGTTTGCCTGCCTGCTGTGCAGCATCATACCAATACACTGAAACAGCAGGGTGTGCAGCAGAGAAAGAATTTAATAATCACAAGCTGCAGAGGGAGGACATGCAAGGAATCCTCAAGCCTCAAATCTGTCTCCTCAAGGGGTTCTGGGCAAGAGTTTTTAAGGGGATCATGGAGGGCAAGGAGCTGGAAAATTAGGGTCATCGATAGCTTGTAATAAGAGGGATAAAATCACAGATTATAGAAACTGTATGCTTCCATGAGTCAGCTCCTTTCTGGGCCCTCAGACCAGCTGGCATGGGTAGTTTTATCAGTATGAGAAAACTAAAGGAGAAACTCAAAAGGAAAGCTTATTATTTTATAATGTATTAGATTTTACCTGTGGAACAGAAAGGAACCATGAGTCTTGTGACAAGAGCTACATCATCTTAGCTAGGGTAGTAAGCAGTGACTAGCTACAAGGAAGTGGGTCAAAGGGCAAGCTGATGTGCTATAAGTCTACTTAAATTTTATTATTATTTCTCCCTTAGTTGATTTTATAAAATTTCCTTGGGGATGATTTCACACTGGCCTCTCTCTTCTCCTGTTCATCAGTCTCCTAACAGTTTGTCCCCCACTCCAAACACTATTGAAAAACACAGGCAAGGAAGCCAGGTTGACTGAGCTCAAAGAGTCAGCCTATAACACCACTGAGTAGAGAAGATAAAGAACACGCAGTGGTGGCAAACGGAGAATTAGCAACACATGAAATAAAATCAGTATATTTTTTGCTTCCAGTATTACTAGTGAGGTTCCTAAATTAATCATCATTCATAATTAATTATGTATTCCATTTTATTATATTATAAATTGTTTCTGTGGTTATTTTTCATCATGATGACTCAGAATGGATCACTGTCTTTAAAAGTCGTTATAAAAATAATATATTCTTGTTATTATAGGTGACATGTAAGACATTGAAAATTAAACCTAGGTCATTAAACAATGTTACTTGAACATAAATGGTAATATTATTTTTAAGTAATCAATCATACTAAATAATGCAAATATTAATTTTTATGGAGCAAAAGCTGTGTTAATTTAGAGAGCATATGTGTAGGTTGCATTTAGTTTATCATTCATATCATTGAAATTGATTTTTAGCATTAAAGTTTTTCTAATAAAGCACTATTTATTTCAAAGCCAAATGCAAAGCCAATAATTCTTACAATACATATTTGAATAATAGGTCTTCCAGATTTAATTACTGAAGAACACACTGTGTTGTCCTTTGGGTCACACAGTGAAGATGATAGTCAAGCTCTGTTAAATACCTTTCAAACCCGTCATAATCGATAAAGCCTGGAGCATGCTATGCCTCTGAAGAAGAAAAACACTAATCATTACCTCACTATAGTATCCAGGAAAATTAGCTCTAGAAAGTGAAACAGATCATTTTATTTTTAATATGTTTGTAATACACAGTAGTGTTCCCTAAGGAGTTCATTTGCACTGCTGAAAACATTTTTAATAATTGCACATTACAAACTGTACAAAAATTTTAAAAAAGTTTTTTCTAATCTTATGGTAATATGTTTTATGTAAAACCATTAGGTAATACATGAGCTAATAGCAGGGAAAATAGCTAACATTTCATTAATAACCACCATTATATGATTTTTTTCTATTTTTAAGCAGATAGTCATTTTACATGCATTAGCTCATGTATTCTCACAATAACACTAAGGGTTAGCTACTAATTTTATCCACAGTTTTTAGTTGATGGGAACGGATGTTCAGAATAGTTGATTAGCTTAATTACCCGAGGTCTCACATGTCATAAGAATTAGAGCAGTGAATAATCTCAAACAGCGTCTGAACTCTAAATTTTGCTTTCAGTACTTACTATAATATAAGTTCCTTAAGGGTAAAGACTTTGGTGTGTAGCTAGATCTCTAGTGCCTGGGACATAATAGATATTGAAATATGTATTAAAGAAAAGAAAAACTTGGTTCTTTCTATCTGACTCTGGGCTTCCCATTCTTAATATCCACACTAAACTACATAGTAATAAAAATGAATTTGGAAGAAGGAATTAAAATGTGTGACATATTTTAAATGTTTGCCTTGACAACAAAAAACATATTTAACTGTATAAACATTATATGACTGTATGGTTACCAGAAACTTACATTTATAGGAAACTAGCAGAAACTTTGATATGCATACAATTTTCTTATATAATTTAGGTAAGAAATTAGAAAAATCATGAAGGTAACATTAATGCTATACATATTTTTAAAGTAAGATAAATAGAATCTTAAGGATGTATGAGAAGTAAAAGCAAACTTAGAAAATATAAAGTGATCTCCTTTTTATAAAATCTCAAATAGGAACCTGCAGAGTAAAAGAAAATTGGATTATAATTTCCATATGATAACTCATGTAGCATGGTTTCTTTACTAATAAAAAATTCAAAGGCATTTTCAGCATTGTTCAATGAATTCAACTGAAATTTAACCAAAATTCAGTAAGTTGGCATAACAATTAATCTTTACTAAAATAGAATGCATTAATTCATGCCAAAACCTCTTTAGAAACTCTATTGTTTTCCATTTTAATATATTAGTCGACATAAAGCTCAAAAAATTGAGAGAAAAAAGCCAGAAAGAAATAATTCATGGATCATGTGGAACATTTCTTTTAAGCCAGCTAGCTCAGTTGTATATAGTAGACATTTCAATACTTAACTTATTAAACAGAATTAACTCTTATACTATGAAAACTATTTATATGACATAAATCCTATAAAAATAAACCCTACTTTATTATGTTAAATATTTAATTTTCTGTCAGGTTTCAGTTAGCCTGGGGAAGAAAACCCTTTTGTTTTGTGTGTGAGTGTATGTGCTTACAGTTGTTTCACTAGCATAGACTGAGACTTTAACTTCCAAATGTCTAAAATGTCTAAAATGATTCACCATTTCTGGAGTTTATTTTATTTACAAAAATTGTTAACCTATATGAGATACTTGTTCTATAACTTGAAAATTTTTTTAAAAATTAATGGTTGTACTGTCTTCCATGATACAACTAAATATATATATACACGTGTGTATATATACACGTATGTGTGAAACATATACATACATACACACACGTATACATATGTGTTTATACACACATATATGTAATGTGTGCATGTGTGTGTATATATATGTATACACATACATACATACACATGTATATTGCAAAATGGAGATTTGGAATAGTAAAGATTACTCAAGAGAAGATATGCTGTCTATTAACAAAAGTTCACACAAGAAAGGACTAAGCCATGACATGTGATAATGAATGATCAAAGGAAAAAGAAACCTGAAATATTTTATTCAAAAGAAAATAAAATATTAATCAGTTTTAGTTTCCCTTAATCACTCTTCAATTTTAGCCAAATCACCAATGTAAGATCCCTAGAGCTTTTGAGAAGTTATATACATAACAAATATGAAAAAGAAAACACATGAAATGAAGAAAATGAAATAATTCAGTGACTAAATGAGACAAAATCTTTAGTCTAATGCTGTGATTTCAAAGGTCACATTGACCATGATCAGTTTAGACACATACAGCAGGTTTGTTTCCTTTATTCAGTTCATGCTGTGCAATTACACTGCCTCTTGCATCAAAAGTACAATAGGAACCTCAGGAGGTGGAAATTTAAGTGACTCAGAGGATAGATTCTCTCTCTCTCTTAAGGTCTGCCTGGTTCTTCTTTATGTCTATTTTTCTACGGTTTGTTTTTTTTGGAATGGTAGGAAGCGCCAGTAGAGGTAATAAAACTTTGTTTTGCACTTTATTTGTAAATTAAATACAAGCAGGTTCTCAATAAGCAAATTAAATACCTACAGGTGTTCTGAACGACCTCAGAGAGAGAAAAAAACAGTCTCTGCCCTTAAGAAGCTTTGGAAAAACAGAAAAGTCAATTAAAAGTGTATAGCTCTTTTGGCGAATGTGATCATAGAGGATTCTTTGCAAGTACATAGGATGTTTCAGGATAATGGGACATGATGCCTGAGATAGAAGAGTTTAGGAATAAGATTCCATCAAGAGATGAACAAAAAGTTTTAGTACCAGAAGAAAAGATGTGCTCATATTTGTTTATTGCTCAATATGACAAGAAGGTATGTTATGTGGAGTTATATATATTTATAGTTATTAAGTTATGTATGTATTATAAATATATATGTAATTAAATATATGTTCAGTTATATATAATTTTTGTTGTAAAATAGAAAATATAATAATATATAATATATAAAATATGTAATATGTATATAATGTGGTGTGTGTTAAGTTAAAAAGGAGAATATTTGATGACTTTTTGCCTTCTAATGATTTTTAAACTGGAATAATATAAACGTTACCAAAGAGATGAGAAAAATAAGAATATGCGATGTATATTCTAGAGAACCCACTAGAAACTCTCTCAGAGCTGATTTGAAAGGGAAACAAAATGAAATAAAGAAATAAAAAATATTTTACTGTAGTGATAAGTGATGAAGGAGAAGTCCACCATTTGTTAGAGAACATAGAAATTAGGATCAGACTTTTCAGATTAAAAGTATTCCAAATGCCAGTCCTGTGACCTTGGATAATAACTAAAGCACTCTAAACCTCTATTTTTTTAATATCAAAAATAGATCCGATAGTAGCATAAATCTCAGAGCACATGCTGAGCCTACTAGTTAGTATTCAAGTGTATTGTTTTATTGGTGTATCACTCATGTACAAGAAACTTCACATATTTAAAGTGTACAGATTCCTGAGATTTGACATATCTATGCAATCATAAAGCCAACACTGGGATCAATATAATGAAGACACAGATCACCCTAAGCATTTCCTGATGCTTCTTTGTAATTCAGGTGGTTTAAATCATTTTAAAGATAACTGACTTTTTAACTATTTTGAAATAATTAAAAACTCACACAATGTTGCAGAGATGTTACAGATACTTTCCCCATACCCTTACTGAGTTTCTCTTAGTGGACACATTTTATGTAATTATAATACAATCAAAAACTTGAAATTGACATTGGTACAATATGTATATAGCGCTATGTCACTTTATCATGATTCATGTAACCATGACCACAATCAAGATGCAGAACTATTTTATTACCACAACGATCTTCCTAGTGCTACTCCATAGTCAAAGCCTATTTATTCCCCTCCACTGTTCCTCCGTCTTGGCAACCACTAATCTGTTTTTATCTCTATAATTTTGTCATTTCAAGAATGTTATATAAATAGAATCATACAGGAAGTGACCTTTCCATGTTGGCTTATTTTCCATCAGCATAGTAGTCTTGATATCTATCTACATTGCCAAGTGTATCAGTAGATCATTATTCTATTGTTGAATAGTATTTATTCTATGGTATGGTTGTACCACAGCTGATATGAACAATTATGTATAGGGTTTTTTTGTGTGTAGACAAAGTTTTTAAATCTGTGGGTAAAATATTCAATACTTGAATTGATAGGTCATATGTTAAGTCTGCATTTAGTTGTTTGTTTGCTTTATAGCAACTGACAAACTGTTTTCCAGATTGGCTATATCATTTTGCATTCTTACTCACTAATGCTATTATCATTTTTTAAATTGACAAATAAAAATTGTATATATTTACAGTGCACAACATGATGTTTTGAAATATGTGTATATTGTGGAATGCCTACATCAAGCTAATTAATATATGCATTGCCTCAAATACCTATCATTTCTTTCTGGTGAGAACACTTAAAACTATTCTTTTAGGCCAGGCACAGTGGCTCATGCCTGTAATACCAGCCCTTTGGGAGGCCGAGGCGGGCGGATCACGAGGTCAAGAGATCAAGACCATCCTGGCAAACATGGTGAAACCCTGTCTCTACTAAATATACAAAAATTAGCTGGGCGTGCTGGTGCGCATCTGTAATCTCAGCTACTCAGGAGGCTGAGGCAGGAGAATCACTTGAACCTGGGAGGCGAAGGTTGCAGTGAGCGGAGATCATGCCACTGCACTCCAGTCTGGGCAATAGAGCAAGACTCCATCAAAAATAAAATAAAATAGGCCGGGCGCGGTGGCTCATGCCTGTAATCCCAGCACTTTGGGAGGCCGAGGCGGGTGGATCATGAGATCAGGAGATCGAGACCATCCTGGCTAACAAGGTGAAACCCCGTCTCTACTAAAAATACAAAAAAATTTAGCCGGGCGCGGTGGCGGGCGCCTGTAGTCCCAGCTACTCGGGAGGCTGAGGCAGGAGAATGGCGTGAACCCGGGAAGCGGAGCTTGCAGTGAGCCGAGATTGCGCCACTGCAGTCCGCAGTCCGGCCTGGGCGACAGAGCGAGACTCCGTCTCAAAAAAAAAAAAAAAATAAAATAAAATAAAATAAAATAAAATAAAATAAACAATAAAAAAAAACTACTCTCTTAGCATTTTCAATTATATAGCACATTGTTATTAAATGTCGTTACCATCTTGGAAAATTGATTTCTGGAATATATTTCTCCTATCTAATTGAAATTTTGTATTATTTGACCAACCTCTTCCCAATCCATCCCCCGCTCCTGCAACAGCTCCTAGTAATAATCATTCTACTCTGTTTCTATGAACTATACTTTTAAAATTTCATACATAAGCAAGATAAGGTTATATTTGTTTTTCTGTGCCTGGCTCATTTCACTTAAAATATTGCAGGTTCTTCCATATATATGTGTATATATATGGATATACATATGGAGGAGAACCTGGAGTGTGTTTTTATATATATATACATATATATTCAAACTCAAATTCAAATTCATAATCAGATATCATTACACATGTATTAGAACCTTATATATATGTGTGTATGTGTTGATATTTATCATAGTGTTGATACATAAATATAAGGTTGATATATGCATATAGAGAGGGAGTATATAATTTATTTTTTGCCTTCTAAGGATTTTTTAACTGTAATAGTATAAAAGTTACCAAAGACATGAAAGAAAGTAAGAATATAAGATACATATATTTTAGAGAACCCACTAGAGAACCCATATATATATATCCTATATATATATATTCTTCTAATATGTGTATAGTGATATCTCATCATGAATTTTAATTTCCTTGATGGCTAGTTATGTAGAACAACTTTTAATGTGTTTACTTTCTGTGTATATTCTTTGTGGCTTTGTTTCATATTTCTATCCCATTTTCTAATTTGATTGTCTCTTCTCTTGGTTCACTATTAAATTTTTAGTTTTAAAAATATTATAGATAAAAAGTGTTTTGAAAGTATGTGGTTGAAGTATGAGTCCTATTTGATTAGTGCTCCATCCTTGTGACCTCATTAACCATTCACTCCTTTAAAGGATGTATCTCATTACGGAATTAAGTTCTAACATGAATTTTTGGGAAAAAAATTCAGTCCATAAGAGATAAAGTTAAAAGTGATAAAATTTCCATTTGTTTGTATCCTCTTTTATTCCATCAAGCTACCAATGACTTTCTTCACAGAATTGGAAAAAAACTACTTTAAAGTTCATATGGAACCAAAAAAGGGCCCGCATGGCCAAGTCAATCCTAAGCCAAAAGAACAAAGCTGGAGGCATCACGCTACCTGACTTCAAACTATACTACAAGGCTACGGTAACCAAAACAGCATGGTACTGGTACCAAAACAGAGATATAGATCAATGGAACAGAACAGAGCCCTCAGAAATAACGTCGCATATCTACAACTATCTGATCTTTGACAAACCTGACAAAAACAAGCAATGGGGAAAGGATTCCCTATTTAATAAATGGTGCTGGGAAAACTGGCTAGCCATATGTAGAAAGCTGAAACTGGATCCCTTCCTTACACCTTATACAAAAATCAATTCAAGATGGATTAAAGACTTAAACGTTAGACCTAAAACCATAAAAACCCTAGAAGAAAACCTAGGCATTACCATTCAGGACATAGGCATGGGCAAGGACTTCATGTCTAAAACACCAAAAGCAATGGCAACAAAAGCCAAAATTGACAAATGGGATCTAATTAAACTCAAGAGCTTCTGCAAAGCAAAAGAAACTACCATCAGAGTGAACAGACAACCTACAAAATGGGAGAAAATTTTCACAACGTACTTATCTGACAAAGGGCTAACATCCAGAATCTACAATGAACTCAAACAAATTTACAAGAAAAAAACAAACAACCCCATCAAAAAGTGGGCGAAGGACATGAACAGACACTTCTCAAAAGAAGACATTTATGCAGCCAAAAAACACATGAAAAAATGCTCATCATCACTGGCCATCAGAGAAATGCAAAGCAAAACCACAATGAGATACCATCTCACACCAGTTAGAATGGCAATCACTAAAAAGTCAGGAAACAACAGGTGCTGGAGAGGATGTGGAGAAAGAGGAACACTTTTACACTGTTGGTGGGACTGTAAACTAGTTCAACCATTGTGGACGTCAGTGTGGCGATTCCTCAGGGATCTAGAACTAGAAATACCATTTGACCCAGCTATCCCATTACTTGGTATATACCCAAAGGACTATAAATCATGCTGCTATAAAGACACATGCACACCTATGTTTACTGCGGCACTATTCACAATAGCAAAGACTTGGAACCAATCCAGATGTCCAACAATGATAGACTGGATTAAGAAAATGTGGCACATATACACCATGGAATACTATGCAGCCATAAAAAATGATGAGTTCATGTCCTTTGTAGGGACATGGATGAAATTGGAAATCATTCTCAGTAAACTATCACAAGAACAAAAAACCAAACACCGCATATTCTCACTCACAGGTGGGAATTGAACAATGAGAACACATGGACACAGGAAGGGGAACATCACACTCTGGGGACTGTTGTGGGCTGGGGGGAGGGGGAAGGGATAGCTTTAGGAGGTATACTTAATGCTAAATGATGAGTTAATGGGTGCAGCACACCAGCATGGCACATGTATACATATGTAACTAACCTGCACAATGTGCACATGTACCCTAAAACTTAAAGTATAATAATAATTTTAAAAAAAAGTGATAAAACTGAAGCTTCATCTGATTTGTTGGCTTTTGACAATCAGTGTTAAATAGGCTTGCATTTTTATTATTTTATTTTATTTTATTTTAAGTTCTGGATACATGTGCAGGACACGCAGGTTTGTTACACAGGTAAACGTGTGCTATGGTGGTTTGCTGCAGCTAACAACCCGTCACGTAGTATGAAGCCCAGCACACATTAGCTATTTTTTCCTGATGCTCTCCCTCCCCAACTGCCCCAGAAAGCCCAGGTGTGTGTTGTTCCCCTCAACATGCTTGCATTTTAAGTTTCCCTGAGAAAAGATTCTAGGCCAAGAATCCCAACAAGATGGGATGTAACTGAGAATGCTGCAAATAGCCAGTACTCTCAAGCTTTTCACTGGGCAAAAAAAGAAGAAAACAAATTGACACAGCAACAGGCAAGAAAACTTCTCTGAGTCTGGATTCTATGCTTAAAAACAATAGTCCACTAAGACATAGCCTTACTTTCACAGGGGTTCAGGATTCATATTTTTACTCTCAGTACAGCTCAGGAATAGCCAAACTAATAAATTTGAATAAAGTGATCTCAGTTTGGGAATACCACTGGATGAAAGTTCAAAACAAATAAAATCCTCTCTGGTTGGAAACACTCTTAATCCAGATAAATTAGTAATCATACAAACTCATATCCTCAAATTACAGAACACACCAGAGAACAATCAGTAACAAAACAATAAGAAATTATGACAAGAAAACTTCTAAATATGATTATCAAATGTTGACTATAATGTAAGCGTGTTTAACATATTTAAGAAATACTCAAAAAAATTAAGGAAATAAAATTATATTTTAAAAAAATTGTAAAGATTAAAAATCAATAGATTTCTAGAAATAAAGAGTATAATATTAAAATTAGAAACTCTAGGTATGGGTTAAACAGCATCATAGACATGGCTTAAGGAGAATTCATACTTGTAAGAAAGCTCAGAAAAAATTAGCCCAGTGAAACCTAGAGAATATAAAGGAAAATGCAAAATTATTAAGTAGAGGTTAAGGAATCTGGAGAATGCAATAAAACTAATATTCATTCCACTAGAGATCTGGAGGAAAAGAGTAAGCAGTAACATTTAAAGATAAAATGACAGAATTTTCTAGAATTGGTGAAAAAATATATATTCAAATTTGACAAGCACAATGAATTCCAAACAAAATAAATAAAAAGATATTCAGACCTAGACACATATGATTCTAAAACAAGGAAAGACCAAAGAAAATTAAATGAAAACAGCTTGGAAGAAAAGACAGATTACTTACAAAGCAATTGCAGTTAGACAGTCAGCAAGCTTCTCAAGCATAAGAGTTAACTCCAAAACACCATGATACAATATTTTCAAAGCTGAGAGGAAATAACTGTCAACTTCAATTTATTCATTCTAGAAAAGTTCTCATTCAAGTGTGAGAAACTGAAAAGCTAGTTTCTACTGATGGAAATCAAGGATATGATACTTACAAACCATATTCTTTTAAACAAAATAGACTCATAATATTAGAAAACAATAATACTAAGAAAATTTACTTTTTGAATCAATTAGTTTATAAAAATTTTTTACTTGAATACATACTGGGGACTAAATCAGAATAAAGCAGGTTTAACTAGAAAACTTAAAATGGTGAAATTTTTGATGCAGTCTAAATTTTTATGTAGGAGCCAATCAGGATCTTTCCCAGAGACTGTTAGAAATAATCAAATCTGCTCTCACTCAGTATGCACAAGACCTATTTGAGCATTGCTCAAAGAATCTGCATCCTAATTCAGGTCTCCTTTGCCTAGAACATTCCATGAATTTAGTTTTGACTCTCACAACAGTCTCTAGTGATCTTTTTGTCTTATCAACAATTATTAGATCAAATGATAGATATACATTTTCAGATAAACAAAATCAATCAATGGTAATATTAACAGATCTAGGCTATGGACAGGTGGCCCAGGAAGACTTTCTATATAAAGGAAATGTTTCCTGTCTGCACTGTCTATACAGTAACCACTAACCACATCTTTATTCAGTGCTTGGAATATAACTAATGTTACAAAGAAACAGAATTTTAAAATTTATTTCATTTTAATTATTTAAATTTTAATAGCCAACGGTGGCTAGCAGTTACCATATGAGACACCTGCAAACTGTTAGAGATTGTTTTTTGAAAAATAACCCCAAAATGAAGGCATGAGATAAAGAAGAAAGAGTATACAAAAATTTTGGTAAACATCTAGATTAAGTCATTAATTGCATAATTCAAAAGATTAATATTGGTGATAAAAAATGGTAGACAAAATAGATAACATTAAAAATAAAGATTGCTAACATTCAAGATAATCACAATGTTTTATAGTCAAGTAGAGATGTTGATGAAATTTATATTTTGTTTGTATATATGCATTCACACATGCATGCATGCACACATGCACACATATACCTATATACGCATTTTCAGGTAATAGAGGGAAAAATAGTCAAGCATGACAATAACAGGTGAAAAAGGAGCTGAGACCCCAAAATTGTTTTTTTATTTTCTTTCCAGAGAAACATGAATAATTTAGTAAAATAAAAGTATCTATCTTTTGGATCTCTCCAAACAATATCCCAACTACTTTTTATCTTGTTTCTCCTTTTCTCTCTGGTAATGTACACAACCAATCCTCTCCTATCCTTTTCTCTGATCTTCATCCTTTCATTCTAGTAAGCCTCAAATCTTGAAAAGTTGATTGCTACTTTAAGTTAAACCATTCAAAATAGAGAAAGGTACTTACAGTTGATTTTAAATCTTCTAAACCTACATTGAGAGGCGATTTTCATTCTTTCAATTGTTGAGATAGAAGAGATAACAATAAACAGAATAATTTAAAATAAGCTTAAGGACATACAGTACAGGTGTGTGAAATGTATATCAATTGTTTCACATGTTATTAGGAAAGCTGGATTAAAAATAAGGGGTGAGAGAATGGAATAGGCAGATAAGGAAGACTCTCAGAGGGACCTCCAGGATGCAAAGTGAAAATTCCATAGGGTGTCAGTGGTGTTGAGAAAAGCTATGGTGTTTTGACGAAATCTTTTTGAAGTCTTTCCTTGAAATTAGATTACACCTTAATCCAGTCCTGAAGCAAAGATAAATCCATCCTAGACATCAGAGAATTCTTCAGCACCTTTAGATAAGATCCAAGAGTAGTTCCTGACTGTGTTGTGACCCTGACTCTCTTCTCCCTTTGTATGAATGGCTTTAACCAAAAATAGGGAATTTGATATACCTGTAATACTGGAATAACAAAATACCATTGCTGAATTCATAACACTTTGCTGAAGATTTTGAATGAGTCTTAGAAGCAGAATATGACCTATAATAAATTGATAGCTTTACAGATTAAATATATTTCATACTCCCATATAGGTGAAAGCAGTCAGTGGTGGGCTTCTTTAAAGGCACTCACAGATATTTAAGAGAAAACTAAGTTGGAAAAATAATTGTACTGTATTAGCTAAGAAAATGAAGGGAAAACAAATAACTAGGTCAACAATAAAGATCGCCAGTAAAAGAACCACGTGCCCAATTTCTCTGTTTCACTGAAACTCACAAGAAAAATGTCACAAATGCCAAAATATTTGCAAACTTTTGGCTAAATAGTTTAATAATATTTCCTTTAAACACACGAACTGTCATACAACTTTTCCCAACCTGCCTATGTAGTAGACAACTATAACCTTGGCATTCCTGATGTCTAAACCCACAAGCTTCACCCTTAAACCTGTAATCAAGGAATACTATTTTCTCTTTTGTGAAATTCACTAATTTAGACAGGGTGTGTTACAATCAACTTGCACTATCTTTTGAAAGCTGATTGTGCACCTTTCTTCCCCACTCTTCATTCAGTGACATCATGTTGCTAAATTCAAATTTAGTATTACAGCATGGAAATCAGAACTTTATAAAAATAAGACCTAATTGTTAAATATATATTATCATGCAAACAAAATGTTGTATTATGTGGTCTCCTGAAGGCATTTTCCTGGAGAACTCCATAGACCACATTATTTATAATCTAGTCACAGATTATTTAGACTTTGACTTACTGGTATCCTTGTGCCCAAATCAAACCTAAATTGAAGATTTTTAGAAGCTACTAGACTATTACTAATTTCTAAAATAGGAGTAGAATTTGTGGGTCAAAACCTATCAAGGTTCTAGTTAACCCGTTTAAAACTCGACTCAAGCTGTGCAAACCGACCAAGGTTCTAATCAACCCATTTAAAACTTGACTCAAGCTATGCATTGCTCTCTGAAACTAAAAGAAAGACTAAAGCCAGCATCTGAAAGCCTCATAGAAAAAGTAGTAATCATACCTTATACTTTATATGAATATATAAATCTATAATCAAAACCATAAAGTAACACAATTTATAATCATATAGTTATAAAATTTAAAATTTATAAGGATGTAGAAATACATCCAATACTCTCCTGGTGCAAGTATAAATTGCTACAACCATTTTGCAAAGCAAATCATTAATTTGAAGATGCACACAGTCTATAATTTAGAAATTTTACTCCTACCAGTATATCCCAGAACAGCTGTTTTCAATCCAGGTCATTGATTGAATTTATACGACGAGTTTCTGGAAAATAAAAATAAATAACAAATTCTTAACCCAAACCAATTAAATGAGAATCTCTAGAAATGAAAATTTGCTATTTTTGTCATAATAGATCTCCAGATAATTCTAATGCACATGAAACTTTGAGAAACAATGCAACGGAAATGCATTTATAGTAGCACTCTATATAATACAGGTATATGGCAAATATATAATTATATGTGGTAAATATTTGAGGAAAAATAAATGACTATTACAAAAGGATTGAACATGGAAGCATGTTTTATTTGTGTAATTATATTAAATAATATGGAATTTAATGAACTAATAATACACATATAAATACAAATTAAGCTCATAAACTTTAGTGTGTAAAAATAACTTGAAGAAAACATGTCATAATATAGTTCATAAAAATGTTTCAGGTATGTAGAATATTTCTTACTTTGCAAAATCCCAATATGTATGAATTTCATTTAACATGGTTTTGTCGAAAAATATCTGCCACTCTACAATGCAATTCAAATTTTGGTTACTATGATGTATATCAACCATAAATAATTATGTGAAGTACAAACTTCAGTGCTGGCTCTTCTGATTACAATTCACTGAAATGTACATCATCATCAATGACTTACACAATTCAAATTTTAGCTACCATGGCATATGAACCATAAATAATTACATAAAGTGAAAACTTCCCTGCTACTTGTTTTGTCCATGATTCATCATGTAAATACCAAATGTACATCCTCATCAATCAGCAATCACATCACTTCTTTCAAAATATGTGTGTGATTGGTCACTGTGCATTTGTTATTCAGTTTTTGCAGAGACAACAAAATGCAGAGTTGGGTAGTCTTTTTGTATTCAAGTGATAAACTCACATGACATTTTACAAAAATGGATAATCAAGAAAGAGAATCAGCAAATAATCATAAAAGTGCAGCAAATAAATAAAATGTAATAATGTTGGGAGTAAAATTCAAATATAGTTTTAAAAGGAATAAATGACCATGGGAATGTTGACAATTCTGCCTTTTAAGGGACTCTTTATATGAACCTAGAGAAATGGGGTGAAGGCAAACTTATTAAAACAAATGAAAAAATTGATTGTGAGGAGAACAATGTAGATATCTCAGAGGAAGTGACACCAGCCAGTACGTTCACATTAAGGCAAATTTTGAAGATATTTTATGACATTTATAATCCAATAAACAAAAGATAAAACATCCGAAGCTGATTTGGACTTAGAGTGTGACAGTTGCCAAGACGGAAAAGATGCTTACTCTGTATCATAATCTATGTAATGAGAAGAATACTAGTGCTTCTCAAAGCCTATTTTTAATAAAGAAATAAAGCACTTTTAATTATCAGTGGTTCTTGTTATTTATTTATTTATTCTGTTTGTTTATTTTTTTTGAGACGGAGTCTCTCTCCGTCGCCCAGGCTAGAGTGCAGTGGTGCGATCTTGCTCACTGCAAACTCCGCCTCCCGGGTTCACGCCGTTCTCCTGCCTCAGCCTGCGGAGTAGCTGGGACTACAGGTCCCCAACACCAGGCGTGGCGAATTTTTTTTTTTTTTTTTTTTTTTTTGTATTTTTTAGTAGAGACGGGGTTTCACCGTGTTAGCCAGGATGGTCTCGATCTCCTGACCTAATTTCCCTACACATTTGTCGCCAACAGTAGACAAAATTTTAATGTTGTGACAAAAATTTTTTAAAAATTGTGAAAAAATTATACTGTTTCTATTGATTATAAAGATTGCTTTCATGGTTTCAGTCTGTAGAGTCATTATTATGGCCCTACACTTTCATATAAAACGACAATTACACATATATGTATATGCACGTATATACGTATATATATACGTATATATGTATATATGTGCATATGTATATATGTGCATTAATCAAATATTCATTAAAATTGTTCAATGCACATAAAATTTTAAGATATGATGGGAAATATCAAATTCAGAATACTATATATGTGCAAATTGTGACTTTAGATGGGCAGAAACCAGGCAATTAGTATTGAGAAGAGAAACACACATAGATTCTATTGCATTTTTCATTGTTTTATCTTATACGAGATCATGATTATATCAATGTTCATTATACTATTCTTTATGCATTTTGGAGTTTCTAAATTATTGTGTAATTTTTGTTGAGAAAATAAATTAGAAAAATAGGGTTATCTTCTTTCAGCCATTTTACTCTTTATGTATACACCATTAATACAAGAGCCTAATTACTTTGTTCTATATTTTCAGTGATAATCAAAATCACTAATATAAGAGGTTTCAGTGAGTAATCTAGTTAATATTTTTTTGCAAATTAAAAGGATGTAGTTTGATGTCATGAGTTGAATTTTACTGAAGTAATGCTCATTCTTTAGTACCCCAAATAGGAAAATTATAGTGCTTTAAAAGGAGAAAAAGAAAACGAAGAAAATTTTTAAAATGAGGAATTGTGGGGAGTGTTTTAATTTCTTTAGTTGTAATGAACAACAAACATAATGGCATTATCATAATCTACAGTCTAATGTTTAAAAAAACTAATCTATGCTTATAATTCTAAAACTCTAGATATAAGGTTTGCTCAAAGGTAGAAAAATAATCATAGTCAGTGGTTTAAATATTTTCACTTATCATAGTATGAACAATATTATTGCTTTGGCTTTGGAAAGAGAGTCTCAGAAATTGTCACATAATTTAAAAAAAGTGAGACACTTGGTCAGGATAATTTTTGAGGATTATTTATAATAAAAATGGTAAAAATTTAAATATATACACAATTTGGAGATTTGCAAAATGGACTCCTGGGCATATATATATTTTTCATTATAGTGTGTGCTGGCATTGGCTGGCAGGTTTCATTGGAATCTCCAGGGGTGAATATATGTGTTTCACATTCCATTTACTATTGATTTAACTATTTTACAACTCTTTAAGGATAGGAAGAGTTAACATACCAAAAATCAAATGCAATTAAAAAATTCTTGTCACATGGCAATACAAATATTATTTTTGTTCAGTAAAATAGATAATGCTATTGACTATAGTTTATTGATATTTTTAATTTTTATGTAATGTTGTTTTAATATTTTTTAAAATATATTTCCTGTTAGAATACATAAATCCTGCTTCCTCAAATGTTCTTTGGATCATTACCATTTTACTGCATCCTTCAATCTGTTTGTTAATAAATTTTTGATGCAAGTTCATTTTATATATTTATGAGACGTCTACTTTTAACTTTTGGAGAATCATATTTTAACAGAAAAGATATCTGCCTTTTCTTGTTCACCATTTTGGATATTTTCTAAATGTGTGGTTTTTATTCCTACTTAATTGGTCATATTTCCAGCAACAGAAGTTTTTCTTCCATTAACTCCATTAATTTTTCTGACAGTGTATTGACAGGATTAAGAGAAGTGTGCCTTTTTAACTCCCTGATTAATTTCTATTTCCTTTAGAAGTGCTTTTCTTAGAGATTAGGAGGAGAGTAGAGGGTTTCAGAGACCAGTAAGGACATAATGACAGTTTACTTGGTTTTCTGAGGCCCTTGACTCAGGATGAAGATAAATTTCATGGAGTCTGAGGGAAACAATAGATCTCTGGCCAAACTTAGAGGAAACTTTCTTATTCCAGATATGTTATCAGTTACTGTATGGCCTCCTTGATGCCAGAAACTCTGATGGCCATATTATTCCTTCTGATGGCCATATTATTCCTTCCTACAAAGTGTTATTTTGTATTACCATAGGGACGGAGACAGTTGCTTTTGAGCAGTGAAGTTCTAAGTTCAGAATCCAGCTGCAATTGTCTTTCTCAGAAGCTCTAATTCAGTAGTTTGCAGTCCCAAATGCATATCAGAATACAATGTTTTTTTAAAAAAGAAGTCTAGACTTTAACACAAACCTACTAAATCAAAATCTTTGAGATGTCGCCTGTGGGTATTCTTTAAAAAGAAGTTTCTCAAGTTTATTCTGATTCTTGAAAGGTAGAAACTTATTGATTTATTCCAATGTTTTGCAAACTTTGGCTATACAAATCACCCAAGGTGCTTTTATAAAAACACAAATTTATATGCCTCAAACTCAAACTTCTCAAATAAAATCAAAGGCACTTTTGGGAAGCACTGATCTAGCTTATTATTTTGGGGAAAAATAAGTAAATAGGATATAGAACTTACAATTACTTACAGAGTTATTTCTCTCAAACTTATCCATTCCCCAAACCACAAAACTACCAATTTGTCAGAGGTAACATGCAACCAATAATTAAAGAGAGAGGCCTTCCATACTACTAGTTCTTCACATTCTTTTCATATTAGAAAAAGACTAATAAACTTATGGATTAAATATACTCTAAATTATTTGTTTCTGCCTTTCCCAGTTCATCTAAAAAATAATAAAGTGTAGCAGGTCATTGCATTATTCTAGGCTGATAATGAGAAAGCATGTTTGACTTAATAAGAGGCTTCCAAATGAATTGCTGTTAATATTAAGAGTTAATCATCTTATGATTAGTTCCCTTTACTTTTGCAGACAAAATCTCAGTGCTGCCCCCATTTTCTGGTGTCAGTGGAAGATTTGACCTCTGTTATAATCTTTTAAGTAAAGACAAATCTGAAGCTGTTGGTCCAGAAAACAGAGGACTCCCATTAATTTCCAAGCATAAGATTACTCTGATAAAAAGAGGGAAATATAGAATAAATATTTACTAAACAATAAAATTTCCACTTTGCAGATGGAGTTAATGAAGAGCTGAGTGAGAAATAGGTACCATTGTCAGAACCAAGTAACAAGGAAAATGTCTCAGAAGAAAAGAGGATTATATACTATGGTCAGGGACGTATGAGATCAAAAGCAAAACAAAATCTGTCTCCTTCAAAAAATTTCTGGGATTTTCAGCTTGGAGATAAACAGATAAGTTGATAAGAAAAACTTAAACAAATGCAAGGTGTTCTGGAGGTAGCAACCGTAGGGAGCAGTTAACCTCCTCGAGGTAAGAGGACAAAGGTGATAAAGGGAAAAATCAGAAGCTTACCAAAAGAGTCTCCGTAGAGCTGAACATCAAATTCTGATAAGCAGGTATCATTAATGAGGAGGCACAACTTGGCTAATGTTGCTGTCTTTGAGCTTGAAAAAAAGGCTGTGGGTATGAAACCCAGTCCTGTGAGTTGGAGTTTCTATTTGGCTGATGCTGGTATACATAGAATGTATACACCGAAGTGTCAAAACCTAGCAGTCTAATATGACATTGAGAGTCTATGACCTTTGAGGGGAAAAAAAAGTTTCTCTTGTTTTGTTTCTTTATCTTGTTATTTGCAAGCCTTGTATTTACAAACTGATTATAAACATTCTGCATGGGCCTGGCATAGTGGCTCATGCCTGTAATCCCGGTACTTTGGGAGGCTGAGGTGGGTAGATCATTTGAGGTCGGGGTTTGAGACCAGCTTAGCCAACATGGGGAAACCTCATCTCTACTAAAAATACAAAAATTAGCCAGGCATAGTGGCAGGTGCATGTAATCCCAGCTACCTGGGAGCCTGAGGCAGGAGAGCTGCTTGAACCTGCGAGGCAGAGGTTGGAGGGAGCCAAGATCTCATCACTGCAACCCAGCTTGGACGACAGAGTAAGACACTACCTCAAAAAACAAACAAACAAACAAAACAAAAAAAGAAAGAAATATATAAACACCCTGTATGTAATGAGTATTTTGTTATATTATTAGTATATTTCATTTAAAGTTGCACCTATAATTTCTTTTTTATACAGTTAATAAAATAAACATTTAGTTAATTATTGTTTGGCAGAATGATAAATAAAGTCTCAGGTACCTGAATTCATAGGAACACTTTGTTTCATTAAATGATTCTATTTTCCAGGTTTTTAACAAAGATATCTGGAATTACTGAAATAACAAAACAAAGCTCCAGTATACTAACAAAGCTTCCAAAACTGAAAAAGAAGACAAAATATAGAATTTTGATGACAAGTGTACACATGTCTGTGTGTGTGTGCACTTTCTCATATTTTAGGCCTGCACATACACTGTCTCCCAGACTGGGACATTCACCTCACTCTTGATCCAACCCTTATTCATTCTTTTCAAACATTCCATATTAACTCAAATCTTAGTTCAAAAGGGAGGCTTTCCATGCTATCTGTTACGTATCAATTATTCTTATTCATCCTTCCAGTAGCCTATTCTCTTACCTATAAGCTTTCCTTGCTTCAATGAGGGCTTCCCTGACTACCCTATTTAAAACTGTAATTACCCCTCATATGTTCTAACTAACCTTTCTGCTTTTTCTCCACAGTATTTATTACCTCTTAATATGCTGATAATTTTTGTTTTGTTTGATTGGTATTTGGATATTACAAGTAAGGTATTCTACAGCAGAAAATTTTGTCTGTTTGGAGTATATATGTATTGCTAATGCAAAAAAAAAAGAAAGGCTTGATAAATATGTGTGGAATTAATTAATTGGTATTCCACCAGCATCAAGTGGGGTAAATAAAAATTATGGGGAAAAGAAACTGGCTAAAGAAACTATAAAAGATCTATGAGAATCAGATTTTAAGGTAGGTAAATTAGTTGTGTTTAAACATATGCCGAATAAAGAAATTTTATTATTATTGTTATTGTAATTCTTTTTATATCATAACAACTATACATACAAGGTAATCATCAATATTTTCTACAGAGGTGGAAAAATACAAAATTAACATTTCTGGAGAATGTCTTGACTGGCCTTTCATGTCCTAATAGAAAGGGTGTTTTAGGAGAATGAAAGTTTCAGATATGTTTTGCAATGTGGGTGGGAGATTTACTTCTCTAGACAGGCTGAATTAGGACTCCTGCAGCTATAAAAGAGTCAGCTGTGCTATTGTGTGTATGGAAATACTTGAACCAGATGAGATGCCCATTTTCTGCTTGAACATAGAATAGATTTTGGTAGAAATGTTCCTAGCACTCATTAATATGCTATTATCATTTGAAGAATAAATTTGAAATGGTGGTCTCTAGGTAACAAACATCTCTTGGGAATTCTTCAGTAGGAAATCCATTTTATATTTGAACATCTTTTATAATCAAATAAAATTGGAAGGCGAAAACAGTTGGGCATTTCATTAAAAAAAAACAGCTAGATTTGAATTTGCTTACAGACTCTTTCATTCATGAGTAAAAATGCTTTTGAGCCAACTTTACACCAAAAGCAATGGCAACAAAAGCCAAAATTGACAAATGGGATCTAATTAAACTAAAGAGCTTCTGCATAGCAAAAGAAACTACCATCAGAGTGAACAGGCAACCTATAGAATGGGAGAAAAGTTTTGCAAGCTACTCATCTGACAAAGGGCTAATATCCAGAATCTACAATGAACTCAAACAAATTTACAAGAAAAAAACAAACAACCCCATCAAAAAGTGGGCAAAGGATATGAACAGATACTTCTCAAAAGAAGACATTTATGCAGCCAACAGACACATGAAAAAATGCTCACCATCACTGGCCATCAGAGAAATGCAAATCAAAACCACGATGAGATACCATCTCACACCAGTTAGAATGGTGATCATTAAAAACTCAGGAAACAACAAGTGCTGGAGAGGATGTGGAGAAATAGAAACACTTTTACACTGTTGGTGGGACTGTAAACTAGTTCAGCCATTGTGGAAGTCAGTGTGGTGATTCCTCAGGGATCTAGGACTAGAAATACCATTTGACCCAGCCATCCCATTACTGGGTGTATATCCAAAGGATTATAAATCATGCTGCTATAAAGACACATGCACATGTATGTTTATTGCAGCACTATTCACAATAGCAAAGACTTGGAACCAATCCAAATGTCCAACAATGATAGACTGGATTAAGAAAATGTGGCACATATACACATGGAATACTATGCAGCCATAAAAAATGATGAGTTCATGTCCTTTGTAGGGACATAGATGAAGCTGGAAACCATCATTCTCAGCAAACTATCACAAGGACAAACAAAAAACCAAACACCGCATGTTCTCACTCATAGGTGGGAATTGAACAATGAGAACACATGGACACAGGAAGGGGAACATCACACACCAGGGCCTGTTTTGGGGTGGGGGGAAGGGGGAGGGATAGCATTAGGAGATATACCTAATGTTAAATGACGAGTTAATGGGTGCAGCACAGCAACATGGCACATGTATACGTATGTAACAAACCTGCACGTTGTACACATGTACCCTAAAACTTAAAGTGTAATAAAAAAAATAAAAAATAAAAATAAAAATAAATCATTTGAGATTTTTAATTTTGACATGATGGATGAATTGTTGGAAGAATAGATGATAGATTAATCAGTGTTGCAAAGTTAAGAAAAAAAGGTAAGATTCACTAAAACAAACCAAAAAAAGTGAAAATGGGAACTTTGGGGAGTAGAGAGTACTATAATTATAATTGCCTTTTACCCTGAGACTTCTGCCAAATTTTGGATCCTTGAGTTCCTACTTTAATATATGCAATGAATACAGGGACAAGAATGAAAGCTAGGGATGGCCTACAGTGGGGAACTCCAGCAGGAGAACTCCACATAAAGGAAGTACCTTAAAGGTTGTCGATTTCAAAGGAAAAGAAAGTGAGAAATAAAGTGATTGACTGAAAAGACTAGTAAAATTCTTAAAAAGAAACAAATTCTGCCAGATTACTTAAAACAAAAGAGTTAGAAAGAAAGCAAAAATAAATAATATTAGAAAGAATAATAGAAATACAGATTACAGAGATTAAATGTATTATGAGCTGGACTAACAAAAAAGTACGGCCTATATTTGAAAACTTAGGTGATTAGTTTTAAAAATACAAGTTATTAAAACTGATATATGAAGAAACATACTATTTTATCTCAAAAAGGAGAAATATCATGTGGTTATCTCAATAGATTCAGTGAAGTACTACCTAAAATTAAACAGACATTTATAACAAAATTCTAATACTGAAAATAAAAAGGAAGTTACTTAACACCATAAAGAAGAATCTAGAGATTCTTAACATATTGTTAAAATTTTAAATTATGAAAACATTTCCTCTAATATCATATTACCATTACTATTCACTATTTTAATGGAAGACCTAGCAAGTGATATAAATTAAAGGATGAAAGGTTATAAAATGGCGGAATAGCAGGGATATCAATGAGTTTTTGCAGATGATTGTTTACATAGCACAAACATAAGCTATGTATAACGACTAGATTGACATTACAAATATTAGCAGATATACTATTCGAATGTAGCAAATTTGCAGGACACAAAACCAAAAACAATAAACAAGTTCATGTCTATATACAAACACAAATTAGATAGAGGTTTTTTTTTCAAATAGATAAATAACATTGGCATATTTATAATTTATACAACTCTTCCACATAGTCCTGAATAACCTCAGGTTTTGGAAAAATCATGTGCTATTCCCAGAAAAGAATATGATTATGGGAAAAATAAAAGATCAAGAATCAATCATTCAAATCCCTTGCGACATTATAAACAGAGCACTGAAAGTTAATAACAATTCTAATAAAATATTAACATATTTTAAAAGGCATGCCAAATTCTTCCTATTAAAGGAATTTTATAGCATATGTATAGATAATTTTTAAATAGGTAAATGTAAATTGATGAATGGTATCTAAGGAAAAATGTCGCTGTTCAATTAGGGGGACAAGCTGAGAGAGCTGTCTTCATCAGTAGCTACAGGTAAAGGAACAATGAGTCAACTGGAAAAGTAACATGCTGCCAAAGATTGATTACCTGGCTCATTGTCTTGAATTTGTTTCTTTCCATTAGTTCACATTATTTCTTTTTCTTTTTTTTTGCCCTCTTCCTTATTCATTAATAAACTATAAATAAAAGATGCTTACATGGCTTCAAATAGGACTTGCTTATTGGCTTTACAGAGTACCTAATCCAATGCCATCAAGTTCACCCCTGCTACATGCCACACTGTGATCATGTCTTCTACTCACAGTCACATTTCTTATCACATTTAAGACAGGTGATAACTGACTTGTACCCTCATGGATAGCCTGCTGCAATTTTTTTTTCAGCTTTTGGTCTCTATTGTCACTGAGTAACACGTATTTTCTGGTTCTCTCATAGAAAGACCCTCTCTGTGAGACAGTTTCTTAACATCTTCACTCTTAATAACAACAATAAGAATGAGCAAAACTGAGTCAAGGAGAGGACTGTGACTTTTCGTAACTACTATCTTCCTCAGTGATCCTCTGTTTTAAGTTGCATTTGTGTTTAGCTTCTGTTGAAGAAAATGAATCAACCTGACATCTGTATTCTATTAGTGTCATTACCAAAGTTATCAGTCATATATGAGGTAATTCTTATTACAGAAATATGTATTTTGGAAGAACAAAATATTTCTAGGAATAAATCTAACAAAATATGTGGAAAACTTTATGGAGAAAAAAATGAAAATACATGGGAATCATTAAAAGACACAGAAACATTTTGCTGAATAGAAAGACCAGCTATTGTAAAATGTCAGTGATCTCCAAATTGGTTTTATTCATTGCAATTCTAATTTTAGAAATCTTATGAATATTTTAACTGTTGTTTGTTGTTGGTTCTGTGGCGCTTAGTAAATTAAATCAAAATTCACAATAAAGGGCTAAAATTAGCCAAGACTTTACTGGAAACCACTGCTAGATTTTCCCAATCAGATATTAAGATATGTTTTAAGGCTTTATAGTTAAGACAGATCAGCACAGGAAAGTGAATAATTTTACACATTGAAGAGATGTGTTCTATTCAAAGCATTTGTTGCTAAACCATTGTTATGACAGCAAACGACATATTTATGGACAGCACGGGGAGCTGAGGAGCAAACAGGAGGAAAGAAAATGTTGCAAGTATTAAGTCACAATTAAAATTCATTTCCAACTTTCTTCTAAGGAAAAATACCCTCAGTCTTTATTGGTTATACACTTGAATAATAATAGCTTTTCTGAAAATTACTCAAAAGTCAACATGCTTTCAACATAAAGGAATCAAATAAAGACTTAGAAATGACAGGGGAGGAGCCAAGATGGCCGAATAGGAACAGCCCAGGTCTACAGCTCCCAGCGTGAGCGACGCAGAAGACAGGTGATTTCTGCATTCCCATCTGAGGTACCGGGTTCAACTCACTAGGGAGTGCCAGACAGTGGGCACAGGTCAGTGGGCGCACGCACCATGCGCGAGCCGAAGCAGGGCGAGGCATTGCCTCACTTGGGAAGTGCAAGGGGTCAGGGAGTTCCCTTTCTGAGTCAAAGAAAGGGGTGACGGACTCACCTGGAAAATCGGGTCACTCCCACCAGAATACTGGGCTTTTCCGACCGGCTTAAAAAACAGCACATCAGGAGATTATATACCTCACGTGGCTCGGAGGGTCCTACGCCCAGGGAGTCTCGCTGATTGCTAGCACAGCAGTCTGAGATCAAACTGCAAGGCGGCACCAAGGCTGGGGGAGGGGCGCCCGCCATTGCCCAGGCTTGCTTAGGTAAACAAAGCAGCCTGGAAGCTCCAACTGGGTGGAGCCCACCACACCTCAAGGAGGCCTGCCTGCCTCTGTAGGCTCCACCTCTGGGGGCAGGGCACAGACAAACAAAAAGACAGCAGTAACCTCTGCAGACTTAAATGTCCCTGTCTGACAGCTTTGAAGAGAGCAGTGGTTCTCCCAGCACGCAGCTGGAGATCTGAGAATGGGCAGACTACCTCCTTAAGTGGGTCCCTGACACCTGACCCCCGAGCAGCCTAACTGGGAGGCACCCCCCAGCAGGGGCACACTGACACCTCACACGGCAGGGTATTCCAACAGACCTGCAGCTGAGGGTCCTGTCTGTTAGAAGGAAAACTAACAAACAGAAAGGACATCCACACCAAAAACCCATCTGTACATCACCATCATCAAATACCAAAAGTAGATAAAACCACAAAGATGGGGAAAAAATAGAACAGAAAAACTGGAAACTCTAAAAAGCAGAGCACCTCTCTTCCTCCAAAGGAAGGCAGTTCCTCACCAGCAACGGAACAAAGCTGGATGGAGAATGACTTTGACGAGCTGAGAGAAGAAGGCTTCAGATGATCAAATTACTCTGAGCTATGGGAGGACATTCAAACCAAAGGCAAAGAAGTTGAAAACTTTGAAAAAAATTTAGAAGAATGTATAACTAGAATAACCAATACAGAGAAGTGCTTAAAGGAGCTGATGGAGCTGAAAACCAAGGCTCGAGAACTACGTGAAGAATGCAGAAGCCTCAGGAGCCGATGCGAACAACTGGAAGAAAGGGTATCAGCAATGGAAGAAATGAATGAAATGAAGCGAGAAGGGAAGTTTAGAGAAAAAAGAATAACAAGAAATGAGCAAAGCCTCCAAGAAATATGGGACTATGTGAAAAGACCAAATCTACGTCTGATTGGTGTACCTGAAAGTGACGGGGAGAATGGAACCAAGTTGGAAAACACTCTGCAGGATATTATCCAGGAGAACTTCCCCAATCTAGCAAGGCAGGCCAAAGTTCAGATTCAGGAAATACAGAGAACGCCACAAAGATACTCCTCGAGAAGAGCAACTCCAAGACACATAATTGTCAGATTCACCAAAGTTGAAATGAAGGAAAAAATGTTAAGGGCAGCCAGAAAGAAAAGTCGGGTTACCCTGAAAGGGAAGCCCATCAGACTAACAGCGGATCTCTCGGCAGAAACCCTACAAGCCAGAAGAGAGTGGGGGCCAATATTCAACATTCTTAAAGACAAGAATTTTCAACCCAGAATTTCATATCCAGCCAAACTAAGCTTCATAAGTGAAGGAGAAATAAAATACTTTACAGACAAGCAAATGCTGAGAGATTTTGTCACCACCAGGCCTGCCCTAAAAGAGCTACTGAAGGAAGCGCTAAACATGGAAAGGAGCAACCGGTACCAGCTGCTGCAAAATCATGCCAAAATGTAAAGACCATCAAGACTAGGAAGAAATTGCATCAACTAATGAGCAAAACAACCAGCTAACATCATAATGACAGGATCAAATTCACACATAACAATATTAACTTTAAATGTAAATGGACTAAATGCTCCAATTAAAAGACACAGACTGGCAAATTGGATAAAGAGTCAAGATCCATCAGTGTGCTGTATTCAGGAAACCCATCTCACGTGCAGAGACACACATAGGCTCAAAATAAAAGGATGGAGGAAGATCTACCAAGCCAATGAAAAACAAAAAAAGGCAGTGGTTGCAATCCTAGTCTCTGATAAAACAGACTTTAAACCAACAAAGATCAAAAGAGACAAAGAAGGCCATTACATAATGGTAAAGGGATCAATTCAACAAGAAGAGCTAACTATCCTAAATATATATGCACCCAATACAGGAGCACCCAGATTCATAAAGCAAGTCCTGAGTGACCTACAAAGAGACTTAGACTCCCACACATTAATAATGGGAGACTTTAACACCCCACTGTCAACATTAGACAGATCAACGAGACAGAAAGTCAACAAGGATACCCAGGAATTGAACTCAGCTCTGCACCAAGCGGACCTAATAGACATCTACAGAATTCTCCACCCCAAATCAACAGAATATACATTTTTTTCAGCACCACACCACACCTATTCCAAAATTGACCACATACTGGGAAGTAAAGCTCTCCTCAGCAAATGTAAAAGAACAGAAATTATAACAAACTATCTCTCAGACCACAGTGCAATCAAACTAGAATTTAGGATTAAGAATCTCACTCAAAACCGCTCAACTACATGGGACCTGAACAACCTGCTCCTGAATGACTACTGGGTACATAACGAAATGAAGGCAGAAATGAAGATGTTCTTTGAAACCAATGAGAACAAAGACACAACATACCAGAATCTCTGGGACACAGTCAAAGCAGTGTGTAGAGGGAAATTTATAGCACTAAATGCCCACAAGAGAAAGCAGGAAAGATCCAAAATTGACACCCTAACATCACAATTAAAAGAACTAGAAAAGCAAGAGCAAACACATTCAAAAGCTAGCAGAAGGCAAGAAATAACTAAAATCACAGCAGAACTGAAGGGAATAGAGACACAAAAAACCCTTCAAAAAATTAATGAATCCAGGAGCTGGTTTTTTGAAAGGATCAACAAAATTGATAGACCGCTAGCAAGACTAATAAAGAAAAAAAGAGAGAAGAATCAAATAGACGCAATAAAAAATGATAAAGGGGATGTCACCACCGATCCCACAGAAATACAAACTACCATCAGAGAATACTACAAACACCTCTATGCAAATAAACTAGAAAATCTAGAAGAAATGGATAAATTCCTGGACACATATACTCTCCCAAAACTAAACCAGGAAGAAGTTGAATCTCTGAATAGACCAATAACAGGAGCTGAAATTGTGGCAATAATCAATAGCTTACCAACCAAAAAGAGTCCAGGACCAGATGGATTCACAGCCGAATTCTACCAGAGGTACAAGGAGGAGCTGGTACCATTCCTTCTGATACTATTCCAATCAATAGAAAAAGAGGGAATCCTCCCTAACTCATTTTATGAGGCCAGCATCATTCTGATACCAAAGCCAGGCAGAGACACAACAAAAAAAGAGAATTTTAGACCAATATCCTTGATGAACATTGATGCAAAAATCCTTAATAAAATACTGGCAAAACGAATCCAGCAGCACATCAAAAAGCTTATCCACCATGATCAAGTGGGCTTCATCCCTGGGATGCAAGGCTGGTTCAATATACGCAAATCAATAAATGTAATCCAGCATATAAACAGAACCAAAGACAAAAACCACATGATTATCTCAATAGATGCAGAAAAAGCCTTTGACAAAATTCAACAACCCTTCATGCTAAAAACTCTCAATAAATTAGGTATTGATGGGACGTATTTCAAAATAATAAGAGCTATCTATGACAAACCCACAGCCAATATTATACTGAATGGGCAAAAACTGGAAGCATTCCCTTTGAAAACTGGCACAAGACAGGGATGCCCTCTCTCACCACTCCTATTCAACATAGTGTTGGAAGTTCTGGCCAGGGCAATTAGGCAGGAGAAGGAAATAAAGGGTATTCAATTAGGAAAAGAGGAAGTCAAATTGTCCCTGTTTGCAGACGACATGATTGTATATCTAGAAAACCCCATTGTCTCAGCCCAAAATCTCCTTAAGCTGATAAGCAACTTCAGCAAAGTCTCAGGATACAAAATCAATGTACAAAAATCACAAGCATTCTTATACACCAACAACAGACAAACAGAGAGCCAAATCATGACTGAAATCCCATTCACAATTGCTTCAAAGAGAATAAAATACCTAGGAATCCAACTTACAAGGGATGTGAAGGACCTCTTCAAGGAGAACTACAAACCACTGCTCAAGGAAATAAAAGAGGATACAAACAAATGGAAGAACATTCCATGCTCATGGGTAGGAAGAATCAATATCGTGAAAATGGCCATACTGCCCAAGGTAATTTACAGATTCAATGCCATCACCATAAAGCTACCAATGCCTTTCTTCACAGAATTGGAAAAAACTACTTTAAAGTTCATATGGAACCAAAAAAGAGTCCGCATCGCCAAGTCAATCCTAAGCCAAAAGAACGAAGCTGGAGGCATCACACTACCTGACTTCAAACTATACTACAAGGCTACAGTAACCAAAACAGCATGGTACTGGTACTAAAACAGAGATATAGATCAATGGAACAGAACAGAGCCCTCAGAAATAATGCTGCATATCTACAACTATCTCATCTTTGACAAACCTGAGAAAAATAAGCAATGGGGAAAGGATTCCCTATTTAATAAATGGTGCTGGGAAAACTGGCTAGCCATATGTAGAAAGCTGAAACTGGATCCCTTCCTTACACCTTATACAAAAATCAATTCAAGATGGATTAAAGACTTAAACATTAGACCTAAAACCATAAAAACCCTAGAAGAAAACCTAGGCTATATACCATTCAGGACATAGGCATGGGCAAGGACTTCATGTCTAAAACACCAAAAGCAATGGCAACAAAAGCCAAAATTGACAAATGGGATCTAATTAAACTCAAGAGCTTCTGCACAGCAAAAGAAACTACCATCAGAGTGAACAGGCAACCTACAAAATGGGAGAAAATTTTCACAACCTACTCATCTGACAAAGGGCTAATATCCAGAATCTACAATGAACTCAAACAAATTTACAAGAAAAAAACAAACAACCCCATCAAAAAGTGGGCGAAGGACATGAACAGACACTTCTCAAAAGAAGACATTTATGCAGCCAAAAAAACACATGAAAAAATGCTCATCATCACTGGCCATCAGATAAATGCAAATCAAAACCACAATGAGATACCATCTCACACCAGTTAGAATGGTGATCATTAAAAAGTCAGGAAACAACAGGTGCTGGAGAGGATGTGGAGAAATAGGAACAGTTTTACACTGTTGGTGGGACTGTAAACTAGTTCAACCATGGTGGAAGTCAGTGTGGCGATTCCTCAGGGATCTAGAACTAGAAATACCATTTGACCCAGCCATCCCATTACTTGGTATATACCCAAAGGACTATAAATCATGCTGCTATAAAGACACATGCACACGTATGTTTATTGCGGCATTATTCACAATAGCAAAGACTTAGAACCAACCCAAATGTCCAACAATAATAGACTGGATTAAGAAAATGTGGCACATATACACCATGGAATACTATGCAGCCATAAAAAATGATGAGTTCATGTCCTTTGTAGGGACATGGATGAAATTGGAAATCATCATTCTCAGTAAACTATCACAAGAACAAAAAACCAAACACAGCATATTCTCACTCATAGGTGGGAATTGAACAATGAGATCACATGGACACAGGAAGGGGAATATCACACTCTGGGGACTGTTGTGGGGTGGGGGAGGGGGGAGGGATAGCATTGGGAGATATACCTAATGCTAGATGACGAGTTAGTGGGTGCAGCGCACCAGTATGGCACATGTATACATATGTAACTAACCTGCACAATGTGCACATGTACCCTAAAACTTAAAGTATAATTAAAAAAAAAAAAAAGAAATGACAATGAGTGGGCTTTTCATGACATTGTTTTTTGTTGACTGAGTTTCTCATAGCTCACTCTGATTTGGCATAATCTCCTACACCAAGCTAATTTTTAAAAAGGTGTTGAAAACTAAGGTAAGATCACAAGTCAATTCAATGCAATGTTTGAGTAGGCTTTATTATAAAATATTACCTCTCAGTATGAAAAAACAGACAATTTAAAAGGAACACAAGCTTCTAAGTAGTAGTTACATTAAGTACCTTATAAATATTCCCTGAAGCAAATTTATTTCTCTGAATATTTATTGTATCAGACATATGTCTTCCTAAGTCAAAATAGATCTTTTTAAAGCAAAGGAGATAGTTATTTACTAATGTACTCAAGCAACTTTAATTAATGCTTCTATGGTTTCAGGCAATACAAGAGGTGATAAAAATGTAGTGTTTAATAAAGTATACAGAGTTTCAAGTGTAAAGATGCAGAGAAGTGCAACACAGCAAAGGAGTTAGGGGATACAATGTGTCATGGAACACACAGGAGAGTGGCAAACCCAGAATGGTGGAGCCAAGCAAGAAGCCTTGAGGAAGCAACATATGTATTAAAAAGCAAAAAAAAAACGAGGGGCATAACAATACATAATCATTAGCAGTAAACAGAGTGAAGATCACATAATGCTTTATAAGCCATGATAGATATTGTAGATTTTTATCCTCATTAAAATGAGAGTCCCATTAAAATGTCTTAAGGAGTAGAGTGGCAGGGTACAATCTATAATTTTTAAGGATTTTTCTGGCAATGCATAGTTCAAATATCTTTGATAATATCTTTGAGATTGTAGGACTAAAAATAAATATTGTTTCTCTGATGAAATAAAAGTTGGAGTTGAGTAAAATAGTTGAATTAGAAACATATGTATGAGATAGACTGTATAGGAATTTGTGAGTAGTGTGAAAGTTACAAGGGAACCTGGGGCTAATGTTCAATTTCTGACTGTACAACTGGGGGAAAGTATGTCATTCAAATAAATAATACCCACGTGGTTGAATATATGGCCCTGAGGCTAATCTGGGTTGAAAATATCAAAGAGTAAATCAACTATAATGTATGCTAATGTGATATGTTCATTTAATCATATCAACTTGCATTTTCTTTAGAGAAATTTTTGTGCCCTGGGAAGTCTTTTATCATTTTATATCTGGTTCATTTGTAAATAATACATGGTCTAAGAAAGCTATCCCTCAGTATTTTATTCAGTATTATATATTAGATAAGTTGTCTTATTCATAAGACAGAATCATTGATTATATATAGCCCAAGAATATTTTAAAAACTATGATATTTAATGAAATATAT
Source organism: Homo sapiens (assembly GCF_000001405.40). Taxonomy (NCBI): domain Eukaryota; kingdom Metazoa; phylum Chordata; class Mammalia; order Primates; family Hominidae; genus Homo; species Homo sapiens. The sequence continues at coordinate 114,629,941 of NC_000008.11, read as the reverse complement.
TCAATAACAAATTTGAAAGTTGAAAATTTATTTTGCCAAATGGAAAAGCAAATAAACACTATATATTACAGACAACCTGACTTATGTAGTTGTCCCTTTAAGTACAGTAAAGTAAATACAAAGTGTAACACATTAATATATACTGATATTTGAATCTTCCACACTAATTTTGTAAGCAAAAGATTGAAAAAAATACTGTGCAATGACATAGATGATGTTCTTATTATGCTTAAAAGTAATTTATACCTTTGTCCTACTTAAATATAAGACCTATTGAAATTGGAAATACGAGTATACTTTGTGTTAGTCAGTGCCCCTGAAATTATAAAAAAGAGAAACCTATTCAAGCTAACTTGAGTGTATAGACTTTCTTCTACAATATGGAAGGTAATATTATGAATATAAGTACTAAAATAGATGCATGCCTCATGAGAACCAGAGCCAAGTAGACTCTAAGAAAAAAAGAAAAGCTGCACTCTATTATTCTCTTAGGGGCCTCATGGTTTCTTATCTCTGACATTCTCTTACGGTTTTCTGTCTCATTCTCTCAAATAGCTCATTTGCATGGCTTGATGCTGATGTTATTCCTGAGACGACCTAATATTGCACAACACAACTTACTAATGTGTTGTGTGAGTTAGTACACATTCTGGAGAGAGACAATCTTTGGTTTCTAAATGGTCTTGGGTCATGTGTACAAGTTAGTAATCTCTGGCCAGAGAGATAGAATTGCATACTGTGCATCATCAAATTTTTGACACTACCAATTTTAAGCTACACCACTATTTCATATACCTATAAGTAAGAAAAATAATACTATTTACTTGTAAGATGTCATTGATTGTATAGTGCAGCTAATTTGAGAAATAATAAATTAGATAAAATATAAACTGTAGATTCAATGAATAATGGTAGCATGCATTTGCCCAGGCATTCCATTTAAAAACCCAAGAAAAGAAGCAATTTCTAAAGAAAATAATTGTGTCCTGCTTTCTCGGTCCTACTTATCTGTATACATCTTTTACCATTCCTGATCTCACAGCTTAGTTGATCCAATAAAACTTTAAAATATTCCTTTAATTGATAGGATCTGATCAGAAATGCACTCAGCTCTATCCATATTTATATATTTCTTAACACCTATTTGTTCACCTGATATTACAAAGGTGGCATTGCAGTGCAGTGGAGAAGTGATGATATTTCATTACAGAAGTCCCTTCTAACTGGCTGCTTCACTTTTCAGTTTCAGTTACCTGCAGTCAAACTGAGTCTGAAAATCTTAAATGGAAAATTCCAGAAATAAAAAGTTATAAGTTTTAAATTGAACAGTCTTGTGAGTAATATGATGAAATCTTGCACTGTCTTGCTTTCCACATGTTGGTAGAAGAACTGAGGCAGGACTGGCTTGTCTGTCATAATATAAAAGAGTCTTGGAAGATGTCTGGGTTCCAGGGTCTAAAACCCCTCGTGGCCTTTGGAACACCAAGCTCTGTGCCAAAGGGTGGAAGGCTGCCCTGCCACACCACAAATCTAAGCCCAGGGCATAAGACCCCTCGTGGCTTGGATGGAATCCCGGGCTCAGGGCATAAAACCCCTCATAGCCTCTGCAATGTGCACAGACTTGTTGGTTGCTCTCCCAGGCTCGTAAACATGTTCTCCATTATCTCAAGCAGCAGAACATATTCTATATGCGTCAAAGAAAATGCTAAACTGTCACAGCTATGCTTGATGCACCACTACCTTTCTACCCCCACGTCCTCAGGTCCTCACCTGTTTACCCCCACATCTGCACGTTCTCACCACCTGCTTGGTTGTTTGATCACCAATAAATAGTGTGGGCTCCCAGAGCTCGGGGCCTTCGCAGCCTCCATACCAGCGTTGGCCCCCTGAACCCAACTTATGCACTCTTAACTTGTCTTTTCTCATTCCTTTGACTCCGCCAGACTTCGTAGCCCCACAGCCTGGCGTTGGGTCTGATCACCCCAACACCACACAGGACATGAATCATCCCTTTGTCCAGTGTATCCACACTGTGTCTGCTACCTGCCTGTTAGCTGTTAGTCATCAACACAGTCTGTTTCTCACATCCAACGACAGATATCATTTTGGCTTGATGATAAAGGATTACCAAAAACAGATAATCCTCCTTCTGACATATTATCAGGACAGTAGTAGCCTAAGACTATGACAAAATGTTTCTGTCATTCACCTCACTTCATCTTAGCACAGAGGCATTTTATCATCTCACATCCTCACAAGAACAGTAGAATACAGTAAAATGTTTTGAGAGAGAGAGGAGAGAGACAAAGAGAAAGACCGCATTAACAAAGCTTTTATAATAGTATATTGTTATAATTGATCTAGTTTATAATTAGTTATTGGTGTTAATCTCTTACTATGCCTAACTTGTATATTAAACATTATCATAGGCATATATAGGGGAAAAAAAACATTACACATATAGGATTCGGTACTCTGTGGTTTCAGACATCCATTGGGGGACCTTCAGCCGTATTCCACAAAGATAAGGGGGAGCTGTTGTAAATGATGCTTGCTCAATAAGATGTTTTCTTTCCTTTTTCTTTTTTTTCTTGGCTTCTATATCTTCTATAAAATTTTTTTCAGTTTTTGGGGGACAGGTGGTATTTGGTTACATGAGTAAGTTCTTTAGTGGTGATTTGTGAGATTTTGGTGCACTCATCACTGGAGCAGTATACACTGAACCCAATTTGTAGTCTTTTATCCTTCACTCCCTTCCCACGTATCTTCTTATATTTTGCATCCTCATAGCTTAGCTCCCACTTATGAGTGAGAGCATACGATGTTTGGTTTTCCATTCCCGAGTTACCTTATTTAGAATAATAGTCTGCAGTTCCATCCAGGTTGCTGCAAATGCTATTAATTCTTTTCTTTTTATGACTGAGTACTATTCCATCTTCTATATCTATAACATCTATCTATCTATCTATCTATCTATCTATCTATCTATCATCTATCGATCTGTTTATCTATCTATCACAATTTCTTTATCCACTTGTTGATTGATGGGCATTTGGGCTGGTTCCATATTTTTGCAGTTGTGAATTGTGTTGCTATAAACATGCATGTGCAAGTGTCTTTTTTGTATAATGACTTCTTTTCCTCTGGGTAGATACCCAGTAGTGGGATTGAAGGATCGTATGGTAATTCTACTCTTAGTTCTTTAAGAAATCTCCAGTTTTCCATAGTGGTTGTACTAGCTTACATTCCCAACAGCAGTGTAGAAATGTTCCCTTTTCCCCGCATCCACGCCAACATCTATTATTTGTTGACTTTTTTATTATGACCATTCTTTCAGGAGTAAGATGATATTGCATTGTGGTTTTGATTTGCATTGCCCTGATCATTAGTGATGTTGAGCATTTTTTCATATGTTTGTTGGCCATTTGTATATCTTCTTTAGAAAATTGTCTATTCATGTCCTTAGCACACTTTTTGGTGGAATTGTTTGTTTTTTTTCTTGCTGATTTGAGTTCCTTGTGGATTCTGGATATTAGTCCTTTGTCAGATGTATAGATTGTGAAGATTTTTTGCATTCTGTGGGTTGTCTGTTTATTCTGCTGACTGTTCCTTTTTCTGTTCAGAAGCCCTTTAGTTTAATTAAGTCCCACATATTAATCTTTGTTTCTGTTGCATTTGCTTTTAGGTTCTTGGTTATGAAGCCTTTGCCTAAGCCAATGTATAGAAGGGTTTTTCTGATGTTATCTTCTAGAATTTTTATAGTTTCAGGTCTCAGATTAAAGTCCTTGATCCATCTTGAGTTGATTTTTCTATAAGGTGAGCAATGAGGATCTAATTTCAATCTCCTACATGTGACTAGCCAATTATCCCAGCACCATTTGTTGAATAAGGTGTCCTTTCCCCACTTTGCTTTTGTTTACTTTGTCAAAGATCAGTTGGTTGTAAGTATTTGGGTTTATTTCTGAGTTCCCTGTTCTGTTCCATTAGTCTATGTGCCTATTTGTATACTAGTACCATGCTGTTTTGGTGACTATGGCCTTATAGTATACTTTGAAGTCAGGTAAAGCAATGCCTCCAGATTTCTTCTTTTTGCTCTGTCCTGCTTGGCTATGCCATCTCTTTTGTTTGTTTGTTTTGATTTTGTTCCATATCCATTTTAGGATTTTTTTTTCTAGTTCTGTGAAGAATGATGGTGGTATTTTGATGGAAATTTCATTGAATTTGTAGACTGCTTTCAGAAATATGGTCATTTTCACGATATTGATTCTGCTTATTCATGAGCACGGGATATTTTCATTTGTTTTTGTTTCTGTGATTTCTTTCAGCTGTGTTTTGTAGATTTCTATGTAGAGGACTTTTATCTCCTTTGTTAGGTGTATTCCCAGACCAATAATAAGCAGCGAGATTGAAATGGTAATAAAAAAATGACTAATGAAAAAAAAAGTCCAGGACTAGATGAATTCACAGATGAATTCTCTCAGATATTCAAAGAATTGGAACCAATCCTATTGACACTATTTCACAAGATAGAGAAAGAGGGAATCCTACCTAAATCATTCTATGAAGCCAGTATCAACCTAATATCAAAACCAGAAAAGGACATAACAAAGAAAGAAAACTACAGACTAATATCCCTGATGAAAATAGATGAAAAAATCCTTAACAAAATATTAGCTATCAGAATTCAACAGCATATCAAAAAGATAATCCACCATGATCAAGTGGATTTCATACTCAGGGATGGAGGGATGGTTTAACATATGTAAGTCAATAAATGTGACACACCACATAGATAGAATTAAAAACAAAAATCACATGATCATCTCAATAGATGTAGAAAAAGCATTTGACAAAATCCAGCATTTCTCTATTATTAAAATCCTCAGCAAAATCGGCATACAAGGGACATACCTCAATGTAATCAAAGCCATCTATGACAAACCCATGCCAACATAATACTGAACAGGGAAAAATTGAAAGCATTCCCTCTGAGAACTGGAGCAAGACAAGGATGCCCACTCTTACCACTTCTATTCAACATAGTACTGGAAGTCCTAGCTCCAGCAATTAGACAAGAGAAAGAAATAAAGTGCATCCAAATTGGTAAAGAGGAAGTCAAACTGTTGCTGTTTCCTGATGATATGATCGTATACCTAGAAAACACTAAAGACTCCTCCAAAAAGCTCCTAGAACTGATAAATGAATTCAGCAAAGTTTCAGGATACAAAATTAATGTACACAAATCAGTAGCTCTTATATACATCAATAAGATGTTTTCTTATACAGAAAAAGAAACTAATTTTTCCCTATTTTATGTCCTAAATAATACAAAAAGTAATTTCGGACATATTACAGAATGAAATATAAATGTAAATGCTTTAGGAAAAACACAGCGGAACTTTATGATTTTTACAGAGCAAAGATTTTTTTAACAGAACAAAGAGCACGCTAACTATAATCAAAATATTTGTAAAATATCTTTATTAAAATTAAAAATTTCTATTTATTCATAGTGCCATTAAGAGAATACATTTTTACCTGGCAACCTTATCTTTTATTATTTTCTCTTATTTACTTTTTTGCAATAACACAATTCTTCACTATCCTTCAGAAATATCCAGCATCTTCTTGCCTAACAGCCTCTTCATATTCCATACTCTCTAACTAGGAGTCTCTTCTCCCAGAAGTGAATCACATAGGGCCACATGGTCTTGTTGAAGAGCTTACATTCTCAGTGTGATGAATATCCATCAGATATTTTTAAACAAAGAATGGTATGATCATTCCATGGATTCATATCTAACTCTGCCAGCCTAGAATAAACAGTTTAAGGGAAAGGGCGGCTTCGATTATGGTAGATTAGTGAAGTTGTCGTACTCTGCAATTTTTTTTATTATTTATTTATTTATTTATTTTTTTAAAAAGGGTCTTGCTCTGTCACCCAGGCTGGAGTGCAGTGTCACAATCATGTCTCACTGCAGCCTTACCTCCTGGGCTCAAGCCATCCTCTCACCTCAGTCTCCCAAGTAGCTGAGATGACAGGTACATGACACCATGGCTGGCTAATTTATTTTAATGCTTTTTGGAGAAACAGGATCTCAGTTTGTTTTCCAGGCTGGTCTCCAAACTTCTAGGCTCAAATAATTCTCTTGCCTCAGCCCCCCAAAGTGCTGGGATTACAGGGATGAGTTACTGAACCTGGCAATATTCTCAATTTATTGAAAGGCAGCTGCAAATGTAGTTACTGATGGATTTCACATTGGATGCAGAAAAGAAGTGATAAATGACCCCAGAAGTTTTGGTTAGAACAAATGGGCAAATAAAGTTATGATTACCTAAGGTGAAAAAGTCTGAATAAAGAACATGTTCTGAGAGGCCAAGGGAGATAAAGGGAGAAAGCAGATAGGAGGTTGTTTTAGGAAATTTTAAAAAACATGTATCCTTAGTACCGGCAATTTGTGAGATGTGTTTACCAAAGCTCTTTGTTTTGATGGAGTGTATTTTTTAAATTTTATGCTTCTGTCTTTTTAAAACCTGTTCAGGAACTTTTGTCAGCTCCCAAATCCCTACTTATTTTTTTCTATCTTTTAAAACCTTTTTCATTAAAGTTTCTGATCCATTTCATATTTTTTTATGGTATAATGTAATGGTTAATGTTCATTTTTTCCATAGCACATAATCAAGTATTGATTGAAATAACTTTGTTTTGTAAAATGAATTTCTTGGTGATTTTCTTAAAATAATATAAGTGAAGATCAGTTTCTAGTTTGTTTCCTTGATTTACTTTTCTATCCTTATGCAAGTGAAATATTTTCTTGACTACTGTAGCAATTAGTAAATCTTAAGATCAAGTAGTATCCATTCTTCAACTTTTCACTTGTCCAAGAACGCTTTGGAAATTCTAGGTTTTTGATATTTCCAGAGAAATTTTGGAAGCAACTTGTCAATGTCTACAACATTTCTTGTGGATTTTTTTTGAGATTAAACATATACATTAAAAAAACTGGGAAGATTTGTCATCTTAATATTTAATCTTTTGATCCATAAATAGGGTGTATATCTCAATTAATTTATTTTATGTTCAGTGTACCAGAATTACATAGATTTTGTTTAATTACAACAAGGTATTTTATGAATGTTTTTACTACTGTAAGCATAATTTTTAAAATGTCAATTTCCAATTATTTCCTGTGGTATTAATATGATGCATGTTTATATAATAATAATATATCTTAATAACATAGTAAAATCACTTAGTTCAACTGGTTGCTCTGCATATTACTTAGGATATACTATATAAACAATAAGAGTGAATTTTTGTTCCATCATTCGAATCTTTGTAGCTTTTATTTTCCTTTCTTGCCTTACTACAATTTATAGGATTCCAGTAAAAATAGTTTCTAGTTATGCAAGGATATTTACCAATTCCTTCCTGAAGATCTAAGGTTTTGGGTGGTAGCATTTTCCATCAGCCAGAATAATTTTTTTTAGTGCTTCTTGTACTGGAGCTCTCCTGTGCAAGAAATAAAGTATTTATTTTCCATCTGAAAATGCCTTCATTAAGCTTTAGTGTTTACAAGATAGTTTTGCCTTATAGATATAGTTATGAGCTACTAGTCTCTCCTGACCCCAGAAATTTAGATACCTTGTCTTATTATTTTCTGGAAATATCACTTCGAAGATAAGTTAGTTCTCCTTTAAATCATCGTATATAACATGTCATTTTTTCTCTGGCTATTTCCAAGATTTTCGCTTTGTCTGTGGTTTTACTTCTTGAGCATTATCATTCATGATGTGATTATTTTCTTATTTATAATGTTTTAGGTTTACAAAACCTCTCAAATATGTAAATTTATTGCTTTTGCCAATTATTGGAAGCTTTTGAACATTCTATCTTCAAACAACTGATCTTTTCTGGGACTCCAAATCCAATAACTTTAGTTGTTTTGTTACTGTCACTTAGGACCCTGAGTCTATATTTATTTTTTACTTTAGTACTTTTATGAATCTCCCTTCATACTGGATAATTTCTATTTATATTTTTACATTCACTGACTTTTAAAAACTATTATATTTTTTTGCCTCTTAAATCTAACTAATAAACTTTAAATTCCAGGAATTGTAATTTTCAATTATAAAGGTTTTATAATTGTCTTGTTCTAGTTTCTATTCTTTTGTTGAGATTTCCTATCTTTTCACTTATTGTGAACATCTTTTTCTATACCTTACTGATCAGAGTTATAATGCAGTCGTAAGATTATATGCAGTATCGTATGTGCAGTAAGTCCTTGATGGAAATGTTATTTGGCACATAGCTGTAGTTGCATTAAAGTTTTTGGCTGCCAGTTCCAACACTGGGGTCTTTTTGCAGTTGGAATCAGAGCAAAGTTTTCCTGGTTTTGTCTATGTCAAGTAATTTTGGACTTTATCCTATATACTCTAAAACAAGCGTGGCCACCCCATGGCCGATGTGCTGCATTCAGCCCAGGACAGCTTTGAATGTGGCCCAAAACACATTTATAAACTTTCTTAAAACATTATGTTGGTGGGAGTATAAATTAGTTCAACCATTGTGTAAGTCAGTGTGGTGATTCCTCAAAGACCTCAAGACAGAAATATTATTCAGTCCCAAAATTCCATTACTGCATATATAACCAAAAGGATATAAATTGTTCTGCTATAAAGACAAATGTGTGTATATATTCATTGCAGCACTACTCGCAAAAACAAAGACATGAAATCGACCTAAATGCCCATTGATGATAGACTGGATAAAGAAAATGTGGTACATATACATTATGGAATACTATGCAGCCATAAAAAATAACATGATTATGTCCTTTGCAGGGACATGGATGGAGTTGGAGGCCATTATCCTTAAAAAACTAATTCAGGAAACCAAATACTACATGTTCTCACTTATAAATGGGAGCTAAATGATGAGAATGTATGGACACATAGAAGGGGACAACACACACTGGGGTCTATTGGAGGGAGGAGCGGAGAGATGGGAGAGGATCAGGAAAAATAACTATTGGGTATTAGGTTTAATACCTGGGTGATGAAATAATCTGCAAAACAAACCTCTATGACACATGTTTACCTATGTCACAAATCTGCCTATGTACCCTGGAAATTAAAAGTTAAAAAACCACAAAAACTCCCAATGTATTATGAGATTTTCTTTTGCAATTATTTTTCTTAGCTCATCAGCTATTGTCAGTGTTAGTGTATTTCATGTGTGGCCCAAGACAATTCTTCCATTGTGGCCAGGGAAGAAAAAAGAAAAAAAAGGGGTACTACTGATATAAAATGTTAAAGTGTAAAGACTCTAATTATAGTCTCCCAAAGTGTGTTGTATTTTGTGTTAGCAGAAAAATAACGTGGTTGAACTCTCACTGTATTTTCTATCTTTGGAGTGGCAGCCTGGTCTCTGTTTGGCACTTTAGTTCATACTTGACACACTTTATGTCTACCCACACATTCTTCATTCAGATGCAGAATTTGTGGCTCTCTCTTTGTTTTCTCCGCTTTGCAAAATGCCATCTAATTTTCCAATAGCAGGGGTTGCCTTAATCTCTGTTCTATAATTCTTCATTCCAGAATGATTTAGTGTTTTCTATAAAAATTTTAGTTTTTTGGTATCACTAAAAGCTGAAAATTAAGAAACTAACCATATTCCTTCTGCCTTTATCCAAGATGTAACTTCCCTCCAGAATCTGATTATTTTTGTTCACCCCTCAGTGTCTTCATATCTTATTTTCTCCCATACCTTATAGTTGCTATCCTCAGAAGGTGCTTGGGTCCTGTAGAAAATTATTTGGCCATACTAAATGCAGAAATATGCAGCGAGAAATAAAGGTACAACAGCTACTTTGACTTAAACAGACCTGCCTATCTAAGCCCAGCCTAGATAGGAAAAGCTGTGTTTCAATCCATTCATTACTTCGGAAAACTGAGTAGTACCATAACCCTAATATCCATTTATTAGTATCGTGTCCCAACATGACTTGAAATAGCATTCCTAAAGTAATATATCTGCCTCTTCTAGGTATAGAAGTTGGCAATAACGATTTGTCCATCAGGGTCTCCTATGGATTAGACGTCATATAATCAAATATTGGCACGTAAGTGTTAAATTGAGGTTTGGGAATAAATTTAGACATACAGGGAAACATATTTAAAGTGAGTAAAGCATTATAGATTGAGAAAAAGAATCCATTAATTAAGGCATAATGCAAGCAAACAAAATGAATCACGATAACCTATCAGAGACCCAAAGTTTCATGTGGAAGTATCTGACAGAATAATGAGAACTTTAATTTTTATATTTCATTTATAGCATGTGAAATATTTTGATAAACACATTTCAATCTATTAGAAAAATAAATCTGAATCAAGGTTTGAAATACAGTTTTCCTGATTGAATAGAGAGAATAGAATGAAATTTTATTAAACATATTTTGATGACAAACATAGAATGTCATTGGATTTAAAGCTCAAAGAAAGCCGACAAAACAATTGATCAAAATCATTCTACAAACACAAATATTGGCACATAAAACAGATAAGATTAATAGCTAATATTATTATTGAAAGATGTCTATGTAGCAAGCTAAAATAGAAGCTCTAGGTGCATTCAACTATTAAGATGTAATGATTACAAAAAAACAATGAGTTCAAGCATTAAAATTTTAAACAATATTGAATTGGTAGATGCAGTGTATCGTTATTGTCACTAGAGGGAAATCTGAGAGGGATTTAGGAGAAAGAAAGTTTATTGTTATGGCTGTAGGTTGAATAAAGGATCCTGTGTGAATAAATTTTCTTAACAGCATGCTTACTTCAGGGGAAAAATGAAGCACAGAATGTCTGCGAAAAAGCCATGTTGTCAAGCTATATTGAAATAATTGTTTCTCAGCAAGGAACAAGATCTGTCAGATGCCCATGTTTAGACTCGAGTACTCTATCACCATATGTTTCAATAAAATGCATGGTATTTCATCAAATAGTTAGGAGAAAAAAAATCAACCAAATAAGTGTTGTAAGGCAGACATTACATGATGAATAGTGATTTTTTGAAGCCCCCTAAACAAATAAAAAACAACAACAAAAACAACTATTGGTTGAATTTCATCCTTTATCCCCAGAGCCAGGGAACAATATTGTTCTTAGGTTACCTAAAAAGTAATTACTTTCCTCTCATGAAAATTCAGAGGAAATACATCTATATATTGTTATAGTAAATATGAACAATTTATATGAATGGCAACTACTCAGTTTAGCAGAAAAGAGCAGGCAGGAAAGACAGTGAAAAGTTTAGTTTTTCTTTCAATTATGACATTCTCTTACCTTTACCCAATGCTAAACACTAGCGTAGTGATCTCATCCTGGTAAAGTATCATTGTATAATTCCTTTTAGTACTTACTTTATTTAGAAATTGTGCAGTACTTATTCTTGGTGCATGTGTCTCTTCCTTTCATATTACAGCAAAACACCAAGGAATCTATTGATACACTGTATATGTTAGGATAAATAAATAAGTCATCTAGCCCTGGCCATAAAGATTGTATACACTAATTGAAAAAAAAAGGAATTGAAAAAGAATTGCAAGAATTCAGAAGTGTGTGAGATTCCTGAGAGCTCATTATCTTTCTCTCCTAATGTGGACCTTTTCTGATTTTCCTTATCTCAGTGAAGTGCAACACAATTCATTCACTTATACAATTTAGAAATCTGGAAATTACCATAACTAGTCCTTCTCCTTCACTCCATTGGACCATCTCTCACTAAGTCTAAGTGAATTCTGTCTCCCTGACACCCATAAAATCCATTTGCTTCTTATTAAGACTGTAACGTAAGTCTAGACTAAGCCACCTTCATCTTTCACTTGGATTAATACCATAGGCCCTTACCAGACTACTTGCCTTCACTCTTGCTGAATTATCTCTTTTCCTTGATGCAGCCACAGCGATACTTTCCAATTACATATTTAACTGTGTTTCTTCCCAATTAATAATCTTTCAAGAGATTTTCTTTCTTTTAAAATTAAACCAGTACTCATCAGGGACTATAATACTCACCAGCACTATAAGAAGGTCCTATGTGCTGTATGTTCCTTACATCTCTAACCTCATTTTGTATCAAGCTTATCTGTTTTCTTGTCCTGTTAATTCTGGTCTTTGGGTTTCTCATACTCACAAATATCCCTCTTCTAATGCTTTTATTTCCCTCTTATTTTGTTAATACTTATCCTTTATTCATTTCTCAAATCCGTCTTTAATTCCACCAGAAAATTTTCTCTGATCTCCTTGAAAAAGTCAAATCACTGTTTTGTAGTTCTTTTATGTTCTACACTTACTCTTTATAATATTTAAAAGAGTTAACATGTTCGGATTTTATTTGTACCCCACATGAAATGCTTTGCCTGTTTTATCCACAAGTTAGTAAGTGTTACATAAATAAATAAAACCACAAATGGGGAAATAAATAATTTATCAATTAAAAAATACAGTTTAAAATATTGAGGCCGGGCGCAGTGGCTCACGCCTGTAATTCCAGCACTTTGGGAGGCTGAGGCGGGTGGATCACGAGGTCAGGAGATCGAGACCATCCTGGCTAACATGGTAAAACCCCGTCTCTACTAAAAAAAATACAAAAAATTAGCCGGGCGAGGTGACGGGCGCCTGTAGTCCCAGCTACTCAGGAGGCTGAGGCAGGAGAATGGCGTGAACCCTGGGCGGAGCCTGCAGTGAGCCGAGATCGCGCCACTGCACTCCAGCCTGGGCGACAGAGCGAGACTCCGTCTCAAAAAAAAAAAAAAAAAAAAAAAAATGAATGCAAGTTTTAGGTTCAGTAGAGAAAGATATATAGTCAAAAATTTGAAGAGAAAATTATATGGAGATAAAGTAATCGGCAAGATGAAAGCAAATATTAACCATTATGATCTAACTTATGTTAAAGAATAATTAACTATAAAATCTTAGTGGTTAAAACATTAATATTTTCTTCCACTCAAGTTGTATATCGATTATTAGTTGGTTAGGATTCTCTTTCACATTGTTTTTTCTTGGTACCCAGGCTGATGGAGCAGCCACTGTTGAATATGCCTTGCTATTGTGGCAAACAAAATAAGATAATATGGCAAGTCAAGCAATGGCTTATAATGTTTCCACTCAGTGACACACAACACTATCCTCACACTTCCTTGACCAAAACAAGTCATTTGGTGAACAGGAAAGGGAAGAAAAATTTTAAAATGTACCAAGAAGAGGAGAGAACCAGGGAAATATTTTGTGATACATAAGAAATACTTCCACAGAAGACAAAGTTTAAGAGATAATAATTTCAGCGTTAAAGCCTTAAGGAATGACAAGTTTTTGTCCACTATGTGGCAATAAGAATAAATTATACAGATGGAATAAAATTGAAATAACAAGTAGAAAAATGCTTTAATAACTGTATAATAGTTGTATCATTTTTGTTAATTATTATAGTTATTAAAGCATTTTCCTACTTCGTTAATAACTTTATAATAGTACACTTACTCATTTTCATATTGTTAATTATATTAATAAGACAAAATATAAAAATTATAATTAGTCATCAAAAATAATTATTGGAGAAGCCAGCAGTATGCATTAATTAACAAATAACTATTGAGAACCTACTTATTTTATGGTGAGAATGACCGACAAAAAATTATAAGCAACATAAATAAAATGGATCGTGATGTGGAGAAAATAAAGTTGACAGCAGAGACTGGGGTAATGTCAATTTTCAGTACTAAGTGGTGGTCAAAGTAGGCTGTATTGCAAAGGTGACATGGGAGCAAAGGGTAAGGAGGTGAGAGAGTTAACCATGTTGATATTTGAAGAAAAAGTGTTCTAGGTAAAAAAAGGCCGTACAAATTTCCTATGGTGCAAGCATAGTGCTATGCTTTGAATGTTAGTGTCATTCCAAATTTCATGTTGAAACTTAATCTCCAATATAACAGTTTTAAGGGATAGGTCCTTTAGGAGGTAATCAGTGTCCTTTTAAAAGTGCTTGAGGAAGTCTGTTAGATCCTTTTTGCCCTTCAGCTCTTCCTCCATGTGAGGGTGCTGCAATGAGGTGCCAGCTATGAATCAGAGAGCCAGCCTTCACCGACTGGTGACAAGATCAGATTTTGATCTTGAACTTCCAAGCATCCAGAACCATAGATATAACAGAAATAAATTTATATTATTTAGAAATTGTCCAGTCTAAAATATTTTGTTGTAGTATTAGGAAGGGACTAAGACATATGTCTTGACTGAAAAATGAAAGCAAGGATCCAAGTATGACTAAGGCAGAGAGTAGATGAAATGAGGGAAGGGGTTGAGACAGGTCACAGAGATAGGGCTTTGTGGGCTATTGTAAGGACTTTGGCCCTGGTTTCAGTGATAATTTTGGGGAGGGTTTTGAGTATATCAGTGAGATGATCTAACTTCAATCACAGAAGCATAGAAGCATTACTTTATTATTTTATAATAAAATATAAAATAAAATCTTTTATAAAAGATCTACTCTTTTTCTGCATGTTTAACATCCTCATTTCAGTTGATGGTAGGCAGCTCCTTCTTTCTTGTTGCTCAGGCCAAAATTTTGGAACCGTATTTTACTCCCATTTTTCTTTCTCACCTAAGATCTAGTCCATTAGGAAATCAAGTTGACTCCACATTGAGTTTATCTATAATCAATCTTCTTCTCACCACCCTCACAATTACCACCTTATTCTGAGCCACCATCAGTCTTGTCTAGGCATGTGGAATAGCCTCATTTTCCTGGCTTCTAAAAGCTTTGGGATGGAATCAGAAATTTAGTTTGAGATATGTTGAATTTGAACAGGCAAGCTGAGAACACTTGCTTGAGGTGTAGTTTAGTTTAAGTTCTTTATAGTTGCTATGATAATAATCAAATCCATAATAACCATGGAAAGAGCTGTGGTAGATTTATTCTCATCAGACTCTCCTGTCAACAACAGTTTCTCACTCCATTACTAATAAACAATACTTTGTACTTGTCATTTTTGCATTGCTATAAAATAATACCTAAGGCTGTTAATTTACAAAGAAAACAGATTTATTTGGCTCATGATTCTGCAGGCTATACAAGCATGACATCATCATCTGCCTAGTTTCTGGTGAGGCCTCAGGAATTGTTTACTCATGGCAGAAGGCAAATAGTGAGCAGATGACTTGCAAGGCAACAGAGGGAGCAAGAAAGGTGCCAGCTCTTTTAAACAACTAGCTTTCATATGAACTCACTCATTACCACAAGGATGACACCCAGTCATTCATGAGGGATCCACCTCCATGACCTAAGCACCTCCTTCGAGGTCCCACCTCCAATAATGAGGATCACATTTCAACATGAGATTGGAGGGGACAAACACCCAAACTGTGTCATACACATTAATTTTTCTCTTCAAATAATTGCTGCTATGTTTGTTTTATAACTTTTTTCATGGTTATTATCATGTGGTATACATGTCTGTATACCACAGAGTTTTCTCTAAGTCCTTATACTCCGAACAGAACTCATCGTTTTTCTTCAGATCTACTCCTTTTGTATTTTTTGTCCCCTTGATAGCTCTATTGTAGAACTTATCCACTTAGAGTAATGGAATGTATTTCTTACTTCTTCCTTCACACGTTACTTTCATCTCACATATTCAACTCCTGGCCATTTTATCTTCCAAAAAGTTGCAAATTCTACCACATTTTATCATCTCTGCAAGCTTCTCCTCATTCAGATTTTTATGATCTTCTACTTAGCCTCCTGCAAAACATTCATTATGTTGTCTCTCATTCAAGCCTCTCTTTTCCTTCTTGTATTCATATTCCATCTTGTGGGCATAGCTAATTATTTTAAAGCCAGTATCATGCAGCAATACTCATAGTACCTTGACTTGTAAATATTTTCTGACTCCAATCCCATTGTTTAAAAAAGTAAAACAGAACCTATAAGTTGTGAGTATGAAAGTATATGTCCATCTGACTTCATCTAGTTTTTACAAATCTAGACTTTGAATTGAGCCCAATTCAACATAGTTTATTTGGATCAGAAAATCTAAAATTAAAATTAGAAAACACCAAACCAACCAACCCACTTTTCTGTAGTGGCAAAATAAAGAATATTTAAAACTTTCAGCAGTTGAAGTCCATCTACCTTGGCAGCAGTAAATATAACACCATATCATTTGCCTTATTTTATATTATGGACAGATTAAATGCTCAGTCTTATTTTTATAAGTATTGTGCATATAAGGGTATTGAGATGAAGGGAGATTATATGGTCTCAACTAAACTTTGAAAAATAATTTTCTGGTTGTTTTTCTGAAGTACTAAATTCCATATTGGCAAAATTCACATTAGTAATTCAGTGTAACGTATCACCACAAAATAAGAAAAGGTTTATTGTTACTAATTAAAAAGACATCTGGTAGACCTCATTAATCTAATTCCATTTTCAAATTAAAAAGTTTATCTAGGATATTTAAAGGGACATAAAGTGAGTGTCTAAATATAAGCAAATATTGAGACATTTTATTCCTCATAATCAAGAACAGAATTAGCTCCACTGAGCAATTTCTATCCATACATTTGTGAAAAAAAAATTACTAAGTAAAAATTGGATCCCAGTGGTTCACAGTAGTAGACCCCTATAGAAACCAATAAATTTTGCAGAGGGTAAGAGGTCTTTGAGTATTTATTTTCTCAAGAATTAGTAGTAAAAGTAAAAGTACCATCATATGGGTTGGTTCTATGAAATTTCTTGATATTTATATGAGTTTTTCATACCTTTACTAATATTGTTTCTACTTGTCAAAACAACCCTGTAATATGGGTATTGCTATATATATATAATATATATATATATACACATATATTTCATACACAAGAAAAATAAGATTATGTGGTTAATGTCTCAATAGATAACAAGTGCTAAATTGTAGTGGAAATACAAATACTACCTCTTATTTTTTATTTTCTGAATTATTTTTCAGTTATCTATAAAATAATTGAAGAACATTTCCTAAAAAATCAACTGATCAATTTCTGTTTCCATCAACTGTAAAATTTTTAATGTTTGCAGAAATGTTCAATTGGTTATTTTCATCAGAAAGCAAAGGCATTTGCTAATTATAAAATAGAAATTTAATAAATCTTTATAATACTAATTAAAATTAGGCCTACTCTTACTCCTAAGGCAATTGTTATAAATCTCAACGTGAATAATTCTGTTGAAATTATAAGTGAAATAGTTCATAGAAAATATATTTTTATGTAATAGGCCTTGGCAGAAACTTTTCCACCTAGCATAGACCAAGATTTTCTTCCCAGATATCTTAGTCATTCAGTGGGGGAAAAAAGCACAACAGCAACAAAAAAATTACAAATAAATAAACTGTATTAGTATGCCCTAATTTATATATAATATTAATTATAAATAACATACTATAGCTATATTAGCTCGGCAGTAAGGGATTTCAATTTTTTAAAAAGAAATTTTTCAGGAGATACTGTATTACTTTTCTATTGATGATTTGAAAAATTACAACATTTCATAGCTTAAAACAACACATATTTATGATCTTACAGTTTTTAGGAGTCAGAAATCTGGGCACAGGATGGAATAGTGGGTCCTCTCCTTAGGACCTCAGAAGGCCGAAAAGTCAGGGTTTCAACAGAGCTAAATTTTTTGCTGGAGGCTCTGGGAAAGTTTCTTCTTCCGAGATCACCCAGTTGGCAGAATTTATTTCAATGCAGTATAAGACAAAGATCTCTGCCTTTTGCTGGCTGTCAGTGGGGAGCAATCTTTGCTCCTAGAGATTATTTGCATTCTTTCTCATGGTTTCCACTAGGCCCCCTCCACCTCCAGGTTTGCAATACAGTGTCAAGGAGTCATTGCCGAGCTTTGAATTTGTCTGACTTCCTTTTCTGTCATATCTTTTTCATTCCACCTTCTGATGATTTACTCTTCTTCGCATGTGATTAAAAGGCTCAAATGATTACATTAGGCTCACCTAGATAATGGAAGAATAATCTATTTTAAGGTCAACTGATCAGTAAATTTAATTATACCTGCAATGACTGTCCCTTTTGTTACGTAAATTAACTTACTCATTGGCACCGTATATCATCTTTTCTACAGTTGCGAGGATTAAGGAAAGGAATCTTCCTGGGGGTGATAATTCTGTCTACCACAGATACCTTTTGCATTTGTACACATTGAAGGACAGTCATTTAACTGTTTAAAAGCTGTTATTCTCCTACAAGTACATTAAAATATGCAGCTTCTTATGCATCCTGGGTAACAATTTGGGGCTGGTTATTCATACATACACATACACACACATACTTAAAATACAAGCAGGTTTGAAAAACATGTAGTGTCTACTTCTCTTTTACCTAAATGAGATTTGGTGAAGTGAAACAAGGTTTGAAGTTAGTTTTTACAGACATGATTCTTTCTTCTTCCAGGTCTAATATGGTTTGGCTGTGTCCCCACCCAAATCTCATCTTGAATTATAGGTCCCATAATCCCTCCGTGTCATGGGAGGGACCAAGTGGGAGGTAATTGAATCATGGGGGCAGTTAACCCCATGCTGTTCTCATGATAGTGAGTGAGTTCTCATGAGATCTGATGGTTTTATAAGGGGCTTTCCGCCCTTTGTTTGGCACTTCTCCTTCCTGCTGCCATGTGAAGAAAGATGTTTGCTTCCCCTTCTGCCATGATTGTAAGTTTCCTGAGGCCACTCCCCAGTCCTGTAGAACTGTGAATCAAGTAAACCTCTTTTCTTTATATGTTACCCAGTCTCAGACAGTTCTTCATAGCAGCATGAGAATGGACTAGCACAAGGTCTGAGGATAAACTACTTCAAATTTTAGTCTCAGCATTCTAACATATGAACTTTGGCTGGTTATATCAATTCGCATGTTTCCAAGAAGAACAGCAATTCTCTCTCTCTTGTATATCCATCTGTCTGTCTATGTGTACATATATATATATATATATACATATATATATATATATGCACACACACACATATCTTGTGTGTGTATTAATCTATAAAAGACGATGAAACATGCAATGCTATTATGTTAATCTCTAGCTATAATATAGTCATATAACAGCTTATAAATAAGAAAATCAACCATATTGCTTTGATCCTAAAGAAGTCCATTAAAATGGGCAACTGTAAGAAAATATTCTTTCTTAAAGCTTTTCATGATGATGGGTATGAAGATAAGATTTTGATTATTAAGTTTCCCAAGTTGGCATATGGGCAGTTTTTCAAAGGAAGTAAGAGAGATACCAGGGAATGACTTTCTTATGATGCATTATGATTGAGAGCTGTCAGTCACATGATGCTTCCCCAAGCCTACAATTAATCCCTGGAGCAGGAGCCAAAGCTGACTTGATTAACTCCGTTTAAATCAGCCGTCTTGACAAAAGACCTGCCACATTGGCTCACACGGCAGCAGCTGAGACCCTTAAGAGTGTCAGTGGAGCAAAGATCTACTATTGCCACTGCTTACAGATACACAAGATTATATACTTGTAGCATTTTAAAAATGTTATCAAAAAGACACAGGTTAAGTCTCCGAAATCTGACATTTAACAATTTATTAGAACTTTCAACTGGAGTGCCATGTTGCATTTAAAGACATGAATCAAAGTAAAATTCAAAAGCAAGTCTTTAGTCAGAGGAAAATATATTATTTTAAAACCACATATATATGCACGTAGTTTAATGAAGTTTAGTATTTGGAAGTCAATGAATGGTACTATAAATGAAATAAATGATTAAAATATTTTGCATTCTAAGTTCTTAACAAAAAAAGCCTTTTTTGGTGTGAAAAAACCCTGAAATATTTGAAGTAGACAGTAAAATAGTTTAGAGCTTATAATGAGGTAGGGCAACAACTTTCCTCAAAGCTAAGCTTTCTACACTTTTTAAAATTCTATCATTATTCTTCATGTAATCATTCATAAATAATTTAGAAATTCTTCTCCAAAAATTATTTGTGGGATAATCTCAAATTACCATGCACTTACTTTGTACAGGCTATTAAATTGCAATGTAGAATGTAGATAAGTAATAAAAAGAATAAAGATCTTAACAGGATTTTTACAAATAAAGAAACCCACTTGTTCACAGCATGTATCTGACTTGAAGGAAGTTCAGATCACAGCATGAAGAAAGTTGAAAGTTAGAATCTTCTAAACTCATAAAATACAAAAATGGAAATGAGGCTGAAGTGGATAGAAGCTACAAGTAACAAATCAGTCTAAAAGGAAACTTTGGGCTTATGTAAACAAATATGCAAATAAAATAAAAACAAGGAAAAAATAAAAGAAATTAGTGGTCATCCTCATCCCATCTACATACAAAAGGCATACTTTCATTCATGTACCCTTTCATTCATTCATTCATTCAACAAATAGGGAGGTAATGTTAGGTTTCGTCTTTCAAGAGGTTTTATTCTAACTTAAACACCAAAAAATCAAAAGGCCTACTTCCCCCACTTATGATATCATCAAGTAGGTTGAGTTTATAGTATATAAGTTAAAACCCTACAAGTTTTTTATAAATATCCATTGACTTTTTCAACTAAAACAAGAATGGAATCCTACTAAATTGATGAACCGAATATTAGCTATTTTAAAAGTTTGCTTTCTTGCAACCTAGCAAAACCCTTGAGACTATTTAACTCACAAGTAATACAAACACAAAAGGAAATGTGTTACCAAGGGATTTGTATCTGTTACTGAGTCAATACTGAATAAAATAAAAGAAAAGCTCAGAAAAGCATATTAGAGACCTTCTAAATATGTTCCCTGATTTTTTTTTTTTTTAGGTTGGAGTCTCCCTTTGTTGCCCAAGCTGGAGTGCAATGGCAGGATCTCGGCTCACTGCAACCTCCACCTCCTGGTCTCAAGTGATTCTCCTGCCTCAGCCTCCCGAGTAGCTGGGATTACAAGCACCCACCACCACCAAGCCTGGCTAATTTTTGTATTTTTAGTAGATACCGGGTTTCACCATGTTAGCCAGGCTGTTCTGGAATGGCTGACCTCAAGTGATCTGCCCGCCTCAGCCTCCCAAAGTGCTGGGATTACAGGAATGAGCCACTGCGCCTAGCCTATGTTCCTTGATTAATACCTCCAAATCTGTTCAAGAAATATGACAATCAAATCACATGCAAGTGGTATACAGAGCAAAATTGGTTGGGTTAGCTACTATATTGAATATTTCCATTAAAAGGACTAGAAGGGAAACACACATGATGATTTCTCTTTTTCCAAGAGGCATTTTGGGCAGAGGTAACAATGAGGCAGTGGAGGTATCCTACAATTTGAAGCAATTTTTCTCCTTATTAGCCATTTCATGAAAATTATACTATAACAACATCAGAGAAAATATTTTGTTCAGATTAATATCTATATGGCCTGAAAACAGACTAAGAAGTTATCATCCACCCTTCTGTTGTTTTGAAATTTAATCCAAAAATAAAGCTTTTGGATTATATATATATATTATATTTTTGGATTATATATATATATATATATATATGCATTTGAAAATAAAACATGATTTTCTAATACTTTAGAATTTATTTACTGTTATCTGGTAAAACTATAACTTTATATCTTGAGGTGTAGAAATTATCTAATCTGATGAAATTCTAAGAAGGCTGATTTAAAATTTTTATATTAAAAAAGTTATATCTATCATTTTATTGGATTGAAATAAATGGGACTTTGTGTTCAAAGTCTGCATGGTAAACAGGGTGTTATTTATTTTTGAAAATAAATTAGGTTGAGTTTCCTCAAAATCCAAGATTGAAACAAGGATTCAAATGGAAGTCATTTTGGGGGGAAGTGATCCCTAAACACTAGGGAGAGAGTGGAGAAGTGAGTCAAGAAAGTCAAGGCAGCCAACAAAGGGTGTACTATGAAGTAAGTCACCTTCGCGAATCTCTGGGAAACACTGTAAACCATGTCTCTCAGTTTTCTCAGCTTTGGTCAAAGTAAGCTATGGTATTTATTCATCAACTCTCAGTTCATCATGGGTTAAGGATTTCTCAGGGAGCTTTAACTTGTCACATGTAGCAAAAAGCTGGCAGGCAGAGTCACAGGTGTTTCCAGTAAACAGTCTTTAGTTGGCAGAGATGAGTACTGAGGGAATAAGGCCAAGATATTCATAGCATCTACACCAGGGGATACATTAAGATTTTCAAAATGAAGACAAGTAAACAGAGTGACTATCTTGGGGTTAAAGTCAGAATAAGTATTTTTTTTTCTTAAGTAAAACATGGCAAATTTTCTCTACTTTGATTGGCCTTGCATGAAACACAAATTCCTTTTTAAGTTGCAGACAGTTTAGTTTGAGTATTATTTTTTCCATAATGTTTATTTTAGAGGTTTGAAAGTAGTAGAAACTGAGATTGTAAACCTGAAAGCTTTGAAGTAAAAAAAATCATTCAATCCAGGAAAAATCAAGTAGCAGATCTAAGCAAAGAGCCCAGAGCTGTTGAAATCTAGTTTTATCAAAAACATCATTTATAATTTAAAATCAAAAGCTTGTTAATTATAAAAGTATTTGCTTCAAGTTTGCTTTAAAGATTTCAAAGGTAGAAAGTATTTAATCTGAACAAATTTGGCTCCTCTTTTGGATTCGTTTATTTTTCTGTTACAGTTTTGACATTTTGACTTTTACTTGAAAAAAACTGTAGAAATCTAAGCCATCTTTATTTGTGAACTCTTGACAGATCTGAAATTAATCATATAGATACATCTGTAATGCACTCATAAACAGATATTTTTCTTGCTTATATTTGTCTGATGTAGGCAGTTTTATTAATAATTGAAGATCAATATACCTACGATGGATTGCATCAGTGGTGTTTCTAATTAAAATTATTTACTTAAAAAACAACCAAAAAAGATCTTAAGTGGCTATTTAGTCAAATTGAGTTTCTCCTTTGAGTAGAGAGCAAAATTCTCAGCAGATCTACAGAATATTCCTTCTAAATTCATGCTGATTTAAGGGTTCTTTACTTTAAAGAGCACAATAGAAATATGTATAAATCTACGTATGATATTAATTTTTAGAAAGTATAAAATAGGAAAAATCACGTATCCAAAATGATAAGTGAACATATTTGGTTTTAGTTGTCCAGCAGGAAAACAAAAACGAAAACAGGCAACATATGACGAAACTAAAAGTTTGTTACAGATACACAATTTATCACTGGATTTTATCCATGTTCTAAAAACCTACTGATGAAAAGACACCATTAAGAAAATTAACGTGAAGCCACAAATTGGCTGAAAATCTGTGCATGTATATTTCTGACAACTTATATTCAAACCGGATAAAAATTTCCTACAATTTAAACAGTCAAAGTAATACGTTTTTTTAAATGGGAAAAACTGCCAGGATGGTGTAACTAACATTGAATTTAATCTCAAGTTAGAAATAACTAGAAAATTGAACAAACTACAGATGCTCTTCATCTTTCAATAAGGTTATGTCCTGACGAATTTATTGTAAGCTGAAAATATTGTAAATCAAAAATGCATTTAATACACCTAATTTACCAAGCATCATAGTTTAGCCTAGCCTACCTTAAACATGCTCAGAACACTTAGAATAGTTTGCAGTTGAGAAAAATCCTCTAAAACAAAGCCTGTTTTATAATAAAATTATTGTAAAGAATTTTGAATTCAAATTCAAATTATGGTTTCTACTTAATGTGAAACAGCATCATTGATTTCATAGCATCATAAAGCTTTCACGGCATCATAAAGTTAAAAAATTTTAAGTTTAAGTTGGGAGCTGGCTGTATATGAAAGAGTTGTTTTCAGGCATTGCACAATGGATAGTACAGCACTCTGATCCCTGAGAAAATAAAAACAAAATGAACCCTAAAGTCATACTAGCTTCTGAGAGGAAGGAATGTCCGGAATCCAAGTGCAGGAGAGGAAACTTAAAAAAGGAGGAATAAACTGCTTGATAATGAACACACTAAGACTGCATTTTCTGGAGGCTGAGATGGCTACAAGTTGAAACTGTAGAGTTTATCTATATGAAGAAGATTGTAATTTTGGGGATAATATTCTATATAACATTTTATTCTATTTATTAAGATAGGGTCTCATCTGTCACCCAGGCTGGAGAGCATTGGTGAGGTCATGGCTCACTGCAGCCTCAACCTCCCAGGATCAAGCAATCGTCCTGCCTCAGCCTCCTAAGTAGCTGAGACTACAGGCATGCATAGCTAATTTTTAAAACTTTTTGTAGAGACAGAGTCTCTCCATGTTGCCCAGGCTGGTCTTGAATTCCTGGGCTCAAGCAATCTTCCTGCGTTGGCCTCCAAAAATGCTGGGATTATAGGTATGAAACACAGTGCCTGACCACTGTATGTAATTTTTAGATAACAAGTTTACATAAAAACTAAATTTTGCCACCAAAGTGCCTCAAGTAGATGTTTTACATGAATCAACTTGACAAATCAAACCTGACAATTCAGTATGTCAGAATATGTAATTCAAATCAATTCTCCCATTGGAGACAACAAAAAATACAGAAAAAATATTTTAGAAAAATATAAAATATTCAAAAGACTATAAATGAAGATAAGAATCAGTAGGTAAAACTGAGAAAAGACTTTTTGTATAGACATAAGTTTGGCCTTGAGAGAGCTCATTTACTCCTGGGACTTTACTAATTCCAAATAAGCACAGGGAATACGAGCAACAATTTTGATAGACTTATAGGATCAGGGAGTAAAAACTGGAAACCAGGGTACGATAAGAGTGAAGGCTAGAGGGATGTACCCTCAGGATAAGATAATAAAGAAGTAAACCAACCCTCTTGGGAACTGCTGTCTAGCTTCGGGTCATCTCAGTGGTCATTCGCACAAAAGTCTTATACTCTGAAATTGGATTTGAATGATCTTACATTACTATTTCCCCATACACCCGGTGGAAGCAAACATCTTGAGAAAAATTACACCATTCTTGTTTTAAAATTGTTTCTTTAAAAAAAAAATTTTTATTATGCTTTAAGTTGTGGGATACATGTGCAGAATGTGGAGGTTTGTTACATAGGTATACATGGGCCATGGTGGTTTGCTGCACCCATCAACCCTTCAGCTACATTAGGTATTTCTCCTAATGCTATCCCTCCCCTAGCTCCCAACCCTCCGACAGGCCCCAGTGTGTGATGTTCCCCTCCCTGTGCCCATATGTTCTCCTTGTTCAACTCCCAATTATGAGTGACAACATGCGTTGTTTGGTTTTATGTTCCTGTGTTAGTTTGCTGAGAATGATGGTTTCCAGCTTCATCCATGTCCCTGCAAAGTACATGAACTCATTCTTTTTCTTTTAAGTCCAGAGTCCATCACATAAGTAAAGATAGTCATCCCCATAAGGAGAAGAGATAATATGAATTGAAAACATGCAGAAATAGCAAACAACAGAAACAGACGCACAGAACCTCAGTTAGGGGAATTATCAGAGACAGATGGTAGAAACTATGTTGAACATGTTCAAAGAGATGGATTCAGGCTTGAACAATTTGGCTGACAACTGGAAAAAATAAGTGACTTATTTGGTGAGAACAAAATTAAGTAGAATTCTAGAACTAGAAAATAGATATAGTAGTCAAATTATTAATTCAAAGGATATGATTAACAGCATACTAGACATAGTTGATGAGAGAATTAGTAAATTAACTTAGTCAAAATATTAATAAAGAAGCATGGAAAAACAAAAGAATTAAGACAGGTGGCCAGCTGCAGTGGCTCACACCTATAATCCCAACACACTGGGAGGCCAAGGAGGGAGGATCACTTGAACCCAGGAGTTTGAGACCAGCCTGGGAAACATAGTGAGACCCAGTCTTTACAAAAATAAAAAAATAAATAATTTTCCAGGCGTGGTGGCATGTACCTGCAGTCCTAGAGCTGGGAGGATCGCTTGAGCCCAGGAGGCCCAAGGCTACAGTAAGCCTTGATTTCGCCATTGCACTGCAGCCTGGGTGACACAGCAAGACCCCATTTCCAAAAATAAAGAAATGAAAAGGTGAAAGATGTAAAGATATTATGTGAAGGTCAGTGGTTCAGTCAGTGGTCAATAGTATTATTTTTGACAGTTAATTTATAGGCCTTCTTTTGATGGGATTATGCTTTCTGATCTTGTATGTAAACTTGGTTTGTAACTGACTTTGGCCAATAGGATTTGATCAGCATTAACATTTCTTATTCCTAACCAGAAGTTTGAAGAGCTAGGACATGGCTCTGCAATTTTTCTTTACCCTCTGACATAAGAAAAGCATTTTCCAGAGATAGGGGATCCTTCAGATTGGCTACCAGGATGAAGAATATACATGGAGTAGTACTATAGCTGGCCAGTGGCTGATATTAACAGGAAAGATAAAATAGTTTTTCTAAATCATATATTTTGAATCATTTTTAACTGTTCTATAGCCTAACCAAAGCCGACATAAAGTCTGCAAGGTCTAAATGAAGTGGCTGAATAGCAAGAAAGAGAATACAATAAAAACAATATATTTTAAATAGAAGCTTCGAACCTTTCAAAATCGACAAAATGTCCATGTATTGATGCCATTATAATAAGGTCAAAACATCTAAATTAAAAGAAGACTACACTTGAGCATATGATAGTAAATCTGATTAAAAGAAAAAAACAAAGAACAAATCTAGAAAACTACTAACATGGGCACCAAAAAGATCATCCTCAAAGGAACAAAAAGTTGACTGAGAATGACAGCTCACATGGAAACAGAAACATTGGAAGGTAGATAAAATGAAATAATTTCTTTGAAATGTTGACAAACACACCCCAATGTAGAATTCATACACATTAACATTGTTACTCAAGATGAAGTCAAAACTGAGATAATTCACTATGAGCAACTCCATACAAAATGAAACTCTAAAAACTATTCATCAGTCATGGAAAAATATTGCCAGTTGGAAGGTAAGTAACATAGGAAGAGATGTAGAACAATGACAATTGAAATGGTTCCTGTACCCAAAATTAATGATTGATTTGTTTGTGGAGAAAACATTTTTTGGTCTCAAAGCTTTTGGAAAGGTGGAAAACCCGTGGAAAAGTGTGCAAGTGGAAAATGTGCAAAGTGGAAAATAAATAAATGCAATGCAACTGTATATAAACTCCAAACATATAATTACCCTCTGACACATATATAAATTTGTTAAGAGGCTATGGATAGAAAAAATAACAATATTTACTTACGTAATTTTAGGTTTTCAAGCAAGTGTAACAATATAGATATATCCCATATTTCCTTCATCCAGTTTCCCCCAACAGTAATGTTTCACATATCTACAACGCAATATCACAACAGTTTATTTATGTTAACAAATTCCATTAATCTTGTTTAGATTTAATGTCTTTTTCATTCATTCGTGTTTGTGTGTGTGGTTAGCTAGATCTATGTAGTTGTATCTCACATTTAGATTTTTGTGACAACGACCAGTCAAGATACAGAACAGGTCCATTATAAGGATTCCTTCTGCTACCCTTTAATAGCCATACTCTTCTTCTTCAACACCCTTGCAATGCCTGAAAACTACTAATATTTTTCTCATGTCTATAATTTTGTTATTTCAAAAATGCTAGGCAGGCTGGGCGTCATGACTGACACCGGTAATCCTAGCACTTCGGGAGGCCAACTTGGGCAGATAACTTGAGCTCAGGAGTTGGAGACCAGCCTGGGCAACATGACAAAGACCTGTCTCTACCAAAAATACAAAAAATTAGCAGGGTCAGGTAGCACATCTGTGGTCCTAGCTACTCGGGAGCCTGAAGCAGGGGGTACATTTGAACCCGGGAGGCAGAGGTTGCAGTGAGATGAGATCTCGTCACTGCACTCCAGTCTGGGTGACAGAGTGAGACTCCTTCTGAAAAAAAAAAAAAAAAAAAAAAAAAAAAAGCTATACAAATGAAATCATACAGTATGCAAACTTTTGAGACTGGCTTTTTTTTTTTTTTTCTCCTTCAGCATGTTTCCGTTGAGATTCATCTAAGTTGTTGCGTGTATTAAAATTGCATTTCATTTCATTGCTGTATACTATTCCATGGTATGGATATTTGTTTGAGCATTTACCCATGGAATGGGATTTGGGTTGTTTTGGTTTGGGGCTATAATTAATAAAGTTGCTATGAACATGTTTGTACAGGTTTCTGTGTGAAATATATATAATTTTTTATTTCTCTGGGGCAAATGCCCAAGTATTTTCTGGGAGCTATGGTAAGTGTATGTTTAGTTTTTGAAAAAAATTGCCATGTTCTTTTATTGAATGGCTATGCCATTTTACATTCCTACTAGCAATTTATGAGTGACTCACTTTCTTCCCATCTTTGCCAGCATTTTGTGTTCTAAACAAAATTTTAAGAAAAATCATCATCAGCAACAGTAAACCTGAAGGACTGTGCAAAGAAAAATGTGAATGTTAATAAAATAGTGAGTTGAAGGCATTAGGCATTAATGAAAAAATATCACCAATATTTTAAATTTAATCTTTAACCCATTGTATTTTGTTTCCCACAGCTTTCCTATATTTCACAAAATTCCTTGGAGGAGGTCATAATTGCCAAAATTAATGGCTTGTTTTTATAAAAAATAAAGCTTTATTATTTTAGAGAAGTTTTAGATTATCAGAAAAAATTAGTAGAAAGTACAAGAAGTCTCCATTTATTTTCTGTCCCACACATCCACAACCACCCTCAATATTGACATCTCACACCACAGTTGTATATTCTTACAATGAATGAATCTATATTGACATATCATTATTACCTAAAGTCAAAAGTTTACATTAAGTTTAACTATTGGTGCTGTATTTTCTATGGATTTTGACAAATATATGATGACATATAATCACCATTATGATTTCTCAGAAAATAGTTTTACTGCCCTAAAAATACAGTGTTTACCAGCACCTGAGCGGTAAACATTGAACCCAATGCATAGTCTTTTATCCCTAATATTTTCATTACTTTGAATTTTGGCCTTTCTAACAGGTGTGTTGTGGCATCATGCTGTTGTTTTAATTTGAAATTTCCTAATATCAGATGATGTTGAGCATCTTTTTATATGCTTACATGTCATTTGTATATCTTCCTCAGGTGGTTATGTTAAGATCTTTTGCCTATTTTTTAAAATCGGGATTTTTTTTCTTATTGTTGAGTTTCAAGAATTCTGTGTATATTTTGGATGATAGTCTTTATCAGATATGTCTTTTGCAAATACTTTTCTCCCAAAAAGCCTTATTTTTTTCTCATTTTATTATACCTTCCTGGTAAATTTTCCAGAGATGTAAACTCCATTTTATTGAAACTCTCAAAATCAGTTTATGATAATAAACTCTTATTATTTCTATCTCACATACTATTCTTTCTTAGTGTTAAATTACCTCCTTTATTTCTGCCTATGTTCTAAATTTGATAATTATTTTTTTTCTGATCATTTGTAGATAGATGGATCCTTAATTGATGTGAGGCATTATCAGACATGTCATAATGAAAAATGCAGAATAATTGGCCTGTGACTTCTGAAAAATGTGTCCTCTTTTAGGAAGATATATCGTGCCAAGTTGATCTCATTTACAGTTTTTATTTTAAATATTGTGTAACACTGACAACTTATACCATCATTATTTCCACTCCCATAATTCCTACTACTGTCTACCGGAGGTTTTCATGGGTTTTCCTATCATCCATATTTAATATTTCCAGTTAGAAAACTGGTTTTGCTTTATTCCTCTAACACATTCCTTTTTGTCACCATAACATTAAATAACTGCATTTCTTGACTAAATGGATAATTTGTCCCTTTTCTCTAAATTATAATTTCTCTTCTTTCTTATCCTCTGAGTTTTTAAGAACAGCCTTCTTTCTCATCTCTCCTGCCCCTCTACCTGTGGTCACAACTTATATAACAATCTTGTTTACATTACTAATAGTTCACCATTTGCAAAGTAATTTTAAACTTCTTGTATACTTACATGTGTATATAAAGTTTTGGATAAATACATATATATTTAAACCCATATATCTATTATCTGTATAGTTTTCTTGTGTTTCAATCTTTGGAGAGGGAATGAATAGCAATGGGTTCTTAATCTACAAATTATAACTGCATAATACCTAGCAGATATTAAAAAGAGCTTACAAGTCATTAGTCATTACGTTCTGTTTGAAATGATTTTATGCGGGAGACATGAACAGCCTGCTTTGAACAGTGTTTACCTATCCTTATTAATAGCCTTGTATTTTATTCATCAGCCAGAATGTATTTCACTTGTTCTAACACTTGTAATATATTCATATACTAGCAGTGATACCTGACATTTGCTTAGAAAAACATAAATCACCAAAAGATGCATGCATTAACAGGGGCTGCTGGGCATAGCATTGTCATTCTCTCTTTCTGTCTCAATTAGAGAACACTTGTCATATCCCCTTTTGCTTTGTGAATGTACACAAATGGATTACACAGCAGAATTGCCTTCTCAATTATAAAAAAAGTCTATTATTTTTCATAATTAATTTTATTTGAATAATTTATGCTAATATTGATTTCACATACATGATATTCTATGAAAACTGTTTTTTATATCTTAGCATTTCTCTTCCCTATACTTTTTCCCCTTCTTTTCCATTATGTTGGGATTTAAAAAAAAAGCAGGTTTTTTTTTTTAAATGATTGTAGGGAAGCATACATGCATGATAACAAATATTAACTTAAAATATTCCAGGTGGTCTATGTTTGGAAATTATGAAGCCAATTTGACTTTGTGAAAAAAATGTTCACATAGATCATTGACAATATAAAACTGTGTATATAGAATTAAACAAACATATAAAGAAAAATGTATGTAGAATAAAGAGATGCTACTGCATTTTCACTCAGGTGACTTGAATTCAAATTCTACCAGTACTATTGACGACAAAAGCCCCTGTAGAAAAATTGTATCATGTATATAATTTGACCCGCATAACTTTCCTGCAAAATGTGGGATGTGGCTTAACTAGAATTTTTTTTATCTTCCAGTTTGGTAATTTGTAACTTTAAAATAGTATTGACACTTTTTAAGAATATATTCTTAGCAACCTAGATGCCCATTAACAGTTGACTGGTTAAAGAAAATGTAGTATGTTTACAGTGTTGGAACAGTATACAGCCATATAAAATAATAAAATTATGTCCTCGGCACTCACATGAATGGAGCTGGATGTCATTATCCCAAGTAAATTAATACAGGAATGGAAAACTGAATACTACATGTTCTCACTAACAGTGGGAGTTGCACATTGAATACACATAGATACAAAGAAGGTAACAATAGACATGAGGGACTAATTGAGGGTAAGAGTGGGAGGAGGGTACAGTCTGAAAAACTACCTATCAGCTATGCTTATTATATGGGTGACAAAATAATCTGTACACCAAACCCCAAACCCCAAAAACATGCAATTTACCCATGTAACAAACCTAAACACATACCCCCAAACCTAAAATAAAAGTTGGAAAGAAAAATAAAAGAAAATGTAGTACATATATACCATGGAATATTATGCAGCCTTAAAAAAGAACAAAATCATGTCCTTTGCTGCAACATGGATGGAGCTGGAGGCCACAATCCTAAGCAAATTAATTCAGGAACAGAAAACCAAATACCACATGTTCCCATATATAAGCGAGTGCTAAGCATTGAGCACACATAGCCATAAATTTGGGAACAGTAGATTTTGTGAACTACTAGAGTATGGAGGCAAAGGTGAGTTAAAAAACTACCTAGTAGGTACTTACGCTCAATACCAGGTTGACAGGATCTGTACTCCAAACCTCAGCATCATGCAGTATTCCCATGTAACAAATCTGCATATGTATTCCTGTATCTAAAAGTTGAAATTAAAATAAAATAAAATCATAAAAAGTATATTCTTAATATATAGCAGGCATTCAATATGTACTGTCGCATTCTGTACTTAAACGTAAAGACGGGCATTGTTTTATTTCAATTTAAAATAGATAACTTGAGGTTAAAAGAAGTAATGTGCCCCGAATTACAATGTCAGAAAATATCATTACCTGAATTCAAAACGCTAACCCATGAAAAGTGGTTTTATATTTTAGAATGTAGTAGATCATAGCAGTTTGGAATCCCCTTCCCTACTTTTTTTGCAATTAATAAAATCACCACTTAAAGTAGCTGAAGCATGAAGGCGACTACAGGTTCCCGTAACTGGGCAGGGACAGGTTTAATTTCCATGTGGCTTGGTTCGGGGATCAATGTATATCTCCAGAAACTACATTCTCACTGTGGATTTATTAGCTTCTCTTTTCTCACAGTTGATTCTGCCCTCACTTCTTATGACTACATTCTTTAAAATGTGAATACATCAGAAAAGAATAAATTTCCCAAGATTCCTAATAACTATGATGATTAAAATGGCTTAGATCACAAGCCAAACTCGAATCAGTCAGTGTGGACAGGAGAATGGCTGGCTTAGTCTGGATCATGTGTTCTGCATCTGTGCCTGGCCTAACAGTGGATAAAATACATCCACATATGAAAATTGGGGCTGTTATCAAAAGAAGACAGAACTGATTCTAGAAATCAAACAAAATTTTATTTAAGTGGACATTTTTATTTTCATCCACCTGAATTCTATTGTTTTTGTTTCTTAACAGAACCCATATTTCCCACAAGAGAAACTGTATTATTTATTACAGTCCAGGCTATTGGGTGGAGGAAAAATAGATAATTCATTTCCTATATCCAGTAATAAAACTTATTTGGGCCTTGACTATCAAAGCTTTGCATGCCCCCGAGGATGCCTGAATCATAAATGAGTATGAGATTTGAAAAACTGAAAAAAATACATGAGACATAAGATAGTATGCCAAGAAATAAAAAAAATTGAAATAAAATTTTAAAATAATGATATTTAAAATGATTAAAAATTGAATGTGACACGAGAACAATGATGAAAGAAAATCACCAAAAACATTAGGTGAACTTGAAATGAAAACAAGTAATAAGAGGTTGTTAATAAAATTTTAAAAAGATGTTTGATTAAAATGTGATAAAATACAGCTTAAAATAGAATTGGTGAATGAAAGATCATGCAAATGCATCATAGACAGATAAAAATACATATCATATTATAAAATGTAGTTAAGAGACTTGGAATATGGAATTAAAGTATCTAACATACAGCAAATAAGAATTCTACAAGGAGAGAATAAAAAGACAAAGGTAATAATCATATCTCAAAGGAAGATATGTTTTAAGATTAAGGAAGCATGTTAAAAATATATCTAGATATATTATAGATAAATTTCATACCTGAAAGACAAATAGAAAGTATTAAAGAGATATATTACAATGGCATATATAAAAAGAATGGTAATTAGAGTCCCAGAATGCTTCTCATCAATAATAGTAAATGTAAGAAGGTGATAGAATGACATATTCAATAATTAGCCAAAGTGTGCTTAGCTAAACTAATATTTAAGAAAATATTTTTTAAAAAATCAGAGAAAGTCTGACTATTTATAACCCACAATTTATCTCTGAAAGAAATAATAAAATGTGGGGTTCCCAGGTTCTTCCACTTTTGCTACTGTCCTAAATGAGAAATACAGAATGCTTTAACTGCTCTGTGACTGGGCCAGCTGTGCTTTTCACTACAGGTTTGCATCCAAGCCAGTGGTTTGAATGGTTCCAGGTACTGGTAAAGATGTTTAGATTGTTGCCCCAAACACTGAAACTAACCCCAGCTCTGAGCAAAATTTCTTAACCACCCCCTATAAACTGAATACCCTGATCCCTTGCTGTGGTCACACCTAGGTAGCACTTTTTTCTTTTTCGCAGTCCGTTGGGAGGATAAGCTGTAGCACTCTGTAAGTACATTCCCCTAATAAGTGCTTCGGACTGATCACCCTCACATTTAGTGCTTCTTTCTCTTCTGCAAACAATATGAAACATGTACTAATATTACACATAGAGATTATCAGAAGTTATTGCCTCTTGGGAGGGATGAAGGAGAATGGGATTGGAAAATGGAATAAATATGTGTGTTCATGTGTATGTGTATATTTATGTAGTTGTAGATATATAAACAAATTTCTGTCCAAAGTAGCCTTTATATGAAGCATAGTTTCTAAATTTTAAATCTACAGAATTTTTTTAAGAAATCTGATTTGTCTGTAGTATAGGTGGATATTCAATTATTTACGTCTTTTATGAAACAACCACTAAACTACAGACAACTAAATTAACTATAAGGAAATCATAAAGTATTTCATTATAATTTCATTGTTCTTTATGTCCGTTATACATAAATTTAAACTGAAACTATCTATTTATATATCTCACATCTCTATCTATCTATCTGCCTCTATTAAATTTGATGGAATGGAGGGTGTTATGGAGAGGGTTTCTTAGTTTTTCAAGAATATAATAAAAGACTATAAATCTAGTAATGGGAGATTTTCTGTCAAGAGCCGCTCAGCTTAACTGAAAATATAACAGACGTGCACTGCAGAACATATAAAAGAGAGTAAAATTAAGTGATAAATATAGCTTGTGTTTAATTTTTAGCTGACGAAATTTTCCAAATGAACAGCATATATTTTCTTTCAAATCTATTATTAAATATATTATGATAGCCACTTATTTACAATGATGACACTACTTAATTCTCCTGTGGCATTTAGCTTCCTTTTGCTTCTACTTTTGCTCCTTTGCTATATATGGAATCTCAATTAAATATAGTAAACTAACCATATTTTTGCTCTAAATATGTAGGTTAACTCATAAACAGTAGGTTTATTTCCTTAATCAGCCAAGATTTCTTTGCTACTTTAATTATATATTTAACAGTGCCACTTACCTGAATGAAAGAATATTTTTAAAAGCCAGTACAAGAATTAATTATGAACCAGACAGTCCAATATTATCTTCTGAAATAATCATCAAAAAGCTTCAGTTTACTGTATAAAATATCATTAATTATGTTAACATTAAAAATAGGTTGTGAATTGCAAATGTTTAAAATTCAGTGAAAATATCTTTAAGGTATATTAAGTTTTGTATTCAGAAGTTTTTCCCTTTGTTAATATTTCTCTTAGTACATTTATGGATACATGTGTCATTGCGGATACACGTGTCATGTTACTTGTTTGTCATTCGTAGATACAATTGAGATGTACAACAGGAAGAATTTCACTTACATATGCGGTTTATTACAGTCCACAATTTTTCAAATACCAGTTTTTTGTCTGTTTCTCTGCCATATATATATATATATATATACATATATATATATATATATATATATATTTTTTTTTTTTTTTTTTTTTGAGACGGAATCTCGCTCTGTCGCTCAGGGTGGAGTGTAGTGGTGCAATCTCCGCTCACTGCAAGCGCCGCCTCCCGGGTTCACGCCATTCTCCTGCCTCAGCCTCCAGAGTAGCTGGGACTACAGGCGCCCGCCACCACGCCTGGCTAATTTTTGTTTCGTATTTTTAGTAGAGACGGGGTTTCACCATGTTAGCCAGGATTGTCTCTATCTCCTGACCTCGTGATCCGCCCGCCTCAGGCTCCCAAAGGGCTGGGATTACAGGCATGAGCCACCATGCCCGGCCTCTGCAATATATTTTTATATTTTTCTATTTTTTTTTTTGGTCAGGCTGCTCTTGAACTCCTGACCTCAGGTGATCTGCCCACCTGGGCCTCCCAAAGTGTTGGGATTACAGGCGTTAGCCACCACAGCTGGCAAGATATTTTTCTATTTTGATCAATTGGAATGATAAAGAACAAACTATTCAATTATTTTAATTGAACACATAGGCCATTTAAGTTTGTATATATAGTTTTGAAATCATTCTCTAACTACACATTGGAGAATAGCTTTCATAATTCTGCAAGGTTTCTATCGGAGGAACAAAATAAATATTCCTTATTGTAAATTCATATATTCAAATACTACTTATGTAAATTTGTAATAAATCTGATTGTTTCTGTTTGTCTCTCTGAATACTACTCCATGTTCAACCCATAGATTTTCTAAACCAAAACCTTTTTCTATCCTGATAGAATGAAAAGGATTATGTACAGATTACATCAAATATTTTGAGGGTATTTTCCAATCTTTCATCATTTTCAAAATCTTCCTTTCTGTATATCTCTCTCTTTCTATCTCTCTGTCTCTTTCTCCCATGCACACACACAGCTGGTCTCTCTTATCTATCAATCATCTATGTACCATCTTCTGGCAGAGATAAAATGCTGATATTTCCATGAAGCCTCTGCTACCTCAGGCAAAACTTTCTTTGTGACACCACATGTTAACTCGCTTACTCCACACTCAAACATGTATTTTTATTTGTGCGCCCATTTCATTTCATATTCTTCCTAGATGTGGAAATAATGACGTTTTGATTTCTTCTAAGGTATCTAAGATGGAGCCTCATATAGATCAAGAGTTTATTAAATATATTCTTGGTGAGGATTAAAATAATAGAGGATTTTAAAATTATTTGTTTTCAATTGTTGCCTCCATAAGATTGCTGGTTCTATCTTGAAACCACATGTTTCTAAATTTCACTATAGTGAATAATTTTGAGGGGGGTCCAGGATTTTTTCTAATTCACAATACTGAAATAATATGCTACTTTCTATGTAATAAGAAACTCCACTAACTCAGAAAGAGTTTTTTCTCCGCACTGCTAGAATAGCTCAAAATCCTGCTGAAAGATTTACTTTAGATATACTTGCATATATGAATATAAATTGAAAATGAAACTGCTTTAAATGTTTCTCCATGCTAATGTACGATTTTGCAGCTTTAGAGAGGTTTTAAGGAATCAAATACTTAAATACTTTAAAAGCAAATTAAAATCTCTATAATATCACATAAAATCATGAAGAATAGAATTTTCTTTTTAAAAATGTTGTTGCATTTTAATAGACAAGAGAGGTGACTCATTTTTTAAAAAATCAAACACTTCATCCTCTTAAATCTTCTTAGACCTTTGGAGCTGGTGCGGCAAGATTTTCAAGGGAAAAAAAGGGGATTTAGGCATAGATGTCTGGATTTGTATTTTGAAAGCCTAACATTCCTTAAGAAAACTGAATGACATGAGGTGGATTTTTGTTAGGGAACTGCCTTTGACTCAGAAAACAGGAGGAGTCTTCTCAGAAACATCTTATATCCTAGCACAGCTCTACAATCTGATCCAAATACAGAATGCAAGGCAAATGTAGCCCAGATTCTTATTTGTTGATTAATCCAAATTATCTCTAAATCTCATGGTCTGCCCATCTTTTAGCCCTGACTCTTGTGGGAAATTTCTGTATGAGGAAATTTACTAAGTACGTACATCTTAATTTCTGGAAGCTAATTGTCTCCGTGAGTTACCCAGCCACTGAAAGAGTGTCCATACTGGGTCCCTTGCAGAGCAGGAAGGTGGTGCATCCTTATCGGGATACCTGTTTACAGCTACAGATCACATTTGACACACCCGTTCCAACAGAAGAAATACCACAAATTGGCACACTTTGCAACTCTGGAACCATGCAACTTCACTCCATCTTTCCCTATGTTTCTTTTCAACACTTATTTTTTTCAGACTCTAAGACCTTTGTTCTGCATTACTGTCTAGACCTAATTATGTTGAATTGCTGCAGGTACTCTTCTCCTTTTTCTCTCCCTCCTTCTTCTTTTGTAAGAAGGGATTTTTTTTTTCGTCCCTAAGTTGTTTTCTTAGCGGCTTTTGCCTTGCAACAGCAGCCATTCAAATCTAAAATTACTTCATGTCTTGAAAAGAGTGCCATTCAGGATTCATACGGCTTTTAAACACATTTTTTTAATTTCTTTCCATTTTTTCTAAAAATATTGCCATTTACACATTTTATTTAAAATTAAGTGGGGTGATTTGGGATTAGGTTTAAATTAGACTCCCTCTTTGATTACATGAAGGCTTCCATTCATAGGAATGATTACTTCTTGAGATATTAATGTATATTTTATGTTTACTGCTATAGAAGAAGAGGAAATAATGGATTCTTTTATTTTGTTTCCAGTTTTTATACATTCCTCATTTAAGAAATGAGATATAGCATTGTGCTGTCTTACTTTGGGACCATCTGCAGAGCTCTAATCAGAGATTTTCTAAACACAACCAATAATGACTGTTGTCCATAATAAAACAGGCGAGAACATCAGTAACTAATTTTAGCTGAAAAAAAAAAAAAAACATAGGAAAGGATATTTGATAGCTGTTAGAATTTCCCAAAAGGCCAATGACCAGAGTAGGAAGTTACATAGCTAGGAAACTTGTCCAATCTAGAGCAGATGGTCTCTTTCAAGAAGATCCCTGCACAATCATCACTGTTCATGGATATCAAGTCAGCCTACGAGATACTCTTCCTAAAACCTCTGACACTCCTACTTCTGAGCAGCTGGATTTGACATCACATTCATCACAGGACATTCAACTACAAGCCTACTTATTTGATTTCTTGCATCTCTTTTGATGTTGCTATAAATGGTTCAGATTAATAGAGTTTCAGAGCAGGAGCCTGAAAGAAAGGAAAGGAAAGTATATTTCTGACTTCAAACATAGGGAGGCAGAAAGTAATGAAATCTAGAAACTTCTCAAACATACACAGAGTTCTTCAGGATTATAGACAGTCAAATGTATTAAAATAAATTTATGGTCTATTATATCAGCTACATAACATCAGTATATGCTTTTATTCCATACTCAAAATTCTAATTCACAATAAACAGTCACAAGAGCAACAATAATACCTCTGCCCCACACAACAGTCTCTTCTGTTATTAAAAACGTAATTCTATCCGCAAATGGGAAGAACCCACAGCTTATGAAATTTCTTATTGAACTCAAAGCCTATAATCTCTGTGTGACATCTCTTCTTCCTGTAATTCTCTCTTAATTCTGTATCAATATTCTGCAATCTGTGGACTACTACTACACAATTAACCATCATTCACACATATTATAGAATATAGCAAGAGATTAGCAGTACAAAAAGAAAAAATAGCTAACATATACAAATACATGTAAAATAGTTAATGTATACCAAACATGTATTCAACATAGGAATAAATGAGTAAATATTGCATTTCTCAAGTTTGCAATTGATTTTGAGGCATTATATCTACTTATTATTCACTTTCTTGATCACTTTCCATATTCCTTTTAGTCTTGGCTCCATCTCAGATGCTTTGGTGTTTTTTGTTTTGTTTTTGTGTTTGTTTTTGTTTTTAACGTTGTAGATTGATCTAATCTTTCCTGAGAGATCCAAGTCCTTGAGGATTTTACATCTGTGGGATTACAACTTCACTGGTTTCTTACTATTTTTGTTCTATTTTGTAGCAGTCGCTCGATTTCTTCATGAAATTTAGAGCCATATGCCTGCCAAAACTGTAGCTCTTTTGCTTTTTATTTTCTTTGTTATGTTTTGAATGGTCCAATAAGCATTAAGTGGACAGGGATGATCTCAATTTCTAATATACTGGTTCTTGGCCCCTTTGTTGGGAATGTTTCCCCTCTGAGTACTGAAACTCTAACTCAAGCAGAATCCAGAGTTAGGAGGACACAAAGAACAATTCCTGTTCATTAGATATTATAGTGGGAGAAGCCACTCTCCTTTCAACTCTATATTTGGTGAGAGGGTTCATTCCTAACCCAAACCCTTATGGAGAATCAAGGCCATAGTTACTGGACAGAGTGTCCTGTGGTAAACAGAACAAAGCTGAACAAACAAATACTATGTAACAATCTACTTGAGTCATCTAAGTACTGTAGGTAAAATATCTTATTTTTACCCTTAAACTGAATTTATAACCTAGTTGTTTAAATAAAGAATCCCAGCTTAATTAATTAGGTCTTAAACCAAATTAAAATTTTATTATAATTTGATCCCCTTCATAATTGAAAAGCTTTTATGTTGTGATTCCTCGTCATTTAATCAAAAAATAAGACTCTTTTTTCTGTGAATTATTTTTGACTTCTGGGTAAATTTATTTGTTACCTAACTTTATTGTATGCTGTTAAATGTAGATGATTGGTGAAGTATGTGTTAGATAACTATGGAAATTCATAAAACACATATATGTAGAAACTAGAAATAATTTAGAAATTGTACTTATGTTACTTTATTTACATGTACCTGAACTGACAATGAACTCCCTTAGTTTTCAGACCTAGAACAATGTTTGGTTTTTACACATGGTATAA
This sequence comes from Homo sapiens, assembly GCF_000001405.40. Classification (NCBI taxonomy): domain Eukaryota; kingdom Metazoa; phylum Chordata; class Mammalia; order Primates; family Hominidae; genus Homo; species Homo sapiens. Next base: position 114,589,574 of record NC_000008.11, on the reverse strand, counting down.
AAACCACAGTGCAACTTCTTATTTTTGAAAAGGCAGCCTGCTTTGTCATCTCCTCTTTTTGATGTTTAATAAAAGTGCTTCCAACAATTTCAGAATTTAAAACATTAGAAGATTTTTGTTGAGTTTTTGATGGCTTTCTACCCATTTATTATCACATACTTGCGTTGTTTTAGAAATCTTTCTTTCTGTGCTTAGCATGCTGTTGAGGCTGAGCCTAAACAGGGTTTGGGTTGGAAGAGGAACATTCTTCTCTCTTCTTTACATGTGCATGCATGTAATTTTTTATTGCATTTGCAGATGAGTTTTCCTTGGTGTTTCTGGGGCTGACAGAGGCGGGAAAAGGTTTATGGAGAAGAACCTCAAGCAAAGATGAAAGGTGAAGCAGGAAATTGTATTATAGTTCCTCTTTCCACATCTATGGAAAGAAAATATGAAAGAAAATATGCACCCAGATTAAAAGGTTCTTTATTTAATGAAGAGCCTCATATATATTAAGCTACACTGAGGTTATGATGACAAGGTTCAACATTGACTGGAAAAGAAGCAATAACCTTATTTCTCTATAGAATACATTGGCAGTTCATGCTATAGATATAAACTAGAATCAAAGCAATGGCTGTTGCATTGGAAAAAAGGCCATATCTATGGAGGTATCTACTGCAGAGACTGGGGCACAGAGTATGTAGAGTGTGTTTACATAAAGAAGCTGGAGCAGATAAATGTGTGAGAATTCTGTGCAGCCAAGATCAGGAAAATTGGGAGACTCTCCTAAATTGGCCTGATAACCTGTGTCTTGGAAGGACTAACCTGCCAAAATAATTAGGATATTAAGGCAAAGGAGGTGTTATCTGTACTAACAGGTTGATGTGGCCTCAGGAATAAAGGGAAATGTAGATCCTTTTCTCCATTAGTTGGTGAGATAAGATTAGACTGATAAAATATTGGGAGTCTGGGAATTTGAAATTTTAAATTTTTTGAAAAATTGCACGGCATATATTTTTAACCAAATACAATGGTTAGTCATTATGGGAATAGTCTAAGTACCATTTTCTTGTATGCTGTTTGTGTTGTATTAGTATGTTACAAATTTTAGGTGATTATCATGCATTGCTATTAAAATCAGAAAAAAATACCTAAATGTTTAAAAATTTTCCATGCAATTCTCTTTAGATCCAATACCCTATGAGCTTTTTAACACACAGAACTGAAACCAGCAAAGATTTGGGGATCAAACGTGCTATTCAGTTTAAAGCTTTTGTCAAGGAGACCTGATTTAAATTGAAGAAGCAGATGTCATACGCTAAATTTTGCATTCTTTTTTGTTGTTCAAAATTTCTACTTCAGTGGTTACATATATTATCTATAGTAGCTCCATAAAAAATGCTCTGTAGTCATTTATGAATCTTCATAATTTTTTTAAAAAAGTTCTGAACCCTAAAACACAGAACCAGTTAGCAAAAAAGTCCTTTTCTACATTAATTATGTCTCAGCACAAATTGACCTACTCTAGGAAGCTTTCTTTAAATCCCACTGTCTGGTTAAGATGCCCCTCCTATGTGGTCTAGAATTATTACCAAACTGTATCATCCACCTCTCAGTTTATTCTAACCATTGATTTCTTTGTTTTCACAGAATATTGTAAAGTCAGGGCTGGACGTTACCGATGGTGGTGTCCATAATACCCAGAACTGTGCGCATTATATATCACAAACAATCCATAAGAATATAAAAAAGGAAAAAAGTCATTTTTTCCTAAGTTCTCTAATTTAATTACTACATTCTGATGTGCTTCCGCTTTTAACTTCTGACAAAATGATTATGCCTGAAGAATAAGTTTGTGTTTTTCTTTGAATGTTATATATATTTGGAAAAGAAAATTCAGTTGCCTTTTATTACTCAGAATAGGAATAGTATCTCATGGAAAGTAAAATTGAGAGTTGGGCAATATAGAAATTATGTGTTACTTGTTGTTAAGCTATAAAGATGCCTAGAAGTATTACCATAATATTATGTCTCAATAGTAGCTTCTGGAATGACCATCACAGCCTGGTCAATTGGATTGTATGTTTAATTGAAAGACTTGTCTCAACTTTTTCCTTTGCCAATTTGACATAAGTAACACAATCAAAAATGTTTATAAAAGGATGCATAAGAATTCTTGAAGAAACTGAGTTTTAAATTCAGTTTTGTGAGAGTTTAATTTAATTTATAATATTTAAAACAACAGACAGAAAATCCAAGTTTTGTAACTCATATAATAAACATTTCTCCTACTAAGATGCTTTTAGATTTTGTATTTTGTATCTGCCTACATTGAGAAATAGAATTAACTGAAATTGTATCCAGTAAAAGTCATTTCTCTTTTGCCTTTTGTAAACAAGTCAGATAATTGTTTAATAAATCCATAATTTTCTCATCACTTGACTACAATTTCCAGTATAATATCTCAGAGAACAATTTCCTCTATTACTATCTATTTCCTGTGATTTTATTTAAAGCTATTATTACTGGAAAGATCTCTGCTAATCAACCTTACATTTTCTGATCCTCTAATTACCTTTATAACCCATATGCAAGATATAACTCCCCTCGTATTATTCCTTTATGACTGTTCAGGACGATAATGATAATGCAGATGCTATTCCAACCACAGCAAATATTTATTCAGCACCCATTAGGTGTCGAGTGCTGTGCTAAGTTTTGAACGTCAGCTATGATCCTATGGAAAAGTCTGTGTTGGCCAAGAGCGGTGGCTCACGCCTGTAATCCCAACCCTTTGGGAGGCCAACGCGGGTGGATCACCTGAGGTCAGGAGTTTAAGACCAGCCTGGGCAACATGATGAAACCCCATCTCTACTAAAAATACAAAAATTAGCTGGGCGCAGTGGCGCGTGCCTGTAATCCCAGCTACTCAGGTGGCTGAGCCAGGGGAATCGCTTGGGCCCGGGAAGCAGAGATTGCAGTGACCCGAGATAGCGCCATTGCATTCCAGCCTGGCCGACAGAGCGAGACTCCCTCTCAAAAAAAAAAAAAAAAAAAAGTCAGTGTTTTACATCACAATCTTTGTACAGACACGTTTACTGCAAATAGATCCATAGCAAATATATAGAAACTTTTCAACACATGTCATGGATAGATAGTCCTTCTTTTTCTGAGTTTATAGGAAATAGATACTTACCTGCTTCTATTAAGAAATAGGACCCGGGAGGAGCCAAGATGGCCGAATAGGAACAGCTCCGGTCTACAGCTCCCAGCGTGAGCGACACAGAAGACAGGTGATTTCAGCATTTCCATCTGAGGTACCGGGTTCATCTCACTAGGGAGGGCCAGACAATGGGCGCAGGTCAGTGGGTGCGCGCACCATGCACGAGCCGAAGCAGGGGAGGCATTGCCTCACTTGGGAAGCGCAAGGGGTCAGGGAGTTCCCTTTCTGAGTCAAAGAAAGGCGTGACGGATGGCACCTGGAAAATCGGGTCACTCCCACCCGGAATACCGCACTTTTCCGACGGGCTTAAAAAACGGTGCACCACGAGATAATATCCCGCACCTGGCTCGGAGGGTACTACGCCCACAGAGTCTTGCTGATTGCTAGCAGAGCAGTCTGAGATCAAACTGCAAGGCGGCACCAAGGCTGGGGGAGGGGCGCCCGCCATCGCCCAGGCTTGATTAGGTAAACAAAGCAGCCTGGAAGCTCGAACTGGGTGGAGCCCACCACACCTCAAGGAGGCCTGCCTGCCTCTGTAGGCTCCACCTCTGGGGGCAGGGCACAGACAAACAAAAAGACAGCAGTAACCTCTGCAGACTTAAATGTCCCTGTCTGACAGCTTTGAAGAGAGCAGTGGTTCTCCCAGCACGCAGCTGGAGATCTGAGAACGGGCAGACTGCCTCCTCAAGTGGGTCCCTGACCCCTGACCCCCGAGCAGCCTAACTGGGAGGCACCCTCCCAGCAGCGGCACACTGACACCTCACACGGCAGGGTATTCCAACAGACCTGCAGCTGAGGGTCCTCCCTGTTAGAAGGAAAACTAACAAACAGAAAGGACTTCCACACCAAACACCCATCTGTACATCACCATCATCAAAGACCAAAAGTAGATAAAACCACAAAGATGGGGAAAAAACAGAACAGAAAAACGGGAAACTCTAAAAAGCAGAGTGCCTCTCCTCCTCCAAAGGAACGCAGTTCCTCCCCAGCAACGGAACAAAGCTGGATGGAGAATGACTTTGGCGAGCTGAGAGAAGAAGGCTTCAGACGATCAAATTACTCTGAGCTATGGGAGGACATTCAAACCAAAGGCAAAGAAGTTGAAAACTTTGAAAAAAATTTAGAAGAATGTATAACTAGAATAAACAATACAGAGAAGTGCTTAAAGGAGCTGATGGAGCTGAAAACCAAGGCTCGAGAACTACGTGAAGAATGCAGAAGCCTCAGGAGCCGATGCAATCAACTGGAAGAAAGGGTATCAGCAATGTAAGATGAAATGAATGAAATAAAGCGAGAAGGGAAGTTTAGAGAAAAAAGAATAAAAAGAAATGAGCAAAGCCTCCAAGAAATATGGGACTATGTGAAAAGACCAAATCTACGTCTGATTGGTGTACCTGAAAGTGATGGGGAGAATGGAACAAAGTTGGAAAACACTCTGAAGGATATTATCCAGGAGAACTTCCCCAATCTAGTAAGGCAGGCCAATGTTCAGACTCAGGAAATACAGAGAACGCCACAAAGATACTCCTCGAGAAGAGCAACTCCAAGACACATAATTGTCAGATTCACCAAAGTTGAAATGAAGGAAAAAATGTTAAGGGCAGCCAGAGAGAATGGTCGGGTTACCCTGAAAGGGAAGCCCATCAGACTAACAGCGGATCTCTCGGCAGAAACCCTACAAGCCAGAAGAGAGTGGGGGCCAATATTCAACATTCTTAAAGACAAGAATTTTCAACCCAGAATTTCATATCCAGCCAAACGAAGCTTCATAAGTGAAGGAGAAATAAAATACTTTACAGACAAGCAAATGCTGAGAGATTTTGTCACCTCCAGGCCTGCCTTACAAGAGCTCCTGAAGGAAGCACTAAACATGGAAAGGAACAACCGGTACCAGCCGCTGCAAAATCATGCCAAAATGTAAAGACCATTGAGACTAGGAAGAAACTGCATCAACTAATGAGCAAAAGAACCAGCTAACATCATAATGACAGGATCAAATTCACACATAACAATATTAACTTTAAATGTAAATGGACTAAATGCTCCAATTAAAAGACACAGACTGGCAAATTGGATAAAGAGTCAAGACCCATCAGTGTGCTGTATTCAGGAAACCCATCTCACATGCAGAGACACACATAGGCTCAAAATAAAAGGATGGAGGAAGATCTACCAAGCCAATGAAAAACAAAAAAAGGCAGGGGTTGCAATCCTAGTCTCTGATAAAACAGACTTTAAACCAACAAAGATCAAAAGAGACAAAGAAGGCCATTACATAATGGTAAAGGGATCAATTCAACAAGAAGAGCTAACTATCCTAAATATATATGCACCCAATACAGGAGCACCCAGATTCATAAAGCAAGTCCTGAGTGACCTACAAAGAGACTTAGACTCCCACACATTAATAATGGGAGACTTTAACACCCCACTGTCAACATTAGACAGATCAACGAGACAGAAAGTCAACAAGGATACCCAGGAATTCAACTCAGCTCTGCACCAAGCAAACCTAATAGACATCTACAGAACTCTCCACCCCAAATCAACAGAATATACATTTTTTTCAGCACCACACCACACCTATTCCAAAATTGACCACATACTGGGAAGTAAAGCTCTCCTCAGCAAATGTAAAAGAACAGAGATTATAACAAACTATCTCTCAGACCACAGTGCAATCAAACTAGAACTCAGGATTAAGAATCTCACTCAGAACCGCTCAACTACATGGAAACTGAACAACCTGCTCCTGAATGACTACTGGGTACATAATGAAATGAAGGCAGAAATAACGATGTTCTTTGAAACCAACGAGGACAAAGACACAACATACCAGAATCTCTGGGACGCATTCAAAGCAGTGTGTAGAGGGAAATTTATAGCACTAAATGCCCACAAGAGAAAGCAGGAAAGATCCAAAATTGACACCCTAACATCACAATTAAAAGAACTAGAAAAGCAAGAGCAAACACATTCAAAAGCTAGCAGAAGGCAAGAAATAACTAAAATCACAGCAGAACTGAAGGAAATAGAGACACAAAAAACCCTTCAAAAAATTAATGAATCCAGGAGCTGGTTTTTGGAAAGGATCAACAAAATTGATAGACCGCTAGCAAGACTAATAAAGAAAAAAGAGAAGAATCAAATAGACGCAATAAAAAATGATAAAGGGGATATCACCACCGATCCCACAGAAATACAAACTACCATCAGAGAATACTACAAACACCTCTATGCAAATAAACTAGAAAATCTAGAAGAAATGGATAAATTCCTGGACACATATACTCTCCCAAGACTAAACCAGGGAGAAGTTGAATCTCTGAATAGACCAATAACAGGAGCTGAAATTGTGGCAATAATCAATAGCTTACCAACCAAAAAGAGTCCAGGACCAGATGGATTCACAGCCGAATTCTACCAGAGGTACAAGGAGGAACTGGTACCATTCCTTCTGAAACTATTCCAATCAATAGAAAAAGAGGGAATCCTCCCTAACTCATTTTATGAGGCCAGCATCATTCTGATACCAAAGCCAGGCAGAGACACAACAAAAAAAGAGAATTTTAGACCAATATCCTTGATGAACATTGATGCAAAAATCCTCAATAAAATACTGTCAAACTGAATCCAGCAGCACATTAAAAAGCTTATCCACCATGATCAAGTGGGCTTCATCCCTGGGATGCAAGGCTGGTTCAATATACACAAATCAATAAATGTAATCCAGCATATAAACAGAGCCAAAGACAAAAACCACATGATTATCTCAATAGATACAGAAAAAGCCTTTGACAAAATTCAACAACCCTTCATGCTAAAAACTCTCAATAAATTAGGTATTGATGGGACGTATTTCAAAATAATAAGAGCTATCTATGACAAACCCACAGCCAATATCATACTGAATGGGCAAAAACTGGAAGCATTCCCTTTGAAAACTGGCACAAGACAGGGATGCCCTCTCTCACCACTCCTATTCAACATAGTGTTGGAAGTTCTGGCCAGGGCAATTAGGCAGGAGAAGGAAATAAAGGGTATTCATTTAGGAAAAGAGGAAGTCAAATTGTCCCTGTTTGCAGATGACAGGATTGTATATCTAGAAAACCCCATTGTCTCAGCCCAAAATCTCCTTAAGCTGATAAGCAACTTCAGCAAAGTCTCAGGATACAAAATCAATGTACAAAAATCACAAGCATTCTTATACACCAACAACAAACAGAGAGCCAAATCATGAGTGAACTCCCATTCACAATTGCTTCAAAGAGAATAAAATACCTAGGAATCCAACTTACAAGGGATGTGAAGGACCTCTTCAAGGAGAACTACAAACCACTGCTCAAGGAAATAAAAGAGGATACAAACAAATGGAAGAACATTCCATGCTCATGGGTAGGAAGAATCAATATCGTGAAAATGGCCATACTGCCCAAGGTAATTTACAGATTCAATGCCATCCCCATCAAGCTACCAATGCCTTTCTTCACAGAATTGGAAAAAACTACTTTAAAGTTCATATGGAACCAAAAAAGAGCCCGCATCGCCAAGTCAATCCTAAGCCAAAAGAACAAAGCTGGAGGCATCACACTACCTGACTTCAAACTATACTACAAGGCTACAGTAACCAAAACAGCATGGTACTGGTACCAAAACAGAGATATAGATCAATGGAACAGAACAGAGCCCTCAGAAATAACGCCACATTTCTACAACTATCTGATCTTTGACAAACCTGAGAAAAACAAGCAATGGGGAAAGGATTCCCTATTGAATAAATGGTGCTGGGAAAACTGGCTAGCCATATGTAGAAAGCTGAAACTGGATCCCTTCCTTACACCTTATACAAAAATCAATTCAAGATGGATTAAAGACTTAAACATTAGACCTAAAACCATAAAAACCCTAGAAGAAAACCTAGGCAGTACCATTCAGGACATAGGCATGGGCAAGGACTTCATGTCTAAAACACCAAAAGCAATGGCAACAAAAGACACAATTGACAAATGGGATCTAATTAAACTAAAGAGCTTCTGCACAGCAAAAGAAACTACCATCAGAGTGAACAGGCAACCTACAAAATGGGAGAAAATTTTCGCAACCTACTCATCTGACAAATGGCTAATATCCAGAATCTACAATGAAGTCTAACAAATTTACAAGAAAAAAACAAACAACCCCATCAAAAAGTGGGCGAAGGACATGAACAGACACTTCTCAAAAGAAGACATTTATGCAGCCAAAAAACACATGAAAAAATGCTCATCATCACTGGCCATCAGAGAAATGCAGATCAAAACCACAATGAGATACCATCTCACACCAGTTAGAATGGCAATCATTAAAAAGTCAGGAAACAACAGGTGCTGGAGAGGATGTGGAGAAATAGGAACACTTTTACACTGTTGGTGGGACTGTAAACTAGTTCAACCATGTGGAAGTCAGTGTGGCGATTCCTCAGGGATCTAGAACTGGAAATACCATTTGACCCAGCCATCCCATTAATGGGTATATACCCAAAGGACTATAAATCATGCTGCTATAAAGACACATGCACATGTATGTTTAATGCGGCATTATTCACAATAGCAAAGACTTGGAACCAACCCAAATGTCCAACAATGATAGACTGGATTAAGAAAATGTGGCACATATACACCATGGAATACTATGCAGCCATAAAAAATGATGAGTTCATGTCCTCATTCTCAGTAAACTATCGCAAGAACAAAAAACCAAACACCGCATATTCTCACTCATGGGTGGGAATTGAACAATGAAATCACATGGACACAGGAAGGGGAATATCACACTCTGGGGACTGTTGTGGGGTGGGGGGAGGGGGGAGGGATAGCATCGGGAGATATACCTAATGCTAGATGACGAGTTAGTGGGTGCAGCGCACCACCATGGCACATGTATACATATGTAACTAACCTGCACAATGTGCACATGTACCCTAAAACTTAAAGTATAATTAAAAAAAAAAAAAAAAGAAGTAGGACCTTTGCCTTTTCCCTTTAAATTTGGGCTAGCTGGTCACTGCTCCCAAACAATAGCGTACAGCAGAAATAAATCTTAGTGACTTCTGAAGCTATGTTTTTAAAGTTCAGCTGTTTTTGCCTGGCTGTCTTGGAGCACTCACTTATGTTAGAAGTCTGTAAGAAGTGAGATATAAGAAGGGTAAATACTCTGAAGCCAGTATGCTTTGAGGAAGCCCAGGCTACAGTGAGAGACCATTCATAAGTGCTTTCTTCAGTGACCTCAGCTGAATTTCCAGCGGACATCTAGCATGAATCACCAGATACACAAGTAAAGACACATCCATATTATACCTGCTCCTGGCTATAACATCATCCCCAGGCATTGGGTCTCCAAGCAAAGTCCCAGAAATCAGGAAATGAGACAGGGGCAAAATATTAGTTAAAATAAGATTTGTTTCATGCTACTGAATTTTAGGGCAGATTGTTATGCAGCATTAATAGCTAGAAAATATTCCGGTTCACAGCAGGATCATACAAAGCATATGAACAACATGACTATTCTGTTGATAGCCAGCCTCCTTCCACAATCTCCCACACCCTTGCTTAATGGACTCAAGAACAGTGTGACTATGATGCAGGTATGGATGTTATTAACTAAGTATGAACTAAGCAATGTGAGTATTAAACCAAGAAGAGTTCCCTTCTAAGCATGGGAACCTATGAGACTGCACAGGTCATATGTCCAGGAAGCCAGCCTTGGCTACACACCATGACAGAGTCACTATATTGTACTAGCTGAAAAGATGAACTCCAGAGCCAAATGCCTATGCTTTAATGCTATTTAATTAATGTTCTAGCTGTTTGACCTTTGGCAAGTTACTTAATAGTTATCTGCCTTATCTGCACAAAGGCTAATAATATTGTCTAATTTATGGAATTATTTTGAGGGATGAATAAATTAATGCATATAAAAAAGCTCATAGAATAGTATCTGGAATAAGTAAACCTTCACAAATTTTAGCCACATTAGTTTTACGAGAAACAATTTTTGAAAAACACATTCGGTAAGTCTACTCCTGTGGACAACCCTTCTTACAACATTTTTGTAAAACAGCATCTTATATTTGACACAAATATTTTTTGTTATATTTTTGAGAACCACTGGCATCTGGGAACATGGGAGAAGACAACTATTTTCCATGTTTCTACTATTCTAGGTTTATACTAGTTTGCCATTTAACTTAGGAGGGACAATTAAGAAGAATCAATTCTTTATTTGTAAATTCTATATATCTGATGTATGTACAATACATGTATATCCAGTGGAAATCTAGTGTGGATTTTCTAAGGCTGTTCTGATTGTCTAAATTTATTATTTAAAAAAATTTGAGGACATAATTTTATGATGTTTCCAATTTACATTAGTATGTAATTTGATGTTATTGGCCATGTGAAATAAGTGTGTGTACATTTATTTGAACCTGAGGACATCTAATTGGCCTAATTAGAAAATCCTTCTCCTGGCATGGTCAGCTAGCATTTAATCAGAAAGTCCACACTTTAGAGGTTGTTACCCCAATCATTTCCACAACCTGTATGATTCCTCAACAATAGGATATTTGCTATTTAGCATAATGGATGTTAGAAGTGGTTGCCTGTTAGTAAAACTAGTAGTTTCCCAGCAATGTGCTTTGTTTAAAATAGTTTTTGGAAACTCCACACACTTGCATAGTCAGAATATTAGAATCAAGTGACTCCTCATTCTTTAAATGAGGCACAGCACCCTGGGTTTGATCTCTGAAAGGTTCTGAGCTCATTTCCTAACTCAGCTAATTTTTAATCATCTATATATGCCTAGTTTTCTAGCTTCATCCTCCCTTTAGATTAATTTATCATATACGTCGGAATATTTCAAGGAGAGTATTTTTGGAACACCACAAAGAGTAAGACATGAGATTTCATTATAAATTAAAGAAATAATATTTTTTGAGTTGCATTTCCTTGGTGATTAGTGATGTTGAGCATTTTTCATATATCTGTTGGTCACTGGTATGTCTTCTTTTGAGAAATGTCTATTCAGAGTCTTTGCCCATTTTTTAATCAGATTGCTTATTTTATTGCCATTGAGTTGTTTGTGTTTGTTACATATTCTTGTATATGAACTCCTTGTCCGATGCATAGTTTACAAATATTTTCTCACATTCTGTATGTTTTCTCCTCACTTTGTTGACTGTTTTCTTTGTGGCACAAAAGCTTTTTAGTTTGATGTTATCCCATTTGCCTTTATTTCTTTTTGCCTGTGCTTCTGGCTAGAAGACAGTCTTTGCCTATCAACTAAGAATGTCTATAATATGACAGAATAGGGTATGAAATTTCTTTCCTTTTAGACTGATAATAAGGTTAGTGGTAGTGGCTAACCATCATCTACCTCTAATAATTGTCAGCTACCAATATTTTAAAAAGATGATTATTTTTTATTATTAACTTAGTCAATTTGCAAAATTTTCCAACTATAATTAACAATTTAACCTTTCTTTTAGAATTTTCATATCAATATGCTCATCATTCATAGGAAAATTTGCCAGAACACATGGCTTAAGTTACGATTAAGAAAAATATCATCATCTTATTTTCATGACTACAAAAGTGAATAAAATTAGTAAACTGATTATGCACCTAGGCCTTTAATTATAAAATCTAATTTTATTTTTACACTAGTTCTACAACCATTACTTTTTCTATTTTATTAATGAGGAAAATGAAGCTGAGAAATGTTGAGTATTCCAGACAAGACCATATAGTTAATAAGTAATAAAACCAGCATTCAAAGTAGATACATATAATTACAAGAGTCTATGTTTGTTATTTTTGTTTGTTTGTTTTACCTAGCAGGAGTCTTCCTTGTGGAATATAACATAATGAAAAGAAAAACCCTCGAAGAGAAAGCTTTTATATAATCTTCATGCAAGGTGCATATGAAACCTAGAGAACTATTTTAAATAATTTAATTAGTAAGTTATGTATATTTGGTTATTTATAAGACTCTATCTTAATCAGTCACTGATTACTTTTTATGTTTTTCTCTGTTATTTACTTAACAGCTTTTAGTTTCTATTTTAAGAAGAGAATGATGTGTTTCAGTGATGTGTTCCCAGTTTGCTCTTGGTAACCCTTATTTTATATCTAGCTCCCCATCCCAACTTTTGTACCTCTTAATTTCAAGATCAGTCACAGACATAGGGATACAATATTTATACATGAACTGTTTAACAGGTTATTATGATTATACAATGGCTAATGACTATCAAAAGTTATGCTTTACATAATTTATAGGGGTCTCACTTCTCTCATTGAGCCCAAACTCTACCATGAAGGGACCACAAATGGTTGCAATGTTTGCCAAAGATAAAAGGAGGATGAAATGGAGAGTAAAAGACAGAGAAATCATGTGACTGGCTTCAGAAATGAGCTCTTAAATACGAATATTTTTTGTTTGTGTGTTAATACCAAATCAAATATTAAATTGGTAAATATTAATATATTTGTTGGATGTTTTCTTTTTGAGACAGTCTTGCTCTGTTACCCAGGCTGCAGTACCCTTGAGCGATATCAGCTCACTGCAACTCTGCCTCCAGGTTCCAGCAATTCTCGTGTCTCAGCCTTCCAAGAAGCTGGGATTATAGGCATGTGCCACCATGTCCGGCTAATTTATGTATTTTTAGTAGAGATGGGGTTTAGCCATGTTGGCCAGGCTGCTCTCAAACTCCTAGGCTCAAGTAATCTGCCCACCTCAGCCTTCCAAAGTGCTGAGATTATAGGTGTAAACCACCGCACCTGACCAGTATATTTGTTTATTATATTTTTTCTTTACCTTATCTATTCCCTACCATGTAGCATGAAAACGATTAATAGTAGCTAACCTGATATCTAAATATTTACGTTACAAGGCTTTAAAGGAGAATTATGATTTTGCTAGAAGGGAAATGGACATTCTTCAAAGAAAGACTTTGTATTCTCTTTTCCAAAATGGAATCAGGGTGATTTTGCTTATATATAGGGCACGTGCATCATTTAAAAAAATAACTTTCCTATTGTCTGTCTTTAGAAAGTAAGTGTGGTTACAAGAGATGTGTATGGCTTCCAAATTGATCATGGTTGAGCCAGGAGAACACTGAACTGTGGCGACTTAGCTAAGTTATAACTTCATTCGCTAGAATTTCTTGCTCTATCTATTTCTTAATTAGAAATGGTCACATGAGAAATCTGTGACCAATTTCCTATAATTTCTGTTAGAATACATAGGAAATTTTCAAATGTGTAGTACTCATATCACAGTGTAACAGACTTTTAGTAATTAAAACAAGGAAGTACTGCTGCTAGGATACATATACAGATCTCTAAGTCACATAATATATATTGCAAAAATATTTAAATTTTTAAAGAAAAAGTTATTATAAATATACATGAATAACATATGTTTTTGTATTTTTTTCCTTCTATGAGTTTACCAAGTGCTTTCACTGGTACCCCAGAATTACATAAATAATAGAATGTACTAAAGGAAAACAAGCAAAGAAGATTAAGTCAGTGAGAAGAAAAGAATGTAATAAGAGGCAGATAAAATCTCAGCTGGAACTTGGAGCAAGAATATTTTCTTTGCTAGAAGTTAACCCATAAACTGTCAGTTGTACATTTTATACAGATGCACTTTGCTCCTCTGAATTGCTACTTAGTCCACTGTCTGACAAATGACATTTGAAAAGTTTGTCTACAGTCAGGATACATTTCCAGGATATGTTGCTACCTGTCAGACAGTAGGTCGAAGCCTTGCACAGCTTTCTAAGTGATGGTGTAGTTGATAATTGGCCATTTAGAGGGGTGATTTTATCAAGAAGAGAAGGCCTCGCCAACTTGCAAGCTGTGTCTCTACAGAAGCCACTGTAGTTGCCAAATGTAGTAGAGATACTTCAACCCTACCTCTTTATATTTTAAACACATGCACTTTGTATTTCTGCACCATTAACACTTTTTAAAATAGCTTCCTAATAGGTGTGCATTGCATACAAAGTCAGATATGAAAAGAGAAATCAATAAAAAAGTGGAATAGTCTCTGAGAAAGCAATACATGCAAGAAAAGGAATGCTCAATAAATAATTGAATGATATTCCAAATCTCATATTCAAGATACGATGCAAAATAAAATTTTAAAAACTAAAGTATATTTTATTAATCTAAATGCATAAATATTGATAGTATCTAGTGTTTTTTTTCATAAGTATACCTATGCAAATGCAATATCGGTTGATATTTAAAACATGCGTACTCTTATACCAAGAATTTGTTCCTGGTATTACTGGGGAATATATAACCTAAAACATTCACTTGAAGAAATTGTTAAAAAGTCGACTCATATATACACACACTTAAATGGATAGCTAGGGTGGCATGAAATTAAGAAATTAACAGGGGTTAAAAAAAAAAACTTAATGAAACAGGCATCATGGAAGTAAGTTAGCCCCAAATCAGCTTTTATCTTGAGAATATGAGCCAAATCGTAGTAACTTAGAACTTCCATATTTATTGCTGTGTAGAATAGAGGAGTTGGGAAATAAATCTTCAGACTTCACCAAGACAATGAGTAAAATTAAGAATCCATATATAAAGGTAGTGGCCCTGAGGGCCATACCTTCAGAGAAAGGGTAAGTTTAAAATGAATCTAATGCACAGATGGTCAATTAGAAAGTTATGGAATCCGTGTTACAATGGGGTGGTGATGGGTGATTTTTTATGAGAAATGAAGTAAGCTGCCTGTCACTATCACATGGATTTATGTGATACAAAACAGCTCAAGAAGATAATCTAATCAGTGAAGTCATAAGATGATGGGCATATGATGCCAGATAATTAACAGGAGAATAGGCAAACATCTGGAGAAACCCTTTGAACCAAAGTGTCTATGAATTTCTACAAAGATAGTGATCCTAAAAGAAATGAGGTCAGTCAATTTAAAAGACAAAATAAAAGTTTTCAATGTAAAATACAGTAAAAAAAAAAAAAAAAAAACAAACAACAGAATCACATGCAAGAATTTAAGATAAAATAGAATAATTCAAATGACATGAAATTGTTAAAAGTAAGTTGGGAAAAACAAGAAACCCTGGAGCATTCTACAACTGTTAAAAGAAGTAAATCACTATTTTGAAAACTTTCTGTAAAGAAAGCACTCAGCTCAAATTGATTTACAGATTAGTTCCACCAAACATTTAGGTTTATGTAATTCCAATCTCATAAAAGTATTTTCCAGGAAGAGGCACATAAAAGGTCACGTTCAAATTGCTTTTATTAGGAAATGCGACTTTAATATTTAATCCATGTAAAGGATCTATGAGAAAGAAACTTTACAGGCTGATCTCCCTTGTGAAAATGATTACAAAAATCCAAAACTATTAAGATACCAAATAAAATTTCCCCCAAAATAAAATAATACACAATAAGTAAGCTTAGTTTATCCAGAAATGCATTGTTGACATACTATTTTAGAATAAGTTATTAGAATTTTTGAAAACAAAGTACTAAAGGAGGGAAATTATATGATCTCAATAGATGCAGAAAAAGTACTTAATGAATTTTACTATATATTTGTATTAGTCAGGGTTCTCTAGAGGACAGAACTTCTATTAGTTCTGTCTAACTATATACGAAGGGGAGTAAGGAGAGTTTATTAAGGAATATTGACTCAAACAATCACAAGATGAAGTCCCACAATAGGCTATCTGCAAGCTGAGGAACAAGGAATCCAGTCCGAGTCCCAAAATCTCAAAAGTAGGAAGTGGACAGTGCAACCTTCAGTCTATGGCTGAAGGCCTGAGAGCCCCTGGCAAACCACTGGTGTAAGTCCAAGTCTAAAAGCTGAAGACCTTGGAGTCTGATGTTCAAGGGCAGAAAGCATCCAGCATGGGAGAAGGATGAGGCCGAAAGACTCAGCAAGTCAGCCAGTTCCACCTTCTTCTGCCTGCTTTTTCTAGCTGTGTTGGCAGCCTATTGGATGATGCCCACTCACACTGGTGAGTCTTTCTAAGGACAGGTCTTCCTCTCTCAGTCTACTGACTCAAATGTTAGTTTCTCCTGGCAACACCCAGAAACACCCAGATACATCCAGAAATAATATTTTTCATCCTTCAATCCAATCCAGTTGGCAATATTAACTTTCACAATATTCATTCAAAAATAATCAAATTGAGAGTATAATTAAAACTTTTTCTAATAAAAGCTATCTATCACAATCAACCAACAAACATAATAGGTACTGATAGATAATTTTGAGATAATTACTTTTAGTTAGGAAGAAGGCGTGAATATTAGCACAACTTCCATTTAACCTTTTATGAAATTATCTAATTAGAGTATTGAGAAAGAAAATAAAATTGAAATACAAATGTTATTAGTTACCTCAATTTTTGTCTCCTCAGAAGAAAGAATTCAACTGAGGGGACTAAGGCTGAAAGAGATGCTGAGGCAAGTTTTAGAGCAGGGGTGAAAGTTTGTTAAAAAGCTTTAGAGTGGGGATGAAAGGAAGTAAAGTACGCCTGGAAGAGGGTCAAGTGGGCAACGAGAGATTCAAGTGCACCGTTTGACTTTAGACTTACGGTTTTATATTTTGGCATGATTCCTTGGGGGGGGCGCAGGGGTTGTGTTCCTTCTTGCCTGATGCTTACCTTGAGGTAGGCTGTTCGCATGCACAGTGGCCGGCCAGCACTTGGGAGGGACTGAATGTGCAGTGTGTTTACTAAAGTTTTACGCATGCTTATTTGAGGCATTTTTAACTCTTCCGCTATGCCTGTTAGTGCGCATGCTTGAGCCCACTCGCCTAATTCCTGAGGTCTTATCAGAAAGCAGCTGATCACCAGTTTCAGGTGTTTTCTATCTACTGGAAGACGGTCCGTCCCTGGCACCAGCTGCAACTAATTATTACTTTAGCGAGGCAGTTTAACAACGGCTTGACCCTCATCTTATGATTGCCTGACATTCCTGGGGGTGGGAGGAGGGTTCTCCTGCCCTGCTCATCTCTAACTACCTGCTGTAGCACAAGGATGAGAAAGGAAAAAATCACTTTGTCATTATTTACAAATTACATGACCCTTTACGTCGATATCCCCAAAGAATATACAGAGTTATTGGGGTTAAAAAAAAGAACTCTTTAAATTGGCTGGTTGTCAGATTAAAATGGAAATACAAATCCAATTTTACAGAATAGCAACACTCAGAAAAAAAATTGAAATAATAACAATATATCAACAAAGCATATATCAGTCAGAGGTGGAGCAAGATGACCAAATTGAAGCCTCCACCAACAATCTTCCCCACAGGAACACCAGACTGAACAAGAATCCACACAAAAAGTCACCTTCATAAGAACCAAAAATCAAGTGAACAATCGCAATATGTGGTTTTAAATGCATATCACAGAAAGAGACACTGAAGAGGGTTAGAAAGACCGTACAGGATTGCCACTGCCACCTCTTTCTCATCCCCCAGTGGTTGGCCACATGATGCAAAGAGAGAATCTGTGCTTTTGGGAGAGGGAGAGGGCAAAGTGTTTGTGGGACTGTATTAGTCAGGGTTCTCTAGAGAAACAGAACTAATAGGATAGGTGTATATATGATGGGGAGTTTATTAAAGAGTATTGACTGACACGATCACAAGGTGAAGTCCCACAATAGGCTGTCTGCAAGCTGAGGAGCAAGGAAGCCTGTCCAAGTCCCAAAATCTCAAAAGTAGGGAACCTGACAGTGCAGCTTTCAGTCTGTAGCTGAAGGCCCCAGGGCTGCTAGCAAACCACTGGTGTTATGTCCAAGAATCCAAAAGCTGAAGAAATGGGAGTCTGATTTTCAAGGGCAGGAAGCACCCAATGCAAGAGAAAGATGAAGGCTGGAAGACTCAATAGGTCAGCTTTCCCTTCTTCTTCTGCCTGCTTTGTTCTAGCTGTGCTGGCAGCTGATTAGATGGTGCCCACCCAGCTGAAGGGTAGGTCTGCCTCTCTCAGTCCACTGACTCAATTGCAATCCCCTTTGGCAACACTCTCACAGATGCACCCAGGAACAATACCTTGTATCTTTCAATCCAATCAAGTTGACACTCAATATTAACCATCACAGGGACTTTGCATTGGAACTCAGTGCTGCCCTGCCACAGCAGAAAGCAACACCAGACAGAACTCAGCCAGCGCCAATGGAGGGAACATTTAGACCAGCCCTAGCCAGAGGGGACTTGCCCGTCCTGGCAGTCAGAACCTGAGTACTAGCAAGCTATGCTACCATGGGCTAAAGGATTCTGGGGTCCTAAATAAACTTAAAAGGCAGTCTAGGCCATAAGGATTGCAATTATTGAGCAAGTTATGGTGCTGTGCTGGACCCAGAGCAGGGGGCTTGGGAAGCATGTGACCTAATGAGACACTAGCTGGGAAGCCAAAGGAGTGCTTATGCCACCCCTCATCCATCCCAAGGTAGCATAGCTCAGTTTCAGGAGAGACTACTTACCTCTCCTTGAGAAGAGGAGAGGAAAGAGTAAAGAAGACTTTGTCTTACCACTTGGATACCAGCTCAGCCACAGTAGTATAGGATACCAGGCAGAGGTGTGAGGCCCCTGTTCCAGACCCTAACTCCCAGAAGACATTTCAAGACACACTCTGGGCCAGAAAGGAATGCACTGCCTTGAAGGGAAGGATGCAGTCCTGGCAGGATTTATCACCTGCTGACTAATGAACCCTTGGTCCCTGAATAATCAGCAATGATACCCAGGTAGTACTCATCATGGGCTGTGAGTGAGACCAGAGATGCGCTGGTTTCAGGTGTAACCCAGCACATTCTCAGCTGTGCTGGCTGTGAGGAGAGATTACTTATGCTTGAGAAAAGAAGAGGGAAGAATAAAAGGGGACTTTGTCTTGCAGATTAGGTACCAGCTAGGCCACAGTGGGGTAAAGCACCAAGGGGGTCCTTAGGGTCCTTGGGCTCAATCCAATCAAGTTGACACTCAATATTAACCATCATGGGGACTTTGCATTGGAACTCAGTGTCTTGGCTCTAGGATAGCACTTCTAGACTTGCTCTGAGCCTTAGGGGAGCCCATTGTTCTGAATGGTGAGTCCCGGGCCTGGCAGCATTCAGTAAAAGATGACTGAAGAGCTTTTGGTTCTTAAGTGAATATCAGTGCTAGCTATGCAGCGCTTGCTGCAAGCCTAGGGAAGTGGTGGCCAATGGGAGAGACTTCTCTGCTTATGGAAAGAGAGGAAAGAAGGGAAGGACTTTATCAATTCTATTAAGAAGCTATAATGGATTGTTCAATGTGTCAGTTCCATTTATCAACTCCAGAAATTCTGCTTGATTATTTTTAATTATTTTGATCTTTTATTAAATGTATCTGATAGAGTTCTGAATTCTTTCTCTGTGTTATCTTGAGTTTCATTGCATTTTCTCAAAACAAATATTTTGAGTTATCTGTCTGAAAAGTCACATATCTCTGTCTCTCCAGGTGATATGGTTTGGCTGTGTCATCACTGAAATATCATCTTGAAGTGTAGCTCCCATAATTCCCACATGTTGTGGGAGGGACCTGGTGGGAGACAATTGAATCATCAGGGCATGAGGACTTTATCTTGTTGTTTGGGTGTCAGCTCAGCAGCAGTAGCAATAGAACATCAGGTAGGTTTCTAAGGTTTTTGACTCCAGGCCCTGGCTCCTGGACATCATCTCTGGACCTGACCAGGGATGAGGGAAACTCACTGACCTGAAGAGAAGGACACAAGCCTGGTTTGCTTAAACACCTACTGATTGTAGCACCCCAAGGCCTTGAGTCACCATAAGTGGTAGCTAGGCAGTGCTTAGCACAGGCCTTGGGTGAGACCCAGTACCATGCTGGCTTCAGTTCTGACCCAGTGCAGTACAAGTGGTGGTGGCCACAGGGGTGTTTTTGTCACTCTTTTCCCAGCTTCAGGCAGCTCAGCACAAAGAGTGAGATTTCACTAGTGAGATTTCACTTGTTAGTAGAAAGTAACAGAAGAGAACATGAGTCTCTCTTGGTAATTGAGATAATTATTCTGGATATTATCCAAGATAACTAGGGCAGTACCTCTATGATTTTGCAAGATCCACAGTGTTATTGGGCTTGGTGTGCCCCTTAATGCAGATATAGCTGCAGAGACCAAAAGTAGAGTGCAACACCCAAATCCCTTTGAATACTTGGAAAGTCTTCCCAAGAAGGACGGATACAAACAAGCTCAAATTCTGAGGACTATAATAAATACTTAACTCTTCAATGCCCAGGCACTGATAAATGACCACAAACATTAAGACCATC
Organism: Homo sapiens; assembly: GCF_000001405.40. Classification (NCBI taxonomy): domain Eukaryota; kingdom Metazoa; phylum Chordata; class Mammalia; order Primates; family Hominidae; genus Homo; species Homo sapiens. The sequence goes on along the minus strand of NC_000008.11, from coordinate 114,569,033 downwards.
CAGGAAAACAGGAATTTAACAAGTAAACTGAATAAACCACTAGGAACCAATCCTGGTGTATTAGTCCATTTTCATGCTGCTGATAAAGACATACCCAAGATGGGGTAATTTATAAAGAAAATAAGTTTTATGGACTCACAGTTCCACATGGCTGGGGAGGCCTCACACCATGGTGGAAGGCAAGGAAGAGCAAGTCACATCTTACATGGTGGTAGGGTAGACACAATGAGAACCAAGTGAAAGGGGTTTCCCCTTATAAAACCAACAGATCATGAGAGATTTATTCACTACCACAAGAACAGTATGGGGGAAACTGCCCTGATGATTCAATTGTCTCCCACCAGGTCCCTCCCACAACATGTGGGAATTATGGGAGCTACAATTCAAGATGATATTTCAGTGATGACACAGCCAAACCATATCACCTGGAGAGACAGAGATATGTGACTTTTCAGATAGATAACTCAAAATATTTGTTTTGAGAAAATGCAATGAAACTCAAGATAACACAGAGAAAGAAGTCAGAATTCTATCAGATACCTTTAATAAAAGATCAAAATAAATAAAAATAATCAAGCAGAATTTCTGGAGTTGATAAATGGAACTGACCCATTGAGCAATCCATTATAACTTCTTAATAGAACTGATCAAGCAGAAGAAAGAATTAGTGAGCTTGAAGACAGACTATTTGAAATACACAGGCAGAGGAGACAAAGATACCAATGGCCTTCTTCACAGAAAAAAAAAAAAAATCCTAAAATTTAAGTGGAACCACAAAAGACCAAAGCTATCCTGAACAAAAAGAACAAAACTAGAGGAATCACATTACCTGACTTCAAATTATATTACAGAGCTTTAGTAACCAAAACAGCATAGTGAGTAGAAAGAGTCATAAGCGTCAGCATCTCCCAGGTGAACCACAAGTCTCTGTGAAAACCCTGAGCCTTCAGCCCTCACAGATGCCCAGCTTCATAGCTGAGGTTGCCTAGATGATCCGCCTGTTGCATGTAACCCACTGGCTTCCCTGAGCACATCCACTGACAGTGAGGTCCCACCCCTCATCTCTGCCTGCCAAATAGTTTATGCCTTGCCTTGAAGGGGGTTGCTCCCCTTGCCAACCCCACACTGCTATGATTGCCAACTCCAGGGATCCCATGTCAGCCTTCTGATAATGCCAGTCCACCCCACCTCAACTTATTTAACTTCCTAATTAAATCAGATTGTTTGTAAACCAAACAAAACAAAACAAAAAAAAACTAACATTAAAACAGACATATAGATTAATGGCCAAGAATAGAGAACCCAGAAATAAATCTATATATCTACAGCAAACTCATTTCAACAAAGTTGCCAAGAACATATACTGGAGAAAGGATAATCGCTTCAATAAATGGTGCTGGATAGTGGATATCCTTACGGAGAAGAATGAAACTAGATGCATGGCATATACAAAAATGAAATAAAAATGTATTGAAGACTTAAATCTAAGACCCAAACCTATGAAACTATTAAAAGAAAACATTGGAGAAACTTTCCAGGACATTGGACTGGACAAAAAGTTCTGGAGTGATACTCCACAAGCACAGGTAACCAAAGTAAAAATGGACAAATGAGATCACATCAAGTTAAAAGGATTCTACACATTAAAGGAAACAACAAAATGAAGAGACAACCCCCAGAATGAGAGAATATATTTGAAAACCATCCATCTGACAAGGGATTAATAAACAGGATATATATAAGTTGCTCAGACAACTCTATAGGAAAAAAATTCTAATAATTCAATCAAAAATGGGCAAAAGATCTGAAATTTCTTTTGCCCATTTTGAGAAATACATTTCTCAAAAGAAGACATATAAAAGGCAAATCAGTATATGAAAAAGTGCTCAACATTATTGATAATTAAAGAAATGCCAATCGAAACTAATGAAATATCATCTCACCCCAATTAAAATGCCTTTTATCCAAAGACAGGCAATAAGAAATGCTGGCAAGGATGTGGAGAAAAGGGCACCCTCATACACTGTTGGTGGGAATGTAAATTAGTACAACTACTATGGAGAACAGCTTGGAGGTTCCTCAGATACTTAATAATGGAGCTATCACATGATCCAGCAATCTCACTGTTAGGTGTATACCTAAAAGAAAGAAAATTCATGTGCAGATGAGATATCTGTACTTCCACATTTATTGCAGCACTATTCACAACAGACAAGACTTGGAAGCAACCTAAGTGTCCACCAATAGATGAACAGATAAAGAGAATGTAGTATATGTACTCAATGAAGTACAATTCAGCCACAAATAAGAATGAGATCCTGTCATTTGCAAGAACATGGATGAAACTGGAGGTGATTATGTTATGTGAATTATGATAAGTGCCAGGCACAGAAAGAAAAACTTTGCATGTTCTCAGTCATTTGTGGGAGCTAAAAATTAAAACAATTGAACTCATGGTGATAGTGAGTTGGACTACAGATACAGAGTCTGGGAAGGGTAGTGGGGGGTAGGAAGGGAAGATAGTTAATCGGTACAAAAATACAGTTAGATGGAATAATATCTAGTTTTGATAGCAGAAAAGGTGACTACAGTTAATGATAATTTAGTGGACATTTAAAAATAACTAAAAAAGTATACTTGGGTTGTTTGTAACACAATTATGCATTGTATGCCTGTATCAAAATATTTCCTGTAACCCATAAATATATACACCCACTATGTACCCACAAAAATTAAAAATTAAAAACTAAAAAACATTAAAAATAGAAAAGAAAACATATATCAAGTATCATACTTGGGATACATCCAAATAAAATATTCAATGATCTTTTGCAGAAAATTGTATAACATCATTAAAAACACATTAAGGAAAACCTAATAAATGCAGAGATATACTATGTTTATGAATAGAAACACCTGATTTAATAATGGTTACAAATTCCTACAAATCCAATGAATTTCTGATCAGCATCCTTCTTGGTTTATCATAAAAATTAAAATTTACATAGAAGAGTCAATGATTAAGAATAGAAAAAAGCTATTCCCATCCCATAAGATACATAGGCTAATTACAAAACTGTATTTCACATTTATTTTCATATTTAACATGCCTGAAATCATGACACATCTTAGAATATATGTCAACTTAGAATCACTGTCAGCTAGGCAGCAGTCTGCATGCAGTAGTTGTTAATGAGAAAATTCCATATCTTTCAGCATCAAACTTGTGTATCATGTTAGTGGTTTGATAAGAAAGCCCCCAGATACAAAAGAATAATAGAGCACTCCTTTAAACCTAAGAACAAATGGCTTCATGTGGAAGGGTGGGGGTGGAGTTGAATAAGAACTATGTTATAAATTCTCTAAGTGGGAGTCAAATTAAGCTAACTCTTTATAATTGCAAACTCTTTGTTGTTGCATAATCATGAACAATGGCTTTTTGTTCCTTTATGAGTTATTTTAAGAAATTCTACATCAGCATCATTCTTGATGGTATAAGAGATATAGTAAAAGATGATCTCCATATCTGTTAGTCAATATGTATTTCTGAATTTTTTGAACTTTGAATGTTGATAAGGTTTAGGAATACTTGACCCAATTTTTAATTTTGCTTAAATTTTCCTTTTCACATATGTAAAAAAAGTAGAATGTAATAAAATATGTGCCTGAAGAAATCTAAATAAATCCTTGAAATAAGTACAGAGTAAAAATTCAAAGTGGCTAAAAACCAGTGTATCATGGCATATGTACCATCTTACAGTTGATGTCATGTTTTTTCAATAAAATGTAGTCATTAAGAATCTCTGATACTGGCCAAAGAATATATTACTAAACAGACAAGACAGAACAGAGGGGCCAGAAAAAGATCCATGCTTAAATGGCAAAGCTGCTCTATGAGAGATAGAGTATTCAAATTAGTCTGGAAAAGATGCTGTGTTCTAAAACATTATTGGGAAATAATCTGTACAGAAAACAATTTTAAGCTGGATGTATTCTTAATCAAATCATATGTAAAATCAATTTTGACAGATTAAGATTAAAATGCAGAAAACAGAGGTATAAAACTTTTAGAGATAACTGCAAGAGAATATTCATATAAGTTTCAAGTAGAAAAAAATTTATTAACTAACCACAAAGCATAAAATATAGTGAAAAAGATAGATGAATTTAACCACAATAGAAGTTCCACTTACTAACATACCAAAATGTAAAGAAAAATAGTAAGATACTAAAAGAACATATTTTTAATACCAGTAATTGATGAAGGATTGGTTAGCTGGATATTGATAGAACATTTACAAATGATAAATATCAGAGTAATCAGAGAAAATAAATGGGCAAAAGATATGAAAAGGAATTTCACAGAATGATCAGATGATTACATGAAAAAAGAGGTCTCAACCTCATGTTTTAGAAAACTTATAAGTAAAACTACAATATATAATACTATATGTTCCTTCCCAGACTGAGGTGTGTATGCATTTTTGTGTGTGCACATGTGTCTGTGTATGTGTGTATGTGTTTATTTTAAATAAAGTTTGATCATAATGTGTGTTAGCAAGAACGTGGACCTTAGTAAATAGTCATATACTATTATGCTAAGCTAAGTATTAACTAGTATTGTAGAACATACATATAGGCCATGCCTTGGAAATTTTCCTTCAAGTATAAAGAAACCTTCATATATGTGTACCGGGAGACATGTGTACAATAATATTCATTGAAACATTGTTGGTAATAGCCTTAAACCAGAGAGAATGCAATTGCACATCAACAGGAAGATAATACATGCATAACATGTTATATTAATATAATGAGATACCACACAATAGTAAAAAGTCAGGAATTATAACATATGCATCAATATGGATGTCTCATAACGCTGGTTGTGTAAAAAATCACAATAATATACTGCCATTTTTTAATATATAAATTTTTAAAACAGGCAAAATTGAACAATGCATTATTAGAGATGCAGACATATGATTAGGGCAAATCTGTAAATAAATAAGTAAATAATATAGGATTCAGGATAGAGAGGATTGTATTTTGGGAGAATAATACGGTAGGAAAAAGTTCCAATATTGGCAATATACTTGTTTAGTCAGTTGTTTGTTAAATAAGTGTTTACTTTGTTATATTTTCAACTGTTTCAACGTAACTGTCATATTTACTATTTGGAATATATACTGTATTTCAAAATATATTTCTAAATGCAAACCTATTTTGATCCAGCAATGATCCTTTTTGGAATCCTCCTTCCAGTAACAGTCATGAGGGCAAAGACATATATGTTGCATGATGTTTATTACTACATTCTTTGTTATAATAAATTTTTGAAGCAACATAAATTTTAATCAATAAGGGAATAGTTATTTATTTATTTACTTACTTATTTATTGAGACAGGATCTCACTCTGTTGCCCAGGCTGGAGTGCAGCAGCATGATCTCAGCTCACTGCAGCTTGGACCTCCTGGGTTCAAGTGATCCTCCCACCTCAGTCTCCTGACTAGCTAGAACTACAGGCAGATACCACCATTCCTGGCAAATTTTTGTATTTTTGGTAGAGACAGGGTTCTTGCCATGTTGTCCAAGCTGGTCTCAAACCCTTGGGCTCAAGCGAACTGCCTGCCTCATCCTCCCAAATTGTTGGAATTACAGGTGTGAGCCACTGTGCCTAACCAATAAGGGACTATTTAAATAAATCATTCACACACATGCACAAACACACAGCTTATTTAAAGACTAAAAGTTAAAAATCTGTGGCATTATGTTCATGATACACTGATCGAAACTAGTGCAATTTCAAGAAAGCAGATGGAAAACAATTTCAGTTTCTCAGAATTGCTTAAAATATATGTAAATAAATATGATGGATGTCGTTCTTTATTTACTATTTTTTTCTTCCTTCCTGCCTTTGACAAGATTCCCTGTAGGTAAAACATACTTCCATACTTCTTTGAGTTTGGGCTTGGGCACGTGACTTGCTTGACCAATTAAAAACAAGTGGATGTGACTTATTCTACATTCAAGCAGAAATGTTAAATTTTCCTTTCATGGTTTCGTTCTGCCTTTTCCTCTGCCCATCATAAGAGAATGCCATGCCCCAGACAGGAATAGCTCCTGTCTGGGGCATGGCATTCTTTTTGGTGTGAAATGGAAAAGTGACCTCATATAAGCTAGATAAGCCCACCAAAGTTTCTGTCAGTCTGCAGCCTCCAAGCAGCAATAGCAACAAATAAGTGTATCTTGTTGTGAATCTTTAATGTGTTATCTGTTACTGGAACAAACTGTGACTAAAACAACAGATAAAAATATAAAATCATATCGAGATAATAGGGAAGCATTTAATATACATATAAAATTTTGAAGTTATTTTGTAGTGTTAAGATGATTGTATGTTAAGGTTGAATTAGAAGAGCAATCCTAGAAAAAAAAAAGTGAGCTTCTGTATACGTTTAGCAACATACAATAGAATTTTACTTTCAGATACAATGCACAATATACAGTATCCCAGACTCTAATACACTGTATCAGCCATCTTCCTTTGGGGATTAAAATGTGGAGGTACTTAAGGAAGAAGTCTTGATTATTTTTAGTGTGAAATAGTTGTCTGCTTTATATATACTTATAAACATATACAGTCGTGTCGTTTGATGGGATATGTTCTAAGAAATGCAGCCTTAGGCAATTTTGTCATTGCATGAACATTATAGAGTGTATATACACAAACCTAGATAGTATAGACTACTATACATCTAGGCAATATGGTATAGCCTATTGCTCTAGGCTACAAGCCCATACAGAAGGTTACTGTATTGAATAATGTAGGCAATTGTAGCACAGTGCTAAGTGCTCATCTAAACATATCTAATGGCATTAAAAGTAATGGCAAAACTGCAACCACTTGCACCAACCTAATATATTCACATGTATACATGTGTGTGTATAGTATGTACATATACACATGCAGGCATGTGTATGTGTATAGTATGTACATATACAAATGCAGGCATGTGTATGTGTATGTATATATATGCAAGTATACATGTGTATGTGTATATGTGTGTAATATGCACATGTATACATACATGTATGTATAAACATGTATACATGTGTATGTATGTATACACATACACAGACACATATATGTATACATTATAAGAGACAATTATATCTGTATATATAAAATAGTTCCCAAATTTTCCCATTTGTATATCTGTGTATATATAATAGTTTCATTATAAGGACTGTATGTAGCTGAGTTTTATATATATACACACATATATACATATATATTACACGTAGATATTATATTACAGATAGATATGCATATATTATATAAGCGTATATATACACATAGGCACAGGATTTATATGTGTATATATGTGTGTGTGTGTAGATATATATGTGTGTGTATATATATATATATAAATTTAATATAGCCATCAAGGATGTGTCACTCCTCTCACTGGAATTCAGCAGCATATCAAAGATATTCCATCATATCTTCATGAAATGACCAAATATTAAGGTACTGAAACCTGATTAGTGTAAAACAATGTGTCTGTTTGGGAATGGAAGCAAAATAAATGTAGTATGGGTATGCCTGTGAAAGAGAAAGGTGCACAAGAAGCTTAACAACCTTCTAGCTGCCAAATATCTTTGCTTGTACTTTCTTTGTCCATGCATCAGTATGCTAAAAATCTTGGATAAATCCTAATCATTGCCTTTATCTTACTCAAGTCATGCCTTATCTAACAACCATTGTCTTTTTGAAATTGATAAAACAATGTATTATTCATAAAACATGTACTACGTAAATTCTATGATTGTAGCAATTTGTGTGTCATCTCATGTTAAAAACTTCCAGAAATATGAGAACATTTCTTATGTATGTATTTTTATTTCTATTAATAACTTACCGGAGTAGACAATCAATATTTATTGTGGCACAAAAGTAAAATATACAAATACTTATGATATCTTACTTGTGCCCCTTATGTAGTCATAATATATATCTAGTATGCTCTGTTGCCTGCTTGTCATTCTGTTTTTAGAATGTTTTGTGGTCTGGCTGGTGAAATAATTATCATGTTTCCATAGTATAATAATATAAATCAAACAGGAAAATTAATTGACATATTTGAAAACAATGCATACGTGTTATTTAGCAAACTTCAGCAAAATAGAGAATTTTTTCCAATTTTCCCATAATTTCCCTGTAGCATAAGGAGATAGAAGATGCCAAGGTTCAGCAGAGAATAAAATGAAAAGCACTTTTTTGGTTAAGTTTATTCCTAGGTACTTTATTTTTAGCTCTTGTAAATGTAATTACTTTCTCGATTTCTTTTTCAGATTGTTCATTACTTGCAGATAGAAATATATTCACGATTTATAATAAATATATAATTTTACTATAATTGCTGCAGAATTTGTTCTTATAGCCTCAGAACTCTATAAATGTTAGTTAGCTGTAACAGATAGTGTTCTGGATCAGTATAACAGCAAGCATTGACTTTCCATCATTTGGGTGGTAAGAGGAAGCCCCACCTTTCCCAGTGTCTGAGTAACCCTTGGATGCCACACAAGAGTTTTGCTTTGCCTATAAATAGGGCAATAAACTTGCATGAAACATCAATGAATATTTTCATTCCAAGGAAACATGTACAGTAAACTCTATAAAATGTCAGCTTGATGCTGGTGTATTAATAGTTTCATTACAAGAAGAACTGCATGTAGCTAAGTTTTATGATCTGGGGGATCCGAATTGACCATTAATTTGATTGAGTTCTTTGGTGTATAATATAAAATATGTAGTTTATTGATTAACGAAAGATTACAGTGATGCTTACTGCTGGTAATTTGATGACTGCAAGGGGAACTAAAGAATAGAAAGAAAAAACTTGAACTACAGTTTAATACAATCGAGCATCTATTATTTTCAATTTTATAATGCTAAATATTAGAAGAGTTATAACACCTTTTCTATCCTTTAGAATCTCCTCATAATCTTACTCTCATGATGCAAATTTCTTCATGAATCTCTATGTATGGTCTTCCATTCTGGGCCCAGAATCTCACATACTAATGCTTCTATTTTCTCATAATCTGTGGTAGAAGACTCCGTTTCAGTTATTTTATTTCTTCCTTTCTTCCTTTTTAATTTCCAATTCATTGCAAAATGACATCATTTTAAAAACACAATAAAAGAAATTACTAAAAATTATGATTAACTATTTTGCTTCTATTTATTTCTGTAGTTGTCAAGAAAAAATTATATGTATTTGTGGTGTGCAACATGTTTTGATACATGTATGCTTTGTGGATTGGCTAAATAAAGCTACTAAACATACGCATTTACTCATATAATGTTTTTCATGTGTGTGGTGAGAACACTTTAAATCTATCTTCTTAGCAATTGTCAAGTATAAAATGTATTGCTATTAAGTATAATCAATATAGCATGCAATATATGAACATTTTTTATCCCTTGACAAACGTCTGCTTCATCTCCCCACACCCTAGCCTCTGGTATCCATTATTTTGCTCTGCTTTTTGTGGATTCGACTTTTTTAGCTTTCATCTACAAGTGAGATCATTCAGTATTTGTCTTTATCTGCATGGCATATTTTGCTTAACATAATGTCCTCCAAGTTTATTCATGTTGCTGCAAATGGCAAGATTTCCTTTTTGGTTGTTTCATATAAAACAAAACAATATTCCACCAGACAATTATTTATCTGAATAATATTCTACCAGATAGTTTGTTATTGTGGGGGCTGTTCTGTTTCTTGCAGAATGTTTAGCAGTGTATCAGTCTGTTCTCACGCTGCTAATAAAGACATATCTGAGGCTGGGAGATTTATAAGGAAAAGAGGTTTAATTGACTCACCTCCACATGACTGGGGAGGCCTCACAATCATAGTGGAAGATGAAGGGGAAGAAAGACATGTCTTACATGGAGGCAGGCAAGAGAACTTGTGCAGGAAAACTCCTATTTATAAAACCATCAGCCCTCATGAGACTTATTCACTACCATGAGAACAGTATGGGGAAACCGACCCCATGATTCAGATATCTCCCCTGGCCTCACCCTTGACATGTGGGGATTATTATAATTTATGGTGAGATTTGGGTGGGGACACAGCCAAACCATATTAAGCAGCATTGCTGATCTCTACCTACTACATACCAGGAACAGCAGCCCCTCAAGTTATGAAAACCCAAAGCATCCAGACATTGCCAAATGACCTCTGAGAGGCTAAATTACCCTTAATTCAAACCAAGATATATCTGATAGATATATTTAAATTATATTACTTTTTATTAAAGACATTGATTTAAGATCCATCATTTCTTCATTCTTGAACTTGGGTGAAAGCTAAATCAAATGTTCTATAAATAGGACTTGATCAAGATAGATTTTTTAAAAGGTACTATTAAGTTATATACCTATTTCATTGGTAAATGGTGTTACATTACTGAGCATAGTATACAAATCTATAGAAACTCTGTTGTTCTATGCTTCTAACTTTCACTATGTCTATAAATTCTCAAATTTTCACATATTCGAGTTGCAGTGACGTCTAGTTTTGAACATCATACACTATATATGGCCCTGCTGTCCCTAACTGGTATACAGGTTTTACCACATTTGACTGACTACAGAAAATCAGCAGGCAACACTTCTACTAGTGTTTAGCCTGTTTCATAAGAATAATCCATTTGTTTCCTGGAAGTCCTCACATCCAATGACCAATTTCTCTTTTAAACACTAGTCACTTACACACGGTCTCTAATACAAGCCATCACAAAATGGCACCAAAGTGAAATTGTAATATCAAGTATTAAACATTTTCTTCACAGTTACACTAAGTTAAAGCTCATTTGGACAGATTTTCCTAAATATTTTTGCTTTATTGAGATTTCTGATTAGTTATCGCCTCCAATTTTTGACCACCAATCACAGCTGTTTTTTCTTTGTCATGCTTGGATTTAATAATCTATCACTGTAATCAATGCCTCTCAAAAAGCCTCAGTTCCCTTTCTTTTGCTCCAATGTGTTCATCTAACAAATACTCAAGCCTGGGTAAATTTAATCAATTCTGCTCCACAATTTATTGAGAAAGCAAAACTCATTAAAATTACTCCTACATCTTACCAATTCCATATCTATAAAACTATTAAAACTATGTATGCTTTTTTCTTCCTCTTATCACAAATCTGATTCCTCTAATCTAAGGCCAGTCATTCTAAGTGGACTGTGGGTACCCTCTTTTATTGCACTCCTAAATTCTGCTATGTTCTATTTTTAATTTTTTTGAGGAGACTCCATACTGTTTTTTTTCTTAATGGCTATCCTAATTTGCATTCCCACCATCAATGTATAAAGGTTCCCTTTTCTCCACATTCTTGCCAACACTTATCTTTCATCTTTTTGATAATAGCCATTCTAACAGGTGCAAGGTGATATCTTGTTTTGATTTACATTATACAAACATCCTTCACTATACATGAGGGATTGGTTCGAAAACCCCTATATATACTGAAATCTACATATACTCAAGTCTTGCAGATGATCCCTTGGAACCTGCATAAATAGAAAGTCAGCCCTTGGTATATGGGGTATCACATCCCATTAATGTTGCATTTTCAATTTGCCTTTGGTTGAAAAAAATTCACATATAAATGGACACACGCAGTTCAAACCTGTATTAATCAAGGGTCAGGTGTAATTCCACTGCATTTTCATATCTACTAACCCGTTCTAAATAGTATTTAAACATGTGACAATTGTCGTCCATCTTAAAAAAAAAAAAAAGAATTGCCTTGATTCCTGACTTTGTCTACAGCTATTGCCTTGTGTCTCTACCATCCTGTGCAAAAAAAACGAAGATTCTTGATGAAGTCGTCTACAAATTACTTCTTTATTTTGTTGTCATCCATTCTTTTAGTCCTCTCCAATCTAGTTTCCACTATCCAAAAGAAGTATATTTATTTAAAAGTAAATTATGATGTTCATGTTGCTGAATTTGACGGTTAATGTTTATTCTTCATCTTAAAAGAAATTTCTGCATCATTTGAAAGATGTATGCATAGTATCCTTCATGATACACTATTTCATTTTGGTATCCATGACAACAACATTTCTGTTTGCCTCTTGCGTATCTCCTTTCTGGTTGCTGTTTCTCTATCTAACTACTAAGGATTGAAGTTTTGAATCCATGAATCCTTGATCTGATGCTCCCACAGAAAATACTTTCTTTTTATTGTGTCACATTTTATAACTTATCTGACTTTTTATTGCCTTTCCCTACTAAATCATTTTTTCTATCATTTTTCATCTAGTATAACAAACAATGCTCAAGATATAGTAAATTTTCATCAAGTGTTTCTTAATTATTTAAGCCATCAATTTATAATTATATAATTATAAATAAATAGAGATATAAAAGCATTACTAATTATAAGTCATAATAGAATATTAGAGTTATTTAGAAAAATTAGATAGGGAAAGATGGCAGAAAGAAATTAAGAAATGTTTTTGTTTTTTATTTTTCCTCAGAGCTAGTTGATTCATGCCCATTTTATGGATTTTATCTCTTGGAAAATTAAAACTCAATTGGGAGAAAAAGGCACACTGAGTTAACTAATGTGGTCCCGCCTCTCAGTGTTGAACACATAAATATAAAGGACAGTACAATGTTCTTCTTAAATCCTTATATACCTACATCAATTCTGAAAATGAATTCTGGCCATAAACAACTCACGAAACAACAGCATCAATAAATATGAAAGAGAAATGCCCTCAACTTGTAAAACATTCTGCCCATGTAGAGGGAAGTTGATTCCAAATTTTGAGAATTCTTCAAAGTCCTTTACTCATTTTCAAAAGAAAACTCCTATTCTGAAAATGAATGTGTACCATCTGCTAAATTTTTTTTTGTAATTGATGAGCATCATCTATTTGAAAGTCTTTGCCCACAAGAAGTTCAGCTGTAGAATTTTTAGTTTTCAAAGCTGTAGAATTTTTCAGTTTTACCAGCTGAGGGGACCCATAAAGTGCTACATGTTGAGAATTATTATTGTGGGTGGTATTAAAGTGTAACTAAGTAAATAATAATTTCGGCCTAACCAACAATGATATACTTAACTCCTATTTTGTAGAGACGGCAGCATGTTGATCAGGCTGATCTCAAACTCCTGGGCTTAAGGCATCCTTCAGTCTCAGCCTTCTAAATCAGTGAAATTAAAGTCATGAGCCACTGTACCTGGTTTTGTTTTTTGTTGTTGTTTGTTTGTGTTTTGTTTTGTTTTTGTTTTTTTAGAACAAAATAACATAATAAAATTACCTGGGTCTTCAACTCAATAATACACTGAAAGGAGGTAATCTTGAATGCCTTTGCATAATCAAGTGGATATAATGGCCTGTAATCAAAGCTCCTCCAAAAAGCTGAACGCTGTCTACTTTGACTCAGAAATAATAATAATAATAATAATAATAATAATAATAATAATGCACTCTGTCTTCTTCGACTCCTAAACAAGCACATGGCTTTTAGCGATTTAGTGAAAGAAGAGCCCATCTCTACTTTCTGGAATCAGAAGGGATCTGAAAAGAGATAAAATTTAGTCCAAATCCTGTATGGATTAGATATATGTGGAAACTCTGTGTGTGTGTGTGTGTTTAACAAAAGACAAAGTTCCTCAAAGTCTTACAAGTTGCCTACTATGCTTTAGAATAGAGAAATCAAATGAACACAATATATTCATCAGCACTTATTTTTCAATCTCCTTGACATTTATAACTTTATAGGTTTTATAATGACCCATGTTGTCCTTCAGCATAGATCTGCACAGCCCTTCTTTAAGGCTAGCATGAAGGGCATTTAAGAGCCAAAAAGCTCTTTGTAGAACCTAATAATACCCCCTCAAAAGCAAGGTGAAAAGTTTATTTCAGCAAGTTATACTGATGCTAATGATTTAATAACCAGATAAATAAAGATGAAGAACATCTAAGATGGAATATCCCTTTAACCAAAAACTGACCAATCTGAAATATACACAGATGTATCATATCTCCCCAGGTGTAATTGGTTCTAATCATAGAACACATTATTTAATTCGGTAATATTTGTAATTTTGGTAGGGGAATGGCTCTGCTGTGTTGCCCTGTTGACATTGCATGTCTCCACATACACAATCTAGGCAAGGCTTAATCACAGCTGACATGAGCCTTGGCAGAACACCCAGTAATCTTCCCAGAATGTGAAAATATAGGTGGTTAGTGAGGAGCTGCTGCAAGGCTATTTCTCACTCTACTCTATCTACTCCCAGGCAGCTGTCGTGACACAGTTTCTTATCACCTCCAGAGTTTTGATGAGATAGGAGACTTACTGCCTTGCTCATTTTAGGGTGCAGCTGCAGGCTATAAAACTGCTTAGCTGTAGCAAAGAATTAATTCCTCAAAAACACATGCCCAACTGCTTGTGCTTAATTGCCATGTCATCTGGCCTCTTTTGTTTCCGTGTCATCCTGTGAGACAAGAGATATGGCAGGGAACTGTCACCTGTGTTTATCTTGCTTTTGCTGTCTATACAAGTAATAAACTTGATCTAACAAGATATTATTTCATTACTGTCCAAGTCTGTCTTCCTTAAATTGCTCACTAATTAATCAGTGTTACTACCAATAATTGTTATTATATTTATTAAAATGAATAGGTAACCAATATATCGAAAATATTGTATACAATATTTTAAAGTGTACATCTTCTTAGGCAAGACATAATTTTTCTTTTCTTATAATTACAAAAACAGGATCATTGGTTTTATAAATGTGTCAAAAAATCTAAGCTATAATTATAAAATATTTTGGCTATTATGAGATTTAAAATCAAATGAGACTTAATCTTGTTAGTATTAAATCTTAATCATAAACTATGAAAACATGAACTCTCCTGTAACAGCCTGGTAAACCAAATCCCTAGTTCATTTTCTGTCTCTGGTTCAAACTGATTCTCTAGAAGTTTACCTTTATTTGCAAGTATGAAGAAGAGAGTTTATTACTGAAAAGTTGCTCAAACATAGTCTTTTTGATGTGCCATCAACAGAAAAACTAAAATTTGTCTGAAATATAAAATTATAGGTAGACTCTATTGCCAATATAGTACTTAAAAACCTGCAATTAAACATGTCACACAGTATTATAGTATTAGATCTGTCTTATCATATCCAGAAAAAAAAAGATGATAATAACAGATACCAATAGTTCTACAGATCTTTGAAATTCAGCCTTCAAATGCTTTCATTTGTGAAATCTGAGAAGTGAAAAGAAATGCTTCCCATATCAATTCTTCCTAGTAAACAAACTGGAGAAGCTTTATTGTTAGTCTCTACTAGATATTCATTATGCTGATAACTAGGAACACCTTCTGCACCAGTATGAAAAGAGGAAACATGCTGTGCATTTCAAAAAAAGGAGCTGGTTACAAGAGCGTTTGAAGACTGAGAGTGCACAAATAGGAAGGAAAGGCAACTCAAATATTAGAAACTACAGGAAGTCATTAGCAACTTTAAGACTAGAAGGGAAATAAGGAAGTTATCACAGCATATAATTGTACTTCTTGCTTATCCTATACAAATAGAACTGCTGTTGCTTCCACTGTTTGATCCATTCTTTTACTGCTGATATTTTTGGAGCCTATGTCCTCCATCAGCCACTATCAATTACCACTTGATTTTTTCGAAAGAATTGCTGATGGCTTCTGGAGACTTTGCCACCTGTTTTTGTTTGAGTTTTTAAGAGGCAAAGAGATGAAAAGCAATGTTTGGATCTCATCTTCTCCCTACTAATCCCCCATTGATGCCATCCATTAATCAAACTTTACTGGAAGCCAGCTGGCAGCTGAGTCTTGGAAATACAGTTTGCATGGCCCCAGGCTTTGAAATAGAAAGCAGAGCACAGAAAGGTAGGAATGGGCCTGAGAGGCAGTAGGTAAAAAAAATGACATACTCCCCAATTTTTATTTATGATCGTGTGTCCATTACTCATAGCCTGGTGCTCTGAATGGGGTTTCATGGCTTATCCAGATATTAAAAATAATTACACTAATCTAAGCCAATCTGTACATTGCATTGTAATAGCCATGATGATTGACTCACAGGTAAACCTAATTGTAATAAATCTTAGAATATTTTCAAAAGATACTGAAAAACATATATTATCTTTCTCTCTCTTTAAAGCTAAAAGTATGTGGAGTAAGAGGTGCTGTGGTTAAATTTTTCTACATGCTGCCTGATTGAAAGATGCCAAAACAATTAGATAGTCCAGTAAAAGGTTGAGCAAAAACAATCATAAATTGATTTGACTTGCAAATATAATGTTTAAATCTGGATTATCTGGATATATAAAAAAATTCTAAATATCTTTATTGATATATTTTCTTAAGCTATTTTTCACTTGTAATCAAAAGAATTCTAACATACCTGAGATAGATGTCTTTAGAGAACCTATAACTTAAGTACAGTAAATAAAAATGATCAATCGTGGCAATTTTCATGTGCACAGCATGTTAAGAGAAGTGCTATTGAGAGGAAAGTTAAAGAGAAAGAAAAGAAAAAGAAAAATACAGGAATGGAAAAGGAATTTAGGATGCCAGAGAACAGTATGTTATTAACATTTTCTAATTTTAAATAGGGAAATTAGAATAGGGCTCACTGAGAATGTAAGAGCTGAACCAATATCATAAGGAAATGAGGGAGTTAAAAATAATGTTCTGAAGGGAAAGTGTTCAAGGCAGAGATAATAGTTGGTACAAAGGTCCTAAGGTAAACATATCTCTGGTATGTTTGGGAAACAATTACAAAGCTGGTGCAACTGGAGTGGAGTGAAGAAGGAAGATCTGAGAATGGGGAGGGGAGAGGATCACATAGGGTATTGTAGACATTGTGGAGATTTCAGATTTCACGAAAAGTAAAACAGGAAAGGTTGAGTTTTTAGTGGGACAATAACATGGTATCATTTACTCTGTGAAGGTTTACTCTGCCTGCTGTGTTGAAGGCAGTCCATGCTATATTTTGTCAAGATTTCCACAAAGCACACTCATTCTTCTTATTTCTCTATTTCTTCATCAGGAGCTTCAGAAGTCCATATATGAATCTGTTCCCTCTCCAAATGACCAGTGAATTATTTTGGGGATATATCTGGCATATGAAAATGCTCATTCTATTTTTTACCCTGACCCTTTATGATGGGAGATTAATAATATTTATTGGCCACTTAGACCTGATAGAATTGCACATTAGTGGTCTACCTTACCCATAGGTTCATGATACCATACTAGTACAAACTTTTTACATTCATATTTTAATTTCCACATGTGAGTGCTTTAGAATTTGGTCCTCACATTATACAAATCAAGCTAAGACAGTTGTGACAATGCCGACATCATTGGTGTTGAGAATAATCAAAGACATGAGAAATGTGTATTACGAAAATGCAGAATAATCTAGCACATTTAAATTTAGAAAAGAATTGCTATCTTAAAGTAAAACCATAAAAATGTTTCTATTAGGAGAATCTTAAGACGTTTTCAAAAACAGTTATGGCTAAGCTGTAAGAAATGAAACAAATTTACATAGGAGAGATAAAAGATAAATATGCAGAATGTTGTGAATTTTAGGGATATGAAGATTATACAGGAATTGACCCTGGAAATCACCAGCAAGAGAGCAGCCATCTGCTCTGTTGTTTAGATACCCATCTTTTACCTACAAGGGTTCATTTTGTCCCTTGAGGTTTTTCAGCTCTTGTTCAGTGATCCATGCTTAGTCAATAATTCATTCCAGGGCTCCTGAAGTTATGGTTTGGGTTTATAGTCTACATGGCTTAAGTCAATGATTTTTAAAAATGCATTTACATGAAAAAGATTCAGGGGATCTACAATACTTGATTAAATTGCATTTTAAAATTTTGTTAAAAACTATAATTAAAAACGAATTCACTCAATTATACCATAGATACCAAATTTTCAGACACTGATGGCTCACATTATTTTTTTACTTATGCAGTTAATTCAATATATTTGTGGACTTGTGTGGAATAAACAGTCTTCTGCCAACAATGGATATATATTTAAGCTTTTCATTTTTATAAATAAGTAATTGACTATGAAGTTGTTGGCTCTGTATTGACTTTCAAAAATACATGCAAAACTTCCCATTTAAATATAATAAGCACATTATGTAATATATTGTTAGCATCTACATATGTTGAAAATGACTTCAAACTCTTCAGATCTTTTGACTGATGTTTTAAAGTCCTGAGAAATTATGCGAGATTTGTATACAACATTTCAGATCAGAATGCTATAATAGTAAGTTTTGCAAGATAAGCTTACGCATAAAAGGACAAGATAATATGCTATACAGTTTTACTGCTTATTGTAAGTTTTGCATGATATATCTCAATACTTATAAAATTTGTGTATATGTATACATGAGGATGGTGAGATTTGTTTTTCATAGTCTAACTTTGATAAAGCATTCTACGTCTGTTTTTTTTCAAGCTTTGAGATCATTTTAATTGAAGAGGATCATGAAGTAGTTATGTGAACAGTGAAACAATAGTAAAAACAAAAGTAAGATTTAGAACACTTCATGTATGTGAATCACCATGTTTTCCAAAATCAGTAATGAAAACAAAATACAAAATGATACTAAAATTGGTAAGAGACTGCACATTTCATTAGTAAGCCCTCGTATCATATGTTTGCTCTTAAACAGATCTACTCTTACTGTTCATTATATTTGTTTTCTATTGCTGTGTAACAAGTTACCACAAACATTGTGGCTTAATGCAACACCCATTTATCTGCTCATGGTTCTCTAGGTCAGAAGCCCAGTGCAGCCTGAGTAGTTTCTCTGCTAAGGGTACAACAGGGCTAAAGTCAATGTGTAAGCCAGGCTGAGTTCCCATGTGGAGTTCCTGAGGAAAATTCTCTCCCAACTTCGTTCTTGATATTTGCAGAGCTCAGTTCCTTGCAATTGAATGACTGATATTCCTGATTCCTTGTTTGGTGTCAGTGGGATCTACTCTCAGCTCCTAGAAACTGCCAGCTTTCTCTGCTCTATCTTCAGAACCACCAATAGATAATGACCTTTTGTCAAATTCCTCTCATGATTTGACTCTCTCTCAAGGAATAGTATAGTGCCTTTTTAGGGATCACCCAGTTAGATAAAGCCCAGTGAAGACAATCTTCCTAATTTAAAGGCAACTGATTTGGGACATTAATTACATCTGTAAAATCTTTTACAGAGCACCTAGATTAGTGTTTGATTGAGTGGGGGAAGTGTTTGTATACCAGAATGTAGGGAAGCTTATGGTTGTTGTAGAATTCTGCCTATCACAATTTATCTTTTTGATTAATACAAATGAAATTATGCATGTTTACACATAAAATAATATATTTTTGTATAGTACTTAAACATCCTAGTGGTCTAAATAAATATTTTTAAATTACAGGTTTAAGAATATACTTTTGAATGAAAAAATAAAATACACCAAAATATTGACCAATTTCAGATAGGTTACTCATTCTAATTGGTAGTGATTTGTATGGAAGTAATATATTAATGACCTTGAGCTCACATTTTCGATTCTCAGTAACACTTTTCTCCTACTCTTTCAAGGTTTTATCCTAAGTGTCTAACTCAGTGAGCATAAGTCCACTAGTGTGAAGCAGGATTTCTACTTACACTCATCAAAGTAATTATTCTTAAGGATTTTAAGGCAGTCATATTATCAAAAGACCATTTATTCATTTTCATGAATAATTTAAATAGAAATAATTCGGAATGACAGAAGAGTTGCAAAGACAGTACAGAGATTTCCCATACATCTTTTACCAAATATCAACTAATGTTGACATCTTACATAACCATGGTTAATATATCAAAGCTAATAAATTGACATTGGTACAATTCCATTAACTAAATTAGACATGTTTATTTGAATTCCCTCCATGTTTCCACTAATGGGCTTCTCTGTTACAGGATACTATTCAAAATACCATGTTGACTTTATTAGTCATATATTCTCAACATCTTCAATCTGTCACGATTTTTAGATCATTTCTTTCTTTTTTCTCCTGACCTTGACACCTCTGAAGAGTACTGGTCAAGCATTTTAAAGAATGTCATGTAACTTTATGTTTTTTAATGTTTTCTCATGATTGGACTGGATTTATGGATTTGGTGAGGAGAATACTAGAGAAGTAAAGTAAATTTTTAATTATATGACAGTAGAGGAGCGCATGATATCAATGTAAGTTACCAGAGGTGAATTTAACGTGGATCACAAGCTTAATATGCTGTCTGCAAGGTCTCACCACTGTAAAGTCATTATGTTCCTGCTTGCATAATCTGTATTTTAGAAAGGAGTCACTAAATCTACCACTTAAGTTTTACCTCCCGAAGAGGTAGACAGGTAGAACTATCAAAGAATTTGTGGACATATGTTAAAATCACCATACTAATGAATAAATATTTTGTGGAAGATACAGTGAAAATCTGTAAATATCATATTTCTCCTTAGGGTTTCTCCAGTAATTTTCTGTATTTTTCTATGGATCCTGCCTGCAGCAATTCTTACTGTGCTATTTAAATTGTGATTTTTCTGTTTCTCACCATTTCTTCTAGCTTTTTTAACTAAAATTTTTCTGTAAAGGTTATTTGGTTCTTCTTTCAAATTTATTTAGTTATTAATTCCCATTTACTTAATTATTCTTTTTCTCATATATTTATTCATTTATTATATTTTTTACTTATAATCTAATAAAATGATCAGTTATCATTTTCTCACATTGTTCCAGCATTGGCCATTGATTACTTTTCCAAGTAATATCCTCATGGCCCAACCCACCCCCTCCTCTGGCCCTAAATATCCCTTTTAATTAGGATATTTCATGAACACATTGATTCCTCTCAGCCATTTTTAAACATTTGCTCACTTTCTGGCACTCAAGTATATTTCAGTTTCCTCTGTACTGTCTTTGCCCCAACCTCAGGATCTCCATTTCTCCTAGGAGCCGTGGAGTTTGTGGTACACTGAAGGAGGCCATAGCAAAAACAAAGTTGAAACCCAACTCAATTTCTAACTAGATTAACATAAACCCTCACACTGAAAATGAACTAATTTCCTAGGGGTGTTTTTGCTCTGTTTTGTTTTACATTTATGCAACTTGGTTGGCTTCAGGTCTCCTCTTTCCACTCTTCCACGAAAAAAACCTCTGTTGCTTGCAACTCTCACAACTGCATTGATGCTGTCAGTGTGGTAACAGGATCTCAGACTGGAAGGGGAGGGAATTTTCTGATGTTGCGATTAAACCAGTTTTAGGAAGGCTCTATGACCTTAGTTCTCAGGACTGTGATCTTTAGCAAGTGTTCCTGCCTTTTCTCCAAGTACAGTAGTTGTTGACCTAACACATATTCCTGCCCCTTCCTGGTGAAAGCATTTTCACTCAATCTTTACTCCCAGCTGCCATGGAGTTCGCCAGCATCCTAAAGCAGTGTTTGTGCTTTAGAACACAAACGCTGCTTTTTTCTTTAGCCTTTTGTCCTAGGAGAGTGAGGAGAGATGCACCTGAGTGGAGATTCTTCTTCATTTCTTGCTGTTTCGCTTCAGCTGGTACTGGGGAAGCTTTCTCAGAATGCTCTTTGTGAGCTTCTGGTGGAGTTCATGAAGGAAAAGCCTGCAAGAGGGTGCAAACCTTTCTATGACAGTGTCCCTTAGTGGCTTCACATTCTCCTAGCCCACATCTTAAGCAATTTGTTAAAAGAAAAACTCGTTGCCAAATCTTTTAACTAGTTTATTTAGCGTCAAGAAGGCATCTGCTCCAGGTAAGCAAAGGCACAGGTCTAGTTTCTCCCTGGAAGTACCTCTCCCTCACCAGAATTCTGATTAGTCGTTTGTCCTGTGACCTCAGTTCTCTGATGATTTAAGTCATTAGTCATTTATCCAACTTTTTGTCTTGTTGTGAGTATGGAAGAAATTTTCTATCTCTGTCTCTTTGAGCTAAAACAGCCCCCAAATTTATTTTGAAGTAATCTGAAAGGGGGACTGATAGGGTAACAGTATAAAATCATGAATAAAATAAAAATACTTGCATTATGTGATTAAATTTCATGTTTTTTATATAGTTGATTATATCATTAAGGACATTGTGTGTTCTAGATACTAACACCTAGAATTGCCCATGGTTAATTCTCTAGCTTCCTAAAATTATAGGATTTAGAAGACTTGAAGACATTTTCTATTTAAAATGACATACAATTGCAACTATGAATGTTTTCACGTTTCATGAACACACTGATTCCAATGCAAATTTCAATACATTTAACCAATTATTAATTTACTCAGACAAATCTCAGTGGCTTACATATTAGCAGAACTATAAATTTTGATCTCCTATCAAGGACACATAAAATAATGTAAACACATCTGAAATTTTACTGACCTAATATGTTGAATTAGGATCTAATTTTAAGTCATAAGGGATGAAGGAAATATATTCAGCCAAAACCAGATAGCTGAAAAGTGTGATTTTAGCCTTAACCATTGGAATTTAGGATAATATGGCACATATAACTCCTAACTTTATAATAACAACAGATCCCAAGAACTGATCATTATTTAGTAACTATTATACTGTGAGTAAGCATTTTTATTAATGAGTGATGGAGCAGGAGATGATCATACTTAACTTGCATTACTATATGTTCATTGAGTGTTTGGACACAAATATCATCTGAAACAACTGCAGCTGCTCTCAACTCTGGTAGAATTCTTTTTTATTCCTGCTTCAGCCAGTAAAAACACCAAACCAAGCCCTCAGAACTTTTGTATGTGTAGCAACCTCTGACAAGTTGACAGAATATAAACCAGGTCATCTAAGCAAGCAAGATAGGGAGTACTGCATTTGAGCTAGAGTTTGAGAGAACTTGTGAGAATTTTCTTAATACTTTAGATATGTCCTTTGCAAAAATAGAAAGCCACTGGACTGTTACCAGTCAAAAAAGTATTAGTTTTGAATTAAGACACTGTTCATCCATGACAACCAAAGAACTCTGACATTTGAAGCAGGAAAGAATTCAGTCATTTTGAAGCCAAAGTTCAAAAAAAAAAATGTAACCAGAAGATCCTTTCAACATATTATATAAACAAATAAATAGAATATATTTTACACAGAGTTTCATTTAAATCTGTTTTTAAATTTTTCTTTCTGGGAGGAGAGTAGAATGAGAACTCATTTTCCTCTAATTGTCTCATGCTAATTAATGTATTCAGTAATTTTTTTTTGTCAGAATGGAAAGCAGTTATCTTCAAATCAATGAAGCAATAATTTTGCTTTCAGAAAGACATGAAACCTTGAGAGTGAAAATGCCATGTTTGTCTTATTTCATATCTTGCAATAATACAAATTGTTTTATTTCCAAGTTTTTACAACATTCATGTAAAATGAATGGCACGTTGAAAAATAACCCTGTATATTCCAATTTTACAGATGGAATGATTCTAAATTAAATGACTTCTTAACATTTAACTCAAGGTGTTTTCTTCATTATATTAAACTCAAGTGGAAATTATATATATAATCTATATATATATATGCAATTAGTTTATAAATAGCACGTTTAATACCACAAAGAAATTCTATTTTGTGATATTTCTTTCAAATTGCATAATATTGAAGTGGCAGAAGAGTCACCTTTATGGAAGCATCACAATTCTAAAGAGAAAAAAAAATGTTATTCGATCCTAAGAATATACAACTCCTTAAATACTTAGACTTTCTTCCAGCATCATGTTGTACATTTGTAATTTTAAATTAAATTTCAAAATAAATTGCCAATTAAAATTTGTTATAAATTTTGTTTTACATCCTAAAAAACTGGGTTATAGACCTCTTATTTTTTATAATTTCAGGTTTAGTTATGCTATATATTATGTCACTTATATGAAATTATAGTTAAAGGACGTCTGCCTTAAGTATTGGTACTATATATTGCTAGTTGTCTTAAAATACATGTGGTTTATTTGATGGAAGCTCATAGAACATACCTCAAACGATCATGTCCTGAGATATAAGGTTCCTCTCTCTACATATATGTGTGTATTTAATTATATATGTCTCTGTGTGTGCGTACATACACATACACACACGCACAGATATATATAATATGTAAATATATTATATGTTATATTATGTATAAATATATTATATATTATGTTATATATAAATGTTATATATTATGTTATATATGAATATGTTATATATATTATATATAAATATGTTATATATTATATTATATATAATATATAGTATAATTATTATATTATATATAATATATGTATAATTATTATATTATATATAATATATAGTATAATTATTATATATTATTAATATATTATATATTATAATATAAAAATATTATAAAAATATATAATATATTATATGATATACATATATAACATATTTTATAATATAATATATTTGTATATTATAATATAAATATTATATAAATATATTATATATTATATAATATATACTCAATATATGATATGTAATATATACTTGATATATAATATATATTACATATACACACATACAGAGATATATAATTAAATACATATAGTATGCTTTCTCTTTACTTTTAAATTAGTAGGCAAGGTGATATCTTTTACACTAATACATTATAAGTAGCTTAATAATTATATATAACAGAAAGCACAGTATGTTAGACACCCTTAAACTTTTTAAAACAATATGTTTTGATGATACAGAGCAGCAAGTAATAAATTCATTTTGAAGAGTCAGGGAGTTCCAAGAAAAAAAATGATTCCTGAAATTAAAATTAATATCTGAAGACAGAGAAGAGAAGACATTCTGGGTGGGGATTCCATCATGAATGTACAAACAAATATGGGGAATGCTAGATTTGGGGAGAAAGAATTAGGGGAGAAAAGATTATACCATTTTCCTTTACCTAATATTTTAATTTTATGTAATATTTTATTCTTTTCTCTCTGGACTTCTATTTTCTACTTTTTTGCTAATGATTTTCATGTTAGTATTTCTATGCTATGGATCATGTCAAAGTCTCTTCATTTGGCATTCTGATGAACTCATTTAAAATATTGCTAATCTTTCAATATTTCCTGGAAAGAATTGCCTTGTTATTTTACCATTCGAAGATATTCTAATGATAAGACAGAGATTCCAGAACCCAAAGTGCTAAACTCGCAGCTAAATTCTATAATACGAAGAAACCCCATAGATACCCCAGAGAAGGATATTGGCCCTTAAGTATAGTTATTGAAAATAGAATGCTCTTTTTTACATATTGCAGTATTGGAATGTAAAGAATAACACAAAGGGAAGGTTGACTTTAGTAACACTAAGTGCCCTGTTCACATGTAGCATTTTCTTGACTAGTGGGAGATATCCATACAGGTAAGATTTTCAAGGTAACAGCTAAGATTTAATTGATTGAGGATTGATGGTTCCTCACCACCACTAGCAAGCAAAGAATTATCTTCCTAAATACCAGCAATTAATTCTAGTAGGTCTTAAAATCTATTTTTGTGCTGTCTGAAATGCATATGCTTAGCATTTTATGATTAATTTTGGTAAACCAAGCTCACCTGCCAATATGCCTAAATCCACTCATTTTCAAAAGAACATTGCATATTGTAGAGTATGATGTGAAAAAATGTACTCATATTCCATAGTTCTACATAGAAATCACACTTTTGTAACTTGAATTAATATTAACACTTTAATATAAAGATTAAAATCTTTACAAGCAAAGCAAAGTACACTCTAACCTGGTGCTTTATGGAGACATGATTTCAATAGATTTTTTGGTTTCCTTTCACTTGTATGTTTTTATTTATTATTGTATTTATTTGTGTATGTATTTATGAGACAGGGTCTCACTCTGTCACTCAAACTAGAGTGCAGTGGCACAATTACTGCTAACTGAAGCCTCTACCTCCCCTGCTCAGGTAATTTTTCCACATGAGCTTCCTGAGTAGCCGGGTCTACAGGCATACATGACCATGCTTCACTAACTTTTTAGAAGTTCTTTGTAGATACAAAGTCTCACCATATTACCCAGGCTGGCCTTGAACTCCTGGGCTCAAACATGCTTCAGCCTGCTGCTTCAGCCTCCTAAATTGCTGGGATAACAGTTATGAGCCACCACACCTGGCCCTCCCTTCATTGTCTTTTTAAGTAAAGTTTACTAGGTTTGTTTCACATGGTAGAGAGTATGACAATAACGTTCCAGAATCTCATTTCATAAGTAAGCAGGAGAAACATCTTTTTTCTTTTCTTTTCTTTTCTTTTCTCTTTTCTTTTCGTTCTTTCTTCTTTGTTTCTTATCTTTCTGAGATGAAGTCTCACTCTGTCACCCAGGCTGGAGGGCAGTGGCGGGATCTAGCTCACTGCAACCTCCGCCTCCTGGGTTCCAGTGATTCTCCTGCCTCAGCCTCCCGAGTAGCTGGGACTACAGGCACACACCACCATACCCAGCTCATTTTTGCATTTTTAGTAGAGACCGGGGTTTCATGTTAGCCAGGCTGGTC
Organism: Homo sapiens; assembly: GCF_000001405.40. Taxonomy (NCBI): domain Eukaryota; kingdom Metazoa; phylum Chordata; class Mammalia; order Primates; family Hominidae; genus Homo; species Homo sapiens. The sequence goes on along the minus strand of NC_000008.11, from coordinate 114,542,380 downwards.
TCGAACTCCTGACCTCATGTGACCCACCCGCCTCGGCCTGCCAAAGTCCTGGGATTACAGGCATGAGCCACCAGAAATAGGTGCATATTTTTTAAGAGTTCAAACATTAGATAGTTTCATTCCAAAACCATCTCCCACTGCCCTGTCTGTGGAAAAACTATCTCCCATGAAACCAGTCCCTGGTGCCAGAAAGATTGGGAACTGCTGCCTTAATGGCATTAACTAAAAGAAAATAAAACATGATACAATTACATACTACTTCAGATAATGTATTGAAAAATTATCCCAACTGAAATGGGAGTCTGTTGAAAGGATCCCTTGTTTCTTTAACTCTTGAGAAGAAATAGGGTTCTTCTATGTCAGTGGGTGAAAAGGAATTTTCCCCACCTTGTCACAGAGGTTCAAACTGGTACTGAAAAAAAAAAATCATTCTTTTTTGGATTGTCAGATGCTCAACCATAGACCTTAATAAGTAAATGGAATTCTTCCTTAGTAATCCTCACCAAATATTCATGGTTTGATTAGAAGACCCAGGTGAAAACCCACTAGCTTCTACCTTTCTCATAATTATAACTCAAGATTAACTCTGTGTGAACTCTGTGGTTCATTAAATTATATAGAAAATTTGTCCTTCCCAAAACTTGTGAATGACATGGCAATAGATGCCCCTTCCCACAGATTATCTTTCTTTAAGGATCTGGACCATTACATATACAAGACTGAAGCAAGAAGACACAGAACCCAGTGGTAATTTTGCTCATCCCAAAATCACTGGCTTCATTGTCATGAGATTTTGCTATAACAAGGGTGTTGGAGTTCTCAGGGATGGAAACCTATTTAACTCACTGTCCTCTGTGAGAAAGTAAATGTGTCTTGGAGGATTTGACATGGACCAAATCCGAATCCACACAGACTTTGCTGAGATAGATGTGACATCCCATTTGTAGGGAAATAATTTACACATTGGCCTCCATGTCATGCCTTCATGCCTCTTTTGATTATGTTCATAATACTTCATACACTATCGAACACACATTATGTTCTCTACTTGAGTTGATTGTGCAATTAATATGCAATGTTGTGTTGATGTTATCTTTTTAAGCCATCTTTTTAAGCCATCTTTCTTCTTTGTCAGTTCATCAGGCTAAAAATATTCCTTTGGTGTTTCACTCTCCACTTCTTATTCTCTTACTGCTGAAGTGTTGGTTCTTTATTTTTGGCTTTTTTGAGAGATAGTAGTTTGTGGCCAATGCTTATTCATTATTCATATGTTTTCATGGAAAATGCCCTGTGAATTTTCACATCATTAAGTAATGTGATTTAGAATAAGTGAGCTATTCCTTTGATTAATCTAGAACACTAGAATCACCATGGTATTCTTTTTTGACAACTCTATTGAGATGTAATTAATATTTTAAGTGTAAATTTAGTGATATTTAGTGTATTTGTAGAGTTGGACGACAATCACCATCTAATTTTAGAACATTTTCATCACCCACCTAAAAGACATAACCATTAGCAGCCACTTCCTACTACCTGTCTCCCTGTGAAACACACACAACACACACACACACATGCCAGCCTTAGGAAACATGAATGAACTTTGTCTCCATATATTTACCTATTTCGTACATTTTATATAAATTGAACTGAACAATATGTGTTTTGTTTCTTTCATTTAAAATAATGTTTTAAAGGTTCATTCATAGTGTAGCTTGAATGATTACTTCAATTTCTTTTTATTGCCAAGTTATGCATTAATGCATTAATATGCATTCTTCGTATGCATATTATTTATGCATTTTATTTATCCATTCAGTTGATGAACATTTGGTTTGTGTCTACATTTCGATTATTTTGAATAATGCTGCTAAGTACATTTGTGTAGACTTGTTCATGACATATGATTCCATTTTTCTAAAAGTTGAACTACTTAGTAATATGGTAACAGTTTAAATTTTTGAGGAGCTGACAGACTGTTCTTGAAAGTGGCTGCATCATTTTACATTGTCACCAGCAATATATGAGGGATCCAGTTTCTCTACATTCATGCCAACGCTTATTATTTTCCCTTTTAACATTTTTTTATTTTAGTTGTTAAAATGTGTGTGAAGGGTTATTTTACTGTAGTTTTAATTTTCATTTCCTTGATGGATAATGATGTTAAGAACATTTTCATACACTTGTTAGCCCTTTGTACATCTTATATGAAGAAACGTCTATTCAGAACCCTTTCCTGTTTTTATTTTTAACATTGTCATTTGTCTTTTTATTATTGGATTGTAAAAGTTATTTATATATTCTACATACAAGTTCCTATTAGATACATCATTTGCAAGTATTTTTCCCATATTGTGGAGCTGTATTTTCATTTTCTTGATATCTTTTGAGGCACAGAACTTTTAAATTTAATGATGTCATATATATGTGTGTATATATATGTGTGTGTGTGTGTACATATATATATATATACACACATTCTCTTTTTCCTTGTGCTTATGGTGTTATGACTAAGAAACTAGTACTTAATGTAAAAATCAGGAATCTGTTTACTCTCTACACAGCTGAGTCATTTCCTGAATTTCATATAAATGTAATCATACAGAATATTGCATTTTTTAACTGGCTTCTTTTACTTAGTAATGTGCATTTAATATTTGTACATGTCCCTGTGTTGGTTGGTAGCTCTTTTTTTAAATTCCTGAATTGTATGGAAGTAACACGGTTTTGCATCCATTCATTTATTGAAGAACGTCTTCATCATTTCCAGTTTTTCATGACTATGAATAAACTGCTACAAACATTAGTATGCAGGCTTTTGTGAGGACATAACTTTACAAATCAGTTAGATAAATACCTAGGAGTGCAATTGCTTAATCATAAGGTGAGACTGTGTTTACCTTTTGTAAGGCAATACCAAATTGTCTTTCAAAATAATCATACCATCTTATCTTCCTAAAAGAAGTAAAATATGTCATTTTGCCATAAGTTGTTATTTGTCCATTTTTTTGTTTTAGTTTTGGAGATTCTTATAGGTTTGTATTATTAGTATTATTAGTCTTTCATATTTAACACCTGTTTTTTTTCTTACTATTGTTAATAGGAGCAGAGCAAGATATTTGTCTGTATAAAGAGGTAGGATCACCTTTTATTCAGAGTTACTCAAATTGCACTCAGCTGCAAGTGGTCATGTTGATGTAGGAGCTATCTTACAGTGGGGAAATGCTATATGAAAGAAAATGTTCACTGTAATAAAATTTTTTAATCATCCAGTAAAAGAAAAGTATCATATGAATTTTGTCCACCAGAGACAAACAGCTTCTGCTTTTTCTCCTCTTTATATATTTTTCTCCTCATCAATCCCTTCAACTGATGATCCCTGCTTTTCTTCACACATGTATTCTTTCTAGGTTGTATTCATCCTATTTAAGATATTTAAGATCATCATATAATACACAGTAAGCCAGTTTTAATAAAACATTCTTTTATCCTTTTCACTCTTTTATCCGAGATGGACTACTGCTTTCACTAAGCTCATACATAATTTTTGTGTTTAACTTCATTCTGAAGGTCTTTCCCAAAGTTTGCAATTTTCATTTATCACTTTTTGAAATTGTTTTCATCCTCTTTTCTGTTTTGTTCTTTTGCAGTCCATTTGTGTTCCACAGAAAGAGCGACAGATATTAGCCAAGCTCAGTAGGACATTGGCTTAGTTCCCATGGTGACCTTTCTCCTGGATATTAAGTTGCTTGGAATAAGCTTTGTGAATGTTTGTATTAATAACTTAAGAATTGATTCCTAACATGGTACAGCAAGCTGTTAAATTGTTACAGGTTTCCTGGTCACCTGGGGAAGGTTCCAAAAGCTAGTCTTGCTTCGTCTCTCTTCATAAACTGGCAATTCTTCTAAAAATCAGCATTGATTTAATAATTTGTACTAGTTGTACATGTGGCCCACTCCCCTTCAGAACCATTACAAAAGAGCAAAAGTGAGAGTTCCTTGACTGATATATTCCATTTGTCTCACCCTCCTCTTCCTGCATCTACTGCAGGCTTTTTGTTTGCCAGTTATGTAGAAATAGCTTTGATATTAATCAACATACAACAGGAAAAATCGTGCTTAATATATAAACTTTTAATCCATTTTGGATGTTAGTTAAAACTAATTTTATTCACATTCAAATTTTAAGTTAATTACCCTGAAGAAGTAATTTGCAGACTTCTGCTCAGTGATCTAGAAAATGTAGTAAGAATGGCTATGTTTTTGTTGTATGCCCAGGGAATAACCTTTAGGGCTAGGGCTGTCATTTCTGGGTGGTACATTTAGCATAATTACATTTTATATTCAATAGGGAATCTTTTAGAAAATCACTCCCTGGAATGCAGTTCTATAAATGTTGTATCTTGAGCCAAATTAAACAAGTAAAATGCCAACTTCTCGATCTTAGGAAAAATGTTTCCATCTGTTGTAATTATATAGAATGAGAAAGATAGTAAATGTATTCCCATTTATTGAACACAAAAGAAACACTTATTTTTAGACAAATTACTGGGTTGTTTTTGTTCTGTTCGTAGTGTTTTTGTTCAAGCAGAGTAATGTGTACATTTACTCAGTTTTATGTGTAAGGTAGTTTGCTGTACTTACATCTCACTAGAATCTTGCAAATGTTCTTTGGCCAGAGGGAGAGTGCAATGGTATATTATTCTCTGTGTAATCAGTTACAAATATCCAAACTGACAGTTCGTTCTGGTAAGAGTTTACTTGGGATTTAAACATTTCTCCAGAGAGGTACAAAAGTAGTTTCACTCAAATCAAAATTTATACTTAAGGAATTTACACCTAAATTAAAAAATAATGGCAAGTTTTTCCCATTTTTTAAGTTCTGAAGTAATATACACAGCACACATTTTTGTAAATTCTTCCTAAATACCTTTGACAATCTGTCTTCCCATAAAAATAGAGAAATAAAATATTAATCACATTCAAATATTATTTTTCCATAGAGAGTCATATTTTGTTAGGTGAATGCAAATTATTCAGACATTATGAAAAATGCAAAAAGAAAAGTAACCCTTATCATTCCCAAAGCAGGCCTCTTATTCACCTACTTTCTATATCAAAATGAGAAATGAATCCCAGTGATTTCAGTGCCACCAAACATTTCTCATAGCAATTTTGGCTACCTTCAGGAAATTGTTATTTCAACAACATAGATTTCTCTCTTTTATACTACAAAATTCATTATTTATGTCTATGCCAATTTTGTTATTGGAGAACATAAGTTATTTTTAGAGTTATAGATTTTACTTTGTCCAACATATGCTCTTTAATTTTTGTAACTAACACAGAAAGACATCTGAAAGAAAAATAATAAAGAAAAATTAGGCCCGGTGCCGTGGCTCACGCCTGTAATCCCAGCACGTTCCGAGGCCGAGGCAGGCGGATCACCTGAGGTCAGGAGTTCAAAATCAGCCTGGCCAACATGGTGAAACCTCGTCTCTACTAAAAACACAAAAATTAGCTGGGTGTGGGGGCACGCGCCTGTAATCCCAGCTACTCAGAAGGCTGAGACAGGAGAATCACTTGATCCCGGGAGGCAGAGGTTGCAGGGAGCAAGATTGCGCCATTGCATTGCACTCCAGCCTGGGCGACAAGAGTGAAACTCGGTCTCAAAAAAAAAAACCAAAAGAAAAGAAAAGAAAAATCAATGTTCACAGAAGTGTGGGAAATGAGATGGAATTACATGGAAATTAAATGTTCTAGGCTTCTTCCGCCAAGCCGCTTTCCCTAACCACCACCATTTTGTTTTTACTGTTAAGTATCACAATGTGTGTTTCAATCTTACATTGCATTATACTTAGCTCATTTATTATAATGATTAGTGTGCCCATCATTTTTACTGAATTTTCAACTTATTAAGGGTAATGGCTTGTACTGTTTATGTTTATTATGTTATCTTTATCTTTAAAGAAATTATATGTCGCTCATTGTATTTAAGGTGAACTTTTGCATTAAATCGCAAAGTTTTAGATTTTCCTTTAGATTGGCTCACATTGCTTTTCTGCATGAAGTTGGTTAAGTGAGAATTTTTCCTCTTACCTCAGCATGGAAGGCTTTGGAAAGACCAGAGAGGATTACAGGGACAAAAAGTATTAAAAAACACACACAACACAGGTCTGAGGAATACATCACAAAAGACTAATGGTAAAATTAACAATAAAAACTCCTATTTATGCAGTACTTATTTTGAGATAAATGCCTGTAATATCTGCCATAAACGATACTAATGACAATCTTCTTTAGTTGGATCTTTTAGGTTGAAAACAGTTCCTCACCAGTCTCTGGTTTCTTTATGCTCCCGCGGAAAAAGCAGTTATCTACTTGTTTCTTTCTCTTTGGGACCTGTTACAATTCAACCTGCAGAGAATGTGAGTTCCCAATTGTCTGCAAGTTCTTTAGTTCTGTAGCAGAAAGCAGTAAGTTTAATTCAGGGCAATGTTAGTACAGGATGTACTGGGCTCAAGACTGAAAAACCACCAAGGAATGAATTTGGTAACAAAGTGAAAAAGAAAACTTCTAAGGGGAGCTTTAATTGGGTGTGTTTAGGTTTTAGCAATTATTTAGTAATAGTAGATAATGTAAGTTTTTCATTTGTAGTTTACAAGGCCAGTCCTATGGAACACTATCTATATTTAGAGTTGTGCTCTTGTCTTAACTGTTACAGAGTTGGCCAGTGACTAACAAATGAGGCCTTCTCCACAGGTGAGAGGTTATTTTTACGCAGGTGGATGGCTATTTTTATATAGGCATTGAGCTTAATAGAAACATATGAACTTCATCAAAGCACGGGTCTTAGTTTGTGAACTGTTCTGCTTGACTTGGAACTGTTTGAGTATAGCCTTTAAGATATATAGTTGGAAAATGTGATTTTTCTTTTTTAGTAAGCAAGAAAACCTGATGAAAGATTTAGAATACAATGGAACAAAGGAGAGACTTTCCATATTTAGAACTTTCTGACATTAGGAGATCCAGTAGTTATTTGCTACTTTTATTGGGTTTTTTCAGCCCAATATACATACAGTTAGAGTAAATTATTCATGTCTCCCAGAGCCATAGTTTGTGAAGTTCTGGATTTCAGGCAGTACCAGCACAGCTGAGTGAAATTCTACTCAATATTGGTGACCACAAATGGGACATTTTTAGGGTCTATTATTGGATCCAAGTAACTTCCCTGTTTCTTCCATCTGATCAACTTAGCCTTGGGTTGATTAGTTAGATATATTCAGACCCTTGTCCATAGCTATCACATTGGAGCCCTAAGTCATAGTATTTGAAAGTATATTAGATAACTGGTCATCTACACTGGGCTCCAAGGGACCCAGAGCAAAAATACTAACAGCAACTTTATTTCAGGAATCTGCTGAAGATTAATCCCAGCTGATACATTCCCCAGTGAATAAGGGAGAATCCCAATCTAAAAGGCAGGTGTCATATGCATTCTGTGAAAGAAAGAGACAGAAAAATTGTGCAAGCCAGCTGAGACCGTCTACTTCTCCTTAAACTACCCATGCTATAAGACTGGAACACTAGGGAAAGTGGAAAGAAGTTTAAGCTAGAAATTAGAGTTTTAAAATAAAATCCTCTGGGACTTAGAAACATAATGAGATTGCTATTATAACCCAAGTAACTGCAAACTATGATATAGGGCTAAAAAAATATTTTTAAATGAGACATAAGGTGGCAATAAATTTTGTTATGACATACTTGTGGGTGAAGTTTGAAAAAAAAAAAGCCATTGTATTCATAACTATGTGAGTTGAGGCACCAAAGAGCAAAATATCCTGGGTAAGGTTTAGAATGAATACAATTATGCATAAAGTCAAGTCATTCATTTTCTGTATGGAATTCAGAAAGGACTCAAAAAAACAGGAATTGCTTAATTTGAACCTTGAAAAGAATAGGCAAATTTACTTTTGGCAAAAAGAATAGCAAAGCTTATAAATGATAGAATAAAAGAAAATTGTTTAGACAATTTGAAGGGCTGTGAGACAAGGGAGAACAATATTCTAAATGTTCTTATGGGTCATGTAAGAAAACTTTATCTTGAAGACAATGGAAAGTCACAGAAGGGTTTACAGCGAGGAGTTTATATAATATTGCCATTGAGTATCTCTGACAGAAGTGTAAAGGACTGATGCAGATTAACTCTGGAAGTAGCACCCCAGAGGAGTAGTGTGTGAGTTATTAGCTGGACCTTGACTAAAAAATGGCAACAGAAAAATGAAAGTAGAAAAATATCTGAACTTATAAATAGGCAATGCTAACAGAAACAATATCTCAAACACTGAAGGAACTCAATATAGACTTGGTAGTGGCATATTTAAAACAGAACAAAAAATAATTTGCAGTTCTAGAATATAAAGGAATTGAAAAAAATTATTGTGCATTTACTGTGTGCCTAGTGCTACATTACAGACTTAACATAGGTTATGGTTGCTAAATCTTCATGTTAGTATCATAAGGTAGATAGGCATGAAAAGGATTGTTATCCATCTCTGCAGATAATAAAACTGGGGTTCAGTTAGTTTAAATGGCTCACCTTGATCTCTGGGCTCATAAGTGCATGATAAAGCTTCAAATTGTCTGTATTCTCTTGGGTGTGAAAAATTGTGGTCCTAATTAGGAAAAGCACTTTGGACAAATAATTACACTCAAATAAGCAGTGTTAAATATAAATGTGAACAAAAACATTTTGAAATAAAGGTGTTATTTATAAGTGCGATAGTAATATGATCACTAAATAAGGTAGTACAGTTTTCAGGGGAGTTCCTTAAACTCTACTAATAGATGTTTAACAGATTACTGCCATTTATATTATTGTCTATAAAATATTCCTATACATTTATAAATTGTTCTTCTTTATCAAAATATATTTTACAATTTCATTTAAAATAGCATCAAAACAATGAAATATTCAGGAATAAATTTCACCAAAGAGGTGAAAAATCTCTACATTGAAAACTATAAGACACTGATAAAAGAAATTGAATAATATACAAATTAATGAAAAGATATCTCACATCCATGGATTGTAAAACTTAATATTGTCAAGATGTTTCTACTACCCAAAGTGCAGTACTGATTCAAAGCAATTCTTAATGACATTCCAATTACATTTTTCACAGAAATTGTTTTTAATGTCTTAAAATTCACATGGAACCACATAAAGCCCTAAGTAGCTAAATAAATCTGGAAATAGAAGAACACAGTTGGAGGCAGGAGGCATCACAATTCCTGATTTCAAACTTTATTATAAAGTCATAATAATCAAAGTGGTAAGATATTTGCATAAAAATAAACATAGAGACCAATGGAACAGAATAAAGATCCCAGGCCACAAACTTACACATAAAGATCAACTATTCGACAAGGGTACCAAGAATACACAATAAGAAGGTAGGTCAGATATCAAGTAATAAAATAAAGATGAACAAGAGCTGTTATTTGGGCATATTTGTGAGTCCTGAAGTTCTCAAAAATATTTTTACTGAAATATTCTCTTATTTCCCACTCACGTGAGCTCTATCTCAATTCACCAAGTATCTTACCAAAAGAAACAAACAAAAAAACAGAAAAACAAATACGAAAACCGGGAAAGAATTAAGCAGTTATCAGCCATGTAGCATTTTTATAAATTATATCTATCCACTTGCTTTTTAAAAAATTCATTGGTGAGATATACTGTACTTCACATTTCTGCAAATATATTGTGGTAGGAAGAAACTAAAAGATAAGAAACATGAAGCTTTTGGAAGGTAAAGCAATTAAGTTTACTAGCTGTTTTGCCATTTTATAGATGAATATAAATGAAAGGGAAAAAGAAGGTAATGGTTATAATAAAATGTATCTGCTGGCAAGGCTTTGTTTTAAAAAAAAAAATCTAAAAAGAAAGAAAAGAAAATAGCTCAAATGCCCATCGTTGTGGTAATTCCATACAGTGGAATATGAAGCTATGGTTTAAGACAATGAGAAAAATGTTTCTATTGGACTAAAAAATTGTCAAAATACAGAAACATGAAAACATATGCTCCACCAAAGAATATATGGTGTGATATCACATTTTAAAAAATCAGTATGTACTTTAGTGTTGTTGGATATTTTTTACGATGGAAAAAATTACGTATTGTTTATATAATTTAATAATTAAAAAGTAAACAGGTCTAGTGTTAAGCGCATACATAAATTACAATGTTAATACCAGAGCATACAGTTGATATCATGACTTAGATAACTCATTTAATTTTATCAGTAAAGATGTTTCAAAACTTGACTAAAAAACGGACTCCATTAAAAGTAACTGACTCCATTAAGAGTAAGAGACAAATTCTATGATTAGATAGCTAAAGTGAAGTGAATATACACTATTTTTTTGAGGACTTGGCTATCCAATAGTGAGGCTCCTCTTTTTCCTGCTGGTTCTTTAAAAACATAGGGATATTTTTCTGAAATTTTAACTCATTTCATCTCGTCTATTTGCCTGAGAATCCTTAGCCCAGTAATATGACAGCTCTCATTAAGAGGCTTTCCAAGCATCTTTGTAACACAATAGTTTACTGAACTTATATGTTTCTTTTTTGAAGGAAATTGCAGAAGACATTTATTTGGGAGTTATCCATGTACAGGGCCAAGAAAACATTTCAGATGAATGTTCTTAAAATTTTCTTTGGGAGAAAAAGCAAACATTTGCTTAGTGGGAGCTGTCAGGAGTAGTTTAATTAACTAAATATAATTTTAAAGTGATTAAATACTAATTAAAGACATAAGAAAGTAGAAAAATAAGTTAAAAATATGTGTTTATATGGTTTCAAAAAATTTAATTTGGGATGTTATTAGAATCACTTAACCCTTTTCTTTTTTCATAATTAAAGCATAACATAATCCTTAACACTGTATTACACTATTTAGAACTCTGCTAGAGATTTTCTATTAATTGGGAAAAAATGTTCAATGAAGTAGATATAATTCAAATGCATGCCTATATTTAGAAATTGTAATTCTTTGATGAATTTCTTTTGTTGGTCATTTAATTGTGACAATTTTGTGGTCATTTAATTTCACTCTCTCTTTTATCAATTATTTCAAGAAAAAATTATTAAACATCATCTATATTCTAAGACCTCTTTTCTTGGGATATCCAGATAGAATATGAAATCATTATTTCTAGAAGCTCATAGTCCAGAGGTGAAGATGAGAAAATAATACAACACATTGATTATCTGATCCTCATTGCTCTTAAAATGCCTCAGAAGAGTGACTGTAGAAACCATATAAAGAGTGTCCCAATCACTTTCATTCTGGTTCATATAGTTGACCCAATGGCAAGGAAGAAATTTCTCAACCACTTTATCTCTATTGGGCCTTAGAGATGTTGTTTTAACTGTTTCTTAGGTATGACCTAGATTCACTTTGATTTAAAAAAAAAAAGCTATCTATAACAAACTCACAGCCAACATTATACTGAACAGATGACAGAGAAAAGTTTAAAGCATTCCCCCTGAGAACCAGAATAAGATAAGGGTGCTCAGTTTTACCACTTCTATTCAACATAGTATTATCCAGAGCAATCAGACAAGAGAAAGAAATAAAGGGCATCCAAATCGGTAAAGAGGAAGTCAAACTGTCACTGTTCACAGATGATAAGATCGTATACCTAGAAAACCCTAAAAATTCATCCAGAAAGCTCCTAGATCTGATAAATTCGGTGAAGTTTCAGGATACAAAATCAGTGTACACAAATCAGTAGCACTGCTATACACCAACAGCGACTAAGCTGAGAATCAAATCAATAACTCAACCTCTTTTACAACAATTGCAAAATAAAATATGTAGAAATATACCTAACCAAGCAGGTGAAAGATCTCTACAAGGAAAACTACAAAAACACTGCTAAAATAAATCATAGATGACACAAACAAATGGAAACACATCCCATGCTCATGGACAGGTAGAATCAATATTGTGAAAATAACCATACTGCCAAAAACAATCTACAAATTCAATGCAATTCCTATCAAAATACCATCATCATTCTTCACAGGATAATAAAAAGCAGTTCTAAAGTTCATATGGAACCAAAAACAAACAAACAAATGCCACGTAGCCAAAGCAAGACTAAGGAAAAAGAACAAATCTGGAGGCATCACATTACCCAACTTCAAACTATACTACAAGGGTATAGTTACCTAAACATGCTGGTGCTGGTATAAAAATAGGCTTCAGACAAATGTAACAGAATAGGGAACCCAAAAATAAAGACTAATATTTACAGCCAACTGATCTTTGACAAAGCAAACTAAAACATAAAGTGGGGAAAGGACACCTTATTCAGCAAATGGTGCTGGGATACTTGGCAAGCCACAGGTAGAAGAATGAAACTGGATCCTCATCTCTCACCTAATACAAAAAATCAACTCAAGATTGATCAAAAACTTAAATGTAAGACCTGAAACCATAAAAATTCTAAAAGATAAAACTAGAAAAGCTCTTCTAGACATTGGCATAGGCAAAGAGTTCATAACCACGAATCTAAAAGCTAATGCAACAAAAACAAATATAAATCGATGGGGCCTAATTAAACTAAAAACCTGCACAGCAAAATAAATAATCAGCTGAGTAAACAGACACCAAAGGTATGAATAAAATCTCTGAAACAAAACAGAATCTGTAGAATCCCAAAGTCCAAACAAATACATTTGGCAAGAATGGAGCTGAGAGAACTAGAGGAATCTTGTGAAAGTGTGAGCTTAAGTGGAATCTTAAGGCAAAAGCTAAGGTTCTCAAACCAGAAGTGGAGCTTGTGCAAGAGCAAGATCTGAGAGACAAATGCACTTAGAGAGCTCGGTATATGACTGAAAATTTGAGTTCACAGGGTCAGGGCTATAGAGAAATAAAAGGATAATAATAGTTTAATTTGTTTTCAAACTGGTTTACATAACTGAGGGAATCATTCAAAGCAACATGCCTAAAAAATAATAAGCAGAAACAAATTATAGAATGTATCCAGTGGAACATAGAGATCAAATTCAAGGAATCAAATTCAATATACAAAATAAACAAATATATAAAGCAGTTATTTTTATCTTAGTTCAGTTTTTCTATTGTCAGTTGCACAAAATAATTCATGTAAATATGTTGGTTCCTAAGCAACAAATATTTCTATATGAACGAAATTGCTATAGGTTACTTTCGTTAGCATGTGTTAAAATATTTAAACCTTTGTCAGGAAGATTTCGTTTTTGATAGTTTATGAAGGAGACTGACTTTAAAATCTTACCTTCTTATTTTTGCTGTTAAATATTGCAGAGAATATCTTGTACATCTAAGTAGAAAAGAGATTTTTGCTATAAGAATTATATTACTCTGTGCAGGTTTGGCTAGCAAAATAATGATGGAAAATATAAATAGGGAAGAAAAAAACTCACATTAAACAAAAAAAGATACATAGCAATAAAAATGAAAAGACCTATTTTATAATGAAAGAAAATCAGAGGGGCAGACATAAAAGGAAATTATTTTTAAAGACCACCTCCGCCACTTTAATTGCATTTATCCAATTGTTTACCATTTTCATGAAACTCCAGGGAGTAAACAACATGATGAAAAATGGAAAATTACTCATGGCATTTTGAATTGCCCACTGTAAAGAAAATAAGTGTTAAAAAAAATTGTCTCACGGATCACTTGTGTTTCACAGGTTTTCTCATGACAGTTTGAAAATGTATTCAGTTCCTACCCCTTTTAAAGGAAACTTTTACCACACCACTAATTACAAAGTGAATTGTTCAAGCAAAAGGTTTGAGGGCAGCTAAAATATCCCCGTCTGTTTTAAAGATCTCATTAAAATGAATCTATGCCATTTTACTGAGTAACTATTTCATAGCAAAATTATATACCCTAACATTTTTACATTAGCTGAAGCACAGTAGGGACTGGAAAGAGGGGCAGAGACAGTTGGAAATGTCTGATTTTTGTTTTCGTGTTTGTTTTAACTAGTAAATGTGCCCAGGGCATGCATTTAATAGAGCTAAGATCGGAAAGATAGACAAATCACTCAATAAAGTCCAGTATATAAAGTATTTTATCTGTCGAAATTTTTGCTCCCTGGATTCTTCTGCTTCCTGCTGGTGAGTTTTCTCTTTGTACTGGTGTTCCCCAAGGTAGTCATTCTTAGACTTTCTCTGTATTTAGGGAAACTTCTATCAACTGGCCGTTGTTTTTTTTTTTTTAATCTGCTTTTATTATTTTTAGGTTTATGAGTTTAATGGTATGATTGTTCACATTTTTTTTGTTTTTTGTTTTAAACACAGAGTTGTATGTATGTTAACGGTCAGGAAGTCAAGGCATCTGATTTTGATCTAACCTAGTGAGCATGCATTCCAGTGGAAATGGGTTACTTATTCTGTAAGTGGGCTTGAACAAATAGTTTCAAACAAATTGGAGAAAATTTTGCCTTTTGAATTTGAGAATGACAAAAATATTGCTATATAATTGAAAGGAGTAGAAGATTATAATGTGATGTGTATTTTGGAAATTAATATAAACAAATATCTAATCTGAATTAAGCATACCAAGTGTAAAAATGGTCAATGATAATACTACCAGTTTGTGTGTTTGTGTGTGTGTTTGTATAATGTTTTATAATGTATAAAGCATGTTTTCAATTAAACTTGCATTATTTCAAATAATCCCATGCAATAAAGTGTTCTATTTATAATATCATATCCATGATTCAAATATATTAAAGCATTTTTCAAGGACATATCATGGATAAGGGGCACTGGCAAGATGGAATCCTCTTTCATCAATCTTGAATAGCTTTCCTTTTCCATTGTTACACAATTATCTTATCTTGGATTAAGTGAGGAAGAGAACTCCCAAAGCAACCAAGGGTAAAAGAAAGTTTAGCAAATCAACATACAGTGAATAATGACAATGTTTAGATATGATTAATGATAATACTTCATACTTAACTTCATTTTTCCTAGTGATTTTTGGTATGGTTTATAACATTAAACAAATGAACAAAAATTTTCAGAGAACTTCCTGGCATCAATCAACTTTATTTTTGTTTCAAGTTCAGCCTCAGTCAAATTTATGAAGTATAGAACATCATCATCATCATCATCATCATCATCATCATCATACACACTTTCCTGTAGCATTTATTCTACCCTCTCGGTTATGTCCCCAAGATTGCAGCTATACATTTTCCCACCTCTCATTCCCTATTTGTGATTTTCCACCCAGAAATGCATCTCATACTCTACTTTTATTATCTCTAGATCCCTCTACTCTTAAAATTCTGGAGCTCGATATGCATATGTTTGTTTACAGAATTAACATTCTTAAGAGTCTGCTTTCTATTGTCCAAAACAATAACTAGTATTAAAAACACTTTTTATAATCTCTATGTCAATTCCCATATTGGATTTTTTAATAAATTTGATAAAAGGTCATCTAGAGAAAAAAAGTCAACTAAAAAGGAAATTTATTAGTTATAGACTTGAAGTTTGACAACTATGGAAGGCTACTGGAATAATATTTTTGGGCAGGTGGAAGGTTATATTCTTATCCCTTTTAAAATGAGAACTGTAATTACCTCCAGAAAAAGCTATACATTAATAAGAATGACTTGTCAGCAAATGCTTTAAACAATGATGACACTATATTCAGAAATTTATTCACTATATTCAGAAATGCCTCCAATCATAAAATGTGGATGACTGCTATGGCTTGGTACGCTGCTAGGTACATTGCACATGGCGGTGATCAAGCCAGACATATACTCCTAACTATTATTATGCTTCCCCAGTGATGCACTCAGCTCTCGCTGATCATAAGGATCCCATGAGGAGTTGACTCAACAAATAATGCAGTGTCCACATCTAGATGACTTCATCCCCCTTGCCCCAACCAATCAACGAACCCAATTTTCCAGCCTCTCACTCTCTTTGACCCTCTTAACAACTCCAGCCCAGAATACCTCAGGGAGATAGATTTGAAGGTCCCCTACAATCATTAATCTGCCGCAAATCCTGCTATCTCCATGGAATTGGACTGTTACTATGCAGCAGACTTAGAAATCTGTTGGTCCTATAACAAAAGAAGCACTTAATAGCTTCTCTTTAGCATATCTGAATTGCCAGCATTACTACTCTTGTGCTTTGGGACCATTGTTAAGTAAGGGTTACTTATCTGGGGCCTAGTGGCATGCGCCTGTAATCCCAGCTACTCTGGAGGCTGAGGCAAGAGGATTGCTTGAGCCTAGGAGTTTGAGACTAGCCTGGGCAACATGCCAAAAACACCATCTCTTTATATATATATATATATATATATATATATATATATATATATACAGTTAAAAAATAAGGAAGGGTCACTGAAAACAAGTACTGTGAGATCATGACACTCAATTTGATCATCATCTCTGATCACTGAGATGGCACTAAGTGACTAAGAGGCAGGTAGCAGTACATAGAGCCCAGATACACTGTACAAAGGAAAGATTCACATCTCAGCAGGACAGAGTGGCACTGCAGGAGATTTCTTCGTACTATTGTGAACTTTGTACAATTTAAAACTTATGAATTGTTTATTTCTGGAATTTTTCATTTAATATTTTTGGGCCATGGTTGATGGAGGTTAACTGAAATGATGGAAATAAATTGAAACCATGGACATGGTGGGACCATCATAGTCACTGATTTTCTGTGTATGTGTGTGTAGAAGAAATAGAAATAAATTACAGTACACTCTGTTGTTTGTTTTTTGAGACATAGTCTCGTTCTGTCACCCAGGCTGGAGTGCATTGGCAAGATCTTGACTTACTGAAACCTCTGCCTCCCGGGTTGAAGCGATTCTCCTGCTTCAGCCTCCTGAGTAGCTGGGAGTACAGGCACCCACCACCACACCTGGCTAATCTTTGTATTATTAGTAGAGATGGGGTTTCACCATGTTGGCCAGGTTGGTCTGGAACTCCTGACCTGAAGTGATCCGCTCGCCTCAGCCTCCCAAAGTGATAGGATTACAGGCATGAGCCACTGCACCCAGTCAAATTACACTACACTCCTATAATAATGAAAACCCACATGCATAGCATAGTGCAGATACTCATTAGGCATGCTTTTTTAAAAAAAGAAATCAATGGCTTGATATGTAAAACATTTTACATTTTATTTTCTCCAATCAAGCCAAAAGGCTTCTTATACCATTACCATTTTACAACAAAACCAGAAAACTTACAACCACAAATATATCGTGATTGATATTGACATCACCTTCATCTCAGAAATTTTTTTATTCAGGATCATAAACACTGAATGATGATCAGACTTCTGAAAGCAATTGCCACTTGTCTGATCTTTAATTCTGGTTAATATTTAAGGATTCATAAAGTTTTCAAGGTAGGAAGGTAATAAAATTCTCTCAAACTATTCCTAGACTTTATCTTGCTCATTAAACTTTTTATAATGGAATCTTTCTAACATGTAGACAAAAGTACATACCATATATTATATTTATATGAGTAATATCTAATAGTATAGTATATAGAATATTAACAGTATATTGTATTCTTAGGCACCCATTAACCCAATTCAGAAATTAATAATTATTAAATTGTGATCTAACTTAATCACATTGATACACCCACATTCTTTCGGTCACCGATTATCATCAATCAAATTGCAGAACACAAATTATGTTATTCATTTATAATCTAGTATGTAACTCTAAGTTATAGACTCTCAAAAATAAAAAAAATAACACTATTACTAAACAAAAATAACAATTTTTTAACATCGCCAAATATTCTGCCTTTGTTCAAATTACCCCAATTTTCTCCAACTTTTGATGCAGCTTGTTTTAATAAAAATTCCAAGATGGTCTATAGATCACAATTAATTGATACACCTCTTAAGTTATCCTCGATTTGGTAGTTTCCCTTCCGTCTCTTATTTTTTTCTTCAAATTTATTTGTGGAAGGGATTGGAAAATCTCATTTCTCCTATTACAGTTTTGTCATTTAAGTAATTTAGATGTTCCCAAACTGGCCACACCTGTATGTTTATGCCATTGAGCACACCCATTTTACAATGTTTTGCAATCTCACTGTGAGGTGTAGTTTGTTTCTCCCATTAAATTTGGGCAAGGGTTGTGACTGTTCTGAATAATGCAGTATAGTAAATGTGATGCTATGCAATGTCCATGACTAGCTCAAAAAAGATACCATTTTGACCTGACTCTCTTGCTCTTTTTCCCCAAATGTTGATGTTGGAACCCAACCACCATCATCATGTTTGGCGGAGGACAAGACACATGGGAATGCCAGCACGTAGATATTTTGGTTGACAGCCCACTTAGAGCCTCAGCTGACAACCAATATCAGCCACTAGACATGTGAATAAATAAGCCTTCAGATAATTTCAGCCCTGTCCTTCAAATCTTCCTCCTGAAGACTCAGCTGTGTGGAGCAGAAACAAAGAGTGTGTGCAGTGCCCTGTCTGACATAACTCTTAGATTCGTGAGACCTAATAATTGATTATGGTCATTTAAAGCCAATAAGTTTTGGGGTAGTTTATTCTGCACTTATAAGTATATGTAAGTAATATATCTAATTCTGGATATTGTTGAATACTTTATACATGTTGTTTTCTATTTTACAAGAGAGCCAGGATCTTTATTTATCTCGCTTTTTGGTCTTAACATTTCCTTGCTAAATTGATGACCATTGCTTATTACATGTGTTTCATCATGGGTTGCAAAATGATGAAATTCTAATCCTATCATTCTTTATTTGATGGTTAAAATATTTATATAATGATTAACTTCTCTTTCATTGTTAGCTTAAAATGTAATTCAAATAAGAAAAAACAAGATTAAATATGCAATACCTACCACTTTTAAAATAATCTGAATGGAATTGGTATTGATAGATATTTCTAATCTAGATCAGCCCAGACGATAGCAGGATTTCTAATTCAGTAACTTTGGTGTGAGTCTCAAGAATCTGTATTGACAGCAAGTTCCCAAGTGGTGCTTATGCTGTTGGTACAGGAAGCAGACTTTAAAAACCGCTACTCTAATTACTTTCATCTTTAAAAACAAACGGCCATGTGTGGTGGTTTATGCCTGTGGTCCTAGAGTTTTGGAATGCCAGGACAAGAGGATTATTTGCTCCCAGGAGTATTAGAAGAGCTTGGGCACTATAGTGAGACTCCATCGTTAAACAAATAATAATAAATTAGCTGGACATGGTGGCACATTCCTGTAGTCCTGGTAACTCCAGAGGCTGAGGCAGGAGGACCACTTGAGTCTAGGAGTTCCAGGTTGCAGTGAGATATGATCTTGCCACTGCACTCCAGCCTAGGTGACAGTGATACTCTGTCTCAAAAACAAAACAAAACAAAACAAACAAACAAAAAACAGTGAACGTAACCAGTGATCAATACCTTTGTTTCTATTTTGATACAAACATCAAAGCAAACTAATCCATAGTCATAGAAAGTAGATAATTGTTTATCTGGAATTTGGGGAGGTTGGAGAACATGGACAGATAGAAGGGATTACCAAGGGGCATCCAAATCTGTTGAAGGCTGTGAATATCTTCATTGTCTCGATGGTGAAGTTAACTCATTCTACATATTACATGTGTGCAGATTAGTTTCAACTTCACCTCAATAAAGCTGGTTAAAAATAAGGGGAAAAATGAAAAGCAAGATATATCATTATTTCCTTTGATTTAAATGTTATCAAAATAATTAATTAGTACCATATCAACTTCCAAAAATGACCCTGGAGTATTTTGTTTAACTTTTGGATTTTTCTCTGATGGTTAAGAAATTTTATCTGAAGTGGTTTTAACTTGCATTTCTCTTATTATGAACAATGATCAGAACTCTATTATGTTTGAGGTCAGTTTAAACTGTTTCTTCATGTATCTTACCCATTTTTGGAGTGAGACAAAGATAAATGGACTCAGTGCAATATACATGGATCTATTTTTAAATGAATAACCACAGTAGAAACAACAGTTTTAGCCTCAAATCTGATTTGTGACCCATCAACAAAGAATGAAGAAGGAACTTATCAGAACATGCAAAGTTGACATTATGACATTTTAACCTACATTTTCCCTAAGTTTCTCAGGAACTAAATCCTGACATTTGACAATTCAACAAGCATTTATTTTATTTATGCCATATTGAGAAAAAATCAAGAATTTTTTAAGAAAGTTTATTAACAAATAACAATTAGGCTGGCTAGTTTTTCCAGTATCAAGATGGACCAAAACACTAAGGCAATTATTCAGATGGTCCATGTCAAATAATTTAAATTTTACTTCACTCTAGTGAATATCTTAATAAAATCCTTTTTATTACATTGGAATATAAGACAGAAAGTATATGGCATACAAAGACTTAACAGTTAAAAAGAAAGTGCTGACATCTGTACACTTGTTAAAATTTCCCTGTCAATTTATAAATTTTATCCATAGTAGCACTCTCAATGAGCTACTGCATCTCATTTGAAACTGCACCATATAAAATAATAATTAAATGTTCCTCAAATTAGCAAAACTTATTCAGTGTTAGTATGTTTTATAAAGCTAGTCATAAAATAATACTTTTTTCTAGCATAATTATTTTAAATAAAAAAGCATCACACAGACACACACACATTTACACATTTGCCCAATGAGCTAGAACTCTTCAGATATAGTTTCTAAGTAATGAAACAGTGAATAGAGTAACACAGAAAAGAGAAATTAAGGTTTGTCTACAAATGGCCTGGAGCTGTCTTAATACTGCAAGCTTTGCAGTGTGATTTTGTCCAAATTGTGTGCACATATCAAAATTTGTTGCCTGAAATCTTCAACATAGTTATTGAAATTTTTAAGGTGTTCTTCAGTATTTCTTGCTGCTTACTTCAGATTTTGTGGGCTGTAGTAGTTTATTACAGTTGTAATGGTTGGCTTCTCAGCAAAGAATACATAATAAAACTTTAACAGTAAATATATTTATATTTTTATTTCCCAAACTCAAAATATACTCTAAACCACTAGGTATAGTGGTTTATGCCTTTAATTCCAACACTTTGGGAGGCCAAGGCAGGAGGAACACTTGAGGCCAGGAGTTCGAAATTAGCCTGGTTAACATAGCAAGACCCTCATCTCTACAAAAGAAAAAATTAGAAAGAAAAACAAAATTAGCCTGTCATGGAGATGTACAACTGTAGCCCTAGCTACTTGGCAGGCTGAGATGAGCTATGATTGTGCCATTGCAATCTAGCCTTCGTGACAGAGCAAGACCATTTCAAAAAAAAAAAAAAAATTAAAACGTCAGCCAGCCATGGTGGCTCCTGCCTGTAATCCTAGCACTTTGGGAGGCTGAGGCGGGCAGATCACCTGAGATCAGGAGTTTGAGACCAGCCTGGCCAAAATGGCGAAACTCTGTCTCTATTAATAATACAAAAATTAGCTGGACATGGTGGCGCATGCCTGTAATCCCAGCTACTCGGGAAGCTGAAGCAGGAGAATTGCTTGAACCTGGGAAGCAGAGGTTGCAGTAAGCCAAGATCGCACCACTGCACTCCAGCCTGGGCAACAGAGCAGGGCTCTGTCTCAAAAAGAAAAAAAATAATAATTATAAAGTCTAACCTTAACTAAAAGTATTAAACATAGAAAAATAATGTATTTTTGAAATCTCTGATATAGCAGAGGGAACAAGTTCAGAGGAATAAGGTAAGATATGTTTGGAAAACTCGAAAGATAAAAAAGGACAGAGATCCTGGAGCATCTGAGTGAGGGGAGGAGTGAGCTCAACTCTGACGTGTAAATAGCTTAGAAGGCATTATTTCTATCCTTTCAACAATGAAAACACCTGGACAAACTGAAAATCAATGACTTTTCTTGGACCTATAAACTAGTTGAGATTACAGGCAAATCACAACCTCAAGCTCTGCAAAGGCAAGCTTGTTCAGCCAAGATCTGCTACAGGGAGCAGATTGGAGTCATAAACTGGTAAAATTACTTATATGCCAATTTTGATAAATTGTTGAAAGCTAAATGTAGATCACTACCAAATAACCAAATATCAAATATCCAGGGTAAAAGACTTTAATAGAGCCTTATCCTAGCTGAAGAGGGGCCGTCTTTCCACTCCAGCCCTTTCAAGCTTTTCTGCCTCACTAAATGGAGGATCTAAAAAAAACAGTTGATAAGGAGTAGGGCTTCAAGGAAATAGATTGGGAACACCACAGCCAAAGAAGGGAGTGGGACCAATGGACAAAGAAGTTATGCCATGGCGACGGCGAGACTCCGTCTCAAAAAAAAAAAAAAAAAAAAAAAAAGAAGTTATGCCATGGGAAAATCAATGGTGAAAGTCATGGCCTTGAGACATAGAACTATTAGAGCTCTGAGATTTACCTGGAGGACTAATTATATAATGCCCCTCACCCTGTCTTACCACCACACCAATAGTGTTCCTATATAATAGGTTGATTAAAGCTGAAAAGACACAGTTGTAGTTGCAATTATCTGTAGTGAGTATATGAATCAAACGTGGAGCTAACTCACAATTTTATGCCCAATAATGCCTTTCTCCTGGAAATTATAAAAATTTCAGCTAAATAACTCTTGCGTGAAATGGGAAATAGAAACTAAAATTCCAAATTTTTTAAAAATCGCAACCATAAAAAATAAAAATCTATACATTAAAAGCAGCAATCAGAAAATAAAATACAAAAATGTTACTGTGTAAGAGGAAGATAAATGAAATTCATTTTCATCTCAATAAATGATTAAAAAGAGTAACAAAACAGCCCCCCCAACACACACAGAGACACACACACACAAAAGAATATAATAAAGATAGAAGCAGAAATTATTGAGGCAAATGGTAAAGATCTAATTAATGAATCAAAATCTTGTATTTTGAAAAATATTAACACGTATAGCAAATGACTGGTTTGACTTAAAAAATGAGTTAAAAACGCATTAAAACAAGAACAACAAAGATAGAATAATTATTGAAATGTTTTTAAATTATACATTATTTGATGTTTTTGCCTGGAGGCTTAGAAGATTTTATCTTTGCCTTTAAATTCAGAGTTCATTATTCTAGGTTAATCTTCTCAGGTATCTACCAACACCTTTCAATCTGTAAATTTCAGTACTTTTCTATTTTCTATGTTACAGTTTTGTTTTGTTTAGGGATTCAAAATGATGAATATTATTCATTTTTGACTGTCCTCTATTTCTATTATTTTCTCTCTGATCCCTTCTATATGCATTTTTACATGATTTTTATTTTCTTGGGTGTTCTCTTGTCTTTTCTCAGTGTTCTTTATCAATTTTTTATTTGAGCCTATTCTCCCTTTGGCTTCTGGAAATTTATTCTTCATTTTGATATATTTTTAAATATTTTGTTTTATTTCTCTCATGTTTAATCAATTCACTTTTATTTCTCTGTTTTCATTTTTTGTCTATTGTGTTATTAGATTTTGTATTTTGGAATAATAGTGGTTAGTCGTATCTCAAATGCTTATGTGAGGTAATGAGTCATCTTTGGTTACAGACGTGTTCTGCTTTCATAGTTTATTTTGAAGGAAATGGATTTTCCTCCATGGCTATGTGTGCTATTTGATTTCCACAATCTTTCCCCACTAGACCTCTATGGAGTTGTTAAATTTTGTGTTCATTTTTATATTACTTGTGGGTTTTAAAGGTTTCTCGTTTATGGTGACGGCAGCAGTCACTCCAGATGGCATGCTACTGCCATCATGCCAGCTGCAAAAAGAAGGCATGGCCATGGCTACGAGCTCCATGGAGCCACCCAATCACAGCTGCACACCTAGGCCCCTGTTCCACTAAGCAGGCAGGAGACCTGCCTTCCTGAGCACAGCTGCAGCTGCCCAAACCACCTCTGCAGGCTGAGGCATCCCTGCACTCTTGGGGGACTGGGAAGGCCCCTGACCCTTTCAGGCTCAGTAGTGCCTGCTTCCAGTGCCTGGCTTCTCCCTGCTTTTGGCACTCACTTAGATCTCGAAGTCTGGCCAAGCCCAGGTGCTATGAACGGCAGCAGGAGGCAGACAGGCTCCTGGACAGAAGCGGGCAGGTCCCCAGTAAGGCCCCACCTTAAGGCCAGGAAGGGCCTGAAGGCTGGGGGCTGGGCTTCTGGTCCCACGAATGAAGTGGGGACTTGTGGTGCCTTTTCTGGGCCCATCCATGGCTGCCCATGGGCCAATTGGCAAACACTTGCTCCCCTTTGAGGTCCGTAAAAGCCCCAGGCTCAGCCAGAGCAGTCAGAGGATGGAGAGAGGGGATGACCGGTTGCAGAGAGGAGCTACCTTCTCTGCTGATCACTGGAGATGACCAGATGACTGGCTGCAGAGAAGAGCTACCCTCTCTGCTGAGAGCTGCAGAGACAATGGAATGACCTGCCAGCAGAAGGAGCCATCCTCTTCCGGGGCCTCATTTCTGCTGAGAGCTGAACACTTAACTGGACAACTTGCCTACAGAGAGGAGGTACTCAGTGTGGGTCTCCTCTGAGCTGTTTTAACACTCAATAAAGCTCCTCTTCATCTTGTTCACCTTCCACTTGTCTGCGTACCTCATTCGTCCTGGACACAGCATAAGAATTTGGGCAAAGGTGCCACTGGCCACAGAGGTTTCCAGCCAGAAAAGTGACACTCCAAAGATCCTGTAACAATGGCGTATTCTTCTGACAGTAAAACAAAGCTCAGGTGTTTTAGAGTTGTTTGTTTATTTTTGTCCTTGTTTGTTTGTTTTAGTGGTGAGAAAATAGGTTGAGAATCTTCTAATTTGTAGTTCTTTTTCTTTTGCAATAATCCAGTTTTTTCCTTTTCTTCCCTTTCTCTTTATCACTTATTTGTCCAAAGGCATCTCACCCTTTCTGCATCTTCTACAGAAGTATGAATTTCAGAATGCCTTTTAAATCATGCCATTCTACATAAATTTTGCATGCTTTCAAGTTATTTTTCCTATAGCTTATTCTTTGTCTTAATATTATTTTCAAATATAGAGGAGTGTACTTTTAAGTCAACAGTAGATTCATTTGCTAGTTTCCTTCTCTCTTTCCCAGTTTTTCTTTTAATTTGCCTTTGTTCACTATAAAATTCTGTAAAATGCTGAAGTGGTGTAGGAAATTAAGAGATCATGCACTGAGTTTGGTGATTTTCCTTTTTCACTTACAGCTATGATGTCAGCATCATCAATTTCATCATCTTTCTTCAAATGATAGTTCTTTGATGACTCATCAATCCACTCCAAAAATGACAAACACAAATTTGCTAATTCTCTTGTATAGTCATCAGTCCAAAATTGAATACAAAATTCAGGTATGATATCATTGCTAAAAACAAAAGAGGTAAAGGAAATGGACAAATAATTTTAAATACTTTAAAAACACTACAAATTATTTTAACCAATTTAAATATATAATGCATGTCTATATATTATCTTTATTTATAATCAAAATAGTTCTGTCTCATTATTTGCATTTCAATTTAACCTGCTCAGAAACAATTAAAAGGTTACTAAATGTAGTGCTACATAATACACAATTATCAAGTACCGGGGTGGGAATAAATTCAGTTTTAGACTTACAATTAAGGAAACAGTAGAAAGAATTTTCATATTTACTCTCCCCCACATTATTATATTTGTTATAATTAATGAACCCATATTGGTAACTTACTGACTAAATTAATTCTTCATTTAAATTTATTCAGTTTTTAAATAATTTTTTTTTTGTCACAGGTTCCTATCCAGGATATCACATTACATTTTTTAACATGTTTAACTGATACCTAATAACAGTATATTTTTATGTGGTACATGTGATATTGTGATACATGTACACAATGTGTAATGATCAAATTAGAGTAATTCACATAGCCCATCACCTCAACTATTTATTATTTCTTTGTGTCAGGGATATTCAAAATCTCCTATTTTTGCTAATTTGAAATATGCAATAAATTATTGTTCATTATATTCATCCTACTATGCTATACAACACTAAAATGTATTATTCATCCTAACTGAATACATTTAGGATGAACCCATTAACTAATTTTCTTATATTTCCCTCTCCGCTATACTCTTTCCAGCCTCTGGTAACCACCATTCTACTCTCTACTTCTATGAGATCAACTTTTTTAGCTCCTACATATAAGTGTGAACGTGGAGTATTTGTCTTCCAGCACGGCTTATTTCACTTAACATAATATCCTTCGTGCTCATCCATGTTGCCACAAATAACAGGATATTGTTCTGTGGCTGAATTCTATTTCATTTTATGTATATACACCACATTTTCTTCATCTATCAGTGGATCTTAGGTTGATTCCATACTGTTGCTATTGAGAATAGTGCTGCAATAAATGGGAGTGCAGATATCTCTTTGACATGTGAATTTTCTTTTCCTTGGGTATATACTCAATGTTGGGTATTGCTTTGGGGGCTTTTTGTGGTTCCATACAAATTTTAGGATTTTTTTTCTATTTCTGGGAAGAATGCCATTGACATTTTGATGGGGATTGCATTGAACATATAGATTGCTTTGAAAGCTATGGTCATTTTAACAATATTATTTTTCCAATCTGTGAACAGTATTAAGTTTTTCATCAGAGTTTTGTGGTTTTTATTGCAGATATCTTTCACTTCTCAGGTTAAATTTATTTACAAGTTTATTTTTATTTTTTGTAACTGTTGTTGGTGGGACTTATTTCTTGATTTCTGTTTTAGGTTGTTCACTATTTGTATATTTAAATGCTACTGATTTTTTTATATTGTTCCCATATCTTGCAAGTTTACTGAATTTGTTTATCACTTCTAACAGTGTTTTGGTGATCTTTAGGTTTTTCTAAATATAAGATCATATCATCTTCAACCAAAAAATATTCTTTCTCTTTTTCAATTCGGGTGTCTTTTATTTATTTTACTTGTCTGACTGCTCTAGCTAGAAATTCCAGGGCTCTGTTGAATGAATGGTGCAAATAGGCATCCTTATCTTCTTCCAGATCTTTGAGGAAAACCTTTCGACTTTTCCTCATTTGCCATGATGTTCTCTGTGGGTTTGCTCTACACGGCTTTTATTATTTTGAGATACATTTGTTCTATACCTAATTTGTTGACTGTCTTTTGCTGTGAATAAATGTTGCATTTTATCAAATGCAGCTTTTCTGCATCTATTGAAATAATCCTATGTTTTTTGTCCTTTATTCTGTTGATGTGATGTATGACATTTATTGAGTTGTGTATATTTATCCATCCTTGCATCCCTGGGATGAATTCCACTTGATCATGGTGCATTATATTTTCCATGTGCTGTTGGGTTCAATTTGCCAGTATTTTGTTGAGAATGTTTGCATGTATGTTCATCATGGATATTAACCTGTAGTTTTGTTGTTGTTGTGTTCTTGTTTGGCTTTGGTGTCAATGTAATCCTGGCCTCATAGAATGAGTTTGTAGAATTCTCTCTTCTGTAATTTTTTGGTGTTATTTGAGAAAATTACTGTAGTTATTCTTTAAAAGTTTAGGATGATTCAGTGGGTCCATCCACCCTTGGAATTTTCTTTGTTCAGAACATTTTTTTTTTTTTTTGGAGATGGTGTCTTGCTCTGTCGGCCAGGCAAGAGTGCAGCGGTGTGACCTCGGCTCAATGCAACCTCCGCCTCCCGGGTTCAAGCAATTCTCCTGCCTCAGACTCCGGAGTAGCTGGGAATACAGGCACGAGCCACCACACAAGGCTAATTTTTGTATTTTCAGTAGAGACTGAGTTTCACCATATTGGTCAGGCTGATCTCGAACTCCTGACCTTCTGATCCACCCTCCTCGACCTCACAAAGTGCTGGGATTACAGGCGTGAGCCACCATGCCCAACTGAGAAACTTTTTATTACTGATTCAATCTCATTGATTATTATTGGTCTGTTTGGGTTTTCTATTTCTTTATGGTCCAATATTAGTTGGTTTTATGTGTCCAGGAGCTTATCGATTTTGTCTAGGTTTTCCAATTTGCTGGTATGTAGTAGCCCATAGTAGTCTCCAAAAATCCTTTCAATTTCCATGGTATCAGTTGTAATTTCTATTCTGTCTGATTTTATTTTGGGGGTCTTCTTTTTTCTTAGTCTAGTGAAAGGTTTGTTGATTTTATCTTTAAAAAAACTTTTTGTTTTGATGATCTTTTTAAAAAAAATTTTTAGCCTCAATTTTATTTATTTCTTCTTGGTCCTTATATTGTCCTTTTACAAATTTTGGGCTTGGTTTGTTCTTGCTTTTCTATTTTATTGAGGCTGTATATTTAAAATAGTTTTACCTTTTAATGTAGGCACTTATTGCTATAAACTTTCTTCTTAGTACTGCTTTTGCTATATCCCATAGATTTTTGTGTATTATGTTTTCATTTTCATTTGCTTCAAACATTTTTAAATTTTCTTCTTAGTTTCATCTTGTTTAATTTACATTGTATATTTACCATTTCTATAGTTTATTAAATATTTGCTTTATGTATTTGGGTGCTTTTTACAGTTTTTGACCTAAAATCTATTTTATATGGTATAAGTGTAGCTATTCCTTCTCTGTTTGGTGTTATCAGGGTTTTGAATTTTTAACCATTCTAACAAGTCTGTAGCACAATCTCATTTTAATTTGTAACTCCCTAATGACATATGATTTTAGTATCTTTTCATAAGTATTTTGCCGTCTACATTATTTTTGATAAGGTATCTATTCAGATCTTTTGCCTATTGTTTAATTGAGCTGTTTGTTATATCATTGAATTTTAGAGTTCTTTGTATATTTTGCATATCAGTCATTTATTGGATATGTGTTTTGCTCAGTGCAGAGATTTGCCCTGTCATTTTAGTTCTTCTATTAGTTCAATAAAAGTAATTGATTTTTAGTCTGATAAGCTGTTTCTTGTCATAAGAATAAGAGTAATGACTTTGAAGCTTTAGCTTTCTGAGCTGAAACCAGAAGCCTTTGGTTTTGTTTTAATTGGACAAACCAGGTAGAAAACTTGAGAATTCCTAAGTCTACTCGGGTGGTTAATACAAAACAATTCAGGGTACCTGGAAGCATCAAGAAATTTTGGAATTAACAAAGAATATATGATTAAATATATGCATGCACGCTTACACCTACAGAATGCACACTTAATGGTCTAGTTTGGATTATAAGAAAGCTGTTAAATACTGGAAATTGTAGATTATAAGGGTCTTAATAAAATATTACCCTCATAACACAAATAATGACTGATATGGAATTAACAATTCTATCTGTGTAACAAGCTAAGAGAGATCAATAGTTAGATAATGCTTTGTCTTCAGTTATTATTCTGGAAGATTGCCGAAGCCAATCTGCATTCATATGGACTCCAATACATGTTCACTGCGCTCGCACAAGAATATTGGAATGTTTGTGGTCATCGCCACAAGCTGAACCAGTTTGTGTTTTCAACTATCCAGTCCCATCCAGTATAAACCTGCTTTTTTCACTCTCTAGTGCCTTCAGATAATTGGTTTTTTTGTTGTTCTTTCTTTGTTGTTTTTCTCCAATATTTTCCACTGTTATTTCTGGAAAGGTTAGATCTGGTAGGAGTGTGTTTAGT
This sequence comes from Homo sapiens, assembly GCF_000001405.40. Classification (NCBI taxonomy): domain Eukaryota; kingdom Metazoa; phylum Chordata; class Mammalia; order Primates; family Hominidae; genus Homo; species Homo sapiens. Next base: position 114,512,688 of record NC_000008.11, on the reverse strand, counting down.
CATACCAGAAACATAAAATCTCCCTCATATATAGCATTTTTTAAATATTACTCATCTCTCTCCTCTATGTTTCCTTGATTATTCATAGGCAAAGAGAAAACACATGATTAGGTTTTTCGGTTTTGTTTTTAGTATGCATGGAACTCTCCTTAGATTAACAAGTTTATTAGGTCTATCTACTACCATCTACATTACTACCATCACTTAACAAGGTATTATTTCCCTTCCTGTTTCAATAACGTTTTTTTCACTTTCTTTGAGCCCTCACCTGCAGCTTACCTGCATCTATAGGCATCAAGGACACTCATCTTTCAGCTTCTGGTCTCAGTCCAATTCCAGTGCCAATGCTGCACCATTTAGGTTTTTGTTATTAGAGCATCTCACTCTAAAAACAAAATCTGTTGCTTAATAATAAATTTCCTCAACGCTGAGTAGATTAAACAACAATAATGATTTTTAGTATTATCTGTCATGTTTCTAGGCATTTAGAGCACTAAGCTAGATGGTTTTTCCCTCTTTCTTTTCTTCTGATGATTACTGTCAAGGAGTGGCAGGAGCTGGAGTGATCTAGAATGTTTCCTTTCTTACATATCAGGTGATTAATGCAAGCAAGTTGCTCACATGTTGGCTAGGTTTCTTGGACTGAATACCTGCACAGGTCCTCTCCAAGTGGGTGTGCTTACTAAACTATAGAGGCTGTCTTACAAAAGTATTTCAGACATGGGAAGTAGAAGCTGCCAGTTTATAAAAGCCTAGACCTACAAACTAGCCAGCATCACTTCTGTATTTCATATCTAACAGTTAAAGATATCAGATTCAAGAGGAGTTGGTAAAAACATCACATTTCAATGGTAAAATTGTCAAAGTATTTTCTGGCCATATTCTAAAACTGTTGCATATGAAAACTTGGATTCAAAATGCATTGCCATAATACAACCTAAACGTGTGACACTATGTTTGTTGTTTGTTTGTTTCTTGTTGAACCCTTTTTCAGTCTGCTGTAAAGGAAAAACATCTTGTTCTAATTTATTAGTTTATTTGTTTTAAGGATCAAGTTCAAATACTATTTTCAAAGTTTATATTTATATACATATATATGATATATATGCTTGATATTTTTTAATAAGTCATATCTATTCCAGAGTTGTCAGCATTACTGCTGAAGTCTACTTCTTACCTACTAATTTGAAAGAGCTGTCTATATTTCTACATTTGTCTCTGTTTTGTTTTGGTTTGTTTTGTTTGAACCACTGTCTTCCTCTTCAATTCATCTTTTTTTCTGTCATATGATTCTCTCTGCATTCTATAACTCTATATGTAAAATATAAAACTTTTATGGTTACCTTTTTGGTTGGTTTTATATCAGCTTCTGACAGCTAATTTATGAAGCACTTTATAGCTTCTTGCTCATTTTTCATAAAAGTAGTATATCCCTTATTTCTTTGAGATAAATTATTGCTCCCTACGTTGTCTCTTCTAACAAGAAATTAATTCTTTATGTTTTTATTTTATTATTTACTATTTTTTATCTGTCATGTTAGAAAAATAACTGAAATAATAATAATATTAGATAATAATAATAAATAATAAATAGATAATTATAATATCTAATAACTACTAATATTAAATAGATATCTAGTGAACTTTGGATATCTACTTATATTTAGGAGTGAGTCACTAGTATGCTGACTATAATGACTTATTATGACTGTGTTCACAATAAACTGGGCTTACCAACTAATGAGTTACATTTCTTATTGCCAGGAATGGATGTGGCCATATTTTGAGATATCCACAAATGCCAATATATGTAGGAATTTTCTTTTGTGACTGTTAGTTTTCAAACAAAACAATAATAATTTCTAGTTTGAGTCCCATGTCTTTCCCAGAATTCAGAAGTCAGGGAAATGGAAAGAGAGTTGAAGATTTTCTTATGATATTTGTAGACTTGATTCCATTTCAACTGAGGCAGCTCATTTCTAGCTTCAGGTGGTTTCCCATCTCAGAGCCCAGACAGACACCATCTTCTCAGGGGCTGGGAAGAAATTAGTTGTCTATCTTTGCTGTTAGGTGAGGGAGGATAAGTTGTTTTGACTTCTCCTTAAAAGATTTACAATCAATCATTTTGATATTGTTACAGACTTCAGAGACACTTTGGTCTCTAATACTTGAAACTCCCCCTTACAATACTGCATGAATCAGCATGTCTCAGTTCCCCAATTGCTGGCTTTGAATTTAGCTCCTTTAATCAACTAAATCAATTGCCACTTGTTATTTTACTTTCCAAGTTTCTAATTACACAGGCTTCCCTCCTCTGATGGCATTGTATTTCCCTTAACTTTGAAATTTATTTTATGATAATATTTTACTTCATATTATTTGTGCAATGTTAACAGGGGTTCAGAAATAAATAAAGGTAAACATGTATATTTCCTTTGGGTTTTCCTGAAGAATAATTAATCATTATGTCTATTAAGACTCTAAAACATACAATCAAGCTTCATTTGATAATCATAAGCTGACTGGGCAATATTAAATTCTATTTTCTTAAAAAAACAAATACAAAATAAATTCCAAAACATAGGCTTATGGGCTACTTTTAAAATGGGGAATTATCAAAATAGCCTTTTTTTTACTTTTTTATTTTTTTATTATACTTTAAGTTTTAGGGTACATGTGCACATTGTGCAGGTTAGTTACATATGTATACATGTGCCATACTGGTGCGCTGCACCCACTAACTCGTCATCTAGCATTAGGTATATCTCCCAATGCTTTCCCTCCTCCCTCCCCCAACCCCACCACAGTCCCCAGAGTGTGATATTCCCCTTCCTGTGTCCATGTGATCTCATTGTTCAATTCCCACCTATGAGTGAGAATATGCGGTGTTTGGTTTTTTGTTCTTGCGATAGTTTACTGAGAATGATGATTTCCAATTTCATCCATGTCCCTACAGAGGACATGAACTCATCATTTTTTATGGCTGCATAGTATTCCATGGTGTATATGTGCCACATTTTCTTAATCCAGTCTATCATTGTTGGACATTTGCATTGGTTCCAAGTCTTTGCTATTGTGAATAATGCCGCAATAAACATACGTGTGCATGTGTCTTTATAGCAGCATGATTTATAGTCCTTTGGGTATATACCCAGTAATGGGATGGCTGGGTCAAATGGTATTTCTAGTTCTAGATCCCTGAGGAATCGCCACACTGACTTCCACCATGGTTGAACTAGTTTACAGTCCCACCAACAGTGTAAAAGTGTTCCTATTTCTCCACATCCTCTCCAGCACCTGTTGTTTCCTGACTTTTTAATGATTGCCATTCTAACTGGTGTGAGATGGTATCTCATTGTGGTTTTGATTTGCATTTCTCTGATGGCCAGTGATGATGAGCATTTTTTCATGTGTTTTTTGGCTGCATAAATGTCTTCTTTTGAGAAGTGTCTGTTCATGTCCTTCGCCCACTTTTTGATGGGGTTGTTTGTTTTTTTCTTGTAAATTTGTTTGAGTTCATTGTAGATTCTGGATATTAGCCCTTTGTCAGATGAGTAGGTTGCGAAAATTTTCTCCCATTTTGTAGGTTGCCTGTTCACTCTGACGGTAGTTTCTTTTGCTGTGCAGAAGCTCTTTAGTTTAATTAGATCCCATTTGTCAATTTTGTCTTTTGTTGCCATTGCTTTTGGTGTTTTGGACATGAAGTCCTTGCCCATGCCTATGTCCTGAATGGTAATGCCTAGGATTTCTTCTAGGGTTTTTATGGTTTTAGGTCTAACGTTTAAGTCTTTAATCCATCTTGAATTGATTTTTGTATAAGGTGTAAGGAAGGGATCCAGTTTCAGCTTTCTACATATGGCTAGCCAGTTTTCCCAGCACCATTTATTAAATAGGGAATCCTTTCCCCATTGCTTGTTTTTGTCAGGTTTGTCAAAGATGAGATAGTTGTAGATATGTGGCGTTATTTCTGAGGGCTCTGTTTTGTTCCATTGATCTATATCTCTGTTTTGGTACCAGTACCATGCTGTTTTGGTTACTGTAGCCTTGTAGTATAGTTTGAAGTCAGGTAGCATGATGCCTCCAGCTTTGTTCTTTTGGCTTAGGATTGCCTTGGTGATGTGGGCTCTTTTTTGGTCCCATATGAACTTTAAAGTAGTTTTTTCCAATTCTGTGAAGAAAGTCATTGGTAGCTTTATGAGGATGGCATTGAATCTGTAAATTACCTTGGGCAGTATGGCCATTTTCACGATATTGATTCTTCCTACCCACGAGCGTGGAATGTTCTTCCATTTGTTTGTATCCTCTTTTATTTCCTTGAGCAGTGGTTTGTAGTTCTCCTTGAAGAGGTCCTTCACATCCCTTGTAAGTTGGATACCTAGGTATTTTATTCTCTTTGAAGCAATTGCGAATGGGAGTTCACTCATGATTTGGCTCTCTGTTTGTCTGTTGTTGGTGTATAAGAATGCTTGTGATTTTTGTACATTGATTTTGTATCCTGAGACTTTGCTGAAGTTGCTTATCAGCTTAAGGAGATTTTGGGCTGAGACAATGGGGTTTTCTAGATATACAATCATGTCATCTGCAAACAGGGACAATTTGACTTCCTCTTTTCCTAATTGAATGCCCTTTATTTCCTTCTCCTGCCTAATTGCCCTGGCCAGAACTTCCAACACTATGTTGAATAGGAGTGGTGAGAGAGGGCATCCCTGTCTTGTGCCAGTTTTCAAAGGGAATGCTTCCAGTTTTTGCCCATTCAGTATGATATTGGCTCTGGGTTTGTCATAGATAGCTCTTATTATTTTGAAATATGTCCCATCAATACCTAATTTATTGAGAGTTTTTAGCGTGAAGGGTTGTTGAATTTTGTCAAAGGCTTTTTCTGCATCTATTGAGATAATCATGTGGTTTTGTCTTTGGTTCTGTTTATATGCTGGATTACATTTATTGATTTGCGTATATTGAACCAGCCTTGCATCCCAGGGATGAAACCCACTTGATCATGGTGGATAAGCTTTTTGATGTGCTGCTGGATTCGTTTTGCCAGTACTTTATTGAGGATTTTTGCATCAATGTTCATCAAGGATATTGGTCTAAAATTCTCTTTTTTTGTTGTGTCTCTGCCCGGCTTTGGTATCAGAATGATGCTGGCCTCATAAAATGAGTTAGGGAGGTTTCCCTCTTTTTCTATTGATTGGAATAGTTTCAGAAGGAATGGTACCAGTTCCTCCTTGTACCTCTGTTAGAATTCGGCTGTGAATCCATCTGGTCCTGGATGCTTTTTGGTTGGTAAACTGTTGATTATTGCCACAATTTCAGCTCCTGTTATTGGTCTATTCAGAGATTCAGTTTCTTCCTGGTTTAGTCTTGGGAGAGTGTATGTGTCCAGGAATTTATCCATTTCTTCTAGATTTTCTAGTTTATTTGCGTAGAGGTGTTTGTAGTATTCTCTGATGGTAGTTTGTATTTCTGTGGGATCGGTGTTGATATCCCCTTTATCATTTTTTATTGTGTCTATTTGATTCTTCTCTCTTTTTTTCTTTATTAGTCTTGCTAGTGGTCTATCAATTTTGTTGATCCTTTCAAAAAACCAGCTCCTGGATTCATTAATTTTTTGAAGGGTTTTTTGTGTCTCTATTTCCTTCAGTTCTGCTCTGATTTTAGTTATTTCTTGCCTTCTGCTAGCTTTTGAATGTGTTTGCTCTTGCTTTTCTAGTTCTTTTAATTGTGATGTTAGGGTGTCAATTTTGGATCTTTCCTGCTTTCTCTTGTGGGCATTTAGTGCTATAAATTTCCCTCTACACACTGCTTTGAATGGGTCCCAGAGATTCTGGTATGTTGTGTCTTTGTTGTCATTGGTTTCAAAGAACATCTTTATTTCTGCCTTCATTTCGTTATGTACCCAGTAGTCATTCAGGAGCAGGTTGTTCAGTCTCCATGTAGTTGAGCAGTTTTGAGTGAGATTCATAATCCTGAGTTCTAGTTTGATTGCACTGTGGTCTGAGAGATAGTTTGTTATAATGTCTGTTCTTTTACATTTGCTGAGGAGAGCTTTACTTCCAAGTATGTGGTCAATTTTGGAATAGGTGTGGTGTGGTGCTGAAAAAAATGTATATTCTGTTGATTTGGGGTGGAGAATTCTGTAGATGTCTATTAGGTCCGCTTGGTGCAGAGCTGAGTTCAATTCCTGGGTATCCTTGTTGACTTTCTGTCTCGTTGATCTGTCTAATGTTGACAGTGGGGTGTTAAAGTCTCCCATTATTAATGTGTGGGAGTCTAAGTCTCTTTGTAGGTCACTCAGGACTTGCTTTATGAATCTGGGTGCTCCTGTATTGGGTGCATATATATTTAGGATAGTTAGCTCTTCTTGTTGAATTGATCCCTTTACCATTATGTAATGGCCTTCTTTGTCTCTTTTGATCTTTGTTGGTTTAAAGTCTGTTTTATCAGAGACTAGGATTGCAACCCCTGCCTTTTTTTGTTTTCCATTGGCTTGGTAGATCTTCCTACATCGTTTTATTTTGAGCCTATGTGTGTCTCTGCACGTGAGATGGGTTTCCTGAATACAGCACACTGATGGGTCTTGACTCTTTATCCAATTTGCCAGTCTGTGTCTTTTAATTGGAGCATTTAGTCCATTTACATTTAAAGTTAGTATTGTTATGTGTGAATTTGATCCTGTCATTATGATGTTAGCTGGTTATTTTGCTCGGTAGTTGATGCTGTTTCTTCCTAGTCTTGATGGTCTTTACATTTTGGCATGATTTTGCAGCGGCTGGTACCGGTTGTTCCTTTCCATGTTTAGTGCTTCCTTCAGGAGCTCTTTTAGGGCAGGCCTGGTGGTGACAAAATCTCTCAGCATTTGCTTGTCTGTAAAGTATTTTATTTCTCCTTCACTTATGAAGCTTAGTTTGGCTGGATATGAAATTGTGAATTGAAAATTCTTTTCTTTAAGAATGTTGAATATTGGCCCCCACTCTCTTCTGGCTTGTAGGGTTTCTGCTGAGAGATCCGCTGTTAGTCTGATGGGCTTCCCTTTGAGGGTAACCCGTCCTTTCTTTCTGGCTGCCCTTAACATTTTTTCCTTCATTTCAACTTTGGTGAATCTGACAATTATGTGTCTTGGAGTTGCTCTTCTTGAGGAGTATCTTTGTGGCATTCTCTCTATTTCTTGAATCTGAACGTTGGCCTGCCTTGCTAGATTGAGGAAGTTCTCCTGCATAATATCCTGCAGAGTGTTTTCCAACTTGGTTCCATTCTCCCCAACACTTTCAGGTACAACAATCAGATGTAGATTTGGTCTTTTCACATAGTCCCATATTTCTTGGAGGCTTTGCTCATTTCTTGTTATTCTTTTTTCTCTAAACTTCCCTTCTCGCTTCATTTCATTCATTTCATCTTCCATTGCTGATACCCTTTCTTCCAGTTGATCGCATTGGCTCCTGAGGCTTCTGCATTCTTCACGTAGTTCTCAAGCCTTGGTTTTCAGTTCCATCAGCTCCTTTAAGCACTTCTCTGTATTGGTTATTCTAGTTATACATTCTTCTAAATTTTTTTCAAAGTTTTCAACTTCTTTGCCTTTGGTTTGAATGTCCTCCCGTAGCTCAGAGTAATTTGATCATCTGAAGCCTTCTTCTCTCAGCTCGTCAAAGTCATTCTCCATCCAGCTTTGTTCCGTTGCTGGTGAGGAACTGCGTTCCTTTGGAGGAGGAGAGGCGCTCTGCTTTTTAGAGTTTCCTGTTTTTCTGTTCTGTTTTTACCCCATCTTTGTGGTTTTATCTACTTTTGGTCTTTGATGATGGTGATGTACAGATGGGTTTTTGGTGTGGATGTCCTTTCTGTTTGTTAGTTTTCCTTCTAACAGACAGGACCCTCAGCTGCAGGTCTGTTGGAATACCCTGCTGTGTGAGGTGTCAGTGTGCCCCTGCTGGGGGGTGCCTCCCAGTTAGGCTGCTCGGGGGGTCAGGGGTCAGGGACCCACTTGAGGAGGCAGTCTGCCCGTTCTCAGATCTCCAGCTGCGTGCTGGGAGAACCACTGCTCTCTTCAAAGCTGTCAGACAGGGACATTTAAGTCTGCAGAGGTTACTGCTGTCTTTTTGTTTGTCTGTGCCCTGCCCCCAGAGGTGGAGCCTACAGAGGCAGGCAGGCCTCCTTGAGGTGTGGTGGGCTCCACCCAGTTCGAGCTTCCCAGCTGCTTTGTTTACCTAAGCAAGCCTGGGCAATGGCGGGCGCCCCTCCCCCAGCCTTGGTGCCGCCTTGCAGTTTGATCTCAGACTGCTGTGCTAGCAATCAGCGAGACTCTGTGGGACCCTCCGAGCCATGTGCGGGATATAATCTTGTGGCGCGCCGTTTTTTAAGCCGGTCCAAGAAGCGCAAAATTCTGGTGGGAGTGACCCGATTTTCCAGGTGAGTCCGTCCCCCCTTTCTTTGACTCGGAAAGGGAGCTCCCTGACCCCTTGCACTTCCGAAGTGAGGCAATGCCTTGCCCTGCTTCGGCTCGCGCACGGCGCACCCACTGACCTGCGCCCACTGTCTGGCACTCCCTAGTGAGATGAACCCGGTACCTCAGATGGAAATGCAGAAATCACCCATCTTCTGCGTCGCTCACGCTTGGAGCTGTAGACCGAGCTGTTCCTATTCGGCCATCTTGGCTCCTCCCCCCAAAATAGCCTTTGAAAGCTGAGTATTTTATATATGATGTTGTTGATATATTTGAAATTTGTTTTTGTTTTATTTTTAGAGATAATGTACGTTTAAAATTTAATATCAGGTATGTTTGAGTCTAAATATGTTTTGTTTGAAAAATAAGAACTGCAATGCATATTAGCATACAAAAATTACCCAACAATCTTTAATATACATTTTATTTGCAGCTAACTTTTATTATTTTATTTAAAAAACTGGCAACATGAAAAAATTTACATGTTAAGTCTCAGAAAGAAGGATTTTGAGAATATTGGAATTAATTGAATTTTTCCAGGAAATGCACTTTATGCATTAAATCATTGCAAATCTATAAATCTAACCTTGGAAATGTTAGCAAGTCACCCTTCCAAGGAAGTATAGCCAGTCATTTAATTGTACTTGAAGGAATGTACTTTTCTCTTTCTATCAATATATACATGTTCTTGTATATGTGTAGCATAGTGAGATGGAGTGAAATCTACATATATTTAGGCACATAGACACAGAGTGAGAGACAGACAATGCTTTCTGACATACAATTTATACTAATTTATACTTGAGACTAGAAGATGTTACAATATTTTTAAAATAGTGAAATAGAAATTTTTAAAGTACTTTAGAGAAGTTGGATAATAGCAAAATTTATTAATGCTATAACAAACTGAATACAACAAACAATATTTTTTGAAAATGTTTTCAGCATTTTCAATTGCACTAGAAATCTTTCTCTTGTTCACAGCACTACTAACTGGAACATAAGGAATATCATTGCTCTGTTTAACTTGCAGAAAACTTATTTACAGTTACCACAGTTATAACACAATTTTTCATGAGCTAAAATTATATTGAGTATTCAATTGATACATTTTTATTATATGCCTAGGCATATAACTTAAAACTGTTTAAAACTCAGCATTTCCCCAAAACACACAATTTGAAATTATATTTTATACAGACATATATACATATAATTATTAGCTATTTTGATTGGTAGCATGGCCTCATATTTCCTCCTCTGAAAATATTCCCTTCATTATAGAAACTGCCAATTCTATTACTGGATAAAGAAAAAGTTTTTGCTGTCTTGTTATTATTTTAAAATTCTGTTTCTGAGAGAAGGCAAATGTATAAGATAAAGGAAGATTGACAAAGTAGCTTGATTCTGAGATCTTGTGACATTATCTCTTTCAAACAATTAATGGAACAAAGACGATGACGGTTGTATGACAAATGAGAATTCTAGATGAAGGAGATGGACAGGGTAGACACCTTCCCCAGCTCAAAGCCAGCTATGGCTGTATATATCTGTGTATATGTTAGAGTTAATGTAATACTGGAGGTGGGGAAAAATAATTCCAAAAAACAGAAGAAAAAAACATATATCATATGCCTTGATTGTAATTTTTTTGTTATCAATTGCAAAGAAAGAGAACAAAGAAAATCTAAAATGGTGATGTAAGTAAAATAGACACTTTTCAGTAGAAATTTTATAAATTTTCAGTGTGCCTTCCTAGACAAAATTATTGTGTATTGAATAAAAGAGTACAATAGCAAATAATAACTGACCCCTACAGGTATGGATGCATACTCGTTTCTCATTAAGCTTACATGCATTGTTGCCCATACAGGTGATTGTAGTTAAAAGGATGGATGTGGATTATATTTCATAAAACTAACAGTTTAAACTGAATCAAGAAATTTCACGTGAATAAAATATAGAAATAATTTTAAAATTATACACTATATATATCAGCAAATACACAGATTGATGTATTTCTTATCAATTTTAGAGCAATAACTTGTTTAACATTTTGAGGAATTCAGATATGACGTGTGTGTATGTGTGATAAATACTGCTCACTCTCACAGTAGAAAAGAGGAGAGAAAAAAGTTTATGTTATTTTCCCTTTTAAAAATCATTATCAAAATTAAACTCTGGGTTAGTTTTAAAACATAGTCAACTAAATGTGAATAATAGTTACATTTATTACACAAGTAGTGCATGTTCATTGGGAAGTGTTTAAATAATAACAAATGTAAAGACGGAAAAAAACACAAAAAATCTCATTCCTTAAAAACACCTACTGTTTATTTTTACTCAGTATTTTTTTTCTCTTTTCATTCATTTCTTTTTGTTTATTTGTTTATAAATTTTATTTCAAGTTTAGGGGTACAACGCAGGTTTGTTTCATAGGTAAACTTGTTTCATGAGAGTTTGTTGTACAGATTATTTCATTACCCAAGTATTAAGCCGAGGACCCATTAGTTATTTTTCCTTATCCTCTCCCTCTTTCCTCCCTCTGAAAGGCCCAGTGTCTGTTGTTCCTTTCTATGTGTCCATGTGTTCCCATCATTAAGCTCCCACTTATTAGTGATAACATGCAGTATTTGGTTTTCTGTTCCTGTGTTAGTTTGCTAGGGATAATGATCTCCTTCAAGCTATACTCCAGGGCTACAGTAACCCAAACAGCATGGTACTGATACAAAAACAGACACATTGACCAATGGAACAGAATAGAGCACCCAGAAATAAGACTGCACACCTACAATTTTCTGATCTTCAACAAACCTGACAAAAACAAGCAATAGGTAAAGGATTCCCTATTCAATAAATGGTATGCTGGGATAACTGGCTAGCCATATGCAGAAGATTGAAACTGGACCCCTTCTTTAAACCATATAAAATTTAACTCAAGATGGATTAAAGTTTTAAATGTCAAACCCAAAACTGAAAACCTGGAAGAAAATTAGTTGTTTTTTTTCTTTGCAAGAAAGAATGTTAGTATTTATGCATGTTCATATTTAAGGTTGCATTTATTTATATTATTTTCTGTAATTAAGACTATATTTCTTGATTTTTCTTCTTACAGAGCATTTTGTAAAAATTCTTTGAATAATTCTATTTTCAGCAATCTTTCTCTTTCTCTCCTTTATCTGTAAAATCTGCTTTTCACTCTTGTATTTTCTCGAGTTTACAATATTATGTTGGCAGTGATTTTTACTTAACATTTTTTAACGTTTCTAAAATCTCTAAATTGTCATTCCATTCTATCATCCATCTCTATCTATCTATCATCTATCATCTATATATCTCTCTAGTTATAGTAAGTTTATCACTCTCAATGTTTTTATCTGAGTCTTTTAAGTTTTTGTCTTTGCATTTGTTCTTTAGAAATTTCTCCAAAATATGTTCACATAAGATTTTATTTGTTTTATTCTGCTTGATATTCATTAAAATTCCAAGAAAATTTTTGAAAAATTTGTACTCATTGTATCTTTGAATAGTATATCTCATTCATTCTGTCTCTTCCTACGAGCTTCTTATTAGATGAATGCTCAACCTTCTTATTCTATCTTATTTGATATTGTCCAGATTTTTTTGTATATACTTTAATTTCTTTATTTTTATTTTTATTCCCTAAGGGTTAATTTGTTCAATTGTATTTTCCATCTCATGAATTATCTTCTCAACTGCATTTAATCATCAGTTTAACATGTAGTATGCTTTTAATAGTTATGTTTTTCATACGTAGAAGTTCTAATTTTTCCCCAAATCTCTTTTCTTTTCAGATAGTTTTTATTATATATTTATCTTATATTAAATTTTCTGTCTTTTTATATTTCATAGAAAATTTTGCTATATTCTCATTCTGAAAACTCCAATAACTACAGTTGTTGTGGTGACTACATTTCTTATTTATTAATTCTCCACATACAAGCTCTTGCTTTGTACTATCTTAAATTATGAGCTTTCTGCTGAATCTTAATCTGAAAAATCACTTGTGCCTAGTTTAGGAAAGCTATTTTAAAGAGAGCTGATTTATGCCTTTACCGATAACCAGAGACCACGATTAACTTCAGATAACCACAGACCTCTTAAGGGTCTTGGATAAGCGGGCTAGTCACTCAGTTTCTCACATTCAGTTTTTGTACCTATGTTTTCAATCTTCATTACAGTGAATCAGATTTTCAAATTTGTCACTTTAGCAGCAACTCAAAGCCCTGTTTTAGACTTACGTAGGTTTGAGGTCATTGTCTGATCATTTATTAAGAAGTGATAAATGATCTCTCCGACCAGTGATGCTCAGTAATTTGTGTTCAAATGGCTTTTTTGTTACAAGAAGTTCATTTACAACATCTTAGTCAAACATGATTCTGCAAATGTAAAACATACAGTTTATTTTTACCAAAAAAGATATCATATTGCACAATTTATCTTTCACCGTTTTAAGATTACCAATTTATTTTTGGACAAATAAAATTATTAAAATAACAATTATAAAACATAATTAAGCCATTTCATTTTAACACCAAAAAAGTAATATATTTGTTTTATAAAAGTCATTTTACTTTTGTTGTAGATAGGTAAAAAATTTGTCAAAAGCATACTCTTTCTGAGAACTAGCAATGAGGAACTCTCATGTAATTCAAGCCCTTGGATATTATTAGGTTTCTTCAAAATCTGTGGTCAAGGAAGAACTTTCGTGACCACCTGGTTCATATCTGCCACGTCCCTCTACAGCAATATGAACACATTCTCTATAGCAAGGCTTCCCAAATATGAATGGCCTAGAAATCTTGTAAAATTCAGATTCCATTTCAGTATTTCTAGGGTGGAACTTGAGATTCTACAGTTCTAATAAACTCCCAGGGGACTCTAATGCTGCTGGTCCACATATTATACTTTTGATTGGTGAAGCTCAATATCATATCTTATCCTTTATTTTTGTAATTTTTGTGGAAATCTTTAAGTCAAATAATATACTATGTTTCCACTAAATCTGCACCACCTTCTGTCAACCCTATTAGTGATACTGTTGTGGAGGTTAGCCTTTAACCCATGTGGCTCATAAAATAACAAGTTATAGTGATCTCCCCTTAAACAATTTCCAATTTCTAAATTCCTAACAGTTCCTTAGCCCTTTCTTCATCCTTCATTGAAATAGTCTCGTATATTATCCCTATACTTTAGTCTAACCCCTCCTAATACATATTTGTCAACATTACAATCTTCCAAAATTACAAATATGACTTTACTCCTGATTAAAACCATTACATATTTTCCAATTATTGAGAAGATCCAAACAAGAAAGTAATGTGATATCTTTCTTTCATTTTTAATTATTGTAGAAACAGAATGTAGATAACAGCACAAGCCATGAAAGATGAAGAATTTACTTTTTGTTTGGCAAATATGAATGCGCTTGCAGACTACAGAATTTCCTCATTGCTGCTGTTTACATGGCTTATTACAGACTTATCAGATTAAAAATCCAGTTAATTATATAATTATATTAATGGATCATGATTAAATAATCTATGTAGCTCCTAGTGGATGATTTTGACATGTTATATCTGTAACAAATTAATAATGTGATACTTTACTATCACAGAAAATATATGACTATAATCTCAAAGTTGAGACTTACTCTATCCATCTTCATTAAACCAATTCAGCTCAGAAATTTTCCCATCTTGAAATTTCCCATCCTCTTATGGGGGTGAGTAAAATTTAATATGTTGATCTAATCTAAAAGAGTACACACAATAAAACTCACTATATTAATATTACCACTCTTTTCCTAAAATAAATTTACCTTTTAATTGTTTCTTATATGGTTGTATTTATTACTTCTGTTGGCTACTTTACTATAATACTTATTCTATCATTCCTTTATATTTTGAATTTTGCTAAAGGATAACCTGAAGAGTTCTCCAGTTCATTTTCCACTGTAATTGGCATACTAAAATGCAATTTAGATAGCCACAATACACAAAGACATTGTACATAGATAACCAATAGGCTCATAAAAATCAAGAAAACAATAAAAACCTAGAAATAATGTGTCGCACATCATGAAAGATAAATGAGAAAGAAGAGGTTATTACATAATTTTCCTGACAATAGAGAGGTACTGGTGGATGATTAATAAAAATATGTGGTTGACTTGCTATTTTAGAGGTGTAGATTGTTGAGCGAAATACCTTTTACATTTCTTTCTCAAATAAGATTCTTCTTAGAATATAATTAATTAAATATAATAATTACTATTAATGAGCTTGTTTTAAAACATTATTAGATGTTTTCAATCTCCAGTAAGTAACTTTTTCTCTTTCCTCCTGCCACCTTTTAATCTCTCCTAATTTCTCACCTACAATGTTGCCATAAGCATCTTTAATGCTCTTTCCCAACCTATACTCATTCTTCTCACTTTTGTCAACATTATTCTTCCCAAACAGAATTCTAACCATGCTGCTCCTGTGCCCACAAATCTCTGGTATAATCTCTGTTTCCTGAAGAATGGTATAGAAACTCCTTAATTTGGTATTGAAGACCCCGTAATATTTGGCCTAATTTATCTTTTCACCTTTATCTCTTGCCAATTCTCTCCTCTACCCTAATCGTGATGAACTTCTCATCTCTCACTGATCATGCCATGCAAGTCCATGCCTTTGATTCAATACACTTATTTCCTCTGTTTAAGGTATGTCATTCCTATTATTTCTCTTTTATCATACAAAGTGTAGTTCAAATAATGCTATTTCCTATCCAATGCATTCTGTTATTACCCAAGACAGCAAAAGAAAACACGCTTACCTTTTATAATTCCATAGCATCTTACATTTCTGTCACTCTTGCTCTGTGTGATTTTCTTGTTTCTACATGTTGAGCTAAAAATATAGATTTTTTAATGCCATGCAAAATGTTATAAAGTTGTTTGAAATTTCACCATACTTTTAAAACATTATGGAAGTTTGCTTATGTTTTATTTCTTATAACAAAATAGAAAAATATACATTATATAATGTTTCAAACAATTGTAAATTTGATTAAAATTAATAGTTTAATTTTATTATTTGTGTAGTTAGTTCTATCTCTTTAAGATTTCAATTATGCAACATCATAGAGTATAAAATTTAGAAAGTTTGTAGAATTTATATTTTTGACATTTATGTAATTAATGGAATTCTTTTTCCTTAACATACATGAATTCCTTGAAGTTGTATCTACTTCTTAATCATACCTACATCTATATGTTAAATTATATTAAGTATTAAAGTACCTGACTCATGGTAGGAAGCCAATAAACATACCACGGATTTAGTTGAATTAGTCTCTTCTACAGGACCAACGTCAAATTTCAGATTTATGTAAATATTTGAGCAGAAAATGTTCTCCTTCAAAATGCATGATTTTGGAAGATTTGCTGCCTTTTGAATACAGATGTATGTATTAATAGGAATCTTTTGCTGCCTTTTGAATGAATTTATATTTATTCATATGAATCTTTTGGTTTAATAGAACATATCCCTGATTTTATAATAAAGCTCAAAAGTCAAAAGAAAATTACATGCACTTACTGGAAAATTTTTACTTTCCAAAAACATTGAAGAAACCACCAATTCCTTAAGAGGACTAATTTGGATATCTTAGAATTTACTTTTGCTTCAAATATTAAAACCTTGCCATCCTTATATCAAAGAAGTGAGAGTGGATTTGTACCACAGGATATAGCAAGCATTCTATCCAGCCATTCTTTTCACAGCTCATCCAAACTATGTTTAATAATTAACTGTTAACTTACATCAGTATTTTTCTTCTTTCGAAAGGAAAATGAGACTCTTGTTTGTTGGTGACATACTTGTTTGTTGGTGAAATGAAAAACTCTATCTTTGTTTTTCAGTGAGTTCTCACAAGAAATCTTTTCCCCAATTACTATAATATCTATTTCATAGATGAGAAAACTGAGAAAGAAAAGTCACTTTCAGTTAATGATGTGTCACTATCTAGCATTTACTAGCTTTTATTTTTGTTTTTCCTTTCCTTTCTTGTATTTTCTTTCTTTTCCTTTCCTTTTATTTCTTCTCTTTTCCTTTCTGTAATTCAGAACTTCTGAATCAAACAGAAAATTGTTCTCTATGTACACTCATAAATTGCATATACATCAGCTTGGTGCTATGTTCTGTTCTTTTCCTCTCTATCTGGTAAAAACCTATGTATCCTCCATAATTTATCTCATATGATACTTTCTTATGAAACTTTGTTTTCATTTAACATGAAAAAATAATTGATTCTCTACTCACAAAATTATACTCTTATTTCTAATGAACACTTTAAATTTTTTAAATATAATTTTGGGTTTGCAATTAATCTGGAGAATTCAGAAGTTAAGTTTCTTGACGACAATGCCTTTGTAATATTTTTCTTTGAATTACTATAATCTGTCAACAAATACTCCAGGACTAGAGAGTCAAAATAAGGTTCTAAAATGAGGAGATCATATTTTAGCTCTTAAATGTCTTTTGATAAATTAGCGGTATTTCAGGGATTTTCAATGTGACTATACACTGAAATCATTTGGGAATTATTTTAAGAGTGGAGGTGCTTGTTGGCCTCTTCCACAGTCATCGCCATCTATTGCACTGTGATCCTGCTGTGTAGAACTACTTCAATGGGCTGCATAACATGCTGTTGGTCAGGTTAAATATGTCTGAATTGTGTCAAATGACAATTCCTGGTACAGTCTCCTGCGGTCATCATTGTTTAAAAGATCCATCTCCCTATGTGTACAAAGTACTTCATAAGGGGCTTGCCTTAGCTCAGGCTTCTAAAAGGTTGCTTAAACAACAAATGTGTATTTCTCATGGTTTTGGAGGCTTGAAAGTTCAAGATCAAGGTGCCAGTAGATCCAGTGTCTGATGAGAACACTCTTTCTACTTTCCAGACAGCTGTTTTTATATTGTATCCTCATTTGGTAGACACCAGAGAGAGGGGAAAGCACCAGTATCTCTTCTTGTAAGGGCATTAACCCCATTCATGGGGGTGCCATTCTCCTGAGTTCATTATCTTGCAAAGCCCTTGTCATTATCTCCTAATACTTTGAGGGTTAAGATTTCAACATACGAATTTTGGGGAGATGCACACATTCAATCCATACCAGGACTTTTGCACATGGAAGACCCAATAAGGTATCATGGAAGCTATGCATCTTGTAGGTACCAGACATATTTTCTTTATACAATACAATGTCATTTTCTGATTTTTGAATTATTGATAAATCTATTTCTTTGTTGTTTTAAATATTAGTGATCATTTTCTTTTAAAATATTTTCCAGTGGATTCTGAATTATCTTAACTAGTGAACAAAATTATATTTGGTGATATATTTATTATTTGTAACCTGGTTTTAAGGTAAATATAACTGATTGTATTTTTTTGTTTGTTTTTTTGTTTTTTTTCCAAAAGGCTTTCCATTCTTATTTTCAGTTCATCCTAGAAGTCTTTTTAAGCCTCAAGGGCTCAAGTGCTGACTTTACCTAATCTTTGAAACTTGTTTACTGTTGTTGATAATGGCACTAGGATTTACATTTTTTTAGACAGTAAATGGGATTTAGAAACCACCTTTAGGCTCCTTCAGTAACAGGCAAACCTCTATTGCATTTTCTCTCTTGACATCAACAGTTGGCTGATGCCAATATTCTGTTACCTTCTTTAAAATTAAACTGTATTTTGTGCTGCCACGTGGAACCACTTTAGCAAAAAAGAGAGGCTGTGTGAGATGTTGTTTGAGACTGCCATTTGATGAAAAAGTTGGAGGATGGCTTGAATATGGATGAAAAAAATTTCTTTGGTAAGATTTCTTACCAAGTAAATATGGAACAACTTAAAAACAGTGAGGGAAAATCTTGATAATACAACTTTCATTTTATTTTATTTTCCCAAGCAAAAGAAATATTGGCAACCCAAGCAATATTTTAATGTGGTTTTAAAAGCAGCATTATGATAGATTATCTCTCTAGAATTTAAGGTTTCAAAGGGCTATAGTGATTTAAAATTATAATGAGGTGTGCAGAGTCAATTTCTTCAGGATTTTAGCCCATAAAAACAAATTCATTGGAACATGCTAGAAACAAAATGTTTGGTTTTTTAAAAGAACTCTTTATACATATATATTTTTCCAAGTGGTGTTTCCATTACCACTGACACATGGAGGCAAGGTGGGGGTTGGAGCAGCATGATGGTTGATCCTTCTTAGTTAGAAAAACACGATTATCTTGAATTTTGTAGATTTCAACAATTTTATGCACAGCAGTGAAAACAGATTATTCTCATCTCACTTAATTGAGCACTGTGTTTAAAATTATCATTTTAAAGTAAATGTTTTTGTAACAGTTACGAACAGCCAGAATAAAAATCTCTATTGTACAGCAGCCATATGACAGATAATGCCTGACCCAGTGCCTTGTTGATCTAAATGATTGGTTGGGTCCAGACCCCAACTTTACCATGTATACAGGCCAGCATGAGAGAAAGCTCAATGTCAAAAGGAGGTGACAGATGAGAGTGCAAGTTTCATTTGGTACTAGGAGCTCTACACAATGAGAAGAAAGGAGACAAAATGACAGAAGAAGAAAAAAAGCCAAAGCCTCAGAAACCAGTTAGGCAGAAAGCATCAGAGATGGCCAGTGGAGAAAATAGGACCCTGACATGTAGACTCTTCATGATATCAAGGGGGTTTTGGGAAAAACTTGTTAGAGCAAGTTCAAATCCCACCCTAATAATTAACAACAGCAAAAACAAAGGTGGTGATAATAATTATGCTACTGTTAAAAAAGGATGAAGACACTTTACATGGCATTTACATTTAATCCTCCAACTATCCTTGTAAAATAGGCATGAATAACAGATAATGGAATTAAGACTCCCAGTGATTAAACATCCTGTCCAACTAAACGGAATGTAATCAGAAAAACCAGTGGTCTATTGCATTCCATTATGTCGTTGAAGAGTGAGAGACAGAAAAATACACAAAGGGTATTTATTGTTAATTGTTCTAGATTACAAGCTCCAGACTGAATCTCAGAAACTAAAGCAGGAGCTCAGTTGTACAGCAGATCTCTGGAACTTATTTACGTTGCTTAGCTGTAACTTTATACTCATTGAGCAACAAATCCTCTTATCCTCTTTTCTTCATCTCCTAATAATCATCTCCTAATTTCTTCTGGTGGAGAAAAGTTGCAGAGACTGAATGTTCCTCAATTTATAGTTCAATGGTATTCCAAATGTCCTTCTTTACATTTTGCTTTAGAATTCAAATAATAGCTAAGTATTAAGGATGTTTTATAAAATATATATAATATACAATGTGATTTAGATATATGTACATATAAAGTCTATAATGTGGTGAGAAATGCATACCAATAATTTAAATAAACCAGTGTTTTTCAAAATTATTTTTGGCAGCACAACTTATATTTTTAATTAAGAGATAACAAATAAATGTTAACTTTTCTAGTTTCAAATCTGCACATCTGTCCCTCTCCTCATAATTCAGGGGTTAAAAATGCTGAAATTGATGAAAAATATCCATAACTGCCATTTATAAGTTGATATCTAAAGGGATAATGTATTCAAATTTCACTAAAACCTATGAACAACTCTACTCTGCCTAATGAATGAATTCTCTGGCCTTCTACCATGCATTTCCTGAGTCCTGCTTTCTCTCTTAATCCAAACAGGAATTAGGGTTTCAGCCATCATTGAAGGAGACATGATTTTACTAGACATTTCTGATCATATTTCACAAAATTTCAAAGGCCTTACCAACACTATCTTTAATAAAAAATATAATCCTAATAACATACATCAATAAATTTCTTCCTCAAAATATATCATTTTTATATTCACATTTGACTTACCAAACATGAGTGCCTTTGCATCTGCATGTGGATTGGTCCCATTGGAAAAGATAGACTTCAATGGAGGAAGAATCGATTTCTGTATTTATTAACCAGGTAGAAGTATTTCATCTTACAGGCTTGTTTTCTTCCTGTATATTGAGAACACTGGTTTGCAAAGAAACATTTCAAATTATTTCAAATCTTTTTCATAGTAATAAAATTGATCTCAGCAGAGGAACTGATGATATCCAGTAAGTTGTATAAAGAATTGCTTTCTTCAGTCTGCTTTTGAGACCAAGTCCTTTCTATATGTTAGTTTCTGCCATTCTTCTTTAGAAACCTGAAACCTTCTACTTTAACTTGTTCATCTTCATTTTAACATTCCTCTTGTAATATAACTTAAAGTACTCCCACATTCTTCAAATTTTCAAATTAATAAATGTGATTTTACTGTGCCTTCTTTCTCCATGTTTACTGTTTCTTTCACTTTAAGAATTTTGTGTTTTCTTGTTTGTTCTTTTGCTACTTATCTCTCCCTAACTTTTTCTATTTTTTAATCCCCTGTAACACAAAATCATTTATTTTCCCTCAGCTTTATTGGAGTGTAATTGGTACTCAAAAAGCTGGACATAACTAATGTATACAATTTGATGAGTCTAGATATATGTATATATTCATGTTACCATGATCACATTCAACATAATAAGCATATTCATTACCTATAAGTAGTTTCTTGTGCCTTTTTATTGTCGTGTGTGTGTGTGTGTGTGTGTGTGTGTGTGTGTATGTGTGTTAAGAATAATTCATGTGGGATCTACCCTCAACACGTTTTTAAGCATATAATATCTTACTGTTAACTATAGGTAAAATGTTGTACAGCAGATCTCTGGAACTTATTTACCTTGCTTAGCTGTAACTTTATATTCATTGAGCAACAAATCCTCTTATCCTCCTTTCTTCATCTCCTAATAGCCAACATTCTATTGTCTACTTCTATGCGTTGACGATTTTAGATGATTCACATAAGAATTATAGAACATCATTTATAAGTTATTTATTTTTCTATTACACAAACTACATTGTATATTTTGCATAATTTTAATATAGTTTGTGTTTCAAAACCTCCTGCCCTCCTTTCCCCTCCTCGGTAGTCCCCATTGTCTATTGTTGCCATCTTTATGTCCGTGAGTACTCATATAATTTCCATTTAGAAAGTCGGTCGATTTTACTTGGAATATTGCTTCTTTAATTTTTTGTGGCTGATATCTAAATTAACATAATATTAAACATTAAATTATTTCTATCCACCATAATTATTCAGGAAGAAATGTATTTTTTATAACTCTTAAATAATCTTTTATCATTTTAATTTTGTACCTTTGAGGTTTCCTTGCAGCTCTAATAGTTATCTAACTTAATTTCCACATATTATCTAAATAAATTACCCGTGGACTCAAATGTGTACATATTTCAAAGGCACAAAGGAAAATACATTCCACAAGTATTTAAGAAATCAATTTCTGGGTCTATGACTTAAACAAATTTAAGAGGTGCTCTACTGGCAATATTAAAATATGTGCACAAAACATTTCTCACTATCAAAAATGTGATGCTGGAAAGTTTTAGAAAACATTCTATAAATAACTATGTTTTTAAAAATTCAGTAAAAGTATAGAAGTTTACACTGGATGGATAATTTTGACCTTAGGCAGAATGTCTTAGCTTCCCTGCTTTTCTATCCTATGTGAGAAAAATAATTGTGTATGAATCATGTTTTTTATGAACACTGAGAGGAATAATACATATACAATACCTGGCGTATAGTATTCTTTAAATATCAGAGATTATTTTTTCTTTTTGTTGTTATTGTTTACCTAAGTGTTCTAAAGTCTCTAGAAGCACATATTGGTTTCGTAAGAAGGAACAATAAAAATTTAGAAATTAGTCACAGTATAGAACTCTCAATATTCTTTTTTTGTTGTGTTCTGTAAAAATTTTATTTGTATTTATTTATTTTTAGTTTCAACTTTTATTTTTAGATTCAAGGTGCATATGTGCAGGTTTGGGTATATTGCATGATGCTAAGGTTTGGGATACAAATGATCCCATCACCCAGGTAGTGAACGTAGTATCCAATAGTTTGTTTCAAAACCTCCTCCCCTTCTTTCCCCATCCCAGTAGTCCCCATTGTCTATTGTTGCCATCTTTATGTCCATGAATACCCAATTTTTAGCCCACTTATAAGTGAGAATATGCAGTATTTGGTTTTCTGTTCCTGCATCAATTCGCTCAGGATAACATCCTCTGGTGGCATCCATGTTACTGTGAAGGACATAATTTCATTATTTTTTATGGCTGCAGCAATATTCTTTAATTCAAAATAACACTGAAAATTTTATTTTCTAATCTGCTTTAGACTACATGTTTCTGTTCCTTCTTCATGAAAAGCAGGAAATAACCAATTCTCCCTAATTATGTGGATTTATGCATGTCATTTTTTAAGAACCAAACTCAATAATGTGAAACTATAGGACTGAGAAGTATATCATCTGCATTACAACCCATTGTTAAGCCTTAAATAGAGCAAGTCCATAAACATTAGTGTACTAGTAATTACAAACCAAGATCACTCAACCATTACATGGTTAAAGCTTTCTTGAGCCAGTTTAGTGACTTGAATATATTATCAAGACTTGAGTTGGCTGTTCTTTCCTTGAACTAACTGTTTATTCCTTTTCAGAACTGATAACATCAATAATATATTTTGACCTTTGGTTTATTCAACAAATATGGGTGTATACTTTTATACCAATCATGCTCTAGGATCTGGGGATTCAATATTAAGCAGCAGCTAAATATTTCATGGAGTTTATAATATAATGTTGTTCTTTCTGTAGACTACCCATTGTTTACTAAATTGAAGTACATTTTGGGGAGAAACTCCAGTTTATCTCTAAAAGGAACTGGAGACTAGTCTAGAGCTACTACCTTTAACTTCTGTCAAACACACGGCAGAATTCATTGTAGAGCACATAATTTAGAGAATTATTAGCTACAGCTATTCAGTGTAAGTTTATGCCATCAATATTATTCAACTATTAAAACGACTAAATTAAAGTTACATCATTTGATTTGCATTGAATAAGAAGGTTTCCACATTGAGTGACAAAACAAAATGCCGAAATGTGTACTTCACCTAATTTTATTATTTTTTGGGTGAATGGGCTCAATTACAAAGGGTGTAGTTAATTAAATTCCTTAATTGATTATATATTATCATTTATACAAGTACACATTTTCCCTCCCTTCCTCCCTCCCTCCCTTTCTTCCTTCTTTCGTTCCTTCTTTCCTTCCTTCCTTCCTTTCTTCTTTCGTTCCTTAGTTGATTTCTAAATGTATTTATGTAAGCTTTTATTTATTTATTATCTTTTAACCTCATCTCTTTGGGACAGACCTTTTATGTATTTCACATGGTTTTTGTCTGTAATTTACTGACAGAACATTAATTTTTTATATATGTATTTCAATTTACGTGCACTGATTCTGTTACCTCTAGGGTATCCAATACCAGAATTCTCAAATAACTTTAATTTATTAATTACTGCATTTTTAATATTTTTAAATTGTATTCTAAAATATTTAATAGTTTGTGACTACTCTGAATAGAATATTATTTTAATGCATGTTTAGTTTTATTGTTGTAAAGAAACACTATTGATTTCTATAGTTTGATTGAAAACATCAAACTTCTTGAGCTCATTATAAAATATAGATAATAATATTTTTCAAATAATATTTTTATAATTTATATTTCAATTCTTACAGCTTTTAGAATTTTTGTTACTTTAGATACACAAATATAATAGGAAGAGTTGTCATGTTCCTAATATTAAAACTATTTTTTCTTATATTAACTGTATAATACTTGCTTTAGATTTTTATCATATAACTTTTATCAAGTTAAAAAATTGTCTTTTATTCTTGTATGGTATTCATAATTTTAAAATTTTATCCTATTTCAATAGTTTTGGAGGAAGAAGTGGTTTTTGGTTATGTGGATAAGTTCTTAAGTGGTGATTTCTGCGATTTTGGTGAACACAGCACCCAAGCAGTGTACACTGTACCCAATGTATATAGTCTTTTATCCCTCACCCTCTTTCCATCTTTTCTCCCAAATTCCCAAAGTCCATTATATCATTATCATGCCTTTGCATCCTCATAATTTAGCTCCCACTTGTAAGTGAGACTATACAATATTTGGTTTTTCATTCTTGAGTTACTTCACTTAGAATAATGGTGTCCAATTCCATCCAATTGCTGCAAATGTCATTCTTCTGTTCCTTTTTATGGCTGCGTAGTATTCCATGGGGTGTATATACTACATTTTTTTATCCACTTGTTGGTTGATGGGCATTTAGGTTGGTTTCATATTTTGGCAATTACAAATTATGCTGCTATAAACACACATGTTCAAGTGTCTTTTTCATATAATGACTGCTTTTCTTTGAGTAGATACCCAGTAGCAGGATTGCTGGATCAAATGGTAGTTCTACTTTTAGTTCTTTAAGGAATTTCCATATTCTTGTATTGTATTAATATAACTGTACATAGACATTAAACCTTAGTAAATAATATTCTACAAGGTAGAAGTATTCACGTTTTTAAATTTAATTCATATGTTCACACATTTATTAAGAGAAATAGATTAACTTGAGGTATTTTTTGCTAATATCCTACACACTATTGTCAACAAAAGACACACATCAAACAAAGGCATACATAGGTTAAAATGAATTGCATGATAAATATTTCAAGAAAATAAAATTGAAGGAAAGAACTGGCAATTGTATTAGAAAATAGCAGTTAAAGCAAATATAATTACTTACTGTATTAGTCCATTTTCACACTGCTATAAAGAAGCTTAAGACTGGATAATCGATAAAAGGAAAGAGTTTTAATTGACTCACATTTCAGCATGACTGGGGAGGCCTCAGGAAACTTACAGTCATGGCAGAAGGTGAAGGGGAAGCAAGGCACCTTCTTCACAAGGCAGCAGGAAGGAGAATGAATGCAGGAGGAACTACCAAACACTTATAAAACCATCAGATCTCATGAGAACTCACTATCATGAGAACAGCAAGGGGGGAACCGCCCCCATCATTCAATTACTTTCACATGGTCTTTTTCTTGACATTGGGGGTTATGGGTATTATAGGGATTACAATTTAAGAGGCTATTTTGGGTGGGGACACAGCCAAATCATATCAGTTACATATAATTCATTTACAGAAAGAATTAACAAAGAACATGTATCTATTGCAAGCAGCCCCTTTATGGTAAATTACATGACTGTTCAATATATATATTATCTTTTCATGTAAGATTTTAAATATCTCCCTTCATTGATTCAGTCTTAACTGGCTACTTTCTTTGCCTAAAGGAAAAAAAGCAGAAGTGATTCAAAGGTTCCTATCAGAAGCTCTAATAGCCATCATATGGTTCCATCATCTCCTGTTTCTCCTTGTTTTAAGATCAGGAATGTTTCAGATCAAAGTTTCTCCTTCATTCCAGATCTCAATATGAGGCGGATGTGGAACAAAGCTGAAGATGGTACGTAAATATCAGCTTTGATGTTGCTTTAAGCTTCAAATTTTGATGTCGTTTGTTCCTGCAGCAACCATTTAAATTAAGCTGACTAACGTAGTTATTAATGCTATAGACTAAAAAATTATCAAGTCACAACTGATAGAATTTCAAAAGAAAATTTATATTAATAAACATTGTCCTTGGGGAATTTAATTAACTCCTTTCAATGGATCTAAAGGTAGGGTGAATCCATGAGGCCTTCACTTCAAGTGCAATTCAAAGGAGTATCAAACTATTCAGGAACAAGATAAATAATACACTTATATGATATTTTAAAATTCAAAATTGATGCCAAAAGTCTATGATGAACAAAATATTAAAATTTTACATGAAGAGAATATCAGTCACAGTGCTGTGCCAAGCCACATTAAAGGCTGAAGTAAAAGGGGAAAAATCTTTATTAGGGACTTTAATTTTTTAATTACATTTAAATATTATTTACAATGACTAACGAGTTTCTCTTGATGCCCTAAATGATGTATTTGAGTAAATATTGAAGTCCTACTTTTTAGAATCTGATAAATTAAATAGTCATATGAAAGACTTAAAATATACTTCATAAGGGCCAGGCGCGGTGGCTCACGCCTGTAATCCCAGCACTTTGGGAGGCAGAGGCGGGCGGATCACAAGGTCGGGAGATCGAGACCATCCTGGTTAACACGGTGAAACCCTGTCTCTACTAAAAAACAAAAAATTAGCCGGGCATGGTGGCGGGCGCCTGTAGTCCCAGCTACTCCGGAGGCTGAGGCAGGAGAATGGCGTGAACCCGGGAGGCAGAGCTTGCAGTGAGCCAAGATAGTGCCACTGCAGTTCCGCCTGGGCGAAAGAGGGAGACTCCGTCTCAAAAGAACAACAACAACAAAAAATATATATATATACACACTTGATAAACTTGAAATATTAGATATGGAGCATGCAACAGCCAACAAAGAAAGAATACATATTTTTTTAATCAGAGAAAGTATATGTATACAATAGAAAATATAATAGATTACAAAGGAAGCCTAACAATAATGCAATACAGTTAAAAATAAATACAAAAGATTTTAAAAGTAGGTTTATAAAACAATAATATTTTTGCTCAAATGCTATTCAAAAAATTAAAATGGCATTTACTTACATTCCTTTATCCTCTTACTACCCCACTTAAAAACAAAATCAGAAATACAAGACTAAAATAGTTCTAATTCTTTTCAAAGTTAGTTTTATCAAACTTCCAAAGATAATTATTCAGATCCATGCTATATCAAGAATTAGGAAAACAGTATAAAATATGCCCGGTAACTTTTATGATAATTGTGCATTATTGATCCAATACTAGATAATGAAATGAATAAATAAATAATAGATCCATAGATTAATATGTAAGCAGTAAATAAAATTATACATATATTTTTACTAACAAATACAGATGCAAAACCTTTAACAAACTGAAGCACATGATGTTTTGTAAATATAAAATGTCAGCCATCAAGCAATGGATGACTATGTCTCTGTGATGAGCACTCTTAATGAGAAAAAGAAACTAGATAATCTAGGAAAATTACACAACATTTATTTGAGCTATCAGGGCTGTGAGGATTTGAAGAGCCAAAAGAGGAAAGAAGGAAGACAAGAGAAGTGAAGTAGACATTTGAGACAAATTTTTGTAAGAGATAATTACTGACTCCAAACATAAAAGGAACAGCTGAAAGACTGAGAAGCTAGGGAGAGCTTCTGGGATCTCACAGGGCTGAATGGATATACATCAGGGTCTACAGGGCAATAGAAATGATCAAAGCCAAAAATGAATAGCATCATATTATTAAAAAAGAAAATACTTGTTACTCTCAATTACTATGTCAACAGAATAAACATTAATAAACAGAGTTTTGCTTCCAGATCCAATATCACTTACCACACCATCCAGCAGCAGCTAGTGTAATAGGGTTGGGATTGCCTGCTGGAGGCACAGTTAAAGTCCTAGCATACAGGCACTATTCTTCAAGGATGAGGGCTGTCCTCCAGGAAGCCAGATATAATAGAATCAAATGAATTTGTATTATGCTCTGTCCAAGGTATGAATAAAGCCTACATGCTAAGGGATGGAAGTAGGAGTAGCACCATTTCCTGTCATGCTTAATGCCTCATCAGGGAGCAATTTGCTTTCCGTCTTGCAACCCTGGACTGAGCAGAATTAGGGCTTCCGGCCCCAAAATTGACTTTGCCAGGGTGCATTGCAAGAATTCCATTCACTTGTAGTTGTGGCTGCTGTTTGGGAACTTCGGGATCCTTAAATCTAAGGACCAGGAGTCAAGGAGAGGAGTCATCACGTTGGCAGAGGAAACTGATTCTGATCACTAGGATGCTACTGTTGCACAATGGAAACACAAAGGATTATGTGTGAATCCCAGGGATTTCACTTGAATTTTTCTGGGACTCCCTTGTCTAACTGTGAATTTAAATGAACAGATTAAGCCAACATAGCCATAGATGTACATGGTAACTTAATGCTCAGCTCCTCAGGTATGAGGGTGACGACTAGGCCACCAGATGAGCCACAATAGCCAGTGGAGGCCACAGATAAGTAGAATAAATAATTAGGAGAGTTTAATGATAAATATTTACTAAGAGCATTAAACAAACTACAGGAGGTGAAGATCACAGTTTTCCTTCTCAATGTCCCTCTTCCTGTCTTTGACAGGATGAAAGGGGCACCAGAATCTTGGAGGAACTTTTCTTCCGATATGGAGAGGTAGCTATGACAAGCACAAAAAGCAGACTCGGTAGCCACAGAAGTGCTCCACTCAATTCCCAGTTCAAAAAAGTACTTGGTCCCCAGCTGTAGGACATGAGTTCTTAATAGCAGAGGACCTCCTGCAGGGCTGCCTCAACTCCTAAGAACTGCCTCATCCACAGCCGGGCTTGGGTAGCTTGCATCCTATGAGCAAGGAAGCACAAATGTGTGTCATTTTAGACTGAAATGGAGCATTGTGGAGAGATTTTGTTATTATGTTTTTAACCCATAGTTCACACTAGATTGAGTGAGGCTTTGGTGGACCTGCACTACCTTTACACTTCTGTCCAATCCTGCTCCCCTTTCCATTTACACGTGTTGATCCCTAATACATTTCTTTTTGCAGGTGTTGATCCCTAATACATTTCTGACACCAGAACCTCCGTTACATAAGTTGGGAGATGCCAACTTCTACCTATCTATCTGAAAATTCAAATTCAGAATTGTAATGTTTGTCACAGGGATCAACATTAACAAGTTTATTTGAATTAAAAAAATAAAGCCAGGCATTTTATAAAAGAAAGTAAGTCTGCTTTTGGTGATTGATTTGATGATGAAAAAAAAAAAAAACTTTCCCCACAAATTGAAAGCATTGATTACATAACAAAATTCCATCTATTTCTATTTATTATTTACTTGAACATATTTTTTCAAAAATTATGTTGATAAGAAAGTTAGATTATATAAATTGATGATAAAATCTATGCACTTCCACCAATAAATTATATTCATCAATAGATCTTTAAATTATTTTTAAATCACCATCCATCTCCATAAGAGTTGTGGTTCTAATAAAATTTTATATTTTGTGTGGTAAATATTTGTAAACATTTATAATACATTTATGTGCTGTCCCGATAAAGTGTATACTACTATTGCTATTTTATTTATTTATTTTTTTTTTGGAGATGGAGTCTGGCTCTGTCGCCCAGGCTGGAGTGCAGCGGTGTGATTTTGGCTCACTGTAACCTTAGCCTTCCGGGTTCAAGTGATCATCCTGCCTCAGCCTCTCAAGTAGGTGTGACTACAGGTGTGCACCACAACACCAGGCTAATTTTTGTATTTTTAGTAGAGACGGTATTTCACCAATTTGGCCAGGCTGGTCTCGAACTCCTGACCTCAAGTGATCTACCCGTCTTGACCTCCCAAAGTGCTAGAATTAGAGGTGTGAGCTGCTGTGCCTGGCTACTACTATTACATTTAATCACAAATTTTAACCAAGTAACACTTAACCTAACATTTAAAAAAAATAAATTTTGACCCACATCAATACATTACAAGACATATTAGAGATGCATTTTTTTCTCTCATTCTGGTCACTATTTCAGAGGAAAAAGAAAAATTAACTTCATTCCAAGTAATAAATATGAATTTAATTTAGAGTTTTTATAATACTATACACTCAATAAAATAGGAAAAGAAACAAAAAGAGTTTATTAGGTGTCTACAGTAATCATACAAGTGTGGAAGGGGAAGGAAAACAAAATGAAAATGTAGAACAAACAGATGTAAATGTTCTATAAAATTCTAAATATCAGAAATAGTACTAATTTTATGTTACTTTTCTTTTAAAACTATGCTTTATTTTTACTAACAAAAAGTACCTACTATATTTGGAAACTGTAATTATTTAAAATATTTTTCTTATTTTAAAAAAAGTTGAAAGAAAAGAAAAATAAACCTAATTTCTATTCCAGAAAGTAGGAATTATCCATCCTATTTTGCAGGAAAAAGAACAGTTTTAATGGAATAATTCTCATGATGTGCTCCCTTTGTGTGTTGTAACTAAAATTTTAGACACAGTTTGTTTTGAAAACTGTGGGCATAAATGGGATGTCTCAGTGTGAAGGGATAAAACATGGATAAATCTGTCATTTGTGTGCAAATTCTCTATTCTTTCACTGAGGGGAGCTAAACATATGCAAAATTACAACAGAAATATAATAAAAACAATGTAAATAGTTGCTGAAGGGAAACTGAATAAGAGGATAATGAGAGACTACCGGGAACAATAGAATTGAATTAAATTATGCAGTGGTGCCAAAGCTGCCCTTTGTGTCACAGTGTTCACATAAATTACTTGAGCAGAGCTAAATGGGAACAAAATGATGCAGTATGAAGTGCATTAGTAAAAGCTAAGGGGAAACTTAATAAGGAAAAATACGATTTGTAATTGGGTTAATTAGGTGAAAATTCCAAGAATAGATTGGATTTTGGAACAGTTTTATACCATTACAAAGTTTTTTTTTTTTTTTAAAGCAGACATTTAAAGAATAAAGTAAGTTGTTTTTGTTAGTCCCTTAAGGTAAAGGCAAAGAAGCTGAGGATCCTTAGTACTGAAACTATTAATAACAGCAATCTTAAGCAATACTGAGACCAAACATTTTCTTTTCACTATGTTAAACGATACTGGATACAGGCGTAATTTCCTTACCCTGTGCTAACAGTACTGGGAATAGGCAAATATGGCTTAATTTCTTGCATTAGGAAATATTTGTCCATTGTTCCTTGTCTAATCAGTTGTGTTCAGGACATTTAAAAAACAGGCGTGAGCTTAAGGATCAGAATACGAAAGGTTAAAGTAAATCAGTTGTGTTCAGGACATTTAAAAAACAGGCGTGAGCTTAAGGATCAGAATATGAAAAGTTAAAGTAAATAATCACTTAGGGGCTTCTTTTAGTAGACTCATAAGCATGAAAAGCATTAATGAAGCTTTGATGAGCTAATCACTGCACAGAAGTAAAGTTTGTTTTTCCTTTGAGGAATTCTTCTAAATGCTTAGTGTCAACCATTGTGACTCTTTGCCTTTTTTGGTGAAACTTTGGTCTCATTTACTTATTTTCATATCCTAAATATTCTTAGCCCCAATGTGTGACAAACACATATTAGACAGATAAAATAAAATAAAAGTATGAAATATCAAGGTCCTGGATTTATGTTTCTGACTGCATGAAAGACTAGATCCCTAGAGAATGCAGGAAAGGGAAGGTAGGTGGTAGAGACACTTTAAAAATGTATCTCTAAGCTAGCTAGAAACAAGAAATCTCAGAGACACACACACACAAAAGAAAGAAAGAAAGAAAAAGAGAGAAAGGAAAGAAAGAAAGAGAAAGAAGGAAAGAAAGAAAGAAAAAGACAGTATCCTGAATGCAGAGAGAAAATCAAACTTTAAAGTAAGCTTTTCCTTGGGGATGTTTACTTAAAGGTAGTGACTTCAAATTTCTGTTATGTATAGCCACACAGTTTGGAGGTGACACGAGACAAAACCTAGGCCAATTCAAGTGATAGGGTCTTGTAGGAAATACATAACGATAGTACCACAAAAGGGCTACAACTTCATTGTAAAATCAACTGGTAAAAAGCCCCGCAAAGGGCTACAACTTCACTGTAAAGTAGGCTAGAAAAAAACTCCATCTATAAAAGGGACAATAAGACAACTCACATATCTTGGCCTCGAAGCTGAAGAGAGATTAAAAAAATATATCTCCCCTGAGAATTCACTGTAAAATTCTGCTCCATTGTAAACTAACCATTTTGGAATTCCACTCTGCTTTGAAAAACCTTCTTGAACAACTCTAGGTTGTTATTTCCCACAGCAAACATGTAAAAAAATTAATATAAATTTCTTTTTGACAAAACATCCTATATCCGGTGTTCAGAAAGTTTCCACAGATAACGTCCCAATGAATTTAAATAAAAAGACACAAAGTAAGAACTAGGAAGAACAACATACAATCTTGTGAGATTCATAAATATAATAATAGGGCATAGGGCACACAAAGGAGGGCAGAACTGTGAAGAAATACATTCTAAGAATAACAGTAAATCTTAAATAGAGCAGTCTACTCAGAGACTTGACACTATTGAAGGTGGGAATTCATTGATACTGCAGGCTCTTGATGAATTAGATCTTAAAGAGTGACTAGTATTTGCTGTATATAAAGGCGAAAGGTGACTTTTAGTTAGTGGATATATATTAGTAATTTATATCTATTTATAAATTATACTAGATAAATATTTGAATATTAATCAGATATATATACACACGTAAAAGATAAGTATACATAAATTCTTATACTGATCACATTATTTCCAAAATCCAAAGAAAACATATTTATAATTAATAAAGTTCAAGTCTACTTGCATAGCTTGGCAAAATTACCATGTTCCTAATACCTTATATTTTAAAAATCTATCATGTATAATTTTGTATTAGTTATAATTTAAATGCATCTCCTCCCAATATTCTTGCTTTAGTACTTTAGAACATAATTACCCAAGAGCTACTAATCAAGTCTGTATTAAGACACAAAAGGAAGCTACTTAGAATTTCCACTTCACATGAGGACTCATTAAGTATTTTCACAACAAGCTATCTAATTAACATCCTCTAAATATTATTTGAAAGGTAAAAGCATGTTTATCAGCCTGATCATCAATACTGTATTTATTTTTAACTATGCCAAGTGCTCTAGGCATTAAATAAATGTAACGAAAGTTAGAATTACTTTCTGTAACATAAAAGCTAAATTAATTAATTTTAGACATTAATATAATCAAAGACTTGTTAACCCATGTAATTTTTTATCTCCTCAGTGATGAACTTCAGTGTTACATATATTCTGGCAACTTTTACTTAGTGACAGCCATTGTACATAGTAAAGAAGAACTGAGCAGCAGAAGGCAATTATGTATACCTACATTCTTAATAACAAAAATATATTTTCTTTCACAAATTCAAATTATGCCCATGAGGTGATTGAATTAACTGCAGAGTAGAGATTTGTTAATTAATTAGATTTTGGGCACAGTTAAGCAGATTTCCAATCTGTTGGCATGATAATCTCTCTAATAATAGATATTTGCTTTATCACTATTTGGAAATTGTTGGGGTTTTTTGCATATGTGTCTATGCTACTAAAATATAAAGCCCTGGGCTGATTCATTTACAGCTTGTCCCTAGCACTGGAATATCATTCTTCACATGGTATCAGACAAAGGTGTCAGGAAATAAAACTCCTATAATTCATCAATTTTGCAATAATATGGCCAGGTGGTGATTGATTTGGAGAAATCAAACATTTTAGAGGAAGAGGATAAATTTTAAGCCAAAATTTAGTCAACCACATAATTCATTCATCTCCTAATAAGACAGTCCTTCTGGCAGGTATTTTCGGGAGACACTGGGAGTGTTCTCAATTATGTTGCCTGAGCTGTTACTGTTTATAAACAGTGGATTCACAATCTGT
This sequence comes from Homo sapiens, assembly GCF_000001405.40. Classification (NCBI taxonomy): domain Eukaryota; kingdom Metazoa; phylum Chordata; class Mammalia; order Primates; family Hominidae; genus Homo; species Homo sapiens. The sequence goes on along the minus strand of NC_000008.11, from coordinate 114,478,653 downwards.
ATCCTTGCTCCAAAAATCTCACCTTTGTGGCATTGCCTGTTTCTTGAATCAGCTTCACTGTCCTCTTGCTCTTTAAAGTTGAAGGTAGGAATAAATTCATTCAAACTACTATTACCTGAGAGCACATTTAAAGAGAGAATAGCTTTATAAAATTACAAAAATGCATCAAATAGACATTTATGCTTCTTTGAGATAAAGTGGTAGAGATATTCTATATGCTTTCCTTGACAAGCAGGCTACTCAGAAACTTACATTTAAATATGATTTGGATTATTTATTTGAAATCTGACACTTGACCTGCTATGCTAAATCTATACCACATACTTACTGTTATTTCAATGCAGTATGCAGTTTACTAAATAAAAAATTTAAAAACCATACCTTGTTCAGATTCCCTAATGAATGTGAGTTCAAACAGTAACAAACCAAAGCTGGTAATTTTTAAGAATTAATCTGATTATTTGACAGTATTTTAATTTTATAAATTTCTTATAAGTCAAGGGAAAATTTCTCTTTTTATTCATCTTGATATAAATCGGTGGGGTTCTATACATTGTTATAATTTTAAAAAAGAATAATTTCACTACTCCCTTCAATAGAATATTGGCCCATGCAAATTATCAAATTGGCCATTTTATACAGATAAACTAAACATTTTACTGTTATTAAAAAACATTTTTATTGATACACAATAGTGAATATTTTGGGGATAAATGTGATTTTTGAAAGTGTTTTTCACATTACTGTGGATACGTAGTGTGTATATTTATGGGGTACATGAGATATTTTGATACAGTCATACAATATATAATAATCACATCGGAGTATTGGGGTATCCATCACCTCAAGCATTAGATATACAACAAGTTCCTGCTGACTGTAGTCACCCTATTGTGCTGTCAATTACTGGATCTTACTCATTGTATCTAACTATATTTTGATACCCATTAATCCTCCCCAATTTTCCCCTCCACTGCCATCCCCAGACTCTGGTAACCATGATTTTACTCTCTATCTCCATGAGTTCAGTTGTTTTAATTTTTAACACCCTGCATGAATGAGAACATAAAGCTGTCTTTCTGTGCCTGGCTTATTTTACTTAACATAATGATCTCCAGTTCCATCCATGTTTTTGCAAACGACTGGATCTGGTTCTCTTTTATGGTTGGGTATTACTCCATAGTGTATATGTACCACGTTTTTCCCCTTCATCTGTTGATGGACACTTAGGTTGCTTTCAAATATCAGCTAATATAAACAATGCTACAACAAACATAAGAGTACAGATACCTCTTTGATATACTGGTTTCCTTTCTTTTGGGTATATACCTAGCAGAGGGATTGCTGGATCATCTATTGCTACCTACCATTGATTGCTGGTAGGTCTATTTTTAGATTTTTGAGGACCCGCCAAACTGTTCTTCATAGTGGCTGTGCCAATTTGCATTTCCACCAATAGTGTATGAGGGTCACCCTTTCTTCACATCCTCACTAGTATTTGTTATTGCCTGTATTTTAGATAAGAGCTATTTTAACTGGGGTGAGATGATATCACATTGCAGCTGTGACTTGCATTTCTCTGATGATTAATGATGTTGAGCACTTTTTCATAGACCTATTTGTCATTTGTATATCTCCATTTGAGAAATACCTATTCAAATATTTTGCACTAGAACTTGCCCAAGAATTTCAGTCCTTGTTGCCGAAACTGTCTTTCAAGTTTATTTAGGACTCTGGTGCATTTTAACCCATGGTAGTAGGTCTTGCTGGATCTCAGGTTCCAACCAAGAGGATGGACAGTTCCCCTCTTGCTAGGGCTTATGTAAATGTAATTAGTTAATTAATTAATATGTTTTAAAATATCTAAAAACCAGTCATTTGCCTTTACAAAGCATAGAAATTTTCCAGATAATATTGACCATCTTATTCCATTATAGTTCTTTAAATGTTTTCTAAATCCCAACACAGAAGATCCAGTGTGACTTTCTAAGTGTGCTGAGGAAACATTATGGTCCTATTTATTTCAGTGTTGACACAGACCAAATCGGAATTCAATTAGTAATTGTAAATCTATTATTCACCGGAGCAGCTCACAAATACCATGACAAATTATTTAATGATTTGTAAATGTATATGGAGACTGCTAAACCTAAGAATGATTCAATGTATGGATAGCAGCTGTGAAATCTCTACAGCTAACTTAATGAAAGCAGCCATTCTGTCAACATTGCTATACAAATTGTGCCATTAAAGCTGGTGAGAATGATTTAAGAGATTTGGTTGTTTCATTCATTTAACAATTATTTACTTAAGTTTACTGTATGCCAAGAATTCTGCTAGGTGTCAGGAATTTAGGGTTGAATAAGAAATAGGCACTACTTTAATGAGATCATTATTTAATGGGAGAGACAAATGCAAACAAATAATTACAGCACAATGAGATAACTGCTAAAATGAAGGATTGCATAAGGTGCGTTGAAAGCACAGAGGAGGGACACCCACAATGTGCCTGCTTTTTGAGGGGAGGAAAATTACAAATTTAGCTTAATAGTGTTCAGAAGGTCTTTTTACTACTTAGGGAGGAATTAATCAATGAAGACAGAAGTATGACTCATGCTTTAAGATAATTATAGCCCAGGAACTTCAACAAATGTTATGAGACTTAAGTGAAGTTATATGTATGTGAAACAAAAATTATTGTCTACAGGTCTGTAGGTGCAGATATAATTTATGTACATGTGACATTGTTTTCTTCAATGCAGAAAAATGATTCAAAGACAAAGATAGAAGTAAAATGATATAAACAATGATCTATTTGATTGATAGAATGACTGTAGTATCTGTATATTTCAGGCATTTTTATCATAAAAGTAAATTGAATTGTTTTCTATATTATTTTAATCTCAACACAATTAAACACAATTAAACCTATATAAATCTTCAGAAGAAACTTATTTTCTTCTTTGCACATGCATTTTTTATAATCAATAAGCGGCTATCTAAGTATTTGTTGCTTGTGTGCACATACCTGCATACTAATACACACACTCACACAAACACACACATGGAAACAAAAGACTGATACACACCAAAATATTACTAGAAATTATATTTGATTTGGGTTAAACATGACTTTTTAATCTTTGGGCTTTTTATTGTTACATATTTTCATAATTAATATAGTTTACTTTTATAATCAGAGAAAAATAAAAAATTTAGTCAGTAAAAAAAAAAATGTGGTAATCATGAAACCTAAACTGGGATTCTGGGATGACAAAGATGTCATGCTTTTCTGTATTGAGTGATAAATGCATATGACCAATAATGCAAATCGATGTAAATGATTAGACCGTGATTGTATTTGTATGTATTCTGCCATCCTCACTTTTTAGAAGTTTTGGCTTATTAGTCTGAGGAAATTTCTTTCCTTCCCACCCCCTCCCACCTCAAAAGTGAGGTAATAAAAGAGTCAATTGCTCTAAAAGGCTCCGAAGAGCCTTTTATTGGCAGCATAAACCCTTCCTAGCACAACAGTGAGATTATGTACCCAGTGGAGCTTCTCACAGCAGAGATGAATTTTTATAAATAGATTTTAAGAATTATAAAATGATATAACATTTTCTTTGGTATCCCTGATAGGATTTCCCTCTCATTTTGTCACTCCACGTTACAAAATTATACAAAGCATGCTTTTCAACTTATGTTTTCGAGATTCTGAAATGTATTGTTCCATCAAGAAATTAGACACTGTGATGTGAAGAAGAGCATTGCCATCATCAAATGCTAGTGCTAATCAGTGGATGGCAGTTTCAGAGTACCTAGTTGAGAATCCTGGAAGAAATAAAGAGAGGCCACTGAAAATTCTGCTCCTTAAGACCCATTTCTCTACAGGAATGTTTGTAATGAATGGTGCATAGTTGCACATTCAAAATTTTTGTGATGAGTACTTATTTTTGCTATCATGCACCTATGTTATAATTAACAATAAAGAATTTCTTAAGTAAATAATTTTTTCTTTGGTGCTTTCCATTCTTTTTGTTATTTTTAACCATTAAATAATTTTAAGTGTATCTTTTTCTATTTTATAATAGATCTTAGTTTTACAATGATTAATCCAAAAACAGTTTGGTATTTTTTCTTTTGCAAACCAACTAATATTTTACCTTGTCGATTCTGTTATTCTCTATTTTCTATTCCATTGATATGTATTCTTATGCTTGATACTTTTTAAAAGGTACTCCTTTTCTAAATTTATAGTTATTCTTGGAGTCACTCCTAAATTGGGTGTTTAGCTCATTATTTTTCAGCCATTCTTCTTCTCTAATATTGTGTATGGGTCAATACATTTGCGTCCAAGCATTGTTTTACTCTTTATCACCAGTGTTGATTTTTGCTGTTTTTGCCATGATATATTTCTAAGTATTTTTAATTTCTATGATGATTTCTTCTTTGCCCCAGGTGTGGGGCATAGGGCAGGAGGGAGGGGTGAGGATTAAAATCTGTTAGCACTCAACAACTACAAAGTCAGGCTCTTTTTGCAGAATCAATATGGCAAATTACACAATTAAAGTATAAAATAATATCAAAATATGTAAATTTATGAAATGATATAAAGCTCAGCTGTGATGTGAACATCAGTCACAAATAATTTTGGAGTAAACAGAGTTCAAGTCTTCCAAGGTCCATGTAAACACTCTGAAAAGAATTTGTTAAATATATACAAAAGTTGTATAGTATAACTTTTCTATAAATGAAAAAGATTCAAAATAAAATAGGAAAAGGGAATAATTATTATTCTTCCTTTTATTCTTCTCTAATATTGTGCATAGGGCAGTACGTATCCCTACAAGCATCATTTTACTCTCTTTTACCAGTATTGAGTTGGGGTGAACAACAACTATATAGTATATAAGATTTTTAATTTCAGGAGTTTATAATGTTTAACTCTAATTATTTATTTCTTAATTTAACTATGATAGAAAATATGCTCCTTGATAAAGATGACTTAAAATTTGTTGGTTTTCTAGCTTAATATTAAGACCATGTCTTAATACATGGTCGATTTTGTAAACATTTAATGGATGCTAGAAATCGATATGAATTATCCAAATTTTGGCAGAAGTGTTACACAGCAATTAAATCATATTTGTTAATTGACTGTCTAAATGTTTCTATTTGCTTTCTGAATATTCGTCAGCTCGAGCTACAATGCTCAAAAAAGAAACAAATCTTTTTCAGCTTGAGCTACAAAAATTTCTGATAGTAAAGGGTTTTTCAAAACCCCCATTGTTAACTCTTTTTTTTTTTTTTTTTTTTTTTGTGAGATAGACTCTCACTCTGTTGCCCAGGCTGGAGTGCAGTGGTGCAACCTCTGCTTACTGCAGCCTCCGCTCCCCAGGCTCAAGAAATTCTCCTGCCTCAGCCTCCTCCTGAGTAGCTGGGACTACAGACACATGCCACCACATCCAGCAAATTTTTGTATTTTTAGTAGAGGTGGGATTTCACCATGTTGCCCAGGCTAGTCTCCAACCTCAGGTGAACCACCCACCTCAGCCTCCCAAAGTGCTGGAATTACAGCTGTGAGCCACCACGCCTGGCCAACTCTTTTCTTGCAATGACATCAATATTTGTTTTGTGTATTTTGAGGCTATGTTTTAATTACATGTAATTATTTAATTATTATTATTTTCTAGTCAATTGAAACTTCTCTTATTATGTAATTATCTTTGTTCTCTTGAATCAAGTATTTTTAGGTTTAGATCTATACGTTTATGGTTCTTCTATTGGCCATTATATTTTTTAATCAAAGTTTTTTCATGTTTCTTATTTGTTCATTCATATGAGTATTTATTTATTCATATTCATTCAACTATTCATTTGTTTGTCTCTTGTAAACATCATAGATTCATTTCTTATTAACTAGTTAAATACCTTTTCTGTGTGTTTTAGTGTATTTAGATTTATTGATTTTTATATATTAATACTTATGACACACAAATCAGTTTGTACCTTTTATTTTCATGGCATATTTTTAATCCATTAATGTATTATTTGTACTATTTTGATTGATAAACCTTTGGATGCTTACTTCTTTCTTCTCTTTTTCCTACTTTACTTTGAAGTAACACATTCTATTTCATTTCTAGAAAAGCTACAATAGACAGCTTTCTACATATTTAACAAAGACTTTTCAAATAGTATTTACATGGACCTTGGAAGGCTTTATCACATTGACTGGGCTCCAAAATTATTTGTGACTGATGTTCGTATCTGAGATTTGTATTATTTCATAAATTATATATTTTGATATCATTTTATGATTTAATTGTGTAATTTGACATATTGATTCTGCAATAAGAGTCTGACTTTGTAGTTTGATGTCTGAGTTCTAACAGGTTTTAATCCTCACTCCTTCCTCCTGCCCTATGCCACATACCAGGGGAAAAATGAAAAGAATTCTCAGGTGTTCCTTCCGTTGGCACTGAGCAAGAGATTGAAACCTACAAGCCCCCACCTGTACACAGAAACTATCACCATCACCCTTCATCCTAAACATAATAAAAATTCCAAGTCAATTTTTAGTCCTTTCTTTCTTAAGAAACTTTTGGACCATCATGCGAAGCCTGTTCTGAACTTTTGCATACCCTCAAGAGGTGGTGAGATTGTGTTTGTGAGCATGTGTGTGTGTGTGTGTGTGATCATCAGTCTTGACATCTAAAGCAAATTTTGGGTGGTTGTTCATCCTACTTCTGTAGGGGGTTACAGCAATCTATTAACCCGTTACCTTTGTTCCCTATTTTTCTTGCTTTTCAGATTTCCCTTCAAGGACTTTTTCCAACATATTTTGGGACGGGGTTTTAATTTTTATTTTCTTGAAGATTAACAATATTGAACATCATTTTATATGATTATAGGTCATTTTTTTAAAATGTCTGTTCAGTATTTTTGCCCATTTTTATTAGACTTTGGATTTTTTTAATCTTCCTTTCCAGCTTTATTGAGATATAAATGAAAAACAAAAATATATAAATTTAAGGCATAAATGTGATGTTTTGATATACATATACATTTTGAAATGACTTCCACAATCAAGATAATTAACATAGCCATCACCTCACCCTCATATCCATCATATTACCCTAGTTACTTAAAAAATATTTTTAAATAAAATTTTTACACAATAAAGATTATAAATTTGGACAAAGTCTAATTTATTTATTTTTATTTGCTTTTCTAGTAAGTAATCTTTAAAAGAAGACTATACTAAGGTTACAAAAAGTTTCTTCTGTGTTTTCAGTGTATGTTTAGGAAATTATTTCGTTTAATTTTTATAAGGCATAAGGTAACTATGTCTACTTCTCCTTGCCCTTCGCACACAGTTATCCAGTTATTTCATACCCATTTGTGACAAATATTTTCTTTTTCTCCTTTAATTGCCTTGACATTTTTGCAAGAAACTTTTATAGGTCCACTTCTAGGTAACCTACTGTATTCTATTAATCCATTATTCTACCCTTCTACCATATCACAGTAGGTTGATTATTGTAACTTTTAATTAAGACATTAAAGCAAGTAGTAAATTCTCCAATGTTATTATTCTTGTTTTACTATTTCTGTTCTAGGTCCTGTGAATGTCAGTGTAAATTTTAAAATCAATTTGACAATGGAGAATATAAGACTAAAGGAATAGTAACAATGTATAGCGCCGTACTTGAGTTGTTAAAGGCCATTTCAATGGATATGGAGTATCATTCTAAAGCCACTACAAATTTATACTAAAATTGAACAAATATATAAAAGGATGGCAGATGGTAGGAGACAGATTTCTCTCTGTTGGAGTAGGAGGTTACAAATAAGGAAAAAGGGAGGTTAGAATAAATCACATCATACTGGATTGGGGTGGGAGAAATTGGTATAAATGTATGTTCACATATATATAACTTACATATGTACATTTATTTGTATAATAATAAATATGTATAATTATAGATGGGTGTACATACCCATAATAATATACACACATATATTTTCTAGCTCTGTCTGCTTAGAGAGCCTTATAAACAATGACAATCCAGTAATAATAAGCGCATGCAGCACACTCAGAACTTATACCTCTGTTTTCAATGTTATTCTACATAGGCGGACCAGAACTCCTTGAAGAAATGACTAATCCTTGAGCTTAGGTAAGAAATACACGAGATGACCCTGGAGCATTATGTATGAATATAAATAAAATCAAAATTATGTGGATAATTCAAGGTGATGCAAGAACCAATTGAAAACAATTTCAATGACTATAGATGAAGTAATTGGAGCAACAAGATAACTCAATTAACATTGGATTATAATCCAAGTATGAAATAAATATTCATGAGTTCATAATTATATAAACAATTGAATGAAAAAAATAAATGTGAGAGAATAAACAAATCTTAGTGCACAGATTTCCAAATAACTTGTAGATACTCAATTCTGAAGGATGTGGAGTAAATACCACCCCCTAACTATTACTGTACACAGTGACTTCCTTCCAAATACGTGGGAAAACAAGTCACTTTATAGCATGAATGCCTGACAGTACTTCAGACAGCTGATCGAGTTTAGCATTATCAGTGATACATCATGTTACCATGTACTCTTGATATGATGAGGGCAAATGACACTTTACCTGTATGATCTTTCTCTCGAAAGACCACAACTGCAGTCTAAACATCAGCAGAACTTAAATCAAATAGCATTCTGCAGAAGATGTGACGAGTAATCCTCAGATTAAGGCCACTGGAAACAAGAAAAGCCTGAGAGAAACTCACATAGTCTAGATAATCCTGATAGAAAAATAATTAAATGAAATGTGGTATCCTAGATAAAATTCTAGAACAGACATTAGAGCAAACTAGGGATATATAAATAAATTCTAGATTTTAATTAATATTATCATTGTTGGTCCATTAGTGGTGACAAATGTGCCATGCTAATGTAGGTGTTAACAATAGGGACACTGGTTAATGAACATATGCAAACTTTCTGTACTATTCTTGCAGCTTTTCTGTACATCTAAACCCATGATAGAATTTTAAAGTTTAGTAAAAATAAAAGCCAAATAATAATTTAAAATAAAACTTGGCCAGGCGCGGTGGCTCACACCTGTAATCCCAGCACTTTGGGAAGCCGAGGCGGGTGGATCGCCTGAGGTCAGGAGTTTGAGACCAGCCTGGGCAACATGGTGAAACCCCATCTCTACTAAAACTACAAAAAATTAGCCGGGCATGGTAGTACGCACCTGTAGTCCCAGCTAATCAGGAGGCTGAGGCAGGAGAATCACTTGAACCTGGGAGGTGGAGTTTGCAGTGAGCCAAGATTGGGCCAGTGCACTCCAGCCTGGGTGACAAGAGCAAGACTCTGTCTCAATAAATAAATAAATAAATAAATAAATAAATAAATAAATAAATAAAATAAAACTCTGCACACTTACAAAATGATCTTGGAGAAGAGTCAGCTTGACTTTGGATTTTCATTGCTATGACTCTGTAATTCAATTTGGAAAGGATTGTTATCTTCACAATATTAAATCTGCCAATAATGGTGTATCTATTTATTTAGATCTTTTAAAAATTTTGTCAGCAATATTTTATAATTTTCACTTCAAGTAGAGATGTTCCACATCTTTTATAAAATGTGTTTCTGGGCTACCATTTTTGTTTGTTTTTTAGGTGCTATTCTCAATAAATTTTTTAAATTTTACATCTTTTAGTAAAATAAAAATACAATTGATTTCTATATATTAACTTTTTCTGGACTGTGTTAAATTCACTTATTAGTTCTATTAGACATTTCTTTCAGATTTTGTTCTATGTAAGCAATATGCATATAGAGATAATTTTATTTCTTTCATATGTTTATGACTTTCATTTGTTTTTCTAGCCTTTTTGCACTGGATGGTCTCTCCAGTACGAGGCTTTAGTAGAATTGATAAGAGTGATCATACTTGTCATATTCCTGATCTGAGAGATCATACTTGTCATATTCCTGATCTGAGAGAAATATAATTCGATCTTTTTCTATTGAGTCATGTTAATTGTAGGATAGTTTACTTGCCATTGAAATGTTTGAGACTGTATCCTACTTCTTACATATTGTCATATATATTTTATAATTATATATTTATAATTTGTTAATATCATCAACGGGTTTTTGTGTCTATGTTTATGCAGGACGTTGTATATATTTTTCTCATTATAGCTGTTATATATCCACTTTAGTTACATGGACTTTTTAAATAATTTGTTCTCCCTTTATTTTCTGAAACATTTCCTCCTAACAGCGCTCCATTGTTTTTACATTTTTTTTTCCCATTTGCTTGCTTTTGTTTGACTAGATTTTATTTTTCTTTTTAATCTTGGGTTCCTCATATTTTGTATCCAAAAGCAGCATAAAGTATCTTAATGGTATCTTCCAAGAGATAGGAGGTTCTAGTAAGAGATCTACCAAGGGAAAGTTCTTCCCTGTCAATTTTTAATTCACCCATAGCTTTTTTCTAGTAGAAGCGCCATGTCTCTGCAGCTTATCCTGAAGTAAAAGTTCTATCCAACCTCATTCTCTTTTTTTCTCTTTTACATTTGTATTTTATCCTCTTTCTTCACTGAGTTTAATTTGATTTCTTCAGAACGACGCTAGAGTTCATAAGGCATCTCTCATGTGATATATATGCTAATATTTAATTCATCTAATACATTTTTATTTTCAATTAGTATGCTTTTCATTGTTTTGCTGTATACCAGACTGTGGCCTGTTCTCATAGCAGACACCATAAAACATGTTTCTCTTATCATCCAATATTTTTTTTAAAGCATTGACACTACCTCCAAAATTTGTTTCCTCTTGTTCATCATATAATTCCCTAAAATTACTCTTTTTAAGAATTTGTCCAGAGTTTGTAGTTATCACCTGCGAGAGGGCTAATTTGTTAGGAGTTATTCAGCCATAACAAAAGCAGGACTATATTTATTAGAACTACCTCAGAAACTGTTAATATTTCATCTAATGAAATGTATTTCTAGGACTAGATATCTTAGAGTGATCTTGAAAAGTCAAGTTGTTCTCTACTCAACATAGACTGATTTTCATAGGAATCTCATTACTGAGCACATTACCTGTATCATTTTAGATCTCAAGGACCCCATTAGCAGAATTAGTTGATAATCTAGAGTTATCTCAAGGTAGTCCAAAGAGTCTATGAATGTCATCACTCTCTGAGATACATTTTGGCTAAATTTCCACATAAGTAAAAAGCCGTAAGTGAATGTCATTCAGAATAAGGAATTATCTATCTATCAAACTATCTGTCTGTCTGTCTGTCTATCTATCTATCTGTCTATCTGGTTATATAATGAAAATAAATATGAATAGAGAAAGCCCGCCTATGCATGTAAAATTTTGTTAAGAATAACATCAATTTACAAGAATGACTTTATGAACAATTTCAGTATATGGAGATACAGATTTCCAGAAACTAACTTTATTTTAATCTTTAACTTTAAGGAAAGTACTTCTATATCTAAAATAAAAAAAAAAATCCTTCTGATTATATTACAACCATTTTTAATGAATCAAGAATTTAACCTATGAAAGAACTGAGAAATTTTAATTGATATTTCAATGATATAGAAATTTTAATTTAAATATAACAAAAAAATATGAGAATTATAATGACTTATGAATTGCTTAATAAAGAAATAGTTTCTACTAAAAGGCAGCAAAAAATATAATATCCTGATTTTGGTTTTAATTATCTGGGAAGAAAGGAAGTAAGTTGATCATATCTTCATCATATAATTTTTGAAAAAAAATCACAGTTTCTTTTTGCCATCACAGTGGCATTTTGAGTTAACATATTATTTGTATAATAATTTTATATTTTATATATTTTCATGCTTTTATGTTTTACATACAAAAATAAATTTCAATGGTTATTTTAACATCCAAACACATAAATAAAAATAATATTTTACTATTTTTTACACTTGAATATATGTTAGCATTGTTCTATATAATAAATATGTTCATATCTAAACATATTTAAATAAAAAAATTATGCTATGTCAATGGAAAATATTTATAATATGAAGATTATTCTTATTACATTTATGAAAGCTATTTATATCACAGGCAGGCAGGCAGCTGATGAATTCTAGTATTTCCTTCATCATTCTAATAAAACAAAGTATGAGTCTTGTAAAATGTCCACAGTACAGAGGAGTCATCTTTAAAAACTTTTCAAGTTACACAAGCAAATTTACTCTTACATAACACTTATGTGGTTTTTTTTTTAGAATTTAAAATTAATTTAAGACAAATTTATATAATAGTATCTTCAGTGAATGACTTGAAGATTTTTTAAAAATAATAACCCATTAAACTTCATAACAGCCCAATGAGTTAAGTATTTCTCCTACCTAAATTTTGGAGATCAGAAATTCGGGGATCAGAGAAGTTAAGTAATTGCCCTGTATCTCATAGCTAGTATATACGACAATAAAATTAAACAAGATTTAAGCTCAAATGATCTGTCTCTGGAATTACTCCTAACCACAGTGCCACATGGCAAACTGTTATTGTCTCTTGACAATCACGATTATCGGTATATGGAAATGTTCTTATACTCATTTGCACTACCTACTCTCTTTTCTTATTCCTTTCAAATGCACTTGAGAAAGCTATTTTAAATATTGACAAACTATGTTACTGAATGAATGAAAATGTTACCATGGTTTCCTAACAAGGACAAAAATAAATCTATATTCCTTCCTTTGCATGGCAAAATTCACACCCAGTGATAAAGCTGAATTCCTTAAAATGGTCTGCAGAACCCAGCATCATCTGGCTCTCAATAAATAATTTTGAATGAATAAGTGAATGAATGGTTGAATGGATAGACTATTCTACTTGTTTAAATTTTAAATATTATGTCTAAATAAATTTCATTCTGACACTTGAGCTTATAATTGAGTGAAGTTCACACTCAGCATCAGGAAAAGTACAGCCTGACATTTTCTGCTAAAAAAATCAATTAAAACAATTTAGAAAGATGTTTTATGTAACTGTAAAGTGTTTCATTAGATTTTTTGGATCTTCTTACAAAAATGCAACATTTTCCAGTATGTTTTGCTGTTTCTTGCTTCATTTGCCTCCATTCTCCCTTCCCTCTAATTCTCATTGATAGCCCATGAAATTCTAGGGTCACAAACTTAATTCCCAATGTTGGAGTGGAACATGTAACCTGCTATTTACAGAAATAATATGGTGTACTTTTAGTTAATTGTTCCATATTCTTTTCTTAAGTAATTTTGATTTTCTATTACTAATATTTCTAAATCTCTAAGACACGTTCTACTCTTCTGGTTTCTCGTGTATGTATTGTTCCATCTTCCTTTCAAGTCCATAGACCTCCATATTTATGTCTGACCCACTTTCTCTCCTTGATTTGATGATCTTGCTGTTCATCGATTCAGCTATTACTTTCTCTAGGTTCTTGATTTTGTCTCCTGTTGCTTCTCTACAGATCATTGTTCTTAGATGCTGCCATGATGAAAATTAATCTGAAAAACTCAGGAAGCCATTGTGATCGAGGATTTGTAGCTACTCTCCGACACCATGAGTAGTGGTGTCAGAGAGAGAGTGTCTCATGACACGCTTTCAGCAGCAATCTATAGTAGCAAAATGATTGCCCTTTTTCCAGACTTCTATGCATGCAAAGCAAGTTACCAAACAATGGTATTTCTGCTTATGTTCATGAAGGAGAACCAAATACCTTACCTGAGGAAACAGAAGAAACACTGAAACATACCCTCCCAACAATGTGGCAATATGTCCCAAAATTACAAAGCTGTATCCACACATAGTTCTCTGTGTGCGTGTGTATGCGTGTATGTGTGTGTGTGTGTGTGTGTGTGTGTGAGAGAGAGAGAGAGAGAGAGAGTGAAGTATTGTGTTTATCTCCAGAAATGGATACCCAGGCAATTTTACTTTTTTCATGAATACTTTTCTGTGCTACTTGAATTGTTTACTACGAACATATTGCATACCACACAATTGAAATCACTTAAATTTTAGACAAGAAGACTAGTATTTTATTTTAAAGTACACCTGTGGAACACTTTCGTAAGATTTTTGTTGTAAGTCTTGGGGTCGTAATGAAACAGAACAACTGTAACATTACAATCTTTCCGACCTTTGTAAAAATTAAGCTTTTCCAATAATTTTCCTAAAATTAATTTAATGACATCTCATTATACTATAGCAGAGTACCACTGTTTATACTACAACAAAAGTAGAATGTTCTTTTTGAAATTTCTTTTCTCACAGACAAGAAGTATTTGCTAATTTGTAAAGACAAACCAACAAATTCTCCAGGCAATGAATTTTTACTATATCA